>NC_000004.12:70171381-71421381 GCF_000001405.40 Homo sapiens
TAATTGATAGAAGAAAAAAAGTGTAAAGTTCCCATGGCATATTTCTGGTCACGAAAACATTGAAATAAATGTAAGCTATACATAAATTTAAGAAAGATTAATAAAAACAAATAAGAAAATCATTTACCCAATTTTTGGTGAGTCAATGAGCAATGGCAGTCATGGTGGTGGTAGGTTAGATCAAAATGTAAATGTCTGCAAAACAAAAATTGTAAGGAGCACCTCCGACCTACCACCATGCAGTTCAAAAACAAACAATAATTAATGTGATGGTCTTGCTGAGCTCTTTTGGACCACACTGTCTGTTGTTGTGCATTTATATGATCTTTTACCATTTTTATTTTATATCCTTTACAATTTTTATTTTTCAATAATTTGTCTTCATTCATTCATTCATTTTCCAACTTGTTTATTTCAGTTTCAATGGTGAGAGACTATCCTAGCAGCTTAGGGCACAAGGTGGGAACAGCCCTGTACAGGATGATGTCCTGACAAATGTGTTACTTCTACACATTTGTCACAATGGCAAAAACTAATGGCACCATATGTTGATAAAATTTTGAACTAACTGGAACTAAAACCAGTAGATGCGTAGATGACACAATCACTTTAGAAAACTGACGGTGATCTTGGGGAAAGGAATTGGTTTATATCTTGGACCTAAGCAAATACATGGATTTATAAAAATGTAATATTTTAATGAGCTGTACACTGATATTGTATATGTTTTACAGTATGTAAATTTTACCTAAATTTGTAAGTGTTCCAAAATAACATTTTTTATGTTCCTTTTCATCAAACATTATCAAGAATCTAGGGGTGGGGGATCCAACAAAAGAAGGGCATGACTTCTGTGGGAAAGTTTATAAAACTTTGGTAAAGTAGACATCAAAAAAATGCAGATCCTATGTTCATGGATTGGGAACTTTGATAATGTAGATACAATAATATGTTTCAGAAATTCAAACCAGTATTCGAAAATTGACAATATGATTTCTACATTGTCAGATAAAATCAAAGAACCTGGAAAAATCAATAAACTTAAACAAATGCATGTTTGAAGGGCCTATTCTAGAAGATAACAAGAGTTATTATAAATCTATAACTAATTAAAACTCTGGTATTGAAAAGACAAACAAAAAAACAATGGCACAGAAAAACAAACATAAAAACAGTCTCATGCATAGGGACACAATTTATGAAAGGGTTAGTGCTGCAGTTTTTTTCATGGTAATACCATAACCAATTAGTTATAAATATGGAAAAAAATTAAATTGGATTTCTACTCAATATCAGGTCAAAATTCAACTCTACGGTTGTTATGGACCCAAATGTGAAAGAGAAAACTAAAGTCTTTCAGAATATGACATTGCAGAATATCTTCATGACATTTAAGTAGAGGAAGAGTTCTAACCTGAAGTAAACTAGTGATGATTTTGACTGTGTTGAAATTAAGAATATCTGTTCATCAGCGTATTCTGTAAAGATAGCAAAAAGACAAGCCACAAATAAGCAATAAAATACTCACACCTTGAACATATATACATCTGAACATTGGATTAGAATGGAGAGTCTAGAAATGAGCCTTTACGCTTACAGTCAACTGAATTTCAGTAAGAATGCAAAGAAATTCAATGGGGAAAGAATTTTTTTTCAAAAAATAGTACTGGGACAATTGGACATCTACATGCAAAATAATTAAGTTGAAACCCTACCTATCAATCATTAATAAAAATGGATTATAGACCTAAATGTAAGAGTGAAAATTATAAAATTATAAAAATTATTTTAAAAAATATAAAAATTATAAAAACTTTTGGTTTAAAGCACAAGATTAAATCTTCACAACCATGAATTACACAGGGTTTTCAGATATTACACCAAAAACACAAATGGCAAAATAAAAAATAGATAAATTGGAACTCAATACATATTTCAAACTTTTGTGCATCAAAAAAGCACCATCAAGAAAATGCAAAGACAATCCACATATAATGAAAGAAAATATTTACAAATCATATATCAAATAAAGGACTTGTATTCAGAATATAAAGAATTCTTACAAATAACACCATTTAAAAATGGGCAAAAGATTTCAACAGACATTTCTCATGACAAGATATACAAATCGTCAATAAGCACAAAAAGATGCTCGACATCATTAGTCATCAGGGAAATGCAAATAGAAATCACAGTGAGATATCACTTCACACACCTACAAACACGGTTAGAATAAAATAGTCAGAAAACAAGTGTTGATGAGGATCTGAAGATATCAGAACCCTCATACATTGCTAGTGAGAATATACAATAGTATAGCTGCTTTGCTGCTTTGAAAAACAATTTGTCAATTTGTCAAAACATTAAACATGGAATCATTACTATATTTACACCTTTTTACTTAGCCGTCCAGTAAACAACTTAAATATAACGCTTGTCTAATACTCCACTACTGATTACCTCCCCATAGGATCTCTCCCTACTGCTATCTTCCTCCTCTTAGTAACTCAAAACTTGAGTCCTTCAGTTGTGCAAGCAAAACACTTAAAAGTCTTTCTTGATTATACTCTTTTTCTAAACTCCAATAGCTGACATGACAAAGTATTTTGGAAATGCCAACTTCAACATACATCTAGAATCCAAACATTTCTTTGTTTTAATTTTTGTGGATACATAGTAGATGTATATATTATGGGGTACGTGAGATGTTTTGATACAGGCATGCAATGTGAAATAAGCACATCATGGAGAATAGAGTATGCATTCCCTCAAGCATTTACCTTTTGAATTACAAATAATCCAATTACATTCTTTAAGTTATTTTAAAATATACAATTAAGTTATTACTGACTATTGTGCTATCAAGTAGGTCTTATTCATTTTTTGCCATCCCTCCCTATCACTATCATATACAAACCACCATAATCTCTCACTGATTATCACAATCACCTTCACCTCCTAACCTCTCCTTTCTTATGTCTTCCACATCCTCCTAATGTGTTTTCTACACAGCAGTAAAAGGGATCATGTCATAGTCATCTCTGTCCTCCTGAAATTCTGCAAGTGAATCACTGTGTCTCATGCACAAGTTTAACGAGGAGAATAAAGTATTTAAATAAGTGAATCATATATTTAAGATTTATTTTTCCAATAAAAGTACAAAAGCAATTCTACTATTCTACAAAGGAAACGTTCACTGTATTTATATTGACAAACATTGCTTTTTAGCAGTCTGGAATATCTCTTTTTTAAATTAAAGAGATAAAGAAGACATCTACAAAGAATACTGCAAATCTCTCATGCTGTGATCCCTTTTTTATAATAGAGGAGATTAAAAACTTCTCGAAATGATAAAGGATATGAAAGCCATTAATTCTTTGAGTAACCATATAAATTACTAGTGGTGCTGAGATGAAAAGACTGGTTTGTTTAAAGATAACAGGCCCTGAGTTTTTTAAAGAGTTTATATAGCTGTAAATCTAGGCATTAGATCCTTTCAGAAGAATTATTTGCTTATCATTAATCTTGGAAATAAGGTAATTTTGTTAGCAACAACTTTATTCCCTCTGTTCTCTTTATATATGTGCCAGAGGAGAAGTTATTCAAAGAATGGCAGTAAAGTTTCTTGTGGAAAGCTATACTGATTGTATCTTAAATAAACCATTGATTAATTAAAATTCAATGATTTGTGAAGGGGAAAGTAGGTTAAGGAGTTATAAAAATAATACACAGCATAAGCACTGTGCATGACGATGCTAATATTAAATATTATCTAAGATTTACTTATCATACTACTAAGAAAAATGTGAAGTTCAAAAGCCCAAAAGAAGTATCAATAGTACATTGTCAATATATATGTCTGTGTAGGGTTGGGTCATATATCTCATTGCTTTGAAATGTATTTCTTTTTTCCAAAACATTTCATTATTTTTTCCCCTTCCTGTTCATTGCTTGCCATGTGAAATAAAACTTCTCTATACATCTCAATCACAAAACAATGCAGCTTCTTTTCTTAGGGGTGTTTATCTCTTTCACTGTGTGAAAGTACAGCATTGCTTTCATTACTTGGACAATAAATATATTCTCACTAAAATCAAAATTACATCCTGCCACTCTCTTCCTGTGCTTTTCTTTTTACACATTTCTTTTGTTTCAATGCAAAATCTGATGTAATATTTTACAGGACATTAAAATGTGAATTTAATAAAAAATTCACTATTTTTAAAACTTAATCTAAACACAGTAAGGAGACATCTATTATTAGATAGATCGTGAGTTGAGGATATTTAAATATGAAAAACATGCACCTAAGGATCAAAGAAATCCAGCAACTTTGAGCCGATCATAAAAGATAATAAAATGGTAAATCAAAGATTATACATGGAGATGTCAGAGGAATTATTAATGATTTAAAATGATTTAAACTTTTCTTGCCTACAGCATGAATAACTAAAGTATGATTTCATAAATTATTTTAGATATATGAAAACAGTGACATATAATTCATGAGAAATTAACCTCCATCTACATAGGGAGGGAGAGTAGAATTAGTCTCAATCCAAATAGAAGGACCAAATAAATATGCAATATGGAGGTTATGGGTTGCTCTTCATATGGGTCTTAATCCCAAATTTCCCACATCCTAAAACTCTGCCTAACTCCTTTAAGCCTCAGATTTCCTCATCTTCAAAAAAAAGAAGGTAATGACTTAGAATCTTACAAATTCATATATAGAATTGATGAAAGAATATTGTAAAGAATTTGGCATAGCTTAATCACTCAAAAATCTTTCTTCATGTTAACATTATTATTAAGTCATTTAACAGGAAATAAGCCACCACTTCTAAATAAATTGAAACAGAGGGTCGTTTTCAAGCAAGTAGCCTTTATATATACAATTTAATGCTTCCCACTCAGTTTCAACACTTTCACACGAATTATTTTATGCATACATGACACATTCAAAACCCTGAAATAATAATAGAAAGTTTTTGGGAAAATAATAAAAATAAAATGGTAATTAATTAATTAGTGAGAAAATTAATTACATTATTTGAATAATAAAATAGTATTATTGTCATATCCAAGTATCTAACTCTTTTGACTATGAGAAAGTGGAAGTATTTCTCTTGGAATAGTTCTATCAACATTTCATTAGCATTCAATTAGCATTCAACGTTGAATTTAATATTTTATAAATGTATTGGCTAGTTTTACTTATAATGTTTTACTGTGGTTTCTATTTCAAAATATAATTGGATTCTCATTTATTTTAACTAGCAAAAAAACTTTTATGAAAAGTTTTTATTATTAACCAAAAATATTTATTAATTGAAACTGTGTTTTTCTATTTTTCCTTAGCATTTAAATGACCATGAATATGATCAAAACAACGTTCATATTAAACACCTAACTATAGAATAGACTCCCTGGTTTTCTGGTGATCAATATACCTGTTTTGTGTACACCATTCATGGATACAGGTAACTTATGATTTACCCTGGATGTAACAAATGAGCTCTAAATTGTTTTGTTATAAAATATTCCATAAACTCAGACAAAAATATGCGTAATAGATAGTAGAGTATATTGGTTTAGTGGTTAAATAATATGGATCTGGAATCAGATAAAATAGAATTAATGCTAGAATAAGCTACAATAGGTTAAAAATTTCAGGTTCATTAATTAAAAAGAATGTAGCTCAAGGCAAATTGTTTCTCTGGTGTTTTCTCAAACAGCACTGGGAAAATGCTAGTACAGCAGGTGTTCACATAACATCATTTAGTTAAACGTCGTTTTGTTACAACGTTGATGAGAAAAATGTATACCGAATCCAGCTGGAGCCACTGTCTATGGAATATGCACATTATCCCCCTTGACTTCATGCATTTCTCCAGATACTCCAGTTTCCTCTCACATTCCAGAGATGTGCATGTTCTGGCCACCTGCAGCCCTGAACTGGAATCGTTGGGTAATCAATTGTCTTACTTGTTTTTATTAACCTTCTTAAATGTATGTATGACTCACATTTATTTCAGTGTTTAATATTAGAAGTGTTTTGGTCTTTATTTAGAAGTTTGGTGATGGTTTTATGAGCAGAAATATACCATAAGAATTTAACTCTTGTTTATATCCATTAGCTATTGGTTTCCTTAGACATCATTTCACTTAAAGTCACAGTTTCCAAGAACCTATCAACAATGTTAAATGAGGGCTTAGCATACTGAACTAATAATTTTTAGTAGCATATGAGATTATGTAATATGTCTATAATATAGTAAGCACTCACTAAATTCTGTTATTGCCGTATCCTTTTACATATCAATGGGATTTTTCCTTCAGAAAAAAATTCCTTTCTGTGCAAATAAAATCAGTCAAGTACTGGCAAGTACAATCATTTCTCACCTAGCCTCCTGACTTATCTAAAATATAAAAGTGAACATTTCCAGAAATAGTCTAAATCCAATTAGCTTTCCACCTTTTCATAGGAGTAAAGTCTTGAGTACATTTTACTAAAATAAAGGAGGCAAACAGGATGTGGAGGAAGTAAGTTGTAGAAAACAAGTGATTATCTGGTTTCTTCATGAATACTCCAGAAAATGTGAATTTAATACTACTGGAAAGAACCAGCCCACTTTTAGAAAATTAAAGTTAATTAAATTGACCCCAAAATGATCAATATAATATTTTACAATATTACTACTAAAGTTGAGAGAAGAATAACCATATTGGAGTTAGGATGGTTGGTACAGACATATCATTTGTAAAAACCCAACCCTCATACTTGCCCCTGTCTTCGAACCACAATTTTAGAATATATGTTAAAATAACATAATCTTAAAACATCCACAAGCCCTCCTTCTTCCCTTCTCCTCACTCCACATCCCTCTGCAATTCCTTACCCTATCTCATTCCTCCACTCTTTCCCCCTCCGTTCCTCTACTCATCCCTATCTCCTCTCCTCTCCTCCCCTCCCCTCCCCTCCTCTCCTCTCCTCCCCTTCCCTCCCCTCCATTCTCCTCTCCTCCCTTTCTGTCTCTCTCCTTCCCTCTTCCTCCTTCCCCACCTCTCTCATTTTTCTCTCTCCTCCCCTCCCCTTTCTCTCCAGTGCTCTGATTGGCAGGAAAATCACCCAAGGATTTTTCTGGCCTGCAGATTCAATTCAGCGGGTCCGCAGTGGAGACTGAAATTCTGCATTTCCAACAGATTCCAGGTGATGCCGATGCTGCTGGGCTAGAAGCCACAGTTGTGCAACAAGGCAATCCAGGGATACAAGAAATCAACACCATAATTCGATGTTCTTATTTTTTTTCCTTCCAAAATCAGTCTAAATTTTAATTATATACTATGCATTGCAAGAAAATAGCAAAGCTTGTTTTACTTTTTTGGCAAATCTATATGTCTACTGAGTAGGAATCAGTAACTGTGCATAATTTAAACTCACAATTAAAGCAGTGATAACAATTCCTCTAAGTACATACCTGGCTCCAATAATTTAAAAGCCTGATGTTCATTAAGTCATGATATCTGCTGTCTTATTTTTTATTGTCCTCACTATCCAAAAATGTATTATTAAACATTTTAAGACAGAATTCATATTTAGTTTATGAATGTAATTATTAGCTATTTGTTTACTCCAAATTTTCCAAAAAGCCTCTCAAGAAAGATCTTTCAACATAAAGCAGAGGAAGACCACCAAGTAAAAATTTTCAGTGACAGTGCCAGTAGATAATATTGATCAGACAATCAGAATCCCCACAGATGGCATACACATATATAAATGATAAAGTACAAAAGAAAGACCCTGAATTATTTCCAATGCCTACGCCTATTATAAATCTGTTATTTAAAAAAGGTTATTGACTGCCAAAGACTTATTTTAAGAAATACTAAGTTGCAGCAAAAAGAAAATGTTGAAATTACAAAGCCAGAGAAACTTCAATTTTGCTTTTATGAGCCTTTATACATTTTATAAATACCAACTTAATATTACTGTTATTTTAATATTATTGTTCTTTTTACAGATGAAGAAATCAGTGAAATCTATATTAAATGCCTTTCCCCTCTTTAAAATTTTACTTCTGATTATGCATTAAAATATATTTTTGTTTTGCATCGTGTTCTTTAGTCAGCTTAATTACAGAAGTAATGATTATGTGGATTGTCTTTCATTCTCTTTTAAGAAAAAAATGTGTTCTATAGCTGTAAAAGATTATTGTTAGAATTTAAAATATGCAATGGCAATAAACATTCTTGACAATGTATGTACTTCATAAACAGACTATTTAAATTGTTTTTATTTATTTAATTTTGTTTTTTTATTTCCTAAACCTTCTTCCTGAGAGACTGCAGGAAGTAGCAGGAAGGGAAGAAGCTATTGATCACCGTTGACCTCTCGCAACTCTCCACTATGCCCAATCTGCATTTCCCATCTCAGGGAAGGACAGGACTGTCTTGGAGGTGTCCCAGTGCAAGATAGGGGGACATCACTTTTCCTTCCTCCTTTATCGCAGTAGGGACCAAGTCTTGTCTATTTCTCTGGTTCCAACTTTCCTGTGCATTTCTACCACTTCATCCTATTCATGATGCCTCTGTCCCTCTCAATTAGGTGGCATGCTTCCCATTTCTCCCCACATCCCAGCTGTTCTTAATCTAGTCTTGAGATTAACATAAACTCAGTGGGAATTGCATTCAGTTTCGTTGGCAAATTTACAAGCACTCATATTTAATTGTTAGATATTTAATAAGATCTCAGATCTTATTTGTAGGCCTTATACATTTTAACATGTTCATTCTTGGGTTTTCTTTCATGCTATTTTGTTTCTGTTGACTTATTTTTATTTTGTTTATTTATTTTTAAATATTTTATGAAGTTGTCACATGCATATCAAAAGTATATAACTTATAATTTTGCAGCTCAATGAATTATTACAAAGAAATTATATTATTCTTGAAATAAAATCTGAACTGTTCTCCTCTGGTCTAATAGACACACAAAGCCTCTCTATACACTCTCTTCTATATATAACTAAATAAGACAAAATTATTCTAGTTGTTCAGAACAAAAACACTGATGTTATCCTTTGTTCCTTTGTCATATGCCACATAGGAAATCATTAATCAGTCATAATAACACTATCTTTAAAAATATCCAGAATCTAGCAACTTGTCATCATCTGGACTACAAGTACCTTATTCACAACCACTATCATTTCTCATGTGAGTAGCATAGTAGCCTCCAAACTGGGCATCTTGCTTCCATTCTTCTCATTTTGAGTCTATTCTCAAAATCAACATCATTACAAGAGCGATCATTTCAGAATATCAGCCATGTTTTTTCACTCTTCTGCTCAAAGCCTTCCGTGAGATTCCTATGTCATAATAAAAGTAAGAATACCTTTAAATGTTGGCTCTCATCTCTTTGACTATGCCTCCTAATGTTCTTCCTTCTACTATAACACTCCTACTATAATACTGGCCTCCTGGCCAACCTTTGAAAACACTGGATATATTCCTAACTCAAGGCCTTCGCATCTGCTGTTTCCTTTGCCGAGAATGCTCATTTTCTACGTGATTTGCATCCTCACCTCCTCTGGGTGTTTGGTCATATGTAAGGTTTCCAGAATTAGCATGAATAAAGGGTAAGATACCAAGTTAAATTTTAATTTTGAATAAACAATGAATCTTTTTAGGATAAGTATATCCTATGCAATATTTGGGACATACTTATGCTAAAAAATGTTTTTCTATCTGAAATTGGCTAAAATCCTTAGGAAAGAAGGAAGAAAAACTAACCTCCTTGTTATATTGTTTCTAGTTAACATAATCCATTAATTACTTAAACAGAATACACACAATTTAAGTAGCATCACTGTCCTCATCCCTGGATCCAGGTAAGGCAGAATTGCTTACAGAATGATGTTTGGACAAGGCCTATTTGTATTTGATTTTGCTATCACCCTTGTTTTTAGTCTTTCTCTCTCGCTTCCCCCGACACAAACACAAACACACACGCACACACACACACACACACACACACCTCTACATTTACTTCAACCAGTATCTCTCTTCTTTGAACTATTGTAGTTGTCGATTATACAACTTCCTCCAACGGAGAATCAGAGAATGGAAATAATTTTGCCAATATGAAAAGAATTAATGTCTAAAATTATTGTGAAAGACAGTAGTTTCCTGTAAAAAATTGATCATAATAAATTTTTAAATTGCAATACAATTATCGAACTCAGTGTTTCTGCAAAGAAATTAGTGGTACCTGGATGCAAAGCACAAAAGAGAGACTGATTAACAGGTCTCAATTGTGATTAAAATCATCAAGTAATTATGGAAAGGAGAGGCTGATCCACTTCAACAATGGAATGGAAAAGCAGAATAATTCACATTAAGAAAAACATTCAAATATGATATCTGAAAAATCCCTTCACTTCTCTCCAATTGTGTCACCAACGATTCATGGATACAAAGGAATTTTCATATAAAAATTTATAAAAAATACTTATTATATTGTCGAATTTCAATCCCTGCAGCCTCTTTGTCAGCTCTATTTCTATCAGTTCCTCCTGAAGAAAGAGCAAACCCTCCAGTGATGGCTCCAGAAAGATCTCAACAGCAGCTTTCATCCTCCAGCACTGGAAGGAGGGTGATGTGGGGAAGAGAGCAAGTTGCTACTGTAACTTTCTGCAGTATAAATTTTAAATACATGTAGCACTTGGAAGTCCTATTTTATGGGCCAAAAGATCTCAGTTCCTTAGCCTATATGCATGCATCTGTTTCCCAGACATTTAATTGTCTTAATTATCTCCCTGAGATTTTCTATAAATCCTCCACACACTTCAAACTACACATCTAGACACAGTAATCTAAATACCTGGCATTTACTTAGAATAAAAGTTCCCTTATTTCAGGAGAGTTGTTCTTTAACTCCAACAACTCAACAGGTCAGGAAAATGACAATACACAAAAGACAAATTTCAGTGATACCAGCTCCGGGAATAATTATAAAATGGTTAAAAGCTGTCTGTAGTGGTCTCGGGTTTATAAACCTGTTCCCATCTACCACAAAATCTTCTCACTGTCTTCCTATTCTATTCCTATCTATACCTGGTCCCTCAAAGGTACCTTAACAATATGAATGACCTTTTACAAAGCACTCTTTCTAGGGCAGCCTGCACTTTCATCTTCAACCTTTTGAAATTTTAAGTCTTTGGCACTTATTCATTTAAGTAAATGTTTAAGCATTTCTTTTCAAGAAAAGGCAGCACATTATCAGAGCTCAAAGCCCTAACATAAAACGACTGTGTTTGAACAGAGATCAAAAGCTCTCATGAAAATGAAATCACTCTTTTCTGGGGAAAATCTTGGCATCACTGAGCAAGTGATAAGCAGAACACATGGATGAAAAAAAATTTGGCCTTTGAAATTACCAAACTACGTAAACAATTGGCAAAAATACAGTTCAATCATGCCTTTGGGGATGTACACATTTGGCTGGCCTCTGGTCTGTCCTTTTAAGCCCTAGTGCACCAATAATAGCATTGTCCCTGAGGTACCTTGAGATGAATTTAATTCTGACTTTTCCTCCTGTCTTTGTTTCCTGTGACTTTTCTCTGGTTGGCAAACAAAGTGTCTCTGTTCTTGTTTGTGAATGTCTGTATTGATTTCTGTCATCATACTTATTTTCCTTGTACTAAACATTAATCCCTGGTACATACCTTGAGTGAACTTGTCCTTTGTGGTCATAAATGACCTGTTAGTCTATGCCCTTCTTAGTGGAATTCGCACGGAAGCTGGATACACCTCCTAATGTTGTCATGAGGGTTTGGGGAATCATTTTGTAAGTTTCTGAGTTGGCACTAAATTTCTATTGGTATTTAACATTAAAAAACCTGTACATTAAAAAAATGCCTAGATTTTAATTGATTCCCACTATGGATTCCACTTATATTTCATAATGTATAGGCATTACTTAATAAACAGTAACAGTCAGACAAATAGCACCCATCCATCACATATTAGATTTAATAATTGAATTTCAACAGATAACAGAGCTCTTCCGGAAGAAGTAGTTTGAATATTCTCTCATTTTTACACTTCCAAACTTTACTTACAGAGAAACTATTTGAGATACATACACATTTGTGAATCCCAATAGACACCATAAGTACAAATCTACCCAGCATAATTTCTCCCTTAGCAATAGGATCTGAAGCCTTTCAGATTTTTTCACCAAATCCAATTAGCTAAGATTAAGTTTGTGTTATCTACAGTATTTGGAGATGTATTTTCTATGGTATGAATCTAGGACTTCTGTAAAATTTAGGATGCTGCATGATAAATACGCGGTTTTGTTTTTTTTTTAATTAGAAAAAAAGAATAACACTGAAGGGGAAAAAAACACTGAATATATGTATAGCTGATGGAAAGAGCGCCCTCATGTGGTAATGCACAAGCAGAGCTGGATTGCATTGAAGTTGTTGAAAGTTTTACCAAGTCATGGGGCCCCCCTTGTGCCCATTTCAGCCATTAACATGGTTTAGCCTTGAAAATCCAACACACCACAACATTCTAAGTAGCTACATACCATCAGTTATGACAGGCACTTAAGATAAAACTTTAGTTCCTTTAATTAGCCGCAAACATTTAGGGAAAATATTCAGAAGTAATCAGATTCAACTGTAACTTGTAAGATTTTTTCAAGTTTCTGATTTCATATTTCATTGTTTTTTCTTTAAATGTTAATGTTTCTATGTGAAAGACTTCATTGTCCAAAAACAGGCAGGTAAAATGAAAAACTTAATTCTGCAACAGTAGCACATCACCAACCATATATAACCCCTTTCTTGCTCTCTCTCTCTCATTCACACACACCCATAGAGAGACAGGCACACACACAAGCACACACACACACACACACACACGGGTATCCTTTCATTTAGGGACTTTCTTGTCCTATTATCTGTAGTTCATTCTTACCAAAACCATGTAATATTTATTCTACCATCACCCCATCAAGTACCTATATACAAATGAAGCCACACAATTTGTAAACTTGACTGGCTCTATACGTTGTTCATGGAACAGAGGATTTTTCATCCTAAAGTAAAATTAGTGACAAAATATATATAGCCTATATTCATTAATAGAAACCCTCAAGTAGCTGTTACAAGAGTGAAATTGTAATTAAAAATCATAAAGTTTTGACAGTACTGCAACTACCATTAAATTAGCATGGCTCATGTAAGTGCTGAGATATCAACAACCTTACGTCTCAGGTTATTGAGATTATTACCTAATCAGAGTTATAAAACCTGAAGTTCAAAGAATGACTGGGACTGGTCGCTGATTGATAGTTCCAGAAATTAAGCCCCTTGCATTACGAAGCACTGAGAGTTGAGAGGTTGAGATGAATGAAGTGGGCATATTAGCAATATTAAAAATAATGATAGATATAGCTACTATTTAATGAGTACCCACTATATGCCAGACAGTATACAAAGTACTTCTTATAATGTGTTTTAATTCTCACAATGGTCTCACAAGGCACATGTTAGTCTAATTTTACAGATCAGAACATTAGGACATGGAAAGGTTAGGTAGCTCTCTTGAAGTACTACAGGTAATATATTACAGAGATAGAATAATCTGATGCCAACATAATATACTGCTTCCCACTGGAAAGTAAGATGGAATGAAAAATCCTAGGAAAAAGCTTTAGTAGGATTAAGGGAGAAAAATAATTTGGGTGGAGTAGAAGGAAGGGTTGTGGCAACGGAAAAGGTGAAAGTAAAAATCAGTAAACTTACTGAGATCTCTGATTCCATTTTTTTAAATTCTATATAGTCAGAATATATTTATTCTAGTTGTCCATAAATTCTAGTTTCTAATCTGTATAATTGAATGTCAGAATTGGAAAAGCCAATCAATAAATCCCTCTTCTATGAAATCAATAATTTCCTCAAAGATGTCAATTGACTTCTAGATCTTACCGTTAGTAAATGGCAAAGTCAGGATGGGAACATGGTTGGGCCCTGTGCTCCTGCCACAGCACCAACTCAGTGGCCCATTGCATTGGTACCCTGCCTTCACATTTGCCTTAAGTCTGTCCATGGCACTGCTGCCAGAGTGATTTTGCAAAAATACCATTCTGACAGTGTAATAATAAAGACAAGCTAAACCATGCTTCAGTGACAAACAACCCCAAAATATCAGTGGCTTGAAACTATGAGATTTATTTCTCCCTTGCACTATATTTTCCCTGGCTCAGTTCAAAGTTCTGCTTTACACTGTTCCTTCTCAGGGATCCCAATTGTAGAAACTCAAGTTGATGGAAAAGCTACCACCTGGAACATTGCTAGTGGCCACAGCTAGTGGCCACAGCAAACAGAGACAGTGCTGAATAATCTTAAAATTTCCAGCCAGAAGTGACATGTGCTATTTCTTGTTCATACTTAATTTGTCAAAGTAAGTTACTAAATTCAAGGGCTGGAAACTGGTACATTACATGTCCCCAGAAGGAGGAATGGAAATATTTGTTAGGCATTACTAATGAGTAACAGCAAAGATTCCCTTGCTTAATTGATGTCAGCTGCTGACAGGATAAAATCCAGACACATTTATTTGTCTTAGAAAACTCACTGTGATGTGACCTCTAACTGCAGGCCATACCTCATTTCCCACAGGTATCCTATGTACCAATTATCTTGAATTTGTTATTTTCCCACAAAATATCAAACTATGTCATGCCTCATGCATTTGCCTCCATGTCTTCCTGGTGAAATCCTAGTTTTCCTTCAGGGCTCAACTCGGGGATTTTCTGCTCTGTACTTTTATCAGATCACTCCATCCCCAATCCAAACACAACATGCCCTTACCTATTTTTTATCTTCATCAAAGAGTGCCACACTCATTTGTTCATATGTAATTCTCATTTATTATACTGTACGTGCCCTGAATGCAATATCTCTGGGTTATTGCTAGTGCTCAATAAATAATGTCTGGTTGAAGAAATGAAGTCATCAGCATTCTAATAGGAGATAACAAGGTTTAGCAAAATTAATATCTACAGTAAACCAAGGGAGTTTTGAATAAAAAAGTGAGACAACAGATGGATAGGCACATAGGTACCTTGGGATTGTGCATTACCCTTTACTGATAAAGTTAACTTTTTGTAATGTAAGCTGGTGATTTTTATTTAAAATGGAAAGTCACATATATGTGAATCTGCTTTGGAGGCTTTTTCAGACTTCTTCTATCTCTTAGAGACTTCTCCCTAAAGGATCAAGATGTGTCAAATTTCCCCTAGAATGTTTTATTCAGAAATATTACCACGCTGAGCAAATACATTTTCTCATTTAATGGCACATAAAATGAGCCACAGGTATTCTGTGGATACCCTGAAGATAAGTACACGTTTGCATCATTTTACAAGGAAGGGAACAGGTTCAGAGAAAATAATAAACTTGCCCAAAGTTACATGGCTAATAAGAACCTGAAGTGAGATTTCAAATCTAAGACTTTTTGATGGTGAAGCCATGCTATCAACATGCCATCTACACAATAAATGCAGGTAGTTGCAGAAAACTGTTTAGGTGAAAATTTATTATATTCACACATTAATGGGAGTTGTTGTTCTGATGAATCACTCTGCCCTCTGTTTCATCAGGGCTCCTCGCCTGACAATACTTTTATCGAAAGAGCATTGATAAGTTACAAACTTCAGGCTTTATCAGTTATGTAGGCAATAGAGTAACTCACAAATTTTACTGAAATCATATTTCATGAGCAGCTGCTATTTTTGCCAGTCTCGGGTTTATGCTGGGCCTGGTGCTGTGTGGTGGTTATTCACCCAGAAACCTCATGACTTACGTACCTACCCAAACCCACATGCATCATTGGGTAGAATGTGTCCTTGAATTCTTTGATGTTTTTGACATTTGAAGGAAAAGAGCAATGCATTTGTTTTCTAGGAACTTCCACCAAGTATTTCCTAATATCACCATGGAACTGCCAGAGGTTTCTAAAACACATTCTCCTAAATTCTCACAATAAGCCCCAGGGCAGATCTTCACAATCATTCCTTTGTGGACTCAATCTGTATCTCACTATGCCAAAAGCATTTCTATCTTAAAGCTCATCTAATCTTTGAATCTAAAAGTCAGTTCTCTGAAGTACTTATGAAATATACAACTAGGAACTTTATTCTTATAATGCAAGGTAAAGTGATTTTAAACTCCTTTATGGACATATTTTATACAAAAGTAATAAAACTGTCTTTAAAAATTCTACTTAGAGAGTTTACTTGTTTATTCCAAATTTGTCATATCCTGGGCTTAGAATGTGTGTGAAGGACCCAAGCAAATGTAAATTGCTTATTTCAACAATAAGAAAACCCAATGAGCATGCTTCACCAGAACAAATAATTAACATGACTACCCATTAAATTGTGTGTTCCAGAGGAATCAGATGAGTAATTACTGAAGAAAGAGTGCCCAAGTAGTTAAGCTGTTTCTGCTGTCCTTGCAATCCAACAGACCATGCTGTCTCAAAATCGTTTCCCACAAAATGTCTCATTCACCTTGGGTTTTAAGAGAATTATTTCAACCTAACACGTATTCAAAGTCTGAGCTTAGACAGATAATCCATTCTTAGACATCTTGAAAATCATTACATAATGTTTATTCATGGATGATTTGAGGCCGGGTGTGGTGGCTCACACCTCTAATCTCAGCACTTTGGAAGGCTGAGGCGGGCAGATCACTTGAGATCAAGAGTTAGAGACCAGCCTGGCCAACATGGCAAAACACCATCTCTACTGAAAATAAAAAAATTAGCCGGGCATGGTGATGCAGGCCAGTAAACTCAGCTACTAGGGAGGCTGAGGCAGGAGAATCACTTGAACCCAGGAGGTGGAGGCTGCAGTGAGCTGAGATTGTGCCATTGCACAGAATGAAACTGGGCAACAGAATGAAACTGTGTCTCAAAAAAAACAGAACAAAACAACAACAAAAATAAAATAAAAGAAATTCATGGACTATTTTAGTCTGCATTACAGATATTAGTTACCAATCTTTCTTGGTAATTTTTTACATCCATTCATACTTTCTGAGTTACTATTTTGTAGCACTTTTAATTGATTTGTCTCCAAGACACCATTTTTTTCATCTTTGCCTGATGAATAAAGACATAAGAAAATATTTTCCAGGATATTGAAAAGTAGGCATGACAGAGATATTTTAATAATAAATTATTAATAAAGATTAAATTAATTCAAGTCTTATACATACATAGGATACAAGAGAAGAAAAATACTTTTATACAAACGTAGGTCCACATCCACCATGCTAGAGCACCATTTGACCAAGTAAATTTTTTTTAAAGTGACACTTTTTTTCAATGTAAACATGAAGGTTATGAAGTAGGTCTTTTAAAATTATGTGTTTCAGCATAATATGATTGTCAAGTAGAAGATTTCAGAGTTAAACACATCTCAGTTCCGATCTTGATCCTGGAACTCATTAACCACGTAACTTTGGGGAGAGTTTCTGATCTTAATGAGCCATATGTTCCTCACCTGTAAAATGAAAATATCAGTATCATATCTAAACCTCAAGACTGTGGTGAGGATTAATACAGTTGAGTTGATTTATGTAAATAAAGCACTTAGAAGAATACCTGATACAATCTACATGTTAGATAAACAATACGTTATTTCTATTCTAATTAACATCCTCATTCAGAAAAAGGTGCTGAATATGTTTCTTTATATATATCTATACATGGAAAATGAGAGAATGTGAGAGCAAGAATATGCTCTGCAATAGTACCTACATTTAAAAATTTGATGAGGCCTCCAATGTACTCATGAACTTAATTTCAAAAAAAGTAGAATCCTTTCCAAGTAATATTACCATTTATCAGAAATCACAGAAAATTCTAACTTGATAAAAACATAAATTGACTGGTAATTTTAAAATGAATTCTAATTACTTATTCTAAAATATCCAATGAAACAGATACTTGATTAAAATACAATATGGTATTTTCACAGTTTTCCTACATTTCTGAAAGCAGTCATGATGAGGAAAGTTGTCTGTGGCGTTGGTTTGTAAGTTCTTGGCTTTTGTAGTTTAAAATGATTGTTTTTGTAAGTAGAAAAGTTTCTCGGAAAAGGAATAGAGAAAACAAAACTTCTTTCATTGAAATGTGACCTGAACAATAAGCACTATTCTTAGGTGAACTTCATGGTTGATAATCTCAGCTTAGAGCACTTAACCTGCAGATTGGAACAATACTGGATATATTTCCTCATATCAGAATGAGTTTCTTAAGGCTTTTGGAGGAACAGAAATAGTGTAGCTCAGTACTTCTGTCTTTAAAAAGTCCTAACAATCCAAGACAAACCTCAGAAAATCCAGAAATTGGGAGGTCCTGATTATTACAGAATGTATGTCAGGGATTATAGTAGGTTGGTACAAAAGTAATTGCAGTTATTGCAATTGAAAGTAATATTCAAGAAACCTGGGGAATCTTCAACAAATGATGAGAAAGAATGTTTAATCAAGAGAGTCATAAAGTTTATTTAATATATCCTAAAAGTGCATGGAAAAAAATTATCCAATGTCTTGGTTATGTGAAAACCTACAGAGTATGGTGTTGAAACAGATATTTTCTTTGGAAACAGACCTGTGTTCAAATCTGAGTTCTATTACTAGAGAACTGTGCTACCTCAGGAAAATAACCTCTCTGAGTCTCAGTTTCCTCAATGTATGCTGACAATGATATTTTGCATATGCTTAGGATCAATTCAGAAAATGTATATAGAAAAGATAGCCAAGAATCTGATGTATGGCACTAAACATGTGCTAGATTCACATATCTCTAAATATTTACACCCCCCACCCCACCAGATAAATTACGGTTTTAGTACCATTACATTACATAAGAAAGATCATGTGGCCCTGGTGGGAGTATTCACGCTATAAAAACTGGGAGATGGTATAAATCGAGGCCCCCTTTTTCGGCAGAGATCTGTTTTATCACACTCCACTGCCTAAAGGATAGAATTTGAGAATAGAGGCATTGGTGAAAGCAAGGGGATTCTCCTGAACAACATTTTGAAGTTAATAGTTTAGATTTTTTCAAGAATATTTTATAATTAAAATTTCAAAAAGAAAACGAATATATCAGTATGAAATGGTGACACATGCTTTGCAGAGAACTTAAACAGGGTAGTATGATAGAAGCAGCTGCCCTAGATTGAGTAATCTGGGAACATTCTTCTGTGGAGTGATACCTAAAATGAGATATAAATTATAAGAATCCACCAGCCCCTCACTAATTGGAGGCAGCGCATTCCAGGCATAGGGAACAGCAGGTGAAAAGGCCTTAAAGAGCAATGCATTTAACATATTCAAAACTCAGAATGAAAGCTAGTGAGGTTGCAGCTTAGTGAATAAGGAGAAGAATGAGAAGTCATGAAGTGGAAGAATAAAGCAAAGGCCAGATCACTGAGGACTTTGTAAACCAGGTTTAAAAAAAAAAAAAGTGTCTGTTCATGTCCTTCACCCACTTTTTGATGGGGTTGTTTGTTTTTTTCTTGTAAATTTGTTTGAGTTCATTGTAGATTCTGGATATTAGCCCTTTGTCAGATGAGTAGGTTGCGAAAATTTTCTCCCATTTTGTAGGTTGCCTGTTCACTCTGATGGTAGTTTCTTTTGCTGTGCAGAAGCTCTTTAGTTTAATTAGATCCCATTTGTCAATTTTGTCTTTTGTTGCCATTGCTTTTGGTGTTTTAGACATGAAGTCCTTCCCCATGCCTATGTCCTGAATGGTAATGCCTAGGTTTTCTTCTAGGGTAAGAGGAAAATAATTGAAATAGGAGATAAGGGGAGAAGGAGGAGAAAAAGGAAGAGAAGCAAATGGAAAAAGGGAAGGAGAAAGGAGTGGAGAATAAGAAAGAAAGACAAGATAGCAATTTTTTTGTTTTTTGTTTGTTTGTTTTTTGTTTGTATTTTTAGTAGAGAAGGGGTTTCACCAGACAAGATAGCAATTTTTTTGTTTTTTGTTTGTTTGTTTTTGGTTTTTTTATAGCAAATTTTTTGAAGAGTAGAATAAAATACATTGCTATCAGAAAGCATAACATCTTATCAAGGAGATAAACTTTTAATGCAACAAAATGGAAAAAGATTATCACCAGAAGTCTGAGGGAGAACTAAGGCAGACTGGGCAATGTATTACTCCCCTTGACTAGGACATTCATAAGAGAGTCCCCTCACCACACCACAGGCTTTGCTAAATGTTTGGGAAGGAGGAGAAAGCCTGATATTGGCCAAACATTGTGGACTTCCTCCCTCATGACATCAATCATAGGCAAGTTACCAGAACCATAAAATTTTGTTTAAAATTGAGTTGTTTAATGACGTGTTTTGTTTCTCCAAAAAGTTGTAGTACAAAAACTGGGTTAAGGCCAAACTGATTGCAGGCCCCAAACAAAGAAACAGATGCAGGAGTCATTAAAATGGTAAGGATGGAATTCACAAAGCAAAAGGCAAAATAAATACTATAGAGGTTTAGTACAGAAAGAAACTCTTTCAGGTCAAGGGACAAAAGAAATTACTTTCAGAGAAAGTGGATGTTGATTTACACCCAGGCTAGAACAAGCTGTATTTGAGAGACATGTCTCCCATTGCATACTTGACTTGCCACACTTCAGGGAATCGCTGAAAGTTGACCATTTCTAGCCCAAACTTAGCTGTGTGCTGGCCTCTCTCAACTACTCTGAAACTTATGAATTCCTTCTTATGAAAGGAAGAGGTATATTCTTTTATTTTTCTTAACACCTTTATATCTAAGCCAACACTCCTGGAAATTATAGCCATAATTCACATACACATACCTACAAATCTTAAATATAATAAAATAGACTCACCTCATCAAGCTAGAGTTACTAAGCTAGGACATACTGTCATAGTGGACATGGGATGATTAGTATCCAATAATGTACAATATCAAATAGAAGGGATTACTTTAGTAAAGTCTCATGGTAGTTAACAGAAAACACCCAATGTAATAGAAGAGATTTAGTTGACAGCTTGCTGATTCTCTGTATTTACTGCTCGAGTTATAATTTTTTTGTTAATTGTCTTTATTATGGTACTATGTCTTTCTCCTCTCTAGTTAGGCATCTGGGTGCTTTGAGATAGAACTACATAATTGAGAATCAAAAGACCTGAATTCTAGCCACAAGTCTGGTACCTTCTGAAAGTGTGAAAAAAACTGTAATGTCCATGAAGGTAAAAACTATTTGTATTAACATTAGCACTAAGTTCTGAATGCCTAGCAAGGATATGGACTATAGAAGTTGTGCAACAACTATTTCTTGTATAAATAAACTAATTCATTAATGAATGAAGTCACTGAACCTTCTGTACTTCAGTTTTCTCGTTGAAGCATGAGGGTGATATATACATATCTTGCCTACCTTGATATATCATTAGAAGTCCCTGGGAAATTACAGCTCAGGTGGAAGAAAATTATTTTAAGAAGCGATAAAATTTAAATTCAGTTGTCATGATCCACAGAACATTGCTCTGCTTTACAATGGCACTCTGTTAAGCCTTGATTGATTTTTCAGGATAGTTGAAGGAAAAGAGAGCAGGGATAACATTTTGAAAGCACTAATTTACAAACCACTGTTGTTTACTTTTCATCATCTATGTTACTGGAACAGAACAAAGATATAGATGGTACATAATTCAACAGTCATGTGTACTTGGCATTAGAATATGTTTTTGTACTTTTATTTGAATGGAGGGTTGTCTGGTGTTCTGGTAATTGAACTAAACCAAAATAATGAAGTTATAATGATGACATCAGGTTCCGGATTTCCTCATCTTAGGTCCCTGCAACTTAATCCATACAGACTCACATTGCTCTGGAATTAGACCACCTTTTTTTCTTCCCTGAATGAAGAAACCATTTATTTAACAAAACTTAGGGGAATACCTATTTTGTGACTGACACAGGAATAGATAATGAGTATATTCAACCTAGTTGAATGGAAGAAACAGACATATACAATATCCACACTACAACGTGATGAAAACTAGAGTCCCTTGCTACTTCCCCTCCTAGCTAGAGATAACTTTGCCTCCAATGACACAGGTTCTTGAAAGCTATCAGATAATAAAGCATAGCCTGTTCTTTTTCACTTCAACTGCTGAATAACTGGAGAGTTTCAATTGCTTTTCTTTAAATACTCAGGTAATGAAAAATAAAAACAAAAAGAACGCAATGACGGAAGTCTTCCAATTGTCTCCAGAGTTGAGGAATATAGTTAGATAAACAATTCACCATCAGAATAATTTTTAAATTGACTGTGTTTTTCACTCTATAATCCAGTTGCTGACCTTTCCAGTGCTTGGTCTTGACAATTTTCTGGCTCAGTAGTGGGGTTAGCTGGCTAAGACCCTGCAGCCTGCAATAGAAAATAGTCTCTCAAGAGAATGAGAGCTTATGGCGTATTTAATTTGACAATATTCAGAATAGACCAAAGTCATTAATTGTAAATATATATCATCATGCAATACAGAACCTTCCTCCTAGTTCACTCATTCAACAAATCTACTGCATTTTCCAGGCAACAATTGGTTACATTAACGACCTTTATGTTTAAGCTTTAGTTAAATCTGCCATTAACATCTAGGGTTGTCTAATTTTTTAGTTAATCTAAGAAGACCACTATCACAAATCTCAGGAAAGTTACTTTTGCTAAAAGAAAAACTTTCAGCAAATTAAATTTAACAGAATTTAATTGAGTAAAGAATGATTTGCAAATCAGGCAGCCTGGAATAAAAATACATTCAGAGTGACTCCGGAGCTGCCACGTGGTCAAATAACATTTATGGACAGAAAAGGAAAACGGTGTACAGAAAATGGAAATGAATTACAGAAACAGTGAGTTGGTACCCGTTGCAGCTCTGCAATTGCCTTATTTGAACACATTTGAACAGTTGGCTGCTTGTGATTGGCTGTCACTCAGCTTCTTGTTAAAACAGTAGGTTACAGTTTGTTTAACATCATTAGGTTACAGTTCACTATTATAAGAAATCTTTAGGTCAAACTTAAAATATGTATGGAGGCAGCTTTAGGCTAAACGTAATTCAATTTAATACTTTCTAATAGATATAAAGTCCTACTGGTGGGTTTTCTTCTTTAGTAAAGAAAAATGTCTTTTTATTCTAACTAATGATTTATGTACTTGGATTTTTTGACCAGATAAATAACAAATAGTATAATTATTTTAGTATTAATGAGCCATGCAAGCTCTGTCTCATTCTACCAAAAAAGACAAATGTATTAAAAGGCAATAATTTTGTTTTCCTGCATAAGACTATCATGAGTTGCTCAAGATTAAGTTAGCTAAAAAGAACTCTTCCATAATAAAAATTAATTGATAATACATTGTCAAAACACTTGTGATCCTGAACTATTAGAGGGGAGTCGATATTAACAACAAAAAAACTACAAATAAACACAAAACTCCCATTATGAAGGAAATTTAAATAATAACAATGTGCAGAGAGTAATAGTTGTATTTTGAATATTAAAATATATAACAAAAACATTTTTCAATAAAAACATGTATTCACGGCTATTTTTTAAAATGTAGGATATCATGCTTTATACTTATTAAATTATTTATTTCAAGCAACATGATCATATACAAATACATTTCATAGACACATGGAAATTTAGCAATTTTTTAAGGACTGCATTCAGTAAGTAGAGGGAGAATAACTGATGTTTTCAAGGTCAAATCTAAAGGAAACTAGCCCACATTTACTTAGCCCAGCATTGAGGAAGCAAAGAATTCTGCTAAGTAGGCTTTGAAGTTTTGCTTTTCAGACCTATGATTCCTAACAATTCTGTATTTCGCCCTTGAAGTAAAAATAATCACCCATTTATCCTTGACTTTATTAAAGATATTAACTTTTATTCAGTTACAGTATCCAGTTTTATTCAATTAGAGTATCCAGTTTAAGAATTATAAAAGAGTAGAATAGAATTATTCTAGGAGAATTATTCTAGGAGAATTACTCATAACCAAACCAGAAGCCAGAAATGATCACAGGAAAACATTTCTCAGGGGATAATTTAATAACATTACTAAAAGTGTGGGAATCCATATACCACCTAAATGATTAGGAAAGAGGTTATTAGCTAAGCCATTGTCTGAAACCCACTGAATCACTGGTCCTTTTTGAACAATGATTGGTCCTTTTTTTCTAAAGATGAGTTTTAAAATTTAAGAGAAGTGCCAAGCAGTAGAGCTGAGAGAGGAAAAGAACACAGATCTCGCATGGTTCAGATTTTTCTTTTTAGGTCCAGGAGTAAGGTAAGATATCAAATCTTTGCTTTTATAGTTTGAAGAACCAAAATCAGTGAAATCTGCAGGATAGACTATCAAGTTCACCCTAAATGCTTGATTAGGTCAATGATTTGAAGCAGGGAAAAAAGTTTCACATCTAGAAGACAAGAGAAATATACTTAAACAGGTTACACCATAAATCAATATCACAGTTCAGTTTTATAATCTATTGCCATAAATTACAAAAACATTGACTCAGTTGCTTAGTTCTAGTATATTATTCTGTTATTAGACTACTAAGTGGAAATTATCTGGTATTGGACTGGTATTGTCAAATCTCTATTGAAGTACTTTTCAACATAGACATTAAAATTGCTGCAGTAATAAGTCCCTAGTTGGTTAGCCTTAGTCATGACCTCCCATGGTCTGATGGGCCTGCTCCTCTCCTTGTAGGGCAGCACTAGGAGGAGATCATCTTGTTCTTTAATGCATTCAACCACATCATATGTCTCCAAATGAGTATTTTGTTCAAGCTAAAAGGACAAGCAAACAATCTTGGTTTTTATAAACAGCTTGTCTGAGAGAAAATAAAGAGTTATATCAGAAATTTACAAACATAACTTTTTAAATTTTAAATTGCAAAATGTAAGTAAATACTATAGAATTCACCCAGCTATTCCTTTGATTGAACAATACTAATTATTTTGTCATGAATTTTAAGTAATGTCTTTATAAAGCTAAAGATCACAACTTATTTTCTAGATATATCATACGAAAATGAAAATTATAATTCTTCTTGGATTCCTGGGAGCCACATTGTCAGCCCCAGTAAGTGATTTTATGGCACTACTAGTCCCACTGTGTTAAACCTTCAACAATCCCTTCTTTTTACTATTTCTGATTTTTTTTTCATTTTTACTTTTAGCTTATCCCACAGCGTCTCATGTCTGCCAGCAATAGCAATGAGGTTAGTTTAAATAATTAAAACAATCTCCTCCTTTTTTTAATGGAAATCAAGTGGGAAGAGATAGAAGTCGTCATTTAATTTATACTGTGTTCCTCACCACTAGCTTTTATGTATATCCAAGCACATTTCTAATGTCCATGTTTGATTATATAACAGGTTACCTCTAAAATATTATTCTGCTTCCCTTGATTGATTGTTAATTCTTCAAAGGCGGATACAATATTGTTTATATCTTTTTGTTCTAATAACACCTCACACAGGTGTATATAGGTGTTTAAAAACATAAAATGACTAAACCACTGGAATGTGCTAACGTTGTGCAATCTCATACCCAACAGAGGAGAGGTTGTTAAATCCCAACCTTGTTTTAAATCTAACTTCTAATCACTGTAATTTAATGTAAGCCTAGTGAGAAAATGTCCCACTTCTAACAAGAAATTGAGCAACCAGCTATGACTTGTGCTATATTTGCAGTAAACATTGTTCCTACTCATTTTAGTGTGTAGTAATCTTGATTTCATATTATTTTTCTTTTTCTAGTTACTTCTTAATCTTAATAATGGTCAACTTTTGCCACTACAACTTCAGGTACCTCCATTTCAATAATTACTTTATGGGGAATATTTACCTATTGCTCATTTATGTTATTTTGTAAGAAAACAAAATGTTTCCTGATCCTATTTTGGAAATCTCAGTTTTTAACATTATGAATTTGTCTCATATGTTCTAGTGGCCATTTGCTTGAAGATTAAAGTAAAAACTGTAATTTGAACAACACTTATTTATTGAGAACTTGGTATATGCCAGGCACTAATTCTCACAACTATGAGATAGTTAAAAGTAATTATTTTACAAAAAGTCATGCCCAGTTAACCAGTAACAGCAGGTTGGCAGGTTTAGGGTTAAGGTAGGGGAAAATACAGACGGTTTAAAACCAGTGTGGCATATGCAGATGTTGGGCTCTTTTATCAACCTTATCCTGCCCCATATTTCTCATGGCCATCGGGAATTTAGCATTTGCTTCGTATTATTTGCTTGGTTCAAAATGAATCAAGATGCTGTCCTTTTTTATGTTGCAACATTGGAACTATAGAAATTGTTTGTATTTTGCCTCTTTCTTGCTCAGGACTAATTTTTAAATTCTTTTTGGCATGAAGGGAACATGCTTTCTTTCCTTTGTGTCTTTTTAGGGCCCACTTAATTCATGGATTCCACCTTTCTCTGGAATTTTACAACAGCAGCAGCAGGCTCAAATTCCAGGACTCTCCCAGTTCTCTTTATCAGCTCTAGACCAGTTTGCTGGACTGCTCCCAAATCAGATACCCTTAACAGGAGAGGCCAGTTTTGCCCAAGGAGCCCAGGCAGGCCAAGTTGATCCCTTACAGCTTCAAACACCGCCTCAGACACAACCAGGCCCCAGTCACGTAAGTCAGGCCTCTTTCATTTTGTTCTGAGGAGAGAGAACTGCATGTTTAATCTGACAATGAATATGAATCAGCTTTGAAATAGGCAGGGGTTTTTGAACAATATTTTTTCTCATTATATGTTTCTACCATCGCTGTAAGTTCTTTCTTTTATTTTCTGATTTCTAAGACAAAAAATATTTAAATCAGCTACTCTAGGATACAGCAACAAGCCAAAAAAGTTAAAAACAAGTCTAGGATAAGATAGGAAAACTTCAATAATAGGCAGTTTATGTCAGCACATGTAACGGATGACTTTTTGTTGTGGAAACTTGTTAACACAAAGGATAAATTTATATGGCTAGCTCTAGGAAAAGCAGCTCAGGGATTTTTAAATAACAAAGTCAAGCATACATTTTTATATAATTCTTTTTTTTGGCAGGTGATGCCCTATGTATTCTCCTTCAAAATGCCTCAAGAGCAAGGACAGGTAAATGGATATAACAACACTGCCCATAGAGATGGCTACATACACTCTCCACAATGCTTTCTATTTCTAGCTCTGACTCCTATAGCAGGGCTATAAAAACCTATATAATGATATCACTGTCTAGATAACATCATTGCTGGGCTAGTATCAGTTTGTTGATGTTGGGCTCACTTAACAACTCCTTAAGGACAGGCAGCTAAGTAGAGTCTCCAGGACCCCTGAATTTCCAGGGCATTGCTATGTTGAGAGTAAAAGAGCTCAGTAAGCCCCAGGTCATGTCCTCTCTGCATCCAAAGTGCTGGAAGTTGGGAAAAACTCAAGAGAAATACCATGGGCTGACTTTATCCAAATTTAAATTTTGCTTCAGAAGGAGATGCACTAAGCTGATAATATATGATATGATGTAGAGATAAGAAACACTTGCCCATGTTATTTGGCTGTTATGAAATTCTGCTCAAAACATTTTAAGCTTCTTATACATTTCCAATTTGAATCCATATTACAATCAAATGGTAATTTTTTCCATTAAATAGGATAATCTTTTAAAAATGAATGCAAACTAGTATAATCATCATATTAATATGGAAAACCCTATAAATATCAGGATTATTAATTTTACAATATTCTGGGTTCAAAGAAACAGTATTATAAATAAATTATATTACTCATCACAGAATATTGGCCTTTTCATAAAAAGTTACAGCATTTGACTCTACTGTAATTATAACTAAATAACTTTGTCCCACATCCACTCCCATTATAAAACAAAAGTTACTTCTAGACATTATCTCATTCTATGACATAAGCATTTAAAGAATTAGATGTATAACTAGAATTACTTCATCTTAAGAATCAAGAAACCTAGTCTTAATGAGATCAAATTCCTCATCCCATTGAAAGTAAATAGCTGAGTTGGAATATAATTCTCCACCCCTTCTGTCTCCTTTAACCATGAAACCAGTAGCTCTCCATCCTGGCTTTACATTAGAATCTCTGGTGTTTGAAAATTACAGACGTCTGAACCCTACCCCAGTGAATCAATACCCCATGAATAGATGTTAAGTTTGGTCATCTTCTAAAATGCTCAAATGTGAGTTTGATTCTTAGCCAGGATTAAGAATGCTTGCACAAAATATAATCCTCCTGAAACCCTAGTTGTTTTTTTTAACTTCATGTCTAATACAATCTCTTACTTTATGCAAATAAAAACAGCATACAAAAATTAACATATGTACTAAGATTCTCATTTTCTATGAACACATACACAAATAAACAGACACAGACATATAAGTAGAAGGCAATGATAATATAAATGGAAGCCACATGGTAATGTAGGTGGGGAAGTTTCAGATGATTTCATTTGTTACTTGTCTATGTCTTGATTTACCAAATATCCTAAAATATATATGGATTATTTTAATAAAGTAGCAATTCTTAAAGGCAATACATTCATAGCATTTCATTTATTATGGCAGAACATCTAATACCACATTCTGCAGAATGATGATTCTCAAAAATATAGGGTAAGTGCTACATAGGCTATCTTTCACTTAGGTATTTGCAAAGTAATTTGTATATAAAGTTTCTAAGATGTCCTTTGAAAAAAAAAAAAAGCTCTTCTGCTTAGTTCAACCCACTATTTCCTAAATGTGTTTGCCCAAGCAACCTTAAAAACCAAGTCCAGTATTACCTGGGATACAAGTTGTTTCCAAAGTTTGGGAAGGGATTCTTCATCTATTTGCTTTGTATTTAATCATATAAAGCTGCTAGACATAAAACAGCTTTTAAATAAAATTGACATTAGAAGATAAAAAGTATGTCCTATGCTGATTTAATGGAATCTCTTGTATCCTTCTCTTTTTACAAGTAGATGTTTCAATACTATCCAGTTTACATGGTCCTACCCTGGGAACAACCTCAGCAAACAGTTCCAAGGTCACCTCAACAAACAAGACAGCAACAGTATGAGGAGCAGGTACTGCAAATGTTTTATTTTAATCCTACTAGTTCCACTTGAAAATAGAGAAAATAAGGTATATTACCATAGAAAAAAAGTTTCTGAGTATATTTAATGCAAACACTCAACAGCATGAAACAGGTAGGCATAAGAGGGTAGGTATAGTGTTCTCGGCTATAAATCATTTGTGTAAACTTATTTGGTAATATTCCAGGGCTGGATTTTTAGCCAATGAAATCAGTAAGTGGACTTCAATAGAATCAAGGCCAAAAAGCTGAATAACCTCGAAAAGTGAAGTTTTCTCACATTTAAAATTTACTAGCATCCACCTTTCCACATATGTGTGTGTGGTTACTATTTAAAAATAATAAATGGCAAAAATATTAGCTACCTTGATGAAAGATATATCTGATCACTGGATTTTGAGATACAATTAGATACCATTATATTAAATTTTGTGAAACTGCAATAAATTTTTAGAATTCTAACATAAATTCAGGTGGCTCATATATTATTAACATCCTTCCTGTTAGAATGAAAATGTCTTTTTTTTAGTTTAATCATAACTCTAAAACCTGGCATTACAAATTAGAGAAAACTCAGAATTATGCTTTAAAAAACTGGTAGTATTAATTCTAATTGTCATGTTGCTTTAAAGGGAAAGAGAGAGTTTTATCCTAGAAATGATATGGTATTAAAAAGATTCTTGTTAATTTAACAATAATTAATTTTTAGTTACTGGAACATATAAACTTTAAAAATGCTTTTAACTTATATAAAAAGATATATAAGTTTAAGTAATCATTTACTGCAAACTTACGACAAGAATAATCACAGAAAATATAATACATTTTTTAAAAAATCTGACAGATACCATTCTATGCTCAATTTGGATACATTCCACAACTAGCAGAACCTGTAAGTAAATGCATATTTTTCATTAAAAATATTTTGAAACTACTTCCTTCATTGTCTACTAAATCTATCAATGCCCTTCAGCCAAAGATGACCAGGAGCGCACCTCTAATTGAACAAAATTGTATGTATCCACTCAGTACAAGGAGGAGAACACACACGTGGGGATTCTTGGGTGTCTTAATAGGAAAGTATTAGAATGACTTCTCACATGATTTGGGCTTCTTTTAGGTAATTTGGGGAAGATTGCAAAGAAGTGGTTGTTCACTCTGCAGTGGCTATTCTCAAAAGTAGGGTAGCTCTATGATTATTTTAAAAGCTCATTTCTCTAAGGCAAGGATAGTGGAGCAAGGTGAAAGCTTTAATGGGTAAAGAAGCATCAGTCGCTCATATTAGCCAAGATGTGAGAACACCTGGTATTTTCGTAACTTGTATGGTGACCTTACTTCAGACAAAATTTTGAAATTGTCTTGTTTTTTCCACCCCTTCTGATGTTGGTGTTCTGTAGAATTCTTTATGCTCAACAGGTAAGTACCTGGTCCTAGTAGAGAATGTTAGAAAGTAGCACTTTCAGAACAGAAGCAGAGGCGAGATGTCAAGCCAGTTCTCTAATAGCAAAAATTAAACTATTATTTCTGTTTTTAGCAAAATAATTTAAGAAGTTTGGGAGTGTTTTACTACTCTGGTACTCTGGGTGGCCAAAGAGCATATTTTCAACGATCACTGATTTAGACTTTTTAAAACTTTTTGTGTTTTTAGGCTATATCAGGAGGACAGCAGCAACTAGCTTTTGATCCCCAACTAGGCACAGCTCCTGAAATTGCTGTGATGGTAAGATTCCTTACAACACTTTGCCAGCTACTGGAAATCAACAATTGACAACTTACTGCACTAATGTTCATTTTAATATCAACTCTGTTGTAATTCCATCAATAATTTTTGCTTCTTCTTCTTCTTACAATATTTTGCCAGTAAAGATTCAGTTCACTCTTACTCAGTTCATCAGTATTTTTAAGTATGCTATGCCAGGTACTCTTTGATGCACCTTTATTTAAAAGCAGATATTAAGAGACAATGTTTGCTGGTATATATTCATGGTCTTTTATGTAGCTTATAATCTAAAAATACTAATAATAGCAACTCTTTTTTTAATATAATGCTTTTGTTACATCTCAATCCTGTTGCTTTACATTCTTCCCAATTTTGGCCTTCTTGTTGAACTTACGACAACTTTGTTTTCATTCTCATTCTCTGTAGTCAACAGGAGAAGAGATACCATATTTACAAAAAGAAGCGATCAACTTTAGACATGACAGTGCAGGAGTTTTCATGCCCTCAACTTCACCAAAACCCAGCACAACCAATGTTTTCACTTCTGCTGTAGACCAAACTATTACCCCAGAGCTCCCAGAAGAGAAGGTAGAGTCATGAAAACTTCACTTTATGCAAAAAAATTGTCTAATGAAAAAATACAGTGATAAAATTAGTGCTTTAATTTATAGGACTTAGTCATGAAATTAAGAAGATAACTAATGAAAAATATGTGGTCTTAACTCTGAATAAGGTGGCCAAAACTTGTTTTTGATAATCAATTAATCAGAATATAATTTAATTTCAATTTAATAACAGTTTCTTATGAATGTCCTTTTCTCACTAGGACAAGACTGACAGCCTAAGGGAACCATAAGAAGTTGCCCTGATCATTCAGACATTTTGGTAGGTATTTGCCAAAGTCAAGAATTAGGTGCCACGACAATTCCTACATAAGAAGACAAAAGAAAAAAGTTGGCAGAGGAGCTAATGGAGTTCTTACCAAAGTAGTTATAAAAACAAGTTAGCTATATATACCTATAAAATTAATAATAATTATGGACTTCAACAATTTTTAAAAACAAAATTAAATTTTGAGAATCATGTCTGCCTATAAGTTTGGTATACTCTCTGAAAACACAAATACTAGATATTCTAGGTCCATTGTAAAAGACATTCTATAGACACTCCATACAGAATCAATTCTCCCAAATCATCATTTCATTTTGCAAGTAAACATTGTAATAATTCCAATATATCTGTATTAGTTTGAAATTAAGTAAAAATCTCAAAATGATAAAGAAATTGTACAATGAAAAGAAAATTTCAAATTCCATGACTTTTATATCAGACATAATCTTGAACTAATTACCTGTTTTAATCAGCTTGGTTGGCTATGAGGCCACAATAGGAGTTTGATAGAAGGGCAGTCTGGGAACAGCACCAAAAAGTAAAAACACACACTGAAAAGCAAACAATTTAACTTGAAGGGCAAACTAAAAGACAAAGTTTTTGAAATCTCCTCCCTGCTGCCTGTGAGCCTCTTTTGATCTCTCCTTCCATAAAAATGAGCACGCAGCATTCTTCAGATGAAAAAAGTTTATAAAAACACAACCAAGTGAACAGTAATAATACCTCTTTAGGAAAGCCTCCTTACTAATGTACTATATTGTACAAGGCAAATCAAGTTATTCAGTAAGAAATACTAAAGAGATTTCAGTATTTTTATGACCTTTTTTCTGTATGTATGAATGCCAGTGAAAGAAAAGCTTTCTATTTCTTTAATAAGCAATTTGTAAGATATCTAGGATGTTTTATGCAAAGCAGTCCAATGATATTAAAATGCTTTTCTATTATATTTTTCAGGGAAAAAGATGTGGCCATGCCTTGGATATAATTTTAGGCTATTAGCTTCCTCAATACTAGTATCAGTTCTTTGGAATACATGAAATATCTTGACTCTTCTCCTAAATTTGTTTTTACTTATACATGTTATTAAACTCTTTAAATATGTCATAGAAAATAATACAATCATGTAATGAGTCTTGTCTTACAAAATTATATGTCTCTTCAAATATCCTATCATTGTATAATATGGAATATAATAACACAGAATAAAGCTAGTATCATTAAATCAATTGGATAATTGCATTAGTAAATGATGCCTCTGCAAAATGGTAGTACCCATGAAGATATGTATATTGTCATTGGATGTATGATGAGTGTTGTGATTGGAACTGATGAAGTAAAATAAGTATCTAGATTTGACATGTCATCTCTTCATTTCCCTAAGGTCCATTTAGTCAGTTTCCTCCTGAGACATTCTCATGACAATCAAAATTATTTGGTGGCAGATATCATAAAGTGCTTATTCCTAATATGACACAGTCACATAGAGAGGTGTCTGTCCTTACTCAAAAGGATAGGAAAGTGTATGCTTGTTTGGGGGAGGCAGCATCCTGTAGAGAATAAGGTGGAGATTTTGGGTTTCATCAGATCTGGCTTTCAATCTAGAATAATTTCTCTAAAATCAGCTTTGCTTACATTTGGTAATTCTCAAAACTTTCCCTACCAACTATTCTCCACTGGATGTTTCCTATCTAAATAAAACAGCATTAGTTCAAGAATAAAATATAGACTAACACAGGAACAGAAAACCAAACACCACGTGTTCTCACTCATAAGTGGGAGTTGAATAATGAGAACACATGGACACAGGGAGGGGAACATCACACACAGGGGCCTGTTGGGGGTGGGAAGCAAGGAGAGGGGAGAGCATTAGGACAAATGCCTAATGCATGTGGGGCTTAAAACTTAGATGACAGGTTGATAGGTGCAGCAAACCACCATGGCACATGTATACTTATGCAAAAAACCTGCATGCTCTGCACATGTATCAGAACTTAAAGTAAAATTTTTAAAAAAGAATGAAGTATAGAATCCATACATGACTTCAACTCCTCCATACATCTATATTCAATCTGTCATCATAGCCTAATAGAGTAATACTTTCAAATGAAGACATTTTAAGTGTGTAGTGTGAAAAATGTATATATCTTGTAACCATCACCCCATTAAGATACAGAACATCTCCAACACCCCATAAACTTCTTTCATACTCTTCTCCAATCAATTTAGTCTCCCCACTCTCATGCCAAGCAACTATTTTCATATTTCAATCAACACATATTAATTTAGCCTATTCTGGGTTTTTATATAAATTAAATCATACATGATGTATTCTTTCATGTCTGGTTTCTTTTATTCAACATAATGCTTTTGTGATTCATTCATGTTATTGCTTAAGTGGTATACCACATTGCATTAATATATGTCATTTTCTTTATCCATTCTCCTATTGTTGAACATTTGAGTTGTTTCCAATTATTGAATATCAGAAATAAAGCTGCAGTGAACATTCTTGTACACTTTTTGTAAACACATGTTTTCATATCTCTTAAGTAAATACCAAGACACAGCTCTAACTCAAAGGATATGTATATGTTATGAGAGACTGCTAAATAGTTTCTAATGTGGCTGTTCCATTTTATACCCTTATTAGGAGTGAATAAGAATTCCAGTTCCTCTCACTTCTGGCCCACAATTATTATAGAATTGTCCTTTCTTAAAATTGTTTTTATAAATTCCTCTTTTGTCACACATCCCTTAAATGTTAACCTTCATACAGGTTGACCTCAGTCCTCTTTTCTCCTCTCTCTCAAAAAATCGCTGCATCGATTTTTTTTAAATTGCTACATGAACATTTCCATTTTGACTTTAATAGGATTTATAAAAAGGTACTGGCTCCTAAATCTGTATCTCAGCATATTTATAGTCTCATCTATTAAATAGTTCTGGATTCCGTGTTTTATTTTAAAATGTTCAAAGAGGCATCTCATGGTTTAAATTTGCATTATCCTGATGACTAATTGTGTTATATTTGTTTCTACACTTATCAGTCATTAGTATAACATGTTTTTTGAAGTGTACTACTGCTACGTATAACTTTTAAATAATTTTTAAAAGAAAAAATATATTTACTTACATATTTACCAATTTCAGTGTTCTTCCTTCCTATACGTCTGAGATTTCATCCACTATAATTTCCCTTTTATATAAAGAAATGTCTCCAAAATTTATTTAGTTTGCATCTGATTGCTATAAATTCCCCCATTTTTATTTATCAAAAAATGCCTTTATTATGCCCACATTTTATAGATATTTTTTAATATAAAATTCTAAGTTGACTGACTTTTTTTCTTTCCACACTTGAAAATTGTTCTAACATTATCTTCTGGCCTCTAATGGTTTCAATAAAAAGTCACCTGCCATTCCTATTGACATTCCCCTGTATGCAGTGTATCTTTTTCTAGAGCTGTTTTTATGACTTTCTCTGTCCCTTTCATGTCCAGCAGTTTGACTCGAGGAGAGTTAAGTGTGGCTGGCTAATTTTGTAGGAATCATATTAGGTGTGCACTTTGCTTTCTGAATCTGCATATTGGTTTTGATAAAAATAGGAAAAGTTTCATCAGTACTTCTTTGACTATTTTTCTGTTTCGTTTTTTTCTCTTCTCTCATTCTTACAACTCCAATTCCATGTATATTGGATTAATTGACACTATTTCTTAGGTCATTGAGCCTTTGTTGATTTATATTTTCTGAGCACTTCAGTTTGAAAATTTCCATTTACCTTCAACTTCACAGATCCTTTCTTCTATTAGAGCCAATCTGCTTCTGCTACTAATATCATCTAATAAATACATCCAGTTTTTTTAAATTTTAAGTTTAGGATTTTTATTTAATTTTTAACAGTTTTCTTATAGTTCCAGAAATTTTCTAACTCATCACTCGATATACTCAGCATATTCCTATCAATCTTCTAGCATGTTTATTCTAGTTGAAGTGTATTTTTTTACTATTATTACACTTTAAGTTCTAGGGTACATGTGCACAACGTGCAGGTTTGATATATAGGTATACATGTGCCACGTTGGTTTGCTGTACCCATCAACTCATCATTTACATTAGGTATTCCTCCTAATGTTATCCCTCCCTCAGCCCCCTACCCCACGACAGGCCCCAGTGTGTGATGTTCCCCACTCTGTGTCCAAGTGATCACATTGTTCAATTCCCACCTATGAGGGAGAACATGTGGTGTTTGGTTTTCTGTTCTTGCAATAGTTTGCTGAAAAAGATGGTTTCCAGCTTCATCCATGTCCCTACAAAGGACATGAACTCATCCTTTTTATGGCTGTATAGTATTCCATGGTGTATATGTGCCACATTTTCTTAATCCAGTCTATCATTGATGGATGTTTGGGTTGGTTCCAAGTCTTTGCTATCGTGAATAGTGCCAAATAAACATACATGTGCATGTGTCTTTATAGTAGCATGATTTAAAATTCTTCGGGTATATACCCAGTAATGGGATTGCTGGGTCAAATGGTAATTCTAGTTCTAGATCCTTGAGGAATCGCCACACTGTCTTACACAATGGTTGAACCAATTTACACTCTCACCAACAGTGTAAAAGCATTCCTATTTCTCCACATCCTCCCCAGCATCTGTTGTTTTCTGACTTGTTAATGATTGCCATTCTAACTGGCATGAGATGATACCGCATTGAGGTTTTGATTTGCATTTCTCTGATGATCAGTGATGATGAGCATTTTTTCATGTGTCTGTTGGCTGCATAGATGTCTTCTTTTGGGAAGTGTCTATTCACACACTTTGCCCACTTTTTGATGGGGTTGTTTGTGTTTTTCTTGTAATTTGTTTGAGTTCTTTGTAGATTCTGGATATTAGCACTTTGTAGGATGGGTAGACTGCAAAAATTTTCTCCCATTCTGTAAGTTGCTTGTTCACTCTGATGGTAGTTTCTTTTGCCGTGCAGAAGCTCTTTAGTTTAATTAGATCCCATTTGTCTATTTTAGCTTTTGTTGCCATTGCTTTTGGTGTTTTAGTCATGAAGTCCTTGCCCATGCCTATGTCCTGAATGGTATTGCCTAGGTTTTCTTCTAGGGTTCTTATGGTTTTAGGTCTAACATGTAAGTCTTTAATCCATCTTGAATTAATTTTGTATAAGGTGTAAGGGAGGGATCCAGTTTCAGTTTTCTACTTATGGCTAGCTAGTTTTCCCAGCACAATTTATTAAATAGGGAATCCTTTCCCCATTTCTCGTTTTTGACAGGTTTGTCAAAGATCAGATGGTTGTAGATGTGTGGCATTATTTCTGAGGCCTCTGTTCTGTTCCATTGGTCTATATCTCTGTTTTGGTACCAGTACCATGCTGTTTTGGTTACTGTAGCCTTATAGTATAAAGTCAGGTAGTGATGCCTCCAGCTTTGTTCTTTTGCTTAGGATTGTCTTGGCAACGCAGGCTCTTTTTTCATTCCATAGGAACTTTAAAGCAGTTTTTTCCAATTCTGTGAAGAAAGTCATTGGTAGCTTGGTGAGGATGGCATTGAATCTATAAATGACCTTGGGCAGTATGGCCATTTTCACGATATTGATTCTTCTTACCCATAAGCATGGAATATGCTTCCATTTGTTTGTGTCTTCTTTTATTTTGTTGAGCAGTGGTTTGTAGTTCTCCTTGAAGAGGTCCTTCACATCCCTTGTAAGTTGGATTCCTAGGTATTTTATTCTATTTGTAGCAATTATGAATGGGCGTTCACTCATGATTTGGCTCTCTGTTTGTCTGTTAATGGTGTATAAGAATGCTTGTGATTTTTGTACATTGATTCTATATCCTGAGACTTTGCTGAAATTGCTTATCAGCTTAAGGAGATTTGGGGCTGAGATGATGGAGTTTTCTAAATATACAATCATGTCATCTGCAAACAGGAACAATTTGACTTCCTCATTTCCTAATTCAATACCCTTTATGTCTTTCTCTTGCCTGATTGCCCTGGCCAAAACTTCCAACACTATGTTGAATAGGAGTGGTGAGAGACGGCATCCTTTTCTTTTGCCGATTTTCAAAGGGAATGCTTCCAGTTTTTACCCATTCAGTATGATATTCTCTGTGAGCTTGTCATAAATAGCTCTTGTTATTTTGAGATACGTTCCATCAATACCTAGTTTATTGAGTTTTTAGCATGAAGGGCTGTTGAATTTTGTTGAAGGCCTTTTCTGCATCTATTGAGATAATCATTTGGTTTTTGTCATTGGTTCTGTTTATGTGATGGATTACATTTATTGATTTTCATATGTTGAACCAGCCTTGCATCCCAGGAATGAAGCCCACTTGATCGTGGTGGATAAGCTTTTTCATGTGCTGCTAGATTTGGTTTGCCACTATTTTACTGAGGTTTTTTGCATCGATGTTCATCAGGGATATTGGTCTAAAATTCTCTTTTTTTGTTGTGTCTTTGCCAGACTTTGGTATCAGAATGATGCTGGCTTCATAAAATGAGTTAGGGAGGGTTCCCACTTTTTCTATTGATTGGAAGGAATGGTACCAGCTCCTCTTTGTACCTCTGGTAGAATTCGGTTGTGAATCCATCTGCTCCTGGACTTTTTTTGGTTAGTAGGCTGTTAATTATTGCCTCAATTTCAGAGCCTGTTGTTGGTCTATTCAGAGATTCAACTTCTTCCTGGTTTAGTCTTGGGAGAGTGTATGTGTCGAGGAATTTATCCTTTTCTTCTAGATTTTCTAGTTTATTTGCGTAGAGGTGTTTATAGCATTCTGTGATGGTAGATTGTATTTCTGTGAGATCGGTGGTGATATCCCTTTATCATTTTTTATTGCGTCTATTTGATTCTTCTCTTTTTTCTTCTTTATTAGTCTTGCTGGAAGTCTATCAATTTTGTTGATCTTTTCAAAAACCAGCTCCTGGATTCATTACTTTTTTGAAGAGTTTTTTTAAGTGTCTATCTCTTTCAGTTCTGCTCTGATCTTAGTTATTTCTTGCCTTCTGCTAGCTTTTGAATTTGTTTGCTCTTGCTTCTCTACTTCCTTTAATTTTGATGTTAGGGTCCTGATTTTAGATCTTTCCTGCTTTCTCTTGTGGGGATTTAGTGCTATAAATTTCCCTCTACACACTGCTTTAAATGTGTCCCAGAGATTCTGGTACGTTGTGTCTTTTTTCTCATTGGTTTCAAAGAACATCCTTATTTCTGCCTTCATTTCGTTATTTACCCAGTAGTCATTCAGGAGCAAGTTGTTCAGTTTCCACATAGTTGTGTGGTTTTGAGTGAGTTTCTTAATCCTGAGTTCTAATTTGATTGTACTGTGGTCTGAGAGACAGTTTGTTATAATTTCTGTTCTTTTACATTTGCTGAGGAGTGCTTTACTTCCAATTATGTGGTCAATTTTAGAATAAGTGTGATGTGGTGCTGAGAAGAATGTATATTCTGTTGATTTGGGGTGGAGAGTTCTGTAGATGTCTATTAGGTCTGTTTGGTGCAGAGCTGAGTTGAGGTCCCGTATATCCTTGTTAATTTTATGTCTCATTGATCTGTCTAATATTGACAGTGGGGTGTTAAAGTCTCCCATTATTATTGTGTGGGAGTCTAAGTCTCTTTGTAGGTCTCTAAGGACTTGCTTTATGAATCAGGATGCTCCTGTATTGGGTGCATATATATTTAGGATAGTTAGTTCTTCTTATTGAATTGATCCCTTTATCATTATATAATGGCCTTCTTTGTCTCTTTTGATCTTTGTTGGTTTAAAGTCTGTTTTATCAGAGACTAGAATTGCAACTCCTGCTTTTCTTTGCTTTCCATTTGCTTGGTAGATCTTCCTCCATCCCTTTATTTTGAGCCTATGTGTGTCTCTGCATGTGAGATGGGTCTCCTGAATACAGCACACTGACAGGTCTTGACTCTTTATCCAATTTGCCAGTCTGTGTCTTTTAATTGGGGTATTTAGCCCATTTACATTTAAGGTTAATATTGTTATGTGTTAATTTGATCCTGTCATTATGATGTTCACTGGTTATTCTGCCCATTAATTGATGCAGTTTCTTCATAGCATCAATGGTCTTTACAATTGGGCATGTTTTTACACTGGCTGGTACTGCTTCTTTCTTTCCATGTTTAGTGCATCCTTCAGGAGCTCTTTAAAGCAGGCCTGGTGGTGACAAAAATCTCTCAGCATTTGCTTGCCTGTAAAGGATTTTATTTCTCCTTCACTTATGAAGCTTAGTTTGGCTGGATATGAAATTCTGGGTTGAAAATTCTTTTCTTTAAGAGTGCTGAATATTGGCCCCCACTCTCTTCTGACTTGTAGTGTTTCTGCTGAGAGACCTGTTGTTAGTCTGATGGGCTTCCCTTTGTGGGTAACTTGACCTTTCTCTCTGGCTGCCCTTAACACTTTTTCCTTCATTTCAACTTTGGTGAATCTGACAATTATGTGTCTTGGGGTTGCTCTTCTCTAGGAGTATCTTTGAGGTGTTCTCTGTATTTCCTGAATTTGAATGTTGGCCTACGTCTCTAGGTTGAGGAAGTTCTCCTCAATAATACCCTGAAAAGTGTTTTCCAACTTGGTTCCATTCTCCCCATCACTTTCAGGTACACCAATCAGATATAGATTTGGTCTTTTCACATAGTCCCATATTTCTTGGAGGCTTTATTCATTTATTTTTACTCTTTTTTCTCTAACCTTGTCTCCTCACTTTTTTCATTCATTTGATCTTCAATCACTGATACCCTTTCTTCCACTTGATCAAATCGGCTATTGAAGCTTGTGCGTGCATCACAAAGTTCTCGTGCCATGGTTTTCAGCTCCATCAGGTCATTTAAGGTCTTGTCTACACTGTTTATTCCAGTTAGCCATTCATCTAATCTTTTCTCTAGGTTTTTAGCTTCTTTGTGATGGGTTCAAACATCCTCCTTTAGCTCGGAGAAGTTTGTTATTACCTGAAGTTGTTATCTTCTGAAGCCTACTCTGTCAACTTGTCAAAGCCATTCTCCATCCAGCTTTGTTCCATTGCTGGAAAGGAGCTGCAATCCTTTGGAGGAGAAGAGGCACTCTGATTTTTAGAATTTTCACCTTTTCTGCTCTGGTTTCTCCCCATCTTTGTGGTTTTATCTACCTTTGGTCTTTGATGATGGTGACCTACAGATGGGGTTTTGGTGTGGATTTCCTTTTTGTTGATGTTGATGCTATTCCTTTATGTTTGTTAGTTTTCCTTCTAACAGTCAGGTCCCTCAGTTGCAGGTCTGTTGGAGTTGGCTGTAGGTCCACTCCAGACCCTGTTTGCCTGGGTATCATCAGTGGAGGCTGCAGAACAGCAAATGTTGCAGATCAGCAAATATTACTGCCTGATCGTTCCTCTGGAAGCTTTGTCCCAGAGGGGCAGCCACCTATATGAGGTGTCTGTCAGCCCCTACTAGGAGGTGTCTCCCAGTTAGGTTACACAGGGGTCAGGGACCCACTTGAGGAGGCAGTCTGTCTGGTCTCAGAGCTCATATGCCGTGCTGGGAGAACCACTGCTCTCTTCAGAGCTGTCAGACAGGGATCTTTAAGTCTGCAGAAGTTGTCTGCTGCCTTTTGTTCAGCTATGCCCTGCCCACACAGGTAGATTCTAGAGGCAGTAGGCCTTGTTGAGCTGCAGTGGGCTCCACCCAGTTCAAGCTTCCCGGTGCTTTGTTTACCTACTCAAGCCTCAGCAATGGCGGACACCCCTCCCCCAGCCAGACTGCCTCGCAGAGCAATCTCAGACTGCTGTGCTAGCAGTTAGCTAGGCTCAGTGGGCATGGGACCCACTGAACCAGGCACAGGAGATAATCATCTTGTCTGCCGGTTGCTAAGACCTTGAGAAAAGCACAGTATTTGGGCAGGGAATGTCCTGTTTTTCCAGCTAGTCTGTTACAGCTTCCCTTCACTAGGAAAGGGAAATCCCCAGACCCCTTGCACTTCCAGGTGAGGTGACGCCCCGCCCTGCTTCAGCTCATGCTCCGTGGGCTGCACCCACTGTCCAACCAGTCCCAATGAGAAGAATCAGGTACCTCAGTTGGAAATGCAGAAATCACCTGTCTTCTGCATTGATCACACTGGATGCTGCAAACCGGAGCTCTTCCTATTCAGCCATCTTGGAACTGAAACCTAGTTGAAGTTTTTATCTGCTGATTTCAATATGTAGGTTGTCTGTGAATCTATAGTGACTGATTTTGCTCTCAAGTATAGGTCACATTCACTTGCTTCTGTCATATGTGTACGGTTTTTGTTTTGTTTTAGTTTTGCTTTGCACTGTATGCTTGACTTTGTAAATGATAAGATAGAAAGCCTGCATTCTGTCATCTTCATCTGAAGAGTGTTGCATTGCTCATATTGATCTTGTAAAGGTTTGTTTTTTGTTTTGTTTTGTATTATCTTTTAAAAAAAATTCGTATATTTTTAAGTGGCATAAGACCAGTTTTGCTACATCGATATATTTGTAGTGATAAGTCTGGATGTTTAGTGTAACTATCACCCAAATAAGGTACAGTATGCCCCTTCAATCAGTTCTCACCCTTCGCCCCCTCCCACAATCCCACTTTCCTGAGTATTATTCCGTATTCTATGTCCACGTGTACACACTATTTAGCTTCCACTAATAAGTGAGGACATGTGGTATTTCATTTTCTGTTTCTGTATCCAACTGAATAACCCATTTAGAAGTTTGATGGTACATCAAACCCAACCTATTCAAAACCTAACTTACTATTTCTCCCTCTTAATATGCTCCTCACTTTTATTTAATCCCTCACCTGATGATTATCAATCACTCAGTTATCCAAGCAATCGATCTAAGACTCATCCTATTTTTTTCTTATGCCTTCTCTTCCACATCAAATGGTCATTTACTTTTTCCTTCTTGTAATGCCCTGGAATAAATCTCTTCCACTTCTTTGTCTTTTCCTTAGTTTAGTTTCTCATTCTCTCCTAAAGTGTTACAGTAGCCTCCTATTTAGAGTCCCTGTCCCCAGTATTTTTCCACTGCAAGCTATCTTCCTCAGTCACCCTATATTGGTCTTTAAAGTGGCTTTCAAAGATTTAAAAACAAAAGCCACAGTAAAAAAAAAATGCATTATATACCATAAATCAGTCTGCACACACACACACACACACACACAAACACACACACAAAACTGAGACAAGGGTTTAATAAAATAAGTTTTACCTTGTTTACATGAGGAACATACTGAAATTTGCAATTTTACTTCAGATATGTTCTATTTTAATCTAGTTTTTTACATGTCTTTCATTCTATTCTAATTTATATCTCTTAAATTCTATTAGTGACCCACAAAATTCATTTCTCAATGGAAAGAGAAGGATTTAAATAGTGGCAGAATACTAACAATCTAGAAAATGAAATGAAATGCTCAGTGTATTATTCTTACTCATTTGAAAGTTTAAAATATTTCAAAATGAAATATTGGGGAAAATTATTTTACTGAAACATTTTCTTCCTCATTGGCTTATAAGCACCATTAGGGCAAAGATGATGATTTTAAATTCTTAGGTGTTGGATACCTAGCATAATTATTGCCCTACAAAAGGTAATCAATAAACATTTGTTTTTCAAAGAATATGCATTCACTAGTTCCTAATATACTTGGAAAAACAAGAAAGAATTGTGTTTTGAAAGGAATAAGAAGATCAGAGGACTCTAATCTAGAAAAAGAAAGGCAAATTTGTATGAACAATTGAAAGTTTTTATAATGGAGTTCACCGAACAACTGCTCAATACTTTCCATTGCTATTGTTTCTAATTTTGCACCAATGGATAAAAATATGACAATATGAAAATATTTATCCCAGAATTTCGTATGAAAAGCATTCTTTTTCAGTTACATAAAAAAATAGTTACAATTTTCAGAAATTAAGCCTGATCCTTATCCATGTGCAAACATGTAGGCAAATCATGAGACTTAGTTTTCATACCTTTGGTGTATAACTAAAGACATTTAAAATATTTAGTTTAATATGTTGACTCCATAATATTAAATGTTGTGTTGTGAACATTGCAGATAGTAAATAATTGTCAGCTGTGTTGAAGGAATATTCCTCTCTTAGCCACGTGTTTATCTTCAAAGAAAATAAAAATTGGTAGTTTTTCAAGACAATCTGCCTTTACAGATTATTTTAAAAGTGAATTTGAGTAATTTAGGAAGAGAATAAACAGTTTTCATTGAACAGTCTCTAGTTATTAGTTACACTTGAAATGCCTTTTGTGGTTCATTTTCAAGGTGAAGCTGTCAACTCTGGATTTGTGGAAGGTTTGTATTATTTTTCTTCAGAAAAGTACTCTGATAGAAAAACCCAACAAAAATAAGCTATACATTTCTTATGCTGGTACGTATTTCCTGTATAGAACTGGATTCTAGTGAGCACTTTTTGCTTTCTTGATCTTTGGCTCCCATTTGTGTTGGCTCATAGGTAGTTCTGATGAAGCCAGGAGGTTGTTGCCTAAATCTGAGACTATCCTGTTACTAAAGTTCTAGCCACCACGAGGCAGTAGGAATAATGAAGTCAAGGATGGATAGCTCCAAGCTAAATGAGTTAGGAAGAACTGTAGATTTCACTGATGAGACTGTGTTTAGATATTTAAATCTTCCTCTTTATTAGTTGTAAGTGGACAAATCAGGCTTTCTGAGTTTCAATTTTCATCTGTAAAGGGAATTGTCTCTGGAATTGAGAATAAAATGAAATGAAATGTATAAAAGCACTAATCATGTGTCTAACATCATTAATGGTGGTTTCAGCAGCATCAGAGGCATTGGTTCAGGATATCCTTTAAGTGTAGCTTTGAGTAGATCAGACTTCTTGCTGCCACCCATTTTCAGGGGTCCTCAGATACTTAGGTTCCCTGGCTAATCTAAAGGTATATGAAAGCCACTTAAGTAGTAATTGGAATAAGATAGGGGATTAATATGTTAATTAAATCTGAATATAAGTAGGCAAATTCTGAAACCAAGCAGTATCAGGTAGGAGTAATTATTCTTTCTAGTTGGCCATATGGTTATGTGACCTCCACACAACCTCCAAGTATTGTCTAACAAGCTGTAATCTTGGCTTAATTTATGCAGTAGAAGCTGGGGTTGCTTTCTTGTGTGAATCTTAATTCAATTGGCAAGAATGCAAAATATAGAAAAGACTAACAATGTAAAAGTTACAGCTACAAAAATCCCCTCTGCAAATTCTTCAGCACATGATTGTCCTTAAAAGCAAGGGCAATTGAAGGAACAGCAACCAGGATGTTTTACTGGAAAGAAAAGTTGTGAGTGGTTTCATAGGAAAGAGGTCGGACATGCCATATGAAAAAAGTCATAGGTTTATTTGGGGTATTCAGACAGAAGAAGTAAAAACTAATTTATCAAGGTATTAAATTATAAGAAAAAACTTTTGAAAGAACAAAAACACCATCTATGCAGATATTCAAGGAGTGGATAGATGACCAGAGGCTGAATTATAGCAGAGGGGATTTTTGTGTAGTCATTGGAATTTATTAAATGAACTCTCTGTGATTTGCCTTTCAACCATAATATTCTCAGACTGGGTGTTACAGGGATGAGAATTATCTACTGGAAGAGATTAAGCAACTTACTAAATACAAAGGCGCCATTATCATTAAAGGATTAGACATTAGTATTAGGGAAATGCCCACTATGGGAAGCCTTAGCAGTGGACTAACTCACTATTACATCAATAAAAGAGCAGAAATATTTTATTTCACGTCTTTTGGCTTAGAGTTTGCAAAAATTAAAAATATGCATACCTTTTAGGCAATCCTCCTTCTCTGCTGTGAACTGGAAACTGTGATAAATGATCTGACCTTTACCAGGCTCACATATATGTCAACACTAAGGAGCAATTTTTAATTTTAAAAAGTCTTTGAGAGACTTTCTAAGAGAATAAACACAAAATAATCCATGAATTCTTATTCCATACTCTATGTCCATGTGTACACATTACTTAGCTTCTACTAATAAGTGAGGACATGTGGTATGTCATTTTCTGTTTCTGAGTTGCTTCACTTAAGAAAATGCCCTGCAGTTTATTTTACTTATTCATATTCTTATTTAACTTTTACCCTTAGTGCTAAGGCAAAACTCAATTCTATCAACATGGTGTTTGCAGTTACAAGGTTGCTTTTCTGGTAAAAAAAAAAAAAAAAAAAAAAAAACAGTGATGTTAATCAGGTTCAATAAAAAGCCAGGGATCCTTATCAGTTTCCTCCAAGTAGGTAGAACTCTAACTGCTTGCTCATCTCCACTGCAAAAGAAACTGCTGAAATGACTGCTCAGTTTTTTAGTTTTCCAGCTATTGGTTTGCCCTGGGATCCTCCTTAATATCTTGTCCTGCATGTGCATATTTTATGGTCACCCAAGGATTTGGGAGAAATACACACACAGATTTCAAGGCTCCTGATTCAGAAGTTCTCATCTTTATGGGACTTTTCCCCTCAGCCATTCCCGAACTCTCTCTTTTGATGCCTCAGGCTAAAAAGACTGTGACTTCCTTTTCGAAGTTTCTGCCCTCACACTCTGAAGCTGGGAAATGCCTATAAAGGAAAACACAAATAAACGTTTATCTGACATTTCTCTCAAAAATCAATTTCCTTGAGTTTCTGCCTATATTCCCTCATGTTCAATGCCTTCAAATTGTTGTTTATCATATTTTGTCCAGAGTTTATCATTATTAGGAACAGACAGTTTTAGGTCAACATAAGCTTTGTCATTACCAAAAGATGCAAGTCTACATTCTGAAGGTTTTCTCTCATAAGTATCTCTTCAATCGCTTTCTCTTTATCTTCATTGTCACTACTCTCCTAAAGGTCATCCTCATTGCTTAGGAGGATCGAGATATACAATGCTTTCATATTCTTTCTTCTAACAAAGAATGATCCGTTCAGAAATGGAAGCCTAATCATGTTCCTCCCTTCATTAAAACTATTCAATACCTTCCAATTGGTCTCTGTTTAAATTTCAAACTCTTTTATTTGGCTTAAAAGGTCCATAATCACTTGGTCCTGGTGATAAATGGTCTGCCATTTACCTTCGTTGATTATTACACTCTAGCCAAAGTAAACTCCTTTATACTCCATGAAATATGCCTTGTACCTGTGATCTCCAAAATTTCATACTCTGTTCCCTCTGTCTGGAACATTGCTCTTGATCCTCTTAATTTGGCTGATGCCTTATTGACTTTTACATCTTTACTTTTGTGTATTTCTATAGTGCTGAACTTCCTGAGTCATTTCACATATAAATTCTATTGTTATTTTTGTTTAATTTGTCTAAGAAGCTTTATAGCCTCTTATGGCTCTAGGAAGGTATGGACGATGTCTTCCCTGAATACTGTATTACAGTCCTATGCCTACTGCCTGGCATATAATTAAAACACGATAAATGATTAATGAATTAACAAATATAAACTACTTTGGAAACAACCTGATTTTATCCATAATTTCAAAACTTAAATGGCAAGGGTCAACAGCTGGGCAGTCACGTACTAATTTTCCCTAAGTCATAAGACATGAAAACTCTACCAAAACACTTTATATATCATATCAAATTTTATTAAGAATTATGTTGGGAAACCGAGCCGAGCAGGTCACGCAGTCAAGACATTGAAACCATCCTTGCCAACATGGTGAAACCCTGTCTCTACTAAAAATACAAAAATTAGCTGGGCGTAGTGGCACACACCTCTAGTCCCAGCTACTCGAGAGGCTGAGGCAGGAGAATCACTTGAAGCCGGGAGGCAGAGGCTGCAGTGAGCCAAGATCGCACCACTGCACTCCAGCCTGGTGACAGAGCGAGACTCCATCTCAAAAAAAAAAAAATTTTGGTTGGTTTCAAAACTTCACTTGTCTCTATCAAAAAGTACCACCTTTTAAAATATACGGTTATTATTTAAAGCATATAAAACTAAAAGACCACGTTGTAAACTAGTCTTTTGTTTAAACATATTTGAATGAAACCTCTCTTTTATTATAAAAATTGTTTTTAAAATAACAGCTAATGAAATTATTTAAAATTTTTGCCATCCCACTGTGATTCACTAAGTGGACTTTTCCCTAATTCATTTCATGTTCTGTGTGTTGTTGTTAGGAACTGACTCATTCTGAATTCCATTTACACAGTTTATAGATTTGTAATCTTAAATACCTAACTTTCTAAGCAAATTTTCTTCACCTATAAAATGCGGTAATTTTATAGTTTATCCTATGTACGTCTACGGTGAATGTATGTGCATATACACATACACTTGTTTGTGTGTGGGGGTGTGTGTGTATATAAAAAAGTGCTTGGCGGTTTCATAAGCATTTTGACAATGTTACCTTAAATAATACATAGCTAAGAGGTCATTATTTAATTATATGCATCCCTTAGGATTTAGTATAATTAGAATCTTTGTTAAATGCAAAAAAACTTCTTATACTTTGATAATTCAAAGATAAACATAACGGGACAAAAATGTAAAAGTTTGGACAATTAACGTGGTGAAGATCAGATATATATCCAAATGAGACTAGCAGCTCAAGTTTGTACTTTTGATATCAACACACTGCCATATAGAAAGCATCATTTTTGTTTAAATTGTTAGAGCTATGTGGCAAATAGGAAAACATGTTACTGTTATTTCAATGTGGAAAAAACTAAATGGCCGGGCACGGTGGCTCACACCTGTAATCCCAGCACTTTGGGAGGCCAAGGCAGGTGGATCACAACATCAAGAGTTCAAGACCAGCCTGGCCAAGATGGTGAAACCCCATCTCTACTAAAAATACAAAAATTAGCTGGTCATGGTCGTGGGCACCTGTAATACCAGCTGCTCGGGAAGCTGAGACACAGAATTGCTTAATACCAGTAGGCAGAGGTTGCAGTGAGCCGAGATCGTGCCACTGCACTCCAGCCTGGGCGAAGAGCGAGGAGACTCCTTCTAAAAAAAAAAAACTAAATGATTGCAAAAGGTTAAGAGATTTGTGCTAGTTAAATCAACTAGTGAGTAGATGGGAATGATTCAGACCCATATGCATGACTCCACAGGCCTCTTTCTTAAACCCTGCAAAAGGAGCTTGCAACTGGGAAAAATGTCTACTCAGCGGAGTCACAGGAAGACTGTCGACAGAGCTCCGTATAATACAGACATGGCACCAGTACAATAAACCATGTTTTATATCAAAATACTTATGTTCTAGTCAAACATTATAGAAAATATGTATGATAGTGTATAAAGGGGGTCTTCAATTTTTGGTGGATTTATATTTAAAGCAATATTAGTTTCAAATGGAGAAATTATATATTTTGCAAAGAGAAAGGGAAGTTTAGGAAAAGGTTACATAGGCTATTTGTAATATATGCAAAATATAGCCCTTTCTATCACTTAAGCCATATGAGGTATATAAAATTATTAATAAAACTTGATACACATTCAAATTATACTGGTAAAATCCAATCTTATGAGTGTGGGGTCAGTTAATAAGCAAGGCTTCTCAACTGTTGCCCTTCAGGCTTCAAGCTATGGTATAAATGATAAAAAAGCACCAAGAAATGTCCAAGGCAGGTACTGAGGAGCTTAAATCCTTCACTCAATATTTATGAAGCACATAGTTGGTGCCGATGTAAGCCGAGCCCATTTCAGTGAGCAGTACGGTGGACACGGGGCTGTCTGGCTGTGGCTCTGGCAGTTGTTAGTATGAAATCTGGGCATGAGAACTCTGCAACTACTTCCCTTTTTATAGCTAGGGCCAAGTATGCCCTGGAGATTTGGGAATTGACACCTCTTCAGATTCTACAACATTGACACACAGGGTTCTAATTATTTTGCAGGAATTCACAGACACTAAGTTGACTTTTAGTTGAACACATAATGTTAGGAGAGGCTTTAATGAGAATTCATGGATTAATTTGTATTTATTCTCTTAGAAAGTCTGTCATAAACTTCTTAAAATTAAAAATTGCTCCTTAGTATTGAGATATATGCAAACCTGATAAAGTTCAGATCATTTATCAGGATTTCCAATTCACAGCAGAGAAGGAGGATTGCCTAAAAGGTATGCATATTTTTAATTTTTGCAAACTGTATAGGCCAAAAGACGTGAAATAAAATATTTCTGCTCTCTTATTGATGTAATGGTGAGGAAGTCCACTGCGAAGGCTTCCCATAGTGGGCATTTCCCTAATACTAATGTCTAATCCTTTAATGATAATGGCGCCTTTGTATTTAGTAAGTTGCTTAACCTCTTCCAGTAGATAATTCTCATCCCTGTAACACCCAGTCTGAGAATATTATGGTTGAAAGGCAAATCACAGAGAGTTCATTTAATAAATTCCAATGACTACACAAAAATCCCCTCTGCTATAATTCAGCCTCTGGTCATCTATCCACTCCTTGAATATCTGCATAGATGGTGTTTTTGTTCTTTCAAAAGTTTTTTCTTATAATTTAATACCTTGATAAATTAGTTTTTACTTCTTCTGTCTGAATACCCCAAATAGACCTATGACTTTTTCATATGGCATGTCCGACCTCTTTCCTATGAAGCCACTCACAACTTTTCTTTCCAGTAAAACATCCTGGTTGCTGTTCCTTCAATTGCCCTTGCTTTTAAGGACAATCATGTGCTGAAGAATTTGCAGAGGGGATTTTTGTAGCTGTAACTTTTACATTGTTAGTCTTTTCTATATTTTGCATTCTTGCCAATTGAATTAAGATTCACACAAGAAAGCAACCCCAGCTTCTACTGCATAAATTAAGCCAAGATTACAGCTTGTTAGACAATACTTGGAGGTTGTGTGGAGGTCACATAACCATATGGCCAACTAGAAAGAATAATTACTCCTACCTGATACTGCTTGGTTTCAGAATTCTCCTACTTATATTCAGATTTAATTAACATATTAATCCCCTATCTTATTCCAATTACTACTTAAGTGGCTTTCATATACCTTTAGATTAGCCAGGGAACCTAAGTATCTAAGGACCCCTGAAAATGGGTGGCAGCAAGAAGTCTGATCTACTCAAAGCTACACTTAAAGGATATCCTGAACCAATGCCTCTGATGCTGCTGAAACCACCATTAATGATGTTAGACACATGATTAGTGCTTTTATACATTTCATTTCATTTTATTCTCAATTCCAGAGACAATTCCCTTTACAGATGAAAATTGAAACTCAGAAAGCCTGATTTGTCCACTTACAACTAATAAAGAGGAAGATTTAAATATCTAAACACAGTCTCATCAGTGAAATCTACAGTTCTTCCTAACTCATTTAGCTTGGAGCTATCCATCCTTGACTTCATTATTCCTACTGCCTCGTGGTGGCTAGAACTTTAGTAACAGGATAGTCTCGGATTTAGGCAACAACCTCCTGGCTTCATCAGAACTACCTATGAGCCAACACAAATGGGAGCCAAAGATCAAGAAAGCAAAAAGTGCTCACTAGAATCCAGTTCTATACAGGAAAGACGTACCAACATAAGAAATGTATAGCTTCTTTTTGTTAGATTTTCCTATCAAAGTACTTTTCTGAAGAAAATAATACAAACCTTCCACAAATCCAGAGTTGACAGCTTCACCTTGAAAATGAACCGCAAAGGTCATTTCAAGTGTTACTAATAACTAGAGAATGTTCAATGAAAACTGTTTATTCTCTTCCTAAATTACTCAAATTCACTTTTAAAATAATCTGTAAGGGGAGATTGTCCTAAAAAACTAGAAATTTTTATTTTCTTAAGAAGATAAACACATGGCTAAGAGAGGAATATTCCTTCAATTCAGCTAACAGTTATTTACTATCTGCAATGTGCATGACACAACATTTAATATTATTGATTCAACATATTAAACTAAATATTTAAAATACCTTTAGTTATACACCAAGGCATGAAAACTGAGTCTCATGATTTGCCTACATGTTTGCAAATGGATAAGGATCAGGCTTAATTTCTGAAAACTGTAACTATTTTTTTATGTAACTGAAAAAGAATGTCTTTCATACAAAATTCTGGGATAAATATTTTCATACTAAGTCATATTTGTATCCATTGGTGCAAAATTATATTATGAACAATAGCAACAGAAAGTATTGGCAGTTGTGCAGTGAACGCCATTATAACAACTTTCAATTTTTCATACAAATTAGCCTTTCTTTTTCTAGATTGGAGTTCTCTGATCTTCTTACTCCTCTCAAAACACAATTCCTTCTTGTTTTTCCAAGTATATTAGGAACTATTCAAATGCATATTCTTTGAACAACAAATATTTATTAATTACCTATTATAGGGCAATCATTATGCTAGGTATCTAACACCTAAGAATTTAAAATGCACCATCCTTGCCCTAATGGATCTTAGAAGCCAATGAGGAAGAAAATGTTTCAGTAAAATAATTTTCCCCAATATTTTATTTAAAAAAATGTAAACCTTCAAATGAGTAAGAATAATACACTGAGCAGTTCGTTTCATTTTCTAGATTGTTAGTATTCTGCCACTATTTAAATCCTTCTCTTTCCATTGAGAAATGAATTTTGTGGGTCACTAGAATTTAAGAGATATAAATTAGAAGAGAATGAAAGACACGTAAAAAACTAGTTTAGAACATAAATTTAAAAAAATGAAAATTTCAGTATGTTCCTCATGTAAACAATGTAAAAAATATTTTATTAAATCCTTGTCTCAGTTGTGTGTGTGTGTGTGTAGACTGAGTTATGATATATAATGCATTTTTTACTGTGGCTTTTATTTTAAAATTTTTGAAAGCCACATTAAGGATCATTATAGCATTACTGTGGAAGATAGCTTGAAGACAAAAATACTGCGGACAGGGACTCTATATAAGAGGCTACTGTAACACTCTAGTAAAGAATGAGAAACTAAACTAAGGAAAAGACAAAAAAGATGGAAGATATTTATTCCAGAGCATTATAAGAAGGAAAAAGTTAATGACCATTTGATGTGGAAGAGAAAGCACAAGAAAAAAATAGGATGAGTCTTAGATTGATTGCTTGGATAACTGAGTGATTGATGGTCATCAGCTGAAAGATTAAATAAAAGTGAGGAGCATATTAAGAGGGAAAAAGAGTAAGCTAGGTTTTGAATAGGTTGGGTTTGATGCTTATTCAGTTGGATACAAGATTCTGGGTAATTAGAGAAGAGTTTTAGCTGAAGGCATAGCTTAAGGAGTCAGAAGTAGATTACTTTATAAGAGAAAGTGAAGACTAAGAAGATAAATTGTCAAGTATAATAAATCAGAGAAAAAGAATCAGAAAATAAGACTTATGGTTTCTATTAAAAGAAAAAGAACATGAAAAATTGGCTTACAGAAGCCAAGGAAGAGAAAAATAGATTTCCAGATGGGCATAGTCACAGTTAAATGTCAAAAGAATTGAAGTAACACAAGGACAGAAAATCATTTATGGTTTTCACAATTCAGTGGCAATTGCCAACCTCCATTAGAGCTATTTCAGATAAAAGAAATTGAAGTAGAATAAATTGAACGACAGGTTTTAGGTAAGGAAATGGATAATACACACACACACACACACACACACACACACACACACACACACCTGTCATCCCCATCCCTGGGGAAATGTACTATGAGCCCCAAATTGGTCAAAATATGTACAATAACATAACAGGTTTAATATATTAAGTTTCTGATTCAGGCAGTTTTCTTTAAATCATTGAGATAAGATTAAACGTTGAGTTATAGGTGAAGGAAGTAGTTTAATGTTTCTCTGGCTTTGTGCTGATTTTTCTAACCTTCTGTTAACAGTGACAGTATAAGGCACCAGTTATAAATGTGGGTTTTAGAACCAAATTGCTGGTGCTCAATTCAATATCTGCCAGAGACTAGCTGTAATACCCAGACTGATTACTAATATTCTCTGCTTCTCAGTCTCAAAATGGGATGGTGTTGATCATAGTACTTTCCTCTTAAGGTGGTTGTTTGGGAGATTTAATTATATTATATATATAAAGCATTTAAATTTGTGCTTCAGCACTTAAAGTCCTCAAAAAAACTTACCTGCTATTATTTTTCTGAGTTGCCTTGAGAACTGAATTCTAGAAAAAATAAAAAGAAGAAAAGGGACTTTGATGCACTACTACTACAATCTGGACTATATAACCTCTTTTGAAGTAGAAATCGAACTCAATAACAGAATATTCTTAAAAGCTCTCGAATTAGTTAAAGCTCAAATTTTATGACTCTTGAAAAAGGCATATACAATATGCACGCATATTTAAGGTAATTCTTGAATGTTTTGTGGGCCCTAGTTTCTGTTCCCGCACTTAATAATGATACCTTTTCTGCTGTAAGTGAATTTTTAGTTGAGAAATAGAGTATAGTGTTCCATAAGGTAAACAAGATGCTGTGGTGCTCCAAAAATACAATTCACTCATCTACGAAGCTCTAATCCTGATAATAAAATGAAGAAGTTGAAAGAAGAATCATGCAAAAGATTTTAATCCCATCTTAAACAATTTTTAGATTTTTTATTTTCTTAAGATTCCAGCACTATCAAATATGCTTTGCAATAGGTTATAATCAATACCAGTAAAATGCTTAGAGGTATTTTAAATTGTGGGAAGTAAAGGAAAAAATTGTGAGAGTAGACAATGGAGCAACAACATGTAAAGTGATAAACTTCAAATATACAAGACACAAAATTTGGAGAAAAAAACCACAAAAGATTTTGGTATTTGGTAGTTTCTAGGAAACTAAACATTGGTTATTCCCCAATTTCAACATATTGAGATAGTTGATGAGTAATAACTGATCCTAGGGGAGAGGCCTTTAAGCCACAGATTTCTCCATTCCATTATACCTTTGAGTATATAAAACAGCTACAATATTCCAGGGCCAGTCACTTGCCATTTCTCATAACAGCGTCAGAGAGAAAGAACTGACTGAAACGTTTGAGGTAAGAAAGGTCTTAAATATCATTGTAAACTAAGATTGTATATCTATTTTGTAAATATAGATATATAGCATCTCTCCATATATTTTTCTTTAAATCATAAAAATTTTAATTGTTGAGACTAAATTGTAATGGTTGCTTGAATTTGTAGACTTAGTAATTAGAAAACCATTTTTAGTATTCTGTTTGCAAAACTTTTTTTAAAATCACCACCCTGCTGTAGTAAATATTTATTTTAGAGTGACCATAAATGAATCTTTCTAGGAGTGGAGCACTGGTGGGGGAGAGTGTGGACAGAGTGAAACAACAGAGCCTCAGGTTTATTTTTAAATTTGTGGCCATCAGGTCAGCAAACAGAGGGAATACGCCCCGCCAGAGATTCTCTAAAGTCTGAGCAAGTGCCAATTTCTTTGGCCTCCTCTTTTATCTTTAAAATATATACAGTACTTACATTCCATTCCATAACATTTTATGTTGATTTTAATATAAAAGTCATTTGTCTTTCCCATAAACTCTTGAATAAAATTAATTATCTAGGAAGATGCATCTGATTTATCTGGAGAATCATTTATTCTACAGCACGCAGCAATAAACTGCTATGGGTATCATGACTTGATAAGTATAAAAATAAAAGGAGATAGCTGGTAATTATGCTGTGTCCTGACTCTAAGATATGATCTGGAAGAGTCTGTAATGTGGATTATTTACTTATTTGCTTAATGTAGTTTTGAATAATTCTTGAAACCAGTTGAAAGAAATTATATTGTAAAGGCCCTGCTTGAATTCTATTCTCTCCAAAACTATTTTCTCAACCTGCCTCTTTCTTCTTCTAAATACTCAAAATATTTTGCAATTTCTACATATGGTATATATCACGCTTTTTTTTCACATTACAGAAATATCTGTATCCATCTTCCATGTGGAAGTCTCAAGTGGAAGAAATTATGCTTTATCATTGTATCCCTGAAAGCACCCAGCATTGTTGCTTTGCACATAGAAAGTGGACTATGTATATGTATGTGTGTGTCTGTGAGGAGTATGTGTGAGTGTGTGCATGTGTGTGTTTGTATAATTTTTACTCTTGATTTCCTACATTAACAATCTGCCTGTAGAAGTCTGAACTTGACCGGAATTTTACATTCCTGTCTTCTCAAAATTATTAGATTATCTGGTACTTTTTTGAATTTGAATTCAAATTTTGATTAGTATCAGAAAATAAAGGCAGAGATCAAAACTTTGCTACATTTTTTACACTGCGTTCTTTTGTCTCATAGATGTATAGGAAACATCAAAAGGTGATAAAATTTCCCTAGAATCTCCACTATCTCAAAGGTACTTCAAAATGATAATGATATTAAAAATTGACATTTTCCCCAATGTAAAATATTAAATTAAATAGTCTTTAAAAAGCTTTGTAATGTATTTACTTATAACAATGTAACAGTGAGCTTAAAAGATCCATAAATCAGGGACTTTCCAAACTGATATTACAGGCAAACTTCAGAGATACTGCAGGTTCAGTTCTTGACCACCACCATAGAATGAGTATCAAAGTTAGGCAGGTCAAATGAATTTCTTGGATTCCCAGTGTACATAAAAGTTATGATTACACTACAGCATTGTATGTTAAGTGTAATAGCAGTATGTCTAGAAAAACAACATACATATCTTAATTAAAACATACTTTATTGCTCAAAAATGCTAACAATTATCTCAGTCTTCACTGAGTCATAATCTTTTTGCTGGTGTAGGGTCTTGCCTTGATGTTGATGGCTGCTGAATGATCAGGGTGATGGTTCCTGAAGGCTAAGCTGGCTGTGGCAATTTCTTAAAATAAGTCAACAATGAAGTTTGACACACAGATTGACTCTTCCTTTCACAAAAGATTTCTCTGTAGCATGCGATGTTGTAGCATTTTGGAGCATGTGAAGCATTTTGCCCACAGTATTTCTTTCAAAATGGGACTCAACCCTTGCAAACCCTGCCACTGCTTTATCAATTAAGTTTATGTAGTATTTTAAATCATTTACTGTCATTTGAAAAATATTCACAGCATCTTCACCAGGAGTAGATTCCATCTCAAGAAACCACTTTCTTTGCTCATCCATAAGAAGCCATTTTTCATTCATTCAAGTTTTACCGTTAGATTGAAGCAATTAAGTCACATGTTCAAGCTTCACTTCTAATTCTAGTTCTCTTGCTATTTCCACCACATCTGCAAGTTACTTCCTCCACTGAAGTCTTGAATCCCTCAAAGTCATCCACAAGAGTTGGAATCAACTTCTCCCAAACTCCTGTAATGTTGATATTTTGGCCTCCTCCTATGAATCACAAATGGTCTTAATGGCATCTGGAGTGGTGTATATTTTACAGAAGGTTTTTAATTTACTTTGCCCAGATCCATCAAATAAATCACTATCTGTGCCAGCTATAGCCTTACAAAATGTATTTATTTAATAATGAAACCTGAAAGTCAAATTTACTCTTTGATCCATAGGCTGCAGAATGGATGTTGTGTTAGCAGGCATGAAAACAACATTCATCTCTTTGTACATCTGCTTCAGAGTTCTTGGGGGCTCAGGTACATTTTCAATGAATGGCAATATTTTGAAAAAAACATTTTTTCCTAAGAAGTGAGCTGAAAATATTAGTAAACCATGCTGTGTTAGATGTACTGCCATCCAGGCTTTGTTGTTCCATCCACAGAGCACAGGAAGAGTAGATTTAGTATAATTCTTAAGGGCACTACGATTTTCTAAATGATAAATGAGCATTGGCTTCAATTTAGGAAACCAGCTCTATCCCTTTAAAAGAGTCAGCCTGTCCTTTGAAGCTTTGAAGCCAGGCATTGTTTTCTTCTCTTTAGCTATGAAAGTTCTAGATGGTATCTTTCTCCAAAATAAGACTGTTTCGTCCACAATAAAAATCTATTATTTATTGTAGTGTTCTTAGATAGATTTTCTGGATAACACTGCAGCCTCTATATCAACACTTGCTGCTTTACCTTGCACTTTTATGTTATAGCCAATCTCTGCTAGCTTCCAACTTTTCATCTGCAGTTTCTTCACATCTCTCAATCTTTGTATAATTAAAGAGCATAGGGGCCTTCTTCTAGATTAGGCTTCTGCTTAATAAAATGTGCTGGCTGGTTTGATCTATCCAGACAACTAAAAACTTTCTCCATGTTGGGAATAAGACTCTTTCGCTTTCTTGTCATTCCTGTGTTCATTGTAGTAGCACTTTTAATTCCCTTCAAAACTTTTCCTTCGCATTCACAACTTGGCTAACTAGTTGTTGCAAGATCCTAGCTTTCAGCTTATCTTGGCTTTTGACATTCCTTCTTCACTAAATCGTTTTTACCTTTTGATGTAAAGTAGGAGACATGCGACTCTTCCTTTCACTAGAACACTTAGAAGGCATTGTAGGGTTATTAACTGGCCCAGATTTAATATTATCATGTCTCAGGAAATAGAAAAGCCTGAGGAGAGGAAGAGATAACTGGGGGCATGGCCAGTGAGTGGAGCAATCGAAACATTCACAAGATTTATCAAATAAGTTTGCCACTTATTTTTCCCATAACACCCCCAAATAATTAGATCAAAGTAACACCACCAAAGACCACTGATCACAGATCACCATAAAAGATATAATAAAATATTATTACATCTTTATAATGTCTTATAGATATCAAAATATCTTATAATACTGAAAACTTTAAAATATTGCTAGGATTACCAAAATATGACACAGAGACATGCAGTGAGCATGTGCTGTTGGAAAAATGGTGCTGATAGACTTGCTCGATGCCGGATTGCCACAAATTGCCACTCAATTAGTAAAAAACAAGATATGTATGAAGTGCAATAAAATGAGGTGTGCCTGTATATACACAACACCTAGAATAACATCTCATGCTTAGTCAGTTATCAAGAAAACCTTTATAAACTAATAAATTAACAAATATGAGGCAAATTTCAAGTAAAGTCCCCTAGCCAATCTCCATTTTCAACTTGATTGCCTTTCCCAGAACCCCCCACATATTCTTTAGCACATACTGCATTCACACCATGACAAAGAAGAGGATTAATGCCTAATGATACCATCCAATATGGAAGATTTCCCATTATTATTTGAAATCAAGTAATATGCACATGTTTATTGTATTAATGACAAATATTTATAAATGCAAATGTTCTGTTTCATTGTGTACTCCATTATAAAATTATTGAATAAATCTTTAATTTAGCTCAGTTTTCTCAAATATAATATTAACAATATTGTAACTGATACATTTTAACAGTGTGTGTAATATGATAAGGAATCTACAGTGAAAATTAAAATACAATAAAATGCTTTGGAAAGTCCTTTATCATTTATTAAATAATAAAACTTGAAAGTCAAAATTACTCTATGATCCATGGACTGCAGGATGGATTTTGTGTTAGCAGGCAAGAAAAGAGATCCTTCTTCACATCGTGGATTTTTGGGGGTTGCCTGGAACCAGTGCAAATAAATCTGTCACCTACATTACTTTCATGGACATTAGTATATGGAATGTTGAACTCTCTGAGATCACTAAATAACCGCTTACTTCCAAACTAACATTCTCTGTATAAACCAATGCATTATTTCTTCCAGAAACTTTTCTGTGATTATCAAGTATGTAGAAGTGTTATTCTTTTATTTTTTATTTTAAGTTCAGGGATACATGTGTAGGTTTGTTACATAGGAATTAGTATTCTTAAATAATATGTTAATGTTTATTTTTAAAGCAATTGGTGTAATATAGTTATGAAATTACAAAGCTCCTTTGCTTTGACCTTTAAAAAGTTCTTTATTAACAAATAGATTGATTCCCTAAGATTGTAAGTGACTTGCTCAAACTCAAAGAGCTATTTGTCAAATAATTCGTACTTTAACTGGATCTTTTAAATTCATGGTCTTTTAGCTGACTTCTAGGATATTTATGAATAAAATGAAAGTTCTTCTTATTTTTTATTTACTCCATTTTGCAGATGAAGAAAGTTCTCCTCCTGATCACAGCCATCTTGGCAGTGGCTGTTGGTTTCCCAGTAAGTATCCACGTATACATTCCAAAATATTTATGTATGGCCATGTATGGCATATTTATGTCAACCAGGAACCACATACACAAGGGTGGTCCCAAAAGATTATAACAGAGCTACCAAGTGCAGTGGCTTACGCCTGTATTCCCTGTAATTTGGGAGGTCAAGGCAGGAGAATCACTTGAGCCCACAAGTTCAAGACCAGCCTGGGCAACATAGCAATCCCCTCTCTATAAAAAAAAATATATATATAATGAACCTAATGACATTGTGGCCATCATTATGTCATAGGGCAATGCATTAGTCATGTGTTCATGTGTTTGAGATGATGCTGGTGTAAACAAACCTACCCTCTGCCAGTCATATAAGAATAGAGCACAAAAAATTATGCACAGTTCATAATAATAAACAACTATGTTACTGGTTTGTGTATTAATTATACTATGCTTTTATCATTATTTTAGAGTTAACTCCTTCTACTATTTTTTAAACATTAACTGTAAAACAGCCTCAGACAGGTCCTTCAGGAGGTATTCCATAAGAAACCATTATTGTCATAGGAGATGATAGTTCCACATGTCTAACTGCCCCTGAAGATCTTCCAGTAGGAAAAGATGGGGAGGTGGAAAGCAGTGACATTGATGACCCTGACCCTCTGGAAGCCTAAGCTAATGTATATGTTTATGTCTCAGTTTTAAACAAAATAGTTTAAAAGTAAAAAAGAAAAAGCATATAGAATAAGGATACAAAGAGTGAAAGTATTTTTGTACAGCTGTAAAATGTGTTTGTTTTAAGCTAAGTGTTATTACAAAAGAGTTAAAGTAAAATAGTTATAGTAAGCTAAGGTTAATTTATTATCAAGGGAAGAAAAAGATGTTTTTATAAGGTTAGTGTAGTGTAAGTGTACAGTGTTTACAAAGTCCACAGGAGTAAACAGTAATGTCCTAGGCCTTCATATACAATAACTCACTTACTAACTCACACAGAGCAACTTCCAGTCCTGAAAGCTTTATTTATGGTACATAACCTATACAAGTGTATAGGTATAAAGGATACCATTTTCCATCTTTTATACTGTATTTTTTACTGTACCTTTTCTATGTTTAGCTATGTCTTAGATATGTTTAGATATACAAATACTTACCACTGTGTTACAACTGCTTACAGTATTCAGGATAGTAATATGCCATACAGTTTTGTAGTCTAGGAGTAAGAGACTATACTGTCTAGCTTAGTTATGTAGTAGGCTATACCACCTAGGTTTGTGTAAGGACACTCTATGATGTTCACATGATGAAATCGCTGAACTACCCATTTCTCATAACTTATCTCTGCTGTTAGGCAATGCATGACTCTATATTTTGTCTTGATTCATGAATCTTAAGGGTTTTTTTCTCCTTCACAGGCTGTATTCTGTAAGAATACCTAACACACACGCTGTATTCTGTAAGAATACCTAACACCTGCCCTTTTATCATTACAGTCCAGAAAATACTATAAACCATATACTGTTCAGTGCATAATTCAGTTCCACATATCTTTGGTGTAGTGGTGAATTTGAGCCATTTAAGAATACATGTTAAGACTTTTTGGGAAAATCATTTCTACATTTCTAGACAAATTATGGGTATTTTAAAAAATGGTTATTATGAAACAATATTAGGTAATAGATTGTCATGCATATGTATATATTTATTTGTGTGTTTTCATGAGCATGAGTTTAATTAATTTCACTATTTGATCTTTAGGTCTCTCAAGACCAGGAACGAGAAAAAAGAAGTGTAAGTTACCTTTTCTCTTTTTTACATGTAAGTTTTACACGTGAAATATTCATAACTATTGTTAAAGATATTGATTTATCTAAACCTCCCAAACTGTGGAGAGATTCATAAAGAGCTTTTGGTATTAGCACTCAACAGAGGTTTAGACTTCAGGTATTTGAGCTCTGCTCATAGAAAGGAAATTATCTCCATATCTCATGTCACGGTAAAAATTGGATTGAAATCCGAATCACTCTGTGATGATTTGGGTTGCAATATTTTTTACTAGATTTATCTAGCCTAATAACTCAGACCTCCACTCTGCCATAGCTCTATGAAACTCATTTCAAAAAAAGTAAAAAATGAAACCTGAGCATTAAGAGATGTGGGCCAGCTTTGATGATCCTCCCAGTGGCAAATTCACTCATGGATTATTTGGGTCTAAACAGTTAACTAAAATTGTTTAATAAAAGGAAAATAAAATTTGAAGAGGGAAAGCCTTGTTTAAAGGTTTGTTTTTATTTATGGAAATCCTGTTATCTGGAAAGCATGATTTTATCGCAAAAACTACAAACAGAGAGTTAAGAATACAAAAATTAATAGAGACACAAACAGATAATTGAGAGCAAAAGCAGGAAGAAGGAACTGAGATAATGAAAGAGAGAAGTTGTTTCCTACATGTGGTTTGGGTAAAGACCTTGCATGAAGACAAAGGGAGAAATTTTATGGTACCGCAACACCACATTCATCTTGGCCTTGTAGGTAAAGAAGTGATTGCCAGAAAAACTTGCCTTTAACTGGAAAGGTATAGGAACATGAGTATCTCTAAATAATTTTTAAATGATGCAAATTAATAAACTCCCTGTCCATAGTACACACAGAAAGGATAAAGGATTTTAGAGCTTCTAAAGCCTCTTCCTAAAAATAAAGGCCCATTATTTAAAAAGCAAAGCTGTTTTATTTCTCTTCTTTGTAAAAAGTGAAATAAACCCTTTAACTTCTTTCTTTCAACAGATCAGTGACAGCGATGAATTAGCTTCAGGGTTTTTTGTGTTCCCTTACCCATATCCATTTCGCCCACTTCCACCAATTCCATTTCCAAGATTTCCATGGTTTAGACGTAATTTTCCTATTCCAATACCTGAATCTGCCCCTACAACTCCCCTTCCTAGCGAAAAGTAAACAAGAAGGAAAAGTCACGATAAACCTGGTAAGTACACATAGTTACAATCATAGTTTATTTTAAGTTTGCAGATTGGAATCCATAATTTCAAGGAAAAAAAAATGTTAACTATGTCCCTAGTTGGCCCCTTTCAGTTTCTGTTTGTTTTAATGTTTTTCTCTGGTAGATACTGTCACGTGTGTCCACTCAGAAATACACATGTGCCCTTCCATGATCTAACCAGCACAGCACTTTAAATCCCTCCTTGGTTGTGATGTAACAGAAACAATTTCAATTTTATTAAAATATTGTTTACAAAGTATTTGTAACTCTTTATACTATTGTCAATAACTGCATTTTGGACTGAATCAGAGTAACCAAGGTGGAGATCATAGTAGATGAAGTTATGGGCCTAGAGTTTAAAGTAGACCAGCTTAGCCCTTAGAGAAACATGTAATTTTTCTAATACTAAAACTCCAAACCTAGCTTCCAAGTGTCACATTATAGTAAAATTTTAAAGGCTTCATGCTTCACCTATAACAGTGGCCCCTGTCATTTCATCACATCAAAAACAAAGTGGATGGTGTGTCAATTACTAGATAAATTGAGGAAATATAATCTATACTATAGACTATAGATCTAATCTACTATAATAATTTATAATTTAATATATATAATTTAATCTTATCTAAGATTAAATTAGAACCCAGAGGACTGTTCTAGGAAAAAAATATTTCAGCTACTACTTACCACTAAAGACCTTTGCTTTCTTTCTACATCTTGAGCAGATGGTTTCCCAGTCCTTGAACTAGATATATTTTTAAGCCAATAGTTGTCATTAAAATGCAGAAAATGTATATGTTTCCAAGAAAATGACCCATTGCAATTAATAACCATATGTCTGTTATTTATTTCAGGTCACCTGAAATTGAAATTGAGCCACTTCCTTGAAGAATCAAAATTCCTGTTAATAAAAGAAAAACAAATGTAATTGAAATAGCACACAGCATTCTCTAGTCAATATCTTTAGTGATCTTCTTTAATAAACTTGAAAGCAAAGATTTTGGTTTCTTAATTTCCACAAATTCCATGATTAGTACTCAATTTGTTTTCAATCTTCAGCAATCCCCTGAAGAAGGAAGAGGTGGCAGGTGGTGATAAAAATAAACTGTCCTACAGCATGTGACAAAAGTCATCCAACAAGATTCTACTTGCACAATAAGCCTTTCAGTGGGTCAGAATGACTGCCTTTGTCTCCATAAGTTGATTATCAGGAAATTAGAAAAATTCTCTTTGAATAAAGATTATGTTTCTTCACCTTAAGTTTAAATTGTTCATAGCTGAGCCCCTTAGCATCAATAATGGAAATTCTGCCACCATTCATCCATAACTGGCTACAAATCAAAGTCAGCCTAATGAGCCACTTGGCACTTGAGTAGGGAAATGGCTGACTCCCTTCGTCACTTTCAGGGATTACAGGTACCTCAAACATTTAAATATTTATTGGCATTAAAGTCAGTGATCCCAATTAAAATATGGGAAAGACAGCAAGAAAACCAAACAGTCATCAATATAATTTGGTAAATTAATTTTATAGGCATTGTTTCCTAACTTTACGGCTGATAGATTGGAGGCAACTGCATGACCCGGGAGAGGCAGTCATGGGAAAATAAGATAGAGGGGCAGGGAGAACAAAGGCAATCAGAGCCCTGAAGAGGGGCCAAAGACAAATGGTTGCTCTGAAATGTGGAAGAGTCAGCTCTGCAAGTAATCTACTGTGCCACTAATCTACTATCTAATCTAATCTATCCCACTTTTTTGTTTCATTAAAAGTCTTTGACATCTCTCCTTAACTCTCAGATTAGAGCTTTTATTTTATCTGCCTCATTTTATGTCACAATAACTTTCTGAAGAAAAAACAACTCTGGCATTTACTTTTAACTACTAGATTTGTTTCTATTAAAATTAATCAACTATTTCCCCCACCCAGTGAATTTGGGCATTATTCTTGAATACTGTAATTAGAAAACAACAGGGAGTATCTGTGTATTTACATACAGAAAAATACAGTAAAATGTGGTATAAAAGATTTTTTAAAATGATACCACTATATACGGTACTTATACCCTATATAGGCCTCTAGGCCTGGAATTTGCTCTGGGTGAGTCAGTAAGTGAGTGGTGATTAAATGTGAAGGCCCAGGACATTACTGTACACTACTGTGAACCTTATAAATACTGCAAACTTAGGCTACTCTAAATTTATGAAAACATATTTTTCTTTCTTCAATAATGAATTAAGGTACAAAAATATCTTTAGAATATAAAGATACAAAAAAAGACACAAAAACATCTTTATTCTTTATATCCTCATTCTATAAGTTTTCTCTACTGTTAAATATAAATACTTTTTTTACTTTTAAACTTTTTTGTTTAAAACCAAGACACAAACATACATATTAGCCTAGGCCTACCCAGGGCCAGGATTATCAAGACATCCCTAGCAACAAGAGTTTTTCAGCTCCATTATAATCTTATGAGATGACCATCATAGATAGTTAGGCATTGACCAAAACACTGTTATACAGCGCATGACTATACTTATTTTTTGTCAATTGTCGTGCTAAATACTGGCGATTTGGGGAAAATATTGTTGTGCTAAATACTAGTGATTAAGAAAAAAGATTCTCTTTAATGATCTTACAGGTTAGATAGGGGAGATAAACATATACAAAATTTCAAGAAATGTAATAAATGCTCCAAAAAATTACAGAGCTTTTTGTTTTAAAGCAGAGGAGAAACTAGCTCTGCCTACACAAATTAGGAAAGGTCCCACAGGTGACTTTGAGTTGAACTTTAATGGATACATAGGTTACTGACAGGGAAATAGGCACAAATTAGATGCTGAATAGATATTTACTAGATAAGCTCTACACTCAAATTGGTATTTTTGCTTGTTGCTTTTATTTTCTTTTTGTTTTTTTTATTGAAAACGGATATTTTTAACGATGTTTATTTTCATTGGACAAAGACAAAAGAGCAAAAGATGGGAGTGAAATACTTTAAAACATATTTCTAATAAATATATAAAGTTCTATTAATCTTAGGAACAACCTCTAACCTGAGAAGCAAAAGATAAACATCTTAATAATATTCTTGTTCACTAAATAACATTTCTACCAATTTTTCATGCAGATACAGAGCAAATATAACCTGATGAGTTATTTCCTTATGAAAGTAGCTAATATATCTAGGAGACAGTATTTATTTAGACTTCTATGTCAATTCAATAATACCCGGGCAGAGTTGAAACTCTGGCCAAAGCCATGGGCATCAAACCAAGGTAGCTGAAGGACACTAACAGCAATACAGCAAGGTGAACAGCAAGGCATGGACCACCTATTGGATGCTCCCCACAATCGCTTAAGGAAGCTTCTACTTCCCCTCAAGTATCCAAGACTTTAGCACGGGAATGAAATAAGAGCACAGAGACACACTGAATTCTAATTGCCGTCACTCTAAATGAGAGCCCAGCTAGAGACCAGTCTCCCCAACAGTCAGGAGAAGACCAGTTCTAATACACTCACAGGAGAACAGAGCCCAGAAAAATCCAACCCTCATCCACATGTTCTAACTCTTCTATGAAGTAAGTTAGAATTCAAGGGGAAAACAGATAATATGACTGCCCACTTTAGAAGTTCTTCTTGACTAGGTTCTGGCCTCATGCAGAGGAAAGTAGTAATTCCAAAACATTGATCTGCATAAAAAATTATTTAGTTTCTTATTTGTTCTTCAGATTTCTAGGAACATTCCTGCTCTGAAAATTTTGACTCCGTGTTGTGGGATTAGGCAGGAATTTGCAACTTGAACAAGTAGTACAGATAATTAATCATTTGCTCAAAAAGTATTTGTCTAATATGTGCCAAGCACAGGTTTAGAGACTGGGACTATTATTTTCTAATGGAAAAGGACAGGAAATAGTAAATGAACATATATAAGTTAAAAAACATTTTATATTGTAATATGTTATGAGGAAAATAAAAGGTAAAATAATAAAGTGTTTGAAGAAGTATTTAGACAAACTGCCAAGGAAAGCCTCTCTGAAATGAAGACATTTGAGCTGAATCCCAAATAATACAGGCAACATTACTGAGAATTGAGGTAAGAACATTCCAGAGACCATGAATATAAATGGAAGTTCCTGATTTAGGAGAGAGTTTGGCACATTCTAGGAACAGAAATGTCATTGAAACCAGCACACAGTGAGAGAAAAAGTGGTAGAAGTTAAGGTAAGATGGATAAAGAGAGACCAAATTATTTAGAAACAGTCCCTAGCAAAAAGTTTGAATGTATTGTAAGTGCATAGGAATCCATTGAGAATTTAATCAGAAGAATAATCATATCAGATATATGTTAAAAATAACATTTTTATAACTGTGTAAGAAATGAGTATAGGGCGATAAGAGTGAAAGTAAAGAGACCAAAAACAGAAATATTAGGATGGTTCAAGTGTAACATGCCAGTGGCTGGGACTAAAGCAACAAAGGTCAGATTAGAAAGTGGTGTCAGATTTGGGGTATATTGTTAAGATAGAATTAATAATTCTTCTAACAGGTTGTTGCAGGGAGGAGAGAAAAGATGACCTATAGGAGTCACCAGATGGCCCCTGAGCCACTAGTAGTATCATGGTACTGTTTCCTAAAGGAGAAAAGAGACTAGTGGAGAACTAGTCGTGAAACAGGGTATGTTTGGAAATAGAAGATTCTGTTTTGTTCATGATAATTTGGAGATGTCTATTTTACGTGCAAATAGAGATTTTAAAACAGCTATTGGATACTTGAATCTACAGTTCAGTGAAGGCAATAGCCTACTGATGATACTTAAGGTTACAGGAATTGAGTACATTAACTAGAAAGATATTAAAGATAGAGGGAGAAAAGATAGAGTGGTGGTGGATGCTGGAAGAATTTTTAAAAGTTCTCCTAAATTTAGAGTTTGAGGAAAATAAGAGGAACCAAAATGGAAATTAAGAGCAGCTTTAAGTGACTCGAGGGGGAAAAAAAAAGAAGGAAAAGTCAAAAAGTTTTACCAGCCAGAAAAATGAATCACCAAGCCAAGAGCTGCTACAACATTGAGTGGGAAGAATATCTAACAGCTACCACTGGATTTGGCTACACAGAGATCATCGTTGATCTGGCTGTTTATTTTGAATGGTAACAAGAATGACAAGAATGAAGTAAACATAGGACAGGATTATAGGGGGTCTTGGGTTCGTGTTGGAGAAATAACACTTTACATAAATTGATTATCCCTTGTATGTTTAAATCTGTATATTTTAATGGCTTCAGAAATCTTTGGACCCTAAAACTTACTGAGGAATAAATTAATGTGTGTGCTAATGCTAAAGTCACAATGACACTCACTCTAGGCTCCAGATGACATCAAATGTCTCCTCACAATCTGAAAATAGTCTTTCTGTAAGTGTTCAGGAGAAAGCACTATCTCCTTAGATAATCTCTACAAACAGAGATTGTGGCTGTCTACTATACTCCCAAAAGTACTTTGTTTCTAATACAAACAGTTTGTATGTGTATTGTTTGTTTAACAGAAGTGGCTACAGGAGAGTAAAATTTTGATATTCCACTTTGCTCTAGTTTGTTGACCATTTTAAAGAGCATTTTATGCTATTTTTTCCATGGTTTTTACATATAGCAAAGACTTTTGAAGCATACACATTTCTTTTTTGTATGCTTTTAGAAAATACCAATTTTCTAATGCCTTACTAATCCTATGGAAAGCTGTGTTCATCATTTACTTTGCAACTACTGTTACAAACATTATTGTACTTCAAGAACAAAATAGAGTGTTGAGGTCAGCCTGGTACTAATGAAGTGGCTGAGAAATAAAATGAGACAGAAAAAATAAAACTACATGGATGTAAATACCATCAAGGGAAGATAAAACAGACATGAAGTACATTTCAAAAGTAAGAAACATTAACAGAATAACAAGAAGTTGTTACTAAAAAAAGAGTGTATATGAGTCAATAATCATTATGTCACTTATTGCAAAATGTTTTTGTTTACAATGCTTAAAATGTGAACTTATGTACCCACAATAGCCTCTTACCCAGTCCCAGTGTGTGAATGGTGGTATGAATATACACTGATTATCAGGACCTAAACAAAGGGAAGTTGCAGCTGGACTGAAAAGCCCTGCTGGTTCTCTTCCCACAATCCAGGGACATTCCAGAATCAGGCCATGCCCCTGTTGATGGATGCATAAGTAGATAAAGACTGGTGGATTCGTTCCAGGTTATAAACACTCTCAGTTTGGAGGCCTTGTTCAGCACCATCGCAGCTTCCTTGGAGATTTCAGAGCATGCGAGTTCTGATCCTCCTTTTGCTTTTCTTTCGAAAACGCAAGAGCATTGCATAGCTCCATTATAGAATCCATCTAATTCATCTACTCCAGTCACTCAAAACACTTTCACTAAGGTTGCCTTAGATCAGTAGATATGGGAAATATCCAATGTTACCAGTACTCAAGTAAATTTTAGACTATGAGGTCCACAAGAACAGAGATGTTTACCTGCTTTGGTTACTAATTTATCCCTACTACCTGAAACAGTATCTGAAATAAGGTATGTGCTCAAAGAATAATGTCCAGGACCTGAAATATTGTATGTGCTCAAATAATAATGTACAGTTTTGCAAAGCCCCACAAAAGCTACATTAGTATTTGAAGTGAATGGGTGACACCATGGTAAACATGTTTTTATCTTGGTGGGAGAAAAGATTACTAGCACTCTCAGATGTTCTTAAAATATATTTTCCTGTGAAAACAATGTCTTCAGAAGTGTTCTGAGTCTCTGCTACTTGTAAATTAAATAATTCAATACTCAACTGAAAATCATTATCACTCTTATTACTCTAAATAAATGGCTGAGAAATTACTATGTGAAATAGAACACCTTCAAAATTTGAGGAATGACCGGATCATGATCTTTCAACCACGGACCCTGATAATCAAAGGAAAACACTGTGACTAAATAGTTCAGATAGAATGGCTGGTGTTATTACTTTACCAACTTGGTTTAGCCATTTTAAATTCTGTCATCTCTTTTTGAACCACAAAAACCAACTATTCTGAGAAACAGAAAATTTCATATTACTATTTTACTCTGTGTAATCCAAATAAGTATTCTAGGGTTTAGAATATTGTTCCTAACTTTCTAAGACATGCAATACTTCTAAGAAACAGACAGGAATATAGACATAACTACAATGCTGATATTATTTCTTGTTTGTGTTCTGGCAGTCCTACATTAATTCCTGTAAGTTCCTCAATCTGGTCAGGTCTTCACAGCCAAAATAAGTCACAGTTAACATTATTTCTTTAGAAAAGCAAGTAAAAGAAAATATGCTTTCCTGAATTATCTAAGCAAAATTTTGTTTAGCTATTTTTTGCCAAAATATTCTCAATGTCAGTGGGTTTGTGATTTATGCTCTAAGTCAAAATGACTTTCCTTAAAACAGAACAATTATCTCCAATTCAATAATTTAATAATTTTTTTTTCAAAATGGTTCACCTATATTATTGAAATTTAAAATCTTAAAAAAAGTTTATTCATAAGAGGATAATAAATCACTAAGTATGTAGTCAATGCATACGGGAGAAAATGTGCTGCAGCCCAAACGCAAATGATTCCCCACTATATACTGATTAAAATGTTTCATATATGGGTTTGACTTTTATAAGGAGGTGCTCTTGGGTATGTGTGAGATGGCCAATTATTTAATTTTTAAAAATCAATAATTGTAATTCTGGAAGGAAGAAGACCAACCACAGTCAATGCCAGATGTAGTATCACTTGAAATCCAGGTTCTTAAACTAAAAGAAACAATTAAAATGTGAAAGTATTGTGGCTATTTTTCATTTCAACAGCAGTTTTAAGTTTAAATAGATAGGATAAGTTGAATAAGAATACAATTAATATTTTTAAAAATTCTTCTATATTTCTTTATAAACAAAAAAAGATTATTTAAAAAGATATGAATACTTTTTTCAAGCTTTATGAGTGATGACTCTACATCCTTCTCTGCATTTCTTTTTTATTTTATTTTATTTTATTTTATTTTATTTTATTTTATTTTTATTATACTTTAAGTTTTAGGGTACATGTGCACATTGTGCAGGTTAGTTACATATGTATACATGTGCCATGCTGGTGCACTGCACCCACTAACTCGTCATCTAGCATTAGGTATATCTCCCAATGCTATCCCTCCCCACTCCCCCCACCCCACCACAGACTGACCCAAAGGTGACCCTGCTATCATCATCTTATTGGGTAAAAAGTAGGAGGGAAATAGAATAGCGTGACTCAAGGTACTAATACCCTTTAATTGGTCTTCAGTTATTTTTCTTGGGTCTTCTCTACAGCTGACAGGCCAACTCAACCTACTGCCAACCAAGACCTGACTGGCACGAGGAAAGGTAATGCTGCTGAAACACTTGGAGAAAGTGATCCTTTTCACAGTAGTTAGTTGGGACATCACCATAGTTATTTCAGAATCACATTTTCTTCCTTTTAGTTATTGTTAAGTTTGAATATGACCTAGCATCACTTTAAAATTAATTTCTAACCTAAACCTAAGTTCTGGATGGTGTTATGTTCAAATTTATTTTTAACTTTACTTTGGGTTCCAGTCAAATTCTGATACCAACTAAATCATAGCAGCCATTGTGAATTCCGAACAAGAAGGCGTTTAACGTATTCCTACAGACAAATGTTGAGAGTTAACTCCACAGGAAGTTGGGCTCATGATAATAATCGCAATTAACCCCTTAATTACTTTCAAATTTTATTTCTATAAAAGTCATAATTTTATTTGTTATGGAATAATTATTTTTTTAAAACATGTTTTTCAAATATTCATGAAAGCTGGATAATTCTACCATTTCACGAATTATTTCTTCTTACCAAGTGATGAGGGCAAATGCAAATGTAGCTGATGCGCAAAGTATGGTCTTATCTCTGTGATTTTTGTTTGTGCCAAAAGGAAATTACTATCATTTTATAGAATATTTTCTTTTGTTTACATATCATTTTACTGTGTGAACTGATAAGGGGTCTGTGATTCATCATAAAAACATTTTCAGTCTATAATCCTAAAAGATCACTAGCAAGTGAAGCATTAATAAGGAGCTTCATCCCACTTAAAGAAATATGAGTGTGCTTAGATTGTTCAAATTGATTCCAAATGAGTTCCATCGAATGGAAATTTGATGACATCGTATGGGCAGTTTTGAAGTCACTTTAGTAGACAGCCTTCCTAATCATTATTGCCTGAGAATCAGACGCTAATGGAGTCCAGTGGGCTTTCCATCCCCTATCTGAGGCTTTAATTCTGTGAATCTTTTTTGCGAAGTTCAACTTTGTAGTGATTCAAGTTTATATGAGTGTGTCAATAACAATAGCTGCAACAAGATGAAGTTAGTAATTACTTCCTAAACATAATATATACTTAAATATAAAAAGTTTGGGGTATCATATATTATTAGTCTAAAAAGATGATTTATTAAAAATCAAATAAGCAAGTATGACACTGTATATACTCTTTTAGAAAAATAAGGCTAATGTATTTCTTTAAATATTTTAGTCAAAGCCACTGTAATTGTCATCTCTATACTTCTTATTAAAACAATCAAGTTAATCATATCAGTTATGATTACTGGAGAAGTATGTTATAAAGAAAACAGTCTCATAACCCTCCACTTCCCATTCCATCCTACATACTTCTGTTGGATTGATCATGGAATTATAGAATTTTAGAAATCTCTAAGTTCAAACCCTGGTTTTACAGGTAAGAAAATGTAAAGCCCAGGAAAGGGAAATCACTTGATCAAAGTTACAGAGGTAGAGATAAGGCCTGGTCTAGAATTCAGTCCTCCAAAAAATGTATAGTCATACACTTTCTAGTCCAAAAACACTCAATTGTTTTCTGTTGTTTATAAAGCCATGCCTAGCTTTTTAACCCATCATTATCTTAAAGGTGTCTACTTTTTCTGCTCTAAACTTTCCTTCCAATCTTATATTTCCCTTCTCATACAAGATTCCAATCAAATGTTCATGGCGATTCTCAAGACTTTCTCCTCTACTTGAAATATTTCTCTCCCTGTTAAATACTGCATAGGCAAGCCTCATCTATATGTCATTTTTTCCACACAAAGACTGCTGCTTCTCTTAACTGAAACTTTTATTAATAGAAAACCACTTTTGTGGCATTTTCTACTTTTTTTCCCTCTTACAGTTGTTTTTCAGTATATGTTTCAACACTCTTCCTAAAATTGATGCTACTCATTGGCAAGGCCTGTATCATATTTACATTGATAATCTCAACATTTGACATAGTAATGATAATTTGATAATTCCGTTAATATTGTCAAAAATTAAATTCAGAAATTTTTACTCCAAGTTTGAGTTTTTACATTCTTTTGTTAAAATAAATTTTTCACATCGGCTAAATCTACCTGTAAATCTGGCTTTTTTTCTTAATCAAGGAAACATTGTATTCAAGTCACTCCTAAATTTCTAGTAACAAATTCTTTTAAATTAATTTTTTTTTAAATTTATCTTTAGGTGCAATAATGAAGAGTTTTCTTCTAGTTGTCAATGCCCTGGCATTAACCCTGCCTTTTTTGGTAAGTTAATTTCATCTAACCAGATTGTACTGACTTTAAGAAAATTTTGTTTAAGGGCTTTAACTATGCAAACTTCTAAATACAATTATGCTTCATAGAACAAAATATCCACATAGTTGTTACATTTTTAAGGTTAATTTTTTTAATATTTATTTCTATTATGAAATCAAAGTCATGTTCTTTTGGATATCCATTTAGTTCTGTGAATTAAGAAATCACACTTAATCATGTACAGGAAACTTTTAAAATTCTCATGCTATAGAGAAAATACATTCAGGGGAAAAACAATACTGAAAACATTTTAAAATTGTAAATGCATTAAGGATAATTCAGAAAGAATAAATACAGAAATCATAGTCTGGGAATCAGAAATTATTTTAATTAAGTTCCTGTCTCACCCAGACTCCAATCTCTTTATGGAAACAAAATCCTTCAAAGGTCAACTTTGGTTAAGCTTTTTCACAAGTTTCAAAGACCTTGATACTTCTGCCTTTAATATTTGAATCATTAACTTTTGTTATATTCTTCCCCATTATGTCAATTGACTGACCCCTTTCCAGGGATCAATGGTTATAAACAGCTTGAAGGCTTGCAGGCATTATCTTGAATTATATGCAATGTTTTAAGGCTACTGGACTTAGAAAAAGGTTCTGTTTTTTTCTTTTAATTTTTTGACTTGTTTTTATTGTTGTTTTGGCTATTGCCTCTTTTTATTTTCTTGTTCATCTGGGTATTCTAGGCACTGACAAAGGAGGCAAGCATAAATAATGGTATATGTCCTCCTCCTAGATTGTAAAATTTTGAGGAACACTAGTCCTCGTTCTGTGAATCTCTGTAATATTTATTTATTATTAAGTTTAGAGTTGCTTTTAAGTTAACATCTATTAATTAATTCTATTACCTGCATGTTGTGCTTGTGTATAACATGTCCATTAATTCTATTAGGTCAATTCTTGGAGTCAAAATTACCTTTTAAAACTTTGAGTTCTACAACTCAATACTTTGTGGTCACCTGAACATTTGGAACTTAGGTTGTCTCTTTGAGTAATAGGGCTTAAAGTTTAAATCATGAAATGATCTACAAATCCCTGCTGCATAGCAACCTCTTCCTGAGCTACCTGAGCCGGATTCGTCTTTCAAACATTCCTTCCCATTTTCACAAAGGCTTCAGGCCTCAGGGACATGAACAAATATACAGAAAAAAAAAAATTTATTGATTTTACCATTCAATCTTATGAGTAGTCAAATTTATACAAATTAAAACATCAATGTGATACCATGTTATATGTACTATTTTATCCCTTCCCCCAAAATAAAAATAGTTAGATAATATTTTACTAGCACTTATGCACTAAACTGCATAAACACATAGCCTATTGGTGACATTATAATTTGACACAACTTTTCTATACCACAATTTCATAATTTCTATCAAAGAATCAAATCTCATTTGTGAAAAATCATTTTAAGGTATTAACGAAAATTATTAAAAAGGCCACTGGTATACAGATGTTAATCATCACTCTGTTTATAATTAAAATTTTATCTTAATAGATAACGATAAGAAATAAACATTTCATGACATAATCATTGATCACTTAGTTATCAACTATAAAAATGTAACTATGAAACCTATGATATAAATAAAAAAAAGAGACACCACATTTCCTATAAAAATGCAGGATACTTTTTAGACAAGCATATACCAGGAATACATAACATAGGTTGATATCGCATTAAGGTATCTAGATTGTCAGAATTTTTTAAAGTATACTTTCTACAATATTCATATTACTTCTTTTTTTTTTTTTTTTTTGAGACAGAGTCTCGCTTGGTCGCCCAGGTTGGAGTGCAGTGGCACAATCTTGGCTTACTGCAACCTCTGCTTCCCAGGTTTAAGCGATTTTCCTGCCTCAGCCTCCCAAGTAGCTGGGACTACAAGTGCCCGCCACCATGCCCAGCTAATTTTTGTATTTTTAGTAGAGGCAGGGTTTCACCATGTTGGCCAGGCTGGTCTTGAACCCCTGACCTCAGATGATCCACCCACCTCTGCCTCCCAAAGTGCTGGGATTACAGGGTGAGACATGTGCCCGGCCTCATATTACTTCTTTACATTTTAAACTAATGATTTAATATATTTAAAGAAAAGCAAGTCTTTGTCTCAAAGCAAGGAAACTTTATTACCTTCTCAATTTTCTGATTTTCTATACTCACACCTTCCAAAAGGTTTCTAGAGTCATTTTATACCCAAGGAATACATGTGTAATGTCCTAAAACAGAACTGTCAATTTAAAAATATTTAATATTATACCTCCTTTCAAAAGTTTCTAAAAGCTTTGGAGTTTTTAGTTTTATAAATATGTGTCCATAAAAATTGTTTTCTCACTCCTGATTCTCTAAATATGTCACAATCCAAAACTAAGAAAAGCACTATAAAAACAAATGAAAGATGGTATTAAAAACACTATTATTTATATGTTAAGTTTATGCAAGAGGCAATATTTTAAATCTTCTAAGTAAACCTTATGAATCATCTTAGTATGAGAGCAGAGAAAGGAAAAAAGGCTCAATGCTCCTCTAATTTTTAACAATCTAACAATGTATATTTAATAAAAACTAAATAGAAATTATTCATATTTTTCATTTAAGCATATTTGTTGGCATGGGAGTCAGATGACTAGATTTTTCCCACAGTGACTTTTTCATTCTAGGTGGTGATGTTTAAAGACAATATAAACATGCAGTTTATTATTACTAATCAGTTAGACTACTGTTGCTTCTTAAGTAGTCCATAGGCCTCATAGATCACTCATGAAAAATGTTTTAAAAAATAAAAAGAAAACATATTTTGTCTTTAACACAAAAGATTTTTTTAACTGATTTAAGTACTTTTTTTTTCTTTTTTAACTTATTTCTCATTATTTCTTCTTCTGGAACTCCCCAGGCTGTGGAGGTTCAAAACCAGAAACAACCAGCAGTAAGTCTATTTTAATTACTTCTGTTACAGGCATGAACTACAAAATATATTCTGCAAAGGTCAATTGTATTATAGATGCCTTCTGTCTAAAACCTAAATATTTCATTTCCATAAAACAATCTAATAATATTTGCAAGAAAATAATTTCAGCAACAGGTGATATGAATCAACATTGATGTTCATCTGAAAGTTTTATTTTCTTATATAACCCAAATCATGTATCTTTGGTTTTCATGTATATTTAGCAATATGAGAAAACTCTTTCAACATTTCATATTGGAAAAAAATGAAAACATAAGTAAAGCTTAATATTTCCCCTTTCCACTTTTTAAGACAAGGGAAGATCCTTTTCTGACCCATCTTTGAATACTTCTCATACATCTATATTTACTTCCCCTTTCGTTTCCCAAATATGTTTGAATACATTTAAATGTGTCTCGTTTTAGGAGAAATGTTTGCTTTGTAGTATAATTTTGTCAATTTATTTCTATTCATATGGAAAGGTCTACTGACAAATTTTTAAACAGAGGCACATAGATATAGACAATTCTTTATCTAATCTTTTGTGAAGAAAATTAAACCAAAAAAAATCCAAAATCTAAATCCAGGAATCTCTCCACATCACATTATGTTACTATTCTGCTATAGTTTAGGAAAAAATAAATGTGCTCTTGGGCTAATTTTTAAATGAATAAAATTTGAGACCAATTACAAATATGTGGTGAGAATACATACGTGTGTGTGCGCCATTCTGTGTGTGTCTGCATGTTGTGCTTGTGTATAACATGTCAAAGTTCTCAATGAGATTTTTCTCTGTGTTGTACCTACAATAGCTAACATATAAGATCACTTTCCATATATGCCAATCTCTGGGCAATATGGTTTACATTATGAATAAACTCATCTAATTTCTTGAAACAAATATTATATTAATATTATCAAAATAATATTTATAATATTGAAAATCATAAAGTGGAAAGGCAATGTACAAATCAACATCTTATAAAATAATATTGCTGCTGGGTTCCATACTTCTAATATCTTACTCAATGGTAAATACTATATTATTTCAAAAAATGCAGATTTAAGGTATTTCCACATTTGGGTCTATAATAATAATATTCTGTATAATTTATTTTTTTTGCAGTGCCATGAGAATGATGAAAGACCATTCTATCAGAAAACAGCTCCATATGTCCCAATGTATTATGTGCCAAATAGCTATCCTTATTATGGAACCAATTTGTACCAACGTAGACCAGCTATAGCAATTAATAATCCATATGTGCCTCGCACATATTATGCAAACCCAGCTGTAGTTAGGCCACATGCCCAAATTCCTCAGCGGCAATACCTGCCAAATAGCCACCCACCCACTGTGGTACGTCGCCCAAACCTGCATCCATCATTTATTGCCATCCCCCCAAAGAAAATTCAGGATAAAATAATCATCCCTACCATCAATACCATTGCTACTGTTGAACCTACACCAGCTCCTGCCACTGAACCAACGGTGGACAGTGTAGTCACTCCAGAAGCTTTTTCAGAGTCCATCATCACGAGCACCCCTGAGACAACCACAGTTGCAGTTACTCCACCTACGGCATAAAAACACCAAGGAAATATCAAAGAACACAACGCAGGTAAATTAACAGTATATAAAATGAGTAATTCCGACAAGAAGCATGGATTTATGAATACAACCATAAATTCTAAAATAGTACAAATAGATAAACTAAGTGTGTTACAGAAGCAGACAAAACAGGGTACTTACAGTTTTACCTTGGTAAACCCATAGCATTGATACACCAGATTCTGTTCCAACTAGAAATTTAAAATAATTTTATTTGACAAAGTGAAAATAATTGGCAACTTCATTATCAAACTTTTTTCTGACAATTGGGACACTCTTAGAATGTAATAGTTTTATTTCATCCTTATTCACACACAAACTATGACAGTAGAGTAAAACAGCAAGTAACATTTTCATGATATTTCAAAAATAATTTTTAGAAGAAGTTATATAGAATATGAGTTTGAGTAAATTTTAATTCTGTAACAATTCTCTTGCACTCTCATTGTAGTATGAACAGAGTAAAAGGAAATGATATGCTTCCATGCATTTCTTTATTTCAGACATCATTTCCAAAATGATTCATGAAGTTAAGCCTCTCAAATTTCTCCTATTCTAAGATAAACCCATGGAAGAATTATAATGCTTAACTTGAAAAACACATAAATATTAAAAGGATACTTTCAGAACACAATGTGATGCAAAGTGTTACTATTTATTACTTGGACCAATGGATAATGGCAGAATATAAAATAATTTGAAACTTATGAGAAGAATTTAAACAAAGAGAATGATTAATAAAGTGGAAAATATCCAAAGAGTGTAAAATAATTTGGGGAGAAAGTTGCAAAATGTGGAGTTTCTTTACAACAAATATTTTCAGTCCATCAGATGTCTACATGTTTTATGATCTAAAATACCAGACAATGGTCTGTGATATCATGGGACTACCATTAGCCCAGAAAAGGTTGCTTCTTTCATCTGCTTGCCTAATGACCATAGGCTGGTCATTACTTTCTCTGAACTTTTATTTTCTCATAATTCTGGTTGCTATAAGACTCAAGAGAGAATGCACATGGGAAAGGATTTTAAAAACTGATCAATCTGTAAAATGTCATGTATTGGAAAAGATAAAGTAAAATTCATACCAGTATCCTAAGTCTCCACTAAATGATAAAAACCGTACATAATTATGTCTGTTGATTCCCATAGTAACCATATGAAACAGATATTATTCCTATCTCAAATTTAGGGATAAAAACCAGTAGGACTGAGGACATTAAGTAAATTATCACAGCTAGAAATTGCAAATGGGAGGCAAACCAAACCTGTTTAATTTCAGATAGTGGGGTTTAATTACTATGTCATTTATTTTTATATGGGCTGTCTAACTTGCTGAAAAACAGGGAAAATACACTGTGATTTCCTTAGACTAGCATATGGGTAAATTGTGTTGTTTAGTTGCTGTTCAACAGGATATCCATTAAGAAAAAGAGAACAAGAGCTGGTTAAACAGCTGGCTTATTATATTTTGGAGAACAAAATAAGAAAATTAATAAAGACAACATGAAAGCAAGTTATTTAATAAGTAGTTACATATTTTACTGATGCAAAACATAAAGAAGCATGTAAAAGAGTTTTTTCTGTAAATATTACATAATGTCTATTATTTTCAGTTTACTATATGCCTATTTTAAATATTTAAGTTTAAATATGTAATCTGATTGACTTATTGGATACAGACATGAAAGAAAAATTGTGGAAGCTAAATAAATATATATCATGAGAACTGTTAACATACTATGAATAAATTTCTAAACTATCATTATTTTTTATAGGACTTGCTGAAACCAAATTACTACTTCACACTCTCCTTCAGCCATTTGTCTGCCTTCAGTCAACAGAAAATGTGATTTTCACAGATTCAGCTCTTCTCTCCTTACATTTTACATTCATGCCACATTCAATATTTTGATTCTTGCACAATAAAGCCAACTGATTGCAACTGATTCTTTGAGAGGAGTTTGCAAAGGTACCTCAGGGATCTCTGAAACTTTGAAACGCTATGACAAATTTAGTGTGAGTTAGAGTACACAAATTTACCTAAAGGCAGTGCTCATAGTTTCATCAGGTTCTCAAAGTGGTTCATGGTCTGACACTAAGAATTTCTCCTCTAGGATGACACTGGGACCAGAGAAAAGCCAAGCCATAGTGTTCCAATCCAGGGGACCACAGAGTGACTCTTGAGAGCCATGGGAACTCTAGAGTTAGCATTAAATTTAAGTGACCAAATGTATTGCTAACGTTAGTCTAGATTATTCCTGAGAGCAAATTCTGGGCACAGGCAAACTACAAATGTCCAGAACTACAAACACAGATACGTTGCAAAATTATAGATGTTGACAGAGACTCTAAACATGCATGACCAGATTTCCCCACACTGGACTCCACAGTCTCACATCTGTTCAAACACACACACACACCCCCACACCCACCCACCCACCCACACACACACACACACATCACACACCAGAAAGCTTCTGGAATTCAGGTATTCCAGTTTGGAAAAACTCGTGAATATTCAAGGTCCAAGGATAGGACATAGTTGTTTTCTTAAACAAATATTGCAAGGAAAATCAGGTCACCTTTGTGCTTGGTCCATATTTAACACATCATGCCAGAAAAAATAAAATTCACTCAGCCCTTACAAAATGTTTACTGGTCACCTATCTAATCTTCTGCTGTGACTCCCAACAGATGTGCTATTATTAGGATTGATTTACAGTGTTTTACCTGCTCTCTCACTCAAATAGAGAGTCTTGAACAGAGACATGGAAGGAATATGGCATGGCTAGACCTTATTTGCTATGATCATTAATGATATTATTAATTTCTTAAAAAACAAAGTAAATATGTGGAAAAGGCAAAATTTATATCATTAATTTAAAATCTTACCACCTATTATACACAAGGTATTATAAGAATTATTGTGATAATACAAACAATATTAATGGCTGATAACAATAAGCAACAAGCAGTTATAAAGTACATACTATTTGCCAGTCAATCTTCTATTTGTTTATATGTATTTACTCATTTAATATGTAGTCATGAACTACATATATTTATTCTTGTTGTTATTATAAGTGAAAGAGAAATGAAGTAATTTTCCCCACGTGAAGCTGAGATTTGAACTCAAAGTCTTGCTTTAAAGTCCATGCTCTTTAAAAACTGACACATGGACCAATGGAACAGCATAAAGAACCCATAAATAAAACTGAATGTATTCAGTCAACTAATTTTCAGCAAGGGTACAAAGAAGACACAACAGCAAAATTATAGTCTTTTTAACAAATGGTGCTGGGAAAACTGGATATCACAGAAAAAGAATGATATTGGACCCATATCTTACACCATACACAAAAATCCACTCAAAATGGGTAAAAGCTCAATGTAAGACCTGAAACTTTAAAATTACTAGAAGAATACCTAGGGAGAAAGCTCCTTGACATTGGCCTTGGCAAAAATTGTTTCGGATATCACACTAAAAGCTCTGGCTACAAAATCAAAAATAAGTAAATGTTCTCCCTCATAGGTGGGAATTGAACAATGAGAACACACGGACACAGGAAGGGGAACATCACACACCGGGGCCTGTTGTGGGGTGGGGGGAGGGGGGAGGGATAGCATTTGGAGATATACCTAATGTTAAATGACGAGTTATTGGGTTCAGCACACCAAAATGGCACATGTATACATATGTAACTAATCTGCACGGTGTGCACATGTACCCTAAAACTTAAAGTATAATTAAAAAAAAAGTCCTATAAGAAAAAATGCCATCTTTATGAATCTCTGCAATAAAACATGGCATAAACCTTTAAAAAAATAAGTAAATGGACTACATCAAACTAAAAAGCTTCTGCACAGCAAAGAAAATAATCAACCAAATAAAAAGACAGCCTATAAATTGGGAGAGAATATTTGCAAACCATTTATCTAATAAGGGGTTAATATCCAAAATATATAAAGAACTCACAAAACTCAATAGCAGAAAAACAAATAATCTGATTTTTAAAATGAGCAAAAGACAGGCCTGGTGCGGTGGCTCACGCCTGTAATCCCAGCACTTTGGGAGGCCAAGGCGGGCAGATCACAAGGTGAGGAGATAGAGACCATCCTGGCTAACATGGTGAAACCCTGTCTCTACTAAAAATATAAAAATTAGCCAGGCGTGGTGGCATGTGCATGTAGTCTCAGCTACTCGGGAAGCTGAGGCAGGAGAATCGCTTGAACCCGGGAGGCAGAGGTTGCAGCGAGTCAAGATCGCGCCATTGCACTCCAGCCTGGACGAAAGAGCAAGACTCCGTCTCAAAAAAAAAAAAAAAAAAAAAAGAAAGAAAGAAAAAAAGAAAAGAAAAAGACATAAATAGATATTTCTCCAAAGAAAACAAAAAAATGGTGAACAAGTATATGAAAGGATGATCAGCATCACTATCAAGAAAATACAAATGAAAACCACAATAAGATATCACACCACACCTGTTAGGATGACTATTTCAAAAAGACAAGGGATAATAAGTGTTGACAAGGATGTGGACAAAAGGCAGTCTTTGTGCATTGTTGGTGGGAATGTAGATAGGTGCAGCCACTGTGAAAAACAGTACGGAGGTGCCTATAGGAATTAAAAATAGAATTACTGTATGACCCAAAAGGCCCTTTTCTGGGTATCTACTCAAAGGTAATGAAACCACCCTTTGTAACGATATCTGCACTCTCTTGTTCATTGCAGCATTAGTCATAATAGCCAGTGTGGAAACAACCAAAGTGTATATCAAGGGATATGGATAAAATACATTGAAACACACACACACACACACACACACACACACACACACAGGGATATTATTCAGCCTTAAAAGAAAGAGATTCTGCTACTTGCCACAACATGGAAAAACTTTGAACTTGTAGGACAGAAAGCTAAGTGAAACAAGCCAGATATAGATAAAAAGAATACCGAATAATTTCACTTACATGTGGAATCTAAAAAAAAAAAAAAAATCAGTCAAATTCACAAAAACAGAGAACAAAATGGTAGTTACTGGGGGTGGGCCACACTGGAAAGATGTAGGTCAAAGGATACAGAGTTGCATGTAGGATGAATAAGTCTAGAGATCTAATATACAACATGAGAACTACAGTTAATAATATTGTATTTATTTGAGGTTTCTGTTAAGAGAGATTTTTGATGCTCTTGACACACACAAAAATGGTAACATTGTGAAATGATGAAAGTGTTAATTTCCTTGATTGTAGTAACGATATCACTATGTATATAAAAAATTATGTTGTATACCTTAAATACATAAAATAAAAAATAAAAGTCTATTATCTTAATCATGTAAAAACTACTATAAAATCATTTTCAATACAGCAGGTGAAATAAAATGTGAAGCAAAATACTTTGCAACAAGGAAAACATTCTTAATATTGGCTCATATTAATATGATTATGTCTAATTAAATAACATTAATAATAAGTTGCCAAAAGTAAGATTTAAGTTAAACACTTACCTCCCAGATATAATGTTACTCCATATTTGTGTCAATTGGATTAACTAACTGGAATATTGTATGTACCTAATCCCTCAGCTACTATTTTTACATATTCACAAAATACATTGTTGAGCTGCTTATCTTTGACTTGAATAAATTACTTCAGATGCAAGGATTCATCCAGGTAGAAGTGGTTTGTTACACATGAGAAATTGGGTTGTTGGCATAGAAGAGATCTGATCTGGAGGTGGTCACCCATAGTCATTTACTTCTGTCGATTACTAGTCTATTGCCCACTGTAAATACAGCATGTTTCCCTCCCACCTCTAGGACGTCATAGTCTAATGAGATTTAGAAAAACATTTTATTTCTCAATCCTGCAAAACAGCCATATTTGAAAGTTCCCAGGTACTCGGAATCCAGTGTTACATTATGTAACAATTGTTTATATAGCACTTTAAAATGTATAAAGCACTTTTACACATGCCAACCTTTTAACCGTCACCAATAAACTCTTGAAGTAATTTGTTATTGATCCTCATTTTACATATGTGGAAACAGCTCCAAAATGGTCAAACATATGGTAGTGAAAATGTATAGGGTTCATATTTACTTAGAATTTGATCAAAGTTTCAGCTCAATATTACTTAGCTGTGTAACTTTGGGCAATAAATATAATGGAAAGTACTATATATTGATTTATTGATATATCTGTCAGGCTCTATAACAAGGGTTTTATAGGTATTTTATATTGCACACTGTTAGGGAAGTACTATTATTATACTTATGCAGATATGAAGAAACAGGCTCAGAGGGATTAAGTAATTTGGCTAAGATAAGAAAATATTGAGTAGTAGAACTTAGCTTTGAACTCTAGCAATTCAATCCGCCAGCCCTCATTGCCATATCACTAGAACATATAACCTTTAATCTGATTAGAGTATTTAAGGTATTAGAGTACCTTATATTAGTTGGTCATTCAATACGTGTTCATTCATTTATCCCTTAACTCCCTAAGTGACATTGCCAAGGACATCCATTGTCCTTAAGATAAAGTCAATTTTCATAGTCCTATTATTTACCTTCCCACTTCATTTCTCTTCATTAGATCATCATACCATTCACCCCAGTGACTCAAAGACTTCTCACACTGCTTTATAGCTATACCATCACCATCCTCCAGGACTTTTCTGAAGCTGCTCAGATCACCGTGATAATTCATAGCATCTAATCAAAATATGAATCCCTGACCTATGTCCTTGAGGAAATAGTTCCTGAACTTCCAAAATCAAGTGATCCACTAACGTACCACCCAGTATCCTGGCCCTCCCAGCTCCTCTGTCCCTTAATACTCCTTAAACTCGATGAAACCGGCCTATCCACCTCTCCCACTGGGGCTATAAACCCTAGAGACTGTATTCTGCTCACCACTGTCTCTCCAAGGTGAGGCCTAATACAGTGTAGGAGATAAATAAATATTTGTTAAGCAAATAAACAAGGAAAGGAAAAATGAATTGTTGGTGACTAAAGTAGAAATACCGATTTAATTGGATTAAATAGCCTAGGCTTTTCTTACCAAAATCCATAAAGAAAAAACAGTGTTGACCTTAACAGTTTACTAGTGATGATGAATCAAAGCTATCAAAGGCATTGTTAGGCCAACTTTAAATACGAAAGAAAATTACTCAAATGATATTATCAATCACAGAAATCTGAAAGTGTAAAGAGAGAATGTTTTTATAATTTAATCTCAGTTTGCAAGGAAAGAAAATTGAATGTCAACAGAATGATAACCAAATTGCTGTATCAATATTATATATTATCTTAACTCTGGCTCAATATTTGGAAGAAGATGATAGCATCTCCTCTTCCTAATCTTCCTAATGTGATGTGCTGTCATAGTTGCCATATGTCCATGATATTGGGATAAAGATTATAAAGCTAATAGTCAAGGCTAATGAGCAAAATTATACTTAAAAGATCAAGTGTATTATGTTTATGTCTGTATTTTATTGGCATATACTGAAAAATCCCAGAAACTTTGGAAGGTAAGATTAAACTCTTAAATGTTCCCCATAAAATAAATGTTTTGTATTAATAGTTATTTTCCATATTAAAAATAATTCTTTTGAATCATTCCTTACAAAATATCTACAAGTATTGTTGGGATGGCTAAGACAAGGACCTTAAATAATAAAATCTTGACATACTTCATGCTATGGAAGCAATAAATTTGAAATTTAACATTTGAAGTAATCATACAAATAATAAAAATGTTATAAGCAATAAAATTATTGTTTCTTTTTCCTAAGATGTAATAGTGAAACATACTGTTTTTACAAACAAATTTTCACAAGCAACTGATTTTGTAAACCAATTTGACTTTCTTTTAATCAGTATTAACCCTTGCCAATAGTAATCATATTAAAATTTTCTCAGTCTCTCCCCAATAGGAAATAAGTAGGAGGGACATCAAGAATGAAGGGTTTATTTATTAAAAGGGTGCTAACTCATTCCATTTGGAGACAATGACAGTCGTAGAAGAACCAGCTTGGTTAAGAGAAGAAGACATCTGACCAGAACATAGAGGAGAAACCCCCTGTCTAAGGTATCTATTCAGGGAAGAATTTGGGACATAGAGTTTTCTTTTAGGATCTGGGATTTCCGCCATTTTGACAAAACAGTAATAGCTAAATAAATCAATAACTGGAATTTAAATCTGCTGATTTAGGCAAATTAAACTTGTTTTTAACACTCTTTTATTAATTACTGGTGGGAACTGGTCATACATACTCACTAAAAGATAGATTCCCACTCACTTTCGCTAATTCTACAGATAAAGCTTATTCTTATGAATTATTCAAGTTTTATTGCTGTATAGCAACCATTGGTAAAATGGGATTTAAGTTAAAAAATCATAAAGCAAACCTGTCTTTGTTCAGAAAAATTTCTATACCAGAAATGCTTCACCTCTGCCTAAGACGTTTCCTGGTATTAAAGTAGATACTGAATTCAATACCTGCCTCAACACTTTGAGACCTCTGTGGAAGCATTGACTATAGTATTGTCCTGAGATCCTAAAAGCATGAGTTGCTACTTTTTAAAGCTAAAAACTTCTGTAAAATAAAATTTTATTTAAATAATGGGCTTATTCTTATATTTAAAGAAGCACTTAGCTCCTAACCCTAATTACTCTAAATTACTCTTCTATTATCAGACCTTTATAAAGTTCACAGAAAGCTCTCTAGTAACCAGCAAATTATTTTGTGATAGCATTGCTGCCTGAGAAGTCTTAATTCCATAACAGATTGAAATGAAGGTGGATTTGAATAACATATTCATCACTACACTATTAAGTATGGATTCTCTTTATTCTTTTTTTTTAAGTCTTGCTAAGTTCCATGAAGAAAAAATGAAGGCCTTCATCTTGACTATGATCATCTTGAACATTATTATATTCTTCTTGGCAAATTTTTAATTGTCTTAAATGGGTAATTTTGTTGTCATTTAGAAAAAGGTAAAGGTGCCCACATCAATCATATGCCACAAAAACATCTTATACTAAATCATCATTGTGTTTGCAACCCAAATAATATATGCTTTGTTGTATTAAAAATTTTTACCTTGAACTTTATTATATCTTTATTATATATTTTCATAAAATGATATTTGTAGCCAATAAAAAAAATCAGAAATTTATGTCCACACTAAAACCACACAGATGTTTATAGCAACTCTAATTCATAATTGCCAAAATGTGGAAGCAACCAAGCTGTCCTACAATAGGTAAATGGATAAATAAACTGTGGTACATCCATACAATGGAATATTACTCATCATTAAAAAGAGATGAGCTATCCAACCATGAAACGACATGGAAGATCCCTAAGTCAATATTACCAAGTGAAAGAAGCCAATCTAAAACAGCTACATACTGTGTAATTCCACTATATGACATTCCGATCAAGGCAAAACGATGGAGACAGTAAAAGCATCAGTCATTGCCATGGATTTGATGAGAGGGAGGAATAAATAGGTGGAACACAGAAGATTTTACAGCAATGAAAACTATTCTGTAAGATGCTATGATGGATATATGTCATTATACATTTGTAAAAACCCATAGAATGTAAAATACCACAAATGAACCTTAATATAAACTATAAACTTTGGGTGATGATGATGTGTCGATGTAAGTTAATCCACTGTAATGAATGTGCCACTCTAGTACAGGATATTGATAATAAAGGAGGCTGGGATAGGGGGCTGAAATAAGGAGTATATGGGAACTCTCTGTACTTCACACTCAGTTTTTCTGTGAACCTAAAACTGCTTTTGAAAAGTTTTTAAGAAAAAGAAAGAAATGAAAATCAAAATATGAATAACATCAAAATGGCTATTTCCTATTTTTATCAATTAATTTTTTAAATACACCCAATGTAGCTTGATGCCACACATATTTAGTCTTTACTTAAACATGTATTTTTAATTTAGACAAGCGAGAGTCTTAAAACTCATGATCTGGTTTTTTGTTCTTGCGATAGTTTACTGAGAATGATGATTTCCAATTTCATCCATGTCCCTACAAAGGACATGAACTCATCATTTTTTATGGCTGCATAGATAGGTGGGAATTGAACAATGAGATCACATGGACACAGGAAGGGGAATATCACACTCTGGGGACTGTGGTGGGGTGAGGGGAGGGGGGAGGGATAGCATTGGGAGATATACCTAATGCTAGATGACGAGTTAGTGGGTGCAGCGCACCAGCATGGCACATGTATACATATGTAACTAACCTGCACAATGTGCACATGTACCCTAAAACTTAAAGTATAATAAAAAAAAAAAAAACTCATGATCTGTCGAGACAAATGCCATCAAGGTTAAATTCATCTTTCAAAACCAGAAAAACAAAGACCTCACATATCCAGGCTGCACTAAGACAAGCCTACATCCCGACATCAAAGCAATCATCAAGCCAGGCTTCACTTACTGTGACTCAACCAAAATCACCTGTGTCAGTTTTAACAAACCAATCTCTAACAACCAATTCTTTTAAATCTTCAACATCCAAGTCTACATCCAAACATTCATTATCTTAAAATCCAGCAAAGGAGTCTAACTCTACCAAAAAGCAATTTCTAGCTAAAAAGACTGTAAAAAATCAGCCTCAACCAGAACAACTTCAAAAAACAACAGAAATTAATCTACAAGTTTACACACAAAGTGACTTTACCTGACAAGTCTATGCCCAATCAGGCATCTCTCACCAAAACTGCTATAAAAAGGAAGACAGCTGCTAAGCCTAAACAGAAACAGTCAAAAGTTACCAAATCTATACCCAAGAGGACATCATCTTCTCACAAAACAAACAAAAGGTCATCAGTTGCCAATGCTACACAGAAATCATTCGTAAAGAGAGCAAAAAGAAAGGCCACAGCTGCGAAAGCTGCACTTTGGCAAACATCATTTTTCCAGCGTGCAGTGAGGAGCCTCTAGTTCCTACATCTAAAGTTTCCACAGGTAACACAAGAAGAGTTTCTTCTAAGAGGGGTCCACCAAAACAATTTCCCAGGCTACAGCTCCACTTCAAAAACAGCTGCAAAGTTCACAGCCAAAAAGTCTCAAAGATGCAATTCTGCTGGAAGCCAGTGTCCAGCTTCCAAAAACAAACCAGAGAAGATGGGCCCTTTAAGTCCTCGTCTCCAACTTACTTGACTTTACTAAATATTCCTAAGCACCATGTGCACAAACCTCATCCACCATCCTCATGTTCAATAAAAATGCATCCATCCCAATTTCAAACTCACAAATCTAAACCTCATAAGCCCATACCTTGTCCACATCGACCTAAAAAGTATCCATCTCAGAATTCTGGAGAAGCAGCTACTTCATCACACAGAGCGGCAGCTCCTATCCTTGCAGATATCACCACGGCAGCCATTGGAGATAATAATGATATCACTACTAGCATGTCTCAAATTACACCTACCTCAAAGGACTTTTCTACTACCCTCTTACCTACTACAACTATCTCTGTATCTCAATCATCACCCACTCTGCAGATTACACTACCACCAGGCAAGGTACCACTGCGTTTGAAAGCATCACTGTTGTAACTAACACTACTACTGCCGCAGTAGGTAAAACCATGTTTGAAGTTGAAGCCACTACTGCTAAAACTGACACAACTATTAAAGAGACTGCTGTAACTGCTTCTATGACCAACAACCACTATAGATAGCACTTAACAGTGCAACTGACACTGAAATCACTATGGAGGCTCTAGAAACCATGACAGCTACTCTAAGAGTGACAACTTCTACCCTCGACATGACTCTGCCTGGGACCAATAACACTTCCACTGCTGCCCCTAATTCCACCACTGCCCTGGATGATGCTACCAGTGCCACCAATACTACTGTTGACACTGAGCCTGAAAGAAATGTCACTGTCCCTGAAGAGTATACCTACGATATTGAAGATTATAATCCAGCTTCTGTGAGTATGACCCAGAGCTTGCTGAAAGTTCCACCATAATTACAGTATCTAATGCCACAAGTGCTGTTATTCCTTCATCTCCAGGGGCCACTGCGCCTATACAAAATGCCTGAGAAACTACAACTGATAACACTGCTCAGAATCTACAGGTGACAGCTACTCCATATAGCCCTTGAATGTTGACGGGATACCCCAACCAATGATCAAAAGTCTTTGAGAAAATACTGAAAATGTTTAGCAGTGAAAACATAGCAATGCTGTAAGCATACTATAATGTGGTTTTTAAGTCTTTTTTCCTTATATGCCAATATGTCATATCATATATTTGAAGCAACACAAGGAGAATTGTCATTGCATTTTTAAATGATGATTCAAAAAGTTCGCAGTTCTCAACACTTGACATGATTGGAATTTGTCTTGTATTCTCATTTCGCTCTAAAGTGTCTTTGATGTCCTAAGAGCAACAATCCTTAAATCCTCTTAATTCCCCTCTCTTGAGTACTAAAATCCCTCATTCACTGACCTTGATTAAATTATTCAACAAAAATTTGTCTCTTATAGTTTAAAGGGATAATTTATTGGCTTGGTGAATTTCATTCTTATGAAAGGAAACAAACACTTAAAGTTGTTACCTATAGAAAAATAGGAATTACTTATTGTAGGCTATGACATTTCTAGGATACTATAAAAGAGGAGACAGAGATTTATTCAGATAATCTAAATTTCTTCTTGGCCTGAAAGAAAATTTGGCCCAGAAGAGCCCTAGAAATCTATACATATCTCCTTGTATAGAAAGCCTCTTTAAATCATTCCTGAGTTATAAAGCACTGAAAGAACAAGACATGAGCTTCTCAGATCCAACAAGACTGTCTCAAATGAATGATGTCAGTGGCAGCTTTGGGACTTCTCCCTACCACTGTAATCACATACTCATAGATCAGGTCCCAATGCATACATCGGGTCCCAAGGGTAATTGGACTGAGAAATCCTGCACCTGGTCCTTTCCTCCAAGCTATCACTATTCCTTCAAACACCTACATCCTCTGAGAAATAAGTATGGGATGTTGATCTAATTTTATAGGGCGTGTGTTTGTGTTGGGGGTGTTGGTGAGAGAGAGAGAGAGAGCTATCATTCTATAGCTCACCAAAAGGGCCATACCCATAAATTTACTTTTCCCATCACAAATTTCTTCTGCTCTTTTGCAATGTGGAGTCAACAGGATGCATATATCATAATCTAGTATTTTAAAAGAAGAATTAAAAACAAATATTTTTCCTTTCAGGCCACAAGTTTTAGATTTATCAGTTTTTATCTTAAAATACTCATTATCAAGACTATTCCACAGATTTTAAAATCAATGTACCCATGATAAATAATTGATATGTATCATGAGTACATATTATATTTTCATAATCTAGATTCATATTATAAGCCTAAACCAAACTAGTAGACAAAGTTTCTCTTCTTTGTATAGCCATTGAAGATACTTAACTGCAGATGAGAAATATGATAAGAATCTGCTAAGCACAGGCATAAATTTTCATCTGCTCTGTAGTGTCACACGTTAATGTCTAATAATTTTCTGCTAACTGCTCTGGTTTTTCTTATACATTTAAACATTTATACACCTAAAATATTGACCAAGGCTCTTATTTTGTTAAAAAAAAGTAATTTCAGGTAATTGGGTATATTCATTTAACATGTTCACTTAAAAATATATTTTGAACATCTACTAATAGCAAGTCCCTCTGCTAAGTGCTATGAGACAGTACAAAAAGACCCAGACAATTATTGTGGACTAATGGACTTCACAGTAAAAGAGGAATCATACCATATGTATACAACTAATCATGGTACAATTCAAAATAGAAAAGGAGGCATCTTACAGACTGAGAGATCATGGCAGTGATCAGGGAAAAAAAGTGTTATGATGGTGTGCACTTGTAGTCCTAGCTACTTGGGATATTTGAGTGGCAGGATTGCTTCAGCCCAGGAATTCAAGGATGCAGTAAGCTATGATTGTGCCACTGCACTCCAAAGTGAGATTCTGTCTCTTAAAGAAAAAGTGTTATGGAAAAGATGGCACTTGAATGGATGTGTGCTGCAAGCTGGCTGCTGGACCATAAACTGTTTACTGGTCAGTTATGAGTGAAGGCCATAAATCACTTTTTGTCATTATGTACACACACTATTTATTTCAGCTTCTTTTTAACTATTGATTCATTCATTTACTCATTCACTTATTCAGTAGCAAGACTTTCTTGTTGACAAAGGCAATGTGTTCTGGTGCAAGCTCCTTATCTCATTCGTGACCAATAATTTGAGTATACCTGAACTAGAACTAAGTAGCGGCTACTCCCTGCTCTTATAACTGAGGCATGCTCTCCTCATTTCACCTGTTTCCACCCATTCACTGCAGAGTAGCTTCTCATAAATTTAGGCATTTAAGCTTGTAATCCTTGCTATAAACAATGAAATAACTTAAGACTTGTGTAAAAGAAGGTAAATTCTTTTAGCTAATGTAAGATGAAGGTGAGAGTTAGTAAAAGCCTAATGGTGAAATTGAGGGGACAATTTTGAGATATATTAGGGAATAAATATCAGTAAAAATTGAGAATTTGTATATTGGATAAGATGGTGTTAAAGAAGAAGCTATTTTCTGAATTGGATAACTGGTTACAAGATAATATCTCCACAAGAAAACTATTAGAACTGATAAGCAAATTCAGCAAAGTTGCAGGATACAAAATCAATATACAAAACTAAGTAGCATTTCTATATGCCAACAGTGAACAATCTGAAAAAGAAAAAAAAGTAATTCTATTTACTATAGCCACACATAAAATTAAATACCTGGGAATTAACTGAAGAAGTGAAATATCTCTATAATGAAAACTATTAAAGACTTATAAAAGAAATTGAAGAGATACCAAAAATGGAAAAATATTCCATATTCATGGATTGGAAGAATCAGTATTGTTAAAATGTCCATACAACCCAAAGCAATCTACAATTCAATGCAATCCCTATCAAAATACCAATGACATTCTTCACAGAAATAGAAAAAAAAATCTAAAATTTACATGGAACCACAGAAGACCCATAAGAGCCAAAGCTATCCTGAGCAAAAAGAGCAAAACTGGAGGAATCACATTACCTGACTTCTAATTATACTACAGAGCTATATAACCAAAACAGCATGGTACTGGCATAAAAACAGACAAACAAACCAATGGAACAAAATAGAGAACCCAGAAACAAATCCACACATCTGCAGTGAATTCATTTTTAACAAAGGTGCCAGAAACATACACTGCAGAAAAGACAGTCTCTTCAATAAATGGTGCTGGGAAAACTGGATATCCATATGCAGAGGAATGAAACTAGGCTCCTTTCTCTCAGCATATACAAAAAGCAAACCAAAATGGATTAAAGACTTAAATTGAAGACCCCAAACTCTGAAACCACTACAAGAAAACACTGGAAAAGTCTCTAGGACATTGGCAATAATTTCTTGAGCAATACCCAGAAGCACCGTCAGCCAAACCAAAAAATGGACAGATAGGAACATATCAAGTTAAAAAGCTTCTGCACAGCAAAGGATAGAATCAACAAACTGAAGAGACACCTAGAATGGAAGAAAATATCTGCAAACTAGCCGTCTGACAAGGGATTAATAACTAAAATATATAAGGAGCTCAAATAACTCTATAGAAAAAATCAATGTTCTGGGTTTTAAAATGGGTAAAATGCAAGGTATGGTATACGCCTTTGGTTCCAGCTACTCAGGATGCTGAGGTGGGAGAATCACCTGGGGGTGGGAGGCAAAAGTTTCAATGAGCCAAGATCGTGCTCTACAGCGTGGGTGATGAAGCGAGACCCTGTCTCAAAAAAAAAAAAAAAAAAAGGCAAAAGATTTGAATAGATATTTCTCAAGAGAAGACATACAAATGGCAGAATGGCAGACAAGTATATGAAAAGATGCTCAAATGCAAATCAAAACTACAATGAGATATCACCTCAGCCCAGTTAAAATGACTTATATCCAAAAGGCAATAACAGATGCTGGTGAGGATGTGGAAAAAAGGAACCCTTGTACACTGTTCATGGGAATGTAAGTTACTACAACCACTATGGAAAATAGTTTGGAGGTTCCTCAAAAAAATGAAAAATTGAGTACCATATGATCCAGCCATCCTACTTCTGGGTATACACCCAAAAGAAAGGAAATCAGTATATCAAAAAGATAGCTGCACTCCTATGTTTGTTGCAGCACTTTTCACAATACCTAAGATTTGGAAGCAAACTAAGTGTCCATGAACAGATGAATGGATAAAGAAAATGTAGTACATATACACAATGGAGTACTGTTCAGCCATAAAAAAGAATGAGATCCAGCCATTTGCAACAACATGGATGGAAGTGGAGATCATTATGTTAATTGAAATAAGCCAGGCACAGAAAGACACATCACATGTTCTCACTTATTTGTGGGATCTAAAAATCAAAGCAACTGAACTCACAAACATAGAGAGTAGAAAGATGGTTACCAGAGACTGGGAAGGGTAGTGGGTGGATGGGAGGGGATGTGGGGATGGTTAAGGGGTACAAAAAGGTAGAATAAGACCTACTGTTAGATAACACATTAGGGTGACTGTAGTCAATAATAATTAATTATACACTTTAAAATAACTTAAAGAGGGTAATTGGATTGTTTGTAACTCAAAGGATAAATACTTTAGGGAATGGATAGCCCATTCTCTATAATGTGCTTATTTCACATTGCTTGCCTGTGTCAAAACATCTCCCTCACCTGATAAATATATATATATCTTCTACGTACTCAGAAAATTTTTTTACAAAAGATATTACAAAACAAGATTTATAAGTCAGTCTGTAGGCAAAAGGAAGAATTTACTTTGAGATGGGCTGCATCTGTTCCAACCTCTGTGTTAAAAACTGAGAGCATATCATTATTTTAAATACCCATGGTACATTACAAAACTGGATCACATATTAGGTCACAAAGATAACCTCCCTAAATGTGAAAAACTCAGAAATTATATTACCAGAGACCTACCGACTGCAACAAATCTAAAAACTATGAAATAGTAAAAAGTTTACTTTTTCAAAGTAAGAAAACTGTAGTAAAATAGGCAATAATAGGAGATTTTAAAAATAAGACTATGTATGCAAACTCATGGGGCCCAGTCAAAGTCATAGGAAGAGGTAAAGTGCTGTATTAATTTATAGTATCATGGGGACATTAGAGTAGATATATCAAAAAGTTATACTTCTATTTATGCATCTCAGAAATTAATAAAATGGATTCCCAAAATAGTAGGGGAAGTATACAAATATATTAATTTAAATACAACAGGTATTTTTCCCTAATAATGTAAAGAAAAGGAGAATTCCTATAATTACAATTTATAATTGAGAAAGAAGAATTTTTGCAGTACTCTCAACTTTACCTTTGAAACAATATATTCCTGCTTCTTAGGAAATCTCAGATTCATACAGATAAAACACGTAAACAGTTACACTTAAGGAAAGGGATTAAAGTATCATTAATAATTAACAGATACCTTGAAAAAATCTTTGTGGTTATAAAAATATACCTAAAAAATAAGATTGAATGTCACAATAATAACATACAAATATATGACATCATAATTTTTCATTGATCTCCACTTATCTCTTTTATGCAATAGGATTATTCTGAAAAGGCACATCATGCTTGTATATGAACACTGGGCAATAGTCAGCATGCATTTTGAATACAGATTTTGAAAACCAGAGCTCATACATACAGTCTATATAGAGACTAAAGATTTCCGCTTCTAAAAAACACAAAAAAATGTAGAAAATATCTTTGAAATAAACTTTATTTAAAATCCTTTATATAGACTTAAAATACATCTCAATTATTTACACCAAATTTCAAAGTTTATTCTAGACAAGTTATGAACTTCTAAGAGAGCTAGATGATTGAAACAAGAGAAATCAAATTTCTAACAGAATAAAAGGAATTTTAAAGTTAAAATGGCATTACTAAGAGAATCACATATGAAGAATCAATGCTTATCAAAGAACTGTCACTTTATTTTTCCTTCAAGAAATATTAACAATTAAAACACAAGTAATCACATAATTGTTCATTTTTCCCCTCTTTCCTAAGAAAATAAAAGTAGGAAGAATAGAACGTGTTCTTGATTGTCTCATTAAGATTCAGCTAAAAATTCTCGTAGTGGCTCACACCTGTAATCCCAGCAATTGGATGACTGAGGCTGGCAGATAGCTTGAGCTCAGGAATTTGAGCCCAGCCTGGGTAACATAGTGAAACCCCATCTTTACAAAATACAAAAATTAGCCAGGCCTGGCCAAGCGCGGTGGCTCACGCCTGTAATCCCAGCACTTTGGGAAGCCCAGGCAGGTGGATCACGAGGTCAAGAGATCAAGACCATCCTGGCCAACGTGGTGAAACCCCCGTCTCTACCAAAAATACAAAAAATTAGCTGGGCGTGGTAGCGGGCGCCTGTAGTCCCAGCTATTCCGGATGCTGAGGCAGGAGAATGGGGTGAACCCGGGAGGCACAGCTTGCAGTGAGCCGAGATCATGCCACTGCACTCCAGCCTGGGCGACAGAGCGAGACTACGTCTCAAAAAAAAAAAAAAAAAAAAAAAAACAAAACAAAACAAAACAAAATTAGCCAGGCCTGGTGGCATGCCAGGAGTCTCAGCTACTTGGGAGGCCGAGATGGGAGGATCCCTTAAGCCTGGGGGTTCGAGGCTGCAGTGAGCTATGATTGCGCCACTGCAATCCACCCCGTCTCTAAATAAATAAATAAATAAATAAATGTAATTCTCAGTAAAATCAAAAACCATTGATTCATTCCTAGGAATCTGAAGATCTCAGACACTTAATCTGTGTAGGTAATGCCAGAGTCTTTGGAAATGTCTTATTTTAGTAGGTTCGTGATTTTTTTCTCTTTCAGGCAGGCATTAAAATATCGTGATATGTATTTGATATATAGCCAGTCATTTTGATTGCATAAACTAGTTATGTGAAGAAAAGTTAAGAAATAATATTCAATTTGGTTCAAGAATAAAATAATCATGATCTCTTAAATTAAGCATTCTCTTTAATTAAGGATATTTTCCCCCCTTTGAATCAGCACCTTCAATGAAATTGTACTTTTATCGGCAAAATCGTATAAAAAAAGTATAAAACTTGTCTTGATGAAAATTAAGCTTTGATTATCATCAGAATAGTTATTTAAAATTAAATACTATTTGCTTCTAAAAAAAAACAAGAATTTAACTGAGGGGGCACTCAGGATTATCTCGAGGTTTATTTAAAATTTCTCAACATAAGTTATGTTCTCAACTATGTGTGTATTAGTAAGTTTAGCATTTTTCCCCTTATTGTTTTTATATCAAATCATGATTCTGTAGAAATGCTCTCAGAGTAGAATCAGGAGTGGCTATTGGAATATCTAAATATGTATATGTATATGTATTTTCACACACACGGAAATACACACATATATATGCAAACATTTATGGGCACGCTTGATATATAAAAACAAACAAGTCATTCCATAAAATCTCTTTCACTTGAATTATTATAAAAAGTCAATAGTTTTTATAGAATTTAAGACGGCTGAATGCTTTGCCACCATTTCCTGAAATGCCTAATTCTATGGGCAAAGGTGCTTATATCACTTTTGTTTTGCTTTTGGCTTCTGATACTTCTTTTTCCATTATATGTTTGTTAGGTTTATCCTTTAGCGTTCTAGATTTTTCCTCTGGAGATATGTGGTATAAATTGTTTTGCATATAAATATAACCTAGGGTTGTTCCAGGAATTTTTGCTGATTCACAGGAAAAATATCTTCTAATTCTTTATGGACCAATTGTGAACATTTGAAATAGAGATGATCTGATAGTGTAATATCACTAGCTTATACATAGCCTTGTTTAGTTGTCTTTAAGAAGACAAATGCAGAACAGAAAGAAAGCGTTAAACCTTAAATATCTTTTTATCCGACACTTTAAACTCCTCTGTTCGCTATATTTTAGGTATATATAATATATCTTATATAATACATGTGCATAATTTAGATATAAATTTATTTTTTAATCAGCAGGGACGAATAATAAGAAACGTTTAGAGCACGATTTTATCCAACTTAGTGATCCTTGTCTTCAAATTTAACAGGTGGACTCATCATTTGCTCTTTCCTGTCCTCTCAGAAATCATATATCCTCAGTGCAATAGGTAAGAAAAGTTAGATTTCAAATCCTCATTTTAAAATATTAAATATACTTTGCTTCTCTTTCACTAGACATGAGAAAAATCATCAAACCAAGAGCTCCCTCTTTAGGTGATTATAAACGTAAACAAGATGGCTGCTTGTTTCTGAAGCTCTCAGATTACCTCAAAGGTTTTAAATTTTGGGGTGGTGGAAGTTCACCTTATGCTTATGCAGTTACTTCAGCACAATTTAGTCAGCAAAGAAACAAAAACAATAGAAAAAATATAGTAACATTATAAGCTAATATATCATAATCATAAGAATAGCAATAAAATTACTTATAAGTAAATAAAAAATATACTTATTTACCACTTAAAGATAAAGGAAGTAAGGAAAATAAGAGAAAGCTTTATGAATAATATATTCATTGCAAATTATTTGTAGTAATGATAAACTGAAAACGACCTATCAATTAAAGAATGGATTAGAATCTGTCCTGTAGAATATCCACATGGGATGACCGTAAGTCATTAAATTTATATTTATAGAAAGTTTACAATAGAATTCCATGCTTATATAATATTTGGGGTATAAAAAACATAATATATAATCTATAATACATAATTTAATACATATTAAAATAACATAAAAATATAATACATAATTTTTGCATAATCACAACTATTAAAAGTCAAATATAATTAGCTAAACTACAATTTTTTTAAGAAAGTTATCAAGGTAATGAGATTATAAGTAATTATTTTTATTTTTATTACAGTTTTTTGAGTTTTCCAATTCTACCAGTTTTACTTTGAGTTTACTTTGAAAACCAGAGAATCAATCTTTAAGATATTTAATGTTTCTTGAAATTTATTAACTAATTAAATTATTAATTTAAAATAACTAGAAGTAGGTTTTCAAATGTGTAAAAATTGACACTTAAAACACCTGTATTTTTTTAATTATGTTTCGCCAATTACAATAAATACATTAACTGGGAGTTGCTTAGAAGGTCTTGTTCTAATGAGTAAGAAATTATTTTATAAATCTGGTAAACTAAAAAAACCATTTAAACCATGTTGAGCTTATAAATTATTTTTAACTGTAAGCCACAGCATATCTTGCAACCATGTTATGAAGCTGGTGATTACATTATAAAGGAAAAATCATGTGAGTTAATACTTTCAACAAGCAACTCGGCACCAGTGAATTTATATAACAAAAAAAAAAACAGAATAAATATATAGCTCAAAAGTTACATAAAGATTGTCAAAGGATAACTTTGAGACGTGCAGTTATTTGCATGCAAATGAAGGCAAATGTTGTCAATGAGAAAAGGGAAAACATGAGACTTGTGATGAGGAAGAGAGAAAAGAAAAAAATGGAAGTAACCTGGAAACAATAAACCATGTTTTACATTTTGGGGGTAAAACAGCAACTAGCAAAGGGATCAGTCTGGATAGGCTCCACTTGAGCAGGCTGGCAAAAATCATGAAAAATAACTAAATTGTAGTTATTTGTGGGTTATCCAAAAACCATGAGAAGTTGACTATGAAGTTAAACATGACAATTGTATTATGTAAAATCTTCCAGCATCTTTCTTTCTACACCTCCAGGTTACTTAGAGAGGTCTGTACCTTACCATTTATAAGAATATCTCGAGACTATAATTTTTAACAAAAATTTTTAGAAATCAAAATAAGATTGTTAAACACATTGATTATGCAAAGATCCCAGTTGTAGCATAGACATTTATAAAGCACATAAAATATAACATTATTGAATCAATATTTGATACAAAATTATTCATTATAAACATTAAAAATTATGTAATTAATAATTTGCTTGGCTTCATTAGAATTTAAAAGGGAAACTTTAAGATAAATTTGAAGCTCCAGGTTCTGTGAAAAAGAAAATACTGCCCAATGAGATATGATCTACCAAATTGATTTTCTAGAAAAAAAATTAATCATTTAAAATCATTCCGGGAATCTTATTGTGGTTAGTTATTAGAAGTTCAAAATCACTATTTTCAAAAATATACGTCACAGCATCTAAATAGGTAACTCCACAAAGAATTCAAATTGGGAAGGTTTTAAGGAAAGGCTCACAAATTTGATCTCATTTATTTTCATAACCCCAATACAATTATTGTCAACTAGAGTTGGAAAAGACAGTCTATCACACTCCTTTTCGTTCTTGAAGTTGAGACAATGAGTGAAGAAAAATAAACTAGGAGAATATTTCTCGTGTTCAGAATGAGCCCCATGACATTTTCAGAGTTATTGGAAAAGCCACTGTCAGTCATGGACTATTCATTGACCACACAGAGCCTAATTTCAAATGATTTAAAAAGATAACTTTAAGAGTGCAAATAGGTGATAATGTAAAGGAGATGCTACAGAAAATTATTCCACATATGTGAATGCTTTCATAGTTCTTGAAAACCCTTTTCTTACAAAGGTAAAATAATTGAGTTTACTTTGCAATTTTGTTTCAATTATTTATTTAGATCTTAATTATTCATTCTTAATATGAATGTAAAGTAGCCTATCCCTTGTGAAAACTCCCACATTCTGTATATGAGTCTAAACGTTTTATACATATTATAAAATTTTAAATTCTAAGTTGGATAGATTTTTATATTTCAATACTTCTGAAACTTAAATGTTCTATAATTAATGAAGATTTATTTTATATTAGTGGTTGTTTCTTTATACTCGTAATCTGTTATTTAGTCAATGGTTCCTCATACAATGTTTGACATTTTAGAATTTTTTAAAAAATTGTATTTTTCTGATCATTACAGTAACTCATTATTTTTACCATTACAGAAATGGAAAAATGCAAAGATACAAAGAAACTTTTCGAGGTCGCAAGGCTGAGAGGTGCTTGATCTGGATTTGAACTCAGATCTCTCTGATTCTAAAGCCCACACACTTTCTACTATGTCAACTTGCCTCTGTCATGTAACATAGGATAATTTTTCTTGCTGTACTCTTATTAATAACACTAATGATAGTAATAAATAAAACTGAGTTTATTATATACCTTGCAATGTTATAAATGCTTTACATATATTTTTAATCATCAAAATGACCTTATGAAGAGAATACCATTATAATCTCCTTTTGCATATAGGTAATCTGAATGAAGCACAAGATTATTTTTATATGTTGCTTTCTTTTTATAATAGCAGCACAATTCCTTATTTATCTTAATTTAAATTTTTAGTTATTTTTTACTTTTTATATTTTTGTTTATTTTGATATTTTTTAGTTATAGTAGTGAATAGGAAAATCTCTGTAAAGGTTGATTTGCTGTTAGCGCTAAGGTAAGCTTATTACCTTTGTTTGATTTTAATGAACTTCAAGTGAACTTAATAATTTTTTTTCCTTTAATTTGCCAAGTATCAAGAAATATCTGATCAACCAAATTGAGCTCCTCATTATGGATTGGACCTACATGGGTTGTACCCTACCGGCCTTCATCTCATCCACAAGCATCTACTCATTTGTACCACAATCATTTAACAAGATCTATGATTACCTTTTCAAACTACAGAAAGAAAACACTTTATTTCCTTCTCTGTTTACATCAATTCAAACTCCACCACACCCATCACAAACTCTAAACTCTTCAAATCCACTAGGCAAAGCTCATCATTGCTCAACTCCATTTAAGGAAAACCAGCAAACTCAATTTCAATCAAGAATAGCCCCAGCACATCTACCAATACAGCTAAATATTAGAATGACTGGTTTCCACCAACTACGTATCTTACAAATCTACCATATTGGAATCCTTACAATCCTCACAACACATTCTTAAAGCAATATCAACAACTTCTTCTCTGTTAACCCCTATTGTTACCATGTCTATCCAAAATCCAACTCCTTATACCAATACTAAGTAACATATTGCTATTGTCTTCACAACCACTCAAACCTACCCTACTACCACACCACCACAGAACCTACTATAATTGATGCTCTCTCTAATACCAGCAAGAATGCTGCAATTCCTATTCAATACACAGGTATAATTATAGCTTATGCCTGGGGCTACATGGCTATATTGAATTGTGAGTGTGTGTATGTGTGTGTGTGTGTGTGTGTGTGTGTGTGTTTTGAGAGAACAGGATTGAAAATTATAAAGCATGCTGTCTCCCATCACAAAATTAAAACTCTAGTTAAAGAAATATAAAATCAAAATTTACAAATTTTGTAAAGGCTTTCAGGAAATTTCATGGGACTAGGATATAGTAATGAGAAGTAGTAAGAAATATCACATTCACAATACCTGCTTTGTGTAGCCATTCAAGAGAGAAATAAGCCACTATGTTTAAATAGTGCCAGTGTCTGATTTTTGAAATAATACATGACTTTACATAAATATATTGCATGCATTCAAGACTCTAACATTAGAATTCTGATACCTGATTAAATTATGGTACTTGTTCTACATAAAGTGCCATCTGAAAGTCTTATACCTTAGACTAGGAAATCATCATCCTATTAGGATAATGCTTCACAGCATGGTAATGCTTCTCTTGAATATCATCTAATTGTTGTTACTCTGAATAGACCTTTAATATATTCCTCAATCCATTATAATAAAAGCCCTAATCTAATTATCATCATTAAACAGCATTTATTTAGTACTTTCCTATGTTCCAGGCAGTGTGAATGTAAGCACTTCACATTGATTTATTCATGTAACACTTAAACAACTCTACAATCATGAAGAAAATGAAGCAAGAAAATATAAAACACAGGTAGGTGTGAAATCCAGGCATTCTTTCTTCAAATGCTCCATGCTTAACTACTGCAATGTTTCTAAATATGCCTTTCTACATTAAAATTGTATATATGTTTATCAATACCCAATAAAAGGAATTTGGACTAAATAATTTGTATATTTCTTTAGGTTAAAGAATAGAATAAATTCTTTCCATATTCTTATTCTTAGTGTCACTAATATAAGGTACATTACTATAAAATTTCTCATGAATTCATTTCAATAAAAGTATATTGGAAATTACATGTAACACCTGACTCCTGCTAAAATGATACTGAAAGAAAATAAAGCAGATATGGACCTCAACTGCAAGGAACTTAGGAATTCATTCTTGAATATTAGCCACATAAGTTTTATGCCAAAATAAAAGTGGCAAATCTCATTAAAAATATATAAAGAATCATTGGGTTTCAGATGAGGGAAAAAAATAACTCAAGTTGGGCACATAAGAAGACTCCCAAGAGTGAGAATATTTTATTTGGGCCTGAAAGAACATGAAGGTCATTGAGACCCCTAGTTTAGAAGTCTAGGAGCATTCCAGAAAGAGTGAAGAACATCAGAAAAGCAACAGACCTTTAAGGAAAATAGGATGTGGTTTAGATAATCCAGAGCAAATGGTTCATGAAGAGGGTAGTGGAGGAGAAAATAAGATTTAAAAAAGGAGAGGCAGGGTTCAAATTACATAGACTTTTAAATGAACTCTTTTCTACAGGTATAACCAGTACCTGACCTTCTGTACTCACATCCTGCTAACTTCCTTCATTTCTCTAGGCACAATCTTATTGTCACTGCTTTTTCAAAGAATCTACCACATATCACCACTTCCTCAGGGTCCACGCTCTTACCACTCCCCAGACAGCCCCCAAACCTACTACTTCCACAAGGACCACATTAGCAAGAATGGTCATCAACATGCTCCCAAATGTGCTCACTACATCTCCTTCTTCAGAAACATGGGTGCCTATAACAATATCAGCACTAACCAACAAAATGTAGGCTAAGTTTAGCAACAACTCATCTAGAGGTAAATTGGGGACTGGACAAAAAGTTGCATCTGGAACTTCTTTGACTAATGCGAGCCTTAGCAAATTCAGGACTACCCCGAAACTTTGTAAGTCAGCACTAAGGTTGATGACAATCATGTGGATTTTGACACTGACCTTAAAGCTGGCACCACCTTTGAAAAAGGAACAATTGCTATTTCTCCAAATGATGTCAATCCCAAAGAAGCTTATGTGTGAATATAATCTATGCAGTAGATAGTTCTCCAATCACAATTTGAAAAAAAGCATGCAAGAGAATGTGTTAAGGACAAAGCTAGAGAAATAAGTGTGTAGCACTGTAGCAATTAATTAGGAAATAAACTGTCATTTTAAATTCTCTATTGATTACTGTCACACAAAATAATTTACTGTGATTTTCTATTGCCATACACTGTAATACTTTCAAAACTAAAAATGACACTTTATAGATGAATCATATGAAGAGATACTATGAAGAACTTCAGGTGGCAGCCGGGGCACAGCGGTTCACACATGTAATCCTGGCACTTAGGGAGACTGAGGGGGGTGGATCACAAGGTCAGGAGTTCAAAACCAGCCTGGCCAACAAAATGAAACTCCGTCTCTACTAAAAATACAAAAAGTTAGCCAAGTATGGTGGTGGGTGCTTGTAATCCCAGCTACTTGGAAGGCTGAGGCAGGAGAATCACTTGAACCAAGGAGGTGGGGGTTGCAGTGAGCCGAGATTGCGCCATTGCACTCCAGCCCTGGTGACAGTGCAAGACTCTGTCTCAAAAAAAAAAAAGAAAGAAAGAAAAAGAAAAAGAAGTTCAGGTGTATACTAATTTACAGTAGTTGACAAAATCCACATTAATCTTCAACTTCATTTGCCAGTAAACTTTTGTATATTTTTGGCTACTATTTCAAGGTTCTGTTGTACCCCAAATTCCTAATACTAGAATATATGAATATACTGCTGCTGCTGCTTCTGCTACTGTTACTACTAACAACAACAATAATAACAACTCTGTAGTGCTTACTATGGGTTAGATGCTTTTGTAAATATTTCACTTATACTAATTCATTCAATCCTTATAACATCCCTATGAAATAAAAAGAATAATTATCCTCATTTTACAGAGGAAACTGAGGCATGAAGAAAGTCCGTCATTTGTCCAAGGTCACACTGCTAGTAAGCAGAGAAACTAATGATCGAACTCATATATGTCTGGCTCTGTAGCCTTTGTATCTGACCACTGCCCTGCATTGCAGCTCAACATCAGTGTCCAACTACAAACATTCGTATCTTAGTATCAGCTTATGTTTTCAATAATCTTTCCATTTTATAAGGACATAATCAGTAAATAAGGTTTATTTAAAATTTAGTGCAATTTTATCAGGAAATATCTTACTGGGGAAACAATGCAAATAATTAGTTCATTTCTCAGGTTTTGTTAATAGAGCTCAAAGAATGCTTTCAGAATAAAGATATTGTATAATAAAAATAGTAGCTAATATTGGATAAATAATGAGATGTGAGTCTGCAACTTAATAGTTGCTGGTATCTCAGGACAAGAATCCTCTCACCCAAAAAAACCCTCTTGGCTATGTCCCAATATCTAGCTAATAGAACAATAATTGTAAACTTCATGAAGGGGTATGTACTAGTTATTGTTCTGAAGCAAATGGAAAACTTAGATGCGAAAGAAAGCAAATCGCATTATGAGTCAAATCAGTGGAACAGTCCTAAATGTATGTGGCCTTTCTGGTTTGAAACTGATGACCTCAAATCTCATGAAAAGACAGCATTATATATTGTTCTGTTACTGGCACATTTACAACATTGTTGATTATCCAGCAGGCATCCAACTCAAGAGCCTCTTGGAATCAAAGGTGGATGCAAAGAAATGTTGTAGTAAAGGAATTGTTCAGTTGAGATGTGTTTGATCTACTAAAAGATGCCCATGGAAAAAGAAGGCCATTCTTTTTCATTTGACCTTTCATTAGCACCATTATTACTATTAACTGATGCATCCTCAGCACTGAATACAGAGCCCCACAAATAGTACTTATTTAATATTTTTGAGTGAATTAGTACATGGGATTTATCAAAATAAATGTTTTCAATGTGAGATTTAAGTTATAATCAATATTTTTACATACAAATCAGTTAAACAGTTGTTCATTCAATTGAATATATAAACGAGTTAGATTTTAACTTATTAACCAGACTTACCAGTGAATTTACCATATATTTCATGCATTACTAATGTTCTCATATAAATTTGACAACATCTTGTATTGTGAATTGGGAAGATATTATCCATTTTATAAAGATGAGGTTAAATAATCTCTCTAAAGTCAGATAGCTACTAAATGACAGCTAGGACTTAAACATAGTTCTAATTTTAAGGACAACTACATTTACCACGTAAGAAAAACCTTACCATAATCACTGCAATGCATTTTCAAATATACTGATGAATTCTCACACTTACATTTCTTCAGATCACAGAATGTTTACCATATGTCCTGACTGGTGATTATATATATATATATATATTATAGATTTACATATTAAAAACAGTAAATGATAAAATAACAACCAGGCAAAGTAAGCTTCACATAACTCAGAATACATTCAGAAAGCTCTAAAATGGGCCAAGTGTGGTGGCTCACACCTGTAATCCCAGCACTTGAGGAGGCCGAGGTGGGTGGATCACCTGAGGCCAGGAGCTCGAGACCAGCCTGACCAACATGGTGAAATCCTGTCTCTACTAAAAATACAAAATTAGCCAGGTGTGGTGGCACATGCCTGCAATCCCAGCTACTCGGGAGGCTGAGGCAGGAGAATTGCTTGAACCCAGGAGGTGGAGGTTGCAATGAGCCGAGGTCGTGCCATTGCACTCCAGCCGGGGAAACAAGAGCAAAACTCCACCTCAAAAAAAAAAAAAAGAAAGAAAAGAAAGCTCTAAAATGGTGCAAATAAAATAATTCTGATAGTTAATTTCAAACTGGACAAGAAAGATGTAGCTACATTTTTTCCAAATAAAGCTATTTTTAAAAATATTTTAATATATCTTAAGCAATTAGAATAATCTTGGTTTCAGCTTTCTCCTTAAATATTTTCATACACTGATTATTTCAATTCTACTCAAATAACAAGGAAGTAAATTATGCCCTTGTTTCCCACTGAAGTCTTCATTCAATGGAAGCCTATCACTCCCCAATATTGAGAAATACATACACAAATACAGACTTTAGAGCGAGAATATGGCACTGGGGTTTTACAAACTGGACAGAGCCAGGTGGAAGTAAAGAAAAATCTTTCTTAATCATAAGAATATGTCTATCATAATCTCCTCAGATTAGAAGAGAAAAATAAAAAGTATTGAAAACAAGAATCAAGGACAAAAAGAGAGTTCAAAGGAAAATCAGGACCAAAACCATGGAGAGGATTTGAGACACTTTCTAAGCAGGTTGGGAGGACTGGAATTAAACTTGTGGATGCTATTAACAAAGCCTGTGCTGCCTTACCATCCCCACATCTTCCCATCTCGAATGCATGCGTGGGTGGTGTCCTCTGAAGTCTACATAAGGAGGGATTCACATCTCAAACTTGTTTCCTTTCAGCTAATTGAGCCTATGATTCTGTCTTAAAAAGAAAGAGCAATAAGCAGTTTTTCCACTCAGACATCAAATATACAGTTAATTCATAGACTGGACTATTCAGAAACTCACATTATATAACCAGATTGTTACTAGCTTTGCTAAGACTGGGCCCCTTAATTTTAGACACTATGTTGTGGGTTTCCTAAATATCTCTTGAAAGACTCATTAAATAATTCTCTTATGCTCTTCCAGCTTAATTATACATGATTTACAAGCATCATATAATTTTTTATAAAACAGCATCATTTTCATAATGTTCTACAGTTTCAATTGCTTTTTGACAATCTGCACAAATTCATTCAGACGCTCTCAGTTTTTTCAAGTTTCATTCCATTCTTCTTCCTTCATTTCATAGAGAATTATTACCACAACATTCTAGGGCTTACATGAGACTTTGACTCACAATAAAATTGTAAGACATATTTTCTGTAGTTTGTTAAAATTGAGTATCTTGAATTGACTTCTAAACAATTTACTTCTGATTACATTAGAGTTTAGCCACAACATTATCTCTGAGTTTCATAGACTTAGGTGCCTTCTTGTAATAACCTTTTTACTACTTTCTTTAGTCTATCATATATAAATATCTTACATTCAATTCACAATGCAAAGCCAAAAATTAATTACAAAATTCCATAGTCACAGTGGTAAAATGTCACCAATTAAAATTGAATTTACCAACCAATTAAAATTGACTTCTCTAAATTAGATTTTAATATTTCCCAGAATTATTTAGTAAATTCTATAAGATTGACCCACATTCTTTTTACAACCCATCAGCTTATTTCCACAAGTCAGTATCATTTCTTTAATAATTATTTGTGTTTTATTTATGATTAATTTATTAAGTCTTATTACTCCCAAGATGAAAATATCCACAGTAATAATAAATAAGGTCACTTTATGCTCTGGGGTCCTAGATAAACTTGATAAACTAGGACATAAGGACTGCAATTCCTAGGCAACTCCTAGTGCTGGCCTGGGCTTAGAGCCAGCAGACTAGGGAGGCATGTGACCTAGGGAGATGCCAGTTGGGGCAACTAGAAAGCGCTTGTGCCCACCCCTCCCGCAACCCCAGGCAGTACAGCTCAAAGCAAGGAAAGTGGCTTCTTTCTTCTGCTTAAGGAAAGAGGAGAAAATAGTAAAGAGAACTTTGTCTTGCAATTGGATACCAGCTGAACTACAGTAGGACAAGGCAATGAGCAGAGTCAGGAGACCCCCATTTCAGGCCCTAGCTTGTGGACAGCATTTCTAGACATGCCTTAAGCCAAAAGGGTACCCACTCTGAGATTTGCTGGATTCAGGTGTCATCCTAGCTGGATTCAGGTGTGATCCTAGCTGGATTCTAGCTGTGGTGGCTATGGGGAGAGACTCTTTCTGTTTGAGAAAAGCAGAGGTAAAAGTAAAAGGAACTTTGTCTTGCACCTTAGGTAACAGCTTGGCTACAGAGTAGTAGAACAACAAGCAGGCTCCTGAAGTCCCTAGTTCCAAGCCTAGGCTCTTAGCATTTCTGGACCTGCCATAGGCCAGAGAGGAGCCCATTGTCCTAAAGGGTGAGTCCCAGGGCTGGCAGCATTCAGCACAAGCCGACTGAAGAGCCCTTGAGTCTTAAGTAAACATTGGTAAAGGCCTGGCAGTATTCTTTGTGGGCCTGTGGTGATGGTAGCCACAGGTGAGAGGCTCCTGTGCCTATGGAAAGAGGAAGGGAGAGTACCAAAGATTTTTCTCATGGTTTGAGTGCCAGCTTAACTGAAATAGAATAGAGTACCAGACAGATATCCAAGGTTTTTGACTCCAGTCCTTGGCTCCTGGATGGCATCTCTGGACCCACCTGAGGTCTGGGAGAACTTGCCACCCTAAAGGGAGGAAGAACATAAACCTGGCTGGCTTCTCCACTTGCTGATCATAGAGCCCTAGGGCCTTGAGTGAACATAGGTAGTAGTGAAGTAGCAGTTTCAGTGGGCCTTCAGCAAGAACAAGTGCCATGCTGGCTTCAGGTCTGACCCAGCAAAGTCCCAGTAGTAGTGGCCACAGGGGAGCTTGCATCAACACACCCCAGTTCCAGATGGCTCAAAGCAAAGAGAGAGACTGTCTCTTTGGGACAAAGTAAGAGAAAAGAACAAGAGTCTCTGTCTGGTAACCCAGAGAATTCTTCTGGATCTTATGCAAGACCATCAAGGTGGTACCTCTATGAATCTGCAAAAACAACAGCATAATTGGGTGTGGGGCCCAAGTCCCTTCAAAAACCTGGAAAGCTTTCCTAAGAAAGACAGGTACAAACAAGCCCAGATTGCAAAGATTACAATAAATACCTAAGTCATCAATGGCCAGAAACAGATAAACATCTACAAACATCAAGACCATTCACGAAAACATGACCTCATCAAATGAACTAAATAAGGCACCAGGGACAAATCCTGGTGAAAGGGATATGTTATATTTCAGAGGGATAATTCAAAATAGGCATTTTGAGGAAACTCAAAGAAATTCAAGATAACACAGAGAAGGTATTTAGAATTCTATCAATTTTTTTAAAAATTGAAATAATTAAAAAGATTCTAGCAGAAATTCTAGAGTTGAAAAATGCAAGTGACATACTGAAGAATACACCAAAGTCTCTTAATAGCAACAAATCAGTGTGATACATCATATCAAGAGAATGAAAGATAAAGATCATATGATCAATTGATGCTGAAAAGCATTTGATAAAATTTAACATTTCTTCATGATAAAAACCATCAAAAACCTGGAGATAGAAGTAACATACGTCAACATAATAAAAGCCATATATGGCAGACCCATAATTAGTATCATACTGAATGGGGATAAACTGAAAGCCTTTCTTCTAATATCTGGAACAGAACGAGGATGCCCACTTTCACAAGTATTACTCAAAATACTACTGGTAGTCCTAGCTAGAACAATCAGACAGGAGAAGGATAAAAAGGGCATCCAAATTGGAATGGAAGAAGTCAAATTATCTTTGTTTGCAGATGATACCATCTTATATTCGGGAAAACCTAAAGACTTTACCAAAATATTATTAGAACTGATAAACAAATTCAGTAAATTTGCATGATACAAAATCAACATATAAAATGAGTAGCATTTCTATATGCCAACATTGAACAAGTGGGAAAAAGAAATTTAAAGCTAATCCCATTTACAATAACCACACATAATGTTAAATACCTAGAAATTAACCAAAGAAGTAAGTGATCTTTATAATGAAAACTATAAAACTCTGTTGAAAGAATTTGAAGAGGACACCAAAAAATGTAAAGATATTTCATGTTCATGGATTAGAAGAATCTATATTGTGAAAATGCCCATCCTACCCAAAACAATCTACATATTCAATGCAATCCCTATCAAAATAACAATGATATTCTTCACAGAAATAGAAAAAAGCCCTAAAATTTATATGTAACCACAAAAAATGTAGAATGGCCAAAACTATCCTAAGCAAAAGAACAAAACTGGAGAAATCACATTACCTGACTTCAAATTATAGTACAGATTTATAGTAACCAAAACAGCATGATACTGGCATAAAAACAGTCACATAAACCAATGGAATAGAATAAAGAATGCAAAAACAAATCCACACACCTACAGTGAACTCATTTTTGACAAAGGTGCCAAGAACACATACCATGGAAAAGACAGTCTCTTCAATAAATAGTGCTGGGAAAACTGGATATTCATATGCAGAAGAAAGAAAGTAGACCCCTGGCTGGGTGTGGTGGCTCATGCCTGTAATGCCAGCACTTTGTGAGGCCAGGGAGGGCGGATCACTAGGTCAAGGGATTGAGACCATCTGGCCAACATGGTGAAACCCTGTCTCTGTTAAAAAAATAAATAAATACAAAAATTAGCTGGGCGTGGTGGTGTGCACCTGTAGTCCCAGCTACTCGGGAGGCTGAGGCAGAAGAATCACTTGAACCTGAGAGGCGGAGGTTGCAGTGAGCCAAGATTGTGCCACTGCACTCCAGCCTGGTGACACAGCTATACTGCATATCAAAAAAAAAAAGAAAGTAGACCCCTATCTCTCACCATATACAAAAATCAAATCAAAATGTATTAAAAACTTAAATCTAAGACCTCAAACCAAAAAATACTACAAGAAAGCATTGGGGAAGATCTCCAGGACATTGGTCTGGGCAATAATTTCTTGAGCAATACTCCACAAACACAGGCAACCAAAGCAAAACTGGGCAAATGGGATCACATTAAGTTAAAAAAACTTCTGCACAGCAATGGAAACAACCAATAAAGTGAAGAGACAACCCATAGATTGGGAGAAAATACTTGCAAGTTATCCATCTGACAACAGATTAATAGTCAGGATATTAAGGAGCTCAAACAACTCTATAGGAAAAAATCTAATAATTCAATTAAAGAATGGGCAAAAGATTTTAATAGACATTTCTCAAAAGAAGAGATACAAATGTCAAACAGGCATATGAAAAATGGATCAACATCATGGATCATCAGAGAAATGCAAATCAAAACTACAGTGAGATATCATTTCACGTGAGTTAAAATGGCTTTTATCCAAAAGGCAGGGAATAAAAAATGCTAGAGAGGATGTGGTGAAAAGGGAATCCTCACACACTATCATTTGGAATGTAAATTAGTATTACCACTATGGAAAACAGTTTGGAGGATCCTCAAAATATAAAAATTGAGCTGCCATATGATCCAGCAATACCACTGCTAGGTACATATCCCCCCAAAAAGAAATCAGTATATCAAAAAGATATCTGCATTCCCATGTTTGCTGTGGCACTATGCACAATAGCCAAGATTTAGAAGCAACCTAAGCATCCATCAACATAAAAATGGATAAGGAAAATGTGGTACTTACACACAGTGGAGTACTGTATTAGTCCATTCTCACACTGCTATGAAGAAATAACTGAGACTGGGTTCTTTATAAAGGAAAGAGGTTTAATTGACTCAGAATTCCACATTGCTGGGGAGGCCTCAGGAAACTTACAATCATGGAGGAAGGGAAAGGAGAAGCAGGCACCTTCTTCACAGGACAGCAGGACAAAGTGAGTGCAAGCTGGGAAATGCCAGACACTTATAAAACCATCAGATCTCATGAGACTTATTCACCATCCCTAGAACAGCATAGGGGAAACCACCCCCGTGATCCAATTACCTCCACCTGGTCCTGCCTTTGACACATGGGGATTATGGGAATTATAATTCAAGATGAGATTTTGGGTGGGGACATAGCCAAAGCATATCAAGTACCATTTAGCCATAAAAAAAGAATGAGATCCTATCATTTGCAACAACATGGATGGAACTGGAGATCATTACGTTAAGTGAAGTAAGCCAAGTACAGAAAGACAAATATCACACATTTTCACTTATTTGTGGAATCTAAAAATCAAAACAATTGAACTCATGGACACAGAGAGTAGAAGGATGGTTATCAGAGCCTGGGAATGGTAGTGGCAGAGTGGAAGGGAGATAGGGATGGTTATTGGTTACAAAAAAAAAGATAGAATAAATAAGACCTAGTATTTGATAGCCCATTGGGGTGACTATAGTCAATAATAATTTAAATATACATTTTAAAATAACTAAATGAGTGTAATTGAAATGTTTGCTTGAGGAGATTGATACCCCATTTTTCATTATGTGATTGTTATGTGTGGCATGCTTGTATTGAAATATCTCATGTTAATACCTAGGGGACGGGTGCAGTAAACCACAATAGCACACATTTACCTATGTAACAAACCTGCACATTCTGCACATGTACCACAGAACTTAAAATAAAAAATAAAATTAATTTAAAAATAAGGCCACTTTACATAGCTGTAATGAAAATATCACATGATAATTAATCAAGAGTTTCACTCAGTAATATCATTTCCTAGAGTGCAGAGAAAGTCAGCAATCATAACACTAGACAACAAGAAAGAAAATCAGCAGTTAACCAGTCCAAAACTCCCCTGCCTGGACATTACAAAAGATCTCCATCCACCCACCTCAATAGAAGTTACATGGGTTCATATGCTTTTGTATCATCACTCTGTAAATATACACAAAGAGCTCCATCTTACCTTTGAGTTCCGAAAACAAAAGTCTGTACCTGTCAAATCTGTATCCTCCTTCATTGTAACAAAGAAGACAACTAATTATCTTCCATTGATAAGTGAGTAATTAAAGAAAAAAATCTGTCCAAAGTCTATAAGTCAGGCCTAAGTAAAGCACTAGCATCACTTGCACCAAACTCATCCACTCCAACCTGGCAAATTTATGTCTCGTAAACGTGCAGGACCCTGCAAACCACACTGTCATAAACCAAAATTTATGACAAGGTCATCAGGCATTGAAGACATTGCAACTGGTGCCCCAACCAGTGTAATCCCCACTGTCCTTGGAGCTACTATTAATTTAGCCATAATCACTTGTACTATATCCAAAAGCAAAACCTCTGTGTCATTAGCTAAAACTAGTTCAACTGCCACTGCAATTCAGGGATCAGATGCAACCACCAGCACACCTAAAACTCTATTCTCAATCACTGCTACCACAACCCTAATAACACAAATTACTAACTCGGCAACAGGTGCTACATCCACAGTGCCTACTTCCACTGCAACTGCCCCAGCATCTATCTGTCCAGCCTCAGAGGCTGCTTCAGTGGAATCCACACTCCAAGGATCTGCCTCTCCCAGCACCACAAACTCCACAAACCCAAGGACTGGCTCCAATACCTTTTTAGCCTCTTCTTTCACCATTGCCTCTGAGTTTACCACAGAGGACATAGAAGCTGAAACAAACACAGAGAATGATGCCACCCTCCCAGCCATAGGTGATTCCACCACTCAAGCCGCCTCTACAACTTCAGCAAACACAAGTTCCACATTCCCTCCCATTGCTGCCACCACTGCTGCTCCTATAGTCTCCACACCTGTTGGGGACACAACTGCAATAGGTGCCACAACCCTAGGGATTGGTGCCACCACCAGTGAATGTATCATGTCCACATCCTTGGGTGTGACAACTCCCACTTCTGCTGCTGCTGCAGCTCTGTCGTGTGCTACAACCTCATCCTCGGAATCTTTAGCTTCCAACTCTACCACTGAGGATAACATCAATATCCAGGCCTCCAAATTAATGACTCAAGGGGATAAAGCCATCATTTGATGACACACACCTACAGATGTCAATTGCACCTTATTTACTATTAGATTTGTATTAGATATATAATATATTCAAATTAAATTTTTGGTAGATCGTGTGAGATTGGGGTCAAGATTCCTTTTGTTTTTTCCATAGAGATATGTAAATGATCATGATTAATTTATTGAAAGGGCAACCTGTTTCTGTTTCTTCCTCCTTTGTCATAAATCAGAAAATTACGTGTACATTTCTCTATTCTATTGATCTAATTGACTATTCTTGCACGAATAGCATACTGACCTAATTACTATATATGAACAAAAAAATTGTTAACTGGTAGTGTAAATTATTGAGTTATTGCCTCTGCATTTTTATATAAACTTAAGACTTGACCTACCAGTTACAAAATGGTCTACAGTTCAGTTTGGGAAGAATTCACATTTTTAAAATATTGTCTTCCAATTTACGAATATGGTAGATCTCTCTGCTTTATTAGGTCATTTTAAATCTGCTTAATCATTGTGATAGACAGAACAGTACCCATCCCCAAAAGATATGTATGCCCTAATTCTTGAATCCTGTGAATATTTTATCCTTCATGGTAAAAGGAACTTTGCAAAAGTGATTAAAGTTTAGAAACTTAAAATAGAGGGATTATCATAGATTACCCAGGTGAGCCCTAATCACATTAGTCCCTTAAACTGGAAAAGAAAGGCAGAAGAGTGAGTCAGAGAGATGTGACATGAGAAGAACCATCCAGCTTTGATGGTGGAGGAAAGGGATAAGTCAAGAAATGCACCAGCCTCCAAAAACTAAAATTCCCCAGTTTATAGCTAAAACAAAACATAATGAACCTCTTAGTTGTACAACCACAAGGAACTGTTCCGTCAACAGCTTGAATGAGCAGGAAATATTCTCCTCCAGGACCTTCAGAAAGGAATGTAAACTAGTTCAACCATTATGGAAGTCAGTGTGGCGATTCCTCAGGGATCTAGAACTAGAAATACCATTTGACCCAGCCATCCCATTACTGGGTATATACCCAAAGGACTATAAATCATGCTGCTATAAAGACACATGCACACGCACACGTATGTTTATTGCGGCATTATTCACAATAGCAAAGACCTGGAACCAACCCAAATGTCCAACAATGATAGACTGGATCAAGAAAATGTGGCACATATACACCATGGAATACTATGCAGCCATAAAAAATGATGAGTTCATGTCCTTTGTAGGGACATGGATGAAATTGGAAATCATCATTCTCAGTAAACTATCGCAAGAACAAAAAACCAAACACCGCATATTCTCCCTCATAGGTGGGAATTGAACAATGAGATCACATGGACTCAGGAAGGGGAACATCACACTCTGGGGACTGTTGTGGGGTGGGGGGAGGGGGGAGGGATAGCATTGGGAGATATACCTAATGCTAGATGACGAGTTAGTGGGTGCAGCGCACCAGCATGGCACATGTATACATATGTAACTAACCTGCACAATGTGCACATGTACCCTAAAACTTAAAGTTAATAAAAAAAAAAAAAGAAAGGAATGCGGTCTGCTGAGACCTTTGTTTTAGTCTGTTAAAACTCACACTAGACTTGTGACTTTAAGAACTATAACGTGATAAATTTCTGTTTGTGATCATTTGTTATGGCAGAACAGAAAACTAATCAGTAAAGTTTCATATTTTTCAGTGTGGAGCTTTAACATATTTCATTAGATTTAGTAGGTATTTGATTTTTATATTAGAAATGATAATTATTTTTAAATTTTATATTTTCATTGCTGATGTATAGAAATATCATTGATTTCATATGTTGACCATGTAATATAGTGATGCTTAGTAATGCTGATAATTTTCTTGTACATTTCTCTAAATCTTTTACAGACACAAACCTGCTGTCTGCAAATTATGAGAATTTTAGTTTTGTTCACTCTTTTTTTCTTAATTCCTTACTGCTCTAGCTAGGACCTCCACTACAATATTTTGCAGATGTGGCCATCAAGCATCTACTGTCATGCAGCAATAGATAAATAATACAAAATTTGGTATTTAGAAGTATACAAATACTCAGAAATGTGGAAGTGGCTTTGAAACCAGGCAGTGAATAAAGGCTGGAAGTATGTTAAGAAGCATGTTAGAGAAATCCTAAATTGCCTTGAGCAGACTTGCAGTAGAAAAGTATGGACTTTAAGGTCGCTGCTGGTGATAGGTCAGAAGAAAGTGAGGTACATGTTATTGGAAACTGGAGAGGTATCTTTGTTTCCTGAAGCTACTGGGAAAGAAGAAAATGTACCTAGTGAACTGCATGATCTAGATAAGATTTCCAAAGCATTAAAAGTATGTCTGGCTTCTTCTTGCTGCTGATAATAAAATGCAAAAGGACAGAAGTAAATTATAAACTGAGGGACAAACTGTTAAAAGGAGTTGGATTTAATTGTTTTGAAAATTCTCAGCCTCTCTTGACAGCAAGATATGCTGGATTTATGAAATGGCTTCCAAAGTTCAAATTAAAGGCACTGTCGGGAACATATGACCTAGCTGTAAAGCCAAGGGTATGCCTTTAATATTTGTTAAGACCTCAGGAAGCTCAAAGTTACTACAAAGTACTATTCAGTTACACAAAGAATGCTTTGTAAGATATATATATATATATATCATATATATATTTGTTTTCCTTTCAAATTTTCTACTATCAAATCATTTTACACTGCTCTGTTTTCCTAAACTTGACACCTTAAGACAGATGAGTAAGCTGGCCTCAAACTCCCTTCTCTCATTATTGGATATAAATCACATGTCAGAAATTCTCCTACTTTTTAAAAATCAACCTAACAGAAATACATCTAGGGTCATATTAAAATACCCAATAATTTGATAAGAATACTTTCAGGTATTCAACATTTTATTTCAACTTGATTGGTGTTTAAATAAGAAATAGCTAATAATCTCTTTTCTCCATATAAATAGCATGTTAATAAACAATGCATTTTATTTTTGATAACAAGAAGCTTGGTCTACTTTCCTAAAACTTGCTAAATGTACTTGAGTTCACATTGGAGAAGACAAGAATAATTTTTATATAAACATTAAGCTTATAATGTTATATGATAAAAAGTCCATATAAGGACCTTTCTTAAACAATTGTTAAATTTAAACTCAAATTTGGGGAATATGCACACCAAAGTCCTTAGCTGCTGACATTCTTTCTACTACATTCCAATATTCAATCAAAATAAAAAGATAAGTTGGAACGCCTAAGATAATTTTGACTTCATAAAGAAGAGTATGTGTTTAGTGTAAAAGAGAAAGGAGGCAAATTTTATTATGAATCAAAACAGTATGACAGTAGACGTATACATAATTTTGTTAACTTTAAAGTGATTACCTCAATTCTCAGAAAAAACAACATTGCATATTGTTGTTGCACAGCACTTATTATAATATCGATTATCACGCAGGCACTCAGTGATTTAAGTGCAGCCAAGCTCTGACTTCTGATCTTTGTGAAGTTCTTGGAAAAAACGGTGAATGAAGAAAGTTTGTCCAAAAGAAATGGCTGAGTGGAAGCATACTTGCTCTGTTAATCAGAGTTCAATCGATCACAGCCACTCTTTTTTGTTGGTTATACCTCTTTCCAATAAATCATTATACCCTCACGGCAGGAACTGGGCCTGTCTTGTTTCCTATTGAATCCACAATGCCTGCTAAAAAAAAATGAATACTCAGTAAATATCTATTGAATGAATAAATAAAAGTTGTCATTCCAAATTCAGGAATTATGAGTTAAAAAATTACATTAAATATATCTATAAATAAAAAATTATTGGGAAAATTCAACGCACAAGTTAAAGCTTAATATTTTTATGTAGTGCTACAGAGTTTGCAAAGCATTTCTGTGAGTATTCTAATTGAATTTGACATCAACTTATTCCAGTAAATAGTAAATTAATTATTCTCTTTTTATAGATGAGAAACATAGCATTTATATATAAGTTAACCAAGCTCACATAGTAATAAAATGACAGAGCTGAGAGTCAAACCTGGGCATTTTGAACTCAAGTTCAGTGCTCCTTTTTGTTATTCTAGGAATGCCTTGCAAAAGTTTTTGCTTTTCTTGTTCTTAAGTACACTGGTGATTTCTCACAGCTATAGTTGTTCAGAACCAGCACACGTACCATTGTTCTGCTGTGTAGTATAACATAGATGAATATGTGAAAATAATAAATAAATCACTATGGAATTAGAAAAACTATTATGCCCAGTGAAAATTACCTGCATTTCTCAGATGCATGGCCACAGCAATTGAAAAAGTATTCAGAAAGTAGATTAGTAGATAATGTAATGCACGGTCTCCAAAATTTGGGAGATTCTAAGTCCACTGGGTTGTGAGGAGTTGGAATGGGGGTGCAGTTGGGTAGACACATTTCACAAATTCCCCTAACATAGGAACATTGGGCTTAAGTGCTTAAATATGTTTAACCTGATGGAGAAAACATTATTGATATCCTCTTATTAAGTTATTGCAAATATTGGTTTATTCTTCAATCTATTAAACTTTAGAATATTGAGGAAAACTATAAAAATGTACTTGAACAATTTCCAAAAATTCTGAGACATTTCACAATATATATGTCATTCTATAACTGTAAATAAGAAATTGAACCATTGTTTTCTTAAGATGAGTAATAAACATAGAAGCCATAGTGTTAATTTATGAAGTTTCTTAATTATCAGATTTAACTATTGCTCTTTCCAAGTAAAAGATGAGATATGTTAACTTGGATAGGATGCTGCTAATGAAGATGATCAGAGGTGAACTGATTCAAAACACTATCTAGGAAGTAAAATGTAGAGAGGCTCTAGTGACTGATGGACATGGGAGGATAAGAAGAAAAGTCAAGACTGACTCAGGATTCCAGATTATACTACTAGGTAAATAGCATACCATCTACTGAAAGGGGGAACACAGGAAGACATTCTATTTTGTGGGGAAATATCATGATGTAAACTGATTCAGTTCAGACTCAGAGAAAAACACCAAGTGGTTTCAAAGTTTTCTGATTATGGTTCTAAAATGGATCTGTTGGCACCAAGGCCAGTGAAACTGATGACCCTACCATCACTGTCACAAGCTACATGCTCTCAGAGATTTTGTGAAACTTATTTATATTGAGTTTCCCTAAGTTAACTACAGACCACTTTTACTTTCCCTTTTTCTTTCACAAAATTCTGGTGCCAGAAGCCGTTTGTTCTGTGTACTTGTCTTAATAATCTGGCACCATGGAAACAGTGTCCATTTTCCACCAATACTACTGTCATATTAGGAAATCAACGTTGTGTTCCTCAGAATTAGACTAGCACAGGTCAGAAATAGGTTTGATTATTCAATATATTTATTGCAATTTGTAGGTCGTCTAACAATGATGACTTATCAATAAGAAAAGTATGGGCCAGGCACGGTGGCTCACACCTGTAATCCCAGCACTTTGGGAGGCGGAGGTAGGCTGATCACTGGAGATCAGGAATTGGAGAAGAGTCTGGCCAACATGGCGGAACCCTATCTAAAAATACAAAAATTAGCCAGGTGTGGTAGCGGCTGTCTGTAACTGCAGCTATTGAGGAGGCTGAGGCATGAGAATCGCTTGAACCCGGGAGGCGGAGGTTGCAGTGAGCCGAGATCATGCCACTGCACTGCAGCCTGGGTGAGAGAGTGAGACTCCATCTCCCAAAAAAAAAATAAAATAAAATAAGGTTTTATAAAATATTTTCAGAAGAACATGCATAGCATCCTATAGACTAAAAATTATAAACTAGATAGAAGAAGAAAGGAAAACTCAAATAATATCACAGAATCTTAGAATCTCATGGAACCTGTTCTTGGAACATAATAATACATAGTACACCATGTCATACATCATACATATAGGAGTTGAGTTCTATAAAGCTGACCCCTGAATTTAATAGCACACTATGTACCTTCCTAGAACTCTCTATCCCACAACCACTGGGATTATCCTAAATGATGGGAGTTGGGAGGGGATGGCAAGTGGGATGTGTGTGGCACTGAGTGGGTACTGGGTGGGTGAAGAACTTCTTAGTTATGTACAATTCCTAATCAAAGATGAAATGCTTTCTTCGGGTAAGAATTTAAATAAAAATATTAATCTCATTAGCAAACTGAATGGGAAAACCTAATTTTTTAGTAATTGCAAAGAATGATGATATTTTCAAAAAATGTATCTGTTAAGTTTTAATTTCGTATCCACATTTTAAGTTTAACTTCAGAAAAATATTTTTTCTTTATTCTTAAAATACCAGTGAAATTTGTATTTGGTATCACCTAGCAGTTTGGTTAAATTCATTCTCTCACCATTTATTCTTGGTAGATTGTATGTCTAGGAATTTATTGATTTCTACTAGGTTATTCAATCTTTTGGCATAATTTGTTCATAGTAATCTCTTATGATCTTTTTATTTCTATGGTATTCATTGTAATGTCTCATCTTTTATTTCTAATTTTATGTATATGAGTCTTCTTTCTTTTCTAAGTTAATCTAGATAAAGTTTTGTCTATTTTATCTTATTAAAAAACCAACTCAGTTTCATTGATCCTTTGCAATAGAGATCTTTTGGATTCTCTATTTCATTTATTTCTGCTCTGATCTTTATTATTTTTTTCTTATTCTAATTTTGGGCTTAGTTTTTTCTTTTTCTAGTTCCTTGAGGAGTTAAGTTTTTTACTTGAAGTCCTCTTTTTTATTGATATAGGCATTTATTGCTATAAATGTTCCTCTTAAAACTTTTTCTACAACCCATACGTTTTGGTATGTTGTGTTTTTATTTTTGTTTGTCTCAAGATTTTTTTTAATTTCTTGATTATTTCATTGGTTGTCCCATAGCATGATGTTTAATTTTCATGTATTTGTGAATTTTCCAAAATTCCTCCTGTTATTGATTTCTCATTTAGTTTCATACCATTGTGGCTGGGAAAGATACTTTATATAATTTCAATCTTCTTAAATTTTCTAAGACTTGTTTTATGGCATATGATCTATCCTGGAGAATGCTCTATGCATGCTTGAGAAGAATTGTGTACTGTTGCTGTTGGATGAAATGTTCTGTATATGCCTGTTAGGTTGATTTGGTCTGAAGTGTTGTTCAAGTCCAATAATTTTTTATTTATTTGACCTAGACAATCTGTCCGTTGTTGAAAGTGGGGTATTAAGGTTAGAATTTGTATCATTTTATAATGTATATCCCTTGACAATTTATTTTAGCTATAGTTGTTATTAATAATTTTGTCTTTTAACACTCACACTGGTGAAATAATTGTTTTATGGACTACCATTACAGTCTCATGGTATTTTTAATGTGGCTCTACATTATTTATACCATTGAGTTTTGTGTTCTCATATGTTTTATGTTATTAACTAGTGGCCTTTTGTTTCAGCTTAAAGAACTCCCTTTAACAGTTTCTGTTAGGCTGACCTGGAGGTGATGAACTCCCTTAGCTATTGTTTGTCTGAGCAAGTTTTTATTTCTTCTTCATTTCTGAAAGACAGCTTTTCTGGGTAAATTATTCTTAATTGGCAGTTTTGCTTTTTTCCTCCAGCACTTTGAAAATATCATTACACTCTCTCCTGGCTTAAAGGATTTCTGCCAATAAATCCGCTAGTAGTTGTATTGTGACTCCTTTATACATGATATGTTTTTTATTTCTTGCTGCCATTAGAATTTTTTTATTGTCTTTGACAGTTTGATTACTAGTGTCTTGGTGAACTCTTTTTTGTGCTAAATTTAATTGGTGACTTCTATGCTTCTTTTACATGGATGTTGGCATCTATCCCCAGATTAAGGAAGTTTTCAGTCACTGTTTCTTTAAATCTGCTTTCTGGCCCTTTTTTTTTCTTTATTCTCCATCCTATTATGCCAAGTTTGGGTCTTCTTATGGTGTCCCATAATTCCCATAGACTTTCTTCATTCTTTTTTATTCTTTTGACTTTTTGGTCCTTTGATTGGATAATTTCAAATATTCTATCTTTAAGTTCACTGATTCTTTCTTCTGCTTGATTGAGTCTTCTATTGAAGCTTCCTATTGAATTTTTCCATTTAGTCTCCATCTATAGGATTTCTATTTGGCCTTTTTGTTGCTTATAATTTTGTCAAACTTCTCACTTTGTGTATGTTTTTCAATTTTTTTTAATTTTCTATGATATATTCTCGCAGTTCATTGAGCTTCTTTAAGAGGAGTATGGCAAATTCATCATCAGTTATTTAATAGATCTCTTTCTTTAGGGTCCATTATTGGAGTTTTATTAATTTTTTTGGCGGGGGGACTTACTATAATTCCTGAATTTTCATAATTCTTGTGTCCTTGCATTATTGTGTATGCAAATGAGGAGACAGCCACCTCTTCTGGCTTTTATGAGTGTTCCTTGGCAGGGATAGACTTTTACTATTTAGTTTAACCTGTGACTCTGAAGGGTCAGATGGTGACAATGCCAAGAAGGAAGTTTGTTGTGAATTATCTATTTGGCTGAACTGCTGTCTTTGTTCTGATGTTAGGTTGGGCTGCTGGCTGTGCCCCCACTCACTCAGAAGACCAGGCAAAGCTGATGGCTAGGTACTGTGATGGCATTTGGTCAAACTGAAAACAGGATGTATTCCCTGGTTGGGTGATTTGCTAGTTAAGACCTGTAGTTGGACAGATATACAGGCTGGGGTCCAAGGTTAGGCAAAGAGCTTTGAACATGTGGGACCAGAGGCTATTCTCCATAGAAATGCATGATTGAGCCTGTAATCCCAGCAATTTGAGAGGCCGAAGTGGGCAGATCACCTGACGTCAGGAGTTTGAGACCAGCCTGGCCAACATGGTGAAACCCATCTCTACTAAAAACACAAAAATTAGCTGGGTGTGGTGGCAGGCACCTGTAATACCAGCTACTCAGGAGGCTGAGGCAGAAGAATCACTTGAACCCAGGAGGCGGAGGTTGCAGTAAGCCGAGATTGCACCACTGCACTCTAGCCTGGGTGACAGAGCAAGACTCCAAAAACAAAAAAGAAAAGAAAAGAAAGAAAGAAAAGAAATGCATGATTGACTATTGCTTCCCTGCCTTGTTGGCACAAGGAGGTGGGCTTTGTGGCTGAGCTGAGCCTCTCTTTGGCCTTGTGGGTCAATCAGTTCTAGCCCCTACAATTGGCATGGAAGTGCATGGAAGCAGACATTTCCCTGCTTCAGCAGAGCTGTAGAGTGAGTTTTGTGACAGGGTTGAGCTGCTCTTTGGCTTTCCAGCTCAAGCAAGCCTAGTAATTCCTACACTCCAAAATGTGCAGAGGTGGGCAGCTCTCTGCCTGGGCAGAGACATGGGGTGGGCTTTTGGCTGAATCAAGCTGGTATTTGACCTTAAAGAATGAGAGAATTTAGCCCCATGCTTCTCCAATAGGCACAGAGGTAGGCATCTCCCTACTAAGGCAAGGTCACAGGGTGGGCATTTGACTTAGTAGAGCTGCTACTTGGCCTCCCAATTCAAGCAAACCTAGCCCCTATGCTTCTCTGAAATGCATGGAGGTTGATGGACAGACTATTTGGCTAAGCTGATCCACTCTTAAAACTCTTTAAACTATCTGCATACTTCTCTGAAACATACAGAGGCAGTTGTCTCCCTGCCTGGGCAAGGCTAGGCATGCAGACTAGCTGTTTAGGGATTCATGCCAGTTGAACTTCCCACCATGCCTCTTAAAGTAAACAGCTCAGCTTTGCAGGTGGGCTATGTAGTTAGCTGATATCTCTGATAGGGTACCACAATTGGTAGCAAAACAGAGGTGTCACCAAGATCTTCATGTTGGTCTCTGTGAGCCCTGCTTCCTTTACTTTTTTCTACCTGACTCTAGGAGGTCTAGCCAAGCCATTACCCCAGTGTTTCCCATTTCTTTTTCCCCTGTAGAAACCCTGGGCCCAGGGAAGTCCTGTCTGTGTGGCATTGTTCTAACTTGAGGGAGGGGGAAGGGCAACACACTTCACGTGAGACCATCCTTCTTACCCTTCTAATTTAGTTTAATTTATTTTCATCCATTTCTATGGATTATGCAGGTTTCCCAGGCCTGTTTCCAAGTATTGGGGTTCTTATAAAGAAGTTATAGTCTGTGGATAATTGCTAGTTGAACTTTCTGTTGGGGGAGTAAAGTCTGAGACTTCCTATTTCACCATCTTGTTCTATTTTAAGTTTATATTGCAATTTATTCTAAATTAAAATACATTCAAAACCAAAACTCCTCCTAATCTAAAGAACAGACCAGCTACAGCAACTAAAATGAAAATATGAAACAATAATTGATTCAATGCCTCTCTTGGTAATATCTTCTATTCTCTGCCCCTGCAGTTCAGTGAGTGTCAGCAATAACAGCATCAGGCAACAGGAAAGACAATCAATAGTCAGCAGTCCAAAGCTCCCCTGCCAGGACACCATAAAGCAGATCTTCATTCACACAGCTCTTAGGGAAACCTCAAGCCCATTCTCATGCCTCTGCCTCACCTGTCCATAGATCCCCCAAAAGGGCTTCATCGTCACCTTTCAGTATTCAAAAATCAAAGTCTCTACCTGCTAGGGCTGCACACCTTTCTGTACCAACTAACAAAGCAGCCAAAGCAGCCAGCCAATCAACCTCTAATTCTAGGACATCAAGTAAAAAGAAAATACCTGTCCAGTCATCAAAGTCTACAAGTTAAACCTAAGGAAATTACATTGACCACTCTCAAGAAAGGATTGACTTTCCATTCATCTAGTCTAACAGGACAAAACACCCCACTGAGGGCAAGCAAAACTCTGAAACAACCTAAAAAAAGTCAATGGAAAACCACCAAGAAACAGTCAAAATGGACCCCAGCAACACCAAAGCCATTTCAGCTACAAAGAAAAGTCCAAAAACATCCAAGAAAATCCAGTCCATGCCAGCTAAGAAACAAAACAACCCACAATTAGAGCAGCTCCAAAAACATCTCAACCTAAGAAAAAATCTCTAAAGACCCCTAGAAATGCTTTGTCTACATCATTCAAAAAAACAATCGTCTAAGTCCACAGCAATAAAAGCTTCCCCTAAAACCTCTTCGACCCTCAAAAAAGAGCCAACTAAATTTAAAAATACTTTGTCTTCATCTGCAAAACAAAAATTAAATCAGGCAGCAGTAGCTAAAGCAATCCCCCAAAAAACATTAGCCAAAAAGAAAGCTCAAAATAAACAAAAAAATATGTGGCTAACTCCAGTAAAAAAAGATCCAACTAAGGCAACAGCAATGAGGGAAGCTTCCAAAGCCAAAAAGAAAAATCTAACTAAATCCAAAAAGGCAGCACCTACACCTGCCAAGAAAAAGCTAATTCAGCCAGAATCAGTTGTAATGAAAAGGAAGACACCTACAGCCAAAAATAAAATGTTAAAGAAACCACAAAAAACCTTTACTGCACCTGCCAAAAAACAAATGAATCAGCCTAAAGCACTTAAATTAGTACTAAACACACAACCAGCCTCTAAGAAAATACCAATTAAATCTAAAAGTTCCTTATCTAAAAGTGCCAAGGAACAGTCAAATCAGGCAAAAGATGATAAACCTCCAATTCTCAAAAACACTGTGGTCAAAAAAAAAAAAAAACTTAAGAAAATCTAAACTATTTCAATCTACACCAGCAAAGAAACAGCAGCATCAGATAAGTCCAACCAAACCAGGTGAAAAATCAGCTGTGGCCAAAAAGAAAAATATAAAGAAACCTAAAAAGTCTTTGTCTAAATCTACCGATAAACAGCAAAAGCAGTCACTTAGCACAGCCAAAAACATGTGGAGCAACTAGCAAACTCTAAGAAATACTATAAATAGGCTATCAACATCTGCCAAAAAACTGTTCAATCAGCCTAAATCCACTGAAGAAGGGCCAAAAAGATCTCCAGCCAAGAAGAAAATCAAAAAGAAACCTACATCTGCCAAAAACCAACAGAAATGGCCCACAAAAGGTATAAAGACTACAAAAACACATCTTGCAAAGACCAAATCTGTAAAACTACCTCAAAAAAGACAGACCACATCCCCAACAGCAAATAAAAGACTAAGTAACTTCCAAAAGAGACAATCTAAACCTTCTAAGAAAGATGTGAATCAACTTAAACCCCTTCAAGGAGTAAAAAGACAACCTCCTTTAGCAGGCAAAATGGAAAAACAATCTAAAAAAGGACAATCTGCATTTCCCACAAAAAGATTAAAATTATCTGAACAAGAAGGATCTAAATCTGTTCAAGACACATGGAAAAAGGTCCACAAAGCAAAAGGAAACCTTTCCCTAAAGTCACAAAAACACTGTTATCACATTCTCATGCCTCTGTTCCATCTAAATCTCCTTCTCCGCCAATACTACAGCCAGCTGGGTCACATCCCCATGCACACCAACATCATCATCACCAACGGCATCAATCATTTCATAAACCACCTTTCTGTAAACCAAAACCTCAGACCAGTCCAACAGGCATTACAACTGAACCCACCAGTGTAAATAATACCTCAACTAGTACAAGCAACCCTGTACCTAGAGTCACTACTAATTTAGCCACAATCACTAGTACTTTATCCAACAGCAAAATGTCTACGTCAGTTGCTCCAACTAGGGCAACTGCCACTACTGCTAAGGGACTAGATGGAATCACCAGAACACCTCAAACCCTATCCCCTGTCACTGTAACCCCAATGACATCAAACACTAACTCAGAAATAGCTGCTGTATCTACAAAGCCGGCATCAACTGCAACTGTCCCAGCATCTGTGTTGGCCTCAGAGGCACCTTCAGTGGAATCCACACCTCAAGGGTCTGCTGCTTCCAGTGCCTCAGCCCCTACCAACCCAGGAGGTGGCTCCACAACCCTGCAAGCCTCTGTCTCCACCATTGCCTCTGATTTTACCACAGAGGACTTAGAAACTGAAGCAAACACAGCAGAGGACATCACCCTCTCGGCCATAGACTATTCCACCACTCAAGCTGCCTCTACAACTTCAGCAAACACAGGTTCCACATACCATGCCATTGCTGGCACCACTGCTGCAGCCACAGCTTCCACATTTGCTGTATCCACAACTGCAACAGGTACCACAACCCTAAGGATTTGTGCCACTACCAGTGGTGCTGCCTCATTGTCAGCCAGTGCTGCCACAACTCTTGCTTCTGTTGATACAGAAACACCTGGAATTTCTACCATTGCTTCTTCTGGTTCTATTACAATAGCTGCATTGGGTGCCACCACCACAACTGCAGCTGGTGCCACAACCACAGTTGCACCAAGTTCTACAACCACAAGTACACCTGACACTGCCACCACAGCTGCATTAAGTGCCACCATCACACCAGTGGATGAGACTACCACTCAAACAGTAGATGGCACAACCACTAAAGCTACTACCTCAGTGGATGAGGAAACCACTGAGTCAGCAGATAATACAACTTTTGTAGCTGCCTCCACAACACCAATTGATGGCATCACAACTGGTGCAACTGACTCTACGACCACCAGTGGTATGGCTACAACTTCAGCCACAGTGCTACAACTGCTGCTGCCAGCACAGCCATATCCGGTACTGCCACAACAACTGAACAAGGTGCTACCTCTTCAACCCCTGTGACTTCAGCTTCTACTGCTGAGCCTGGTGTGTTGACCACCCTGAGTGAAACTACCACCCAGGGTTTTGGAGCTTCAACTGCAGAGGTGGAGACTACCTCCAAACCAGCAAATGACACAATCACCGAAGCTGTCACCACTCAGGCCAAAGATGCCACAATTGAACCTTCTGCCACAACCTCCATAGCTAACCCTACGTCCTCAGCAGCAGACTCCACATCTCCAGCTACCAGGACAACAGCTATTGCAACTACAGCCATAATACCTGTAGGATCTACCACTACAACCGTAGAGGCCTCCACAACTCCAGTGGTTTATGTCACCACAAGTGTCACTACCCATACCTTCAGGCACTGGTAACACGTCTTCTGGTACCACCACAACTGTACAGGGTGGTGATGCCACAACTGTATTAAGTGTTGCCACCACCTTACCAGGTACTTCTACCTATACTGCTGAATCTGATTCACTGACCAGTAACAGCGCAACTACCACCCTGACCCCTGATGCTACAAGTCCAGGGGACAATATCATCAATAAAACTGCAGATGGCACAACAACTGAGTTGCCATCCCTCCAGCCAGAGAAGCTACAACTCCATCTACTGAGGCCACAACCCTCTAGCTGCCTTCACAACCTTAGAAGCAGGCACCCCATCTATGGCTATACTTCAACAGCTGCTTTTTCTACAACCGTAATTCCTGTAGCAGCCACCACTGCAACAACTGCAGCCTCCACAAGTGTTGCCATCAACAGTAAGCCTTGGGTGACACAACTACTGCCAGTATGATTGTACCAGGTCCTGCCACCACAATCACAGTTACTGCTGCCTCCAGTGCTGAACCTGCTTCAATTATTGAAGCTACAACTTCAGGAGATGAGGCCACTACTGAAGGAAGCTACAGTGCTCCAGCTATCACAATGACAGCAGCAACAATCACACCTAACAGTGACTCCATCACCACTGCCCTAGTGGCAGCCACCAGTCCCATGACTATGGTCACCACAAATACAGCCTCATCTGGAACCACCTCTGCTGCACTATCTGCTGCTATAACTGCAGCCAGTTCTCCTACAATTGGCATTAACACTGCTTCCTCATAGTGAAAGCAATGCTAAAGTTCATCTCAATCACCTTGATAAACAGGTAAACTAATGCATGTAAACAATTAGAAGAGAAAAATCAAAAGTGTTCTATATATGCCCAAATACATTGCATAATAGCTAGTTATTCCTGATTTGACTAAATTTTGAATTTCCAATTGTGTGAAAGAGAGCAGGTACTCTTCCAATTTATATGTAAGAATACAGAGGTATGGGATGTGCCCAAATTCAGAACACATGGTGGCAAAGTCAGGACTAGAAACCAAATTTCTTAATACTGAAGCCCACTGTCAGAAAGCTTAGAGTTCTAGAATAGTGATTGCAAAAGACAGTTTAGTAGATAGTTGAATCAAAATCAGTTGGCTTCTTTTTCAATATAATTATTACTGAGCTCTACCACTATAGAAATTATATTCTTTTTTTTTTTTTTTTTGAGATGGAATCTCTCTCTGTCGCCAGGCTAGAATATAGTGGTGTGTCCTCGGCTCACTGCAACCTCTGCCTCCCAGGTTCAAGCAATTCTCCTGCCTCAGCTTCCCGAGTACCTGGGACTACAGGCACACACCACCACGCCCAGCTAATTTTTGTATTTTTAGTAGAGACAGGGTTTCACCATGTTGGCCAGGATGGTCTCAATCTCTTGACCTGGTGATTCACCCACCATGGCCTCCCAAAGTGCTGAGATTACAGGCATGAGCCACCGCGCCCGGCCAGAAATTGTATTCTTAATATGATCTTCAGGGAGACAGGGGAATCTGATGACCTTATGAGTGTGAAAACACTCACCTGGAAGGTACTGCAGAAGGGGAAATCAGCATGTATACAAGCTCAAACCAGAATACGTTAAGATTTTGTATTCTTGTAAGTCAAGAAATTGTAAGCCATTTCCTAGACGGGAATATAGCAAGAGTTAAACCTCAGTTAAATTCAGATGTAAATGAGGGCATAATTTTACTATTAATAACGAAGATTTGTGGAGAAGAAAATAGAATTTTGTAGACATCAATATACACTATATACATATCTTGATGAAGAACTAGTCTAGATTATAGAACCTAATCTAAAACTCTAGGATAAAAAGAGCATTCCTACGACTATTTCAAAGAAAGAATTGCTGGAACGTATTACCTATCAAATTTTACATAAAGTTTTTTTTGTTGTTGTTGTTGTTGTTGTTGTTGTTAAAAGTGGGCCAGGCGCAGTGGCTCATGCCTGTAATCCCAGCACTTTGGGAGGCCGAGGTGGGAGGATCACGAGGTCAGGAGTTTGATACCAGCCTGACCAACATGGAGAAATACTATCTCTACTTAAAAAAAAAAAAAAAAAAAATTAGCCAGGCGTGGTGGCATGCACCTGTAATCCCAGCTACTCAGGAGGCTGAGGCAGAAGAATCGCTTGAACCCGGGTGACAGAGGTTGCAGTAAGTTAAGACCATGCCACTGTACTCCAGCCTGGTGACGGAGGAAGACTCCATCTCAAAAAAAAAAAAAAAAAAAAAAACAACAAGTGAACAAAAGCATTCTAGGTAGTAATAATAATGAATGAAGCCTTAAGTGTAACTAGATGCGCTTTACCCTTAGCATAAAACACATAACTAGATGTGTTTTCCTCTAAAATACAATTATGTGCTGTCAGGAAAATAAGAAAGGGGTGCTAGGGGCTGCTATACAGAATGTGATTCATTTCAGATAAGAAATAGAAAATAGCCATTTTAAAATGACTAGTTAATGCTTATAGGACTGTATGAATTAATTGTACATTTCTCAACATTTTTCAAGGTCTTAATATGGCTCAATATTAAACTTTTCTTGCTAACTTTTGCCAACATTGCCTCAAGAATTTGCTATCATAATTCTTCAGAAATGAGATAATTCTAAAAATTATGCTTCTTTCACTCTCTTACTTTTTAAATGTGTTTATTTTTACTTCTTCAGCTTTTGTTCAATAAATCATTTTGAAACTCATTTGTTCCCTGTATGCGTTTTATCAGTCCCACACATCTTTGGAACTAGATTAAAAGTTTCATATGCTCTATCAGTCCCACACATGTTTGGAAATGGATTAAAAGATTCACATGCTTGTCCCTTTAAACAGCCCCCAATAATGAGCAATACTTAAATATAAGATTGACCAAGGCCTTCATGTGCCCCTCAGCTTGATTAAAGTTTAGACAGATTTCTTCCTGATTCTAGGCCTCTGACCTCCCTTTTATTACATCATTTCTTTAGAAAACTTACAATAGGAAATTATTTCTCTGCCCCTTTGAGATGTAATTCTTTTTAAAAGCCTCTTGTCAGCTTTAGAACCAAGAATAAGTCTTTCTTAAGGACCTGGGAGCCATCTCTTTAAAATGTAACCATTAAAGAAGATAGTGCCCCCATCTTCCAGTCTCTATGGGAGGGTAGAAGCCTAACTTTAACAGATACCAGTTAGCAAACACAGATGGTCTAACGACAGAGAAAAACATTTGTAAATTCAAAAATCAGGCAATGTGCTCCACCCAAGCCATTGGTCAGTGCCCTCCCTGCAAGATCCTCCAATACTTTTCTCACCCCAGTGTTAAAAAACCTCCCACCGCTTGTTTCATTAGACTTGACTATTGTAATAGACTTGACTATTGTAATAACTTTGAATTAAGTCATCCTCGACTGATAAACTTTGTCCTGCAATTTTTGCTTTGATGAAATAACTGTGTGGGCTGCAGAAACCATAGGCAAATAAAATTTGGGTTAAAACTCCCATTAACCAACCTCCACAAGAAGATATCAAAGGAATGAAAATAGAGGATCATGCCTACTAAAATAATATGAAATATCTGTCCCATTTTGCCTACTTTTAAGGGCATGGGAAATATATATAAAATTTTTGAAACTGATACATTATAAATTGCTTATAATAAATATACTTTTAAACGTATAATTGACTTTGGTGCAAAATAATAGTAAGGGAAACCCCCAGCACAAAAACAAAAAGGAAACAAAATCCAGGGAGGAGAACATGTGTAGGGACTCAGAGACTGCCCTGAAGGGCAGGCTTGGCCTTTTTAATACAGGATCTCGAATTTTAAAACCAAGATGAAGGCAAAAGACAGGACTTTAGGCTCACTTCAGGCAAATAGTTGGAACTAAGATTCTCCACATAATTCTGGGACTCTTGGGAAGCCATGTCCCTCATATGCACTCAAAGACGTTTGATTACTGGTAATGGTAAATAAAAAGCAATGTGCTGACTCACTTGAGCTCTGAAAATTAAAGAGAGTTTAAAAGACAAAGGGCATGGATTGATAATGCCTAATAACATTCTCCCAATAAAACAATACATAAAGGAAACAGGAAATATTCAAAGACAAAAGGGCTAAGAATCATTCGAATTTTTATTGAAGTCATAAACATGTAAACATTTTTAAAAATAAAACAAGGAGACTGTATGAATTTTTTCCTCAAGCAAGACCTGTTGTAGTGACAGTGGTGGTTCTATTGGACCAGGCCTTTCCTAGGGGTACTCTCTTCATAAATAAATCAAATCAGAGGAATAATGTGGCCACATCACAGACACTGAAGTTTTGCCCAGCTTGTTTATACATCTAAAGCACTCTCAAAATTACCATGTACAGTTCAAAACAAACAATAATAATAGCTGACAATTAGTGAGTGCTCGTATGTACTAAGCGCTATACATTATCATGGAATCATATTAGACATTAACAACAACTCGGTGAGGTTGGTTCTATTGTTAGACCCTTTTTACAGATAAGAAATCTGAGTCTTGGAGGAATTAAGTGTTTTGCTCAAGGTCAAAGAGCTAGGAAGTGAAGGATCTAGCACTTATAAAATTACATCTAGATTTAATGTGAAATGCATGAAAAATTAACACACAATTATTTTAGTTGCATACAACATCTTAGGCATGGAAAAATTGGCTCTAAGCATGTGAAGAAGTTGAAATCCCCTGAAAGAAATGGGCATATAAACTAAGGTTGTTTTAATACATAATCTAAAGCAAGCAGACTCAGAGGATTATACTGGATACTAGATATTTTCTTTCCACCAAAAGACTGAAAAAGACAGCTGAATGTAAAAGAAAGTACTTCAGAAAAAATAGCACTATGAAATTTATACTTAGAATTTTCATTTCCTGAAAAGTCTGAAAAGTTTACATGATTGTCTTTGGGAGGTATTATATCAACACCTAGGAGGCCAAGGGGAGGCCCTCTGACCTGAGGACCTCCTCAATGTAACAAGAAGTAGATAGGACTTCTTTTCTACAATTTAAACACACAGGAATTTTTAAATTGAATTCCCATTAAAAACCCACATGAAAAGAAGTATATTGTAACATCTAGTCTTTGTTGGCATGGACATTAAGGAAAGGGTGGGAGGGCATAAAATGATTTATTCTGGGTGATGGGATCATTCATACACCAAACCACAGTGACATAAAATTTACCCATGTAACAAATCTGCATATGTGCCCCTGAACCTAAAATAAAAAAGGAAAAAAAGAAAAGGCGGACACAATCATAGGTGCACAATCCAGTTAACTTTTCAAATTGAACACACCATGTAACCAGCTGCTACCCAGACGAAGAACTACAACAAGCCAGAAGTCTCTCACATTTTCCCTTCCGGCCATTTTCCCTAAACAAAAGATAAATAGCATTCTGACATTTATCACTTCATTTCTGAGTTGCAGATCTCCATTTTCAGTTGCTTTTGAACAGAACATGTCCACGTAGATACCATGGAAACATCTCAAATGCTACATGTTTGAAAAAGAGTGTTATCTTTGCCCCCCACAGTCTCTGCCTCCTGATCCCCTCTCAATTAACATCTATCATCCACTCAGCTGCCCAAGCTACAAATCTCAGCACTATCTTCAACTCCTCTTCTTTATCATCACTATTCTATTGGTTCTTTTCTATTATTTTCTTGGTTTTTTATAAATGATACTTTCTTTTTATCCAAACTTATCCTTTCAGAGCTTTATGATGTCTGATTTATATTGCGTATGTAATAGTCTGCAAACAAGTCTTCCTGCTTCTAATTAATCTAATTTCTTCTCCTCACGGTAAAGATCAAGAACAGCTGGAACATTAAGGTTATCACAATAAGGCAACATGACTGGTGCCAAGTGAGCTATACAGAAAGAAAACATAAGGTCTGGGAGCTATTAATACCAGGAAACAGTATTTTATATGGCCTTTAAAATTTTAGCTTTATCTTTATTAAGATGAATAACCATCAGAGGCTTTGAGCAAAAGAGTGATATAATCTGACTAACATTTAAAAGAAACACTATAGCTGCCTTTGATGATAACAGAGAGTGGAAACAGGAAACTAGTTGAAATACTAAAGCAAGTAATCAAGGTCAAAATTGATGGCTGCTGGACCAGGATGGGAGTGGTGGTGGAGCTACGAGAAATAGTCGGGCTCTAGATATATTTTGAAGGCAGAGCCATTAATATTTGCTCAATGACTGGATTGTTGGGTATGCAACAGAGTAGGTAAAAATGACTCCAGAATTTTTGACCTGATAATTAAAAGGATTAATTTTTAATTATCATCTATTAGTGTGCTTGGGCTGCCAGGACAAAATATCATAGACTGGGTAGCTTAAACCATATACATTTATTTTTTCACAGTTCTGGAGATTACAAATCCAAGATCAAGATGCTGGCTGATTCAATTCCGGATGAGGGATCTCTTTCTAGCTTGTAGGCAGCTTCTTTCCTGCTGTGTCTTCATATAGAATTTCCTCCAATACCTTCTAAAGGTCTTATCTCCAAGTGCAGTCACATTGAGGGTTACAACTTCAACATATGAATTTGTGGGGGGACACAATTCAGTTTATAGCTGTTGCCAACAAATGAGATTGGAAAAACTATGAGAGCAGTTTTTGGGATGATATTGGGAGTATATCAGAAGTTTTGTTCAGCTATGCCATAGATCTACCTATTGACAGACCATTGTCTCTATTAAATAAAAAGATAGATATAATATCTGGAGTTTAAGGCAGATGCCTGAGCTGGAGATATTAATTTGATAATTATTATCATTTCAATGATATTTATAGTTAGATATGTGTAACTAAACAAATTTGTCAAGGGAGTATTAATAGAGAAGGGAGGAGATTCAAAGGCTGAACCACAGAATGCTTCAGACAGAAGAGAAGATGGGGGAAAACAACAAAGATATGTGAGAAGAAAGGTGAGTGAAGTTGAAGAAAGAACAAGATGGAAACCAAATGAAGAAAATGTTTCGTGAAGAAAGGCAGGACCAACTCTGCCAAATGCACTGATAAGCAAAATGAGGTCTGAAAATGACAGCTTGATTCAACAATACAAAGGCTTGAGCAATTCAAAGAGAACTACTAGAGCAGTTTAGGTAGAGTAGAAGTTGCTTTTTGAAGTAGATTGAAAGGAAAGGGAAGGAGAAACTTGAGACAAGTTTTTGGAGCGGCTTTGTTATAAAAGCAAAGAAATCCGCAAACAGGGATAATTTGACTTCCTCTTTTCCTAATTGAATGACCTTTATTTCCTTCTCCTGCCTGATTGCTCTGGCCATAACTTCTGGGATTGTATATCTAGAAAACCCCATCATCTCAGCCCAAAATCTCCTTAAGCTGATAAGCAACTTCAGCAAAGTCTCAGGATACAAAATCAATGTGCAAAAATCACAAGCATTCTTATACACTGATAACAGACAAACAGAGAGCCAAATCATGAGTGAACTCCCATTCACAATTGCTTCAAAGAGAATAAAATACCTAGGAATCCAACTTACAAGGGATGTGAAGAACCTCTTCAAGGAGAACTACAAACCACTGCTCAATAAAATAAAAGAGGATACAAACAAACGGAAGAACATTCCATGCTCATGGGTAGGAAGAATCAATATCGTGAAAATGGCCATACTGCCCAAGGTCATTTATAGATTCAATGCCATCCCCATGAAGCTACCAATGACTGTCTTCACAGAATTGGAAAAAACTACTTTAAAGTTCATATGGAACCAAAAAAGAGCCCGCATCGCCAAGTCAGTCCTAAGCCAAAAGAACAAAGCCGGAGGCATCATGCTACCTGACTTCAAACTATACTACAAGGCTACAGTAACCAAAACAGCATGGTACTGGTACCAAAACAGAGATGTAGACCAATGGAACAAACAGAGCCCTCAGAAATAATGCCACATATCTACAACCATCTGATCTTTGACAAACCTGACAAAAACAAGCAATGGAGAAAGGATTCCCTATTTAATAAATGGTGCTGGGAAAACTGGCTAGCCATATGTAGAAAGCTGAAACTGGATCCCTTCCTTACACTTTATACAAAAATTAATTCAAGATGGATTAAAGACTTACATGTTAGACCTAAAACCATAAAAACCCTAGAAGAAAACATAGGCAATACCACTCAGGACATAGGCATGGGCAAGGACTTCATGTCTAAAACACCCAAAGCAATGGCAACAAAAGACAAAATTGACAAATGGGATCTAATTAAACTCAAGAGCTTCTGCACAGCAAAAGAAACTACCATCAGAGTGAACAGGCAACCTACAGAATGGGAGAAAATGTTTGCAATCTACTCATCTGACAAAGGGCTAATATCCAGAATCTACAATGAACTCAAACAAATTTACAAGAAAAAAACAAACAACCCCATCAAACAGTGGGCGAAGGATATGAACAGACACTTCTCAAAAGAAGACATTTCTGCAGCCAAAAAACACATGAAAAAATGCTCATCATCACTGGTCATCAGAGAAATGCAAATCAAAACCACAATGAGATACCATCTCACACCAGTTAGAATGGCGATCATTAAAAAGTCAGGAAACAACAGGTGCTGGAGAGGATGTGGAGAAATAGGAACACTTTTACACTGTTGGTGGGATTGTAAACTGGTTCAACCATTGTGGAAGTCAGTGTGGTGATTCCTCAGGGATCTAGAACTAGAAATACCATTTGACCCAGCCATCCCATTACTGGGTATATACCCAAAGGATTATAAATCATGCTGCTATAAAGACACATGCACACATATGTTTATTGTGGCACTATTCACAATAGCAAAGACTTGGAACCAACCCAAATGTCCAACAATGATAGACTGGATTAAGAAAATGTGGCACATGTACACCATGGAATACTATGCAGCCATAAAAAATGACGAGTTCATGTCCTTTGTAGGGACATGGATGAAGCTGGAAACCATCATTCTCAGCAAACTATCTCAAGGACAAAAAACCAAACACCGCATGTTCTCACTCATAGATGGGAATTAAACAATGAGAACCCATGGACACAGGAAGGGGAACATCACACACTGGGGACTGTTGTGGGGTGGGGGTGGGGGTAGGGATAGCATTAGGTGATATACCTAATGCTAAATGACGAGTTAATGGGTGCAGCACACCAACATGGCACATGTATACATATGTAACAAACCTGCACGTTGTGCACATGTACCCTAAAACTTAAAGTATAATAATAATAAAATTAAAAAAATAAATAAACAAAAGCAAAGAAATCAAACAGTTTCTAGATGGGGAAGTAAAAGACAAGAGGAAAAAATGTTTGTTTTTAAAATTTTTCTTAAGATAAAAAAGAGCAAAATGTCTATATGTTGATAATGAGCCAACAAAAAGGGAAAAATTAATAAACAGGAGAAATAGGGTTTCTGAAATGATGTCTCTGGATATGCAAGAGGGGTGGGATCTAGTCTGAAATGGAAGGCTTGAAGTTAGGACTACCTTTAGAGAACTCATCTATGCTCATTGAAAGGAAGACAAAATGTAAGAATTCAGATTATAGGTGACATGGAAATAGGGTAGTAGAGCTTGTGAATTTTTTTTTATTTCATCTATTTACTCTTTTATAAAATAAGGAGCAAGATCACCAGCTGAGACTGAGGATGGGAAAAAGGTAGTGGAAACTTGAAGAGAGAGAAGCTATAATAAGAAGACTGAAAAATAATGGATTAGAGTTCGGGCGCGGTGGCTTACACCTGTAATCCCACTTGGGAGGCCGAGGCGAGAGGATCACCTGAGGTCAGGAGTTTGAGAACAGCCTGGCCAACATGGCAAAACCCCGTCTCTACGAAAAATACAAAAATATTAGCCAGACATGGTGGCGCGCACCTGTAGTCCCAGCTACTTGGGAGGGTGAGGCAAGAGAATCACTTGAACCCAGGTGGTAAAGGTTGGCAGTGAGCCAAGATCACGCCACTGCACTCCAGCCTGGGCAACAGAGCAGGACTCCATCTCTATTAAAAAAAAAAAATGGATTAAAGAACTTTAATACAGTTACCAGTCAGCATTAATAGGTGCCTTCAATTCATGATGAAGTATAGTTTTAGTTTTCTGTGGGTATAGGAACTTAGTGAATGAAGAATTAAATTTACTCTGGATAGATATTTTGCCAAGCAAGCACAATAAAGCAAAAACAAAACGAGGGAATTAATAGTGTGTGCAGGCGTGGGATTATAATGATTGTTCATGAGATATAAAGCGAGTAAGGACTCAGAGGGTGTAAGGAAGAGTGAATAGTTAATAGAATTGATGGATTGTAGGTCCTTGTGAATTAAAGAATTATTAAAATCAGGGTAACAGAGGGAGGTTGGAAATTGAGTTGTTTCTAATAGGGACTATTAGTAGTAGCATTTTAAAATATGGGCATTGGAATGTGTGGTTACGAGAGTGGACTATCAGTGTACAGGAGAAAAGAAGGTCAAGGAACTGAGATGACAAAATAATGAATGAAACCACCTTTTATGTGAACATTGAAATCACTATGAATTGAGAAAAGAATGATATAAAGAATAGTTACAGTGAGCCAGGAAGTAAAATCTTTACAGGAAGAAAGAAAATGATTTGAGTATCACTAGATGACTAATTGGACATGTCATGGGAAGTATACAAATGATACAAGAGTCCAAGCTGGTGGAAATTTGGAGACAGACACAAAATGATCCAAAGCATTAGTAAAGAACAAGGAAGATATCTAACTCACCTCCAGGCTTAAAGGTATAAAACCATCAAAAATAAAAGAGGCTAGACTTAACATAGTTACAGGTAAATTCATGTCTTCAGGTTGTAAGAGCTAGGTTTTAGGCATTGTACGTCACTGAAGACAGAGGAAAGTCTTCAGAAGTTGGTGGAAGGTAAGAAATTAGTATAGAACAGGATTTGCAGAGCATTTTTGGAAATACATTATGAGAGATGCATAGTGACTAGGAGACTGCCTCTTCTTATGGTGACTGAGATTAACAGAAATAAAGGGCTTAATGAGATTAGTCTTGATGGTCTCAAAGCAGATAATGGTGTTGAGTGTGGGGCTTGGAAGGAATGGAAGTCTTGAAGTCTTGAATTCACGTTTACATATTGTGATTTTAAGGACAAGTAATTGTCAGTCTTACTCCAAGTGTATAAAACTCAATTTTGACCCCAGTGAGTACAGTGACATGGAAGAGGGAGAATTTACTTGAATCAGAATTCTCAGGGCTTCCTTTAGAGCCCTGCTTATCTTACTCTTGACACCAGGCAATTGATGTTAGCAAGAAGCGGGGAATCAGACATTCCCTCTTCTTAAACCTAATTAGCACTGAAGAGTTCTTGTCTCTGTGCTGTTGTTGTTGCCTTTTACTTACACATAAAAAGTTCTTTCTAACCCAACTCCAGGTCTCAAAACTTACCCAAATTTCAAAATTAAGAACATTTCCAAAATAATAGTGATTTCTACCTCTGTTGAAACCCACAAATTAAAATGTTTTGATTATGTAACTCGTTGGTCATATTTTGCCTGTCTTGCTCCCAAATACTGCACTTGGGTTCTTGGAGCTGAACCTTAAAGTTAATAGGCACTCAATTAGTATTCAAATGAATGAATAAATGGCAATGAATATGGCTATCATATGCAAACCTTTCCTCCTAGAATAGATTATAAATTCTTTGAGGATAACCATTGTATCTTCCACTTCTCTATTTCCAGAAGTGCCTTTCACAAACACTTGATAGGTAATTGTTGAATTGATAGGCATTCTTATTCATTAAACATGTGGTACTGGTGAGGTTGGAAATTCAATAAAACAAAATAAGCATTCTGGGAAAATCAGTTAAGTCTATGCCTGGGAGCTTACAGGAATCACTGCTAGATGAGGACACCATCATCTGTTTCCTAATCTGTAGCTCCTCTTCTATATTATTTTAATACATGAAAATGCACTGGTGTTAACCTACCTGAGCATTGCAAGGGACAATTTCCACAAATAGTGACTAGATCATAAACTGGAAAGCATGTGGGAATATAAAAGAGCTATTCACCTCATTGAAGGGGTGAATAGGATTAGGACTTCTTGGGCCATTAAAAAAAAGAATTTCAATATGAAAATTTTTTTAACATAAAAAGCCTTGATTTTATTGTTCCAGATTCTATTTGAAAACCACAAAGTGGAAATTTTAGCTATCTTAGATCTTATAAGGATGAATTAGTGCCAGCAAGGGATTCTGTGTCTGAAGATGGTGGCTTACTTGAAAAGACATGCAAATATTATCTCTAATTGAATGAGCATTCCATCCTTAAGCATGTATGATTGCACTGGCTTTCCAACAATTACTTTATTTCTTTGAAGAGCAATATTTAATGTCATGGGAATGGTATTTCCAAGCTACTAAAGTAATAACATTATAATTGTTCAACTCATAACACATTACCTTTGATCTGAAGGTGATTATTATATACATAGATGCTTTATAGGTGCCTGATTGAAAAAACAATCCAGTGACTGGCTTGCATATAATTTTGGAGATATGGTATTTGTTCTAATGTGTAATAAAAGAAGGTAAACTACAGAAAGGTATTAAGATGAGCCAGAAGATAGGGAAAATTGAAGAAGCCTTAAAAAAAATGACAAAATGTTCGACCTCATTTGCTTTTCTAGCTGGTAAGATCCATATATGCAATCATTAATAAATTTTAGGGTTACATTATGTGAAAGAAGTATATGGGTTTTTTAAAAGTTGCATATACTATAAGTTAAATTTTTGCTGTAATGAAATGGGAAGGGATAACAAGCCAATTAAGTTCCAACTGAGTCTCTACATTGTCTGATAAAAGTATTGTTGCACCATGCCTTACATAGAAATAGCTGAAAATCACTAATACCTTAAACTCAGATTTTTATGGAAGTTTTAGAATACATACCAATGGATCATCTCAGCGAGTGACTCAATAGGTGTGATGTATTTTTGTTTGTTTCATGTAAACAGACAATTATCTTCAGAAACTGGAGATAAAAGCTTGTTAGTAGTGTAAGTTTACTGAGCAATCAGCAAGGTATCTATAAATCACCCAGAAAAAAATGTAATAAGCCATGCAATAGTCTATTAAACAGCCTTTCATTTTTTCTTCTCATATATTATAAATATATTTTTCAAACACTCAACCAAATGTAATTCTGTTCTTTAAAAAACTACAGCCTAGTACAGTGAATCCTCATGTAAACTAATAAATGGCCATAGATGTAAAATGCTATTACAGTGAATCCGAATTTTGCAGTGGAGCAGAGGAAGAAACACTTTTTTAAAGAAGTAAAATGACACTAGAGCTAGAGAGTTAACATTTAGAAGGCTTCATAATATTGAAAATATGAGCCTTCCCCCTTTCAATTTGAAGATAAGCTTAATAGGTTCACTCTGTACCTAAGAGCTGCATGCACAAAAGACAACAGACATTTCCTATCCTCTCTTTTGTTAGGGGATTAACTCAGAAGCAATCCTTTATATGTGAAGCTTTTTCTCTCCCCCACTGAAATAAAGGAGGAAGAAAGAGGAAGCTGTGTTTCTTTCTGAGATTTAGGCTTTCTCAGCCTGGATTTCATCTTCATGCATTGCTGAACAAGGCTGATTTGGTGAAGAGTTAATACTAGAAGGCAGCTGAAGGAAAGACTCCTTTGCAAGGTAAATACTAGAATAAATCAGAATGTTTGGAGCCATTCTTTTTCAAACACCTACCCTTTCTTAAAACGCCTTTGTATAGGGATCTAATTGGGCAGACTTTGTTAACTTGTGTCAAAATGGCCTCCTAAAAATGCAACAGATAGGTAATTATTATGAATGTGAAAATAAGGGTGAATTTATATGATAAAGTCCTCACCAAAGTATTCTGTCAAAAATCTATTTGCTAGTTATACTGTTTACTCCTTGATACTCTATAAGCTATAGAAAACAGTCAAAATTCTTCCTATTCTTGCTGACGAGATAAAATGGAATGGGCCTTAGCAAATTGAGTATTCCACATACTATCATTTCTAACAATGCACTAGAAATATCTGGGTAATGTCTTTATCTTATTAAGTTGATATTTAGTTAATGTTAACAATAATAAAACATAATCCCAGAATATATAAGGAGCTTAAACAAATCTACAGCAAAGAATCTGATAATCCAAACAAAAAATAGACAAAAGATTTGAATAGACACTTCTCAAAAGACATGCAGTTGGCAAAAAGGCGTATGAAAAGGTGCTCAACCTCACTGACCATCAGAGAAATGCAAATCAAAACTACAATTAAAGTACAAATTATTTCTAGTATTTTTAAATTGTCATTTATAATAACTCCGTGGACTAATCTAACAGAGAATAATCTTACACCTTACTTTCAGGGAATAAATCACAAGACAAGATGAAGATCCTAGTCCTGACTGTGACCATCTTAAATTTTGTGGTTTACTTTCTGGTAAGTTTCAGTATTTTGGATAATAGTAATTAGATGCAGGGAAAAAATTAATATTTAGATCATCAGCTTACATTTAATGCAAGAAAGAACATTTTGCTAAATAACACATCATTTTGTTAATATTCTATTTTATATTTGTACATTTCCTTCTTTTAAAATTAATTATATACACAGTGAAGTAAGATAAGAGAAGTTATAATGTATGGTAGTATAGGATTTGAAGGGGCTTCTCTATGCTTTTTATATTATAAGAGATTCTTTACTGAAAGTTTGCCATGGAACATCTGAATTTATACTCACAGAGGGTACTCAACCCTAACATAAATATCAGCTGTTCTTTTTTACGTTGATATTGTGTATTTCTAACTTAATTAGTTTAACAATCAATGGATAAGGAAGAAAGCAGAGACCTTCACAATGTTGCTTTATTTGATCAATTTAATGCTGTATATTCATTTCAGATTTTTAGTAAAATATCTGCTGGGGTAACCTCACAAAAGTGTTGTACCTCTTCCTTTTTAGTTTAATAGGAGTCAGGAAATACACAGTCAAACAAATCAAGATTTGTCTGCCAATCTGCCTTTGTCCTCATCAGACAGCTATCCAGCAAGTTCAGTCTCATCCATCATAAAAACAAAAATAAATTCTGCACCTACAAAAGATTCAGATAGCTACTCAGGGTCTACTGATGGAGTAAGAAGGCTCTCTGAATTCCTTTCAGAGAGAAACTACTGAGACACCCTTCAAGCTGACTTATATAACTTTCTTCCACTCGGAGATGATGCACTAAGTAACTCTATAGCTAACCAGACTTCAACTAGTTTTGCTTATGTCAAGGTTACAGTAAGCAACTCAACTCAGGCAGAGGTTTCAAAGAGCAAAGCTTCATCTTCCTCTGATGCTATGCAAGATAATTCCGCTGCCAGTACCACAATTTCCAACTTGGCACCCAACACCTTCCACCTGCACATAATTTCAAGTACCTTGAATCGGAAGACAGTGGCTTTGAAAGGAGTGGATTTGTGGCTGCAGATATCACAAAGTCTCTATTACAATTTAGTATTATACCTACTGCTGAAGTAACAATAAGTGACAGATACTTTACTACTCCTGGGGAAGAAAATGATGTTCTATATGATGCCACTAATCCTACAGGTGAACAAAATAACACTTTAAGCCAATGGCTACCAAAACAATGGTTAATGGTTTAGGTGAAAGTGCAGCAGTGAAACAGAATGTGAAAGCAGTAGATGGCACTGTCTTCCTTCCACCTAGCATTTCTATCCCCCAAACTGGAAGAACGTATTACCCTAGACTTCCTAGCATATACTATAATGTAATCACTGATAATTCACTTACTGCCACCAGAAAGAACCCAAATGTTGCCTGGAACACCATCAAACACAAACCATCACTTTTCACAATGGACAAGTCAGAGCCTGCTGATTTCCAAGATGTCTATCAATCCCCTATTGCCATCACTTCAAGCAAGGTTAAGAGACTAGCCAATAAAGGCAAAATGGTTGAGACCAAAATAAATATCCCTCTTGCTATTCCTATTGGAGCTGACAACATTTCTTATGTGGATAAAAACACTAAAGTTGCAACAAACTGGGCTTCAATAGCTGCCACCTCACCAATAAAGAAAGACATTCTGACCTTGAATGACGTTAATACTCATAATAATAAACCATATAAACTAGGAGATGGCCTTAACAGTTCCAGAGAAAATCCTAACATGTCTAGAGATGATGGTACCTTATTAATTGCTAATTCCTCTACCATTATGAAGTCGGTTGCCCCTTTCATTCATTCTCAAGCAACAAACTTGGTGAAAAAGAACTCTTTGGCAGAGGTCCCAAAACTTGTTTTTATAATAAGGCTACCCCAGAAGCTTTGACAATAGCCATCATCACTGTCTCTCAAGGAAATGACACCATATTTTATATCCCAATAAATGAATTGGAAAACTTTTTCAAAGAAGATATAATATTGAACTATGAAGCAGTTTCCCAAAATGAGGTAAGCATTATGGTAGAAGAAGAAGACACACTTGAAAAAGGAAATGTCAGGGATTATATTTATGCTATACCTATTGCAGGTGACAATGTTCCTAAAGGTAACAACTTGTCAGCTGAACAGTATTCTATCAACTGTAATACATATGACTCCACTACATTCAGAGGAACAACCAAAGGCAGAGCTGACCGACCTGAATTTGAGAATTCTTCATCATCTTATAAGGCTGAAATCTCAAAACCTCTACTTGGAAAATTTACTCCCAAAGTTCAAAGAAAAGTGATTGTAAGAAATAGCAATAGCGGTTCTGATCATGATACATCCTTTGGTGGTGATATACTTTATCCAATAATGAAAGAAAATGTCCCAGAAGGATATATCTATTCTCCTGAAAGAGACTTTACCATTACAACATCAGATTTTAGTATTCCAATGAAAAATAATGTAAATCCTGCTCTGGAAGGTACTGCATTACTCAGTAAAGGAACTTTCAGCAATCATTATTCATCCTATACTGATGAGAAAAGTGATCCAGCAACAGGAAAAGACAAAATTGCTACAGGTATCATAACAAACTCTCATACAGGCATCATACCTGTGACTTCCTTCACTACTGTTCCTTCTAAAGACATAAATAAGGAAAACTATTACCATATATCTGAAACAGGCACTCCTCTCTCACTGGAATATGAAAACAAAATAAGAGATGATTCCCTTATTTTTCAGCTTGGGACTACTCTGGCAAAGGAAAATAATGTGGATAATATGGATTTGGTCATCATGGAACCTGATGAAAGTAGCTCTGAATATATTTCAAACAAGTATGTCTTTGAAATAGAAAATGAAGAAAATAGCCCTATTGTAAATGCTATTTCATTTACACATGAACCCAGTAGATTTCTATCACATATACCCTTCTCCAATCATGAGGCCTCAAGGAGTCTTCTGTATCAAATAACTCACCCTGAGTTTGAAACTAAAGAAAAATACCAAACCATTATTATTAAAGAAGAAAACTCTGACTCTAGTATTGTTGCCTCTTCTTTCAAAGATTATACCAAAAACTTCAACACTCAGCATCCGAAAACCATGGCTCCTTCCCTAATTGATGCAGGTGAGACTTCTTTTCCTGAGTTTCTAGAAAGAACATCTGCAGGAAAGGACACTCTAAGTGCAGATGATGCCACCATCATTTTCCCTGAAGTTTCTGGTTTAGAAAATGAAAAAATCAAGTATTTCTTTGTACCTCACATGGAGACAATTGTTACCATGGGAGAGGGCAGGACATTGGGTGCTATCCCTACTGATCATAGTGTGGTGACTACCCCCATAAAAACTCAAGGTCATTTCTACAGGAAAGGCATTTCATCCAATATTCCTGACACAGCTGCCCTGCAGTTGGCAGACATCATCACACTGGAGAAATCCAAACTCAATGAAGATGAAATGGATTTAGCTGAAGTGACCCCTTCAAAGGATCATGATAACCCATTGGCTCAGGTTGTTGCCTACCAAGTGGGGACTATCTCTGATGTCAGTAAAATTACCAACAGTATAATCAAAGCAAATTCAATTACTTCTCTTAATCTGGTTAATGACACCAAAATGCCACCAAAGGCCAGCATTGTTTCACTTAATGCCCCTGCCTTTGAGTCTGACAGCAATGACAATAATGTCACTACCATGCCTAAGGTAGATGGTGTCAGCTCCATAAAATTAAGATTTCTATTAATTCCCTATCAAAAAGTAACTAGAATGGCACTTCCTCTTGGTGAAAATGATGAATCTTTATCTGATACACTGGTGACATTAGAGGTATCAGAGCCACTGGGAGAACACTCTACCATCACCAACCAAAACTGGGAAATCACCAAAGCACAAAGTGCCTTTCAGCCTTTTCCCATGGTCTTTCCTATTCCTCTGGTAGATCCTGCTACTTTTTCAGAGAAACCCATAAATGTAGCCACTGACATACCTACCACTGAAAATGAGGTCATTAATGATAAAACTAACACCAGGGTCTTTTCACCTAATATGGTCCTTCAACCTGTAATCCACAAAAATGAAGGAATAAATAAAACTCCTAACTATGATGTAAATCAAGCAGTTATTAAATTTTCTGCAAAAGAAATTGCTACTGCAGGAACTAAGGCTAATGCATTCCTCAATAGCAATAAGGCTGTTGCAGAAGATGAATTCTATATTTCTGAAGCCAATATTCCAGTGAACTTAAGAGATATAAATGCAGTGGGAGTTGATCCTTTCATCCTTAAGCCTGATGCGGCTTCTGCTGAACAGAAAGCACCTGAAAATTCCAAAGAAACATTTTACCTTGCTTCCACAATGAGCACAACAAAGCAGACAAAGATCAGGGTTAGGGGCTCATTTTCTCTTGATAATGATTACTTAGAGAGGTCCATCACAAACTCTTATGATAAAGTGTATCAACTACCCCTGAAATCAACTCTTTTGCCCACTAATTTTATTGAAATCTATAATTCTGAACTTGCTTCAGCACTCATTATAGGAGAGAGCAACATAATGACTGATGACTTTATCATATCTAATGATATAATTGGTCTATCTGACGAAGAAACCATTTCACCTGACAATATCATCTTTATTGAAAACATGAACAACATAAATGTAAAGAGATATGTAGCTTCTGTAGAAAAAGATAATGTAACTCCATATGAAGTAATTTCTTTCACAAATGACTTGTCAGCAGAGCCAGATGTGTTTTTTCCAACAGGGAAAAACAATCCAAATAATATGGATCTAATTACCACTGGGCTCGATGATGGTTCTCTGGACTATGTGTCAGAGAGAAATGCATTTTATATTGGAAAAGAAGGAAAGAGCCCCAAATCAAAAATACCTACCTTTGCTCAAGACAAAAATCTACAGAGTATTTGGATCTCATACTCCCTTATCTACTGCACATGTCACTGAGAATCCATTGAAAGGAAATCCTGCAGAACTCAAAACTAAACAAAAATACCAAATGTTGAGCTCCAGAGAAGTAAACCCTGATTCTGACAAAGGTTATTTCTTTCTCAAAGATTATATTGCCAAGCCCTATGGAAAGTCACCCAGAATGATGATTCACCCCCTAGTAGATGAAAATAGAAATTTTTCTTCAAAGTTTTCAGATGATAAAACTCTGGAAGACAACAGCCCAAGTGGAAGTGACATCATGATTATTCTTCATGATGGTAAATAGATTGAACATATTCACATTCCAGATCCAGGAGCAATGGTAACCAGAGGAGAAAGCAGGACATTGCCAAGTGAAATCACTGATCTCACCATGAGCTCAACTCCAGTCGTAAACAGAGACCACTCCTACAGGAGAAACACCTCATCCACTGCTTTTAACATCCTGAGGAGAGCCAAAGCCACCATGTCACCCAACTCTGAGTATCATAAGAATAAAACTTTCAAGGCAGAGAGTTACCATTCATAGGATGTCACTATTCCTTCAGTTGCATTTAATGTCAACCTTGATAATGAACTTCCCTTTGTTGATGAAGATTCTGAAGCTAAAAAACACAAGGACTCAACATCTTCTTCACTGATGGAAACGACTCACACTATGGCTGATACTACTCCTTTTTTCCATGAGAACAGTTATGAAGGGAGTGATTATATGCAATCTGATGAATACAATGTATTGTCTAGAGAATTCCCCTTTCTACAAGCAACTGAAAGTGTAATCCTCAGCCCTAATGCCTTTACTGACAATTCTGTCCTAATGAGAGATAACTCCTTGGCTGACTCTTCAGTGTCAATATCAGTAGTATCAGAGGCAGTGACCGAATACCTTGATGTCATTAATGGAACTGATATTTCAGAAAATCAGGTCCTTAAAATTCAAACAGACCTTCAGCCCCACTCCTCGGACCCAATTATTCCTTCTACAAGTTCAACAACTATTAACAGGAATTCAACAAATGGTGATGTTGATTCATTATCCACTGTGAAGAGAGAAACTGTTGGGATTTCTAAATTTAAGACAGATGCTCATTCTTTGGGTATAATTATGAGAATACTTTCACCCAAACAAATGCACCCTTTCCCTTCCAAAATAAAAGAAATGGCTAAGCACTCTGTTGAGGAAGACACAGCTTCTAAATTCAACCTAAGTCATGTTACAAATGTAACAATCATCATTCCAACTTTGGAAAAAGCACTTCCTTTAACCTTTGAGACCAGCACACTTCGGAAGAGCAATAACAGTGAGGAGGAGGAAGTTATTATTTCTGAAGCAGACAATATTTTTTTAGGAAATTCAAGTACTTTGAAAGATAATTTTTTCACTGGTAAATTTAATATTTCTGCTGGACCCAAACTTCTTCCCAACTTAAAAATAATCTTTTCTGCTGATCCCACCATGTCTATGGAGAAGACTTTAAAGCTTAAGTCTAACAACTTTGCTCCTCCAGATAAAGACACAGGCTCAGAAGTTTTGTTCCATAATTCTTCCACTGGATCACACGGCCAAGCATGGAAATCAACCCTTTCTCCTTCTGGTTTCACATCAACAGTGAGGTCATCTAAATATTCAGAACTTGATCCATTTGTCAAAATGAAAAATGATGCTACAACAAAGACTAATAATTTTCCATTTGAGGAAAGAAATACTTCAACTCATAAAATCATCATTTCACCTGGTACCAATACTCCAACAACAGGAACACTGAATACTATTTTTAGTAAAAGATTTCCACACAGAAACTTTGCAGAGAAAGATACAATCCTATTACAGAAAACATATTAGATATTACTTTAGGTGAAAATATTCCAAATAATGACCATGTAATAATCACTGTGCTTGATGACAGAGCTTTTGAGAATGTCACAAATGAATATGTCCTGGAACAACAGGAGAGAAAATACAACCCTATTATTAAAAAAAACTCCTCTCACTTACAACCTCAAACTATTTGGATCTCATGCATTCTACTCTAGTGCTGATGCCTCTGGACATCTATCTCAAGGAGCCCTAACTGTGACCAATACTAAAGACATACTGCAAAATTTGGTGTCTAGAGAAGAGCACAACAGTTCTGACCTTGATGATATTGTTCTCAAAATTTCCACTGGCAATTTGAGTTTTGAGGCTCCCAGCTCTACGACTCATCCCCTAACTCACACAAGTGAGAATTGTTACAAATTTCTAGGTAAAACCATTCTGGGCAGGGACACCCTAAGAGAATTTATATCATCACCATTGTCCCTGAAGACAAAAAGATGGAGTACACCCTTGTTCCAGACCCAGGAATAACAGCAACCATGGAAGAGGGAAGGATGTTCCCAGATGAAACCATGGATCCCATTGTGATCCACTCTCCATCAAAAAATAAAAACCTGTTCTACAGGAAAGCCATTTCATCTGCTATTTATAAAACTGATATTCAACAAAGAGCAAAAAAATCTTACCATTCAGAGTAAACAATGTTGGAGGGAAAATTAATGTGACAGACATGACACACTCACAGGACACCAATTTTCCTTTGGCTGAGTTCATTGTCACTCTGATAGTGAACTTCCCTTCATTGATGAAGATACTGAAGTTTTAAATAGCAGAGCTTCAATCTCTCACCTATAAATGCAATCCTTACTGTGGATGATACTATTCTTCTCTTCACTGAGGGTGGTTATGAAGAAGGTAATTCTAGCCCACCTGGAGAACACAATGTTAGGTCTACAGGATTCTTAGCTCTACAAATTCCTGGAAAAGCCATACTAATTCCTAAACTATCAATGGAAAACCTTGAAATATCTGGCCCAGTAACTAACAAATAACCCCTTGATTAATTATTCAATTGCATGGTCAGAGATGCTTGAGACAATGATTGAATATGCTAATTTTATTAAAGGTAGTGATATTTTCATTACAAACCAAATGGACTTCAAGCCTCACTCCTTGGCCTCAACTAAATTTCCAACTGCAGACAATTCTACAAACAATGAATTTGATTCACCATCTTCTGTAAACAGAGAAACTACCAACATTCCTAAAACTGAAACAGATGAAACATATTCTGAACTTCAGAGAATAATAAAAGCCTTTTCTCCTACAAGAATCTCTCAGCATAGGATCTATAAAGAAAGGAAAATAACCAATCCCTCTGATCAAGACGATCCAGCTGCTAAATTTGATATAAGTCACATTACAAATACAACAGATCTCAGTCTAGCTATGGAGAAACCCCTTCCCTCAGTTACTGAGCTTAATAGCCTCTCCACAAGTGACAACAATGTGAAAAAGAAAGTTTATATTTCTGAAGCAGGTAATTTTCTTCCAAACGATGCAAGTACATTGAAAGATAATTCTTTCCCTGTTAAATTTGATGTTACTTTTGCTAAATCTGATACATCCCAATTTAAAAGGAATCTCTTCAATTGATTCCATATTAACTTTTCCAGAAGTATCTAGGTCTAATGATCAAAGCTCTTCTCCTGAAGTCACTACCAAAGAAGGGACCATTATAGACACTCCCACTGGAACTTATGGCCTACCATGGAAATCAACTCTTCTTCCTTCTAATTTCACAACATTAACGAGTTCTTCTAAGGACTGTGAATTTAATCCAGTTATCAAAATGAAAAAAGACACCACAACAACTAATAACAATATTACACCTGGAGAAAGGAATTCTTCATCTGACAAATTCAAACTTTCACCTGCTACCATTATTTCAACAAAAGGTATGAAAAATATTATTTATAATAGTAGATATGGGGACAAGACATTTATAGAGAAAGATATATCAATTGAAGTAGTTCCTTTTATAGAAAACATTTCAAAAGAGACAAATGACACCCCTTTGGCAGATGGAAATATTCCAAATAATGAGAATATGATAACTATTATGCCTGTTGACAGTGCCCTTGAATATGATGAAGATAATGATGTCTTTGCACCAGTGGAGAAAAGAAGTGTTCTCCTTATAGAAGAGACCATAGTCACTAATAATTCCAATGCACTTGAGTCCCATGAATTCTATGCCGGTGCTGCAGCCTCTGAAACTTTTTCTCAAGGAACTCCAATTGATATCAGTACCAGAAAAAAACACCAAATCTTGATCTTCAAAGAGGAAAATCCTAACAATGATATTACTGTTCTCAAAGGTTCTACTGCCAATTTTAACACCAAGACTCCAAGGTTCATGATTTATTCTCTAACTGATCCAAGTTGGAATTTTTTTGCCTGAATTTCTAGATGAAATAAATCTGAAAAATCATCCTCTAATTGGAGACAACACCATCGTCATTCTCCCTAAAAGCAAAAAAATGAAGTACCCTCTTGTTTTAGAACTAGAACTAATGTCAACAATGGGAGAGAGCAAGATGTTCACAGCTGATTCCATTGATCCTGTCATGATCACCATTCCTACAGAATACAGGGACCTGTTCAATAGGAAAGATTTCACCTGCTTTTTATAACAGTGTTGCCCCAAATGTAGCAAAGGCCACCATATCGGCCAGATTTGATCCAAATAAACTGAAAACAAATTTGGCAGATGCACTCCATTCACAGAGCAGCATTATTCCTTTGATTGAGGTCAATGTCATTCCTGATGACAATCTGTCCTTCATCAGTAAAGATACTAAAGAGGCAAACAACAGAGCTTCAATTATTTTTACATCTATGAATGAGCCAACCAGCACTGTGGTGGATTCCACTGTTCCTTCCACTGAAGGCAGTTATGTGAGTGGTGATTTTATGTTACCTGGAGAAGATAATGTTAAGTCTAGAGGATTCCAATCTCTGCTGAGAACCAACATGCTCCTTCTTGATTCCTTAAATGAAAATCCAGAAACCCCTGGCCTAATGAGAGATAACTCCTTTTCTGAATCTTCAATAACTAGGTCAGAAGAGTTAGAAAGAGCAACTGAATATGTTGGTGCCATTAATGGAGGCAATGTCCCAGAGAAGCAGGTTATAATAACTCAAACCAACATTCATTCCTATCCCTTGGCTTGGCAAGTTTCTCCAATTGAATCCACATTTTCAAATAATCCCACAGATAGTGAAATTAACTTTTCTTTCTCTGTGAATGGAAATACTCCTGGAAATTATGAAACTGAGACTGATGAAATATATTCCAAATCTCAAAGAGCAATAGAGAAAGCCTTTTCCCAGATAAAAGAGTCTCAAAATAGTGTCTACAAGATAAGAAAAATAGCTAATCTTTCTGATCAAGAAGATCCAGCTACTATGTTTAAATTAAGTCACTTTACAAATACAACAGTTCTCATTCCAGCTATATGGAAAATCCCTCCTTCAGCAACCAAGCTCAATCTTCTCTCCAACAGTGACAGTGATGTTGATGAAGAATTCCATATGTCTGAAGCAGGAAACTCATTTTCAGAAGATACCAGCAAACTAAAAGATGATTCTTTCACTGTGAAATTTGATGATACTTCTTTCAAATCTCAAGCACCTCCCAATTTAAAAGGAATCTCCTCAGTTTATTCCACATCAACTCTTTCAGAAGCATCTAGACCTAATGATCAAAGCTCTGCCTTTCATATTAGAGTCTCTAACACAGGCAGGTCCAGCACAAACACTCCAGCAAGATTACATGGCCTGCAATGGAGACCAACTCTTCCTTCTGATTTCACAACATCCATGGATGCTCCCATATATTATGAACTCACTCCTGTTACCATCATGGGAAAAGATATCACAAAGAAGATTGATTATAGCTTTCTACCTGAGGAAACAATTATTCCATCTGACCAAGTTATCATTTTGCCTATTACCATTACCTCTGAAAACTCCATGGCAAGCACTTTTAAAGAGAACATATTTAAGCACAAAGATTTTATAGACAGTGAGCAAGCTGCTGAGTATGAAAAAAATTATTTTATAAAAGACATTTCAGAAAGGATGGATGATATTTCTTCGGAAGGCAAAATCACTCCAGCATATGTGGATGATATAATTACTACGTCTGATGACAGTGGTTCTGAATATGTCTCAGATAACTCTGTCTTGGAATTAGAGGATAAAGCAAATAATTCCTTTATAAAAATGAGTACACTCAGATATTCCCCTAAGATGCATAGGTCTCAAGCACTATATACCACAGTGGCTGCTTCAGATAGTCTCTCTAAAGCAACATCATCAGAGTTCGAAGCTAAAGAAAAGTACCAAGCTATAATTCCTAAATAGAAAAACAAGAACTTTGACATCGAGGCCATTCTTTTCAAAGATCCCTATGCCAATGTCAAAACCAAAGCTCATAGACCCACAACTCACTTCCTAACCAATGCAAGTGAGAAGGCTTCTAGATTTTATGACAAAACATCTGTCAAAAAAAGGCACCATAAATGGTGATGATGACATCATAATTCCCTCTGAATGCTCTGACTTTGGAAATAAAATAATTGAGTATTCCATTTTTTCATACGTGAAACCTGTAGTTGACAACAGAAAATTCACAACTGATACTACTAATCATGCTATCAAAAGTAGTTATAACTTGTTCAGGAAAAACATATCACCTGCCATTTATAAGACATTTACACCCAGTAGGGCAGACACTATCACATCCAGTATACCTGATTTTGCTGAAGATGAAACAAGTGTAGCTGCAGCATCTGATTGAAGGTTTAGTGGTTTTCCTTTAGCTTAGCTTTCTAGTGATGACATTTCCAATATGGATGAAAACCCAGCTCTTACTTTTTCTCCTTTGAGAAAGATGTCGTCCATTAAACCAAATGTTCCTGCTATCTCCACTGAGGACAGAAATAACATGGCCTTTCTAGCCTTCCATCAGAGAGTGTCATGTCTCTAAAACCTACGTCTGTTGGAGTACCTGAAACTCTCATCTTAACTGCTAATTCTCGTACTAAAGACACTGCAGCTCCCAGACTTGCAAAAAGTGAAAACTTACATCATCATCCAACAATGTTAATTTCAACAGCATCGGAGCCTATGCCAACATATTTCGCTTACTTTAAGGAAGGTATTATCTCAGGAAGGCAAAACATTAAAAGTCAAATTGTTCTGAATGCTCTTCCATTGGTCTGTATTGTTCTCCAAGCTGCTTCCACTGACTCTTCAGACAATACTGGAGATGTCAAACCTAACACATCTGCTACTCTTATTACCAGGTACAAAATTTTTGATATTGATGCCTCTGCCATTTGAAATTCAGAACCTAAGAAAACAAGCACCAAGTTTTCTGCTTTTGTTCCTAATGAATATGATGATCCGAATTTCTATCACACAAGAGAAATAGCTAAAGCTTCTACAGAGAAAAACACAGCTAGTGAATTTTAAGTCAATCACCTTATAAATGTAAATATAATAACAGGAAATGATCTAGTTATCCAGATGGAAACAAACTCTATACAAAATGGCATTTTTAAAGCCTGTTTCTAAGGACTCTTTTCCTAGTCAAGTATCCCTGAAAAATCATAGATGTGCCAAATGACCTTCCTGGGGTTTTATTAAGAAATCTTCCTTTATTAGCAGTTTTCATGTTTTCACTTAAATGTAAGGAATATACTCTGGAACACATGTCAATAGATATAAATTTAATACTTTCCTTGGAAAAGACAAAATGTTTCAATTAGTGTAATAGATACTCCAACAATGGAAGAAATTACTATTCGGATTAAATAAAACTTATCTATAGAATCTGATTCTTTGTCCTTTAGTCAGATAATGTCTTCAATGGGAATGATCGTTTGGTCAAAAATGAGTATATTATTATGTATTCCCTGGAGCACATAACTTCAGTTTCATCCTCAAGAGTGCTAAAATTCCTGCAGTTCCACCAGGATTTTCACCATATGCTTTCTTCTCTTTGATGGATGACACATAGTCAATCTGAAGTGTTCTTTTGAAGGGCAATGTTTTAGAAAACATAGATAATGTGAATAGCATTCCCCTTAGAGAAGGAATAATTATGCTGCAATCAATGTGATCCTACCTCACAGCTATACTAGTGGAAGCAGAGTTAATGTGATCACAAAATTAATGCCTGAAATTAAAGACTATTTGACAAATTAATATCAATGAAGATGATGTAATTATTTAAACTGACATATCTAATTGGAGATGAAGCGCTCATAAAAGTAAACATTTTATAGCTTATTCCAACTCTCTTCATCATAACAAATACCTAGTCTTACAAGATATCTTCCAGCAAATATACAGCTAACCTCACCATCTTTTCTTTTCCTTTTTGTACACACAAAAAAAAACTTCACCAAAGTAGGTACCAAATCTTCTGTTTACAGCATGCTTTATTCTGAATTAAGCTTTATAAAAACTAAATGATAGGGGACAAAAATAGAGGTTAAGAAAATCCTCCCACTAAGTAAGCTTACTGAGAGAATGACTGTCCCTGTGGCATTCTTTACTGGCCCAGGAACTGATGGTATTTCTGTTTAGAAACATATTTTTATAGAGAATTATGATATATCTGCAACCAGGCTAATCGTCTAAGACAGAAAGCTGAAAACTTTGAAGTTGAGTCCATATTTAATAAATAATAACTATTTGTCCTTGAGATGGAACCCACTATTCAGGCTGATGTTGCTGCCCTTTCTCAGATTTAGTTGTGTCTGAGTATGAAAATTCAATTTCTTCTAACAACACTGGAAAAAGACTCATTCTAGCATTAACACTAAACTGCAATCTGCTTTCATCTAATTAGCTAAACCTTAAGGTTGATAACACAAGGATGTTTGATACAATTAACGTTATTATTAAAAATACTCCCTCTGAAATTGAGAATATAATTCTTAAAAATAATGCAGTTATCCACATCTTGATTCTTGTTTCTGGGTGAATTTTGACACATGACACCAGCTCCCTGCCACTGACAACCCTCCCTGTCTTCTGGGTTAAAATAACAGCCTGCAGAAAAAACATTCCTAAAACAATTTTAACCTACAAAACTTGAGACTCTCACTATTACTCAAGTAAATTCAAGAAGAAGTAAGAAATACAATGAAAAAGAGAACACTAAAGACCCAAACAGGAGCAGTGGTTCTCCCAGCACGCAGCTGGAGATCTGAGAACGGGCAGACTGCCTCCTCAAGTGGGTCCCTGACCCCTGACCCCCGAGCAGCCTAACTGGGAGGCACCCCCCAGCAGGGGCACACTGACACCTCACACGGCAGTGTATTCCAACAGACCTGCAGCTGAGGGTCCTGTCTGTTAGAAGGAAAACTAACAACCAGAAAGGACATCTACACCGAAAACCCATCTGTACATCACCATCATCAAAGACCAAAAGTAGATAAAACCACAAAGATGGGGAAAAAACAGAACAGAAAAACTGGAAACTCTAAAACGCAGAGCGCCTCTCCTCCTCCAAAGGAACGCAGTTCCTCACCAGCAACAGAACAAAGCTGGATGGAGAATGATTTTGACGAGCTGAGAGAAGAAGGCTTCAGACGATCAAATTACTCTGAGCTACGGGAGGACATTCAAACCAAAGGCAAAGAAGTTGAAAACTTTGAAAAAAATTTAGAAGAATGTATAACTAGAATAACCAATACAGAGAAGTGCTTAAAGGAGCTGATGGAGCTGAAAACCAAGGCTCGAGAACTACGTGAAGAATGCAGAAGCCTCAGGAGCCGATGCGATCAACTGGAAGAAAGGGTATCAGCAATGGAAGATGAAATGAATGAAATGAAGCGAGAAGGGAAGTTTAGAGAAAAAAGAATAAAAAGAAATGAGCAAAGCCTCCAAGAAATATGGGACTATGTGAAAAGACCAAATCTACGTCTGATTGGTGTACCTGAAAGTGATGTGGAGAATGGAACCAAGTTGGAAAACACTCTGCAGGATATTATCCAGGAGAACTTCCCCAATCTAGCAAGGCAGGCCAACGTTCAGATTCAGGAAATACAGAGAACGCCACAAAGATACTCCTCGAGAAGAGCAACTCCAAGACACATAATTGTCAGATTCACCAAAGTTGAAATGAAGGAAAAAATGTTAAGGGCAGCCAGAGAGAAAGGTCGGGTTACCCTCAAAGGAAAGCCCATCAGACTAACAGCGGATCTCTCGGCAGAAACCCTACAAGCCAGAAGAGAGTGGGGGCCAATATTCAACATTCTTAAAGAAAAGAATTTTCAACCCAGAATTTCATATCCAGCCAAACTAAGCTTCATAAGTGAAGGAGAAATAAAATACTTTATAGACAAGCAAATGCTGAGAGATTTTGTCACCACCAGGCCTGCCCTAAAAGAGCTCCTGAAGGAAGCGCTAAACATGGAAAGGAACAACCGGTACCAGCCGCTGCAAAATCATGCCAAAATGTAAAGACCATCGAGACTAGGAAGAAACTGCATCAACTAATGAGCAAAATCACCAGCTAACATCATAATGACAGGATCAAATTCACACATAACAATATTAACTTTAAATATAAATGGACTAAATTCTGCAATTAAAAGACACAGACTGGCAAGTTGGATAAAGAGTCAAGACCCATCAGTGTGCTGTATTCAGGAAACCCATCTCACGTGCAGAGACACACATAGGCTCAAAATAAAAGGATGGAGGAAGATCTACCAAGCAAATGGAAAACAAAAAAAGGCAGGGGTTGCAATCCTAGTCTCTGATAAAACAGACTTTAAACCAACAAAGATCAAAAGAGACAAAGAAGGCCATTACATAATGGTAAAGGGATCAATTCAACAAGAGGAGCTAACTATCCTAAATATTTATGCACCCAATACAGGAGCACCCAGATTCATAAAGCAAGTCCTCAGTGACCTACAAAGAGACTTAGACTCCCACACATTAATAATGGGAGACTTTAACACCCCACTGTCAATATTAGACAGATCAACGAGACAGAAAGTCAACAAGGATACCCAGGAATTGAACTCAGCTCTGCACCAAGCAGACCTAATAGACATCTACAGAACTCTCCACCCCAAATCAACAGAATATACATTTTTTTCAGCACCACACCACACCTATTCCAAAATTGACCACATAGTTGGAAGTAAAGCTCTCCTCAGCAAATGTAAAAGAACAGAAATTATAACAAACTGTCTCTCAGACCACAGTGCAATCAAACTAGAACTCAGGATTAAGAATCTCACTCAAAGCCGCTCAACTACATGGAAACTGAACAACCTGCTCCTGAATGACTACTGGGTACATAACGAAATGAAGGCAGAAATAAAGATGTTCTTTGAAACCAACGAGAACAAAGACACCACATACCAGAATCTCTGGGACGCATTCAAAGCAGTGTGTAGAGGGAAATTTATAGCACTAAATGCCTACAAGAGAAAGCAGGAAAGATCCAAAATTGACACCCTAACATCACAATTAAAAGAACTAGAAAAGCAAGAGCAAACACATTCAAAAGCTAGCAGAAGGCAAGAAATAACTAAAATCAGAGCAGAACTGAAGGAAATAGAGACACAAAAAACCCTTCAAAAAATCAATGAATCCAGGAGCTGGTTTTTTGAAAGGATCAACAAAATTGATAGACCGCTAGCAAGACTAATAAAGAAAAAAAGAGAGAAGAATCAAATAGACACAATAAAAAATGATAAAGGGGATATCACCACCAATCCCACAGAAATACAAACTACCATCAGAGAATACTACAAACACCTCTACGCAAATAAACTAGAAAATCTAGAAGAAATGGATACATTCCTCGACACATACACTCTCCCAAGACTAAACCAGGAAGAAGTTGAATCTCTGAATAGACCAATAACAGGATCTGAAATTGTGGCAATAATCAATAGTTTACCAACCAAAAAGAGTCCAGGACCAGATGGATTCACAGCCGAATTCTACCAGAGGTACAAGGAGGAACTGGTACCATTCCTTCTGAAACTATTCCAATCAATAGAAAAAGAGGGAATCCTCCCTAACTCATTTTATGAGGCCAGCATCATTCTGATACCAAAGCCAGGCAGAGACACAACCAAAAAAGAGAATTTTAGACCAATATCCTTGATGAACATTGATGCAAAAATCCTCAATAAAATACTGGCAAACCGAATCCAGCAGCACATCAAAAAGCTTATCCACCATGATCAAGTGGGCTTCATCCCTGGGATGCAAGGCTGGTTCAATATACGCAAATCAATAAATGTAATCCAGCATATAAACAGAGCCAAAGACAAAAACCACATGATTATCTCAATAGATGCAGAAAAGGCCTTTGACAAAATTCAACAACCCTTCATGCTAAAAACTCTCAATAAATTAGGTATTGATGGGACGTATTTCAAAATAATAAGAGCTATCTATGACAAACCCACAGCCAATATCATACTGAATGGGCAAAAACTGGAAGCATTCCCTTTGAAAACTGGCACAAGACAGGGATGCCCTCTCTCACCGCTCCTATTCAACATAGTGTTGGAAGTTCTGGCCAGGGCAATCAGGCAGGAGAAGGAAATAAAGGGTATTCAATTAGGAAAAGAGGAAGTCAAATTGTCCCTGTTTGCAGACGACATGATTGTTTATGTAGAAAACCCCATCGTCTCAGCCCAAAATCTCCTTAAGCTGATAAGCAACTTCAGCAAAGTCTCAGGATACAAAATCAATGTACAAAAATCACAAGCATTCTTATACACCAACAACAGACAAACAGAGAGCCAAATCATGGGTGAACTCCCATTCACAATTGCTTCAAAGAGAATAAAATACCTAGGAATCCAACTTACAAGGGATGTGAAGGACCTCTTCAAGGAGAACTACAAACCACTGCTCAAGGAAATAAAAGAGGACACAAACAAATGGAAGAACATTCCATGCTCATGGGTAGGAAGAATCAATATCGTGAAAATGGCCATACTGCCCAAGGTAATTTATAGATTCAATGCCATCCCCATCAAGCTACCAATGACTTTCTTCACAGAATTGGAAAAAACTACTTTAAAGTTCATATGGAACCAAAAAAGAGCCCGCATTGCCAAGTCAATCCTAAGCCAAAAGAACAAAGCTGGAGGCATCACACTACCTGACTTCAAACTATACTACAAGGCTACAGTAACCAAAACAGCATGGTACTGGTACCAAAACAGAGATATAGATCAATGGAACACAACAGAGCCCTCAGAAATAATGCCGCATATCTACAACTATCTGATCTTTGACAAACCTGAGAAAAACAAGCAATGGGGAAAGGATTCCCTATTTAATAAATGGTGCTGGGAAAACTGGCTAGCCATATGTAGAAAGCTGAAACTGGATCCCTTCCTTACACCTTATACAAAAATCAATTCAAGATGGATTAAAGATTTAAACGTTAAACCTAAAACCATAAAAACCCTAGAAGAAAACCTAGGCATTACCATTCAGGACATAGGCGTGGGCAAGGACTTCATGTCCAAAACACCAAAAGCAATGGCAACAAAAGACAAAATTGACAAATGAGATCTAATTAAACTAAAGAGCTTCTGCACAGCAAAAGAAACTACCATCAGAGTGAACAGGCAACCTACAACATGGGAGAAAATTTTCGCATCCTACTCATCTGACAAAGGGCTAATATCCAGAATCTACAATGAACTCAAACAAATTTACAAGAAAAAAACAAACAACCCCATCAAAAAGTGGGCGAAGGACATGAACAGACACTTCTCAAAAGAAGACATTTATGCAGCCAAAAAACACATGAAGAAATGCTCATCATCACTGGCCATCAGAGAAATGCAAATCAAAACCACTATGAGATATCATCTCACACCAGTTAGAATGGCAATCATTAAAAAGTCAGGAAACAACAGGTGCTGGAGAGGATGTGGAGAAATAGGAACACTTTTACACTGTTGGTGGGACTGTAAACTAGTTCAACCATTGTGGAAGTCAGTGTGGCGATTCCTCAGGGATCTAGAACTAGAAATACCATTTGACCCAGCCATCCCATTACTGGGTATATACCCAAATGAGTATAAATCATGCTGCTATAAAGACACATGCACACGTATGTTTATTGCGGCACTATTCACAATAGCAAAGACTTGGAACCAACCCAAATGTCCAACAATGATAGACTGGATTAAGAAAATGTGGCACATATACACCATGGAATACTATGCAGCCATAAAAAATGATGAGTTCATATCCTTTGTAGGGACATGGATGAAATTGGAAACCATCATTCTCAGTAAACTATCGCAAGAACAAAAAACCAAACACCGCATATTCTCACTCATAGATGGGAATTGAACAATGAGATCACATGGACACAGGAAGGGGAATATCACACTCTGGGGACTGTGGTGGGGTTGGGGGAGGGGGGAGGGATAGTATTGGGAGATATACCTAATGCTAGATGACACATTAGTGGGTGCAGCGCACCAGCATGGCACATGTATACATATGTAACTAACCTGCACAATGTGCACATGTACCCTAAAACTTAGAGTATAATAAAAAAAATAAAATAAAATAAAATAAAAATAAATGAAAAAAAAAAAAACAAAAAACAAAAAAAGAAAAAAAAAAAAAAAAGACCCAAACAGGCCAATAACTATTAGTTATTATCTCTACTGAAAAAGTGGGACTTCCTGTTATGAATAAGGGAACTAACTGAATTCCCTGCTACCTAATTACCTTCTGTAGCTATACTTACTGACAAAAACACCATTAATTTTTTTAGATACCAATTTTTTTTAATACTATGAATCTTAAGGGAAAATGGCTTCACCTCAAAAATACTCTGTTACTTGCTTGGAAGATAGACGACTTTAAGCTGATGCTGATAAACTTGTGGCTTCCAAAGTTTTCCTTACTAATTCTAAACCCAAAAGGTGCCTGGCAGTCTCTGCTATGTCTGTTTCAAGTAACCCTAGCTCTATATCAGGAGACATTTTCCTTATAAACAGAAACATGGTAAATCTTAAGTTCCCTGCAATTGAAATGCTTGGCTGTGAATTTGATTTCATAATCAGAGCGGACTCTATAGTCTTTTCATTCAATATTCCTGCAATTAGATAACCAATCGCAGCCTAGAAACAACCTCCAAGGAGACCCAGTGACATTGCTCCCATAGTTGATGCAACAATCACCATGATGACCCAAGCTTTAATCACTCTGATGAACACTGCTCTCCTGCCTAGAGATACCACTGAGTCCAGAAGCAAGACCTGTGAGAGTGCACAGTGCCACTTCGCCCCATGGCTGAAGATGGTTTGCCCAAAATTTATTCTCATCCTCCAACAGAAAGCAGTAAAACACCAACTGCAGCAACCATTTTCTTTGGGGCTGACAATGCTATTCCCAAATCAGAAACAACTATTACTTCAGAAGGAGACCACGTCACTTCAGTAAATGAATATATGCTAGAAAGCGATTTTTCAACAACTACAGACAACAAACTGACAGCTAAAAAGGAAAAACTCAAATCAGAAGATGATATGGGGACCGACTTTATTAAGTCAACAACTCACCTACAGAAAGAAATTACCTCTCTGACTGGCACTACAAACTCCATAACAAGAGACTCTATTACCGAACATTTCATGCCAGTGAAAATTGGGAATATTTCATCACCAGTTACTACTGTTTCTTTAATAGATTTTTCCACTGACATAGCAAAAGAAGATATCCTCTTAGCTACCATTGACACAGGAGATGCAGAGATCTCAATAACCTCTGAAGTCTCTGGCACACTAAAGGACAGCAGTGCTGGTGTTGCTGACGCTCCTGCCTTTCCACGTAAAAAGGATGAAGCTGATATGAGCAATTATAATTCCTCCATCAAATCCAATGTCCCTGCTGATGAGGCTGTCCAGGTCACTGATTCCACTATTCCTGAGGCTGAAATCCCTCCTGCTCCTGAAGAAAGCTTCACTACTATTCCAGACATAACTGCCCTTGAAGAAGAGAAAATAACCGAAATTGACCTAAGTGTTTTAGAAGATGACACCAGTGCTGTGGCTACATTAACTGACTCTGATGAGAAGTTTATCACTGTGTTTGAACTCACTACCTCTGCTGAAAAAGACAAAGATAAACGGGAAGATACTCTGCTAACTGATGAAGAAACTACCGAGGGAGCCAGTATTTGGATGGAGAGAGATACTGCAAATGAAGCAGAGACCCATTCTGTTTTGCTTACTGCTGTTGAATCCAGATATGACTTCGTTGTCCCTGCATCAATAGCTACAAACCTAGTGGAAGAATCATCTACAGAAGAAGATTTGTCTGAAACTGATAATACAGAGACTGTACCTAAGATCACTGAGCCATTTTCTGGAACTACCTCTGTATTAGATACCCCAGACTATAAGGAAGACACCTCCACAACTGAAACGGATATCTTTGAACTACTGAAAGAAGAACCCGATGAGTTCATGATTTAAAAGCAACAAAAGGGATACCATGTAGAATTGTGCAATAGTCTAGCCAGCTAGCCTTAACATCTAAGAAATTTTTCCAACAAGCAAAAACCTTTAGAAATGAAAGAATGTGGGCATTTAAGGCAAGTATTCGACTCAATAAATGCAGATGCTTAGGACTACAGGTCATGTAACAGATTTACGGAAACTTAGAAAAAAAAACCGCAGTGTAAGGGTCCCCCTAGTATCACAAAGTTTCAATATTCTAACAATTACTTAATGTAAAATTTTTCGTCCTAGCCTTCAGGGAGTATGAAGACAGAGCAATGTAGGGGCTCATTTCTACAACATTTAATGATGCATATCATTTAGTTAACAGTCAATATTATACTTAAGTGAGAATTAAGGATATGAAGAGAAGCAAATTAACCTCTCCAAAACATTACCATAGCCTAAAAAGTTCTCCCAAAATGCTTGTTCTAAGCAATTTTTTCATTAGTATTTCATCAGTGATTCTCTTCTATTTAAAAAATTTTTAATCCTCATATAAGAATTAAGACAATTCAGTAATTGTTTAGCACCCACATGTAAGATACATAAGATTTATGATAGGGTTCTTGGCACATGTTAGATACAAACTAAAGCAAAATGATATTTTACAAATATGCATATTTGTCAGAAAAATGTTCTGTAAACATATACATCAATTTAATTTTCTTTCTGTTAAAATGTGTTTTCTGAATTTTTGTCCATGTTTTCCAGGTCTTAAACACTGAATATCACACTCTTCTTATGACTCTTGTTAGCGATTCAAGGACATAAATCTTCATTCTTTTCTGGCACAGACTACTTAAATGGGTCTGTTTTCACTTTGCTCATTTTTCTTCAATAAATCTTTTTGGCAAGCAACTGATTTACTGTGTGTAGGTGTGTTTGATATTCTACTACAGACTTCTCAAATTAGGAGAAATAAAGAGAAATGAAAATTCATTGTTTGTTTAAAGAATAATATAGCTCTAATCCCCAGAAGTAAAATTATTCTATAGAGATTCATAATTGTATTACACTAAAAAAAGAAATAAGAACAATGCCAAAACACCAAGTGAATGAAAGATATTATGTACGGGGGGTTTGTATAGGGATTTGCACCATTAGATAAACTATAGACTAGAATAATCACAACAGTGTGTTAAAACCCAGAAACAAATTACGAAACAAAAATTTGTTATACAGTGAAGTGGACTTCAAAAACATGGGATATAATAGTTAATCTTACTTGAACAATCAGTATTTGGGAAAAAAATATGTTGGAATAATAAACAAATTTTTAAATTCTTTTTAAGACCATACTTTAAAATAAATTCTACATGGATTAAATACTTTAATGTAAAAACTAAAACCATACAAAAACTTAGGAGGAAATGTACCTGTATATCTATCCAAATGGACCTGAGAAATGTAAGCATATATGAAAAGGTGATAAGAAGATTGATAGGTTTGACACCATGAATAGTTAAAATTCTGAAACAAAGAAAATTAACATAAAATTAAAAAGTAAATAACTAATTTTATTTTACATAGCAGTGAAAAGATTACTATCATTTTTCTATAAAAGTTTCTACAAAGTATTTTAAATGAACAGTAGAAATTAACATAATTCATGAAACACAAATTGTTAATGAACATGTGAAAAATATTCAATAGACATATTCAAAAAATTAAAATAAAGCTAGTACACATCAGTTTTAGCCATTTGAGGATTGACAGTGATTATTGTACATATTCATTGTTGACTCATTTTCCAAACTTTCTCCAAATTTCTCCAGCCTTTCTGGAAGGCTGGAAGCCAATTTGGCAATACATGTAGCAAGCATTTTAAAAATTGGAAGTTTTGGCCCAGTTATTTTACATATTTTACATATTTTAGCCCTGAGAATTTTCCTAAGAATCAGAAACTATTAAAGTTCCAGCAGTTATTGAGCTCTGACTACTGGTCAGCATAGTTGTGTTTATATTTAGAATAACATTTGATCCTCATGATACCCTAGAAGGAGAAACATTACTATTCTCATTTTAGTGATAAGGAAACAGAAAAGCTACTCAACATGCACCAAGCTTCAAAGTTAATATGTAGCAAAGAACGCTTCTAACCCAGGCAGTCTTCATCCAGAACCCATGCTCTTTTAATCACTATACTGTAGGGGCCCTCAGATTTAAATACAAGAATGTTGGCAAACTCTTACACTGAAGAATGTGATTTTACATGTTCATAAGGGAAAAACACTGAAAACAATCTACAATTGTAGTCACATGTAATTAATTACACTTCTGTATACCCATATGAAGCCATAGCTTGCATCTTTTAAAATGGTTCTAAGGAAGAATATTTAATCAAATGGATGATATTTTCATACAACTCTAAGCAAATTTACACAGTGGTATGTATGCAATATACACATGCACACACATACACACGCAAGCAGAATGTCTGGATTACATATATCACAATATATAATCTCTAGGAAGGACTGCAGGTGATTTTGTTTCATTCTCTGTGCTTTCGTGCGTTTTTAAATGCTCTCCAATCATCCAGAACATAAACTGTACACAGGAGAGGATGAATGTTTGTCAACCCCATTAACTAGAAAACCTGGAAGCCAAGCTAAATCTTTCACTCTTACTTGCTTCCCATACCCAATTAAAATATTACAAGTATTTTGAGTGTTCCCTATGTATCAGACACTACTTTATTTTTCATTTACAAGGCATGTATATGCACTGACTATGTTCCAAGCACCATGAAAGTGTTTTGAGACACTGTAGTGAATCAAATGACACCATCCCTGCCTTCATGGAAATTAATCTACCATAAAAGACAAATTTTAGACAATCTCAAATAATCACACAGGAAGAAATGACTACATGCAAAATATGGTGGGTGTTTCAAAGAAAAAACAAAAGATTATAATTGCAGATTTCACATACATTTAAGGCCAAGAAATTGTCTCTGAGGGGGTAGGATTTAAGCTAAAATATTGAAAAATGTGGAGAGATAAGGAAACAACATCTCCAAATCCTTGAGGCTAGATTTTTCAAGGATATGAACAGACACGGTATCAGCTGGAACATAAGATGAAACTGGAAAGGTAGGAAAGAGAGAAATTATACAGTACTTGTTAAACATCCTGGATCTTATCTGTTTGGAAGATATTAAAGGTTTTAATCATTTTATCCTCAAAACAGTCTTAGTACTGAGAGCACTGCCTAGCTGAAAAGCATCATTATTTTATAAACTCCAACTATACTTCTTTCAAGGGCTTTGTTTAGGAAAATAACTTGATAGTCCCCTTTGCTTGGAGGAGATGAGGCTCTGAGGCATAAACCAAACTGCAACAGTTAAACAATTAAAAAGATAATGTGCTGTACAATACAAGTTAACAGAATTTGGGGCTAGGGCTTAGAAATAACAAGAAGAACAGCACACTGGCAATTGGTTAGAGTCCAGGAAGATGAGTGTCCAGTGAGATTCCTGGTGGTCAATGAACATTTTTCCAAGAAAGCGTGCCTAATTATGTGTTTTACCTTGCGCCATTTCAAAGCAAAGTTTCTCCTTGCCCTGAAATTTGATTAAACGTCTGTAAGACACAAGGTCTTAAATATGCACTTCTTGAAAAAATAAAGAAATATAGGAGGCAAAGAAGAAACAGATAAGTAATTAGAGAATGAATATGAGACAGTCTTTCTTCCCAAATATTCTAAATAGTGATGACCTGAGAAAGGAGTGATGGGCATACAGTGAGTAGACATTTAGAATAGTCACATTTCACAGATAACCAAAGTGAAACAGAAAAGTCACTGGCCCCAGATAACGATGCTAGTAAGTAACAAAGCTCAGCTCCAGAGACTTGAGTGGCTCCAAAATTCAAGTTCAAATCACACTGCTTTGTGTGAACTGTTGAATAATGAATCATTCCATCTCTTTATCATAACCCTTCCCCTTGATCCATTCCTGTTGCCACTGCTTTGGTTAAGGCTAATGGCTGTCTTGTAGCTGGTCATCTCACCTCTGGTCTTGTATTTAGCAAATTAATTAAGCCCCACAGCACTCATCTCTAAACCGTTTTGCTCACTCCCTGTTCCCACATGCCTTGCCACAGTCATGAAGAATAAGCACATGAACCAGTCAGAGCAAAGGGGACAAGAGGAAGTGCTTTGGGGAGACTCTGGGGAATAAGTTTCTGAAGGAAACTTCTGTCTAAAGACATTTAGGGCCGGGAGCTGCTAGAATCACCTTGGATGACAAGGAGACAGGTTGCTTGACAGTAAAGTGAACACTGAGGATATTAGAGACAAGAAATATAAATATGAAATAATAAAAGAATGTGAGACTAGTCACATCCTGTAGCAAGCCAAACTAGTCTGCTTATTTACCTGAGACAATGCATTTTCTAATTAAACAAGTTTGGGTTATGTTTTTTGTTGTTTGAAACCAACACACCTTAAAAACTGACAACCCAAGTTATTTCAAGTCCCTGTGTCTATTTATTTATTTATTTGGTAGAGACAGGGTCTTGCCCTCTTGCCTGGAATGGTCTCAAACTACTGGCCTCAAGCAACCCTCCCACCACAGCCTCCCTAAGTGCTGAGATTATAGTGCCTGCTGTTCTCCCAGTGCCACAGTCTCATGTGGTAAATATCGTCTTTCATATTCACCTCACATGCTATCTTCTTTAACCACCCCTCGGTATGATTACCTGTTGTGTATCTCACTATATACATTCTTTAATCACACTACCTATAATATTTCATTGTATTTACTTGATAAAAGATCCTCCTGTGTCACAAGATAATCCTACCCATAGTTTCCTCTGACACATATATCTCTGTCCAAAGTTCCCTCTGTCCTAGTGTAACCCCTGTTTATAATCCCCACTGTACCCCTTCCCTACAGATAACCTTACCCTGGGGCACAGCACTATCCTCCAAGTCACAGGGAGCTTCTGACCACAAAAAGAGAGGGAGAGAAGCCAATCTTAAGAGGCAAAGACTCCTGACCATGAAGAAAGAACGTTACCCTGAGGAGATTCCCAAAGTTAAACTAGCTCTACATGAGGATGCATTAAAGAACACTCATAACTTCAAGGCACCAAGAACAGTGGGAAATTAAGCCAGTGTCTTTGTAGTATATGTGCTTCCACCAATTCTACCTATTGCAAATTAGGAGTAAACAAAGGATACATGAATTACATTTTGAGTCTATGGCCTTTATTTTCATTACAGCACTACTGGTGTGTTGTTTTACTTTTCTCACATGTATTTCAAACATAAGAGAAGGCTGAATTAAAATTGGCATTTCCCTTCCCTCAAATTTCTCCTCTTCTAATATTCTCCATCTCAGCAAAAGGCACTATCTTCACAGTTGTCCAAGCCAGAAACTGGGGATCAGCCTTCACTTCCCTCTCATTCTCCATACCTAATAAATACAAAGTTTTTACCGTGGCATTCTAAATACAGCAGAAATCCATTTGCCCTCCTTGCCACTGCCATTTCTTTATCCAAATCTCTATCAAGCAAAAGTGGAAGTTTATTACACAAATATATCATATCACTTCCACCTCCTAATTCAAAAAATTATCCAGTGACTTTCCACCAACTTTAGGATGAACTCCAAAATCTTTACGATATTCATCAGAGTCACCACAATGGAAACCCTGCTTATCTATGCAGCCTTGTAATATGCTACTATCAGTTTCTGTTCTGAAATTTCAACTATATAGATCTCATTTTGATCATCCTTAGAACATAAAGTTATGTCTTGTATCAGGATCACCGAATGTGCTATGCTCTCCCTGAAAAATTCTGTAACTCACCTTTTAAAGTACACCTAAATGTCACTTGGTCAGTTATATCCTCCCTGGACCCTAAATTTATATAAGCCCCTGTATTCTTCTGTCATATATTATTCACAGTACACTATACCTTGCTTTATGTAGCATCCATAATTATTTCAATTGCATGTTATATTACTTTTTTCACACTACTGTAACAAAGTGCCGCAAACTGGGTGGTTAACAACAAGAGAAATCTATATCCCCCACAGTTCTGGGGTATATAAGTTGAAATCAAGGTGTTAGCAGGACCATGTTCTCTCTGCAGTTTCTAGGGGATTTTTTTCTTGTGTTTCTTCCTAGCTTCTGGGAACCAACTGCTGGCAATCCTTGGCATTCCTTGGTTTGTAAACAGGTCATTCCACTCTCTGCCTCCTTGTCACATGAGGTTCTCCTTTGTGACTCCATGTCAAGATGTCTCTCTATTTATAAGTACACCAGTCATTGGATTAGGCTCATCCTAATCCATTATGACCTCATCTTAACTTGATTACATCTGAAAAGACACCATTTCCAAATTTGGGGTCTCACAATTACTGGGGGTTAGGACTTCAGCATATTTTGCGGGGGAGGACATAATTTAACCCATAACCTGGTTAATGCTTATTTTCCCTCCCAGACTGTATATCTGATAATTAGGATGATCACATCATTTGTTATGAAAACCAGAACGTTTTTGAGACTGAAAGAGACAATATAATAATGACTCCAAAACAACAGCTGTAAACCAGAATGTCCTAATAGAGCTATCCACACTGTATTCAAAGCAAAGAAACCAGACACTATTGTTCAGTGCTCAATTCTGAGAGCTTGGAACACAATAGATGCTCAATAAACATCTGTTAAATAAATGAATAAAATGTACCAGTAAATGAGGAAATGATGTTTTCATTTATTAGACTGAATGCTCTCAGAAGAGAGATGGTCTGTACTAGATGATTAGAATTGAATACCAGTTGGCCAAGACAAAAAGGAGCTTGCTGGTTGCAAGCTGGAAAAGGGGAAGGTCAAAAACACAGAAGCATGAAGGCACTTGGTGTTATTAATAACTATGAAGTAAGCACAATGGGTCTGAGTATAAATCATAACAAATAGATTGTAAGTGATATTACAGCTTTACAAGCAAATCAGAAATATAATCAAATTGTATCAGACCATGCATATTAGGCAGGATTCTCCAGAGAAACAGAACCAAATGGGATATATAGAAAGAGTGAAAAAGCCAGGCTGGGAATTCAGGCAAGAGTTGCTATGGCAGTATTGAGTCTGAAATCCACAGGGGAGGCCAGCAAGCAGAAAACTCAGAAAGAGTTCTGTTACATTCTTGAGGCACAATTTTTTCTTTTCCAGGAAACCTCAGTCTTTGCTCTTAAGGCCTCCAACTAATTAAATAAGGTCTACCCCCATTATGAAGGGTAATCTGTTTTACTTAAAGTCAACTGATTGTAAATGTCACAGTAACACCTAGACTAGTGGTTGACCAGACAATAGGGCATCATAGCCTAGCCTAGTTGACACAGAAAATTAACCAATCACATCTTGTGTAGCAATTTAGTATTAAAACTTCATATAACTAACAGCCCATATTCCCTGAACTAGTTTCACTGAAATTAGAGTTTCAGGGTAAAATGCATTGATGAAATATTGGAATGAATTTCCTGGAGTCTTTAAATAAGAATGTATGTAAGAAGGGTTCATTCAGCTCTATCGTCATGGAGCTCTAGTAAACTCCTCTAAGGATAATGTTCTGTAACATGTTTTGGGAAATGCAGATATAGACAATGGGAGGCAACCAAAGTTTTAAGCATTGGATTTGCATGTTAGATTGTATTTTAGAAAGATAATTTCGGTAAAAACATAAAAGTTGGATGGGGTGATCGAGGAAGCTAAAAACAGAGATACAACCAACTATGGCATTCATGTAAGAAAGAGAAAATAAAGCCCAAAAGAAGAGCAAGAATCAGTAAGAATAATTATTAACATTTTAATATTTATCAAGGTATTCCAATCACACTGTTAAACAAAATGATGATGTAATAAAGCATGAGCTTAACTACACAGACTCCTCGACATGAACATTTTACGTTGAAATCTGAAAGCTCTGACCAGCCCTGTTAGGTATGGTAGGTGTTCCTAGCCAAGTTTTCTAAGCAAGAATCTTGTGTATTGGAATCCTGACATTTTCTCTTAGTCTACAGAATTTTACATTAGAATCATTTGCAACAAAGGAAAGGAAAGAAAATTTATTTTTATATATACATATATTTACTTGGTCAAAAGCATTATATTTCACCTAGATTAATGCCAGGAAATCTACTAATTGATAGAGCCACAAAAATACCTAAGACAGACTCTCTCTGTCTACAACTTATTCACCATAATGATTAGCCAGAATGTCTCACAACAAAAGTTAAACATACATAAGAATATCTTGGTGCAGAGGAAAGAAAAAGCTGTGGAGAAAAAAAAACTGGATTCAAATATTGGCTTTTGAAAATATGAGCAAGTTATTAATTTTCTCAAATTTTGGTGTCTTCCCATACAAAATTACCATCTATGAAAAAGCACACGGATCTAGATCTACATCCTGATTTATACTTTAGGTTGTTCTCATTGTTTTTAGTGATCCTAAAATAATTTTTAGAAAGTATGAGTAAACTGAAAATCCAATAACCAAAGAGACGTTGCACCTAGTGCCCTCCAATTTACCTTTGGGATAAAAAGTCTAGAGGTCCTTCTCCGTTCTTTCATTCATCACAGCATGAATTAATGCCAAGAGGATATACCACTGTTAACAGCTAACTTGAAAGAAAAGCATTGAAAATCTGATTATCCACCAGTAGGTTTTCCAGATGATGTTTTTCTATCTTTCTGGTAACAAACAAGGGCATTTTCATGGAAATTAAAGCTTGCATCAAAGCAAATGTCAAACTACTACAATGTTCACATTTTGTATTGGTTAATAACTGTCACATTTCTTCTGAGCAAGGTTTCTTCTGTGATACAAAACTCTTGTGTAATAAAGAATTATTCTGAATCTAGTGGTAAAAGATGTATAGTAAGGGGTCTCAAAATGGTTCATTAGTTGCCTTTTTCTCTTTCTTTTTTTTTTTTTTTTTTTTTTTTAAGACAGGGTCTAACTCTGTCATCCAGGCTGGAGTATAGTGGCATCATCACAGCTTACTGCAGCCTCAATGTCCCAGGCTCAGGTGATCCTCCCACCTCAGCCTCTGAAGTAGCTGGGACTACAGATGCACATCACCATGTCCAGATAATTTTTAAAATTTTTTGTAGAGACAGAAAAGGGTACCATGCCCAGCTAATTTTTGTAGAGATGGAGTTTCATCATGTTGCCCAAGTTGGTCTCAAATTCCTGGGCTCAAGCAATCCTCCCACCTCAGCTAATTCTTGCGTTTTCTCTAGAGATGAGGTTCCATCATATTGCCCAGGCTAGTCTCACACTCCTAGGCTCAAGCGATCCTCCCACTTTGGCCTCCCAAAATGCTGACATTACAGGTGTGAGGGCCCTTTTTCTCATTTTTATGTTAAGAAAATGTGAGAAAAGAGCCCATTAATGTTTCAGTTGAGCTAATTTTATAATCTCTAAAAATTTACTTCAGCAATATTTTACTTTAAAAAGCCAAAAATGAACATAAAAGAAGCTATCATTTTCAAATACTTTCTCCCAGCTCAGAATACACATTAGCATATAATAGCCAAGCATTATATTATAAATAGCAGAGTACAGTTAAAAAGAAAGAAAACATTTTAAGCCTTGGGTTTCTGGTCAAGTTTCATTAATTATTGCTTTGCAATAAAATGTTAAGTAATATCTGAAATGAAGGAAAGAGTGGATTCAATGTATCACATTTAAATTATAATGAATAAACCTTCACTTTTTCTAATACACAGATAATTAACCATGACGTTCCTGAAAAAAATGAAAAGGACAAATGTTAACTTTTAAAAATTATACCTGTCCTTTTTTTGTTTCAGGAAATGATTTGGATTAACCCAGAGGCAAAGGCTAAAATAATAATAATAATATTTTGCTTCACAATATAGAAGGGATAAAGGAGAGAAAAAATAACCCTTTATAAGGCACGAATCACCTGTGCTCTTTCACTGAGCTTCCAGATTTCACAAGCTGAGGAAAGGCTGACATTTCTGGACAAACAAAAAGAAGACCCCCTCGTTACAGTATCTTTTTTTTTTAATTTCAAAGGCTTAAAAATCCATTTTCTTTAGTCTTTGATTATATGCAGTTTCTAATTAGTGGAAGTATTATGAAATCTCAGACTGCTTTCCACATAATTCCAACAGAAAAAAATGCATTTGAAAGGAAATACTGTAAACAGAAAAAAAATGATACTGATTTAATAAGTTCTCAGCCTACAAGTTTTATCCATTTTTAACAGTAAAATGGTAAGAATTTCAGGAAAAATGATAATGATAAAAATAGCCTGTCCTCCAGAATCTCAGAATCTTTAAAATGGCCCTTTCTAGACATAATGCCATATTTTAGTTTTGAACCTATAAAAATGAAAATGTTCTCAGTGGCAGAAAAATCAATGTACTAAATGATGCAGGAAATCATTGGGCCTGATTTTATATTAGTTGATTGCCTCTATTTTATTTATCTCTTTTGTTACAAAGGGACCTACATATTAATTTTGAAATGTGTCTCATATTTTGCTTGAGATTATGACTGTTTCATATGGAAGCAATACACTTGTTAATTTGGTTTTCTATTCTTATTTTTGGGGTATTGAAATCTGACCACTTCATCAATCAAAAAATAAATCACCTTATTTTAAAAATTAGAAAAATAGGCCTCTGATAGTTTAGGTAATATGACCAGGATTTGGCAACTAAAGCTCTTAGCTACTTTTCTTTGGGAAAAAAATGAATGTTAGCAAAAAAGAAAAAAGAGAGAGAGAGATTCATTATTGAAGTATCATGTGATTGCAAAATTATGAAGAAAGAATATTTTTATAATAGTCTTCAAATAATTACCATTTGAGATGGATTTGTTTTTTACATTTTGTTTGGATGAGAGAATTCAGAAGTAATGATTGTATCAAAAAAATGAAAGTTTAACAGAAATACTAAATTTTAAGAGTTATTTGTTGATAATAAAATTAATGCTGATGGTAAAATTAAATGAGTATTTCATATTTCTAACAATATATGTATTTTAGGTTATGAGTTAACATTAAATTTTTCTGTCCAGTGTTTTAAGTATGTAAGGTGAAAATTAGAGTCAGAAGATCATTTTAGTGGAAATTTCTTAGGTTTTTTGTGTGTTTAAATTATGATATCAATAGAATACCATAAATTTTTTTGAGAACAGAAAATCCACACATAAATTACACAATCATCTCATATCTAACTTCATTTATGCTTACATTTTTCTGTCATCTATGTGGATAATTTACATATAGCATGATATTTAAACATTTACCTTATTACAACATAAGCATTTTTCAAATTTCCACAAACTTGTATGATTATGAGTATTGATGATTATGAGCATTCATATTTTTAATTATGATTATGAGTATTCATATTTTTATGATTATGAGTATTCATATTTTTAATTATCAGTAACACTGAAATGAACACAATTGGGTTTGTTCTATTGCTTAATTAGTTGAGGATGATTTCCATAAATTAGGTTTTGAAGTTACAGGTATCAACATTTTCATGTTTATTTTGTGTATTGTTATACGGCTATTAAAAAAATTAGCTAAATTAATAGAACTAATGGTTGTGTAAAAGGTCATATACCTTACCACATTCTCAATCTTATTTTGGGTTTGCCTTCTTAAATAACTGTTTAGTAATCATAAAATAATAGATAAAAAGGTAGGCTCAATATTTGTTTTCCTGACAATTAAATGAGAAATTTTGTCAGGATTCTTCATTTACTTTATGTAGTGTTATTAGAATTCACTATTCTTAACCTTTGCTCCTATATGTTGAACTCCATGTTTTTCTTTTAAATTGTATGTTCTTCTTATGCCATAGATATGATATATGCCATAGATATGCCATAATAGACATAAGTGTTTTTCCATTGGTTAAAATTTACCAAAAACAAATTTTTATTTCTTTTTTTGTCTCATCACCAATGAAGCTGCTTGGTTCCAGAGGACCCAAAGACAAGATGAAGGCTCTGATTTTGTTTGCAATCATTTTGGTCTTTACTGCTTACCTCACAGTTATATAAAATATTTTACATATATTTATTTTCTTATTCAGTTCCTAATCATAAGGGGTACATTCAGTTCATTGTTTTATGCCAATGTAGCTTTATACTAAATGTACCCTGTTTTTATTTTATGTCTAATACCTTAATTTAAATTCCTCTATGATCTTTTGTTGACCTTAGAATGCAATCTTAATATTTTTCTTTTCCCACATACTGATAGGTCTTTAGAATTCCAAACACATGTAAATTGGACATTGTAGTGTTGTGATTTTTAAGTTTTTAAGGTACTCTGATTCTACCTCTGCAGGAGCACTCCTAAATAAAATTTAGTTCTTGGTGGACTCTCCAGAAAGAAAAATCTGGGAAGAAGAAAACTGATCATAAGAAACACTATCAAATGAATATGCAACCACATAAAGAATTCCACACGGATCAAATAAATTAAGAAAATCTAGACATGGTATTAACTTCCAAGCAAGAGCACGTGCTTGCTATCCCATAATGTTTTTAGATTTGTTAACCTAACACCTGCACCTAAATAACATTATCTAGAGGATGAGAGGGACATTGTCTAAGACTTACTGCTGCGAACATAATCCAGTATCATTTCATGAACAAACAGTGTCTTATGGGCACTGCTAATTATGGGAACTGCCTCTTCTTCTCCTTCCCCATGCTAAAATGCAGCCAGGATGATTTCCCATCCCATGAAAAACCCTATTCCAGAACTTCTTTGGACCACTCATTTTTCTCTTCCATAAAAGACAGGTTGGTTTTTTTTCTTACACCAACTCCATAAAGATGCTTGTAGTAGTAGCATAGTGGTCTCCAGGCTGGACACCTGAGTGAATGGTAGTTATAATGATAAAGGAAGCCAAATCTAGCAGTACTTGGCCACTGGAGACCAGGTGCCAACACACTCATGTGAATGTGGAGGAAAAGGAATCCTTCTGCTAAAAGGATTCAAGAAAAATACATCATCCTTATTCCACAGACTGTGCACCCTTTAAACTGTTAGAATGTTGCTCATGCAATGATGACACCAGAAATTCTAAAACTGTATTTCATTCTATTCATCCTAAGGCAAACATATTTTGCCCTCATACCTGACTTACAATCACTACTCTTCTCAAAATGTCATATGTGCTCTGGATCTAATTTTTTAATGTTTGTGTTTTCCATCTCATTTTAGTCTGTTGATGCGCATAAGAAAACACAAAGTAAGTTTTATTACATTTCTGGTTATGTTTTTATATTTTCAATCATAATCAAAACCCATTATGTCTGACAAGTTGATAATGTACAAATATTTTATTTCCAACCAAAGAAAATGTTAAGAGACAGAGCCTGAATATCAAAGTTTAGGAAACAAATGGGAATAGCTGTGTAAGCACCAAAATCTTGCCTCAGTTACCTGCCTCTTGATATGTATTAATCTGCAATGGGAGTAGGAAAACTTAGTTCATGAAATGCAATGCTTTCCTAGCTATCAGTTCCAAAATTAATATTTCTTTGTTCAATGTAGATATATTTTCCTTATACATGTTGATGGTTGATGGTTTTTTAGATAAGGCACATTTTCTATGATCCTGCAAAAAAGCGAAAACTCTTTATTTTCTTAAACTCAGTGGTGTCCAGTAAAAAAGGGGAGAAAATCCAAAATCATCTGGAAAGACTTTTCAAAATTCCAAATCCCTGCGTCCACCCTCTGCCATTTCTAATTGTCATAACCCCACCCCACGTCAGACTGGAGGTGGAATGCACAGAAGGATGTGTTACCTGAAAATACTTGTCATAACATCCTGTTAGATCCCTCTTCTCCTTTTTCCCCACAACCAGACATGTACTCTAAAGGAAGCCTTAAAACCAAAAAAAAAAAACAAAAAAAGTTATCCTGCCTCTAATCCTGTGGAATATACATTTCTAAGTTTAACGACCCAAATTGTTCTAATATTCAGAAGAAAAAAAAAAACATTCCAAACCTGCCTTGAAAATTTCAGCAATGTACTTCTTCTCCATTCTCTTTTTTTCTCCACCCCTTCAGCTTCATCACCTTATAATTCTCAATGTGAAATAATTCTGAGAAATGGCCAGATACCTGTAACAGGATTGGTCTGACAACCTCCATTCAGTGAAACCTAGACCAATCTGTGAATATTCAATTTGTCTCAAACACTGATCATTCCATAGTATCCCTGAAATCAGCTACTCACATCTACCTAACTGTTGGAGTTGTAAGTAGGGAAGACAGAAGCTGCAGAGTAGGATATTTTTCTCACTCACTGATCACTGATTTATATTATTATATCACGTTTCCTTTTGATTGCCTAAAGGTAAATGTAGCCACATATACCAAGGCATCAATTTGGGAAATATACATGAGATCTCACATCTACAGAGCAATAAAAATCTTGAAAAGGGTCAAGAGAAGAGAAAACAACATTGTTAGAATGTTAAAGCAGGCTTCTAGTTAAATTAATTTATCCTAAAGGTTGAGTGGCTCCTGGGTCTTCCAGTAAAGATCTACGGGAGTATGAGATCTATTCAGTGAACAGACAACACTGTCAGAGTCACATGGCATGGGAGCACCAGAGCCCGAGGAATGAGTCTTCCCCCAGTAGTCCACACTATCAGACACTCCAAATTCAGTCTAAAAGATATTGGCATTAGGAATATGTACAACACAAAAATAGATGAGAACTAATGCTTCATAGAGAGGAAGGTGAAGCATCATATTTGAACTTCAAGAATTAGCCTCTGCCAGTGAAGACGAAATGAGAGAACTGAGTCTAATCAGAAATGCTCAGGGAATGTCATGTCAAAAGTCTGTAACTGAAACGAATTAAATCAAAGTGTCCTTTGTGTTATTTAATTAAGACTTTCACAGGGTAGAAATGCACTGACTCAAGGTAATTCCCGCTTTTAGTGTCTGTGATTCTGTGCAATGAGTCAGCCACATAGATTCATGGAATGTTTTATCAATCTCATTGTATTTTCAGCTCTATGAAAGGGGACAATGAAAAGTTTATCTTTATTCAGAGCAGTAAAATGCATTATACTTTTTTACAGGATGGAAATTAGAACAGATTTCTCAACAAGTGCTCCACAAAACACTAAAACACTAGTATGAAGAAATGCTACAAACACACACACAAAATTTCCATGATTAAGTAAAATTGAGAAATATCGATATCCCTTGGATATTCTAAATATCCACTATATATTATGTTAACAATTGCAATAAGTCCTACAGTAAAGAAACATGTTTTACTTTACCCAAAACCTTTCCAAAGTTATTTGGTCACCAAAATTTTCACAACATAATGCGTATTATGGAACGTATTTTGGAAAAACCTGTAATAAAACTATCAAACTTTGAGCACAGTAGGGACACAGTTTACTTCATTTATATCTCACCCAAAATCATAATTAAAAATGCTGTATGAGATGGGTATATTATTCTATCAACTTACTTATGAAATGAATTTAGAATAATTGTATAAATGTAAATGGTAATATAAATACATATTTAAAGCTTGACTTTAGTTTATGCATCCCATCTGTGTAAAAACAATTATTTGCTTGTTTTGTGTTCTCTCTCTGAAGTCTAGCCATAGTTCTGAAAAGAATTTTAAACCACTGAAACAAAGTCCTGGAAAGCCAAACTACAAGCAGTTTATAAAATTTGAAACAGTTCCTGTGGTTCCCCTTGGTCTCCATCATCTCTTCCACCATCAAAGCCCTCATCACCCCAACCACCCACATTGTCCATCATCTGGACCTACACAACCACCTGAGAATGATGTAAACCCTAGTTCTCAAGCACTGCTAGCCACCTCTGCTCCTGCAACTGTTGTGGCCACCACGGCCACTCCCATTGCCTCTACCAGCAAAACTACAGGTGCCATTTCCAACACCACAGCTCCCAGCAGGCTCCAATCTGAGGCTGTCACAAACACTGCGGCAACTGAGTCTAACCCAGCTGAGGTGGCTGACACTGCCCTTGCCAACCAGCAACAATAGTTTTAGTACATTCTGCAACTGTCTGAGACTACAATACCAAATCATGAGAAGATAAAAGCAAACCAAGAAAATGTTTTCCAAAATATTTTCTGAGTAACTTTGAGGTGTGTCTGGCCACAATCAAAGAGAAAGATAAACAAATAGTTCCTAACTCTGGCATATGAATTAGAAGCTCTTATTCCCCCTCTATTTCACAAACTACATTTGGTCTCCTTAAGTATAAGTCATATCTATAAACCTGATGCTGGCTGATTCCCACAAAAGAAACACACAACTAAAGGATCACCAAATGTGCACAAGATTTTGCTTTTTTATCCCAGTTCTAAAATATGTTTTATTTTCCTGGAAAAGCTTACTTTTAATTAGGGTTTTCATAAATTAAAGTTAGTTTGGACTTCAATATTTATTAAATTTCACATAGTGCACATTCCACATAGGAAGTCTTCCTCACTCTTTCAGCATCCGCCAACAATAATAAGACAAAAAAGGAGTAAAGATTGTAGGAAATATTATAATTATCCTTGGGAATAGTAATATAAACAAAACCCAACCAATACAAGAGCTCTCTTGCTATAAACAATGACTGAATCACACACATCATGATATAACATGATCATTCAGAAACAATATCAAAGAAGTAGGAGATCATATATTCATCTTATTTTTGAATATAGCAGCTTCTAATTATAAATATAAATGGGAAGAATTATCCTAACTATAGAATGTAAAAATCACAATGATAGATGCCAACTGTTGAACACTTAGTTCAGATGTTGGAGCATTAAATATTCCTATTGAATTTAATTTTTTTGTTTTTTTTGAGAAAGAGTCTCACTTTGTCACCCAGGCTGGAGTGCAGTGGTGTGATCTCAGCCCACTGCAACCTCCGCCTCCCAGGTTCAAGCAATTCTCCTGCCTCAGCCTCCCAAGTAGCTGAGACTGCAGGAACGTGCCACCACACCTGGCTAATTTTTTGTGTTTTTGGTAGAGACGGGGTTTCACCATGTTAGCCAGGATGATCTCGATCTCCTGACCTCATGTCTGCCCACCTTGGCCTCCTAAAGTGCTGGGATTACAGGCATGAGCCACAGCGCCTGGCCTTGAATCTAATTTAATACTCATATCAACCCTGTGAAACCAGTCTTGTGGACTTCTTTTTAAAGATGAGGGTACTGAGGCTATGAGAATTTATGTGACTTTCCAAAGACCACAAAGTCATAAATGGTAGACCAGTCTTCAAATTCACATCCATTTAACTCTAAAGTTGCAGCTTCTAATGTCCTACGCAGCATTTGGCTATTTTAAAACAATTCGAGAGGGTAGAGTTTATGTACCTTTAGTTAATGGCTCATGATATTTTGTTCTGTTTTTACAGATCCTGAAAAACTGAATATTGATATATTTGTGATCACCTTCTCTCAGCATTTTGTTTTAACAAAAATATAGGAAGAGGTATAAAAATACAGAGATATGATTATTTCTGTTTTTTCTTTCATCTTGCTACACCATAAAATCTTTCAAAGATAAACCTGATTTATGCATTTGATTATATGTGTATTGATCTCTTCTTTATTCCTGTAGAATGACAGTGCTAATACCAGCACATTTATCCTATCAAATGTTTCTGTAACACACAAAGTAGGTGTCAAAAAAAAGTAAACTCTTCACAGACTAAAAAAAAAGGTGTTTAAAAACCACCCCATATAATGTTAATATATTACAAATCTTACAAATCAATTTTCTTTTTGATATAAAACATAAGTACATGTAGTCATAATAAAACACATCTATAAACATACAATTATATTTTACATAAATGCACAATATAAAATTACACATATGAGAGCTACAAAAAAAGGTGAAGAAATGGCAGTCCTACTCTCAAAGGGATCATAGTCTAAGTGAGACATTTTCAAAAAGCACAGAAAAAAGTAAGTTAAATTCCCACAGATCTACAGATATTCTTTCCCAATTGCTACTTCATCCACTAAAGAAGTATTTTCACCAGAGATTGTTTAACCAAAATGTTGTACCATCTCATATATCATTTCATCCAGTGATATATTAATATTAGGTCAATATCTAGTTGATAAATTCACCCCCGTGATTTAGTAAAACTTACCTAGATTTAGGACAGGGAATATAAGAGTACAAATACAAGAGCATTATTCCTCACAACACAAGTTCTCCTGGATATTGATGGGTATGAAAAAAGAGGAGAGGAATAAGAAGGAAGAAGAGAAAAGTAGAATCATGTGAGAAACCTGAAGGAAAAAGAGCAAACAGCAGATTAAAAAGGGAGCATTCAGAGGTGAGAGAACTAAGAAACTTACATGAAAGCCAAGCAGAGAAAAAGGTTTCAGAAAGAGGGTTAAACACTTTAGAAGAGAGAGTAAGAAGGAAAATAAAAATAGAAGTATAAAGAGCAAATGCTTGGAAATGGCAAATGTTTGGAAATAAGAGTTTCATCTGTTGCCATTTCTCTCTTCAGATTTTCCTATAAGTCCTGTTTTTGCTATTCACCCATACTTCTTTGTCTCCTATCCCAGGTTCAGTGTTAATTAGGTACATCTCAATTTCCATTTCATTGCCTTGACTCACACATCTTTATCATTCTGAAAGAGCCTTCCAATTATCTCCACTTACCCTACTTGACTCAATTACCAACTTCTTACTGAAATCTTACATGACTCATGGATATCAGCTTGACATTGCTCTGTCCTTCAGTCTTCATATCTAGACCATCAAAAGGATCTGTTGATTATGTCCCATGAAAATATCTTTATTCTGTCCACTTATCCATCCATAGCCCCTTTGCCACTACGCAAGTCTATCTGGACAACTGTAGTAACAGCCTTTTAACAGGTTTTTCTCTCTTAAGTTTCACTTGCTAAGATCCACTCTCCATACTGCTCTAGGGCTCAGAGTCGTCAAAATAAAAAATACTCTTCAGAGAACTCTATCTGAATAAGTGAATTAGGTACTGAAATAAGAAGTGATTTCCTCATCTAGACTAGTGGTTTTTGGCTAGGGATGATTCTGTCCCCCAGGGGACATTTGGTAATGTTTGGAACATTTCTGGTCATCACAGCTGGGAAGATGCAATGGACACCTAGTGAGTAGAGGCCAGAAAGGCACAAAACAGATACCCACAACAAAGAATTACTTGACCCAAAGTATCGATAGTGCCAAGGCTGAGAAACCCTGCTCCAGACTATACTCAACTTTGTATTCTTCAAAAATAAGTGTTAAGGCATTGAGAACATCAAGTGTGATAGATTTACTGAATTATGGCCCAACTTTTCACACTTCCCTTTAAGAAAGTCCATTGATTCCCAAATGTCCATCAATGATAGACTGAATTAAGAAAATGTGGCACATATATACCATGGAATACTATGCAGCCATAAAAAAGGATGAGTTCATGTCCTTTGCAGGGACATGGATGAAGCTGGAAACCATCATTCTCAGCAAACTACCACAAGGACAGAAAACCAAACACCGCATGTTCTCACTCATAGGTGGGAATTGAAGAATGAGAACACTTGGACACAGGGTGGGGAACATCACACACTGGGGCCTGTCAGGGGGTGGGTGGCTGGGGGAGGGATAGCATTAGGAGAAATACCTAATGTAAATGATGAGATGATGGGTGCAGAAAACCAACATGGCACATGTATACCTACGTATCAAACTTGCATGTTGTGTACATGTACCCTGGGACTTAAAGTATAATAATAAAAAAAGAAAGTCCATTGGTTGTATCCTCTTGCACTGTCTCTGGGCCTGACAATTGGTAATTTTTTTTTTTTTACCAGAGGACAACACTACACTAATCAAACTTGAAAAAAGCAGAGGTTTGAAAAAACATTTGCACATTTCTGTTTTTTTTCTTTTGAACCCCTCACATCACCATGAAAACATGCCCAGACTAGCTTGAGGAAAGTAAAAGACATGTGGAAGACAGGTGAGCTGTCCCAGCCAAGGTCATCCTAGACCAATCAGCCCCCAGCCAATTCACCAGCTGAACACAGCACATAAGTAAGGCCAGATAAAAATCAGTCAGGCCTGGCTAATCCAGGAAACCTGCCCAGTGATCACACTAGTATTTTTAGTAAGAAATACTCAACAATTGCCGTGTTAAGTCATCAAGTTTTGCAGTGGTTTGTCATGCAGAAATAGCTAACTGATACACTGAGAGATCCCAAAATCAATCTATATCTCAGGGTCCCATTATTTACCAATCAAGATCCTAAAATGGGCATTGCAGATCTGCCTAGATTGAGCATAAATCTTTTCCAGAAATTTGCTGTTCTTGTGACTGAGTCCTAGTTCTGCTCTTCAGATGCTTCTGCCTTCACCTATAGGAAAGCATAGTTTATACCCATGCTCTGAGGAAGATTTCTTGGCCTTCACATCTATCCTTTAATAGCCTTTATTTATCTTCTTCCGAAAGCAACAATTGCTCCCCAAAACAGCTTCCAGTTAAAACGAAAGAAATATTTTTCTTGTCTATTTTCCTCCTTTCAATTGGATTCTATTGGAATGTTTCTCAAAGAATACTTTATGAAACATCTGCACTGAAAGTATTTATGGTGCCTACTAACACTGCAATTTCCTGGGCCCTAACCTAAACCAAAATAATCAGAACCTCAGCCAATGGATCTTTGAATTTTTAGTTATCACCAACCTCCAGGTGGTTATTAAGCACATTAAGACTTAGCACAAATATGTGAGATCTTGAAGAGGCCCAATAAGAGATTAATGACAATGAAACTGAGGCATCAGGACTTCTTTGCTGAGGTTCTTCTAAGGTAAGGCCCCCTGAACAGATACAGCAACGTGTTCAAAAAGTCATGTGTTTTTATAAAATTTGAAAAAGCAGGATATTTTAACTGCCATTGGCTAACATTGCTTTTTCTTAATTTTCCGATTTTTCCACGAGCACACCTCCCCTCATATCAGGTGGACTTTGGATAGCTCTGACCATTTTGTATTCATGATTTCTCTTATAAGGTGGCCTTGCAGTGGTTGTAGGAATTTTCTAATCATAAAGCTGTATTGTTTTCCTTGTAGTCAGTGCCCAAATTATATAAGCTTCAGGTCTCTCTAAACCTAGATCTGCTTGTAATGGGGATGCCAGGGAGCTATTCAATTTAACTTTGTCATTTTACAAAGGAAGAAAATAAAGCTCCAAGAGATTAATGAACATTTCCAATGCCATGCTAGTAACAGATGGCAAAGTCAAACAGTAACAATACACTGTTTCCTCCTAAATATAAAGCTGTTATTTAAGGCATTTGTACTAACTTTTAGGTAATCCCTCATTATTTTTAATAGACTTCATTTTTAGAGTCCTTTATCATTTTTAAGTAATAAATTCATACCAGTAGACTGTATATAATTTTAGGAATAACTTTATTAAACAAGCCAGACATGATCTTACTACTAATTCTGCCCCTCTCCGATGTTCTTTCTTCATTTAAATAACTAAGACATTAACATCTTGCAGTTAGTTTGTATATTAAATGACAAAATAAATATACCATGGTTCACCATATAATAAATGTATTACACTAATGGTTTAAAAAATTTTAAGTACTTGATGTAATTTACAGAGAAAACTTGTATATGACTAGATTTGTTTTTGTAAAAATAATATTATGGCAAAGAAAATATATTTTTAGAATTGAGATGAATCCAGGAATATTCCCCAAAAGAGATTTTGAAAGGGGAACTGAATTTATGTGGTTACATGGATGAGGCTATCAATCTAGCAAAATTCTGATTAAAGGGCAATTGAATACTTGTTTACATTCACAAACTGGTGACATCCAGGTTATACTATAAAGACCACTTTCACATTTACTATAGAAAAATACACCTCCTGCTTAAAAACATTAGGAAATTTCCCCCATGGCTCTCAGTGGAAAAAAAAAAAAAGCTACTTTTCTTGAGAAATTATCATGATTATATTTTATGGACATTGTAAATGTTTCATCTGATTTCTTCTTTTTATAACTTTGGCTACTTGGAAGCTCAAGGCAAATTTGTTGCCAACTTTCAGAAAGTTTACAGACCTATGTGATGTGGGTTTCTTGCAGTATCCATACTGCACAAGTCAGAAAATAACTTTTCTTCAGTCTAAAAGCGCTATTGTTAATTACATTTCATCATGTTAGACTTCAATCCAAAAGAATACATATTCTCTCAGAGTTCAGTGGCATTATTGATATCCTACACAACAATATTTCCACAGAAATTTTTAAGGTAATCTGTAAACTCTAAAGCTTGATAAATATTCAAGGTGGCATTACCCCAGAAACCATATCACCTCCTTCTGAATAATCTAGAAGAAGTACATACTTTCCATAGGTCCAAAGAAACTATCATTATTGTTCTATTTTAGGGGAAATGAGTGTAATACAATAGGAAAGCAGACTTCAAATATGTTGCTGCATGACTCAACTTAAATCTGCTAGTCTACCTATATTAGGGAAATATTTTCCATCTGTCACATAAATCTCTGCACTAACAATAATTTTTCTTTACCGTCACTTTGAATTTTCTGGGACCAGAGACATTAGCTCCTTTAGGTATTGTTCTAGTAAGTACTCAGTCAAGATCTTTTAAAGCCATATAAGTTAATTAAAGATTAACTGGAGTAACTGTTCCTTTTTCTTAACAGACGTGTGCTTCCATTTGTTTGTGTTCCTCAAATTCTTTGTTGGTCACAACCCACTCAGAAATTGTCCGTTGGTTTTGCCAGCGTTCATCCTAAGTCCCTCAGAGCCAGTGATCCATTACAATGTAGATCACACCTCGACTTCAAACATTTGGCTGATGAATATGTTGGCATCAAAACAAGAAAGAAGAGACATTCATCTTTTGACACACTGAATTACTGTCAAAGAAAGAAGTGAAAATTTCTATGTTAATTAGGAATAGAACCATTTTCACTGACGTTTGGGCATGTAATCATTCAGCAACATATTAAGGGCTAAGATTAGCAAACCAGGAATATATTGTATTACACTTAATTATGTCATCAGAATTTTTAAAGGCAGTGAAACTCCAACAAAGTAAATGAAATTAAGTACAGTCATTCAAAACTAACATCAACTCTGAAAGTGTGACTTCTTAATTTCTACATCACCTATGACTCACAAAAATTTTAAAACACTAATCATTTAGATATGCTGTAACTTCAGCAACTTGCACTCTGTCTTACACCCACAGGTAGCTAATAAATGTTAGTAGGAAAGATAAAAGGAAAAGGGAAGGAAGGAAGGAAGGAAGGGAGGGAGAGAGGGAGGGAGGGAAAGGAAAGACGGAGGGAAAGGAAGGAAGGAAAGAAGGAAGGTCCTAATCTCCATGACTTAGAAATTATAAATATAAACATTTTAAATATATATTTTTAAATGAAGAAATTGAGACACAATAAGGCAAAATATCTTGTCTCATATAACCCAACAAGGAAGTATTGTTACTGTGCTTTGAAGTGGAATGAACTATTAAGTTCACTTGATTCATCTCTCTGATGTACTGTAACACAATGTTAGTAAAGTGTATGGTGATTGTTAAGATTAGGGAGGTAATATGGAATACTGGTTAAAAAAATCACTTAGGCCTTGAAGTGGGCTGACTTAAGGTCAAGTTCCGCTCAGCTAATTAGCATCTCTGTATAAAACTGAGATGATAATAGAACTCATTTTAACCTGCCACATGGAATATGCTAGAGGCTCAATAAATAATAGCTGTTATTATGATTATATAATAATGTATTAAAACGAGAGTATAAGATCATCCAGCATAGGAAAAATTATCCTCAGTGCCTAGATTTATCAAAAAGACAAGGCTATAAATTTCCATTAGACATCCACTTCAAAGTAAAAATATCTGTATAATTTTCCCATAATCAAATCTTTGCATGTCATCATATTTTCATTTAATTAAAACTCTCAAGTTAATAACAACAGGGACCACATGATTTTTAAAACACGGTTGTTCTCAGTTCTTCACTGACAAAAGGGAACTTCCTATAGAAAATACAAAAGATGGCCCATTAAATAAAATAGAAAATACAAAAGATGGCCCATTAAAATTACTCGGGATAGAAAAAGTTGGTGCTTTTTCTTTAAAATAAAGAGGAAATGGTGCGCCACAGGCCCCAGATTGTTTCCCTGAAGTGAGAGGATATTATTTGTTGAATCTGTTTCCCCAGGAAACAACAAATATTGAACAGGTCAATGCTTTTCAGAAATGAGACCCAAAAAATGCGGAAAAAGACTGCCAAATTGGCAAGAACAACTTTCCTATCTTTGTTTGAAGAGCATCAGCCCAGAAGTTATTTTATTTCCAAGTAGCCTTTCTTTTACTGCCAACAGAAATCTTTTGCAATATATAAGAACTGAAGTTTCTTGTCTCTTTTCACCTTTATTTTCTGTCTTTCAACTGGCAAGAGTCATTTTGACCAGCAGGTTAATCAACTCTAAGACAGATCCTCACGCAAAGGTATGTACCTGGAAATATTAACTGAAGAAATTTTTTCTCAGACTTTTCATGAGCTTTTTATAGGACATTCATTATCACCAAAAACATAAGCACCTTCACCTTATGTAAAATTGTAAGTCGTTAAACATATCAAATCTTGAAAAATTATGTTATTCACATGTCAGAGTAAAGCATTCATGTTGGGCATTGAGGACAATTAGTCCACCCAAGTACACAATTGACTTTTCCCCTTGATGTTCCTTAAAGTTCTTGAAACTTCATAATGATAGATTATTCTCAGATGTACTCTAAAAGAGGGAATTGTTCCACAGTATATGTTTATTATTAGTTTTTCTTTTGTTTTTCAAACTTCTTATAAGAACGGATCCTGGGAAAAGTAATCCTTAAGGGAATAGCCACACCCACATACAATTGAATATCCAGTGAAATTTTGTCCATATGATTCTTTCAAAACTTGCGTTGTTCAGACAACACACTCAACCTATGTGCAGAGTTGACTGTCAGGAAGCCATTTGTACAATGGTGCATGGAGTTGCTTTCCCAGAACTCAAGCTATCAGGTACTTGAAATATTTCACAAATTGTGAGCCAACTGTGAATAAAATATCTGGACTCCTCCATATTCTCTGACTTGGTCTTTGATCTACCATATACGGATTTTTGGAAGCACTTTGAGACCACACATCACAGACTAAATTAATTTAGTGGAATGTTGTTAAAACTAGGAGATATATAATATGACTCTTTTTTTCTTACACTACATCAAACAGAGTGATTTCTTTCTTTTCCTTATTTTTGAGATATCCCAAGGAATTACACTAACATATGATCTAGTTAATATGTTAATATTTCAAACCCAAGCCTATAGAAATCTATAAAACAATGTACCTGCTATTTAAAAATGCAAAAGTATTCAAATGTAAATAATTGTACATGTCAAAGTAGTTACCTCTAAAGGCAAAAACTGTAGTTACAAAAGCTTCTATTGTTCAATCATTTATGAACAACTCTTTGGCATTATCTCCAGTATCAGTTTACAAGTCAAAAATAAAAACTACTTCCACTATTTTGAAGTCAAATTTTATAAGCCTACTAATGTTGTCCCACAGTAATACTGAATCCAAAATAATGTTAGGCAAATTTCCTAAAAAGGCTACAGTAGTATATCTGTACTACATTATATCCATGTGTTGAGACATTTTAAATAGTACTTTTTAATAAAAAACAATCATACTGATCACCTATTGTGCTTACTTTCAGAGGCAACTGAAAGGATGAAATCACTGACTTGGATCTTGGGCCTTTGGGCTCTTGCAGCGTGTTTCACAGTAAGTATCATTAATCACGATCACACATCTTTATACTTTCTCATTAACCATTACTTCAGATTTCTTTTTACATTAATGATGTTACCTTTTCTTATATATTAGTAACTATTAACCGTTGATGAAACACTGTTCTAGTGGTTAAATTTAAATTTAAAATCTAATTTAATTTAAATAGCCCCATATGTCTGATGGCTACAATACTGGACAGCTCAAGTCTGTAATATCAGACTGCATTAAACAGATAAGTATAAATGTAGGTCCCCATACTCTAGCAATTACACAATAGGTAAAACTCTATAAAATGAGATAGTTTAAAGTAGTTGTTCCTAACATATGGAGTCACCTAACTCACTTATTAAAAATATAGTATTAAAGTCCTCATCCAAGCCTGAATAATAGGACCTGGGAAGATGCATTTTGCAGAGGATTTAGGAGAATCTTTGCATGCTAAATTTTGAGGAAATAATAAACATTTATAGTAACACCTACCATATATTAAAAACTAGGTTAAGGACAACTACCCTTATTGTCCTTAACCTAGTGTTTCAGAATTTTTTAATGCATATTTTTAAAAGTAATAGAATGATACTCAATTTCAACAGAAGGGTCAATTAATTCCAGTGTTACAAAGAGGAGATTAATTCCAGAGTAACTTCTCCCAAAGTACCATAAAATCTATTATATCAAATGGGAAAATATGAAAGCTGATTTTTTAGAAGACTATGACTTCCACAAAGCAGGCAACATAAAATTATATCATTCTGAAACATGAAACATAAAATAATACCTCTTTCTTCTACTTTTAAAAACTTGAATAAAAACAGGACATTCTGAGATGACTGAAGTATTCTGACTTTGGCCACCTTCCTGCATGCATTATGGGTGGACATAATTTTTGATAAGCCAATAAAACATATTGACATCCGTTAAATGTCATGTCTTAATGACTTCATCATAAAGCTGATTTTCAACATTTTCACATCCTCAAAATACAAGAGAAAAACATTTTATTCAGGCTTTTATTATACAAATAGTAACTTTTTACAAGATAAATTAGAAAAACAGAGCTTTCCAATAATATAAGCAGTTTAAATAGAAATGAGCCTTTTTCCAGTTGATATGATAATGATGATTAATAATTACTGAACATTGGAAATGTGAAGGGTAGCATGTCCTTTGCATATACATATTTGTAGATGGGGTAAGTCATCATATTCAGCCTGTTACCTTTTGAGTGTTTTCTCTGTTATAGGTAATTTTCCAAATGCATTACATACATTATCTCTTCTTTAATCCTCAAAGCAAGTCTCACTATTTTTAATCTCACTAAAATACAAATAAATTTAGATTCAAATTATGCATGTCTTAGCTGGATTATTGCTAAATTGAATAATGTAGGAGATTAACATTAATTATAGCCCTTTGAGAGGGGAGTGTTTCTTCCTAATATAGTATTTTCATCATTTTCATCATTTTACTTTAGCCAGTTGTGGAAAGGGAGCTTATCACTGCGATTGGGTTAAGAGAACAGGAAAAGAATAGATATTTACTATGAAGATTTTTCATTACATAATATTTAGATCAACATCGGTATATCTTTAGGAAAAGGTACTTTCAGCTAATTTTTTAATTGTCTCAACAATAAAAATGTGTGAAATATTTTTCCATACTAAGGATTTGTTTTCTTGACAATAAAAAATCAAATCCTGAACTTCCACATAACCTGACTAGTCCTTGGATTGGCAGCCCTTGGGTCAAACACCCTGCATAACAACTTGAACCATCACTAGCTAGAGAAGACAAATGCAAGGCTGGTCCCACAGAAGTGCCTTGGAATTTTTTGTTTGTTTCATTGGTGATATGAATAAAACTTTTACCGGCATGTTAAGGGCAAAAGCCAGGTTGAAGAGCAAATGGGAAGTGAGAAGTGGGGTTGGCAAATTTAGAATACTCTTTCATAGAGCTTTGCTTTGCAGGAAAGAGGTGAAAAGGAGGTCACAACAACAAGGGTATTGGTGGTTGAAACTGAATCTTTTATAAACAGGGAAATATCAATTTATATTTATTTCCCAAATGATGTCTTCGACCTCTCTGTACGTGTTAGGTGAAAGCGGCAAGATTAGAATCAAGAGGTCAAATCAACGGGCCCTACAGTAATTTGGGTAAAAGTAAATGACAGATGAGAATGAAAGCAAGAAAGATGATAAGAAGTGGTTAGATTTAGAATTCAGGGAGTGGGATGAAGAGCTGATAGGATAGGGAGAAAAAAAATTGAGTTGAACATAAATGATAGTGTTTTTCTGAAGAAAATGAGCTAATTAAATGGCAGATATTACTTGCAGAAAGTAAAAGAGAAGACTGACAGAGCCAGGTCCCTCAGAAAACAATTATAAAGAAAAAGAAACTGTCTAGCTATCAATGACTCCATGGTTGTGTGGCCAGTAAATCAGGGAAGTTCGTTTCTAATTGCCTGAAATATCTTGGTGAAGCAGGAGAAAAGCCAGTTTGGTGGGGGTAGATGAGAGCTCAGGATGAAGTGGAGAATGTTTATAAAATTGGCATCAACTTGGAAAATTACAGGCCTCTGGGGAAGTGGGAAGAGATAATCTAAGGTAAGATACTCAAAAAAGGATTTCAGGCAGCACTGAAGGACGCTAACTTTCTGATGGTACAGTGCTTGTGACATCCTCTAGCATTGTTAAGAACCTGGAACTAGGAATCCAGGAGAAAGATGGTTTACCGTAATACTAAAGTTTAGGATTAGCAAGGGTAATGGCCAGACAAATAGGTGAAGGGACTGAGAACCACAAGAAGTGAATGTAGTTTTGTGCCCTATATAAACCATCTGCTCCAAGCAACCTGGAGTTCTTGCCGTCAGTAGAGTGGAACTTCATTCTTACCCCAGAGCATTTGCATATTTTCCTTCTATTTGGCATGCTCCCTCCTTATTTTGTATTCTTTAAGCCTCTTTTCAATAACTCCTTATCACAGAGACAATCCTTTATCATTTTCCTATCCAGAACTGATCTCTTTAAATCCCTAATGTATTTGTTCCTTGCACTACTTTTCAGCTATTTTTAGATTTTTAATGGAGATGGGGTCTTATTATGTTGTCCAGGTTGGTCTTGAACTGCTGGCCTAAAGCTATCTACCTACCTCAGCCTCCCAAAGTGCTGGGATTACAGGCATGAGCCACCATATCCAGCCTCAGCTATTTTCATTTCTAAAAATTGTACTCTATGTAAACCAGACCTGAGATAAGCACCACCCTAGGCACTTTACAGGTGATATTTCACAATAGATGTGACAACAACCGCAGGAGATGGGTACTTTTATGAACATCATTTTCCTGATAAGAAAAAGAGACTCAAAAAGGATTCTATACTCACCCTATCTCTATGTGCCAGAAGGAGAGCTCAAACACTGGCATGAAATCCCAGACACTCATTCCATTCATTTCACTTCCCTTTAGATCACATTTATCCCCCCCTGTATTGTAATTACTCAGCCTGTGGATTCATAGAAGACATGTTTGTACCCCTGGCAAACTGCCAGGTTGACATTCATGACATGAATGAACCAGCTCCTTCATTAGCTCATTGCACAAAATAGTTGCTCACATGTGTTTCACAATTAATTAATGTTCAAAGCCCAGAACAACCCTGAACTCTTGAATTAGACATAAAAAGACGTGTCTTTCCCATGCTGCAAAGGCATTTATTTCCATTTAGAATTTGGAATGACAGACTTCACTACAGGCCAAGGATAAGATTTTTGCTCATTATCTATTTTTTCCAGTCAATACTATCCAAGCTTTCATTGAGAGCCTAGGTATTCAGAGGGCAAAAGAGAAACATTTTTCTTTGATACAGAAGTTCATACATCATAACTTAGATACATTTAACAATTTTCTATTGCTCAATAACAAATTACCACTAATTAGTAGCCTTTAAAAACTCATTATTATCTCAGTTTCTTTGGCCATAACTCTGAGCTTGGCTTAGGTGGCTTCTCTGCTCAGAGTCTCACAGGCTGAAAAGGTGTGTCCATTGCTGTATTTTTTTTTTCTGCACCTCAGTGTCCTTTTTTAAGCTTGCATGGTTGTTGGCAGGATTCAGTCCCTTGGTTGTTGGACTGAAGCCCCTATTTTTTTTGCTGCCTATGAGCCAGGGGCCACTCTCAGCTCCTATAGCCAGTCTACCATGTACTTCCACATGGCCCTCGCCACAACACGGCATCTTGATTCAAAGCCCAGAGGAAAGCATTTGCTGCAGCTTCAAATCTCTCTGATTCCTTCTCACATTGTAGAACCTGTTTTAAAAGGGCTCACCTGATAAGGTCAGGCCAGCATGTGCCAGCAGGGAGTAGAAATCTTGAGGCCATCTCAGAGTTCTGCTTACCATAGAAACCATTCACCCTTATATTTAACTGTGAAATATCTGATTTAAAATTATTTACTTCTTTGTTTCCACAGCCTGGTGAGAGTCAAAGAGGCCCCAGGGGACCATATCCACCTGGACCACTGGCTCCTCCTCCTCCACCATGTTTTCCTTTTGGAACAGGATTTGTTCCACCACCCCATCCTCCACCCTATGGTCCAGGGAGATTTCCACCACCCCTTTCTCCACCCTATGGTCCAGGGAGAATCCCACCATCCCCTCCTCCACCCTATGGTCCAGGGAGAATTCAATCACACTCTCTTCCTCCTCCTTATGGCCCAGGTTATCCACAGCCACCTTCCCAACCAAGACCCTATCCACCTGGACCTCCATTTTTCCCTGTAAATTCTCCAACTGATCCTGCCCTCCCTACTCCTGCACCCTAAATACAGACAACTGCAACAGGTGCCACCACCCACAAAAGACAACACTACCCTCGTAACTACTGCTTCTACTACCCAAAAATAAGAATTTCAACACTACTTCCAAGAGACTTTTAGATAAAATCACTTCCATTTTTGGATGAGAATAAAGATTTCCAAAGCACTGAGCTTTTGGGAGAAATATCTTAGAAATTGTGAAACGATCCCCATGAACCTTTATATCAGTAGGGGAAAATAAAGAATTGAGCAACAATATGAAGTATCCACTGTTATCAGAGCCAATAGTTTACACCCCAGTTATGTCACCTAAATGAATATTAGTGCTAACAGAGCCTGGCCTTGTCCCATGAAGCCAAAAAAGTAAATTAAGGAAAAATGCAATGAGACACTTGGACTTGAACCTTAGAGTTACAAAGTTAGAAGAGTAGGCAACAAGATGCCCTCTTCAGTATGGCAACCCATCATACAATTACAAAGCCCAAAATAAGTGTTAATAGATACTAAAATGAAAGAATCTTAGCCCTTACCATAGCTTGCCCCATAAAAATTCCTGAGTACCATCTGATCACTGCTTATAAATAGTTGCAGAGAAGAAACACCATTCTAACAAACCTAAATATCTGAGATGTGAATCACAAGTCTTAGAGTTTGATATGAAAAAATCATTTTCTAAGCTAAGATAGAGATAGGAAATGGTTTCAGATAGCAATAAGAAGAAGCTGATGGCTGAGATTTCCAAGTTTCTACTGCATCTATTTGTTGATGTTTGAATCAGAAGTATTATGATACGACTATTTAGGAAATGGCCTCATGATGTCATGAGAGCTTTATCTTTCCATTCCATGTTTGACTTTTTTCTTCAGGACACTTAACTTTCCACATTGCCATCAAACACTTATAAATTAAAACTTCTTAAGACACCTAAAGTAAGCACACAATTTTTATTTGTGTTTAATGCTCTCCTTTTTTTTTTCTTTCCATGGAAAGGGTCTCACTCCCATCACCTAGGCTGAAGTACAATGACGCAATCACAACTCACTGTAGCCATGAATTCCTGAGCTCAGGAAATTCCACCTCAGCTTCCTAACTGGGATTACAGGTGCATGCCACCACTCCTGGCTAATTCTGTTGTATTTTTAGCAGAGATGGGGTTTTGCTATGTTGCCTAGGCTTCTCTTTCACTTTTGAGAACCTACCAGGATACAGGGACTGTTTTAGTAGCAAAATAACAGCAATATTGAAGGTAGTCAAAGTAACTGTCTTCATGGAGCTTATATCTAGTGAGATATTTTTTAAAAAGTAAACACATGTCAATAAAATGTAAGATGTGAGAGTGTTTTGAAAAGTAATGAACAATGCATAGGGAGACACTAAGTAGTGGTGACTGGCTGTTTTATATAAGATAATAATGGAGAAGCTCTCTGATGAAGTGATATTTGAGGAATGACTTGAAGAATATTAAGAAGCAAGGTACTAAATGATCTAGAGAAAAAGCAACCATGTAAAGATCTGAAGCAGCAATAAATTTTGTGTATGAGAAGAGTCAACAAAAGTTAATGTGGTTCACACTCAGAAAAGAGGAGAGTGGAAGGAGATGATATGAAGAAGGCAGAGAAAAACACATCATAAAGGGATTTAGATTTTGAACTTTATTCTACATGTTATGGGAAGTCATTGTAGCTTTAAATGAAGAAATAATATTATGTGATTAACATTTTCAAAACTTCATCACTCTGGCTGCTCTATGGATAGAAAACTTAGAAGAGCAAGAGTGCTTAATACCTAGGTGATAGGTTGATAGATGCAGCAAACAACATGGCACACATTTACTTATGTAACAAACCTGCACATCCTTCACATGTATCCTGGAACTTCAAATAAAATAAAAAGAGCAAGAGTGGTGGCTATTTCAGGAGTCCTGATGAGAGAAGAGGTGGTTTAGACTACGGAAAGATCAGCAGAGATGAAGCGAAGTGGTCAGCCACAATATACAGTTGAAAAAATATCCAGAAATCTTTGATGAAGTACGGAATCTTGGGTTCTAGGAAAAATACGTAATCTAGAAGCAACTCTGATAATTTTGGCCTAAACAACTGTGTCAATAATGGTGTCATTTAGTAAGTTAAAAAATGGGAAAAGATCAGGGTGTAAGGGCTTGGAATATCATAAATTCTGCATTGGCCATGTTAAGGTTGAGTTATCCGTTTAACTTCTGCATTATTGTATTGCTGTCATAACATGTTATCACCAAATTAAAAGCACAAAATAACAAATTATCTCACTAATCTATAGAAAGAATTTTGTTAATAGTATAGCTCAAATAGTTCCTCTGCTTAGAGTCTGGCAAGGCTACAATCAAGGTATTAATAGGGCTGCATGCCTTTTTGCAGACTCCAGGGAAAAATCTGCTTTGAGGCTCTTTTATCTCTCCTATATATCTCTTCTTCCTGACTCTTGTTTGGCTGCATCTCTCTGAATCTAGCCAGAAAAAAAAAATTCACCTGTTTTTAAGATAAATTTCCTTTCCTTGATTATTTAATAAAAGATAGACTAGAGTAGATATGAAGTTTATTGCTTTGTTGTAAAAATTGGGGGCAATTCAATTGCTGGTAATGACAATGTCTAAGGGATTACTGTGAAAAAGGTTGGGATAAAATACAACAATGCTGGCTTTTCAAATCCAAATGTTGGAAGTAAGCAGGTCAAGGAATTAGGAGGCCATGGGTTGGATGAATCATTTATAGGGATGTTGAAGTCACCAAATGTGACAAATAAAGGGAGAAGACAGTGACCAAAGTGGTAGTCTTTTAAAAATGTCAAGTAGTGATCGGGCAGGAAGAAATAACTTCAATACAGAAGAGTAGTGGGGAGGCATAGCTTTTTTGAAGGTTCTTCAAAGTTGGAATGATGGAAAAGAGATGAGGTTTAGAAATAGCAATGAAGGCAAGGTCATCTACCTGAACTTGGTGTTGCTACATCCATGTTATTTGTAACTGGAAGTGATGGATAACATCACAGTAGAATATAACTCTCAAAAGGCTTTCATTATGACATAAACATTACAAAGCAGTGCTATCAGTAAATGAAATAAGGAGTACCTAAACAGAAACAAGTTGCTGTGAATTACTCAACAAGGTCCTGTGTACTTAGCTGACATGTGGTGATGGGGTGAAAAGAATGAGTATGTGTGATTCTTCTTAATATTGTTATTTCACCCTGATTCAAGGTACAATTTTATTTTTATTTGCAAAATATCTGAGCCTCTAATTTGCATATTTATAAAGATGAGTGATCTATACTTTTGCTCCCAAGCCCTGCAGAACAGAGTATGGAGAAAACACAACCACCTCCACCAAGTATTCTAGTACACATAGTGTACTTGAGATACAGACAAGGTTTGAGTTTTGCAATGTATTACTGCAAACACACAGAGAAGAAACTGAGAATATAGAGGCTCCTGCTGATGAATTTTCATGAGTTTGAGAGAGCAGTGTTGATGTTTGTAGATGGGGGAAGAAAGAGATTATACAGACCTCTGAGGATGACGGTCTGAATACAGGTGGATGAACTTAGAGACATGAAATCTTAGAGGAAAAAGATGAAGAAGTGTAAGACACAAGATTAGTCCTGATGGCCTCTTAGCGAAAAGTGGGTAATACATTTTCATTACATCTTCTCTCTCGGGATCATTCTGTCAGGATAAGAGGGTCTTAACAAAAGCACCCAAAGCTCAAAAACCCTCTATTTCAATGTTTTCTTAGTTTGTTTAACATTATTTACTGACCTCCATGTGCCATGAACCATTATAGTTACCCGAAATAACTAAGTGATAAAACTAAAATCTTTGCCCTCCTGGAGCTTAAAGAATATCAAGGGGGAGAAGGTTATGTTTTTTCTGTCAATCCTGTGAAAAACCTTTATCTATTCAAGTTCACCTTGATATTATTTGATTGGCAAATGCTGAAATACCTATATTTTTGCTTTAACAGTTTTGGTGACTGCAGAGAAAGAAATATGTGATTATCATTCCATCTTTAGACAAACCTACTTCTCAAAGGTGTCTTGAAATTCATGAAAAATGTACATAATTAAAACTATAATATCACCAAAAAGAGGATACAAGGAACACCAATATATAACCAGCCGGAAAAAAAAATTATTTTTTAAATAATGCATAATTCTAAGTGTCTGCATTTCCCTTGGAATGCATCACAAGTTTCACATAAGTCATGTGTAAATATCACAACAATGAGAGCTGAATCCCTTTAAAATAAGGCAAGTGCATGCCTGAAGCACTTTCAACCTCTGACTAACATGAGAGATCAGGAAACAAGGAGTAGTTGTAAAAGGTCAATAGATAGCAGGTTTATTGGAAGGGGTGAATTATTAAAGTAAGCAAAAAAAAATACAAATAGGGTAGCAGAGGGTTTAATGTTTGAAACTGAGAGTTTGGAGGCCATGCAGAACCATTATCTGGAATTTGTTTCTCTCCCAAATGTCCTCTCTAGGTACTTTTAATTAAATATGCACATACATACACATCTATAACCACCACCTCACCTCATTACTTGCAGGCATTTTAACCAGCAAAGGTAGTATTTCTCCCATCTCATTGTAAGCACATATACTGCCCCAAATTTTCCCCTTACAAGAAAGCACCATCAAAAATCACCTCATCTTACAGTGTTTGGCAAACACAGTTCCTGCACCAACATCTTTCTGTTGCTTTTCCAGTCCCTTTGTAAAACTGCTAAACAATTGTTTCAAGTCCATTCTAATCCTTCATTCAATTTGTATGCGCTATCAACTAAATATCAGAACTTTACAGTCAATTTTGCATATAAAGTTAAACACACACAATCACTACCCTCAAATTGTTCATTAATCCTTTCTGGTCTGGCAGCCTGTCTGGACACACTACATATTTCTGCCATTTACTGCAGTATCCTATTTTATCCACCCATCTCCTCTACACCATGAGCAATCAAACAGCAAAAGTATAGATCACTTGTTTTTATAAATATGCAAATTAGAGACTCCGATATTTTGCAAATAAAAATTAAATTAAATCTTGAACCAGGATGAAATAACAATGTAAAGAAGACATCATGTATACCCATTCCTCTCACTCTACCACCACATGTCAGCTAAGTACACAGGACCTTGCTGAGTAATTCGCAAGGATAAAAAATGATCTCACCTACCTTCCTATTTTGTACTTCTTATTTCATTTACTGATAGCACGGCTTTGTAATGTTTATGTCATAATGGCAGCCTTCTGAGGGCTATGTTCTACCGTGATGTCATCCATCACTGCCAATTACAAATACTATGGATGTAGCAATACCAAGAAGGATGTTGCTTCAGAATGTCTCCTATGCACCCAAGAATCCCAAGTTGCAGATGAAGCATCATATCATTAAATATTGGGCTTAAGAAGCCTACAAATATCCAGAAAATTCTGTATGAATATAGATCAAGTGAACCCTTAAGGAAATATTTATTCTAAAGGGTCACTTTGAAGAAATATCCAATCTATCTGAGTATTCCTAAACTGAGAAAAGTAGTTTAACTATATAGAAATGTCAATTGTAGCAAAAACTCTATAATTTCAAAGGGGTATCTATCTCCCTATTCTTTCTGGACATACAGCCAGACTACATTTCTCAGCCTTCCTTGCAATTAGGCATCGCCATGTGCTGAATTTCAGCCAATGAAAGGAGAGAAGAACGTAATAGGAGTTACTTCTGAAACCGTGCCCCAAAGAGTTAAAGAAACCAGTAACTAACAGAAATTCTTGAGTTTGCTGGATGGTAGATGAGAAAAGAAACAAGTTGCTGAAACACTGAAACTCCCTCTGCTTAAGAGATAAAAGAACTGGAAGAAATCGGCTGGAACCAATATGGCCAAATGGAGTTTACACAGAACGAGCTTGCTGAGGTCACAACCTGAGTTTCCACTGCGTGTTGCATAGTAACTCCCCACAAATTTGCATATGGGACTCATGAGGAGGCATGAAGAGATAACTGTGTATGCCCAATGACTTTCCAGATCTCCCCTTTCCTTCCACAAATCACTGCTATTCCCAAAATCCACCCACTAAACCTTTTTTTTAATTTTCAAAAAAATTGTCCATAAGTTATTGGGGTACAGGTGGTGTTTGGTTACATGAGTAAGTTCTTTAGTGGTGATTTGTGATATTTTGGTGCACCCATCACCCGAGCAGTATACACTGAACTCTATTTGCAGTCTTTTATCGCTCGCCCCCTCCCATCCTTCCCCTCAAGTCCCCAAAGTCCATTGTATCATTCTTATGCCTTTGCATCTTCACAGCTTAGTTCCCACATATCAATAAGAATACATGATGTTTGGGTTTTCATTCCTGAGTTACCTCACTTAGAATAATACTCTCCAATCTCATCCAGGTTGCTGCAAATGCTGTTAATTCATTCCTTTTTATGGCTGAGTAGTATTCTATCATATAAATATACCAGAGTTTCTTTATCTACTCATGATTGATGGACATTTGGGTTGGTTCCATGATTTTGAAATTGTGAATTGTGCTGCTATAAACATGCGTGTGCAAGTATCTTTTTCATATAATGACTCCTTTTCCTCTGGGTAGATACCCAGTAGTGGGATTGCTGGATCAGACAGTAGTTCTACTTTTAGTTATTTAAGGAATCTCCACACTGTTTTCCATAGTGGTTGTACTCGTTTACATTCCCACCAGCAGTGTAGAAGTGTTTCCTGTTCACCACATCTATGCCAACATCTACTGTTTTTTAATTTTTTGATTATGGCCATTCTTGCAGGAGTAAGGTGGTATCACATTATGGTTTTGATTTGCATTTCCCTGATCATTAGTGATGTTGAGCATTTTGTCATATGTTTGCTGGCCATTTGAATACTTTCTTTTGATAATTATCTATTCATGTCCTTAGCCCTCTTTTTGATGGGATTTTTTTTTCTTACTGATTTATTTGAGTTCATTGTAGATTCTGGATATTAGTCCTTTTTCAGATGTATAGATTGGGAAGATATTCTCCCAGTCTGTGGGTTGTCTGTTTGCTCTGCTGACTGTTCCTTTTGTTACGCAAAACTCTTTAGTTTAATTAAGTCCTAACTATTTATCTTTTTTTTATTATTGCATTTCGTTTTGCGTTCTTGGTCATGAAATCCTTGCCTAAGCCAATGTCTAGAAGGGTTTTTCCAATGTAATCTTCTAGAATCTTTATAGTTTCAGGTTTTAAATTTAAGTCCTTAATCCATCTTGAGTTGATTTTTGTTTAAGGTGAGAGATGAGGATCCAGTTTCATTGTCCTACATGTGGCTAGCATCATTTGTTGAAAAAGATGTCCTTTCCCCACTTTATGTTTTTGTTTGCTTTCTTGAATATCAGTTGGCTGTAAGTATTTGGGTTTATTTCTGGGTTCTCTATTCTGTTCCCTTGGTATATGTGCCTATTTTTATACCAGTACCATGCTGTTTTGGTGACTATGGCCTTATAGTATAGTTTGAAATTAAGTAGTGTGATGCCTCCAGATTTGTTCTTTTTGGTTAGTCTTACTTTGGCTATGCGGGTTCTTTTTTGGTTCCATATGAATTTTAGAATTGTGTTTTCTAATTTTGTGAAGAATGCTGGTGGTATTTTGATGCAGATTGTGCTGAATTTGTAGATTGCTTTTGGCAGTATGGTCATTTTGCAATATTAATTCTACCCATCCCTGAGCATGGGATGAGTTTCCATTTGTTTGTGTCACCTATAGTTTCTTTCAGTAGTGTTTTGTAGTTTTCCCTGTAGAGGTCTTTTGGCTGCTTGGTTAGATATATTCCTAAGGTTTTTTTTTTTTTTTTTTGGTTTTTTTTTTTTTTTTTTGGCAGCTATTGTAAAAAAGGTTGAATTCTTGATTTGATTCTCCACTTGGTTGCTGTTGGTGTATAGAAGAGTTACTGATTCGTGTACATTAACCTTGTATCCAGAAACTTTGCTGAATTATTTTATCAGTGCTAGGAGCTTTCTGGAGGAGTCCTTAGGGTTTTTAAGGTAAACAATCATATCTTCAGCAAACAGTGATAGTTTGACTTCCTCTTTACCAATTTGGATGTCCTTTATTTCTTTCTTTTGTCTCATTGCTCTGGCTAGGGCTTCCAATACTGTGTTGAAGAGGAGTGGTGAGAGTGGGCATCCTTGTTTTGTTCCACTTCTCAGAAGAAATGCTTTCAACTTTTCCCCATTCAGTATTATGTTGGCTGTGGGTGTGTCACAGATGGCTTTTATTACATTGAGCTATGTCCTGTGTATGCCGATTTTGCTGAGAGTTTTAATCATAAAGGGATGCTGTATTTTGTTGAATGCTTTTTCTGCATCTACTGATATGATCATGTGATTTTTGTTTTTAATTCTGTTTATGTGGTATATCACATTTATTTAAAGATGTTCTTTGAAACCAATGAGAACAAAGACACAACATACAAGAATCTCTGGGACACATTCAAAGCAGTGTGTAGAGGGAAATTTATAGCACTAAATGCCCACAAGAGAAAGCAGGAAAGATCTAAAATTGACACCCTAACATCACAATTAAAAGAACTAGAGAAGCAAGAGCAAACACATTCAAAACCTAGCAGAAAGCAAGAAATAACTAAGATCAGAGCAGAACTGAAGGAAATAGAGACACAAAAAACCCTTCAAAAAATCAATGAATCCAGGAGCTGGTTTTTTGAAAGATCAACAAAATTGATAGACCGCTAGCAAGACTAATAAAGAAGAAAAGAGAGAAGAATCAAATAGACACAATAAAAGATGATAAACAGGATATCACCACCGATCCCACAGAAATACAAACTACCATCAGAGAATATTATAAACACCTCTAAACAAATAAACTAGAAAATCTAGAAGAAATGGACAAATTCCTCGACACATACACACTCCCAAGACTAAACCAGGAAGAAGTTGAATCTCTGAATAGACCAATAACAGGCTCTGAAATTGAGGCAATAATTAATAGATTACCAACCCAAAAAAGTCCAGGACCAGATGGATTCACAGCCGAACTCTACCAGAGGTACAAGGAGGAGCTGGCACCATTCCTTCTGAAACTATTCCAATCAATAGAAAAAGAGGGAATCCTCCCTAACTCATTTTATGAGGCCAGCATCATCCTGATACCAAAGCCTGGCAGATATACAACAAAAAAAGACAATTTTAGACCAATATCCTTGATGAACATTGATGCAAAAATCCTCAATAAAATACTGGCAAACCGAATCCAGCAGCACATCAAAAAGCATATCCACCATGATCAAGTGGGCTTCATCGCTGGGATGCATGGCTGGTTCAACATATGAAAATCAATAAACGTAATCTGGCATATAAACAGAACCAAAGACAAAAACCACATGATTATCTCAACAGATGCAGAAAAGGCCTTTGACAAAATTCAACAGCCTGTCATGCTAAAAACTCTCAATAAATTTGGTATTGATGGGACGTATCTCAAAATAATAAGAGCTATCTATGACAAACCCACAGCCAATATCATACTGAATGGACAAAAACTGGAAGCATTCCCTTTGAAAACTGGCACAAGACAGGGATGCCCTCACTCACCACTCCTATTCAACATAGTGTTGGAAGTTCTGGCCAGGACAATCAGGCAGGAGAAGGAAATAAAGGGTATTCAATTAGGAAAAGAGAAAGTCAAATTGTCCCTGTTTGCAGATGATATGATTGTATATCTAGAAAAACTCATCATCTCAGCCCAAAATCTCCTTAAGCTGATAAGCAACTTCAGCAAAGTCTCAGGATACAAAATCAATGTACAAAAATCACAAGCATTCTTATACACAAATAACAGACAAACAGAGAGCCAAATCATGAGTGAACTCCCATTCACAATTGCTTCAAAGAGAATAAAATACCTAGAATCCAACTTACAAGGGATGTGAAGGCCTCTTCAAGGAGAACTACAAACCACTGCTCAATGAAATAAAAGAGGATACAAACAAATGGAATAACATTCCATGCTCATAGGTAGAAAGAATCAATATCGTGAAAATGACCATACTGCCCAAGGTCATTTATAGATTCAATGCCATCCCCATCAAGCTACCAATGACTGTCTTCACAGAATTGGAAAAAACTACTTTAAGGTTCATATGGAACCAAAAAAGAGCCCGCATTGCCAAGTCAATCCTAAGCCAAAAGAACAAAGCTGGAGGCATCACGCTACCTGACTTCAAACTATACTACAAGGCTACAGTAACCAAAACAGCATGGTACTGGTACCAAAACAGAGATATAGACCAATGGAACAGAACAGAGCCCTCAGAAATATTGCCACATATCTACAACCATCTGATCTTTGACAAACCTGACAAAAACAAGCAATGGGGAAAGGATTCTCTATTTAATAAATGGTGCTGGGGAAACTGGCTAGCCATATGTAGAAAGCTGAAACTGGATCCCTTCCTTACACTTTATACAAAAATTAATTCAAGATGGATTAAAGACTTACATATTAGACCTAAAACCATAAAATACCTAGAAGAAAACCTAGGCAATATCATTCAGGACATAGGCATGGGCAAGGACTTCATGTCTAAAACACCAAAAGCAATGGCAACAAAAGACAAAATTGACAAATGGGATCTAATTAAACTCAAGAGCTTCTGCACAGCAAAAGAAACTACCATCAGAGTGAACAGGCAACCTACAGAATGGGAGAAAATTTTTGCAATCTACTCATCTGACAAAGGGCTAATATCCAGAATCTACAATGAACTCAAACAAATTTACAAGAAAAAAACAAACAACCCCATCAAAAAGTTGGCGAAGGATATGAACAGACACTTCTCAAAAGAAGACATTTATGCAGCCAAAAAACACATGAAAAAATGCTCATCATCACTGGCCATCAGAGAAAGGCAAATCAAAACCACAATGAGATACCATGTCACACCAGTTAGAATGGCAATCATTACAAAGTCAGGAAACAACAGGTGCTGGAGAGGATGTGGAGAAATAGGAACACTTTTACACTGTTGGTGGGACTGTAAACTAGTTCAACCATTGTGGAAGTCAGTGTGGCAATTCCTCAGGGATCTAGAACTAGAAATACCATTTGACCCAGCCAGCCCATTACTGGGTATATACCCAAAGGATTATAAATCATGCTGCTATAAAGACATATGCACACGTATGTTTATTGCAGCACTATTCACAATAGCAAAGACTTGGAGCCAACCCAAATGTCCAACAATGATAGACTGGATTAAGAAAATGTGGCACATATACACCATGGAACACTATGCAGTCATAAAAAATGATGAGTTCATGTCCTTTGTAGGGACATGGATGAAGCTGGAAACCATCATTCTCAGCAAACTATCACAAGGACAAAAAACCAAACACTTCATGTTCTCACTCACAGGTGGGAATTGAACAATGAGAACACATAGACACAGGAAGGGGAACATCACACACCGGGGACTGTTGTGGGGTGGGGGAAGGGGGGAGGGATAGTATTAGGAGGTATACCTAATGCTAAATGACAAGTTAATGGGTACAGCACACCAACATGGCACATGTATACATATGTAACAAACCTGCATGTTATGCACATGTACCCTAAAACTTAAAGTATAATAACAATTTAAAAAAAAAAAAGAGCTAATGACAATCCCACCACCCTTTGCTGACTCTCTTTTCGGACTCAGCCCGCCTGCACCCAGGTGAAATAAACAGCCCTGTTGCTCACACAAAGCCTGTTTGTTGGACTCTCTTCACACGGAAGCGCGTGACATTTCTTGTATAATTTTTATACCAAATAAACCAAATTATGTCATTTTTGGACTTTAGGGAATCTGATATCGTAAAAGATTAATTAGGTCAGAAAAAGACATAATTTATAATTTGATTTTGGAATGTTTGTCAAATATCAAAAGTTTAAAACACCTGAAATCACAGTTCATTGTAAAATAAGTCATTCGTTTTACCAAAGTCAATTCTGGAACTGAGGTCTTTTCATTTCCATTTCAGGGAACAATACACTGTTTTACTCCAAAATATAAAGCTGTAATTTAAGGCATTTGTACTAACTTTTAGGTTAGAATATGTGTATCTTTCATTTTTTAAACATTTTTAATCCTTCATTATTTTCAATAGATTTCATTTTTAGAGTCCCTCATCATTTTTAAGTAACAAATTCTTACCAATAGACTATATATAAATTTTAGTAATAACTTTATTATACAAGCCCAACATGATCTTAGTATTAATTCTGCCCCTCTCTGATGTTCTTTCTTCATTTAAAACACTAAGACATTGGCCAGGCACAGTGGCTCATGCCTGTAATCCCAGCACTTTGGGAAGCTGAGGTGGGTGGATAACTGAAGGTCAGGAGTTCGAGCCTGGCCAACATGGTGAAACCCGGTCTCTACTAAAAAAAAAAAATACAAAAATAGGCCAGGCATGGTGGCTCGTGACTGTAATCCCAGCAGCTCAGGAGGCTGAGGCAGGAGAATAGCTTGAACCTTGGAGGCAGATGTTGGAGTGAGCCGAGATCATGCCACTGCACTCCAGCTTGGGTGACAGAATGAGACTTCTTCTCAAAAATAAATAAATAAATAAATAAGACATTAACATCTTCCTATGTCTTGCAGTTATCTTGAATATTCAATGAGAAAATAAATATAGCATGATTTACTATACAATAAATGTATTACACTAATGGTTTAAAATTTTTAAAGTACTTGATGTCATTTACAGAGAAAACATGTGTATGACTAGATTTGTTTTGGTAAAAATAATATTACAGCAAAGAAAATATATTTTTAGAATTAAGATGAATCCAGGAATATTCCCCAAAAAGATTTTGAAAGGGGAACTGAATTTATGTGGTTACATGGTTGAGGTTATCAATCTAGCAAAATTCTGATTAAAGGGCAATTGTATCTTTGTTTACATTCACAGTCTGGGGACATCCCGGTTATACTACAAAGACCAATTTGGCATTTACTATAGAAAAATAGACCTTCTGCTTAAAACTATTGGGAAATTTTCCCATGACTCTCAGTGGAAAGCAAAGCTACTTTTCTCAAGAAATTACCATGATTATATTTTATGGACATCGTAAATGTTTTACCTGATTTCTTTCTTTTTCAACTTTGGCTACTTGGAATCTCAGGGCAAATTTGTTGTCAACTTCCAGAAAGTTTACAGACCTATGTGATGTGGGTTTCTTGAAGCATCCATGCTGCACAAGTTAGAGATATTAACTTTTCTTCAGTCTACAAGTTCTATTGTTAATTACATTTCATCATGCTAGACTTCAATCCAAGAGAACATATTTTCTCTCAGAGCTCAATGGCATTATTGATATCCTACACAACAATATTTCCACAGAAATTTTCAAGGTAATCTGTAAGTTCTAAAGCATGATAAGTATTTCAGGTGGCATTATCCCAGAAACAATATCACTTCCTTCTGGATAATCAAGAAGAAGCACATACTTTTCATAGGTCCAAAGAAACTATGATGATTGCTATATTTCAGTGGAAATGAGTATAATACAACAGGAAATCAGACTTCAAATATGTTGCTGCATGACTGAATTTAATTCTGCTAATCTACCTCTATTAAGAAAATATTTTCCATCTGTCACGTAAATCTCTGCACTAACAATAATTTTTCTCTACTGTCACTTTTTTAATTTCCTGTGGCCAGAGACATTAGCTCTTTTATATATTGTTCTAGTAAGTATTGAGTCAGGATCTTCTAAAGCCATAAGTTAATTAAAGATTAATTTGAGTGACTGTTCCTGTTTCTTAACAGATGTGTGCTTCCATTTATTTGTGTTCCTCAGATTCTTTCTGGTCACAAACCACTCAGAAATTGTCTTTCGGTTTTGCCAGCGTTCATCCTAAATCCCTCAGAGCCAATGATCCATTACAATGTAGATCCCACTTTGACTTCAGACATTTGGCTGGTGAATATGTTGGCATCAAAACAAGAAAGAAGAGATATTCAGCTTTTGACAAACTGAATTATCATCAAAGAAAGAAGTGGAAATTTCTATGTTAATTAGGAATAGAACCATCTTCACTGATGTTGGGGCATGTAATCATTCAGCAACATATTAAGGGCTAAGATTAGCAAACCAGGAGTATATTGTATTACACTTAATTAAGTCATCAGAATTTTTTAAAGGCAGTGAAACTCCAACAAAGTAAATGAAATTAAGAAGAGTCATTCAAAACTAACATCAACTCTGGAAGTGCAGCTTCTTTATTGCTATCCCACCTCACAAAGGATTTTTAAAACACTAAGCACTTAGATATGCTGTAAATTCAGCAACTTGCACTATGTCTTGTACCCAGCAGATATTCAATAAATGTAGGAGGGAGGGAGGGAAGGAAGGAAGGAGGGCAGGAGGGAAGGAGGGAAGGAGAGAGGGGAGGGAGGGGAGGGAGGGGAGGGGAGGGGAGAAAGGAAGGTTGGTTGTAAACTTCATGACCTAAAAATTATAAATATACACATTTTTCAAATGAAGAAATTGAAACACAATGAGATAAAATAGCTTGTCTCATATAACCCAGCAAAGAATTGTTGGTATTTGGCTTTGAAGTAGAATTACCTGACTATTAAGTTCACTTGATTCATCTCTACAGTGTACTGTAACATAAAGTTAGTTAAGTGTATGGTGATTATTAAGATTTGGGGAGCAACATGGAATGCTGGTTAAAAACTCACTCAGGCCCCTGTAGGGAGACTTAGGTCTTCACTCAGTGGGAAGACTTAGGTCAAGCCCCACTTAGCTAGTTAGCATCTATGTCATCTATGTGTACAACAGAGATAACAATAGAACTCATTTTATCCTGCCACGTGGAATATGCTAAAGGTTTAATAAGTAATAGCTGTTATTATTAAATAATAATGTGTCAAAACTACAGATTATAGGATCATCTAGCTTAGGAAAAATTATGCTCAAAGCCTAGATTTATCAAAAAAACAAGGCTGTAATTTTCCATTAGACATCCACTTCAAAGTCAAGATATCCGTATAATTTTGCCATAATCAAAAATTTTGCTTGTCATTATATTTTTATTTAATTAAATGTCTCAAGTTAATAATGGCAAGGACCACATGATTTTTAAAACACAGTTGTTCTCATTTAGTTCTTCACTGGCAAAAGGAACTTCCTAAAAAATGCATATATAAGGTCTTGTAAATAGTCTACTAACTTAAGATAATCACAAAGAAATGAAATATAGTTAAGACTGAGAAACTGCATGAACCTTCTGACTATTATCCCTCTTCCACCACTAGATTTTTCTTTCCTGCTTTTTTGAAACTTAGATCCAAATCTTAATAGCAGCACTCATTTTCATCATCCTTCAGAAACATCTACTCAATGAAGACAACTGTGAAAAACCATACATAGGATAAGATATATACAAACTTTCAAGCACAAAACAATAATACAATTTCATTATTTCAACCAAAAAATAGAAACATGAAACCCACAACATATAGCAAAGTGATCAAAACAGTCAAGTGAAATTTTAGATATTCTTTACATTACTGGCCATGCATCGTACCTGCGTGCATGTGTGTGTGTGTGGTATTTAGCAATATTTATTTAATTAGGCACTTTTAATTTTAATTATCATTTTTGTTCCCCTAGGTTCTCCTGATCATGTTAGAATTCAGTTTAAAAATATTTGTATTTCGCACATATGGAGGCCTTTGAAATAAAATAGAAAATATGATGAGACTAGCAAATAACAAAAGATGGCCCATTAAATCACTTGGAACAGAAAAAACTCGTGCCAGCTTTTCCTTTGAAATAAAGAGGAAATGGTGCACCACAGGCCCCAGATTGTTTTTCTGAGGTGATAGGATATTATGATTTGTTGTATCTGTTTCCTCAGGAAACAGCAAATGTTGAACAGGTCAATGCTTTTCAGGAATGAAAAAAAATCCAGAAAAAGACTGCCAAATTGGCAAGAACAACTTTCCTATCTTTGAAGAGCATCAACTCGGAAGTTATTTTATTTCCGAATAGCCTTTCTCTTATTGCCAACAGAAATCCATTACAATATATAAGAGCTAAGATTTCTTGTCCCTTTTCACCTTTATTTGCCGTCTTTCAACTGGCAAGAGTCATTTTGACCAGCAGATTAATCAACTGTAAGACAGATCCTCACACAAAGGTAGGTACTTGGAAATATAAACTGAATATTTTTACTTTGAATATTGAAATTTTTCTCAAAGATAACATTTTCAACGATAACATTTTATGGGCTTTTCATAGAACATTCATTATCAGCAAAAACATAAGTAGCTTACATGAAATTGTAAGTCATTAAATGCAATAAATTTTGAAAAATTCTGGTTTTTACAGGTCAGAGTAAAACATTCATGTTGGGCATTTGGGCCAATCGGTCCATCCAAGTACACAATTGACTTTTCCTCCTGATGTACCTTAAAGTTCTTGAAACTTCATAAGGATAGAATAGTCTCAGGTGTACTCTAAAAGACAGAATTGCTCTACAGAATATTTTTATTATTGGTTTTTCTTTTGTTTTTCAAACTTAATTTAAGAATGGATATAGGAAAAGTACTAGTTAAAGGAATAGCCACACCCACATATATATAATTGAATATCCAGTGAAATTTTGTCCATAGGATTCTTTCAAGACTTGCATTGCTCAGACCACACACTCAACCTATGTGCAGAGTTGACTAACAGGAAGCCAATTTGCACCATGGTGTATGGAGTTGCTTTCCCAAAAATCAAGCTATCATGTACTTGAAATATATTGTAAAATTTGACCCAATTGAGAGTAGAATACCTGGACATCTCCATGTTCTTGCCTTGGTCTCTGATATATGGATTTTTGGAAGCACTTTGAGACCACTCATCACAGCCTAAATTAATGTAATAGAATGTTGTTAAAACTAGGAAATATATTATGTGACTCTTCTTTTAGACTATATCCAACAGGGTGATTCCTTTTTTTTTTCCTTATTTTTAAGCTCTTCCAAGCAATAAAATTTGTAACATAAGATCTAGTTAAAATGTTAATATCTCAAACCCATCCATAGAAATCTATAATGTATCTACTATTTTTAAAATATCAAAATGTTCAAATGAAAATAAGTATACATTTTAAAGTAGTTACTTCTAAGGGAAAAACCTTAGTCATAAAAGCTTCTATTGCTCAGAGCAATGTATGAACAACTCTTTGGCATTATCCCCAGGATCAGTTTACAAGTCAAAAATAAAAACTACTTCCACTATTTTGAAGTCAAATTTTATAAGCCTACTAATATTGCCCCACAGTAATACTGAATTCAAAATAACATTAGGCAAATTCCCTAAAAATGCTATAGTAGGATATTTGTATTACATTATATCCAAGTGTTGAGACATTTTAAATAGTACTTTTTAATAAAAAACAATCATACTGATCACCTATTGTGCTTACTTTCAGAGGCAACTGAAAGGATGAAATCACTGACTTGGATCTTGGGCCTTTGGGCTCTTGCAGCGTGTTTCACAGTAAGTATCATTAATCACGATCACACTTCTTTATAGTTTCTCATTAACCATTACTTCAGATTTCTTTTTACATTAATGATGTTACCTTTTCTTATATATTAGTAACTATTAATCATCAATGAAACACTGTTTAGGGCTTAAATTTAAATTTAAAATCTAATTTAAATAACCACACATGTCTGATGGCTGCCATACTGGACAGCTCAAGTCTGTGGTATCAGACTGCATTAAACAGATACGTATAAATGTTAAGTTCCCATACTCTAGTCAGTTACACAGTAGGTAAAACTCTATAAAAATAGATAATCAAAATAAAACCGTTTTCCCAGCATGTAGTTTATGGATCATTTACACCAGAGTCACCTAACTCACTTATTAAAAATATAGTAAAGACCTCATCCAAGCTTCAATAAGAGTATCAGATAATGGGACCTGGAAAGATGCATTTTACTAAGGATCTACAAGTATCTTTGCATGCTAAATTTTGGGAGAATGCTAAGCATTTATATATAAACAGCTACTTTGTATACAAAACCAGGTTAAAGACAAATGAGATACTAAATATCATACAAAATTACAAAAATGTTTTTAAAACACACGTATTTCAAAGTAGTAGAATCATACTCGATTTCAAAGTAGTGTTAGATTAATTCCAGTGACAGAAAGAGAATATTAATTCCAGAGTAATTTCCACCAAAGTACTATAAAATCTATATCAAATTGAAAAATATGAAAGCTGTTTTTTTTAGATTATGACTTCCACAAATCAAGCAACATAAATTTACATCATTCTGAAACATGAAACATAAAATAATTCCTTTTTCATCTACTTTGTTTTTTTTTTTTTTTTTTTTTTTGAAACAGACTCTCGCTCTGTCGCCCAGGCTGGAGTACAGTGGCGCGATCTCGGCTCACTGCAAGCTCCGCCTCCCGGGTTCGCGCCATTCTCCTGCCTCAGCCTCCGGTGTAGCTGGGACTACAGGCGCCCGCCACCACGGCCGGCTAATTTTTTTGTATTTTTAGTAGAGACGGGGTTTCACCGTGTTAGCCAGGATGGTCTCGATCTCCTGACCTCGTGATCCGCCAGCCTCGGCCTCCCAAAGTGCTGGGATTACAGGCGTGAGCCACCGTGCCCGGCCTCATCTACTTTCAAAAAGGAACAAAATCAGGAAATTCTAAGGTTACTGAGGTAGTCTGACCTTGGCTAAATTACTGAGAGCATTATATGTTGACATAATTTTTAATAAACCAATAAAATATATTGATATATTTTAAAGGTAATATCTTAATGGCTTGATTATAAAGCTTATTTTCAATATTTTTATTCCCTCAGAATACAAAAGAAAAACATTTATAATTTCAAAGTATCAGGCTTTTATTATATAAATTTTTTTTTATAAGATTAATTTGAAAAAGATAACTTTCTGGGCCAGGCACGGTGGCTCACGCCTGCAATCCCAGAACTTTGGGAGGCTGAGGCAGGTGGTAACTTGAGGTTAGGGGTTCAAGGCCAGCTTGGCCAACATGGTGAAACGCTGTCTCTACCAAAATTACAAAAATTAGCTAGGCATGATGGCATGCACCTGTAATTCCAGCTACTCCAGAGGCTGAGGCAGGAGAATCGCTTGAACCCGGGAGGTGGACATTGCAGCGAGCCAAGATTGTGCCACTGCACTCCAGCCTGGGTGACAGAGTGAGACTCTATCTCAAAAAAAAAAAAAAAGAAAAAAGAAAAAGATAGTTTTCTGATAACATAAGCAGTTTAAATGGAAATCAACCTTTCCCCAACTTAATTATATGAGATTCATGATGATTAATAATTATTGAATGTTGGAAATATGAAGGGTAGCATGTCCTTTACGTGTGTGTGTATATGTACACACACACACACACAAATAAAGCAAGTCTAACTACTATTAGTCCCATTAAAATACAAATAAATTTAGGTTCAAAGTATCCGTGTCTTAGATGGACTGTTCCTAAATAAAGTAATGTAGGAGATTAGTGCCAATTATAGTCCTTCGAGAGCGTAGTGTTTCTTCTTAAAATAGTATTTTCATCATTTTTCTGAGTTCGTTACCTTTAGCCAGTTGCGGAAAGGGAGCTAATCAATGTGATTGGGTATACTTACTATGAAGATTTTTCATTACTTAATATTAAGATCAACATCAGGATATCTTTAGGAGGCGAGGGCACTTTCAGCTAATTTTTTAATTGTTTCAACAATAAAAGTGAATGGAGTATTTTCCCACACTAAGGATTTGTTTTCTTGACAATTAAAAATCAAGTCCTGAACTTCCATACATCCTGACTAGTCTTTGGCTTGGCAGCACTTGGGTCAAATGCCCTCCATAATACCACAGAATGTCATTAGCTAGAGAAGACAAACATGAGGCCAGTTCTACAGAAGTGCCTTGGTATTTTTCATTTGTTGTATTAGTGATCCTAATAAAACTTTTACTGGCATGTTAAAGGCAGAAGCCAGGTTGAAGAGCAAATGGGAAATGAGAAGTGGAGTTGGCAAATCTAGAATACCCTTTCAAAGTTTCAAAGTTTCGCTTTGAAGGAAAGAGGTGACAAGAAAATCAACAACAAGGGTACCGGTGGTTGAAACTGAACCTTTTATAAGCAGGGAAATAATATAACTTGATACTTCTTTTGCAAATGATCTATTTAAACTTTCTGTATATTTTAGGTGAAAGTGTAAGAGTAGAATCAAGCAGTCAAATCAAGGTGTCATTACAGTAATTTGGGTAAAAACAAATGACTTAGGTTAAAGTGGAAGTAAGAGATATGATAAGAAGTGGTTAGACTTAGAATTCAGGAAGGGAGATGCAAAGCCAATAGGATTGTGGGGGAGAAGGGTGAGTGGAACATAAATGATAGTTGTTTTCTGAAGAAAATGATCCAGTTTATAATTCCTGCCATTTAACTGGCTCATTTTCCTCAGAAAACAAATTCCAATATTATAGTTACAGGAAGTAAAGGGAAGACTGACAGAGCCAAGTCCCTGAGAAGACACTTGTAAAGAAACAGAAAATTCCTAGCTATCAATGACTCCATGGTTGTGTGGCCAGTAAATCAGGGAAGTTCATTTCTAATTGCCTGAAATATCTTGGTGAAGCAGGAGAAAAGCCAGTTTGGTGGGGGTAAATGATAGCTCAGGATGAGGTGGAGAATGTTGATAAAACTGGCATCAACTTGGAAAATTACAGGCCTCTGGGGAAGTGGGAAGAGATAATCTAAGATAAGACACTCAAAAAAGGATTTCAGGCAGCACTGAAGGACGCTAACTTTCTGATGGTACAGTGCTTGTGACATCCTCTACCATTGTTAAGAACCTGGAATTAGGAATCCAGGACAGAGATGCTTTGCCGTAATACTAAAGTTTAGATTTAACAAGGGTAATACCAGACAAATAGGTGAAGGGACTGAGAACCACAAGAAGTGAATGTAGTTTTGTGTCCTGTGTAAACCATCTGCTCCAAGCAACCTGGACTTCTTGTCATCAGTAGAGTGGAACTTCATTCTTACCCCAGAGCATTTGTGTATTTTCATTCTGTTTGGCATGTTCTCTCCTTATTTTATATTCTTTAAGCCTCTTTTCAAATGACTTCTTCTCACTAGAACAATCCTTCATCATTTTCCTATCCAGAACTGATCGCTTTAACTCCTTAATGTATTTGTTCCTTGCACTACTTTTCAGCTATTTTTTTTTTATTTTTTAAAATAGAGACAGAATTTTGCTACATTGTCCAAGTTGGCCTTGAACTGCTGGCCTCAAGCAATCCACCTGCCTCAGCCTCCCAAAGTGCTGGGATTACAGGCATGAGCCACCATGCCCAGCCTCAGCTATTTTTATTTCTAAAAATTGTGCTCTATGTAAACCATACTTGAGCCAATCATCACTCTAAGCATTTTACAGGTAATATTTCACAACAAAAATCTGACAATAACAACAGGAGGTGGGTCCTTTTATTAACGTCATTTTTCTGATGAGAAAAAAGAGACTCAAACAGGATTCCACACTCACCCAACCTCTACGTGCCAGAAGCAGAACTCAAACCCTCACATGAAATCCCAGAGACTCATTCCACTCATTTCATTTCCCTTTAGATCATATTTATCCTGCCTTGTATTGTAACTCCTTGGCCTGTAGATTCATAGAAGATCTGTTTGTAACCCTGGATCCCCACCACAGCTCCTACATTAGCTCATTGCACAAAGTAGGTGCTCATGACGTCTCTCACAATTTATTAGTGTTCAAAGTCTGAACAGCCCTGAACTCTTGAATTAGACATAATAAGACATTTTTCTCATCCTGGAAGGGCATTTATTTCCACTTACAATTGACTTAAATGACAGATTCGACTATAGGCAAAGGATAAGATTTTTGCTCATTATATATATTTTTTTAGTCAATACTATCCCTGCTTTCATTGAGAGCCTACGTATTCAGAAAGCAAAAGAGAAACTTTTTTTCTTTGATAATAGACTTTCAGACTATGTGACTTAGATACAATGTAATGGTTTTCTATTGCTGCATAACAAACTACCACCAATTAGTAGCATTAAAAACTCATTATTATCTCAGTTTCTTTGGCCACAACTCTAAACTTGGCTTAGTTGGCTTCTCTGCTCAGTCTCACAAGGCTGAAAAGGTGTGCCCACTGCTGTATTTCTTTTTCTGCAGCTCAGTGTCCTTTTTTAAGCTTGTATGGTTGTTGGCAGGATTCAGTCCCTTGGTTATTGGACTGAAGCCCCTACTTCCCTGCTGCTTACGAGCCAGGGGCCACTCTCGGCTGCTATAGCCAGTCTACCATGTACCTCCACATGGCCCTCCCCACAACATGGCATCTTGATTCAAAGCCCAGAGAAAAACATTTACTGCAGCTTCAAATCTCTCTGATTTCTTCTGTCTCTGACATTGTAGAACCTTTTTTAAAAGGGCTCACCTGATAAGGTCAGGCCAGCATGTGCCAGCAGGGAGTAGAAATCTTGGGGCCATCTCAGAGTTCTGCTTACCACAGAAAGCATTCACCCTTATATTTAACTGTGAAATATCTGATTTGAAATTATTTACTTCTTATTTCCACAGCCTGGTGAGAGTCAAAGAGGCCCCAGGGGACCATATCCACCTGGACCGCTGGCTCCTCCTCAACCTTTTGGCCCAGGATTTGTTCCACCACCTCCTCCTCCACCCTATGGTCCAGGGAGAATCCCACCTCCTCCTCCCGCACCCTATGGTCCAGGGATATTTCCACCACCCCCTCCTCAACCCTAAGGTCCACCACTCCATCCTGATGCCCCAGGTTATCCACAGCCTCCTTCCCGACCAAGACCCTATCCACCTGGACCTCCATTTTTCCCTGTAAATTCTCCAACTGATCCTACCCTCCCTACTCCTGCACCCCAAATATGAACAACTGCAGCAGGTGCCACCACCACCACAAAAGACACCACTACCCTTGTAACTACTGCTTCTACTACCCAAAATATGAATTCCAACACTGCTTCCAAGAGACATTTACATAAAATTGCTTCCATTTTTGGATGAGAATGAAAAATTCCAAAAGTGCTGAGCTTTGGGGAGAAATAATCTTAGAAAGAAATTGTAGAAAAAACCCATGCAGACATAACATTTATACCAATGAGGCAAAAATAAAGAATTGAGCACCAATATGAAGTCTCCACTGTTGTCATCAAAGCCAACATTTTTCCCCCAGTTATGTCACCTAAATGAGTGAACATAGATCATTTGAACCCTTAAGAAAATATTTATTCTAGAATCACTTTGAAGAAATATCAAATCTCTTAGAGTATTCCTAAAGTGAGAAAATAGTTTAACTATCATAGAAATGGTGATTATAGCACAAATCTCATAATTTCAAAGGAATATCCATTTCTCTATTTTTTCTGGACCTACAGGTAGACTACATTTCTTAGCCTTCCTTGCAATTATGCATGGCCATGTGCTGAATTTCAGCCAATGAAAGGAAAAAAGAAACAAATAAGAGTTACTTCTGAAACTGTGCCTGTGATGGTTAATATTGTCAACTTGATTGGATTGAAGGATACAAAGTATTGATCCTGGGTGTGTCTGTGAGGATGTCACCAAAGGAGATTAACATTTGAGTCAGTAGGGTGGGAAAGGCAGACCCACCCTTAATCCGGGTGGGCACAATCTAATCAGCTGCCAGCGTGGCTAGAATATAAGCAGGCAGATAAAATGTAGAAAGAGAGACTGGCCTAGCCTACCAGCCTACATCTTTCTCCTGTACTGGATGCTTCCTGCCCTTGAAAAGTAGACTCCAAGTTCTTCAGTTTGGAATTCAGACTGGCTGTCCTTGCTCCTCAGCCTGCAGATGACCTATTATGGGACCTTGTGATCCTGTGAGTTAATACTTAATAAACTTCCATATATATATATATATATAGACACACACACACACACACACATATATATATACACATACATATATATATACACATACATATATATATACACATACATATATATATTCCTTTAGTTCTGTCCCTCTAGAGAACCCTAACACAGTGCCCTGAAGAGTTAAAGAAACAGTAACTAACAGAAATTCTTAAGTTTGCAGGATGGCAGATAAGAAAAGAAACAAATTGCTGAAACACTCCCTCTGCTTATGAGATCAAAGAGCTAGCTGAAATGGATTGGAACCAATATGGCCAAATGAAGCCACAGCAGGGAATTTATTCTCCACCCCAGATATGAAATAGTTTTGATGAAATATAACTGAATGAAATTAAATAACATAGGATTAGATGGAATGAGATTAATAGAATGGAATGGAACAACAGAGTGCACTGTACTTCATACCCCTTATTCTGACAAATACATTCACCTTTATGCATACTGGGACATGTTGTTCAATGTATTTCTTAACTGTTATTCATAATAATAAAAATTTTAAACACTTATTTAGGGATGAGAAAGAATGTCACTTTAGTGATCTACCATTGACCCTATGCTGAATAAAGAGAGAAAGGTTAAAGAGAGCTGATGGATCGGGAGAAAGTCATGAGGTCAATTAACTGGTGTTTCCAGTGGGAATAGTTAAACTTGTAAACTTGAAGGAGAGGCAGTTGTCATTCTGGAGTGAGATGTGTGAATGAGCGATTTAGAAATAAGAAATGTTAGTGTAACTGCAATCCAATGTGTGACTGCAGCAGTGAGTAGCTGAAATAGAGAAAAGTCACAGGAGATTAGATGCAAGATGAGAGAAGCTAGGGATTGGATGGGACATCCAGTGGAAACAGACACATAGACCAATAGAACAGAATGGAGAACCCAGAAATAAAGCCACACATCTACAACCATCTGATCTTTCACAAAGTCAACAAAAGCAAGCAACAAGGAAGGGAGTCCCTCATCAATAAATGATGCTGGCGTAACTGGCTAGCCACGTGAAGAAGAATGAAACTGGACCGCTATGTTTTACCACATACAAAAATTAACTCAAGATGGATTAAAGACTTAAATTTAAGAATAAATACTAAAACTGTAAGAATCCTAGAAAAAAGTTTAGGAAATATCATTCTGGACATTTGCCTTGGCAAAGAATTTATGACTAAGTCCTTAAAAGCAATTGCAACAAAAACAAAAGTTGACAAGTGGGACCTAATTAATCTAAAAAGCCTCTGCACAGCAACAGAAACTTCTAAAAAGCCTCTGCACAGCAACAGAAACTAACAACAAAGTAAACGAACAACCTGTAGAATGGGAGAAAATATTCTCAAACTATGCATCTGATAAAGATTTAATATCCAAAATCTATGAGGAGCTTAAACAATTGAGCAAAAAAAACAAATAACCCCATTAAAAAAATAGGCAAAAGACATGAGCAGACACTTCTCAAAAGAAGACACACAAGTGACCAAAAAACATATGAAAAAATGTTCCACATCACTCATCATCAGAGAAATGCAAATCAAAACCACAATGAGACACTATCTCACACCAGTAAGAACGGCTATTATTAAAAAGTCAAAAAATAACAGATGCTGGCAAGGTTGCAGAGAAATGGAAACACTTATACACTGTTGGTGGGAGTGTAAATTATTTCAACAATTGTGAAAAGCAGTGTGGTGATTCCTCAAAGAGCTAATAACAGAACTATCATGACTATGTATATACCCACAGGAAAATAAATCATTCTACCAGAAAGACATGCACCTGTATGTTCATTGTAGCACAATTCACAATAGCAAAGACATGGAATCAACCTAAATGTGCATCACCAGTGGATTGGATAAGGAAAATGTGCTACATATAAACATATAGAATACTGCACAGCCATAAGAAAGGACAAAATCATGTCCTTTGTGCAACATAGATGCATCTGCAGGCCATTATTGTAAGCAAATTAATACAGGAACAGAAAACCAAGTATTGCATGTTCTCACTTATAAGTGGGAGTTAATTTGAGTACAATGGACATAAAGATGGGAACAACAGACATTGGGAACTATTAGAGGGGAGAGGGAGTGAGAGGAGGTGAGGGCTGAAAATCTACCTGTTGGGTACTATGCTTAGTACCTGGATGCTGGGATCATTTTCACTCCCCGCTCAGCATCATGCAATATACCCAGGTAACAAACTTGCATATGTACCCCATGAACCCAAAATGAAAGTTGAAATAAAACAAAAGAAAAGAAAATTTAAGTCACCCAGCATGACTTCAAGCAAATAGCAATATAACTGACAAATGAAATGAGAAGAGGTGATCACATGAGCAGAAGTCAGAGTGTAGAACTGAATGGAATTGGCCTCAAAGGAGCATGTGTTGCCTAAGGAGGTGAAGGAGAAATATTGCCAACTATAAAATTTTAGCTTTTGTTTTCAGTACTCTGACTTTGAGGGAGTAACAGATCACATTTACAAGTGGCATATTGCTATAGTTTAGACTGGCCACAGTATTCCCATAGAAATATCCCTCTACTCTGAGCCTCTAGCACAGCCAGTCATGACTCATCAAATACATCAGATTTCCGTGCAATCAATCTATCATTAAAGTTTCTCTGAACTGAGGTTTTCCAATCACACTCAAACTTGTTTCTCATGACCATATACATCCCAGGTTCAGAATGGCTGGGACATAGGAAGCTGTGCCTAAAGTTTACCAATTCTCCAGCAAGCTATTGTCAAGCGTGCTATGTTATTACCTGTTCTGTATACATTTTAAGTAAACGCTAAATAAACTTGGTATGTGATGCATCTTTTGTCTAGTGAGTTTGGACATCATCCTGAGCCCAAGACTATTGCTACTAATGGAGCCTAGTGGGTGTTGCAGCCATCAGTCACTGCATCAGTTATGGTGCTGTCAGGAGGCAGCAATACTGCCAATTATTTTTAAAAGAATTTAATATCAAGTATCATTAATTAGGCAGCAAGAATTGTTAACGGGGTAACTGAAAAGGCAAAACGAGAACACCGGATTTACCTCATGGAGGTAGCAACTGCAGAAAGAAGCTAAGACTCCTAGGGCTAAGGAAAGAAGGGTAAAGTTTGAAATTATTGAAATTTAGAAGTTTGCAGATGAGGTCCCACAGTATGAAAAGCAAACCTATGAAAAAGTAGACTTGTGTTGGTCTCTCTATGTATACAGGAATGGTCCTTTTTGTCTAAGACCTAGTCCAGTAGGGAGGAATGCTGGAAGGTTGGTCCTGGAATCTCTGAGAGGATTTAATGAGGCTGCTTTTGTACGTGTTGGAAAAACAACAGAGTTCAACACTGCCCAAGGTTCCTTTCCAAATGCTTGACTCAGACCTTCATTCCTGAAGTATCTCAATCCTCAGTGGTTATACATTTTCTTGGTTGTAGTAGTTTCCCCTTAATTTTCACTTTTGGACATGAACATACTAAATGGTGTCCCAGAGAATCTCCTGAATTCCAGACAGTCCTCTGTGTTCCTCTTTGTTAGCAGCAACCCAATTTCCCCCTCGGTAATCAGGAACAATCCTGCTAACCAGTAGAGTAACTCTTATTTATTTTTGTTCAGTGACATGAGGAGATCAAAATGTCCTAATTCCTCCTTTATGAACCAAGACCTCCAAACTAGCATAACTCAAAGTTACAAAGACAGAAAGCAAAGATTCTGTGAGTGGGCTATTAGTTGTAATAATAAGAAGAGCCTTAATTTCTGTTCCCATGAATTCTGGCCCTGGGAAAGCTGGATGCATATGTTGCTCACTGATTGAAAGCATGTACTGCATCCTGTAAAATAGAACCTCATTCTTGCAGGGTATATACTCTCAACTGGTATCATAAAGTCTTCAGTGGTCATTACACTGTTTTATCAGATTAGATGATTCTCTGTGATGGGGTATGTGGTAAGAAGAATGAACTTCATATGCATGAGCTCATAATCACATTCTTTTGCTGTGAAATCAGTTTCTTGATCAGAAAGATGTCATGATAAATAATTTTATTCACCAACAGCAGTGAGACTACACCAGCAACTTGAATTTCCTTAACAAAAGGCAATTGTTGCTTTAAGTATTGTTCCAGAAAATATCTAGTCAAGATCTTTTAAAGCCAGGTGTTAATTAAAATTTCTCTTGAATAACAGTTCTTATTTCGAAAAGAAATGTGCTGCCCCTGCTTTGGAAACTAATCCTTTGTTGACTATAAGTCATGCAGAAATTATTTTAATTTTGATAATGTTCATTCTTAAGTCCTTCATATCCAATGATCCATTATAACAACAAATCACACCTTGTACTTAAAACACTTGGCTGAAAATATACTGGGCATCAAAACAATTTACAACACCAACCAAAAAGAGAAGTTGTTCATCTTTTTCACAAAATGAGCATGTTACTAGAGAAGGTAACAATTCAGGAAGTATTAGATATTAACTTAAAGGATTTCCTGAGTCATAGAAGGGTACAGAAAACAAAACTGTCTATAATGAGCATACTAAAAAAGGAGACAAGAGTTCTAATTGTCAACTTATCATCAACAAAGACAGAGGCAAAGAAAACTAGGTAGCTTAAGATCAATTCCAACTTAATTCCCCATTCACTACCAAAAGCTTTTAAGTCACGTTTTAAATTTGAATATGTTTTACCCCTTTACTAGAGATTCATCATACCCAGAATATTTTAAAAATTGCATGATGGAAGAAGGACATTCCCACTGAAAGGCTAACACTTACTAATAACGTGGGTCACAATTTTCTATGTCCTATTTATTTAATCCTCAGAACAATATCAAGAAGTAGACATATTACTATCTTATTTTGTAAATGACAGTGTTGAGACATAATTGGATTAAATAGCTGGTCATATAAAACACAGCTAATAGGAGGGGAGTTGACATTTCAGCTTAGGCCACCTGACTTGAATGCTACACACAATCACTAAACTACCTTATAATGAAAGACTCTTACATTTTATTGGCTGCAGCTGACAGAAAACATATATTTTTACATAATAACCCAGTACACCCATATGTATAACCATATAATATATCCTGAAAAGTATTAATATATAATGCAATCTGATATTTACTTCTATTCTGCTCTATCCATCCTCTAAATTCTGTTTGCTACTCCCTAAATAGATTTCATGTATTACTGATGAGTTGCATTCAAGCGTCAATGAGTGCTACTATTAAAAATATAGTAATTACTTCAGTGGTTCAAATAATTGGATTTGAGAGACAAAGCAGCGTAATGAAGGGAAAAGTTCAAGCTCTCAAATATGGCAAATTTAAGGTCAATTCCTTTCCCAGCTATTTTAGTGAATTTGAGCAACTTACGTGACTCCTCTCTAATTTATTATCTAATCAGTGATCTGATAATAATAACATAAATTGCAAGGGTTTGTTGTGAGCATGAGGAGAGCTAATCTACATAAAGTGATTAGCACATAGTCTAGGACATGGTAAGGATTCAACAAATTATGGCTATTAGAAAATAAAGCATAACATCTTCTAGCATATGGTAATTTCCTCTCAAATGAATAGATTTTATTTCCTATGAGTAAATTTCTCAGTACCTGCCTTCATTTTATACATAAAATTGTGTAATTTACTACATCCTTTTGCCATAAATTGAAAATAGATTGTGTAATACCTCCCATCTTTGGTAGACAAGTGTACATTGAATTTATCCATCTGATTTAGATAATGGGATAACACCACATACTTACAGAATACAACATATATTGGAGAATTTATTATCCATTAAGCAGTCCAGATATTCATTATTAGCTTCAGAAAAATGTATTAAGTAATTTCTATATATTTAACATTTTAAGTAGCTCAAATGCATGTATACAGTATCTTTAAAATTACACATCTGGGAAATAAATATGAAATTGAAAATAAGAAACTAGAAGGATTCTATTTCCTAATTATCTCCCACCACTAGATATCTTCTGTTATTTCCAAAATTAAGACAAAGAATTTATTTCAACTGCCTCCTTTTTCCATTCTTTAAATTCCTTCTTCCCAAATAAGCTTCTTCTCAAATAAACCAACTCTTACTATACATATATATATGTCAGTTCTGATACATATGTATAGACACATTAAAACTCCAGTATCTATAGCCTTTAACAACAGTGGTTCCCAAACAAAGCTTCACTTTGCAATAACTTGGGGAGTTTTTTAATTCTTGTGTTCTTTTGCAGCAACGTGCATGCAGGTGGAAGCCATTATCCTAAGCAAACGAATTCAAGGAGAGAAAACCAAATACTGCAAGTTCTAATTTAGAAATGAGAGCTAAACATTGAGTATACGGGAACATACAGAAGGGAACAATAGACACCAGGGCCTACTTGATGGTGTAGAGCAGGAGGAGGGTGAGGATCAAAAAACTACCTGTTGAGTACTGTGCTCACTACCTGGGTGATGAAATAATTTATACAACTAGCCCCAGAAACACACAAATTGCTCATGTAACAAACCTACACAGGTACCCCTGAACCTAAAATAAAAGTTGGAAGGAAAAAACTAACATAAATAAAATTAATAAAATTTTTAAAACAAAATTAAATTACTTTGTCTGTCTTCTGCCCCATAACTTTTGATAAATTGTTCTGGGGTAAGGTCTGAGAAGTGGAATTTTTTAAAGCTTCCCAGATAGTTGTGATGTGCAGTCAAGTTTGAAAACCACTGTACTTGAGCATTCTGTGTGCTGCCCCAGGGCCTGCTAGGACAGTGATTGGATCACAGTTCTATAGATGAAGCTGCCAAACTGGCAACTGCAACTATTATTTCTTTGTTTCAGTAAAGAATATCAATACAGAACTTTACCCTCTCTCAACCTTTCTCTTAACTCCAATAAAAATCCAGACAGAGGTATTTAAGAAGAAAGGCTTTTCTATCAAAGTTCTTTCTCTTCTTGGACTTTTAAATTGTGGCTACCTAAATTGAGTATCTGGCAAGAGTAAGATTAAGCAGTAATTTGTTCCAAAGAAGAATCTTCTACCAAGGTAGGTATATAGAAATATAAATGTAAGAATTTTCACTTCGGAATTCTAGCTTTTGCTCATATTCTCAAGAATATCATCCTCATGGCTTTTAATGGAAATAGCCTCGTTACCCAAAAATCTCAGATGTGTTTTTAAAAAAAAAATCATTGTCTGTGGTAAAATTGCTTAAAATTCCTGAAAAAATGTCAAGAACATTCATATTGATTAGTTGCACAATTTACATCCAATTTCACAATCTATTGACTTTTTCCACTGCTGTATTTTATGGTCTCTAAAGTCAATCATGAGTAGAAGAGTCTTAAAAAGGTATATTAAGTTAGATTTGCATTTTTGTTGTTCTTGTTTGAGTTAGGTTTCTTATGTATTGTCAAACTGCTTTCTAATATGAAAACATATAAGAAAAAAGCTATTTTAAGGGGGTAGACACACGCACATACAACTATAGGATCTGTCAACCTGTCTTACATCACTTTCAAGGCTAATGCCAATGACAGATACCACATAAACCCCAAGACAATCTGTCAGCCTATGTGCTTGAATTTTGCCTTCCCAGAACCCAGGGTGCCATGTGCTTCTTATATATTGTTGAAAATTATAAACAAATTAGGATAAAAACATCTTTTTTCTAATTCACACACTGATAGACAATAATTGACTTTTGGAATAACTTGGAAAAAAATCATATCAAAGTAATAATACTTCAGTAGAGTGATGTTAAAGGAAAAATACACATTACATGGTTTCTTTTGCTTCAGACAGATCTAATAACAATAACACAATAATTGTATTAAGAAGTTATTTTTTACAATAGTCGTGTCACGTTGACAATATTTAGGTCACAAATCTATAGAAATCTGTAAGCTTTGACTAATTTTAAGTAAACATACTAAAAGTATACCCTAAGTAGTTATGTTCCAAAGTAGTCACCACTAAAGGCAACAAGGAATTTCCAAAAATACTTTAATTTTAAAATGTACTTTCAACAATTATCTGAAAATTATCTTTCATAAAATAAAGTACCACCATTAAAAAAAAAATCACAAACATGACAGTATTGCTGTGCATCTATGCTGCTTCCTCTCCCCAAAATATCAAACACATCTTTAAAGGTTATGTTGGTCTTTCTTCATCATTTTACATAACAAGTGTTAAAATGTTTTAAAAAATTTTTTCTGAAAAACACTGTTGATCGATTTGGCTAACTGTGGATAATCTTTGGCCTGTTTGTAGGAGCAACTTTAAAGAATGAAATTAACTTTCTTCTTGGGCCTGTTGGCTCTTATTTCATGTTTCACAGTAAGTTCCCTCAATTCTAAATTTACTTGTTATATTTATTGTTAATCATGATTTCAAAGAAAGTTTTGATACCAAGAATTTTGTCCTGTATATAAAAATACAGTGTCAGGCTGTTGATAATTATGGACTTGCTCTTACTTTCCTTTTCCTTTCTCATTTATGACTAACCATCTAGTCAGCGGTTGCTAAGCATGAAGGGACAGTGGACTGCAGGAAGAGGACACAGGGCAGGTAGTATCTAGGAGAGCTAGCTCTTATCTAGAGATATCTCTTCCTTTTTATTTCTTTTTCAAAAGGACTACTATCAAATTGTCAGAAAAATATAATTTAAGCTTACTAAATGTTTAAAAGCTGTAGGGAATAAGAAAGCATACAGTTGGAGCTTCATGATAAATTTTCTAAAAAGACAACATGATATATCAATGCAAGGATTGCTGATTGTACAATAGTTTTTTATTGAAAATATTTATAAAAACTAAAATCAGGAAGCCTTTCTGATGCCTGAAAATATATTCATTATGACTAAAATATTCCTTTAACTGACTGGAAATTAAAGTGCTACTCACTTGGGAAAAAAATACAAACAGAAAAAGAAGTCATTTACTCAAGAAGCACTTACACTAATTCAAACTTTTGAAAATCATTTGTTAAAGCTCTATAGGAGATCCAAAAATATATAATGCAAAGTAACAAGTGATAAGTGCCATAGCCAAAAACATCATAGCATGATACGAATTTCAGAGTAAGATCAGTTTCCCTAGCATATGTTGGGGTTAGGTGGGCTTGCGAGGAGAGAAAGAGCCCTATTTATCTCATTTCTTAGTAATTACTGATAATCCACTGTGTGTTGGGCCTAGTGGTGGTTGATACAGAAATACCAAAGTCGAATTCCAAATTGGGATCTTCATAGATTAGGTCTTCTTTTCATAATATAGTATCTACCTAAGAGAAACTAGTGAGCAAATAAATATCAATAGACCCTAGCAATGATACTGTCAGATAAAGTAACGTTATTTTTCTGAAGCATTTTTTGATATTTAATGACATCTGTATTGTTCTGAAGCATATAGTGCTATGTAATAACATTTGTATAAAAAAATTATACTTCTGAGGTTGAAATAGAAGATTATTATACTCCATGAGATACCTATATCAGAAACACCTGATCCACTTAATAAGAATGAACATTTCCAGACCTTATCCCAGACCTGAGAAAAAAAGAATAGCTGATCTTGGGGCCTGGAAACCTGCATTCTAGGATACTCTTACTCAAGCTGAAATCTGAGACTCCTTGAGTAAATTTTCTTGAAATTTACTTCTCAAGCTATTATGTTATAATTGCATGAAATATATAAAGAGAGCTTTCAAGGTAAATTCAACTTAAATCAATCCATCATATGAAAAAACCTAAGTCAATAATTAGAATTAATTATCAAATTTATTACTCTGGAATAAACCACTTTTTTGGTAGAATTCCCCAAATATGACAAATATGACTTCTCTGTTAACATTAATAAACACTAATTCAGACTTTATACAATAGATTAGAAGGTAAAGAAAGATCCATGATCAAGTAAACTTGAGAAATTTGGGGAAATGAAATAGAGGTTGTTGACTAGAATACTTCTCAGAGACAATAATAGAGGAAATGCTGTCTTTGATTCTCTATCTACAACCTTCTGTTTCATACTGAGGACAGACAACTTCTGAGGAGTCCTACATAAAGCATCTACCTTGAGGATTCATATGAATTAATGGCATATTTTTATTCCAGAAGCCTGAATTGCAAGACAAATGTAACTTAAATTCTTTTCTACCTTGAAAGAGTATAGAATCCCATTTATATAAGAAGCAGAGGATTCCATGTCCTAAAAAAACATGAGTTTAATACATAAATTTTCTCATGTTAGAATTAAATATTATTGGATATAAGAAAACAAGAACCACAAGACATAATTTTAAGGTCACTCTAGCAAAAATTTCTTGCTGTATTCATTGTCTCATGAGAAGTTGGTAAATCTTAACAACAGTCTTAAGCATTAGTCTAAATAAAGAAACTTTATTGTACTTAGCATCTAGAACTTTCAATATATCAGAGATTATCTTTTATGAGATAGGGACTATCTAGGATTTAAATTAAAAATAACAGTTCATATTTGTATATTTACAATGTACTCTGGAGCACAGTTTTACCCTCAAACCTCACAAAAACCCAGGAACTATTTGGGATGCTCCTTTACATAGCACAGAGCTGAACATGAGACAAACCCTCAATAAGTATTAGGGGAATGACACAACAAGTGAATGGGCCTTTGTGTAGTTGACGCCAAGTAATAACAAATAGGTTTCAGAGTCTTACCTGTTCATTCATGCCATTGGATAGGCTATATGAAGTATGACACAGGGATGGATAATAGGCCAAGTGTAAGCTCAAAGGTAAAGTATCTCATGGTGGACAAGGATATCTGCCATGCTCACAAGATGAGTAACGACAGCATTTTTGCCAATACCTGCCATCCCTAACTTAGAGAAGACTTTGTTTGCAGCACAATCTGTCCACTAAACTGCTGTCAGCTGTCAGTTGGTTAAGCTGTCAGTCTGGCAGTTTCTAATCCTTAAGAATAGGAAATAGAAGTTTAAAAAAAGTAAAAAGTAAAATAAACTTAAAAACAGAACATAAATAAAATACTTTACAGAAAGGGCTATGATAAAATAATTGCCAAAAGCAAAGCAAAACCTTTAGCCTGAACTAAACCAACGATAAGCAGATATCAAATAACCGAAGACAGACAGTGGTTCTCCAAACTCTACAAACTCTAGAAACTCTATCAGGAACACAAATCATCTAGGGATTTTGTAGAACTGCAGACTCTGATCCAGTAGGTCTGCCTGAGCCCCATAAGTCTACATTTCTAACAAGCCCTCAGGTGATACTGGTGCTGATCTGTTGGTCAGCAAATAACATTTTGAGTAACAAGGCCCTGGTCAACTGAGAAATCAAACAGAGAAAGGCTGAGGACTTCTTACGGGTTTGTATAAATGCTCAAATGTTGTCACGGGAAAGGATTACGCTCCTTGCCATGTGCAAGGAAGGAAATGGCATTCTGAAATCAAGTAAGAGAAATTTCTGCTTATCACCAAATATGGGGAATTCATTCAACCCAAAATACTTATTGAGCACTTATTGTTTGCCAGGCACTATTCTAGATGTTGGGTAAACAGCAGTGAACAAAACAGACAAAAAGTTTCTAACCTCATGGAGCTTATATTCTACTTGGGGAAGACAAGCCATAAACAAAATAACTGACTATGTAATGCAGAAAATTTGGGAAGAAGGAATTTTAGGAGGAGGTAGAACAAGGATGTGATTTTAGATAGGGTAGCCCAGTGGAAAATGGCATTTGATTAAAGACCTGAAGTGGGTGAAAAAGCCAACCATGCAAGCAGAGGAAACAGGGAGTTCCAAAGTCTGGAGTAGGGTACACTTGCCTAGTGTGAAGAATAAGGAGGCTAGCATGGCTGGTAGAGAGTGAGATGGGAAGAGAGGAGCAGGAGGTGATACTAGAGAGTTAGAGGAGGGTGAGGCTGCATCAGGTCTCATGGGCTTTTGCAGAGCCTTAGTTTTACTCTGAGTGACATGCAAAACTTTAGTACATGAAGTCAGTACAAAACCTCAGAAAGATGCCGTCTCTTCCCACACACTCTTGCTTTCCATCATCCATAATGATTTGGAGAAAAAAAATGAAACTTCTAAAATATCTGAATGGCATCCATAAATATTTACTTAAAGTCACCTACAGCTTAAGAAGGATACAAACACTGATAAACATGACCTCTAACTTCAAGGGGTATATGACTGTCAGAGGATACAAGATAGATTGGTAATAATAGCCAGAGCAGGAGTTGACAAACTTTTCTGAAAAGGGCCAGATAACAAATATTGTAGGCTTCTGTGGGCCTGTAATAAGTGGTCAACTTGGCTGAGGTAGCTTGAAAGCAGCTACAATAAACGAATGGGCATGGTTATGTTCCAGTAAAACTTTATTTACCAAAACAGGCAAACTACATTTGGCCCACAGCCTTAGTTTGCTAACTCCCAGTCTACAGAGACAGTGAACAAGGCAATATGGCATGTAAAAACCTGATATTTCATTTACAAAATAATCATAAAATTAACCCAACATTATTCATGAGTTTGCAAAAAATATTTATGTTTCATTGAAACATGTTTGCATGTTTGTGTGCATGCAAAATACTATGCTAAATTATTTGTCATTTTAATTATTTTTTCTAAAGAACATCATGTGATAGATACTATTACTTTCTCTCTTTTAAAGATAGGAAAAGTAACAGAGAGGTTACATAACTTACCCAAATTCACATAACTTGTGAATGGAGAAACAAAATTTTAACTTGCCTTGATCTATTTGCCTATCTTCTGCCTTTTCTTCTATTATCTGGGATGGACTAAAATCAACCCAATATATTCTAAGACCAACCCCTCAACTTGTACACTAGATCCCATCCTCTCCCCTAAGCAAGGAGATTCCTGCAATTATCCTGCAATTATCTACTCTAAATCTAAATATCAGCAATTTTTCCTTCTCTCTATTGATTGTTCCTACTAGCACATAAATATGAGGTAATATCATTTATATGTTTGTTTTCATACTCCACTGATCTTATGGCTCCCATCATGGTCCATTTGAAAAAGTTGCCTCTGTACATCTTCACTTCTTTTCCTGTTCTGTCTTAAGCCTACTCCAAGCAGACTTTGCCCACATCATTTGGATGAAACCACATTTGTCAAATTGTACTCAAAATGGCCAGGCGTAAGGGTCAGCTTTCAGTCCCCATGATAATTATGTCTAAATTGTATTTGACATGATCAGTCTCCTACTTAAAGAGTTTTTTCTTTTTCCTCAACTCCACTCTCCTGATTTTTCTCCTACTTCAATGACGACTCCTTGTTGGTCTCCTTCTCCAGACACATCTCCTCTTCCTGATCTCTAAATGTCAGAGTCTCCCAGGACACCATCTTCTTACCCTTTCTCCATCTATGAGCACAAATCCAGTTGCTCAAGCCAAAAAAAACTTGAAATCATCCTTGACTCTATCACCTCCCAGATCCACTCCTTCAGCAAATATTGCCCACTCTGCCTTCAAAACATCATCTAAATCTTACCCTTTCTCACCACCCTCCTGCTACCATTCTAGGCCAAGCCATCATCACTTCCTACCTGTGGCAACAATAACTGATCTCTCTGCTTTCACTATTGTCCCTGCAGTTTATTCTCCACACAACAACCAGAAAGATGTTTTTCCAAAGTAAATATTGCCATATCATTCCTTTGTTCAAAAGCTTCTAATGGTTTTCCATAAGACTTAGAAGGCGGGGATACAAAGTCCTTACCCCTACCTACAAGACCCTGCTTTGTCCTCCCCGCACCTTAACTCCAATATATCTATGTAACAAAATTGCATTTATGCTCTTTAAATGTTTTACAAATAAATAATAATAAATTTAAAAATATCTGCCCTCATGGAACTCACACATTAAATCGTTTTTGATTATTTTAAACCATCAAATGTTAAAACTACAGAGAGAATATAATCAAATTTAAATATAGGTGGGCTGCATAATAATAATATTAAAGCTACCACTTATGGAGTGTTTAATATATGCCAAGAAGTATATTACAAAAGTATGCTGTTTAATCTCTCCAGAAATCCAGTGTGACAATTATTATTATTATCCTCTCTTAACAAATAAGTAAAATGAAACTCAAAATAGCCAATTCTCTATTCTGTTTCAAATAAGCTTATCATTTGTGAAGGTAATCCCCCCAAATGTAGACTCCTTAAGAAGGCATTTTCATCATTTGTCTAGGGTTATAATGTTCACTACCATTGGCCAGTGGAGGAGGGAAACTAGCTAGTGAAAAATTGTATTAAGAGAATAGGAAAAGATAAAAATAATAAGAATGGAGATCAGGGGTCAGCTATTTGCTGTAAGGTGTAATTTTTCACATGATTTCTCCCCACCTCTGCTTAGGGTCCAGAGAGCAGCTCATTGAAGATCACTTTGAACTTAATTTCCATGACACTGTACCATCTGGGTTTCCTCCTGTCTCTGATTTTCCTTCACTGGCTGCTCACCTTTCTCTTATTGATACCCAAGTTTCTGTCTTCAGCCATTTCTTCTTCATTACTTTCTTACTTATTGCTTTGACCCAACAGTGCTTTCCAAATCTATTTCTCCAGTTCTGAGATTTCAATCTGCATCTACAAACTTCCATGACTTTTCAAACTCAAAAGGATTAAAACTTAATTAATTTTTTTCCTCTTGACACCTATATCTTCATTAATGTTAGCAGCCATGACTTAAGATCTCAATTTCATTTGAGTCCACATTCATTTATTCAAAAACATTTACTAAGAACTTGGCCAGGCATGGTGGCTCACACCTGTAATCCCCGCATTTTGGGAGGCCAAGGCAGGTGGATTGCTTAAGCTCAGGAGTTCGAGACTAGCCTGGGCAACATAGCAAGACCCCATATCCACAAAAAATACAAAAAAAAAATAGCCAGGTATGGTGGTGCACTCCTGTGGTCACAGCTACTTGCGAGGCTGAGGTGGGAAGATCACCTGAGCCTGGGGGACAGAGGTTGAAGTGAGCTGAGGTCACACCACTGCACGCCAGCCTGGGTAGCAGAGCATGACCCCGTTTAAAAAAAAAATGTACTGAGAACCTCCAACGTGCCAGAAACTGGAGATAGAATGATAAACAATACAGAGACATTGTTTGAAGAAGTTAATAATTACTACACTATATAATAAGTGACTATAAGTATTATAATAGAAGTGCTAAAGCAACAAAAAGAACAAAGATACCTAACTTACTTCGAATTCCTCATACCTTTTATTATTCACAAAGGTGCCAGGCACTGACTAAGATACTAAAGACACAAAGCTAAAGAAGATACAACTTATTCCTTCAACAGCAGTAAAATAGCACATGGCCTAAAAGTGGAGAAAAATATCAAAACAAACAATTACTATCACTGTGAAAAAAAGTGATGAAGTTTGCTTTTGTCTCCAATAAAAGATTTACAAAAGTAAAATTTTGGCTGATTTTATATTGTATAAAGATATTTTCTGTACAATTCTTTTAATTATCATATCAAATTATTGGGGGAGAGGAGTGAAGCCACTTAAACATTTTGAAGGAAGAGCTTGCCAAGTGAATGGAAATTAGGGCAGGAGTGAAACATTCTCAGCTAGAGGAACTGCTTTTATGAAGGCACAGGGACTACCAAAAAGAGCTCGTTATGTTGAAAGAACTAGTACTAGTTCTACATGGCCAGAGTGAGGATAAAGAAGTGGCAAAAGATGAGATTGGATGGCGGTATAGGCTTTTGTTTGGTTGCAAAGAACAGGGTTCCACTCACAATATTTATTCTTGCATTTTTAGGGCTGCCTTAGTTTGCTGCACCAGTTCTAATTTATATTTATTCTTGCATTGACTTCCTTTTTCCTTAAAGGAAGGAAACATGCCTGGCCAGGTTCTCAATAAATGTTTTCTTCCTTCCTTAAATAAGAAAGTCAATGCAAGAATAAATATAAAGTAGAACTGGCACAGCAAAAGCAGGCAGCCCTAAAAACCGGTCTTTGCTTCTCATGGCAACCCTGCTTTTCTCTGTACTGTTCCCTCCCTGAGATGTGCTCTCTTTACTCACAGTCCCTGTGTCCTTATAGCTTAGTTTGCACGTGGCCCTTATTAATGCTCCAGCCTCTGTCTGGCTCCTCTCATCTCACAATATTCACATTTTAGTTCCTACTTCTAAGTAGGATATCTCAATATTTCCTATTTCAAGTTACAAAGAGAAAGAGAATTTTATTAACGTGGCTTATTTTTCTTCTTCTGGCCATAAGGCCTAAGATCCTGGATAGCCAGTGGTTTGGAAGTCCATGGAACAATAGCCCAGAAATAACCCAAATAAATGTGTTTATGTTTATGTTACAAGAATAAAAGGTGATGACTAAGACAGGACAGTCCCTGGAAAGGGAGAAAACATAGATATAAAATATACAGAGGAATTGATCATGTGACCATGACATCACTATGGCTCCCTCTGAAATGACTTGGAATTTTTGAGTTGTCACTGATCTTTGTAAGAGATTCAGTTAAGTTGTGTGATGGGGACAGTAACCAGATAAAAGGGAAATTGAGAAGTGGAGACAGAAAATCTAAACCAGCCTTCCTTACTATCTGGCTAGGAATGGAGAGAGATAAACTAATAAAGAAAGCTTCAAGGGTACCCTAGGTTAAGAATGAGATTCTTTAATACATGAGATATCAATCAATATTATAGACAGGAAGAATACAGCCAGGGATTAGAAAGAGGTTTATTTTACAAAAATAAAAGAGAAGAAAGACCCTAGGGACAGAGAAGATGTAGATATAAAACACAGGTGAAGAGACTGGTCTTAAACAGGAAGAGAGAACAGCAAGATATTTATGAGTTTTATAGGCATAGGGCAGGAAAGTGAAGAAGTTCTCACGTATCATGGCCTAAATTATGTGAATTAGAAGGCAAGATCATCTTCTGATGGGTGTAGAGGGGAGCAAGAAAAGTAGAAGTGAGGTATAGATGCTGAGAAGATAGCCTTTTGGGGAAAATGGGAGGAAATGATTTAGCAGTGCTGATGCACCAGACAAACACAGACACTATAGTTCTCTAGTGTTGCTACCATTAGAGATTGTGGCATTCTCCAGCAATGTTCATCACCATGGAAGTAGGACTAGGGAAGGTAGTTTGCATAGAGTTGATCCAAAAGTTTGATGTTTCTGAAGGCAATATGGCAGAGACACAGGAAGGAGTTGAATGTTGTAGGGGAATGATTAGAGTCTTGCACCTTCCTAAAGCTTTGTTTCAGGCAAACTGGTCTTCTGATGGTCGCTAGAATAGAACCTATATTTTCTTGACCTTGTTCATTTGTTTATGATATTATCCTAATTTGGCTTCTTCCTCCTCATTTCTACCCTGTTATTTTATCCTCATTTCAAATGCCATCTTCTCTACATGGCAATTAGTCCTCTCTCTTTGATAAAAATTAAAATTTTCATCTAAATTACTAAAATTGTTACAATATTTATCAATTATTTCTTGAATTGCTACCATCTACAAGCCATGCTTGTTATTAATAGAGTACAAAATCACTCAAAATTATACTGAGCCCTTACTCTACCTTACTATGTCTAAGCACTTTACATAGATTATGTATAATCCTATCTACCACTATAAATGGTAAGAACTATTTCTAGAACCAGTTGAGGAGTGAGCAAACAGGCAGAGATAACCATAAGCAAGTCACCCAGCTAGCATTTAACAATGGTAGGACTGGCTCTAGGAGGCTCTAGCAATCAGACTCCAGTGTCTAAATTTTAACCAACATACTATACTAGCTCCATAGGCTTTTTGTTGTATTGCCTTGTATTGTCATTGGAGGGTTATATCTTCCACTGATTTCAGACTCACATAAGCAGAGTCTTAAATCTGTTTCTCTTTGTCCCTAGAAAGAAGTGTTGCATGTAATAGTTATACAATTAATGGTTCAGAGTCTGGAATCTCACTGAATTCTTAGAATGAAGTAAGAAAGAATTTTCCCAGATAGTCAACCTGGGTATTTACCTCCACTTGAAACTACATTCAAAGGTGGTCTTTTCTTATACATAATCAAGGTGATTTGGTCCCTCCCTAAAACCTACAGGTCAGATAGCAAGGTTACCACTTTTTTGGTTTTTTCTCATTTAATACTATTCTACTTTTCTTTGATTGCCCAGGCATCCAGAATAAACAGGAAATTTTCTATTCCTTATTTTTTCTAAGTTATTTTCTCAGTGAAATACATGACTTATGGCTTAGTATATCCTAATGTTTACATAGTAGATATATTAATACATAGTATATCCTAATGTTTGAACTTTAAATGATCAAATTTAGAAATTTTGTTTTTTACCTTTGTTTTTATCTCCACAGCCCAGTGAGAGTCAAAGATTCTCCAGAAGACCATATCTACCTGGCCAGCTGCCACCACCTCCACTCTACAGGCCAAGATGGGTTCCACCAAGTCCCCCACCTCCCTATGACTCAAGACTTAATTCACCACTTTCTCTTCCCTTTGTCCCAGGGCGAGTTCCACCATCTTCTTTCTCTCGATTTAGCCAAGCAGTCATTCTATCTCAACTCTTTCCATTGGAATCTATTAGACAACCTCGACTCTTTCCGGGTTATCCAAACCTACATTTCCCACTAAGACCTTACTATGTAGGACCTATTAGGATATTAAAACCCCCATTTCCTCCTATTCCTTTTTTTCTTGCTATTTACCTTCCTATCTCTAACCCTGAGCCCCAAATAAACATCACCACCGCAGATACAACAATCACCACAAATCCCCCCACCACTGCAACAGCAACCACCAGCACTTCCACAAAACCCACAATGACGATCAGCTCCTCAACAGTACCTATCTCTTCAACACCAGAGCCTGCCACCTCCATATCAGCAGCAACCCCCGCAGCATCTACTGAAAATACTACTCAAATTCTCGCCAACCGTCCTCACACAGTATTGCTCAATGCCACTGTCCAAGTTACGACTTCCAACCAAACTATATTAAGCAGCCCAGCCTTTAAAAGTTTTTGGCAAAAACTCTTTGCCATTTTTGGTTGAACATGCAATAAATGATATTTTCCAAACTGCTCTGATATCTTAGAAGAAATAAACTGCAATGATTTTGATGGAACCAACCCTGATCTAACCAGCACACTAAATAAAGTATTTGAGCAATAATATGCACCTATTGCTATCATTATGACTACCACTCTATCCTATATTTTCTCATCTACCAACAGTTGATGAGACAGGTTCCCAGAAGAAAACAGAGACCCTTTATGGGAAAAAAAATTAATAAAGGGTTTATTTAAAGAGAGTGGACAGGATTTAAAAAAAAAATACAGGGCTGAGACATTCAGGGTCTCCCAGTAGAGCTGGTCATGGGCCTATGTTTGATGAAGCAAAGGGAACAAATAAGGAGCCCAGAGCCTGAAGAAGAGTTGGGACAATGAAGGAAAGGCCACACAATAAGACCCGTTGTGCAAAGATGTGACTGCTGCCAGGTGTGACTACTGCTCCTCATTAGCAGTCCACTCTTCTCTGCCTAGTTCTCAATCCTGGGAGGATAACCATACAAACTCTTACATGTGGGTTTTCTTACCTGGGGGTTCTGGTTGGGTTCTGCTGATGAAATAGGTGGAAGGGAGAGGTACAAATCTTTTATATTTGGTATAAAAGATAAAATATGGTCCAACTGTATAGGTCCCTTGCCATGAATGGAGCTAAGCTAAGCTCCTAATAGTTACACAATTAATAGTCTCCTAATAGTTACGTGATTAATGGTTCAGAGCCTGGAATCTCACTGAATTCTTAGAATGGAGTCAGAAAGAATTTTCCTAGATAATCCCACTGGAGTGTTTACTTCTACTTGAAACTACTTTCAAAGATGTGACTACTGACAGGTGTGACTGCTACTCCTCATTAGCAGTCCACTCTTCTCTGCCTAGTTCTTAGTTCTCTGATTTCTTAGAAGCTAAGCTCCATTCATGGCAAGGAACCTATATGGCTGTACCATTTTTTATCTTTTATACCAAATAGTAACCCTACGTCTCTCTTCCACCTATTTCATCAGCAGAACCCAACAAAAATCTCACAGGTAAGGAAACTCACGTGTAAGAGTTTGTATGATCATCTTCCCAGGATTGAGAATGAGGCAGAGAAAGGCGGACTGCTAATGAGGATTTATCAGCACGTAGGCTAACACCACAAGTAGCCTCACTCAGCATCTTGAGGCCAAACAAGCAGACAAGGAAAAATATGAGGGTTCCTGACTTCCTACATAGAAAGGGCAGAGACAGCAGAAAAATATGAGATCAGTTTTTTATTGCCTTTACCCAGGAAATTCACATATATATAAGGTCAACCAGGTAACAAAAATGTAAGCAAATAATAATATAAACTAAGAGAAAAGAAAGAAAATAATTAAAATATCAACTTAAATTGATCTAGTGGAAACAGACACATAGACCAATGGAACAGAATAGAGAACCCAGAAATAAAGCCATATACCTGCAACCATCTGAGCTTGGACAAAGTCAACAAAAGCAAGCAATGAGGAAAGGAGCCCTTAATCAATAAATTATGCTGGGATAAATGGCTAGCCATGTGAAGAAGAATGAAACTGAACCCCTACCTTTCACTTGAATCCTACACACAATCATAAACTACCCTATAACAAACGACACTTACATTTTATTGACCAGACCCCATCTCTACAAAAAAAAAAAAAAAAAAAAAAAAAAAAAAAAGAGGCCGGGCGCGGTGGGCTCACGCCTGTTATCCCAGCAATTTGGGAGGCCGAGGCGGGCAGATCACACGGTCAGGAGATCAAGATCATCCTGGCTAACACGGTGATACCCCGTCTCTACTAAAAATACAAAAAACTAGCCGGGCACGGTGGCAGGCGCCTGTAGTCCCAGCTACTCAGGAGGCTGAGGCGGGAGGCTGAGGCAGGAGAATGGCGCGAACCCGGGAGGCGGAGCTTGCAGTGAGCCGAGATCGCGCCACTGCACTCCAGCCTGGGCGACAGAGCGAGACTCCGTCTCAAAAAAAAAGGAAGAAAAGAAAAGAGCTGGTTTGGTGACACACACCTGTGGTCCTAACTCCTGGTTAGGTGGCTGAGGTGGGAGGATCCCTTGAGGCCAGGATTTCCAGGCTGTAGTGAGCTATGATTGCACCACTGCACTCCAGCCTAGGTAACATAGCAAGACTCTGTCCCCATCCCAACCCTCAACAACAACAACAAATAGACTGCTAGCAATAGCAATCTACAAGTTCAAGAGGTCACTTAGACTTATACCCGTTTTTCTTGGCTTGTATAACATGTTATAGAACTGAATTTGAAGATATTTGGGCCTATATTATTCATTTTCCAAACATTATATACTCTCTGTTCTTCTACCTGCCTTCTCACTTATTTACTTTACCTAGGCTTAAGATTCCTAGACTCTTTAGAGAAAGCAAAATGTTACTATGCTTAAAAATATGTAAATAAGCTGAAGGCTATATGTTCTGGATAATAATGCATATAAAATGGTTACTTAGGTAAGAATGCATCATCCCTGTTTCCAACTTGTTTGATAGAACAAGAAGTAAAATAAATATTTTACATATAGGAAGTAAACTATATGCTATCTCCATTCATGAATATTCAGAACTAAGATGTAAAGGAATATTGATATTAGCATCTTGACCCTAGCAATTTGCTTAAAGTGCCTGTGAACAGTTTCATTCTGAAGGAAATTATTATATTTATATAATTCTAAAACTTGACAACAAATTTCAATAAAATAATAAAAGATACTAATTGCTCTCCTAAGTTGATCAAAAGGCTGAAAGTTGACATTCAATCTTCTCTCAGAGTCCAAGCATATTTTCATTCCCTGGGTATTTTTATTTATGAAGATACATTTCCTAAAGTTTATTATATTTCAAAACATAGTCACACACTAATGTAATATGATTAAGCGAGTGCATGTGAAATTATCTTAACTGTGACAAGAAACTATAGCTCTAAAAGCTATGATGAGTATTGATCTGAAATGACATTATTTTATTAAACATTCAGAACCTTGCATAAAACTACACATTTTTTTGCAATATTGGATTTAATACAGGAACACTTTTAAAAGACTGAATTTGAAACCAAATATATATATGACTGTAGATATATATGTATATATATGTGTGTGTGTATATATATGTGTGTGTGTGTATATATATATATATATATATACCTCCACTGAAGTCTCAAATCCCTCAATATCATCCATGAAGGCTGAAGTCAATTTCTTTCAAACTCCTGTTAAATATTGATATTTGGACTCCTCTTAAGAATCACAAATATTTTTCCATTCCTCTGTTCCATCATGGAAATCACTATCTATGGCAGCTATAGTCTTACGAAATGTATTTCCTTTTTTTTTTTTTTTTTTTTTGAGACAGAGTCTCGCTCTGTCACCCAGGCTGGAGTGCAGCGGCGAGATCTCGGCTCACTGCAAGCTCCGCCTTCTGGGTTCACGCCATTCTCCTGCTTCAGCCTCCCAAGTAGCTGGGACTACAGGCGCCTGCCACTGCGCCCAGCTAATTTTTTTTTTTTTTTTTTTTTTGTATTTTTAGTAGAGATGGGGTTTCACCGTGTTAGCCAGGATGGTCTCGATCTCCTGACCTCGTGATCCGCCCGCCTCGCCCTCCCAAAGTGCTGGGATTACAGGCATGAGCCACTGCGCCCAGCCATGTATTTCCATAGTAATAAGACTTGAAAGTCAAAATTACTCCTTGATCCATGGGCTGCAGAACGGATGTTGTGTTAGCAGTCATGCAAACAACATTTGTCTCCCTGTACATCTCTATGAGAGCTCCTGGGTGACTTCATGCATTGTCAATAAGCAGTAATATTCTGAAAGGAATCTTTTTTCTGAGCAGTATGTATCAACAGTGGACTTAAAATAGTAAACCGTGCTGTAAACAGACGTGCTATAATCCAGGCTTTCTTGCTGCATTTATAGAGCACAGGAAGGGTAGATTTACTGTCACTCTTAAAAGAGTCCTAGGATTTTAGGAATGGCAAACGAGCATTGGCTTTAACTTAAAGTCACTAGCTACACTGGACTCTAACAAGGGAGTCAACCTGTCCTTTGAAGCCAGGCATTGACTTCTCAGCTATGAAAGCATCTTCTTTAGATAGCATCTTCTTTCAATACACTGCTATTTTGTCTACATGGAAAATCTGTGGATTATACCTTAGCTAGATTTTCTTAGCTAGATAAGAAATTATCTTACCTAAATTTTCTGGATAACTTGCTGCAGCTGCTACATCAGCACTCGCTGTTTCACCTCGCACTTCTATGTTATAGACGTGGTTTCTTTCCTTAAACCTCATGAACCAATCTCTGCTAGCTTTCAACTTTTCTTCTATAGCTTCTTCACCTCTCTCCGTCTTCATAGAACTGAAGAGAGTTAGGACTTTGCTCTGGATTAGGCTTTGGCTTAAGAAAATGTGTCTGATTTTATTTTCTATCCAGACCACTCAAACTTTCACTATATCAGTAATAAGGTAGTTTCACTTTCTTATCATTTGTGTGTTCACTGGAGTAGCACTTTTAATTTTCTTCAAAATCTCTTCCTTTTCATTTACAACTTGAATGTTTGGCTCAAGAGGCCTACCTTTCAGCCTATCTCAGCTTTCGACATCCATTTACTAAGTTTAATCATTTCTAGTTCTTGATTTTTTTTTTTTTTAGACGGAGTCTTGCTCTGTCTCCTAGGCTGGAGTGCAGTGGTGCGATCTCGGCTCACTGCAACCTCTGCCTCCCAGGTTCAAGTGATTCTCCTGCCTCAGCCTCCCGTGTAGCTGGGACTACTGGTGCCCACCACCATGCCCAGCTAATTTTTGTATCTTTAGTAGAGACGGGGTTTCACCATGTTGGCCAGGCTGGTCTCGAACTCCTGACCTTGTGATCCACCCACCTCGGCCTCCCAAAGTGTTTGGATTACAGGCGTGAGCCACCACACCCAGCCTCTAGCTCTTGATTTAAAGTGAGAGATGTGTAACTCTTTCTTTTATGTGAACACATAGAAGCCATTGTAGGGTTATTAATTGGCATAATTTTAAATTATTGTTTCTTAGGGAATAGGGTGGCCAAAGAGTAGGGAGAAAGATGAGTGAAAGGCTGGTAACAGTCAGAACACACAGAACATTTATCAATTAAGTTGGTGTCTAATATGAGTGCAGTTTGTGGCAATTAAAAGCAATTACAATAGTAACATCAGTGAGCATTGATTACAGATCACCATAACAGATATAATAATAATGAAAAAGTTTGAAATATTGTGAGAATTACCAAAATGTGGCATAGAAACATGAGATGAGTACGTGCTGTTGGAAAAATGGTGCCTATGGACTTGCTCAACACAGGGTTGCCACAAACCTTTAACTTGTGAAAAATGCAATATCTGCAAAGCACACAAAAGAGTGGCACAATAAAATGAGGTACTTCTGTACTCTTCATTTCACTGTTGCAAGCATGTAGGCATCCTTTTTTTATTTTTTTCCAAGACGGAGTCTTGCTCTGTCACCCAGGCTGGAGTGCAGTGGTGCGATCTCGGCTCACTGCAACCTCTGCCTCCCAGGTTCAAGCAATTCTCCTTCCTCAGCCTCCCAAGTAGCTGGGATTACAGGTGCACACTACCATGCCCAGCAAATTTCTGTATTTTTAGTAGAGACGGGGTTTCACCATGTTGGCCAGGCTGGTCTCAAACTCCTGACCTCATGATCCACCCGCCTTGGCCTTTGTTTCAAATAATTTGTATAAGAAAATGGTCTAAACAGCTGAACTCTCTCCTACCCAACAATCTGCCTTAAACAGCAAATTTCTAGACATCCAAAAATGATAGTCTCACTTAAAAAAATTCTGTAAGTGGAGGTAATGAGACTCCGAAGGGGAACAGATAAATTAAGTAATATATCGGAAACCACAAAGAGAGTAAATGGCAGAGTTGAAGTTCAGACACAGCTAGTTTGTTTCTGGGGACCAATCTCTAAGAGAACAGGACACTAGGGTCATCTAGCTATATGATTTCTCTATACATGAGTTCAGGAATTGCAATGTGCTCATTAACATTTCTCACATAATGAAATATTAAATAAGAATGGTTATACATCAGTGAGAACACATGGACACAGGAAGGGGAACCACATACACTGGAGCCTGGCAGGGGAGTGGGGTGGGGAGGGAGAGCATTAGGAAGAATAGCTAATGCATGCTGGGCTTAATACCTAGGTGATGGGTTGATAGGTGCAGCAAACCACCATGGCACACATTTACCTATGTAACAAACCTGCACATCCTGCACATGCAAATCAGAACTAAAAAGAAAAATTAGAAAAGAAAAAAAGAATGGTTATACATGTCTAATGAATTTCCCCTTTCTTTCTAAAATCTAGCAAGTCACAAAGCAAGCACAGATGAAAGGTACTTTTCTCTGTCTGAGTAGCAGCTCCTGTATCAGCATTCCCCTTCATCAGTTCAAACTCATAGGATTCCATTTAATCCAAATCCATCCACAAAACAAACAAACAAACAAAAAAAAAGATTTAGAGTATTCTCTACCTATTTAAAACCTCTTGCTTTAAAAAGAAACAAAAAAGACAAAATCTGGTCAAATTTACCCTATGCAAGAAAGTGTTCACAAACCTCAACATCACATGACTTTGTAAGATAAATCAAGTTATAATACTTCCAAATCTTGGCCAACTAAACCTGCTAAAAATTTAGGAATTAGATATAACTCTTAGCCCAGAAACAATATTCTTTAAGACCCAATTTGATCCCAAATTCCTTCTTCTGGTAAAAGAATTGGTCAACAAAATTAAATTATAAGAATTGGGTCCACAGAAAACATCAGGCCAATCAAAAGTTCATATAATTACAACCAGAAAGTAAATAATCCAACCAAATAAAATCACAAATTTCACAGCAAGCTAATCAAAGAAAAAAAAATTTAAATAATACTGAGTCAAGAAAGCCTATCCATCCAAAATCTCTGCCTAAAATGTATAGACAAATGAGAATTAAATAGGCAATCTATCAACCCTGGATCTGGACAACTAATTTTCTAACAAAAATTCCCCTACACAACAAAGAAGCTACCAAATCATAACTTATAGAAACACAACAGCTAAGAAAAAATCTACCCCTTATCCAGTCCAAATAGCCACAATGACGCAAAAGAAAAAAAATTAACCCCCACTTTAGAACCAATATTTAACAGAGCTCCAAACAACACCTATTACGCTCAGCTTTAACTAGTAAGAGAAATGGTCTATGCCAAACTATGACACAAGACCTTCAGAAAATACCTGTATAATCAAAATTTCACAAAAATATGATCAAGAAGCAATGAATCAGTGAAATAAAAATTCCCTTAGAAAAGCAAACTAACCAGAGAAAATACTACTTTAACACAACTGAATCAAAACAAGCTAGTTCTCAAATGCAGAGACAAAGACAAAAATACAGAAGAAATCTAAACAGCATAAACAGCCATTGAGTGAGCAGAGACCTATCCTATGTAAGAGGAGGCATCATCAACCTCATCAAAAACTTCTTGGTTAAAAAAAAAATCTCCAGCACAGCCAAGGAGTAGGCAATACCAAAATTCTAAGGACTCAGTAACATACAAGAGATCTAGTGTGAGCAAATACCATCCAAGTAAAACTGGTAAAAAGTTGCCAAAGAAATCTAAAACTACTTCTAGAAAAAGTATTCAACAAAACTGCTAATAATCTAAACCACATTCAACTTCCATTGGTAAAAGAAATGGACCAACACAAATCAAGCCACAAGTACTAGGTCTTAGAAAACTTCTGGCCAAATAAAACCTCTTTTTTTATTATTATTATTATACTTTAAGTTTTAGGGTACATGTGCACAATGTGCAGGTTTGTTACATATGTATACATGTGCCATGTTGGTGTGCTGCACCCATTAACTCGTCATTTACATTAGGTATATCTCCTAATGCTATGCTTCCCCCTCCCCGCACCCCACAATAGTCCCTGGAGTGTGATGTCCCCCTTTCTGTGTCCATGTGTTCTCATTGTTCAATTCCCACCTATGAGTGAGAATATGCGGTGTTTGGTTTTTTGTCCTTGCGATAGTTTGCTGAGAATGATGGTTTCCAGCTTCATCCATGTCCCTACAAAGGACATGAACTCATCCTTTTTTATGGCTGCATAGTATTCCATGGTGTATATGTGCCACATTTTCTTAATCCAGTCTATGGTTGTTGGACATTTGGGTTGGTTCCAAGTCTTTGCTATTGTGAATAGTACCGCAATAAACATATGTGTGCATGTGTCTTTATAGCAGCATGATTTATAATCCTTTGGGTACATACCTAGTAATCGGATGGCTGGGTTAAATGGTATTTCTAGTTCTAGATCCCTGAGGAATCGCCATACTGACTTCCACAATGGTGGAACTAGTTTACAGTCCCACCAACAGTGTAAAAGTGTTCCTGTTTCTCCACATCCTCTCCAGCACTTGTTGTTTCCTGACTTTGTAATGATTGCCATTCTAACTGGTGAGAGATGGTATCTCATTGTGGTTTTGATTTGCATTTCTCTGATGGCCAGTGATGATGAGCATTTTTTCATGTGTTTTTTGGCTGCATAAATGTCTTCTTTTGAGAAGTGTCTGTTCATATCCTTTGCCGACTTTTTGATGGGGTTGTTTGTTTTTTTCTTGTAAATTTGTTGGAGTTCATTGTAGATTCTGGATATTAGCCCTTTGTCAGATGAGTAGGTTGCAAAAATTTTCTCCCATTTTGTAGGTTGCCTGTTCACTCTGATGGTAGTTTCTTTTGCTGTGCAGAAGCTCTTTAGTTTAATTATATTCCATTTGTCAATTTTGGCTTTCGTTGCCATTGCTTTTGGTGTTTTAGACATGAAGTCCTTGCCCATGCCTATGTCCTGAATGGTATTGCCTAGGTTTTCTTCTAGGGATTTTATGGTTTTAGGTCTAACATGTAAGTCTTTAATCCATCTTGAATTAATTTTTGTATAAGATGTAAGGAAGGGATCCAGTTTCAGCTTTCTACATATGGCTAGCCAGTTTTCCCAGCACCATTTATTAAACAGGGAATCCTTTCCCCATTGCTTGTTTTTCTCAGGTTTGTCAAAGATCAGATAGTTGTAGATATGTGGCATTATTTCTGAGGGCTCTGTTCTGTTCCATTGATGTATATATCTGTTTTGGTACCAGTACCATGCTGTTTTGGTTACTGTAGCCTTGTAGTATAGTTTGAAGTCAGGCAGCGTGATGCCTCCGGCTTTGTTCTTTTGGCTGAGGATTGACTTGGCGATGAGGGCTCTTTTTTGGTTCCATATGAACTTTAAAGTAGTTTTTTCCAATTCTGTGAAGAAAGGCATTGGTAGCTTGATGGGGATGGCATTGAATCTGTAAATGACCTGGGGCAGTATGGCCATTTTCACAATATTGATTCTTCCTACCCATGAGCATGGAATGTTCTTCCATTTATTTGTATCCTCTTTTATTTCATTGAGCAGTGGTTTGTAGTTCTCCTTGAAGAGGTCCTTCACATCCCTTGTAAGTTGGATTCTTAGGTATTTTATTCTCTTTGAAGCAATTGTAAGTGGGAGTTCACTCATGCTTTGGCTCTCTGTTTGTCTGTTATTGGTGTATAAGAATGCTTGTGATTTTTGCACATTGATTTTGTATCCTGAGACTTTGCTGAAGTTGCTTACCAGCTTAAGGAGATTTTGGGCTGAGATGATGGGGTTTTCTAGATATACAATCATGTCATCTGCAAACAGGGACAATTTGATTTCCTCTTTTCCTAATTGAATACCCTTTATTTCCTTCTCCTGCCTGATTGCCCTGGCCAGAACTTCCAACACTATGTTGAATAGGAGTGGTGAGAGAGGGCATCCTGTCTTGTGCCAGTTTTCAAAGGGAATGCTTCCAGTTTTTGCCCATTCAGTATGATATTGGCTGTGGGTTTGTCATAGATAGCTCTTATTATTTTGAGATATGTCCCATCAATACCTAATTTATTGACAGTTTTTAGCATGAAGCATTGTTGAATTTTGTCACAGGACTTTTCTGCATCTATTGAGATAATCATGTGGTTTTTGTCTTTGATTCTGTTTATATGCTGGATTACCTTTATTGATTTGTGTATGTTGAACCAGCCTTGCATCCCAGGGATGAAGCCCACTTGATCATGGTGGATAGGCTTTTTCATGGGCTGCTGGATTTGGCTTGCCAGTATTTTATTGAGAATTTTTGCATCAATGTTCTTCAAGGATATTGGTCTAAAATTCTCTTTTTGGTTGTGTCTCTGCCAGGCTTTGGTATCAGGATGATGCTGGCCTCATAAAATGAGTTAGGGAGGATTCCCTCTTTTTCTGTTGATTGGAATAGTTTCAGAAGGAATGGTACCAGCTCCTCCTTGTACCTCTGGTAGAATTCGGCTGTGAATCCATCTGGTCCTGGACTCTTTTTGGTTGGTAATCTATTGATTATTGCCACAATTTCAGAGCCTATTATTGGTCTATTCAGAGATTCAACTTCTTCCTGGTTTAGTCTTGGGAGGGTGTATGTGTCAAGGAATTTATCCATTTCTTGTAGATTTTCTAGTTTATTTGCATAGAGGTGTTTGTAGTATTCTCTGATGGTAGTTTGTATTTCTGTGGGATTGGTGATGATATCCCCTTTATCATTTTTTATTGCATCTATTTGATTCTTCTGTCTTTTCTTCTTTATTAGTCTTGCTAATGGTCTATCGATTTCGTTGATCTCTTCAAAAAACCAGCTCCCGGATTCATTAATCTTTTGAAGGGTTTTTTGTGTTTCTATTTCCTTCAGTTCTGCTCTGATTTTAGTTATTTCTTGCCTTCTGCTAGCTTTTGAATGCGTTTGCTCTTGCTTTTCTATTTCTTTTAATTGTGATGTTAGAGTTTCAATTTTGGATCTTTCCTGCTTTCTCTTGTGGGCATTTAGTGCTATAAATTTCCCTCTACACACTGCTTTGAATGTGTCCCAGAGATTCTTGTATGTTGTGTCTTTGTTCTCATTGGTTTCAAAGAATATCTTTATTTCTGCCTTCATTTTGTTATGTACCCAGTAGTCATTCAGGAGCAGGTTGTTCAGTTTCCATGTAGTTGAGCAATTTTGAGTGAATGTCTTAGTCCTGAGTTCTAGTTTGATTGCACTGTGGTCTGAGAGACAGTTTGTTATAATTTCTGTTCTTTTACATTTGCTGAGGAGTGCTTTACTTCCAACTATGTGGTCAATTTTGGAATAGGTGTGGTGTGGTGCTGAAAAAAATGTATATTCTGTTGATTTGGGGTGGAGAGTTCTGTAGATGTCTATTAGGTCCGCTTGGTGCAGAGCTGAGTTCAATTCCTGGGTATCCTTGTTGACTTTCTGTCTCCTTGATCTGTCTAATGTTGACAGTGGGATGTTAAAGTCTCCCATTATTATTGTGTGGGAGTCTAAGTCTCTTTGTAGGTCACTCAGGACTTGCTTTATGAATCTGGGTGCTCCTGTATTGGGTGCATATATACTTAGGATAGTTGGCTCTTCTTGTTGAATTGATCCCTTTACCATTATGTGATGGCCTTTTTTGTCTCTTTTGATCTTTGTTGGTTTAAAGTCTGTTTTATCAGAGACTAGGATTACAACCCCTGCCTTTTTTTGTTTTCCATTTGCTTGGTAGATCTTCCTCCATCCCTTTATTTTGAGCCTTTGTGTGTCTTTGCATGTGAGATGGGTTTCCTGAATACAGCACACTGATGGGTCTTGAGTCTTCATCCAATTTGCCAGTCTGTGTCTTTTAATTGGAGCATTTAGTCCATTTACATTTAAAGTTAATATTGTTACGTGTGTATTTGGTCCTGTTATTATGATGTTAGCTAGTTATTTTGCACATTAGTTGATGCAGTTTCTTCCTAGCCTTGATGGTCTTTACATTTTGGCATGTTTTTGCAGTGGCTGGTACCGGTTGTTCCTTTCCATGTTTAGTGCTTCCTTCAGGAGCTCTTTTAGGGCAGGCCTGGTGGTGACAAAATCTCTCAGCATTTGCTTGTCTGTAAAGGATTTTATTTCTCCTTCAATTATGAAGCTTAGTTTGGCTGGATATGAAATTCTGGGTTGAAAATTCTTTTCTTTAAGAATGTTGACTATTGGCCCCCACTCTCTTCTGGCTTGTAGAGTTTCTGCCGAGAGATCCACTGTTAGTCGGATGGGCTTCCCTTTGTGGGTAACCCGACCTTTCTCTCTGGCTGCCCTTAACATTTTTTCCTTCATTTCAACTTTGGTGAATCTGACAATTATGTGTCTTGGAGTTGCTCTTCTTGAGGAGTATCTTTGTGGCATTCTCTGTATTTCCTGAATCTGAATGTTGGCCTGCCTTGCTAGATTGGGGAAGTTCTCCTGGATAATATCCTGCAGATTGTTTTCCAACTTGGTTCCATCCTCCCCGTCACTTTCAGGTACACCAATCAGATGTAGGTTTGGTCTTTTCGCATAGTCCTATATTTCTTGGAGGCTTTGTTCATTTCTTTTTATTCTTTTTTTCTCTAAACTTCCCTTCTCACTTCATTTCATTCATTTCGTCTTCCATCACTGATATCCTTTCTTCCAGTTGATTGCATCGGCTCCTGAGGCTTCTGCGTTCTTCATGTAGTTCTCGAGCCTTGGCTTTCGGCTCCATCAGCTCCTTTAAGGACTTCTCTGCGTTGGTCATTCTAGTTATCCATTCATCTAATTTCTTTTCACAGTTTTTAACTTCTTTGCCATTGGTTTGAATTTCCTCCTGTAGCTCAGAGTAGTTTGATCGTCTGAAGCCTTCTTCTCTCAGCTCGTCAAAGTCATTCTCTGTCCAGCTTTGTTCCATTGCTGGTGAGGAGCTGCATTCCTTTGGAGGAGGAGAGGCGCTCTGCTTTTTAGAGTTTCCAGTTTTTCTGCTCTGTTTTTTCCCCATCTTTGTGGTTTTATCTACTTTTGGTCTTTGATGATGGTGATGTACAGAAGGGTTTTTGGTGTGGATGTCCTTTCTCTTTGTTAGTTTTCCTTCTAACCGACGGGACCCTCAGCTGCAGGTCTGTTGGAGTTTGCTAGAAGTCCACTCCAGACCCTGTTTGCCTGGGTATCAGCAGCGGTGGCTGTAGAACAGCGGATCTTGGTGAACTGTAAATGCTGCTGCCTGATCATTCCTCTGGAAGTTTTGTCTCAGAGGAGTACCTGGCCGTGCGAGGTGTCAGTCTGCCCCTACTGGGGGGTGCCTCCCAGTTAGGCTGCTCGGGGGTCAAGGACCCACTTGAGGAGGCAGTCTGCCCATTCTCAGATCTCCAGCTGCATGCTGGGACAACACTCCTCTCTTCAAAGCTGTCAGACAGGGACATTTAAGTCTGCAGAGGTTACTGCTGTCTTTTTGTTTGTCTGCGCCCTGCCCCCAGAAGTGGAGCCTACAGAGGCAGGCAGGCCTCCTTGAGCTGTGGTGGGCTCCACCCAGTTGGAGCTTCCCAGCTGCTTTGTTTACCTAATCAAGCCTGGGCAATGGCAGGCGCCCCTTCCCCAGCCTTGCTGCCGCCTTGCTGTTTGATCTCAGACTGCTGTGCTAGCAATCAGTGAGACTCCATGGGCGTAGGACCCTCCAAGCCATGTGCAGGATATAATCTCCTGGTGTGCCATTTTTTAAGCCCATTGGAAAAGCACAGTATTAGGTTGGGAGTGACCTGATTTTCCAGGAGCCATCTGTCACCCCTTTCTTTGACTAGGAAAGGGAACTCCCTGACCCCTTGTGCTTCCTGAGTGAGACAATGCCTTACCCTGCTTCGGCTCGTGCATGGTGCACTGCACCCACTGTCCTGTACCCACTGTGTGTCACTCCCTAGTGAGATGAATACGGTACCTCAGGTGGAAATGCAGAAATCACCCGTCTTCTGCATCGCTCATGCTGGGAGCTGTAGCCCGGAGCTGTTCCTATTCGGCCATCTTGGCTCCACCCCCAAATAAAACTTCTTAAAAATTCAATCATAAAGAAAAAATACAGCCAAACATTGTCAAAAAATATCAGACTAGTGAAGGATAATATGAGGTCAATGTGATTAAACACAAATAACATAGATGCTCAAAACTGAAGCCAAAAGCATCACTGAACAGAAAAGCAAACAGGCAAAACATCATCAGAGACATCTCCCACTATTCCATCAACATCCCTATCCTGGTCAACCAAAACTTCAACCTAAGGTGCCTTCACTTTGAAAGTAGTACAAAAATGCTATTCTGTTTCACCTTATTATTGTACATGTAAACTGTTTCAATGACAGGGCACACAAAAACATCATCAAATCAAGCCAGTAAAAAAACTCCATCCTCACTCACATAAATATCCCAATAAGCCATCAATTAAACCTCACTCACATCATCATTATCCTCCAGTAGTGCCCCATACACTTCAACCTGAAAAGTTACTACCACATCCAACAACTTCTAAACCTGTAGCCTCCACCATGGCTGCTGGCAACAAAGCTACTGCTATCAAGACAGTGGCACTTACTACTAAACTTCCTCCACCTCTATTCCTATGGAGAATACCACTGAAATGATCACTAGTAAACTTCTATTAGCTCCCACTAACAAGAACATGAGAGTGCCACCACCAGTTTCACTGTCATTGTCAAATTAGTAGCTGATATCATGAAATTCATCACTTTACTTATGAGCATAAAATGTATCCTCACCACCAAAACTCTGGCCACCAACACAAAAGTTTCTGTATCTACCAGGATGCTCTTCACAATACTTCAACCTTCTCTATATATATCATCTCCACCTAATCAATTACTGCTAAGGCTACATCTGCTACCAGCTCTTCATCAGATGCCACCAACATCAATTCACTTCCCACAAACACTTCCTGATGGGAGCAGGCCACCCAAAATCTGGCCATAAAGTGGCCCCAAAACTGGCCATAAACAAAATCTCTGCAGCACTGTAACATGTTCATAATGGCCCTAACACCCACGCTGGAAGGTTGTGGGTTTACTGGAATGAGGGCAAGGAACACCTGGACCGCCCAAGGCAGAAAACCACTTAAAGGTATTCTTAAGCCACAAACAATAGCATGAGCGATCTGTGCCTTAAAGACATGCTCCTGCTGCAGTTAACTAGCCCAACCTATTCCTTTAATTCAGCCCATCCCTTCATTTCCCATAAGGAATACTTTTAGTTAATTTAATATCTATAGAAACAATCCTAATGACTGGTTTGCTGTTAATAAATATGTGGGTAAATCTCCATTCAGGACTCTTAGCTCTGCAGGCTGTGAGACCCCTGATTTCCCAATTCACACCTCTATATTTCTGTGTGTGTGTCTTTAATTCCTCTAGCGCCACTGGATTAGGGCCTCCCTGACTGAGCTGGTCTTGGCAACTTCCCAATCCATGACAACTGCCTCCACCCCCACTGCCAGTATCACATCAATTTGCATATCTACTACCAGTCAAGTTGGAAGTACCTTCAAAACTGCTGAAACTATCAGCACACTTGCTTCCACAGATGTCACCATAGCTATTGATCTGAAATCTAGAAGCACCACTTCTAATGCCACAAACTTATTTAAGACTTTTGCCACAGATATGATTGCAATCAGCATATCTATTGCATTTACCTTGAAAGGTGAGACAGCTGAAGTTTCAACATTTAACGTTTTATCTACATATGAACCTACTAACCATATATGGATGATACTATTTCATCACTGTCTTTACAACACCTGCAGTCACTGCTGCCACTACCATATCTGAAGCTTCAGTACCTACCACACCTGCTCTTACATATTCTCCTTCTACTCCTATCTCTATATCTGATGTTGTTAGTAATCTGTCTATCTGACCATATCTAGGGACTTTCCCCCAACATCAATTGACATGTCAATTGTCAACGTTTCTCCTGCCACCACTCCCCTGACAACTATACTTGCACATCTGCACTTACTAATACCAGCCCCCACCACAGTTGCTCTCTCTGCCTCACCTGGAGGTACTACCAGCCACTCCCGCTGTCACCCTTTACCACCACTGTGGCCTACACTGCCCTTTCTCCCATAGGCACAGCTTCCCCTACAAGGTCCAACCTTACTACCACTTCTACTTCCATTTTCCCAGAGGCTGCCACAGCTACTCTCTGCAACACCAGCTGCCACTACTGTTTCTGGAACAAGAGCTTCTTCTACCACATCTGGATCATCTCTGATATTGTTTGGATTTGTATCCCCACCCAAATCTCACATCAATTGTAATCCTCAATGTTGGGAGAGGGACATAGTGGGAGGTGGGTGATTGGATCATGGGCACGGATTTCCCCCTTGCTGTTCTTATAATAGTGTGTCCTTACAAGATCCCCTTGTTTAAAAGTGCATAGCACCTCCCCCCTTTGCTCTCTTCCTCCTGCTCCAGCCATGTAGGATATGCCAGCTTCCCCTTCACCTTCCGCCATGATTGTAAGTTTCCTGAGGCCTCCCCAACCACGTTTCTTGTACAGCCTGCAGAACTGTGAGCCAATTAAACCTCCTTTCTTCATAAATTACCCAGTCTTGGGTAGCTCTTTATAGCAATGGGAGAACAGACTAACACAATCTCCCCTAGCAAGAACCACATCTTCTGTCACCACTCTAGCTGCCATCACTGCACTGGCTCTCATCACAGTTTTACTTACCACCTCTTATACTTAAACCCACTGTTTCTCTTTCTACCACTACACTGGCAGTCACCAATACTTCCTCAGGTTCCTCCATCACTGCTACCACTAATACTTGGTCTGATTCCACCACATCTTTTAACATTTCATCAGCTTCCATTACATCTGCTGCCTCCAGCTCACAATATAACTGTGACCACCTTAATCCCACAGACATTCCTACTTCCTCTATCTCAACTGCCTCATCTACACTCTTTGACTCTACCATACTTGAAATTGATTTTGCCTACTTCCTCTATATAGTAAATGCCCTAGTCCCCACAGAGGATGTGACAACATCTTATCCCAATGCATTTGATAATATTACACTTGATTATGAACCTGACACCACTGATCTCCACATAAGCACAACTGATTTCATCAGTTCTTCTAATGCTTTTACAAACTCTGATATTACCAATGACTGAATATTCCTACACACATATAAGCTAACTTCTCATTCCAAACTCTATATACCCACTGCTGTTTTATTTATCACCACTCTCTGCAACACCAGCTGCCACTACTGTTTCTGGAACAAGAGCTTTTTCTACCACATCTGGATCATCTCTGATATGGTTTGGATTTATGTCCCCACCCAAATCTCATTTCGAATTGTAATCCTCAGTGTTGGAGGATGGACCTAGTGGGAGGTGATTGGATCATGGAGCTGGTAATTCTAATATTTACCACTTTATGTCAATCATGGGGTTGACAGGCAGACATACAGATAATTACTGAAAGACCTAACCTGACACCAAAAGCTTTGTAATGATTATTTCTTCTAAGAAATGTGTTATATTGTATATAAATTAAATATATGTTTATTTGATGTTATAAGGAAATACAATCACTATGCTGATGCTATGGATTGTTGGGGAAAAAATTTAAGGAAAGTATAGGAAGAATCAATATCATTAAAATGGCCATACTGCCCAAAGCAACTTATAAATTTAATGCTATTCCTATCAAACTACCAATGACATTCTTCACAGAACTAGAAAGAACTATTTTAAAATTTATATGGAACAACAAAGAGCCTGAATAGCCAAGGCAATCCTGAGCAAAAAGAACGAAGCTGGGGCATCACATTATCCGATTTCAAACTGAAGTAGGGGTTGGGAATTGACCCCAGAGGCAGGGCTCAGACACAGACCACATTGAAGACTATCTAAAACAGGGCAGGGTCAAAAGAAGCTTTCAATCAGACCAACCCACTAGTGTGCCAAGTCAATTTACTGTTGTCATGGCAACATCTGGGAGTTACTGTCCATTTCCATGGCACTCAATAATCCAAAAGTTACTACCCCTTCCCTGCATAAACCACCCCTTAAACTGCATGCAATTAAAAATGGGTATAAAGATGACCCCAAAATTGCCCTAAACTGCTACTCTCTGCCTACAGGAGTATCTCTGCTCTGCAGGAGCAGTCAAGGAGTTATAACACCACTGGAGCTGTAACACTGCCTGTTCAATAAAGCTTTTTTCTTCTCCCTCTGGCTTGCCCTTGAATTCTTTCTTGGGCAAAGCCAGGAGCCCTCCCAGACTAAGCTCCACTTTGGGGCTCACCTGCCCTGCATCAAAACTTTACTACAGGGCTACAGTAGCCAAAACAGCATGGTACTGTTATAAAAAACAGACACATAGATCAATGGAACAAAATAGAGAGCCCAGAAATAAGAACACACACCTATGAGCATCTGTTCTTTGACACAGCTGACAAAAAAAAAGAAATGGGGAAAGGACTCCCTGTTTGATAAATAATGCTTGGATAACTGGCTAGCCACATGCAAAAGATTGAAATGGGACTCTTTCCACAGACAAAAATCAACTCAAGATGGATTAAACACTTAAATGTAAAACCCCAAAATATAAAAATCCTGGAAGACAACGTAGGCAATACAATTCTGGACATTGAAACAGGTAAAGATTTCATGATGAAGACACCAAAAGCAATTGCAACAAAACCAAAAATTGATGAATGAAATCTAATTAAACTTAAAAGAAACCATCAACAAGGTAAACAGACAACCTACAGACTGTGAGAAAAAATTTGCAAACTATGCATCAGATAAAGGTCTAATATCCAGCATCTAGAAGAAACTTAAACAAATTTACAAGAAAAAAAAACAACCCCATTAAAATGTGGGCAGATGACATAAACAGACAGTTTTCAAAAGATGACATACATGCAGCCAACAAGTATATGAAAAAAAGTTCAATATCACTGATCATTAGAGAAATGCAAATCAAAACCACAATGAGATACCATCTCACGCCAGTCAGAATGACTATTACTAAAAAGTCAAAAAATAACAGATGCTGGCAAGGTTGCAGAGAAAAGAGAACACTTATACACTGTTGGTGGGAGTGTAAATTAGTTGAACCATTGTGTAAAGAAATGTAGTGATTCATCAAAGAACTAAAAACAGAACTACCATTCAATCCAGCAATCCCATTGCTTGGTAAATACTCAGAGGAATACAAATCATTCTACCATAAAAATGCACATGAATGTTCATTGAAGCACTGTCCACAATAGTAAAAACATGGAATCAACCTAAATGCCCATCAATAACAGACTGGATAAAGAAAATCTGTACATATGCATGATGGAATACTATGCAGCCATAAAGAAGAACGAGATCATGTATTTTGCAGAAACATGGATGGAGCTGGAAGCCATTATCCTTGGCAAACTAATGCAGAAAGAGAAAACCAAATACCACATATTCTCACTTATAAGCGTGAGCTAAATGATGAGAATTCATGGACACAAAGAAAGGAATAACAGACACTGGGGCCTACTTGAGGGTGAAGGGTGGGAGGAAGGAGAGGAGCCAAAAAACTAAATACTGGGTACAATGATTAGTACCTAGGTGATGAAATAATCTGTACAACAAACCCTCATGATATGAGTTTAACTATATAACAAACCTTCACATGTACCCTGGACCTAAAGTAAAAGTTAAAAAAAGAAGAAAAAAATCTGAAGATGAAATGCAAACTACTCAGATTAACTAATATTAGATATAAGAAAAGTATGATATTTAAAAAACTGATGGTAATATCATCAAGAACAACTCTCATCAGACTGAACAAAAAATTTTAGTGAGCCTACAAAAATGTGAAAGGGTTATGGCTCTGTTCACAAGGCATCTGTTTTTGTTGTTGTTACTTTTTCTCTATTTCATTTATTTCTGCCCTTATATCGCTTTCTTTTTTCTCTTGACGTATTTTGTTGCTTTTGCGAAGTTCTAAGAGATGCTAAAACTTTAGCTCATATATTTTCAGTCTTTCTTATTTTTTTATAAATATTTGAGAGCTAGAAGTTGCATTTCCCTTTGTATCCCATAAATACTGGTTTTTTGTGTTTCGCTTTTATTCAGCTATAAATATTTTGTAATTTCCTTTATTAATTATTTTATAGTCTCAAATGTATTAACATGTGATTTCATTCATATGCGTAGGGATATTTTTAGCTAGCCTGATTTCTATTGATTAGCAAGTGAGTCTACTATGACCCCAAAAATAATCGACACAGATACTTCTATTGAGAGCACATACTTAACCAGAGGAAAATATGCATATTAAGACACAATCCACTGTTTCTCAGGAAGTAATCAAGGTACAAAGGACAACTGTCAACTGAACAAACAACCAACCATTCTTGGTATAAAAGCCTCAATCCACACATGACCTTTACTCAATTACAGTATTTCCTATTCCTAAAAGAATCTAGTAGGAAGGCTATAAGAAATGTTCTCTTACTGATCCTTCTTATTTGCCACCTTAGATTTTAAGTTGCTTCTTGGCTACCAAAATGCCTAGACACAGTAACTAACAAGAATTCAACTGACAAGTAGTTTGACCAGACTTGGAGGAAGGATTCCTTCAAAGGTAGGTACCTGGGAATTCACAAATTAAGACTTTTGAATAGAGAATCAAGGTTATTTTTTTAAGCATTGCATTTCTAATGATTACTGTAAAAATCCACTGGTAGAACAGCATTTCTAAATGTTCTTCTAGATTAAAATATGGTTAGTAATGCTATTTTATTTTTCTAATCTTCAATGTAATTTAACAGTATGACAAAAAATTCATGAGATTTCATAGGACTAATACTAGTGAACTCCACATTCTTCCTAATTTACCATGTCTTGATTTTCTCTTCTACTGGCAAATAATTTTTTAACATTAGTGATATTTCCTGTCTATCTGACATTAGTCCTAAAATAATTCACTGTATGGGGAGCTGTATGCTACTTTTCAGTATGTAATGGTTATATCTAGTTTACTTACATTTTGGCTAAGAAAAACTCCAAATAAGAAGAAAAAAAGACCACAAAAATCTTTGATCTCCAGGGGGAAAAACAGCTTTGCCCTAGATAAGGTCTTAGATGCCATGAAACCAAGAACATATGAGAAAAATGTTTTTACAATAGACTTTTTTCTTTGTATTGTATTTACTTTTTTTTCATTTGTAACAAGGCCAAAAAGGCTTTTATTTGCCTTATAGAGTCAATTCAACAAAACTGTGTTTAGTGCTTACCTTACACAAGACAATGTGCTCTGTGTTGGGAATACAGATACAAACAATAAACATCTTCAAACACAAAGAGTTCATGGTAGATGAAGTCAGAGGGTATTTTTCATGAATTTAAGAGCATATGATTTTCATTCCTACTAGTGGGTTTTTTTTGGGGGGGTGGGAGATGAATATACAACTATTCTAGAAGTATATAATGTTTTAAAAGAGAAAACTGAAACTGTTTCCAGATCAAGGTTATATCACAATTCTTTAGGCAATAACATTTGATTTAATCAGTTGTAGTTTTCATTGGAATTACATAAATGTTATTTCTTATTCAACCGTAGTAACATTAGATGAATATGCACTTATTAACCAATTTCACAGCTTTGAGGGTAAGTCTGGTTTAAATTATGGGTTTCAATTTTTTTATTTTTTTATTATTATACTTTAAGTTCTAGGGTACATGTGCACAACGCGCAGGTTTCTTACATATGTATACATGTGCCATGTTGGTGTGCTGCACCCATTAACTCGTCAGTAACATTAGGTATATCTCCTAATGCTATCCCTCCCCTCTGCCCCCACCCCACGACAGGCCCCGGTGTGTGATATTCCCCTTCCTGTGTCCAAGTGTTCTCATTGTTCAATTCCCACCTATGAGTAAGAACATGCAGTGTTTGGTTTTTTGTCCTCATGATAGTTTGCTGAGAATGATGGTTTCCAGCTTCATCCATGTGCCTACAAAAGACATGAACTCATCCTTTTTTATGGCTGCATAGTATTCCATGGTGTATATGTGCCACAATTTCTTAATTCAGTCTATCATTGATGGACATTTGGGTTGGTTCCAAGTCTTTGCTATTGCGAATAGCGCCACAATAAGCATACCTGTGCATGTGTCTTTATAGCAGCATGATTTATAATCCTTTGGGTATATATCCAGTAGTGGGATGGCTGGGTCAAATGGTATTTCTAGTTTTAGATCCTTGAGGAATCACCACACTGTCTTCTATAATGGTTGAACTAGTTTACAGTCCCACCAACAGTGTAAAAGTGTTCCATTTCTCCACATCCTCTCCAGCACCTGTTGTTTCCTGAATTTTTAATGATCGCCATTCTAACTGGTGTGAGATGGTATCTGGTTGTGGTTTTGATTTGCATTTCTCTGATGGCCAGTGATGATGAGCATTTTTTCATGTGTCTGTTGGCTGCATAAATGTCTTCTTTTGAGAAATGTCTGTTCGTATCTTTTGCCCACTTTTTGATGGGGTTTTTTTCTTGTAAATTTGTTTAAGCTCTTTGTAGATTCTTGATATTAGCCCTTTAGTAGATTGCAAAAATTTTCTCCCATTCTGCAGGTTGCCTGTTTATTCTGATAGTAGTTTCTTTTGCTGTGCAGAAGCTCTTTAGTTTAATTAGATCCCATTTGTCAATTTTGGCTTCTGTTGCCATTGCTTTTGGTGTAGACATGAAGTCCTTGCCCATGTCTATGTCCTGAATGGTATTGCCTAGGTTTTCTTCTAAGGTTTTTATGGTTTTAGGTCTAATATGTAAGTCTTTAATCCATCTTGAATTAATTTTTGAATAAGGTGTAAGGAAGGGATCCAGTTTCAGCTTTCTACATATGGCTAGCCAGTTTTCCCGACACCACTTATTACATAGGGAATCCTTTCCCCATTGCTTGCTTTTGTCAGGTTTGTCCAAGATCAGATGGTTGTAGATCTATGGTATTATTTCTGAAGGCTCTGTTCTGTTCCATTGGTCTATATATCTGTTTTGGTACCAGTACCATGCTGTTTTGGTTACTGTAGCCTTGTAGTAAAGTTTGAAGTCAGGTAGCATGATGCCTCCAGCTTTGTTCTTTTTACTTAGGATTGTCTGGCTATGGGGTCTCTTTTTTGGTTCCATATGAAATTTAAAGTAGTTTTTTTCTAATTCTGTGAAGAAAGTCAGTGGTAGCTTGATGGAGATAGCACTGAATCTATAAATTACCTTGGGCAGTATGGCCATTTTCAAGATATTGATTCTTCCTACCCATGAGCATGGAAATTTCTTCCATTTGTTTGTGTCCTCTTTTATTTTGTTGAGCAGTGGTTTGTAGTTCTCCTTGAAGAGATCCTTCACATCCCTCGTAAATTGTATTCTTAGGTATTTTATTTTCTTTGTAGTAATTGTGAATGGGAGTTCACTCATGATTTTCTCTCAGTTTGTTATTGGTGTATAGGAATGCTTGTGATATTTGCATATTGATTTTGTATCCTGAGAACTTGCTGAAGTTGCTTATCAGCTTAAGGAGATTTTGGGCTGAGACAATGTGTTTTCTAAATATACAATCATGTCATCTGCAAACAGGGACAATTTGACTTCCTCTTTTCCTAATTGAATACCCTTTATTTCTTTCTCTTGCCTGATTGTCCTGGCCAGAACTTCCAACACTATGTTGAATAGGAGTGGTGAGAGAGGGTATCCCCATCTTGTGCCAGTTTTCAAAGGGAATGCTTCCAGTTTTTGCCCATTCAGTATAATATTGGCTGTGGGATTGTCATAAATAGCTCTTATTAATTTGACATATGTTCCATCAATACCTAGTTTACTGAGAGTTTTTAGCATGACAGGCTGTTGAATTTTGTCGAAGGCCTTTTCTGCATCTATTGAGATAATCATGTGATTTTTGTCATTGGTTCTGTTTACATGATGGATTACGTTTATTGATTTATGTTGAACCAGCCTTGCATCACAAGGACGAAGCTGACTTGATCTTGGTGGGTAAGCTTCTTGATGTGCTGCTGGATTAAGTTTGCCAGTATTTTATTGAGGATTTTTGCATCAATGTTCATTAGCAAAACTGGCCTAAAATTAACTTTTTTTGTTGTGTCTCTGCCAGGTTTGGTATCAGGATGATGCTGGCCTCATAAAATGAGTTAGGGAGGATTCCCTCTTTTTCTACTGATTGGAATAGTTTCAGAAAGAATGGTACCAGCTCCTCTTTATACCTCTGGTAGAATTCAGCTGTGAATCCATCTGGTCCTGGACTTTTTTTGTTGGTAAGCTATTAATTATTGCCTCAATTTCAGAACTTGTTATTGGTCTATTCAGAGATTCAACTTCTTCCTAGTGTACTCTTGGGAGGGTGTATGTGTCCAGGAATTTATCCATTTCTTCTAAATTTTCTAGTTTATTTGCATAGAGGTGTTTATAGTATTCTCTGATGGTAGCTTATATTTCTGTGAGATAGGTGGTGATATCCCCTTTATCATTTTTTATTGCATCTATTTGATTCTTCTCTCTTTTCTTATTAGTCTTGCTAGCAGTCTATTTTGCTGATCTTTTCAAAATACCAGCTCCTGGATTCATTGATTTTTTGAAGGGCTTTTTGTGTCTCTACCCCCTTCAGTTCTGATCTTAATAATTTCTTGCCTTCTGCGAGCTTTTGAAAGTGTTTGCTCTTGCTTCTCTAGTTCTTTTAATTGTGATGTGAGGGTGTCGATTTTGGATCTTTCCTGCTTTCTCTTGTGGGCATTTAGTGCTATAAATTTCCCTCTACACACTGCTTTAATTGTGTTCGAGAGATTCTGGTATGTTGTGTCTTTGTTCTCGTTGGTTTCAAAGAACATCTTTATTTCTGCCTTCATTTCATTATGTACCCAGTAGTCATTCAGGAGCAGATTGTTCAGTTTCCATGTAGTTGTGCGGTTTTGAGTGAGTTTCTTAATCCTGAGTTCTAGTTTGATTGCACTGTGGTCTAAGAGACAGTTTGTTGTGATTTCTGTTCTTTTATATTTGCTGAGGCATGTTTTATTTCCAATTATGTGGTCAATTTTAGAATAAGTGTGAAATGGTGCTGAGAAGAATGTATATTCTGTTGACTTGGGGTGGAGAATTCTGTAGATGTCTATTAGATCCACTTGGTCCAGAGCTGAGTTCAAGTCCTGGATATCCTTGTTAATTTACTGTCTCGTTGATCTAATATTGACAGTGGGGTATTAAAGTCTCCATTATTATTGTGTTGGAGTCTAAGTTTCTTTGTAGGTCTCTAAGAACTTGCTTTATGAATCTGGATGCTCCTGTATTGGGTGTGTATATATTTAGTACAGTTAGCTCTTCTTGTTGAATTGATCGCTTTACCATTATGTAATGGCCTCCTTTGTCTCTTTTGATCTTTGTTGGTTTAAAGTCTGTTTTATCAGAGACTAGGATTGCAACCCCTGCTTTTTCTTGCTTTCCATTTCCTTGGTAGATCTTCCTCCAACTCTGTAGTTTGAACCTATGTATATCTTTGCATGTGAGATAGGTCTCCTGAATACAGCACACTGATGGGTCTTGACTCTTTATCCCATTTGCCAGTCTATTCTTTTAATTGGGGCATTTAGCCCATTTACATTTAAGGTTAATATTGTTATGTGTGAATTTGATCCTGTCGTTATGATGCTAGCTGGTTATTTCACACATTAATTGATGCAGTTTCTTCCTAGCATCAATGGTCTTTACACTTTGGCATGTTTTTGCAGTGGTTGGTACCGGTTTTTCCTCTCCATGTTTAGTGCTTCCTTCAGGAACTCTTGTAAGGCAGGCCTGGTGGTGATAAAATCTCTTCACATTTGCTTGTCTGTAAAGGATTTTATTTCTCCTTCACTTATGAAGCTTAGTTTGGCTGGATATGAAATTCCAGGTTGAAAATTATTTTCTTTAAGAATGTTGAATATTGGCCCCCACTCTCTTCTGGCTTGTAGGGTTTCTGCCCACAGATCTGCTGTTAGTCTGATGAGCTTCCCTTTGTGAGTAGCCTAACCTTTCTCTCTGGCTGCCCTTAACATTTTTGCCTTCATTTCAACCTTGGTGAATCTGACAATCATGTGTCTTGGGGTTGCTCTTCTCGAGGAGTATCTTTCTGGTGTTCTCTGTATTTCCTGAATTTGAATGTTGGCCTGCCTGCTAGGTTGGGGAAGTTCTCCTGGATATATCCTGAAGAGTGTTTTCTAATTTGGTTCCATTCTCACCATCACTTTAAGGTATACCAATCAAACGTAGATTTGGTCTTTTCACATAGTCCCATATTTCCTGGAGGCTTTGTTCATTTCTTTTCACTTTTTTTTCTCTAGTCTTGTCTTCTCACTTTATTTCATTAATTTGATCTTCAATCATTGATACCCTTCCTTCGCTTGATAAAATCGGCTATTGAAGCTTGTGTATGCTTCAAAAAGTTCTCATGCTGTGGTTTTCAGCTCCATCAGGTCATTCTCTTCTCTACACTTGTTATTCTAGTTAGCCATTCGTCTAACCTTTTTTCAATGTTTTTAGCTTCCTTGCAATGGGTTAGAACATGCTCCTTTAGCTCAGAGAAGTTTGTTATTACCAACCTTCTGAAGCCTACTTCTGTCAATTCGTCAAACTCATTCTTTGTCCAGCTTTGTTTCCTTGCTGGCAAGGAGCTGTGTTCCTTTGGAGGAAAAGAGGCGTTTTGGTTTTTGGAATTTTCAGCTTTTCTGTTCTGGTTTCTCCCCATCTTTATGGTTTTATCTATCTTTGGTCTTTGATGTTGATGACCTACAGATGGGGTTTTGGTGTGGATGTCCTTTTTGTTGATGTTGATGCTATTTCTTTCTGTTTGTTAGTTTTCCTTCTAACAGACAGGCCCCTCAGCTGCAGGTCTGTTGGAGTTTGCTGGAGGTCTACTCCAGACCCTGTTTGCTGGGTATCACCAGCAGAGGCTGCAGAACAGCAAATATTGCTACCTGATCCTTCCTCTGGAAGCTTCATCCCAGAAGGGTACCCACCTGTATGAGGTGTCTGTCAGCCCCTACCGGGAGATGTCTTCCAGTCAGGCTACACAGGGGTCCCGGACCCACTTGAGGAGGCAGTCTGTCTGTTCTCAGAGCTGGAATGCCGTGCTGGAAGAACCACTGCTCTCTTCAGAGCTGTCAGGCAGGGACGTTTAAGTCTGCAGAAGCTGTCTGCTGCCTTTTGTTCAAGTATGCCCTGATCCCAGAGGTGGAATCTAGAGAGGCAGTAGCCTTGCTGAGCTGCAGTGGGCTCCACCCAGTTTGAGCTTCCCTGCCTCTTTGTTTACATTGTGAGCATAGAACTGCCCACTCAAGCCTCAGCAATGGCAAATGCCCCTCCCCCCGCCACGCTGTAGCGTCCCAGGTCGATCTCAGACTGCTGTACTAGCAGCAAGCAAGGCTCCATGGGCGTGGGACTCACTGAGACAGTCACAGGAGAGAATCTCCTGGTCTGCTGGTTGGGAAGACCATGGTAAAAGTGCAGTATTTGTGCAGGAGTGTACTGTTCCTCCAGGTATAGTCACTTCATGGCTTCCCTTGGCTAGGAAAGGGAAATTCCCCGACTCCTTGCGCTTCCCAGGTGAGGCGACACCCCACCTTCTTTCAGCTCACTGTCTGTAGGCTGTACCCACTGTCCAACCAGTCCCAATGAGATGGACCAAGTACCTCAGTTGGAAATGCAGAAATCACCATCTTCTGCATCAGTCTCGCTGGGAGCTGTAGACTGGAGCTGTTCCTATTTGGCTACCTTGGAAGTGACTCCAGGGAGCTGCTTTTAAAAAAATCTATTCTTTACCCTCACTAAGTCCTGGAAAGGTTCATGAAGAAAATAGAGTTTGAGCAGATCTTGAATAGATGTCCATATATAAAGAGCTAGCTTTGGATACTATAAATAATTTTTAAAAGAATATAACTAATAATGCCTGTCCAGGCCTGGTTGTTTTTGAAAATCATGTGGAATGTAGAACAGCACTATCCCTTCTATCTGTAAGCTACTCAAGCTGTAAGTAATGGCTCATGTACTGGAAAGGCTTACAACCTCAAAAGAGTATCATTTTGATCTTAGAAACTTCATTTCTGTCCAGGTGCCATTTATTACCATTTCTGAATAGGTAACCACAGGGTACTGATCAACATCATCCCCAACCAAAAGTCCAGACATTGCAATATAATAAACTGCATTTGTTTTTTTCTTTCACCTTTTTACAACACAAAAATAATAACTATCATAAAGAAAGCTCAAATTCTTAAAGACTGTTGATGTTTGTTTGATAACTCCTGGAAAATATTAGCCCTGAAATAGAAAACTTAACACTTCAGGAAATGAAGTTTTGTTTTGTTTTGTTTTGTTTTGTTTTGGTTTGGTTTGGTTTTGAGACAGAGTCTCACTCTGTCACCAGGTTGGAGTGCAGTGGCGCAATCTCGGCTCACTGCAACCTCTGCCTCCCAGGTTCAAGCAATTCTCCAGCCTCAGTCTTCCAAGTACCTGGGACTACGGGCATGCACCACCACACCTGGCTAATTTTTGTATTTTTTAGTAGAGATGAGGTTTCACCATGTTGGCCAGGCTGGTCTTGAACTCCTGACCTCAGATAATCCACCCGCCTCCACCTCCCAAAGTGCTGGGATTACAGGCATGAGCCACCGCACCTGGCCAGAAATGAAGTTTCTAAGATCAAAATGATACTCTAAAAGTCTGCACTCTAGATATAAGAATCTAAATGTTTTTTCCAATAAGAATTAATAAACCTACTCCAGGTTATATTCAAGGGACACTAATACAAGGTAAACAATTGATTTATGCATTCAACATACATTTATCAAAGTCATATCATGTGGCAGGCACTGTTCAAAGAACTGGAAATACAGCATAGAAAAGAAAGAGAGTTACTGCTCTCACTGAGCCTAGTTTCATAAAGAAGGGAGGCAAATCACAAGAAACAAAATAAAGAAATTGTTTTAGACAGTGATAAAAATAAACTATGGGAACTAAAATAGGGTGAAATGATAGAGATTAAAAAGGCTAGTTTAGATTGGGTGTTTCAAAAAGCCTTTTTAAAGAGATGTCATTTAAGCTGAATAAAAAGAGAAAAAATAACAGCCAAGTGATGATATTGGAGTAGAGAATTCTAGACAAAAGTCCACCAAGGAGGGAAGAAGCTTAGCAGGTCAGAATCTGGAAGTGAGTGATTGTGAGGGAGAATAAGGTACGAGCTGGTTCCTTTAGCACCTTCTAAGTGGTGGCAAAAAGTCTGGATTTCATTCAGAAGTCAATGGGATCCCACTGGGAAGTTTAAGCAGGGGATTTGGTGCCCGACTTTTGTTTTTAAAAGCACTCTGCCTCCTGTTTGGAGATAGGCTATAGGGGATCAAAATGAAAGTCGAGAGGTTAGGTAGTAATGGAGGCCACATCATTTAGTTCATCATACCTAGTAAGACTGAACATCATATTTCTAAATAAAAGTACACATTAATATGTTTATACATTTATAATAATATAATATTTATCTTAAAGTGTTATGTTATGATTTTGTTCACACTTTTCCTCAATAATCACCATGGACCTATTGTACAATGGTTTCTTATCTTAATTTCAGTAATTTTATATGTATTATTTCAATCAAATAAGACTGTTTAGAAGTGAAAATTTAAAAGCACTATATGAATGAAATGCATTTTGTTAATCACACATGCTAATTGATAATTCATTAGAATTTAAAAATTATTATGTTTAATATCTTTAAACATTTTAGCAGTTAAATTTCACTTATTTTAGAAATTTTTGAAAAGTTTTAATGTGATGTTTAATAGAGTTTATCTTCACAACAAAACTATGACCAGAAACTCTGTTTTGATAAATCAGAAAATTATTTTTTAACTCCAAGATACTATCAGCATTAGTTATTATTATTCATTTCTTAGTCCTAACATATATAAAAAGAGGTCACCATATATGTCATCTCGAATGTGAAATACCTAGAGATGCACATATATGGAAAGAAGGAAGTATAATTTAAAATAATATTCAGCATAGGTTTATGTTGTTTCCTCTCATTTCTCTGATGCATGTTCCATATACTATTATATCTGCATAATATTATATTACATAAAAACTTAATTTTTAAAAGTTCCTGGAGTCAAATAGCTTTAGAAATAGAACAGAAACATTAATTTTTTTGTTTTGATTTAGCTGCAGAATTTCTCAGCATCTTTAAAATGTCATATGAATTTCATGCTCCAGTGGAGGAATATACAATAATATTTCTCATTATCAATGCTCAACTTATACCGCATGAGCACATGCATCATATCTGTCTTGTACATCTTTGAATTCCCCCGCATCTAACACTCTGCCCAGGACAAAGCAACAGTACGTAAATGATAAATAAGAAAACAAAAACAAAAGGAGAAGAAATAAAACCTAACATTTGATAGATCAGTAAGGTGACTATAGTTTATAATAATAATATGTTCCAAAATAGATAGAAAATAATTTGAATGTTTCTAGCATAAAGAAAAGACACATTTAAGGTAATGGATATCCCAATTACACTAATTTGATCTATACAAATTTTATTAATGTATTAGGTTATCACATGTACCCTGAAAATATGTATATCTATTGGACATCAATTCAAAACATAATTTAAAAATGGAGGGAGACAGAAAAATAGAAAGAATAAAAACAAAATAGAGGAAAAAGGGAGGGAAAGAGAATGGATGAGAAGAAGGAAAATTAACAGCACATCCCTTGTAGGAAAAAGACATGCTCCCTCAAAATACATTTTGAGAAACATAAGGCATGCTAAACATTTGGAAACATAAACAGTGGGCCCAGGACAGGTGGGGTGAGGGGAGCTCATGGAAGTTGGGAGGCAGAAAAAAATTATTAATATATGCAACTAATTTAAAGCATTTTAAGAGCTTCCAAAGAGTAAACTATAAAGATTGGAATAAACCCAAGTATATCAGCTATTAAACTTGATTCAATAATTTTTATTGTGTGGTATTACATGTATTTATAGGTTCTGGAAATTGAGTAGAGAAGCAGACAGATTATATCCCTACCTCCATATATCTTTCAGTCCAGTTACCTTTTTAATATTACATATGTTGTCTATAAATGTAGTCAACATTCTTGTTTAAGAACTTTATTATTATATAAATATCTTATCACATAGGGATGATAATGCTAATGAAAGAAGGCCTATAATATGCACATGAGTACAACCATTAAATGACCCAAAATGTTAGGATGAAAATACTGGAATTGATAACTCCACTATATCGGAAATACTTATAACTCATGCAGGGAGTTTCATAATGAAAAGAGAGTATCTTTAAAATAGTGTATCAGCAATAATGAGAAAAATCAATGGGTGAAGAAAGATTGGTGGCAGCATCTATATATGGAGGGAGAGGTTTTAATAAAAACTATGATGGTGAATATTCTGTCTTTCTCTCAAACAAAAAAATGGTTAATCCCTTAGCTTATATTTGCAAAGAAGTGTGAAATATAGAAAAGTTAAGATGCTTCTGAAAGGCATTGAGAAGGATGGATTTGCAGCTTTAAGTTGTAAACTAAAAGTAGACTGAAGAAAATAATTGAGTTAAAATTCACCGTAAGGCTGCAATCTGGGTTGACAAAGTAGATCTCAGTATCCAAAACTATTGCAAAAAAATAGTCTGAATGATGAAAAAGACAATTTGTCCTTTAGGCCTACCATCCATTTTAGTTCAGTTTATTTTAGTGGTTAATGGAGCACCTATTAATACAATTGAGTGGTGACCTTTAGTCAATACCCAGTTATTCAAAGAAAATATACTGTCTTAAAGGAAGCCCATTAAGGTGAGTGAATACAACTCTAGACAGGAAGATTCAAAAAAATGTGGAACAGCGAAAGGACCTTGAACAAAACCAAGTCCTCAGGACAAAGAAACTAGGATTGAAAAGATACAAAGATATTTAGAAATTCAAGAAGTTGAGGGAGCTCATTCCTAACAGCCTTGGCCAACTGAGTTAAGCATGAGTTCATCTCCTTGGTAAACACTATATTTTCTATACAACAAAAATGCTATCATACTTTGGGTTCGTATATGTACAGCTCAACCTCTCAAATAGCATCAACATACTCTTTTTGCATTTCTCCTAATGATAAAGTAATACAAGTGTATTGTAGAAAAATCAAAGAAAAACAGAAGCAAAAAAAAGTGCATTTAGGATTCTCAGACTCATGAATTCTTTGTCAGAAGGTGGCAGAGTAATAATGAGCCAGGTCTTGGCCCCTGGCCTGCAGCCCACCTGCTTCTCCTCTCATCCCTGGCTCCTCCTCCCTCCCTCCCCACCACCCCAACAGTGGTCATGTGAAAACAAATGTGTATACTCCAGGCCAAACATCCTCCTCAATTTCCCCTCCAGCCTAGGGGTACATATGCACAGTAGCAGCATGGTCACCATTTGTAGGATGAACCCAAGGAAGAGGCTTTTGCACTTTCTGGAAGTGAACTCAGGGATAGAGAAAGAAAATCTCCTGGTGATTACTCCTCTTGCCCTCTATGGCCACATGAGGGCCAAAATAAGGATCTCTAAACTTCAAGACCCAGATGAGGGATCCCTTTTGCCTGGGCTTGAAGGCAGTTCTTGCCATCTTATATGTGCTTAATGTTTTCATTTTTCTTTTTGCAGTCAAGTGGGACACAAGAGAAATAAGCCAAAAACTAGACTATTACAAAATCTTTCTTCTCAAGGACCAGCTTCACATCAGCAAGTACCTTCTTCAGTTAAAACTGGTCACATTAGACTTCAATCAAATCCATCTAGTCAAAAGATCCATGGTCTCTCAAAGTCATTTAAATTCTATTGCTTCCAGGAGATCCGAGATGAATCCTAGTCAAATTTTCCCTGTCCAACAAGGAAGTCTTCTTTCATCCCCAAACTCATGTGAACTTACTTCTTAAAACAAGTTCCAGATCTGCTAAACCTCACCCAGGAAAATCTTCACTGAAGTTCACCAAAAAATCTAAAACACCCAGATGTTTATATTCACCCTAAATTAGATCAATTCAAATCTCTTTCCATTAATTGAAGAAATTCTCAAATCAAAATTAAGCCAAACTCATTAATTTGGCCAAAAAAAAAAATCAAGATCTCAGACAAAAAGATCTAGGCAACAGGGAAATAAATATGTAAAAGAACAACCTAACACAAAAAGAATTTACCTTAAAAAAAAAACAGCCAATCAAATCCTGCGCTAAAATCTCCAACACAACAAAGTGGCCACCAACAACCAAATCACAGTAACTCAACCCCCTAACAAAAGATCTCACACTATCAAATATTATCCACACAAAGCTGTTAGAATACTACCAAGGAAATCTAAATCTCAATCCAGTACCAACAAGCAACAAAACCCATATCAACCTAAACCTGTTTCATTTTCGACTGGCAAACAAAATGGTCAGCTTCGAAGCAAGTCAAAACCACACTTTGTGCGGTTAAAACTTAATATTAGTGCAAATCCGGGAAAAAGATCAAGACAAACAAAAATCTGTCTTCCACAGCAAACTAACCAAGAAGATGTGGTACAAAAATGACTAAAATAAAACAACCTACCCACTCAAAAACTCAAGCAAAAACTTATAGATGAAAATAATTAGCACACAAAACAACAATATCAGAAGCAGAGACTGGTCCAAAAAAAAACTTGGCAAACCAAAATCACACCTAAACTGTCTTTCACACAGGAATCCTGATAAACCAAAAGCTTTTCCACAGAAAGCTGGCTCATACAAACCTCATTTAAATCCATTTAAGAAAAACAAAACTCACTTTCCACGACATAATCCAGTTCTTTCTTGTAAGCCCAAATCCACTGGACATCAACATCTTCCAGTTTCACAGCAGCCAAACTGACCCTCATTTATCACCAAATTTCCCATCCACAAGCCTTAAACCACTGCTACAAGATCGACTACAACCACTTCCACAAATATTGTGACATTTGCAATGCTAAATCTTCCACAAAGTCCATATCTGAGGCTATAGCTACCTTATCTGATGTTCCTTCCACAGATGAGATTCCTGTCAGCTCACCTCTTGACACCACGGTGGCCTCCAATAAAACACCTGGAAATATGACATTTGATGCTTTAAACCCATCAGCTTCCACACCTGCTTCCACTGGGTATTTTGCTTCTATATCCATCCCCATCCCCTCTTCCTTAGGAACCAAATCTGTGGAAAAGGCCACAACACCCGTGGTCACTGCTGCTGTCAAGACAACACAAGTCACTACTTCAGCTTCTACCACATTGAGAGTGACCAACACTAGCCTACTCCTTACAACTATCACAACACCTTCCCCTACTACCCAGTCCTCTACTTCAGCTCTATCTGCCACTACCACCACTGCACTTGCAGCCACCCGATTTGACTCAACCTCCCCATCTAATACTGAAATGGTCGCTTCTGACACCACTGCAATTGATGATGCATCTTTTTTTATAGCCACTGATTATCTTGAACCTAAAACAACCATATTTTCAACATCTATTTCTACTGTCTCTATATAATCCCTGTTGCAGTTACATCAGCTGTCAATACCATATCATATACTGGTACTTATTCTACTACTATCAGTATCAAAAATGCTATCAAGAACACTTTTGGGCCAGGTGCGGTGGCTCACACCTGTAATCCCAGCACTTTGGGAGGCCAAGGTGGGCAGATCACCTGAGGTCAGGAGTTCGAGACCAGCCTGGCCAACATGGTGAAACCCAATTTGTACTAAAAATACAAAAACTATCCAGGTGTGGGGGCATGCGCCTGTAGTTCCAGCTACTTGGGAGGCTGAGGCAAGAGAATCGCTTGAACCTGGGAGGAGGAGGTTGCACCACTCTACTCCAGCCTGGGTGACAGAGACTCTGTCTAAAAAACAAACAAACAAAACAAAACAAAAACAAACAAAAACAAAACACTTTTGTTCCCCTTGAAACCAAACGAACTTTCATTCCCTCAACTGCTCTGTTTACCATACCTGCTGCCATCAATACCACACCTGCAGCCTCCACCATACTCCTCCCATGACACCAGCTACCATTGTATCAATGATCACAACTGTGTCTGGCACAACTTCATCTATTGCCCTCAGCCACATCTGCCTCCTCCGTACTTCATATTACCTTCCTTGAAACCACAACTCCACTAACTGTTGCTCCAGCTGGTATATTAAACAAAACTAATGATGCTATAACAATTGCCCCAGCACATTTTATGACACTACATTTGATTATGAGTCTGCCATAGAAGATTATGAGTCTGCCATAGAAGATTATGTAAGCAGCACAAATAATTCATATAAATTCCTTTGATACTATTTTATCCACCACTTATTCAATAGAAATCATGTTTCAAAATCTCTCCCCTATTTAATAATGTCTTCTCTCCAGCACCACTCTAGGTGCTCAGCACAGCACCTAGTCCTCCAGACTAGGCCAAAACCACCTCTAACTGGAAAACACTTGGAGATAGGGTCATTCTGAGAAACCCATCCACATAAATCCCAACCCAGTCTGAGCTTTGTCTAAGTAAGACAACAATGCTTCCATGGAAACAAAAAAAGAGGTTCGTATAATAGACACCACCAATTGCTGAAAGGTATTAGTTGAGGGAATGAAAGCTGGATGCAAACCTAACTTGCATATTCCAGCAATCTGACTCACTGAGTCACAACACAGTTTTTCAAGGAGAATGAATGTACAACGGAACAACTGCCAAGTTTCATCAGGAGCAGCTATCTTTTCTTTGAGGAAAATGCTTCACCCCAGACATGACCTTCTCTCTGTATGTTCAAATGAATCAATTAGACAGGCATCATCTCATGGCCACTCACTCATTTGTTTTTCTGTTTCTCCTGGGCTGGAAGATGCCCAAGCACAGGGGCTGATGGGACTCTAAGAGATCTGGGAGGAAGGTCCCACTCAGGTAGGTCCTTAGGATCCACATACAGAAGCTTTTGAATACAGATCCAGGCTCTCAAATCCTTAAATATATTATGTGCATGGGTTACTATGCCTGCAATGCCATGGGCCTTTTAAAAATATTATAGATACATATGAATATGAAGCAGAAAAGCATTCAAGACCTCAAGGGGATATTACTTACTAAGAAACCCTTGTCTTCATTTGTAATAATGCATGCACATTCTGGGTGGCTTAAAACAAGAAAAATTTCTCTCACAGTTTTATAGGCTAGGGGTCTGAAATCAAGGTGTCTACAGGGCCATCTTGCCTGTGAAACCTGTAGAGGAATGTTCCTTCCTTGCTTTTTCCAGTTTCTGGTAGCCCCAGACATTCTTGGCTTGTGGCAGTATACTTCCAATCTCTGCCTCTGTCTTCAAATGACATTTTCCTGTATCTTCCTTCATGTGACCATCTTCTTATAAGGACAGTAGTTATATTGGATTAGGAGCCCATCCTACTCAAATATGACCTCATCTTAACTTGATTACATCTGCAATGACTATTTCCAAATAAGGCCACATTCTGAGGTCCTGGAGGTTAAGATTTCAACACATCTTTTGGTGGACACAATTCAATCTATAACACCATTTACCATGCTTCTCTTCTTATCCCTTCCTAAACTTCTAATGCCAAATAACAGTTACTGCTGATCACATGTACTGACTACCTCACTAATGTACAGGTAGAACAGAATGTTGGTTTAGATAATGGTTCTTTCAGAAATCAAAACTATTGTGTCAAGTTTTTCTTTATTATAATTAAGAGTAAGTCAAATGAGAAAAAAAGAACTGATTATCTCTTATATTAATATTATTGCATAGATCTTCATCTGCAGGCAAATATTTTGCCAAAAATAACATTTTACAAGAAATGCAGACAAGTGCAAATGAGAAAGACATCCCAACATGAGATTTTCTTTATGATATTATGGAAGGAATTGGGTGGGTGGGCAGGGAAGAGGGGCAACCTTTCCAAAAGTATCACCAAGTCCAAACAAACCATTTGAGAGGATGTACAGAAAGCAGGGCCTTGATGTCCTGAGTTCATATCCTGATTGTGCTATTAACAACCTTTATTACTTTCAAAAAGTTACTTAAACTCTCCATCTCAGCTTTTTCATACATAAAATGGGGATAACAATGATGTCTTAAAGGACTATGGAGAAGACTGTGAGATATTTTGAGAAGCGCCTGGCCCAACACTTGACCTATGATGAGAGCTCATTAAATGTTGGCTCCTCTTTACAACGTGTTTAGAACTATTATTTTGAGGAAGGAGGTAGCTTTATATCATATTACATACTCAGAAAAAAAAAGTCACAATGGTTTTATTCCTTCCAATCCAAATAAGTTATGATTATATACAATCAAGTATTCTTAATTCAGAGGAAAATCTTTTAATTACACTATCTCTTGATAATACATCATAGTAATAGAGAAGCACACATTTATATACCATAGACATGTCAGACACTATTTTAAAATTCTTTACATTAACTGATTTGTTCTTTTTTTAATTGTTTAGTTTTAATTTTTGTGAATACATAAGGTGTATATATTTGTGGGTTGCATCAGATACTTTGATACAGGCATGCAGTGTATAATAATCACATCATGGAGAATGGGGTATCCATCCCCTCAAGCATTTATCCCTTTGTGTTTCAAACAATCCAACTATACTCTTTCAGTTATTTTTAAATGTACAATTAAATTATTTTTCACTGTAGTCCCCCTGTAGCACTAGCACACAGTAGTTCTTATTCATTCTTTCCATTTGTTTTATACCCACTAACCATCCACACGTGCCCCCAACTCCCCATTACCTTCCCAGCCTCTAATAACAATGCTTCTACTCTCTATGTCCATGAGTTCAATGGTTTTCATTTTTAGCTCCCACAAATAGGTGGGAACTTGCCAACTTTTTTCTTTCTGTAACTGGCTTATTTCACTTAACATCATGATCTCCAGTTCCACCCATATTGTTACAAATGACAGGTTCTCATTCTTTTTATAGCTGAGTAGTACTCCATTCTGTGTATGTACAATTTGTTTATCCATTCATCTGTTGGTAGACATTTAGGTTGATTCCAAATTTTGGCTATTGTGAATAGTGCTGCAATATATATGGGAGTGCAGATATCTCTTTGATATATTAATTACCTTTCTTTTGGGTATACACCTAGCAGTGGAATTGCTAGATCGTATGCTAGCTCAATTTTCAGTCATTTGAGGGACCTCCAAACTGTTCTCCACAGTGTTTGTACTAATTTACATTCCCACCAACAGTGTTCAAGTGTCCTTGCCATCATTTGTTATTGCCTAGCTTTTGGATAAAAGCCATTTTAAATAGAGTAAGGTAATATCTCATTGCAGTTTTGATTTGCATTTCTCTGAAGATCAGTGATGTTGAGCACCTTTTTATATACCTGTCTGCCATTTGTATGTCTTCTTTGAAGAAATATGTATTCAAATTTTTGGCCCATTTCTTAATCAAATTATTAGATTTTTTCCTACAGAGTTGTTTGAACACATTATATATTCAGGTTATTAATGCCTTGTCAGATGGGTAGCTTGCAAATATTTTCTCCCATTCTGTGGGTTGTCTCATCACTTTGTTGATTGTTTTCTTTGCTGTGCAGAAGCTTTTTAATTTTATGTGATCCCATTTGTTCATTTTTGCTTTGGTTTCCTGTGCTTGTGAGGTATTACTCAAGAAATCTTTGCCCACTCCAGTGTCCTGGAGAGTTTCCCCAATGTTTTCTTTTAGTAGTTTCATAGTTTGAGGTCTTAGATTTAAGTCTTTAATCCATTTTGATTTGATTTTTGTATATGTCCAGGAATAGGGGTCTAATTTCATTCTTCTGCATATGGATATACGGTTTTCCCAGCACTATTTATTGAAGAGACTGTTCTTTCCTCAATGGATGTTCTTGGCCTGTAGTTTTATTTTCTTGTGAGTCTTTGTCTGGTTTTGGTATCAGGGTAATACTGACCTCATAAAATGAGTTTAGAAGTGTTCTCTTCTCCTCTACTTTTTAGAATAGTTTGAGTAGGAGTTGGGTATTTATTGTGGTCTTCTGTATTAGTCTGTTTTCACGTTACTGATAAAGACATACTTGAGACTGGGTAATTTATACAGAAGAGGTTTGATGGACTCATGGTTCAATGTGGCTCGGGAGGCCTCACAATTGTGACGGAAAGCAAAAGGCATGTCTTACATGGCAGCAGACTAGGGAGAATGAGAACCAACCGAAAGGGGTTTCCCCTTAAAAAACCACTAGATCTCATGAGACTTATTCACTATCATGAGAACAGTATGGGGAAAACCACCCCCATGATTCAGTTATCTCCCACTGAGTCCCTCCCACAATATATGGGAATTATGGGAGCTCCAATTCAAGACAATATTTGGGCAAGGACACAGCCAAACCATATCATCTTCACTGTCTGGGCTTATTTGTACCTGTCCTTCTTGGGAAGGCTTTCCAGATATTGGAAAGGACTTGGGTATTGTGGTCTAAGGTGCATATGCTTTAGTGGGCACCGCGAGTCAGTAATGCTGTGGTTCCTGTGGGCTCATAGAGGTACTGCCTTGATGGTCTTGGACAAGATCTGATAGAATTCTCTGGATTACCAGGCAGAGACTCTTGTTCTCTTCTCTTACATTCTCCCAAACATAGAGTCTCTCTCTCTCTGTTCTGAGCCACCTAAAGCTGGGGATGGAGTGACACAAGCACCTCTGTGGCTACCACCACTATGACCATGCTGGGTCAGACCTGAAGCAAGCACAGCTCTGGGTCTTGCCCAAGGCCTGCTCTAACCACTCCCTGGCTACTGCCTCTGTTCACTCAAGGCCCTGGGGCTCTATAATCAGCAGGTGGCAAAGCCAGCCAGGCCTATGTCCTTCCATTCAGGATGGTGAGGTCCGCCATTCCCCAGATGGGTCCAGAAGTGCTGTTTGGGAGTCATGGTCTAGAGTAGAAAAACTTATAAGTCTACGTACTGTTCTATTGTACTGCAGCAGTGCTGGCACTCAAGCCACAAGATGCAGTCCTTCCACCTCTTTCCTCCCTTTTCCCAAGGCAGAGGAGCCTCACCCCATAGCCACTGCCACCCCAGGCACAAGGGGTACTGACAGACTACCACCAATGTTTCCAAGGTCTCTTACTTCAGCTTGTCATGTATGCTGTCTGGCCTGGGACTCACCCTTCAGGACAGTGGGCTCCCCTTTGTCCCAGGGCAGGTCTAGAAGAAATGCCATCCAAGAGTCAAGTCCTGGAATTGGGGATGCCTAGGGCCCACTTGGCCTAGAGCCAAGCTTTGTGGCTGTGCTGGTACCTAAGGTGCAAGATGAAGTCTCCTTTGCTTTTCCCTCTGCTTTTCTTAAGCAGGAGTTTTTGCCTGATAGCCACCACAGCAGATAATGTGCTGAGTATCACCTGAAGCCAGCAAGTCTCAGAGGCTCACCCAAGGTACTCAATGTAGTACTTGGCTATCACTACTAGTTATTCAGGGCCCAAGGACTCTTCAGTTAGCAGGTGATAAATGCTGGCAGGACTGGGTTCTTTCCTTCAAGGCAGCAGGTTCCCTTCTGGCCCAGAGTGTGTCAAGAAAGGTTTTCTGGGAACTAGGGCCTGGAACAAGGGCCTCATGACTCTGACCAATGCCCTATCCTGCTGTGGCTGAACTGGGTGCCTAGATGCAAGAGAAAGTCCTCCCCACCCTTCCCTTTCTCTCCTTAAATGGTAAGAAGGGGTCTCTTTTCGAGCCATGAGATATGCAGCCTGGAGATGGGGAGGAGTGATGCCAGCACTTCCTTGGCTGACCCAGCTGGTGTTTCAGTATGTTGCATGCCCCCCCAGTCCACTGTCTCTGAGCTGGTTCACCACTAGGACTGCCTAAGAGTTGCAGCCTTTATGGCCTAGACTGCCTTTCTAGTTTACTTGGAGACACAGAGTGCTGTAGCCCTCAGTGGTGAGGTCTGTAGGAACTCAAGTTCAGACCACTAGGACTGGTGATTCTCCTCTGGCTAGGGCTGGTTTAAATGCTCCCTTCATGGGTAAGCATCAACTGAGTTTGGCCTAGTTTTTCTTTCTGCTCTAACAGGACAGCACTGAGTTCCATGTCTCACAATTGCTGTGTTCTCCCTCCGTTGGTGCCCAGAGATGCTCTCCACACCACATGGTGACTGCCAGGGCTAGGGCAGGTGTGGCACAGACAATTCATTACTGTTTTCTCTAACTCTTCAATGCCTCTTTTAGTGATATAAAGATAAACAAGGTACTATGAGTGCTTGCCTGATTTTCGGTTCTTATGAAGGTGTTTTTTTCTCTGTAGATAGTTGTTAACTCAGTGTCCTTGTTGGGGGGTTATGATCAGTGGAGCTTTTTATTCCACCATCTTGCTCTGCCTCTTGGTTTGTTTAATTTCCATGTGTTTGTATACTTTCCAAAATTACTCTTATTATTGATTTCTAGTTTCATTCTATTGTGGTCAGAGAAGATGTTTGATACTATTTCAATTTTTTTTAATGTTTTAAGACTTGTTTTGTGACCTAACATGTGGTATATTTTTGAGAACGATCCATGTGCTCAGGAGAAGAATGTGTTTTCTTCAGCCACTGAATTAAATATTCTGTAAATATGTATTAGGTCTATTTGTTCTATAGTGCAGATTATGTCTGATGTTTCTTTGTTGATTTTGTATCTGGAAGATCTATCCAATGCTGAAAATGAGGTACCGAAATCTCCAGCTATTATTGTATTGGAGTCCATCTCTCTCTTCAGTTCTAGTAATATTTGCTTTATTTATCTGGGCACTCTAGTGTTGGGTACATGTATATTTACAATTGCTATATCCTCTTGCTGAATTGACATTTATCCTTATATACTGATCTTATTTGTCTCTTCTCAAATTTTTTGTCTGGAAATCTATTTTTTCTGATACAAGTATTGCTATGCCTGCTCTTTCCATTGGCATAGAATATATATTTTCATTCTTTTGTTTTCAGTCTATGTGCACATTTATGGATGCAGTGTGTTTCTTGTAGGCATCAGATCACTGGGTCATGTTTTCTCATCCACTCAGCAATTCTATGTCTTTTGATTGGAGAGTTTAGTCCATTTACATTCAATGTTATAATTGATAAGTAAAGACTTACTCCCGCCATTTTGTTGTTTTCTGGTTGTTTTGTGTTTTTCTCTTCTTCCTTTACTTCCTTCCTGTCTTCCTTTTAGTGAAGATGATTTTCACTGGTGGTATGTTTTCATTTCTTGCTCCTTATTTTTTGTGTATCCATTATATGTTTTTAGATTTCAGGTTACCATGAGGCTTACAAATAATATCATATAACCCATTAGTTTAAACTGATGACAACTTAACCCTGATTCCATAAACAAACAAGAAAAAGAAAACTAAAAAAGAACAAAAAACAAAAACAAAAAAAAAAGCCCTCTATGCTTTAATTTCGTCTTCGCACTTTTAACTTTTTGTCTCTCTATTAATGTCTTATGGTACTTCCTGTGTCTTAAAAAGTTGTTGTAGTTACTATATTTGATTGGTTCATCTTTTCATCTTTCCATTTAAGATATGAGCAGTGTATACATCACAATTACAGTGTTACAATACTCTATGTTCTCCTGTGTATTTTCTATTATCAGTGAGTTTTCTGCCCTCAGATGATTTCTTATTCCTCATTAATGTCCTTTTCTTTCAGATCAAAGAATTCCCTTTAGCATTTCTTGTAAGACAGGTCTGGTGTTGATGAAATCCCTCAGGTTTTGTTTGTCTGGGAAAGTCTCTATTCCTCTTTCATGTCTGAAGGATATTTTCACCAGATATACTATTCTAGGTTAAAAGTGTTTTCCTTCAGCACTTTATATATGTCATGCCACTCTCTCCTGGCCTGTAAAGTTTCCACTGAAAATTCTTCTGCCATATGTATTAGAGCTCCACTGTATGCACAGCACTGGATCTCATGCCAGGCCTGCTCTAACCTCTCCCTTGCTACCACCTATGTTTGTTTGCTCAAGAACCTGGGGCTCTGACATCAGCAGGTAGCAAAGCCAGCCAGGTCTGTATTCTTCCTTTCAGGACAGCCAGTTCCCTCAGGCCCCAGGTGGGTCCAGAGCTGTAGTCCAGGAAACAGGGACTAGAGTCAAAATCCTTAGAAGTCTACCTGCTGTTCTAGTGTAGTGCAGCTAAGATGACACTCAAACCACGAAATGCAGTCCTTTCCAGTCTTTTCTCCTCTTTTCAAAGGTGGAGGAGTTTTACCCCACAGCCACTGCCACCACAGGCTCATGAATAGTATTGCCTGACTACTGCTGATGTTCCCTCAAGGGCTCTTCAGTCAGCTTGTGCTGAATGCTGCCAGGCCTGGGACTCACCCTTCAGGGCACTGGGCTCCCTTCTGGTCCAGGGGATATCTAGAAATACTGTCCAAAATGTAAGGCCTGGAACTGGAGACCCCAAGAGCCCATTTGGTGCTCTATCTCACTATGACCAAGCTGGTATGTAAGGTGCAAGACAAAGTTCCCTTTACTTTTCCCTCTGCTTTTCTCAAGTAGAAGGAGTCTCTCACCATAGCCACCACAGCTGGGAATGATCTGGGTCTCACCTGAAGCCACTGCATCTCAGAGTCTCACCCACAGCAGAAATAACCAGCAGCAATATGGCATACTACCTTGGTATTGCTGCTGGTTATTCAGGGCCCTAGGGCTCTTTAGTTAGCAGGTGATGAATCCTGCTAGGACTTCTTCCTTTCATTCAAGACAGCAGGTTCTTTTCTGACCCAGGTTGTGTCTAGAAACGTTGTCCAGGAGGTAGATCCTAGAATGGGGGCCTCACTATTCTGCCTGATGCCCTTTCCTACTGTGGCTGAGCTTATATTCAAAATACAAGACAAAATCCTCTTTACTCTTCCCCTCTCCTCTTCTCAAGCAGAATAAAGGACTCTCTCATTGCTTCAAGCTGTGCTGCCTGTGGCTAGGGGAAGGGTGGCACAGGCTCTCCATTAGCCACCCTGGCTGGTCTCTCCCTAGGTCATATGCCTCCCATGTCCACTGGGTCTGAGCCCAACACAGCACTAGGACTTGCCTAGAAATTGCAGCTTCTGTGGCCTAGGCTGCCTTTCAAGTTTATTTAGAACCACAGAGTACTTTAGCCAGCGATGGCAAGGCTTGCCAAAACTCAATTTTCAACTGCTGGAATGAGTGATTCCCTTCTAACTAGAGCTGGTCTCATTTTCCTTCTGTGGGCAAGTATCAGCTGACTTAAGCCCGGTTTTGTTTTGTGCTGTGACCCAGGGAAGCACTGAGTCCAATGAACAGTCCCACAGGCACTGCATGCTCCCTCCTCCCTCCTGCAAGGACTGAGACTCTCTTCCTGCCATATGACCACTGCAACAGATGAGGGAAGGGTTGTGTCAGAGATTCAAGACTGTCTTTCCTACCCTCTTCAGTGCCTCTTTCAGTGATATGAAGTTAAAACCAGGTACTGTGATTGCTTACCTAATTTTTGGTTCTTTGGAAGGTCCTTTTCTGTGTAGATAGTGGTCGAATTTGGTGTTCCTGTTGTGGGGGACTATCAGTGGAGGCTTTCATTAGGCCATCTTGGTCCACCCCTCCATTTCTGGTTTATTCTTCCCAGAAACCCAACGGGGTGAATGCAGAAGCGGGTTTCAAGACAACTAATGGCATTTCATTAGAGACTCTAACAATGCATTCATGTGGTTGTATATATTTGAAATTTTGCAAAAATAATTTTATATTCTTTTCTTATGAGGCCCCTAAATTGTATAACGTTTAGCCACAAAACTAAGTCCATTCTCAGTTATGTACTAATATTAAACCCTTTTATAGATAAGGCAAATGAGACAGATAATTTCAGTGATATTTATTTCCATTTATATTTTATATTTTTTTAGCATTCCAAGGCTTTTTATGCCTTTGGAGATATTTTTTTTTCTGCCAGAATTCCAGTGATCATGATTTATGCTAATTTTTTTCTAAATTATTTATTCTATGAAAACACTAATTCTTGGTGAAGCATATATTGTCTTCCACAACAATTAAGAGTGAGCCCCCTCTGTGTCTGCTTTCAAAGAACAGCAAAAAGTACAAAGGTATTACACCGGCCCCTGGGTCTGTCAGAGCTGGTGACCCACTTCTTAAAAAGCTTCATTAGGCTCAATCTTTCTATGAGTTTTATCATATTTTAAGTCATACATTGTTTCTGATCTCATATAAAACTGTTCTTATATGCCATATATCAAGCTAGAATGTATTCAAATTCAGTACTCCATTTCTTTGACTTAATATTTATGTTTAATTTCCTAATCACTCTATCCTTTAAATGTTTCAATATTATCACCCTGTTTGCAATTCTTTCTGGTTTGTGAGTTTATATGCATTTCAGTGTGAGCTGTTGAGTGCCTTATGGACATTAATCTCATCATTTTACAGAGCCTGGTATCAAAACGTGTAACAAGATTAAATTGGGAGAAAGATAGTATTTATAATAAAATTTTTATCTACTATTTATTCTCACAGACTCTCTGAAATATTGCTGAGAAAAATCAGGATGAATATCTTGAATATGGAATCAAAAGGTGTATGTGGAACTCGAGCTTTACGAAAAGATGTCACACGCCACGCCCCTCCCAACTCCGTATACTTTTAACAACAAAGGAGCAGTGCCTTATATTTCCAGTCTAAGCCCATGTTTTCTTACATACCCATGGGAAATCTGAAGTCCCCTGGTCACCCTTCACCACCCTCTTCTTGTGCCTCCCTATAGTACTCTTACCCCATGTAATTTATGATTCAGTATTCAAGGAGGCAGAGTTCTCAAGAAGTTCCTAATTTCCATGTGAGACCTCTTCAGGCTGGACTTTGCAATCCATATCACTATCAACATTTTGGTCACAACTATTCTAACAAGTCTCTAGGAGGTTCCAAAATTTTCCTCATCTTCCTGTCTTTTTCTCAGCCCTCCAGACTCTTCCAATCGCTGCCTGTCACCCAGTTCCGAAGTCACTTCCATATTTTCAAATATCTTTATAGCAATGCCCCGCTCCTTGGTATCAATTTTCTGGAGGCATTCAGAAGACTCTGAAAACATTTACTCAAAAAGATTAATTTAATGTAATACCTAAATGTCTTCAGATATTTAAATAGCCAATGAGGAATTGAACTGATAATAAGCATGTCAAAAATGAAGGAAATGGAAAAAGGACACAAGTATTAATTCCAGGGATTTATTAGTCCATTTTCACACTGCTATGAAGAACTACCTGAGACTGGGTAATTTATAAATAGACTTAATTGACTCATGGTTCTGCATGACTGGGAGCAGGACTCAGGAAATTTACAATCATGGCTGAAGGCAAAGGGGAAGCAAGGCACATCTTATATGATGGCAGAAGAGAGAGAGAGAACAAAGGGGGGACTGCCACACACTTTTAAACCATCAGATCTTGTGAGAACTCACTCACTGTCATGAGAACAGCATGGAAGAAACCACTCCCATGATCCAAACACCTTCCACAAGCTACCTCCTTTGACACATGGGGATTACAGTTCAAGATGAGATTTGGGTGGGGACACAGAGCCAAACCATAGCAAGGGAAAACAAAAAGTTGTGAAATATGTCAATAATGTTTGCACATTCAAAGTAGTGTAAATATGAATTGATTATTGGCATTAACTAACACTTTAATTTTATTATATTATGCAGTTGGGGTTACAAAAGTTAAAAGTGAACAATGGAAGATGAAGGAGAAAAAGATCTTCAAAGCCTTCTCCTCTATATTGAAAAATCAATAGACCATGCCCAAAATTGAAAAAGAATCAAGAAATAATACACAATCATGCTATTTGGAGAAATAAATGTAAACACCAAATAATAAGATGGAAGACAGGGGACTGCAAACATGGTTGCCCTGGGAAGTGGTAATTAAGGGAATGGGGATGGGGCAGGGGATTAATGTTCTTCATAACAGAACAATGTAGCCATTTGACTTTAAATTACCGACACTTGGCCAGGTGTGGTGGCTCATACCTGTCATCCCAATGCTTTGGGAAGCCAAGGGGGGAGGACTGCTTGAGGCAAGAAGTTTGAGACAAGCCTGTACAACATAGTGAGACACCCATCGCTACATACAATTTTTTTAAATTAGCCAGGTGTGATGGTGCATGACTGTAGTTCCAGCTACTCAAAAGACAGGTGGGAGAATCGCTTGAGGCCAGGAGGTTAAGGTTGCAGTAAGCTGATTATGCCACAGCACTCTAGCCTGGGTGACAGAGCAAGACCTTGTCTCAATCAATCAATCATGTACACTTATGATTATGACAAAAATTAAAACTAAGAAAAGAGAGAGAGGAGCCAAAAGTAGAAAATTAATAAAATATAAACCAAAATAAAATAGAGAAAACAAAGAACTCAAAAATTGTTTCCTTGCAAACCTGTGAAAAGAGAAGAGGAACCCAAATAAAAAATTTAGCAATAAAAACTGTTACATAATTATATATAGCAGAAGGTAAAAATAAAAGAATGTAATGAATATGTTTCTGAAAATAGTTTTTAAGACAAATGAAATAGACAAATTTAAATAGAAAGAAGGAAAATGTGTGTGTGAGAGAGAGATACCAAGTCTGACTCAAAAAAATAGAAGGCTTTAATAACTCTATAACCATTAAAAATGGTGACTATTAAATGAATCATTAAAATCCTCTCACAAAGGAAAAATCTTCCCTGCATGGTTTATATGAAAATTTTATCAACTTTTCCAAGTTAAAGCATTTTAATATTCTGAAAACTCTTTCAAAAATTAAAATTTTCATGAAATAGTCTCCAATTCAATCTATAATGCTGTTATTCTTTGATATTAAAAGCGAAGTTAGCATGAGGGAAAAAAAAGTAGCGATTAATCTCTCCGATGAATATAGATGAAACAATTCTAAGCTAAATATTTATAAAACAAATCCAACAATATATTAAAATTCACATACTAAATTAAGCTTATTCTGGGAATGCAAAGATGGTTTTACATTAGAAAACCTTAAATGCATGTCCACACTGATTGGAAAAAAATACACATGATCATCTTGATTGATCTAAAAAAAAAAGATTGATAAAATCTCTACTTATTCATAATTTAAAAAAAGAAACCCTCTTAGCAACTAGGAACAGGAGACTTCATTAGCCTGATAAATGATGAACTAGGAATAGTGCACAGGTGATACAAGGATATTGGTAATGTTCTAGTAGTTCTTAAATTGTGTGATAAGTTCATGGGTGTTCACTTATTATGCTTTGTATATACTTTTGTATGTATCAAAGTTACATAATTTTAGTTACATGTGCATTGTATAATTTCTGATCTCTAACATTAGAATTAATGGCAATGATAATTTCTACTCATAACAAAATAATACCAATAAGTTATAAAATTTCCAAGCCCACAAGGAAAAAAAGTAACAAAAAATGTAAGCATCCTAAACTAAGATAATGAGAAAAAAAGAGAAACAAAACAGCTTGGAAAACAAAATGTAAAACAAGTTAAAGAAAATAAATTGGAACATAACAGTAAACAGAAAATGCAAATAGATTGTATTCCATATTTTCAAACAAAAATTCTCAGATTATTTTAAAAATACAACTGCATGCTATTTGCTAGAAACATGATTATAAGAAAAACAGACAAAGTTATTAACAGAAAAAAAGAAAAATTGTTCAGAAAAATATCACATAAAGAAAAGTAGTGTGATGATATTAAAGAACAGAATTCAACGGGAAAATATTTAATAGAATAAGCAGGGAAATGTTCGACTGATAAAAGTTATAGTCTATCTAGACAATATAAAAGTCATAAAACTATATGTACTTAACTTTATAAACCTTGAAATATAAAGCAGTATTATAAATACAAGAAGAAATTGATAATTCCAAATCCAGGTGAGAAAATTTAACATGCATTTTCTCAGCAAATCAGATGACAAAAAATAAGGATACAGAGAATCTGGGTAGCATTATATTTACATTTAATACTAATAGTTACCTCAAACAAAAATAATTGACTGGATTAAGAAAATGTGGCACATATACACCATGGAATACCATGCAGCCGTAAAAAATGATGAGTTCATGTCCTTTGTAGGGACATGGATGAAATTGGAAAACATCATTCTCAGTAAACTATCACAAGGACAAAAAACCAAACACCGCATGTTCTCACTCATAGGTGGGAATTGAACAATGAGAACACATGGACACAGGAAGGGGAACATCACACTCTGGGGACTGTTGTGGGGTTGGGGGAGCGAGGAGGGATAGCATTAGGAGATATACCTAATGCTAAATGACTAGTTAATGGGTGCAGCACACCAGCATGGCACATGTATACATATGTAACTAACCTGCACATTGGGCACATGTACCCTAAAACTTAAAGTATAATAATAATGAAATAAAATAAAAATTCACATTTTTTACAAATATGTATGGAAGCTTTATATACAGACAGTATAACAGAAACAGAACCAATTGGAAAGACTGAAAACCCCAAATGAGACATTTACCACAAAGTAGGAATTGTTTGTTTAGCCTTTTTACAATGTACATAGTAACAGGTATAATGAATACAAAAATTTCATCTTTGTTCATCTCTAATCTCCAGGGAGCCTGGATGTTATCAAAGATGAATGCCCCACAGTTACCCTGACATAAAAGAATTTACCACTTCCTGTAACAAGCAATTAGATAGAAGGACTTTTATTTTCTTTATTTGCATTTTAGCTAATTGACTAATAATCTTAGATTAATAAATGTCAACATTATTAAAACAAGACAAATCTGTATTATAAACTAACAAGTTTCCATAAGCATGACACCAAAGTTTATAGACTAGAGAATACAAAGACTTCCTAAATTAAAGTTATGGGCCCATTTTTGGTAACTATGTCTCTGTCACGAAAATAGAAAAGAAAATATCACACTAGATCCTTCGCTGCTTTAGAAGACAATATTACAACACTTAGATTACACTATAGACGGCTAGATGTAAGGGAAAAAAAAGGAAAAGAGAAGGGGAAGACAGATACATAACAAAGTAGGATAGAAGATTAAATTGTGAGGTACCAATCAATTATCAAAGCTCAGAATGGTGAAAGAGAAAAATCCACAATGCTGGTAATATCATCAAGGATGGTTCCATAAACTAATAGAATTTGAGAAGCCTTGTTTTGATAGATAAGTAGCCAAATATTAAGTGAGAAGCAAGAGCAAAAAGAAAGGTGATGGGGCCTCAGGAGTGAGGTGAATAATATACATGAAAGTTATGAAAAATTCTTTTTTTTTTTTGAGATGGAGTGGGGGATGGAATCTCACTCTCCACTTGTAAGCCCAAGTGCAGTTTGTGCCACTTTTACCGGTGGGGTCACTTCTTACAGCCCCAGAAAGGGTGTTTTCAGGCTCTGAAAAGCACACACTTTGGTTTCCTTTGTCCTGGGGGCCATCTTTTTGATGTGCTGTGCCATCTTGCTTCCAGGGAGTAGTACTCCCGGTAGGATAGAGTACTGAGGACCCTGCAGTGCCTTTTGGTCCAGCCAGCACTGTGCTGCTATGGCCCTCAGGGTGGACACTGGGGGATGTCAGTGGAGGTTTCTGGGATGTTGTCATATGGGGGCTGTGGTTCCCAGGGAAGGATGTAGTCCTGTGATTGTGTTCTCTCACAACGGCACCCTACTGCAGCCACATAGGTGTTAAGGGTGTGAGGGACTCAGTGCAAGTTCCCTATCTGGTGCAATGCCCTCATGGAGTCTCCAGATCACTGCGTATGCTAGTTTCAGGGATCATGTGGGTAGAGGATCTCTCCCATAGTCAGATTGTTTCCGTGCAGTGAGGATGTGGACCACTGAAGGTCTCTAACTTACCCTTTGCTCTCAATACTGAACCCCTTGGGGCTCCGAGCTTATCTTGGCCAAGCTGGCCACTAGCTTCTTTCTCCGTCTGCACCTTACATGTTACTCATGCCTTCTCTGTTGGACTGTAGTGGCCTCTCCTAGATGTTCTATTTGAGGTGTGATAATCTGTTGGTAATTTTGGTTCTTTCTGGGGAATGCAAATGTCCAGTGTCTCTAGCAAGCCATCTTGAACCTGCGTCAGATCACAATCAAATTTAATTCACCAGTTTATCCTAGACAAATAACTCATGGTCCCAGTGAAGACGGGACTGAGCTCTTTGATGACAAAGGCCACACTTTCTATATGCAGATGATATCATGGACTCATTATTAGAAAAACCTGTGTGTTTTACTGATTTTCCAGTAGAATTAAGGAATAATATCTTTTGGGTATACTCTGCCTCCCTATTCTTGCTATGAGTATCCACTGATCCTTCTATCTCTTGTAGAGCATATTTCTTTCCCTGCCCTTTAAGTCTAATGCCTTCTTATTCTGTGTCTTTGTCTCCTATTCCAATACAAAATGCTATCTTTAAAGTAGACCTAAAACTTCAGAGGCAGACATGGCAATTACAAAAATAATTATCACTTCTCTCAATGAGGAAGAGCCTTACTCAAGGGAAAGACACAGAGCTCTCCGCTTACCTTTTAAGATTTGTAGATTAGATTAGGTTTTGCTAAACACAAGCCAAAAGGATATAATAAAGGTGAAATCTTAAAATCAAAAAAAAAAAGGAGAAAGAAAAAATTTCCAAGCTAAAAAGAGCCAGCTTTAGTAAACCAAAACAAGAGGGACACAGCTAATACAAAAGAAATAGGCATGAAAAAGAAAGGTTGACAAGCTGGGCCGACCATAGTGGCCCATGCCAGTAACACCAGCACTTTGAGACGCCAAGGCAGGAAGATCACTTGGGCCCAGGAGCTCAACACCAGCCTGGGCAACATAAGGGGACCCCGTCTCTACAACAAATTTTTAAAAAGTAGCCACTCAGGTGGCAGACACCTGTAGTCCCAGCTACTCAGGAAGCTGAGGCGGGAGGATCACTTGAGCCCAAAGGTCAAGACTGCAGTGAGCCATAATTGTGCCAGTTCACTCCAGTCTGGATGACACACTAAAATCCTGTCTTAAAAAAAAAGAAAGAGAGAGAGAGAGAGAGAGAGAAAGATTAACAAGCTAACTTAAGTAGCAAAAATCAAAAATAAAAAATGAATTATTTTACTGGAAAGCACAAACTGTTTATCTAATTTCCTCTAATTAACATACTTTTTAAAAGCGTTATTAAGAAAATTTCAATGTCACCTTATCCATTATAGTTCAATGATTCTGTTATGTTAAACAAAATGAGTGCTCCCACAAATTGACAAATCACTATATTTTCTTCTAGTAATTGTTCCAGATCATTTATAATTATGAAGTATATGAAAGTACTTTAAAAAGGAAAAGGACTTAGATACATTTAAGATATTAGAACTGATCATGCAGATAAAACAGTTCATAGTAGCAAATAAAGAAGGAAAGAAGATGCATATAATTATCTTTTTTGCATATATAGACATAAATTAGATTATATAGTCCCTGCCAAGACTAGTTAAAGCTGAAGCACTCTGCCTGGTGCAATGGCTCATGCCTGTAATCCCAGATACTTGGGAGGCTGAGGCAAGAGAATTGCTTGAGGCTAGTAGTTCAAGACCAGCCTGGGTAACATAGCAAGACCCTATCTCTAAAAAAAAAAATAAATTAGCTTGGCATGGTGATACATGCCTGTAGTCCCAGCAGGAACTGCAGCAGGAGGATGGCTTCAGACCAAGAGTTTGAGACTGCACTGAGCTAAGATCACACCACTGCACTCCAGCCCGGGCAACAGAGCAACACTTTGTCTCTAAAAATGAATGAATGAATGAATGAATGAATGAATAAGTAAATAAAACTGAAGCACTACTCTCTATCACTTTTGCAGGTCAATCTTCTGTTGGTCCTATGGTCAAATTCTTCTACTCTTAACTCCAGATTAGGAAGTAGATTCCATAGACCCTCTCTCTGCAAAGATCTTCTCAAAACTCTAATGAAAGCCAACTCACAACTTTAGTAATACCAGAAGATACACTTCAAACCACAAAAAAAAATCCTAAAATAATATTGACACAACAGAAGCTATCTTGATTAACTGGTTAAAATAACTGATGTTTTCCATATTCAAATTATGTCTTACAGAGAAATTAGCATAAGACAATCTGGAAAATCCATTGGGGCTGGGGGTCAACATAAAAAGCAGTTAGGCAAAAGCCTTTACCATGAATTCTTTTTAAATCTACTTTTCAATCGATTAACCATGCTCTAGTTGTGGCTATAGCAAATGAGAAGTTTCTATTATTTTTTCACTTTTTTTGCAACTATAATGCATTTTGGTGTAGAAGTGAAAGTATAGTGAGGAACAGAAAAACAGCTGTAGCTTTTCAGCTCCAGAAGAGCAGAACTCAGTTGACAGTACACTATGAGTTTATGATGCTGTATCCCATATCACAACATTCAGTGCTAATTTAAAATATGTCATAATGGTGATTTGTAGTCCACATGTCAGTCATTTCAACATGTTAATTTTAAATTTTTGTGTAATTGGCGTATACCATCATCAGTTTCTAAAACCCCAAGTGGCTTTAACACCGTAAGAACATTAAAATAGCCCTCCCGCTATGCAAGGACACAACAAGAAGGTACCATTCTATGAATTAGACTGTGTCCTCGCCAAACACCAAGTCGGCCAGATCTTGATCTTGGACTTCTCAAACTCCATAACTGAGATGACTGTTCTATGCAAGTAATGGCAGCATTTTACATTCGTAAAGTTAAAAATAATGGAATGAGATAGTCATCCGAAAATAGCCAAATAGGAACAGCTCCAGTCTGCAGCTCCCAGTGAGATCAACACGGAAGGTGGGTGATTTCTGCATTTCCAACTGAGATACCTGGCTCATCTCATTGGGACTGGTTAGATAGTGGGTGCAGCCCACAGTGGGTGAGCCAAAGCAGGGTGGGGCGTCACCTTGCTGGGAAGTGCAAGGGATTGGAAACTCCCTCCCCTAGCCAAGGGAAGCCATGAGGGACTGTGCCATGAGGAATGGCGCATTCTGGCCCAGATACTATTCTTTTCCCACCATCTTCACAACCAGCAGACAAGAAGATTCCCTCAGATGCCTATACCACCAGGGCCCAGGGTTTCAAGCGCAAAATTGGGTGGTCATTTGGGCAGACACCAAGCTAGCTGCAGAAGTTTTTTTCATACCCCAGTGGCACCTGGAACACCAGTGAGACAGAATCATTCACTCCCCTGAAAAGAAGGCTAAAGTCAAGGAACCAAGTGGTCGAGCTCAGTGGTTCCCACCCCTACAGAGCCCAGCAAGCTAAGATACAATGGCTTGAAATTCTCGCTGCGAGCACAACAGTCTGAAGTCAATCTGGGAATCTCAAGCGTGGTCGGGGGAGGGGAATCTGCCATTACTGAGGCTTGAGTAGGTGGTTTTCCCCTCACAGTGTAAAAAAAGCCACCAAGAGTTTGAACTGCATGGAGCACACCAAAGCTCAGCAAAGCCACTGTAGCCAGATTGCCTGTCTAGATTCCTCCTCTCTAGGCACGGCATCTCTGAAAGAAAGGCAAGCAGCCCCAGTCAGGGGCTTATAGATACAACTCCCCACTCCCTGGGACAAAGCACCTGGGGAAAGGGGAGGTAATGGGCGCAGCTTCAGCTGACTTAAACCTTCCCGCCTGCCGGCTCTGAAGAGAGCAATGAATCTCCCAGCACAGTGCTCGAGCTCTGCTAAGGGACAGACTGCCTCCTCAAGTGGGTCCCTGACCCCTGTGCCTCCTGACTGGGAGACACCTCCCAGCAGGGTTCGGCAGACACCTCATTTAGGAGAGTTCCGGTTGGCATCTGGCAAGTGCCCCTCTGGGATGAAGCTTCCAGATGAAGCAACAGGCAGCAATCCTTGCTGTTCTGCAGCCTCCGCTGGTGATACCCAGGCAAACAGGGTCTGGAGTGGACATCCAGCAAACTCCAGCAGACCTAGGGCAGAGGGGCCTGACTGTTAGAAGGAAAACTAATAAACAGAAAGGAATAGCATCAACATCAACAAAAAGGACATCCACACAGAAACCCCATCTGAAGGTCACCAACATCAAAGACCAATGGTAGATAAATCCACGAAGATGAGGAAAACCAGCACAAAAAGGCTGAAAATTCCAAAAACCAGAATGCCTCTTCCCCTGCAAAGGATCACAACTCCTTGCCAGCAAGGGAACAAAAGTGGACAGAGAATGAGTTTGACAAATTGACAGAAGTAGGCTTCAGAAGGTGGGTAATAACCTTCTCTGAGCTAAAGGAGCATGTTCTAACCCAATGCAAGGAAGCTAAGAACCTTGAAAAAAGGTTAGCAGAATTGCTAACTAGAATAACCAGTTTAGAGAAGACCATAATGACCTGATGGAGCTGAAAAACACAGCACGAGAACTTCGTGAAGCATACACAAGTATCAATAGCCAAATCGATCAAGCAAAAGAAAGGATATCAGAGATTGAAGATCAACTTAATGAAATAAAGCATGAAGACAAGATTAGAGAAAAAAGAATAAAAAGGAACAAACAAAGCCTCCAAGAAATATGGGACTATGTGAAAAGACCAAACTTACGCTTGATTGGTGTACATGAAAGTGATGGGGAGAATGGAACCAAGTTGAAAAATACTTTTCAAGATATTATCCAGGAGAACTTCCCCAACCCAGCAAAACAGACCAACATTCAAATTCAGGAAATACAGAGAACACCACAAGGATACTCATTGAGAAGAACAACCCCAAGACAAATAATCGTCAGATTCACCAACATTGAAGTGAAGGAAAAAGTGTTAAGGGCAGCCAGAGAGAAAGGTCAGGTTACCCACAAAGGGAAGCCCATCAAACTAACATAAGACTAGCAGAGGACCTCTCTGCAGAAACCCTGCAAGCCAGAATATAGTGGGGGCCAATATTCAACATTCTTAAAGAAAAGAATTTTTGACCCAGAATTTCATATCCAGCCAAACTAAGCTTCATAAGTGAAGGAGAAATAAAATCCTTTACAGACAAGCAAATGCTGAGAGATTTTGTCACCACCAGGCCTGCCCTATAAGAGCTCCTGAAGGAAGCACTAAACATGGAAAGGAATAACCAGTACCAGCCACTGCAAAAACATGCCAAATTGTAAAGACCATTGAGGCTAGGAAGAAACTGCATCAAATAACCAGCAAAATAACCAGCTAACATCATAACGACAGGATCAAATTCATGCATAACAATATTAACCTTAAATGTAAATGGGCTAAATGCTCCAATTAAAAGACACAGACTGGCAAATTGGATAAAGACTCAAGACCCATCAGTGTGCTATATTCAGGAGACCCATCTTATGTGCAAAGACACACATAGGCTCAAAACAAAGACATGGAGGAATGTTTACCAAGCGAATGGAAAGCAAAAAAAAAAGCAGAGGTTGCAATCCTAGTCTCTGATAAAACAGACTTTAAACCAACAAAGATCAAAAAAGACAACAGCATTACATAATGGTAAAGGGATCAATGCAACAAGAAGAGCTAACTATCCTAAATATATATGCACCCAATACAGGAGCATCCAGATTCATAAAGCAAGTTCTTAGAGACCTACAAAGAGACTTAGACTCCCACACAATAATACTGGGAGACTTCAACACCACACTGTCAATATTAGACAGATCAACAGAGACAGAAAATTAACAAGGATATTCAGGACTTGAACTCAACTCTGGACCAAGTGGATCTAACAGACATCTGCAGAACTCTCCACCCAAAATCAACAGAATATACATTCTTCTCAGCACCACATCATACTTATTCTAAAATTGACCACATAATTGGAAGTAAAACACTCCTCAGCAAATGCAAAAGAATGGAAATCATAACAAACAGTCTCTCAGACCACAGTGCAATCAAATTAGAACTCAGGATTAAGAAACTCACTCAAAACTGCACAACTACATGGAAACTGAACAACCTGCTCCTGAATGACTACTGGTTAAATAAGGAAATTAAGGCAGAAATAAATAAGTTATTTGAAACACATGAGAACAAAGACACAACATACCAGAATCTCTGGGACACAGCTAAAGCAGTGTTTGGAGGGAAATTTATAGCACTAAATGCCCACAAGAGAAAGTAGAAAAGAACTAAAATCAACACCCTAACATCACAATTAAAAGAACTAGAGAAACAAGAGCAAACAAATTCAAAAGCTAGCAGAAGACAAGAAATAACTAAGATCAGAGCAGAACTGAAGGACATAGAGACACAAAAAAACCCTTCAAAAATCAATAAATCCAGGAGTTGGTTTTTTGAAAAGATTAACAAAATAGATAGACCGCTAGCCAGACTAATAAAGAAGAAAAGAGAGAAGAATCAAATAGATGCAATAAAAAATGATAAAAGGGATATCACCACTGATCCCATAGAAATACAAACTACCATCAGAGAATACTATAAACACCTCTATGCAAATAAACTAGAAAATCTAGAAGAAATGGATAAATTCCTGGACATATACACCCTCCAAAGACTAAACCAGGAAGAAATTGAATCCCTGAATAGACCAATAACAAGTTCTGAAACTGAGGCAGTAATTAATAGTCTACCAACCAAAAAAAGTTTAGGACCAGACAGATTCACAGCCAAATTCTACCAGAGGTACAAAGAGAAGATGGTACCATTCCTTCTGAAACTATTCCAAACAATAGAAAAAAAGGGACTCCTCCTTAACTCATTTTGCGAGGCCAGCATCATCCTAATACCAAAACTTGGGAGAGACACAAGAAAAGAAAATTTCAGACCAATATCCCTGATGAACATCGATGCAAAAATCCTCAATAAAATACTGGCAAACTGAATCTAGCAGCACATCAAAAGGCTTATCTACCAAGATCAAGCTGGCTTTACCCCGGGATGCAAGGCTGGTTCAACATACGCAAATCAATAAATGTAATCCATCTCATAAACAGAACCAATGACAAAAACCACATGATTATCTCAACAGATGTAGAAAAGGCCTTTGATAAAATTAAACACCCCTTCATGCTAAAAACTCTCAATAAACTAGGTATTGATGGAACGTACATCAAAATAATAAGAGCTACTTATGACAAACCCACAGCCAATATCATACTGAATGGGCAAAAGCTGGAAACACTCCCTTTGAAAACCACCAGCACAAGACAAGGATGCCCTCTCTCACCACTCCTGTTCAACATAGTATGGGAAGTTCTGGCCAGGGGAATCAGGCAAGAGAAAGAAATAAAGGGTATTCAAATAGGAAGAGAGGAAGTCAAATTGTCTCTGTTTGCAGATGACATGATTGTATATTTAGAAAACCCCATCTTCTCAGCCCAAAATCTCCTTAAGCTAATAAGCAACTTCAGCAAAGTCTCAGGCTACAAAATCAATGGGCAAAAATCACAAGCATTCCTATACACTAATAATAGACAAACAGCCAAATCATGAGAGAACTCCCATTCACATTTGCTACAAAGAGAATAAAATACCTAGGAATACAACTTACGAGGGATGTGAAGAACCTCTTCAAGGATAACTACAAACCACTGCTCAATGAAATAAGACAGGACACAAACAAATGGAAAAACATTCCATGCTCATGGACAGGAAGAATCAATATCATCAAAATGGCCATAGTGCCTAAAGTAATTTATAGATTCAATGCTATCCCCACCAAGCTACCATTGACCTTCTTCACAGAATTAGAAAAAAACCACTTAAATGTCATATGGAACCAAAAAAGAACCCGTATAGCCAAGACAATCATAAGCAAAAAGAACAAAACTGGAGGGATCATGCTACCTGACTTTAAACTATACTACAAGGCTACAGTAACCAAAACAACATGGTACTGGCACCAAAACAGATATATAGACCAATAGAACAAAACAGAGGCCTCAGAAATAACACCACACATCTACAACCATCTGATCTTTGACAAACCTGAGAAAAACAAGAAATGGCAAAAGGATTCCCTATGTAATAAACGGTGTTGGGAAAACTGGCTAGCCACATGCAGAAAACTGAAACTGGACCCCTTCCTAACACCTTATACAAAAATTAACTCAAGATGGATTAAAGACTTAAATGTAAGACCTAAAACCATAAAAACCCTAGAAGAAAACCTAGGCAATAACATTCAGGACACAGGCATGGGCAATGGCTTCATGACTAAAACACCAAAGGCAATGGCAACAAAAGCCAAAATAGACAAATGGGATCTAATTAAACTAAAGAGCTTCTGCACAGCAAAAGAAACTATCATCAGAGTGAACAGGCAGCCTAGAGAATGGGACAAAATTTTTGCAATCTATCCATCTGACAAAAGGCTAATATCCAGAATCTACAAGGAACTTAAACAAATTTACAAGAAAAAAGCAAACAACCCCATCAAAAAGTGGACAAAGGATATGAACAGACATTTCTCAAAAGAAGACATTTATGCAACCAACAAATATATGAAAAAAGGCTCATAATCACTGGTCATTAGAGAAATGCAAATCAAAACTACAATGAGATACCATCTCAAGCCAGTTAGAATAGCAATCATTAAAAAGTCAGGAAACAACAGATGCTGGAAAGGATGTGGAGAAATAGGAATGCTTTTATGCTGTTTCTGGGACTGTAAATTAGTTCAACAATTGTGGAAGACAGTGTAGCGATTCTGCAAGGATCTAGAACCAGAAATATCGTTTGACCCAGCAATGCCATTACCGGGTATATACCCAAAGGATTATAAATCATTCTACTATAAAGACATATGCACACATATATTTATTGCAGCACTATTTACAATAGCAAAGACTTGGAACCAACCCAAATGCCCATCAATGATAGACTGGATAAAGAAAATGTGGCAATATACACCATGGAATACTATGCAGCCATAAAAAAGGATGAGTTCATGTCCTTTGCAGGGACATGGATGAAGCTGGAAACCATCATTCTCAGCAAACTAACACAGGAACAGAAAACCAAACACTGCATGTTCTCACTCACAAGTGGGAGTTAAACAATGAGAACACGTGGACACAGGGAGGGAAACATCACACACCAGGGCCTGTTGGCAGGTGGGGGGCTGGGGGAGGGATAGCACTAGGAGAAATACCTAATGTAGGTGACAGGTTGATGGGTGCAGCAAACCACCATGGCACATGTATACCTATGTAACAAACCTGCACATTCTGCACATGTATCCCAAGAGAATATAATTTTTAAAAAATTAAAATAATAAATGCATAAGTGTTACTCATTTATTGAAAAATAAAACCTGAAATGTACTGGATTCAGTCATAATATGTCCAGATATTCTTATATTTTTCCAATATTTAAAGAAAATTAAATTTGTTATCTCCAGGCATTATTTAGGACTGAGGATAATTAGACAATTTTTGAAATTCTATCAATTTTTGAGGTCATTACAACTTATCACTAATTGGGTAATAGCAAGGTGATATGAAAATTTTTCTATTGAAGTCATGTACTTAGAAAAGCTTGTTCAGATCAATAAAAATTATATTCTACAGTCAATTTTAACTATAACAAGTATATTGTAAATGCATATCACTAGTTGCTAGCAAAAAAAGATGAAAAGAAATTAATATTATAGCCCATATTTACTAACTCATTGCTATCTCAAAAACTGTCCCTAACTTTCCACTAATGGCAGCATAATAGCTGAGGGTGTTCCATTCAAAAGAACCATGTCAGAACTTTTAACTTATCTACTTTCAGTCTGACAACTTTGTAAAGTAGATGTCACACCTAATTAGCAGATAGAAAAACTGAGGCTCAAAGAAGTTAGCTAACCTGTCAAAAATTACATGGCTACTAAGTGGAGAAGCAAGGAATCAAACCCAAAGAATGTAAGCCCTCAGAGACTGTATGTGCAAAAGAACAAACTGACTAGCTAGAAGTGGAATCACACCTTCAAAACTGTATTCCAGATTAACGATTTTACATAGTAGAAATATCTAATTTTGAAGATCTCTATTAAAATGATTCTTAAGTTCTTTTTTAAGTTATTAAGTTTCTTTTTAAAAATAAATATTTATAAAATGACTAGTCTAGCTATCAAAATATCACTACCATGGGGGAAATGGGAGAAAATTTTCTGGGATAAAAGAAACTAGAGACATAACAAGTCACTGCAACACACGGCCCTTAGTTGAGTCCTGGTAGGAACAAAATGACTAAAAATATTTTTGCCAAAATTTGAGTATAAACTCAATTTTAGATTATATGTTTGAATTATTAATATTGTTATAGGTTGATGGTGTTGTGTTATAAAAGAAAGGCTTTTTAGAGAGAAATGCTGAAATAGAGAGTAGCTGTTACAATTTCTGTAGTTTACCTTAAGATACTTCAGCAAAACAACTAAGATATATAGCAAAATGTTAAGAATTATGAAAACCAGGGAATGAGTATATAGTTCTACTACCCTCCTCACTTTTCTATATGTTTGAATATTTTTCAAGACAAAAAGTCAAAAATTGTTTTTAATTACTTGTATTTAAAAATTCAGTGTTGATTTTTTGGCTTTAAATACTGCCCTGCACCAGTACTTGGCACCACAGTATTTTTTTTAAATCCTCTGTCCTTTATTAACTTGTCTTATTGACAAGGAAATATGGTGTTCCATCACATTAACTGTCAGAAGGCAATCACTCTGCTTACTTTGAGAGCCCAACAGGAAAGAGTGGATGATCTGTTCCTGTTGGGAGGACCTGGGCCATGGTTGTTTGTTTCTCCGTAAGCGCCTTCAATTACTGTTCCACTACTCATCAAGCACATAAGTTACTCATTGAGAACCTCTGATCGTCACTGTGCTCATCAGGAAGAAATTGATGCACAAAGAACTACTGTCAATCTCAGCAAACCACAACTATTCTTTTCTTTAAAAGTAAATTCCTTGACACAAATGACCTTATCTTAAATCTAATAGATTTCCTATTTCCAAAAAGCTCGACTGGAGTGTTATAAAACCTGAAAATTCTCTTGTGCTTTCTCTTCTTTTGCTTCTAGTTACCATCCTCAAAGGATTGGCTAAAAGCAAGCAACTGGATTGAACACCCTAAGAAGAAAGATTCACACTGCACCAGGTATGTGGATACTTTAGATAGGTTCTAATATAAACTAAACAGCTTTCAAGTAATATACATATATTAAGTAATAGCAATAGTTGTTCTAATACAGTTATTCTCCTCTCTTCTTATGAACTGCCAAACAGTGTGGTAACACTCAATTCATATGTTATTAGAACACAATATGATTGGTAGGAATGTTTTTTGGTCTTGAAATTTAAAAACAAATCTGACAATATATTAGGAACCTGAAGAATAATAAGTAACCATTTCGTTTTTCAATTGGGTCAGATTGTTTTCTTCTTAGTGTGCTAGTACTATAATAATACCACTGAGACTTTATTATGGATAAGACATTATTCTCAGTACGATTTGTAATATATATATTATTCCAGTCAATCCTCAGGACATTCTTATGATGTAAGATTGCAACTCACTCAAAGTCATGCAGTGAGTGGCAGAGTCACACAGTAAGTGGGCAGAGCTTAAATCAAGTCTCTGACTGACTCTAACACCCATTTTATAAACCATGGGATTGTATTGTAAAGTGTGTCTAATCTCACAGCCCACCACATTGACATGCACACTAATTACCTGCCCTAATATGTAATCTGTCTATATGATTTAACCTTTATTTTGTTTTCTAAAGCTGATAAGCTGACATGTACACATTACATATATAACCAAAATGAGAAAAACAAAAGACCACATTCTTCTCTCACTCTTCCCTTCTACAACCTATAGCCAAAATACAATTCTCTTTTGCAAGTAGTTATTCAAAAAAAATATGTATTAAGTCTGCACTATGTACTAGGCATGATGACATAACAATGAATAAAGAATAATTCCTGTCATTTTGGGACTTAGAAAAAGGGTATCGGCCAGACACGGTGGCTCACACCCGTAATCCCAGAATTTTGGGAGGCCGATGAGGGTGGATTGCTTGAGCCCAGGAGTTCAGGACCAGCCTGGGCAACACAGTGAAACCGTGTCTCTACAAAAAATAAAAATAATAATAGCAATAGCCAGGAGCGGTGGTGCATGACTGTAGTCCAAGCTACTAGGGTGGCCAAAGTGAGAGGATCGCTTGAGTCTGGGGGGTGCAGGCTGCAGTGAGCCATGCGTGTGCCACTTCACTCCAGCCTGGACAACAGAGCGAGACTCTGTCTCAAAAAAAAAAAAAAGGTACAAGAAAAAGGATTATCAAATGGCAAAATCTTCAGTAGAATGAAATTGGAGGAAGAGTCCATTTGACCTGGTTCTTTGTTCCAAGTGACAGCCTTATAGCACAGCGACAAAGAGCATTTTCCTCTAACATCAGGAGTCTTTGCAAAACTGTGTAGTATCAGGTCATTTATATGATGGTTCCCCACAGAGGGGAGCTTCCTGAATTAGAAAAGAAATAAGAAGAAAATTATTTCCTTTTCTTATTGCTAAACTTCCTAAGATCCTGCCTTTCCTAGCCAATCTTTAATATCAATAGAAAATGCTCATTTTGCAAACTAGTTAGAATAATTCTTGAGCCTCCTCCATTGCTTCCTCTCTAAAAGAATGCATTTTAGGCCTGAAGCAATTTTGCATCACCCCTATGGAATGAAAATGTATACATAATTTTCAGAAACCATTGGTCTCTTTTTGCCTGTACTTTCTAATAAAAATAAGTTATTTACCAAAACGCATTCCTCTCCCATAATATCATAACTAATAGTACGCCACATTTCTGCTTTTCCCAGGAGACATCAGAAAGAATGAAAACTCTGCCGCTGTTTGTGTGCATCTGTGCACTGAGTGCTTGCTTCTCGGTAAGTATTCACCCAAATAAGTTTTTTCCTTAACTATCAATAACAAACATTTAGTGTACCTACCTGAGACTTTTAAAGCATAATAGGCAACCCCTATTTCCAAGAAGCTTGACATCTTTTATTTCCAGGAAACCTATAAATATGGACAATTGGCCGGTGCACTGGCTCACACCTCTAATCCCAGCACTATGGGAAGCCTAGGAGGGAGGATCACTTGAGCTCAGAGAAGTTCAAGACTAGCCTGAGTAACATAATGAGACAGTATCTCCACAACAACAACAACAACAAAATTTAATTAGCCAGGTGTGGTGGTGCGTGCCTGTAATCCCAACTACTCGGAGGCTGAGGTTGGGATCTTAAGCCTGGGAGGTCAAGGCTGCAGCAAGCCGTAATCATACCACTATGCCACAGCCTGGGTGACAAAATGAGACCCTGTCTTAAAAATATATACAGATAGGTAGATAGACTAGATAGATAGGTAGATAGACTAGGTAGGTAGGTAGGTAGGTAGGTAGATAGAGCATAAGGAAATAATTTGTTTCATTTATCCAATATCTATAGAGCACAAACTTTATAGTGAGTGTGATGAGAACTGACACAGATGAAAACCCAGGTTTGTAAGGCCTTTAGGTCTTGGTGTGGAATATGGTTTCAAATCTGTCAGGAAGTCTCAGCATGATCAAAGCACTCCCAGGGGATTTACATGACAGGATTCTCAGGAGAAGATAGGTAGCAGGTAACAAAAGCTGAGATAAGGAGACTAGTCAGGAAGCTATGGCAGTGGTCCAGATAAAAGATGATGGTGACTTGCACTAAATTTCAGCAATTAAAAGATAAGAGTGGGTTTAGGATATATTTTAGTGATTGAGTCTACTATATCTTCTGCTGGATTGTATATGTGGTAAAAGAAAGAAATGAACAGGCCGGGCGCGGTGGCTCATGCCTGTAGTCCCAGCACTTTCGGAGGCCAAGGCAGGTGGATCACCCGAGGTCAGGAGTTCAAGACCAGCCTGGCCAACATGGTGAAACCCCGTCTCTATTAAAAATACAAAAATTAGCTGGGTGTGGTGGTGGGCACCTGTAATCCCAGCTACTCAGGAGGCTGAGACAGGAGAATTGCTCGAACCTGGGAGGCAGAGTTTGCAGTGAGCCGAGATTGCATCACTGCACTACAGCCTGGGTGACAGAGCAAGATTTTGTCTCAAAAGAAAAAAAAAGAAAGAAATGAACAAAAACGTTCTAGTTTGGGGCATGTTACATTTGAAATGGCTATTAGACTTCCACATCAAGATATCAAGAAAACAGTGGATATATGTTGTCTGGAGTTCAGAAAGAAATCTAGGGGTAAAGTCTATATTTAAAACATACTTGAAGCCATGAAACCTTACAACATTTTCACCTAGGGAGAAAATGTAGGAAGTTTAGATATGGATAGAGAAAATGGAGGACCCACAAGAGGGGACAGGAAAGGATGGCTTCCAAAACCAAGAGAAGACTACAAAGTGGACCTTCTATCTTTAAGAAATTTAGGGTGTACTGGCAAAGGAAGATTAAAATTAATAATGATATAATGTGATTACAAGGTGATACATGCTGTAATAATAACCATATTTTTCTCTCATGCTATGTACCTGCAAGTATTTATTAAATTTTATTTTGACAAAATTTCAAATAAGAATCAAGAAGTGGAATGTACTTTTTTATTGAATGAGGATGGATAGCCTCAGAATATTACGCCAGTAGAGTAGAGAGAGAGAGGGCAGAAGAACTGATGAAGTGGACGGAATTTACTCTTGGATATTCTCATATTTCTCACTTACCTTATAATATCCCCCAGAAAACAATCAGGCTTTTTCCCGGACCCTAATGCTGATTTCTGTGACTAGAAGAGTGTTCAAGCTGGGCTCAGAAGATGTGGGCTTAAACTCATCTCTAATGTTTACCATCCAGATGAATCTTGAGCAATTTAGAATCTATTTATAGGGCCCCAATTTCCCTATGTGTAAAATAATAACAACACTATATGCTTCACAGGGCTGCTGAAGGGTAAATGAGAATTTATAAATTATAAACTATAGTGTAGATATAAAAATTATGACAAGATTATTGTAATCTCAATTTACATACTAGTTGATAAGGCTTTAAGTTCTGAATATGCACAGTGATGTTAACTTTTTAATAAGTAAAGTTTTAATAAGGAATCCCTGGCTACCAACACCTCTATATTGAAAGAAATAATTTTCCAATCAACACAAGTCATGTTATTGTGAAATGATGAATCTGGGTTGTTCTTTTGAAGTGGCCTTTCATCATAACTCCCTCAAATCCAGACACCTAAAGAATCCTTTCTTCCAAGTGCTTAGAATAAATAAAACTCTTCAAGCTGCCCAAATCTCAAAAAAGTGCCTGGTGAGAGAAAGAGTTTCCAAAGAACTTGAATATGAGAAGGTAGCACAGAAATACCTTGACCTGATCCTTAGAAAATACAGGAATGTGAGGTCAGGAGTTCGAGACCAGCCTGGCCAACATGGTGAAACATCGTCTCTACTAAAAATACAAAAATTAGCTGGGCGTGGTGGCCCACACCTGTAATTGCAGCTACTTGGGAGGCTGATGGAGGAGAATCACTTGAACTTGGGAGGCAGAGGTTGCAGTGAGCCAAGATCGTGCCACTGCACTTCAGCCTGGGTGACAGAGCGAGACTCCGTCTCAAAAAAAATAAAAAGAAAAGAAAATACAGGAATGTACCGGAGATTAGCATTAACCCACAGCCAGAAAAGGTCAGTCCTGGAGCTCTAGCAACAACCTGCTTTTGTGGAGTGATTTCAGGGAGCAGATAGTCTGGCTTCTCTCTTCCAGATGTCCCAAAGAAAGACTTGAAGGGATGTATTCTGGAGTCAGATGAAGAGCTCTGTCAACTATAGCATTATTTAGCATAATGCTTTCATTCTCTTTAAAAAAGGATCACAGATTTTCAAATGGTCATAAAAATAAGCTGGTAGCAAATGAAGAAATGAATTGTGCTTTCTAATTTCAATTAAATGTAATCTTGGGCCGGGTGCCGTGGCTCACACCTGTAATTCCAGCACTTTCAGAGGCCGCGGCGGGAAGATCACCTGAGGTCAGGAGTTCAAGACCAGCCTGGCCAACATGGTGAAACCCCCATCTCTACTAAGAATACAAAAATTAGCCAGGCATGCAGTACACACCTGTAATTCCAGCTTCTAGGGAGGCTGAGGCAGGAGAATCCCTTGAACCCAGGAGACGTAGGTTGCAGTGAGCTGAGATCATGCCACTGCACTCCAACTGGGTGACAGAGTGAGACTCTGTCTCAAAATACAAAAGTAAAAAATGTAATCTTGGCCTTTCTGTCTTCTAATTCTCTCCCTTTCTGACTAATTTTCTCCTCCTCTTCCTTCCTCAGAGAATTTGGCATTCCTCTAGTTATTTTAGGAGTCTTCTGCTTTCTCATACCCTCCTTTCTTGCTGCAAGTGCCATGTGTCTCTCCTTCTCCTTCCCTTGACTCCAGCCTACTCTATCCTTGTTCCTCATGTCTTCTCCCTCTTCTCTGCTCTCAAAAGTACAGTTTGCAAATGGAGAAACATTCTCCTAAAAGTTACTTAGTCTGAGACTCAGTTTTCCCATCCATATAATGAAGATAATAACCGTACCCACCTTATGATATTACTAAGAAATTAAATAAATTTGTATTTGTAAACCACTCAGAATAGGGCCTAACATAAAGTGTTACATGAAGACTTTTTTAATAAAAATAAATAATGAATGTGAACAGGCAGGCAGGGTTGCTATCTTTAATACACCCTCCCTGGCATATCTATATTTATTATAAGGACCTCCATACTTCAGTCACCTAAACTCAAACTTTAGAGGCATGCATTTTCAACTCCTTCCTCTCTCAGACTTCTCTAAATCCAACTCTAGTCTACAATTTCTGTTATAACCACCTGTAACTGCCAATCATAATAACTAATCAATATATTAAGTAAATCAAACAAACTGGTCATTTGATACATGTTCCAGGCCAAGCTAACATTAAAATTAATAGGATTTTAATCAATTTGCCTTCATATAAAAATGTGGTAGGTATTATTTTGGTCACCTAAAGTAAAATAGCTGAAACTATTTTACATATGAATAAACACTTTTAAATGTTAATACTTTATTCAATAACAAATTAGTTATTGTTATCATTTCCATGCATTTACTCATTCAATTAATAGCTAATGAGTACCTGCCATATGCCAGGCATAGTTTTAGGTATTGGACTTACAGAGGTGAATCAAAGAGGGGCCTTCGTGAGGCTCATGTGATTAAGGGAATGAACCACATAACTATTTCAAAGCAAATAAAATTAGACTTTGGATCTGGAATTTAATTTAATCCAAATCATTTTATAAATGAATAAGCCGACATCCAGGCACATTAAGTGACTTGACCAAAGTCACTCAGCTATTCAGTGGCAGACACAGGACAGAGCCAAACCTCCACTGCTGGTCTGTTGCAGCATGTTTCATACATGTTCCTATAAGATCTGGACATTCTTTGCAACATCCTCAGAGACCATCTGGAAAGGGAAAGACCGAGATCATGGAATGTGAGGCCCTCAATCCTGCTTCAGTCAGAGCAGGTCCTTAATTATGTGGATTGCATATTCAATCTCCAGGGAAAGATCTGTTTGAACAATATGACCTGTTCTATTTTATATGAGAAAACAACTACCCCTGTAATGGAAAGGATCTCCTCAGAGATTCCTGGAGTCAGTGTTACCGATTCTGAAAACCTATGCCCTTTTAAGAGAGATTTATGGAAAAATACCAAAGTCATGTGAGTATCAGAAGCCATTATGTTAGCTATTGGTTGTTCTCAGTTGTGAATTAAAATTTCCTGGACAATTTAATTTTCTAAACAAATAATACTTTCTTGTATTGATGGATGTTGTGGAGAATGTCCAGATCTTAGAGGAACATATTTGAAACACACTGCAACAGACCAGCAGTGGAGGTTTTAGTCTGTCCTATGTCTGGCATTGAATAATTGAATGACTTTGGGCAAGTCACTTAATATGCCTGGATCTCAGTTTATTCATTTATGAAATGATTCGGATTAAATTAAATTCCAGATCCAAAATCTAATTCTATGACCTCTTTGCTTTGAAATAGTTATGTGGTTCATTCCCTCAATCACATGAGCCTCACGATGGTCCCTGTTTCATTCACCTCTGAAAGCCCAGTACCTAGAAGCTATTTTTGAGGTTGGATATATTAGTCTCTGAGGAAGTTATCTTAGTTAAACAACTCAGCTAGTCTCTCAGAAGTTGTCACTTCATCTGCACTAAACTTTGTGTCCAAAGAAAGCTTTATAACTTGCGACTGGAATGATTTACCCATTTGGTCATCTAAAAAGGGCTTCTGTGAACATCATTAGGAAGAAAACGTAACCTATCCTTGTTTGGGATGTTCTCATTTATCCTGTTATATTTCTTTTCTCCAATTTAATATAACTGATCACTAAAAAATGTAGTATGAGATTGAATACAGGGAAGAGGGATATAAAAGGCATGAAGTATGTTTACAGATAAGAAACTGAAACAGTGATGGTACTCTAACTCAAATAATGTCAGCAATGGCTAAAGGAAATAAAAATATCTTGCAAAATGATGACCCACATGGCATAGAAGTTATTTTCAAATTTTGAAAGACTTCTGGATCTTCTGTAAATCTGCCAAAACAAAATTAGGACCAAAGGATGGAAATCTTCATGAAGAAAATTCTACTCAGTTAAGAATGAAAATCCCAAAAAACAAACCTACATTCAGTGTCAAGAACTCTCTACCAGGCGGCCTTAGGAATTACAGTAGTGAGTTCCTAATCAGAAGAGGTTAGATGCATAGACTAGAAAGCCTTTCAGCAGGTGTATTGATAAAAGATCAAGTATCAGATGTACAGTTGGACTGGATCAGTGTTCTTTTCAGATGTAAACACCTTTCAGAAATCATGAAAACCATTGGTGCTCTATCCAGACAAAATGCATAAACATGCAAATTTTCTCTAAAAATCAGATGACTCATGAACCCCCGAATCATGAATTCTATAATTCTAATTTTTTAAACAATAAAGTTAAAAGGTAATGACCAAAGTTGTTTCTCCAATTTATAAAGGCTAAAAACTGTTTCCTGAAATATGGAGAACATGAAGCCGGGGTGGGATATTTTGTTTGTTGGGGCTTTGTTGTTGTTTGGCTGTTTCGTATTTTGATGATGGTAGATATGAGGGGTGTAATCTAGAAAGGGCTCCTGGATCTCAGTTGAATGTCTTTGACTAAAGTTTTGTGAACAGGCTGAGCAAGCAGGAAGCTTTTGTGATGGGACCTCAGGCAGTAACTTGACCATTTTCCACCAGAGGAAGAAGAGAGGAACTGTAAGCACAAAAGTTCGTATCCAGCTAAGCATTCAAGCTAGAACCCACAGGAATATATTCATCCCAGCTATCTAGAGAGTAGACATTTGACAAAAGAAAACTCTCTAGTAGCAATTCTTTCTTGAAACTTGGTGAAATTAGGAAGATAATCACTTGACTCAATAATGTACTCTGGTTTCTAATCCCAGCATTCCACAAATACCGCTCATCTCATGGTCAGCAGTGATCACCTGATTGATAAATGGATACTTTTTTCATTTCTTACATTTTCTTTCTTTTCTGCAGTTCAGTGAAGGTCGAGAAAGGGATCATGAACTACGTCACAGAAGGCATCATCACCAATCACCCAAATCTCACTTTGAATTACCACATTATCCTGGACTGCTAGCTCACCAGAAGCCGTTCATTAGAAAGTCCTATAAATGTCTGCACAAACGCTGTAGGCCTAAGCTTCCACCTTCACCTAATAACCCCCCCAAATTCCCAAATCCTCACCAGCCACCTAAACATCCAGATAAAAATAGCAGTGTGGTCAACCCTACCTTAGTGGCTACAACCCAAATTCCATCTGTGACTTTCCCATCAGCTTCCACCAAAATTACTACCCTTCCAAATGTGACTTTTCTTCCCCAGAATGCCACCACCATATCTTCAAGAGAAAATGTTAACACAAGCTCTTCTGTAGCTACATTAGCACCAGTGAATTCCCCAGCTCCACAAGACACCACAGCTGCCCCACCCACACCTTCTGCAACTACACCAGCTCCACCATCTTCCTCAGCTCCACCAGAGACCACAGCTGCCCCACCCACACCTTCTGCAACTACACAAGCTCCACCATCTTCCTCAGCTCCACCAGAGACCACAGCTGCCCCACCCACACCTCCTGCAACTACACCAGCTCCACCATCTTCCTCAGCTCCACCAGAGACCACAGCTGCCCCACCCACACCTTCTGCAACTACACCAGCTCCACTATCTTCCTCAGCTCCACCAGAGACCACAGCTGTCCCACCCACACCTTCTGCAACTACCCTAGACCCATCATCCGCCTCAGCTCCACCAGAGACCACAGCTGCCCCACCCACACCTTCTGCAACTACACCAGCTCCACCGTCTTCCCCAGCTCCACAAGAGACCACAGCTGCCCCAATTACCACACCTAATTCTTCCCCAACTACTCTTGCACCTGACACTTCTGAAACTTCAGCTGCACCCACACACCAGACTACTACTTCGGTCACTACTCAAACTACTACTACTAAACAACCAACTTCAGCTCCTGGCCAAAATAAAATTTCTCGATTTCTTTTATATATGAAGAATCTACTAAACAGAATTATTGACGACATGGTGGAGCAATAGTATATTGTATGTTGTAAAGTGTTCTGTCATTTACAAGATGTGATTCATGAGTGCAGAACTACCACCTTTCTTTTAGCACCAATCCCAACATGAAATTATATTACTCAGATTTAAAGCACTATCATTAATCTTTCAATCTAATTATTCACCACCACAAGACCTATTAACAAGACAAAATGCCTCTATCCCACAAGCCAGATGCAGGTCTGGGGTTCAAAATAACTCTTTGGATCCTACAGAGATAGCCTACTGAGGGCAAAGAAAGTCCTTAGATAAAGAGAGAATATTGTATGGGCCATCAACCATTTACTTTTCCCTGAATGTTAGAAACTACAAAACCACTACCTTGTACCCCCATCAAAATCCCACCTGAACCATCTAATCCTATAAACATAAAGGGGTAAAATTGGAACTCTCCAGATGAACAAAGACATCTAAATATCTGTAGATAGAAACATTTATCTATCTAAATATATTGATAGACCTGTCATTGTATTGATTAATGACAAAACCCTTTAGATAATTATCTTCCATTTTAAATAAAATTTTATTTCACAAATATGAGCCAAGAAAGAGGAAAGTTGATTTGAAGTGAGGATTAGAAGTGAATGACAATAAAGTCTGTCAGCCAAGCACGAACCAAGACTGGCACTATTTTTCTTAGTGTATATAATTGTTTAAACTGCAAGGTTGACATTTATTGTGTTGTGTCTAAGTTAATTTCGATCTAATGTACCTGATTCTAGCCTCTGTGAACAACAAGAATATGTTTGTGTATGTTCACATGGTGCTTATAATATTTCACTATCAATTCAATTAATTCACATAAATTCCATGTGAAATGTATTCAACAATGGAATATTTTCTAAAACATTTAGTATACATTTGAATGTATTTTAAACCATGCCAAACTACTGCTTTAATGTCAAGTTTGCAGAATTGTCTCTGAAAATAAAAACCCTGACTTTAGTTGTAAAACAATAAAAGTTAGCTACTTGGTATACGGAGATGTTAATTTGGGATATGGAGGCATTTTTATCTTCTGTCACTACTACTTAAAACTCTGATGATTATGTTAGATTTTTTTGCTAACTAATAAAGATTTCAAATGGCAATTTATATTCATTGTGTGTATCTGGAAGTTTCTTGCCTTTCTTAGACTCTGAGACTGGTGAAAAGAGACCCAAATGAAAATTTACATTTTTGTCAACTCTGCCACTAATGAGTCAAGTGACTTGGGTAGGGCACTCTATCTCTAAACATTCATTTTCTTTATTTTTCAAAATGATTAATTTACTTAAATTAACTTAATCTTACTTCTTAATATATGTTTCCAATCCAAATTATGTGTTTGCCCTATGCTTCTCGGTCTGACAATTAAAGACCCCATCTCCCTCACTTTACTCTGTCCATCTAGGCTCATTTTGGTAGCTCTGTATAGACCAGTCCATGACTGATCACTGCAGGAGTACTGGAACCTGGCCATTTCTGCCCAAAATAGAACTCCTGCAACAGGCAATCTTTGCTTCAGATCTTCCCTTTGAGCCAAGGCTTTATCATATCTACATCATGGACTGAGGCTTTCCCTCCTAATCTTGCTTTCTTCCTCTCTTTCCTCTCATGAGTATCTGATCTACATCATAATGTGAAAGCTTTCCCTGCCCACTTCTCCCTCATCCCCCTATTTTCATATGCATTACTCCCCAGTAAACTGCTTAGTTTCCTAGGAGAATGGGGAAAAATAATAGAAAGTAGAATAAATTCACTGACTGCCTTATTGATAAAAGCTGAGAGACAAGATACCACTTAAAGCTGACAAATCAAGTAGTAAAAACTTAAGTATATGTAAGCAAACAAAATAAATGTTAAGAAATATGACATTGTGGACTAACACTGGAAGGTGGAGAAAGAGACAGTAAAAGGAAGAAGATGCTACAGGTTAATTTTATTTCTCGTAGTAGGAAACCAATAAAACTGCCTTAAGGAAGAGGAAACACAGGGTATCACATAAAGATATTAATATGTGACTATTAAAGTAAAATTAAAATATTCCCATGTGTTACAACAACTACCAAAAAACAATAGGATGGAACCCATAAAAACTTCTTAAATAGACCCAGATGTATACAGAATTTCAGTACATACTTGTGGTGGTTAATATTGAGTGTCAGCTTGCTGAGTTTTCCAGCCTTCATCTGTCTCCCATGCTGGATGCTTCCTGCTCTCGAACATCTGACTCCAAGTTCTTCAGCTTTTAAGCTCTTGGACTTACACCAGTGGTTTGTCAGGGGCTCTCAGGCCTTCAGCCACAGACTGAAGGCTACACTGTCAGCTACCCTATTTTTTAGGTTTTGGGACTTGAAGCGGCTTCCTTGCTCCTCAGCTTGCATATGGCCTATTGTGGGACTTCACCTTTTGATCGTGTGAGTCAATACTCCTTAATAACCTTCCCTTCACATATACATCTATCCTATTAGTTCTGTCCCTCTAAAGAACCCTAATATAATAATTAAATCAGAGGTAATATGGGGCATTTTAATAAATTTTCTTGGAAAAGAAATTGAGGGTCTTTTGGAGAAAGATACACACCAAATTGAGCAAAATTATAAATTTTCCAAACTTAAGTACTAGGAAGAAACGTGGATGAATTCTTTTATATCCCTAAAATAAGGAAGTCCTTTCTAAATATAACCCTACAGCCTAAAGCCAAAGAAAGAAACATTGATTACTTTGCACAAAATTCTATATCTTTTATGTGGATAAAAATGTTAGAAAAATAAAGAGCAAATAACAAACTAGGAAAAAAGCACTTTTTTGTCTGTATCACAGACAGAAGGTTAATTTCTCAATAAAACACAAAAAGGTCCTACGAATGGAGAAGAAAAACAGGTCAGTGTAAAAATTGACAATGATGTGAGCAGACTACTCACAGAAAAAAATGATAATAATAATACAGTCCAAGTATATGAAGAGCTGCTAAACTTAATTTACAGTAATAGAAATGAACAATAAAACTACACCGAGATACTATTTCCCATCTAATATATGGGCATAAATTCAAAAAAAAGACACCTTTTGTGGGTGAGGCTGGGGGAAACAGGCCCTCTTATACTTCACTTGTGGAAATTAAAAATGGAACCTAGAGAGCAAAATCTGATAATATCTTTTAAGATCCCAGCTATATTTACTCTATTACTCAGCAATACCATTTCTAGAAATCTATCCTACAGATATACCTGCACAAGTACAAAAAGATATATATATACATATATATATATATAAAAACTTATCCATTGTGGCATTTAATAATGGCAAAAGAATAAGAAAAATCTATGTGTCCAGATATAGGGATCTGGTTGAATAAAACATGGTAATTCTACATGACAAAATGTGATACAAGCTATGAAAATGAATCAGGAAAGCCTGTGTTCTCACATGGAGAGATCAAGATATATAATAAAGGTATTCAAAAAAAAAAAAAACCAAGATGAAGAATAATATATAAAGTATATTACATTTTGTATATGAGAGTGGACAAAATAAGCAAGTGTATGTGTATTTGCTTATTTTTTTTAAAAAACTATATATAATACTATATATAGTATAAATGCTATATAAATATACATATATACATTTGTATATATATTAGGGTTCTCTAGAGGACCAGAATCAATAGAATATGTATATGAAAGGGAATTTATTAGAGAAAAATTGGCTCAACAATCACAAAGGTGAAGTCCCAGGACAGGCTGTCTGCAAGCTGGAGAACCAGAGGAGGCAGTAATGTGGCTTAGTCCAAGTTCAAAGGCTTCAGCTAGGGAAAGCCATCATTGCAACCCCCAGTCTGAGAATGAAGGCCTGAAAGCACTCAGGATGCCACTGGTGCAAGTCCCAGAGTCCAAGAACCAAAGACTCTAGAGTCTGCAGGAGGAGAAGAAGACTTCCTAGGGCAGAAGAAAGAGATGAAGCAAAGGCGAGCTGAGTATCCTTCTTCCACCTGCTTTGTTCCAGTTGGGCTCCCAACTGTTTGGATATTGACCACCCACATTGAGGATGGGTCTTTCTCTCTCAGTCCACTGACTCATACATTAATCTCCTCTGAAAACACCTTCACAGATACACCCAGAAACAATACTTCGCCAGCCGTCTAGGCATCCCTCCATCCAGTCAATTTGACACCTAATATTAACTGTCACAAGTCCACCGCTGGTCAGCTTGGCATCCATATGCATCTCCTTAGACCAAACAATTTCTAAATAAAGCCAACAACAAGGTCATAATTCTGCCTAACCTGATACAACTACCCTGCATACTACCAAAAATGCACTTATCCTGTCCTCAAAAGAGGAAGTAAAGTTCTTCAGTGATGTTTACTCCTTTTCTGGTAACTTAACATCCCAAAGCTTACATACTATGATGTAATATTAATAATACTTAAATACTGATCCAAAGTTCCATCAATCTTAGGTTACATGATAAAGGAATAACAGAGGAAAGAAAATAAAAATATTTGTTTAATATATGTGTATATATATATACATATATGTGTATATATATATTATAGAGATGCACAAACATATTCTTAACAAAATAGGGAGGAAATGCTTACAACAATTACAGTTCTCATTTCTGTAGCTGATCATGTGGTCATAGCTGATATTTATTACTACCCATTCTTTATTTTCTTTGTTTTCTTGGTAAGTCAAAGAGAATAAAGAATGGGTAGTAGAAGAAGGTAGTAATAAATACCAACTATGGATGAAATCTTTCCCTGTGGGGTGACCCAAACTTTCCTTCCTGAAGGGTCTGGATCATTCGTAGTCCTGTCTGGATTTGCTTGTTGTTGGATTAGGTTGGATTAAGGTTAATTTCTCATTGACCTTAATCACAGGACATAATACTAAGAGGCTACCCTAAGGATCTCTTGTATTCCAAACATAAACTTCCTGACCTCCATTGTGGAGTAGCAATCCAACTTCCCCTTAGTAGTCCAGATCAATCACCCCAATCAATATCTTAACTCCCTTTTTAATCTATTGACTTGGAGGCACTAGGTGCTTAAAGCAGCCAGTGGCAGTCTTACTTTCCAATTCTTTGGAATTATTGTTGTGTCTCCCAGTAAAGAATTCCTTCCTCTGAAACTAAGACCTCTAGGCCAGCAAAATATAATGTCATGGGAACAGGAAGCAAAAATTTTGCTAGTGGATCACTAGGGGTGATGGTGAGTGGTGCCACTCCCATTTCCACCCCTTGATTGCTGAACCTGTGAATCCTAACTATGGGAGAAAGAGTGTCATATATTGGATGCTGATTCAGAGCACTACAGCCTTCTGGAGAACTCTGGCCCAACTGTGCAAAGTACTGACACCTACCTGGCACTGTAACTGCAACTTCAAAAAGCCATTTCACTGATCTATCAAGCCAGCTACTTCAAGATGATGTGGAATATTGTTAAGACCAGTGACTTCCATAAGCATGAGCCTATTGCTGCACCTCTTTGGCTGTAAAGCAAGTTCCTTGGTCAGAATCAATATGGTGTGGAATACCATGACTGAGGCTAAGATATTCAGTAGGTCCACAATGGTAGTTCTGGCAGAAGTGACAGCTTTCCTTTGGCTTAATAAATTCTACTCCACTCACTCTCCAGTGTCCATGCACCTAATTGTTCCTGGTTGTGAGACAAGAACTCAGACCTAGCTGAGCTAAGGAATGGAAAGTCTGTATCACAATGCTTCACCAACCATCTAGGAATCCTTCAATCGAGTCCAGTTAATACCTAACAGTAAGCATCACAATATGGATAAACAAATACCTAATTTACATAGTTACCTAAAAGAGAAATGAGACGGGGGCATTGCAGAAACTAGACTTCTGTGTTTATACCCTTGTGGGTAGTTTTGTATTTTGAACCACGTAAATACACTACTTATTAAAAATAAATTTTAGTTGAAAAAGCTGACAACAATAAACACAATAACGATGTAAGTCATGGGCAGTATATTGTATTAGTTTTCTATTACTGCTGCAACAAATTACCACAAACATAGTGGCTGAAAACAACACAAATTTATTCTTTATAGTTTTGTAGGTTAGACCTTCCACACAGGTCTCACTGGGCTAAAATCAAGGTTTTGGCAGGGCTGAGGTCCTTTCTGGAGCTTCCAGGGAAGATTTATTCCTCACCTCTTCCAACTTCTAGAGGCTGTTTTCTCCATCTTAAAGCCAGCAATACTGTGCTTTTCTTCCATTGTCACATCTCCCTGTGACTCTCTTCTGCCTCTCTCTTCTACTTTTTATTTTTTACGGCTATTTCCACATTAAAGATTATACTCGTGATTATATTGTGTATACTTGTGATTATATTATGCCCACCAGGTGATCCAAAATAATAGCTCAATTTTAAAGTCAGACTATTAAAAAAACCCTAATTTAATCTGTAACCTTAATTACCTTTGTATCACATAATTTGACATATTCATGGGTTCTGAAGATCAGAATGTGGATGTCTTTTGGGTCATATGTCAAAGGTAATGAGTGTACATCAGCAAGGAGAACATGCTGCGATTCTAAATAGAGTGTGAAGATACGCCTCGCTGAGAAGATGATGTTCGAGCAAAGATAGGAAGAGAAAATCTTCTGAGCCTTTCTGATCTCCTTGTTGTTCTTCAAACTATGCACTCGCTGACCTCTGGGTCTATGCATGACTGTCCTCTTTGCCTGAAACTCCCTTCAGCCAAATATCTTCATGCTTGACTTCTTTACTCCTTCATGTTTTGCTCAAAGATAGGAAAGAGAAGGTGGGGTACAATTTATAGTGGCCAAGCTTAGAAGTGTCATACATTTTTTTCTGATCATGTTCCATTGGCCACAACTAGACACGAGGCCCTAGATACAAGGATGGTAGGAAATTCAGATTAGCTGTGTCCCTAGGAACTAAAAATGGGTTTGAAAATGAGGTTGAATATTGAGCCAATGTCTTTTACAACTTTCCTTTTCACAGCACATGGAACTAATTAGGTACGCTTTTGAAAGACTTAGTAAATATTTGCATGAGTCCCTAACTGCCTGGCAGGTAAATCACATATTATGAGTACAAAGTTTTAATAAAGAATTGGGCCTCTTAGTGCTAATGGCAGTGGGAATCCAATGACCCAAAAGAATTTACATAGCTTAATCCCAGCACATAAAATTCACTGGGAAATCATGACTCAAAAAAAATCACTGTTCCTCAGCAATGAATAGATACGAGAAGATCTGCTGCCAAACATCGTAACTGCTGTTTCTTTGTGTGGATAAAGATTATAACTCTACAAGCGACCTTCCCTTCCAACAAAACTTTCTCCTATTGCCAACAAACACTGAAGACTATAACAAATAGTATGTCCCTTAACATAATACAGCCACTGGCCACCATCGAACTTCACCAACATTTTGACCTCTACATAAGAAGACAAAACCAAACACCGCATGTTCTCACTCATAAGTGGGAGTTGAATAATGAGAACACGTGGACACAGGGAGGGGAACATCACACACTGGGGTCTGTCAGGGGGTGGAGGGCAAGGGGAGGGATAGCATTAGGACAAATACCTAATGTAGATGACGAGTTGATGGGTGCAGCAAACCAACATGGCACATGTATACCTGTGTAACAAACCTGCACGTTGTGCACATGTACCCCAGAACTTAAAGTATAATAATAAAAAATAAATGTAAAAGAAAGCAACTCCTTATAAAGGTAGATACTGGAAATTCTGAATTTGAGACGTCTTTTACTCAGATTCTTTTGCATAAAAATTCATAGCATCATATTATCTTTTCGTTTTTTTATTTTTAAAATGTGGATGCTTTATCCTGAGGAAACAGACTTGAAACAGGAACCCAGATTTCAACATTTGTAAAGAAAAGAGAGAAAACGACTTTTTTTTTTCAGAAATACAAAGAATGGAGAGTTGCAAACTCCAGAGATTCAGAGATGACCTAGTCACCTGACAGGGTTGTATAAAAAGTTAACTCTCAGCAAATGGAACATTTTTCAGGCTGCTCTGAGTCAAGGCAGTGACAAATATACCTCTGTTACACCTCTATGATTATCACGTTTCCTTCTGCTTTTATTGCAATAATCTTACATGTAACTTTTATTTTAAACATTGACCTTCTTCCCACAGGAAACTTGCTTTAGAGATTTCTGTATTCCCTACTGTGCCCAGTGCAGAGCCTGGCATAGATAAGTTATGTAACAAATATCTCTTAAATAATTGAAGATGCTGGGGATTTGGGAACTGAGATATCTGCAATGATTATATTTACATAAGGGCCATACAGCTGGAGATCACTTTACATCTCTCAAAGTGCTGTCACATTACCAGATCATTTACTTCTTACAGTGACTCCAGATATGAGATATGTAAAATTCCTGAAGATTTTCTCATCATTATTATTCACAAGGCCATGTCTCTTAAAGATTGTATATAAAAACATAAACTGCATTTTTTTCAATTAACTTGAACTTAATCAATGTATTCATCAGTGTGGCTGAGGAATAACCATCTGACCATTTTCAGGACATAACAGAAAAAGGTGAAAACACTCTCCCTGATTCCTGGACTTCGGGTAATGACTTCCAGCTTCTTGGTAAGTCTCATCAAGCACTATCTTCATCCTTCTTATTTTATTCAGATCACCTTTGCAAATACACAGTGATAATTCTCAACCTTTTTTGTGTTATCTGAACTTCCCAAATGTTAGAAATTTTGGCAGCACACTTAACAAGATTGAATTGTATCCATTTATTGAGCTATTCACTTGTCATCCTTCAAAGATGACTTTGGCTACCGTGTGGGAAAAATGTACTGGATGAAGATGCTGCGTTAGCAGCTCTGAGTCCCTTCCCCACGATTAATCCCAAATTAACTACAGAGAAAAAAAAAGCACTATGAAGGAAGAAAACTGGGAAAATATGGAGTGAAGGGATGGGGAGAAGTGTTTAAACTGATGTATGACATGGAAGGTTTTGGCTTTGGCAGAAGGCAGGTAGGCTTGGCAATGCAAAGAAGACAACGTAGAAAGGGAACCATAGGGGTTCTGCAATCTGCTCTCCCCGACTTTGGCCTTTGGACCTCTGGCCCAGAAAACCTGAGGGGTGAGTTGGGGCAGCACAGAAGCCCTGTCTCACACAGTCCAGATTTCTCCTTCAGGACCAAGGCATTCAAGCCTACAGCTGCCTGCATTGCTGGTTGCTGACAGCTGATAGCCAATTCCCTCTCCAGGAATTGCCCTAGAAGAGAACCAACATATAAGCCCTCCCTAGGACAGCCTACATTCAATTATTAATTAATGGAGTCAGGATAGTGGAACCAAGTTCTGGCCCCGTTGCCTCAATGTTAGACACACCGAATGGCTCTCCTTGCTCAGAAACTTTGGAGAGTTGCTTCCCTCGAAAGCCCAGCTATGAAATACAATCTGAGGAGCACTTCCTCCTGCTGGTGCTTCTCTCTGAGATGCAAAGAGCTATTCTGCAGCAATAGGAGCAAAGAAATATGAGGAAGTGTGGCCGGGCATGGTGGCTCACGCCTGTAATCCTAGCACTTTGGGAGGCTAAGGGAGGCAAATCATGAGATCAGGAGTTCGAGACCATCCTGGGCAACAAGGTGAAACCCCATCTCTGCTAAAAATACACAAAAATTAGCTGGGCGTGGTGGTGTGTGCCTATAATCTCAGCTCCTCAGGAGGCTGAGGCAGGAGAATCACTTGAACCTGGGAGGCGGGAGTTGCAGTGAGCCGAGATAGCACCACTGAACTCCAGCCTGGGGGACAGAGTGAGGCTCCATCTCAAAAAAAACAAAAGAAAGAAAGAAATATGAGGAAGCAGGTCAGCGAGCGAACTGACTCCTGACGAATGCTGAAAGTGCTGCAAGCTCGGTTCATTTTCCTTTCTCCCCCTCCCTTCTTCCCTGATTAATTTTAAAAAGTTTATAGGGACACTCAGACTTATATCTTCCGTACCCATCCTACTACACAAAATAGAATGGAAAATATCATGATTTGCCCCCTATTTATCACTAGCTCAACAGCTCTACTAAGAAAAAACAATGTTCCTAGACAGAAAATGGCATGTGAATGTCCGACATTTGGGCCTATCAGTACATAGATTAAATAGTACTAAGACTTTTTTTAACTAAATACTGGATAAGTCCTATCATTTTCTTCCTACACTTAATTGATCATCTTTCACACACCTGGGGTGTGTGCACCCAACCCTGTAGATTTTCAAGGAAATGCAGTTAGCACCATGACTTCTGTGCAGTCCCTGTGCCCAGTCAAAGGCCTATCTTTGTTACAAGAGTACAGACAATACAGTCAAGTAATGAAACAACTTCCAAGATAAAGGACACCCTATTCAAACTTTAGGATTCCTAGGTTTGAAGTTGTGAGAAAAAGAATAAGGAAATGCCAGTGCCAAGAGTAGGTTTAGTGTAAAGCCTGTAGAATTTTTTTTGACAGCCTCTCAAAGTTCAATTGTCACTAACACAAAAATATACTAGCATCAATCAATATTGCAAATTGTTTGTCTAACCTTTCTAAAATCCACACTTTTGTGGAAAGTGGAATAGAAAATATTTTGATGTTCCTTCAACTTATCTTTAGTTAAATCTCTCTGTGAACACAGGTCAATGTGCCAGGATAGAAAACAGTTTGGCTTCATTTAATTATTTTACTCTTTTCTCAAAATAATTTATCTCAAATAAATATATGGGTAACTGATCATATTATGTCTTTAAATTTTATTATGGTGCTGGAGATATGTATCCAAACACAAAGAAAAAAACTTTAAAATATAAGAAAAGTTATACTTAGGAATCATATTTTTTAATGGGAAGAACAAATTTATGTTAGGATAAAGCGTCTTTGCACTTAATTCTCCCACACCACCCTCTCAACAAAGTTAATGAATTTAGTCATGTAATATTATAAACATAAAACAGTCCACCTGTTTAAGCTCATTTAATATTAAGTTTTCACAAGTACTGAAATATACAAACATGGCCAGATGTGGTGGCTTATGCCTGTAATCTGAGCACTTTGGAAGGCCGAGGTGGGCAGATCACTTGAGCTCAGGAATTCAGGACTAGCCTGGGAAACACAGCAAAATCCTATCTCTACCAAAAATACAAAAAATTTTTTGTATTTAAGTTTAAGTTACAGTAGCATACACCTGTAACCTGTAGTCCCAGCTACTCAGGATGCTGAGGTGGGAAGATCCCTTGAGCCCAGGAGGCAGAGGCTGCAGTGAGCCAAGATCATACCACTTCACTCCAGCCTGGGTGACAGAGTGAGATCCCATCTCAATAAAAAATATTAATAAATTTAAAAATAAAATATACAAACATTTGAACAGAGAATTAAAACCCTGTATCACATTGCATAAGATATTATACCATCCCTGGAATTTACCATGAAGTAATGGCTGAAGATCTTAGACAGGTAAATAGCTCCAATTTGTATCTGCTATCCCTTTTCAGTAAAATTGTCTTGCTGATATTAAATATCAGTTCTCTCTAACCCCTAACCAAGAATAGATTTCTAACCCACTAAAACAAAAAGGATATTCTATTATTCTCTATGTCTAGTACAGTAAATGTGTTGCCTAGTACAGTAAATGTGTAGTACGAGTAACGGTCATCCCACATCCAGGAGAGATCTGCTATGCAAACTCTCTTCCACCTATTCATTCAGAAAACAGTACTTACTTACTTAAATGCCATTCATTTTTCCAGATATCCAAAACATAAGATAAGCCATGCCTTCCCAAACAACTCTTAGTCAAATGTGATATTTGATTCCTGGACCACTTGCACAGAATCCCCTGGGGGACCTTCCCAGGCCTTTGTTAATTCTCTTAAGCCAGCTCCAAACCTCCTCTAACCATATTTACCAATCTCTCCATTTCATTCTTCAAAACTTCTTCAAACAACCCACTTACTCAATTAAATCCACAGTTGAAGTACTTATATACACTTACATTTCCATCAAAGAAACTAAGTACACCAAGATATATTTGAAGAATGACTCTGAAAATCAAAACCCTGTACTGGGTGATATGCAGAATACTAGTTTCAAATGAATGCAAGAAAGTAAAAATTACTGACAATTCAAAGCAACTTAATAGGGTCAATGACTGGTGATAATAAATGCTCAGAAAAGACAAGGAATATTTGATGATTTTGTAAACATTTGCTTAAATTAGAACCTAAAAGAAATGTGTACACAATTTTAGACAGAGAAAAGGGAGGTCCAGGAGAAGCAATAAGAAAAATGTGCTTGATGTATCAGGGTAAACGAGCAAAATAACCTCGTTTGAAAGGAGAGTTCATGGTAGATAATTGCATTAGTTTGTCCGGACTATCAAAACAAAGTACCACAAACTGGGTGGCTTAAACAACAGATGTATATTGTTGAACTGTTGCTAGAACTGTGTCGAAAATCAATGTGTCAGCAGGGTTGATTCATTCTGGGAGCTGTAAGGGAGAATCTTTTATGCTCCTCACTTAGCTTCTGGAGGTTTGCTGGCCTTCCTTGGCACTCCTTGGGTTGTTCATTCATTACGCTAATCCTTGTCTTTATGTGCACATGGTATTCTCCTGTGTGGGTATCTATCTGTGTGTCTGAATGTTCCCTTTTTGTAAGAACGTCAGTCATACTGGATTAAGGCTCACCCTAGTGATCTCATTTTAACTTAATTTCCTCTGCAAAGACCCTATTTCCAAAAAAGATCATATTTTGAGGTACTGAAGGTTAGGGCTTTAACATACCTTTTTGAGAGGGTTACAACTCAACCCATAACAATAATAAAGCGAGAGATGGTGAAGATGTGGGATCATCTTGCATAGCAATATCTTACCTGCTAAGCAACAGGGAAATTTTTAAATCTCATAAGGAGACATGTGACATGATGAAAGTGTTTGGGAGGAGGTTATAATGGAGGGATAAGGGTGATAAATCTTGCACAGGAGAGAGAGAAAACTTAGAATTCAGACAATGTGGAAGCTATTACAATAACCCAAATGTAAGGTCCTGGGGGCAGCCTGGACTTCCTTTTACAGGAGACTAGTAAGAAAAATATATATATGCAAGAGACATGAGGGAAAGAATAAAACGTGTTGACTAATTAGATATAGGTGGTAGCAAAAGGATTCCATGCTCCGAATGCAAGTGCTGGAAAGAATAATGGAGTCAGGTTGGGAAACCAACTGCTCAGAGGCAATAAATTTGATTCTAGATATGTTAAATTTGAGGTAGCCTCAGGACTTTGAAGCTGAATGCTTAGTAGGCAGTACCAGAAGTTAGAAAGAGATCAGATTTAACCTTGTAAATGTCAGAGTCATCATCAGCTAAGAGGATTCAAGGTTTCCTTTCACAGATCTTTAGAAGTCTTTTCTGAAATAAATTCTGAGAAGATTTAGCTCAACTCTGATCGATTAATTTTGCCACCGATTTTGTGAGCACCTGCTCTTGAGCTTGTGAGGCTGAGAATCAAGGTTAATGAGGTTTGTGAGTTTTGTTTTGTTTTTTTTTTCAAAATAAGCTAAAATGATAAAAGGTTTTATTCCAAGACTCAAGTGAGTATCATCAACGTGATGTCATTTCCAGGAAAAGTTCAATATATTAAATTCTCCTAATATTTTAGTTCCTCCTAAAAGCATGTTAGACACTGTATAAAATCACATTGAAAGACACCAAGAACCATAAGTTTCTATCAACTAAAGGTCTTCCTGTGGATGCACTCCCAGTAATGCAAAAGAGTTTAGATAGTTTTCAAAACTGACTCTGAAAGTACAAGTTGTGCACCAGAAGAATATGAGTCTGTATTTGCTTAAGAAAAAAAAAAGTATATATATATATATAAAGGATTCCTGCCAATTTCTACTCACTACAACTACCCTTTGTTTAAGAGAAGACTATCAGTCTAGAAATGAACTCATCAAACCTTTTTACATCATCCATAGAAATCCAGTACGAGGGACATATATAATCACCAATATTTTTCTACAACTTCTCCTTGTTAATGTTTTAAATTTCGAGTTACTATCAAGAGGAAGCTTATACACAATACTAATAAAAGCCAATCTGACAAAAGCTTCTACCAGGATAAGTATACGGATATTTGAAAATAAGAACTTTACCTAAAATTATTCAACTTAAAATAGAGTTTTTAATTAAGAATACTTATGAAAAATGCTAGGAAACATTAATTGCAGCCAATCCAAAAACTCAAATGTGCCCTAAGTGAAAGAGGTGAAATATAATATTTTAAATTAAGATTCAAAGTTTTGCACATTGGAAAAAGAAACATGAAAATTTTTAAAAGATTTGAAGTTTTCAGTGACTGAATGTGACAAAGAAAAGAGTTTTGTTGTATTTTGTATTCGGCGACAGTTATTTTGGGAACAACCCTTGCAACTAAGATGAAATACAAAATCCAAACTCAGGCCGCAGTTTTAAAAGCTCTGCATTAACGTGCCGCTGGCTCTTCTCCAGCTTTATCTCAACCACTTTCCTGTTAACCACTGTCCTCTGGCCACAATGGACTCTTTAAGATTGGCTTTTTTTTTTTCTTTTTGAGACAGAGCCTCACTCTGTCACCCAGGCAGTGGAGTGATCTTGCCTCACTGCAATCTCCACCTCCCGGGTTCAAGGGATTCTCCTGCCTCAGCCTCCTGAGTAGCTGGACCACAGGCATGTGCCACTACACCCGGCTAATTTGTTGTATTTTTAGTGGAGACGGGGTTTCACCATCTTAGCCAGGATGGTCTCGATCTCCTGACCTCGTGATCCACCCACCTCGGCCTCCCAAAGTGCTGAGATTACAGGTGTGAGCCACCGCGCCCGGCCAAGTTTGGCTATCTTTCTAGACAGGGTTTACCTCAAACCCTTTTCCCATAACTCCTTCATTGTCTTGCTAACTTTACTTGCCCTGCAGGTCTCAACATGCATGTTACTTCATCAAAGTGGTCTTTCCTATCCTTGCCCTACCTCTCTCAATCTGAATTGTCCCATTACAATTACTCCCTCTTATCACAGTTTTTCATGGGGTATTTATTTGTATGCTTATTTAATTAACACTTGACTCCCTCAATTGTGTAAAATACATGAAACCATGGGAAAGATTGGCCACTTGAATGTTATTTAGAGAGCAAAACAGGAATTGTTACTCTCATTGCAACTGTTATTTCCTCACTAGCACTTGTCACAATTATATAACTTCTTAATGTAATAAAAATGTAATTATAGATATTTGGAATGTTTATTTGCTGATTTCTGTCTCCTCCATTTGCCTATACCTCCAACAGGATAGGGAACGTGATTGTTTTGTTCTCTGTTTATCCTCAATGGCTACATAAAGAGCCCGGAGCAGAGCAGAATCTCAACAATTTTTTTGTGGCTAGATAAAAGGATAGGTGGATGGATGGATGAATGAATAGATAGATGGATGAATGGATGGATAAATGGATGAATGAATTAATGAATAAAATGAACTTTGTGGTTAATCTTCCCTCCAAGAAAAGGATTTAGGGTTTGAACTTTGCAATAAAAAATCAGTTTTTGAATAAATATATGCCTAACCTGACCATTCTGCCTTCTCAATCTTCCCAGTGTAGAATGATTTATAAATGCTCCATGAGAAAACATTGAAACAGTATGTCCTGGACCCCAGTGTAGGAAAAGATGGTATATGCAGTTACTCCTTCTATTTTCCTACTGTCTCATCTTTAATTATTCCCACAAATATTACATTTTGCTGCTTGAAGCCAAGGATCTCTCTCCTCCAGCTGTTCCATTCTTCCTATCTCTATGTCTTCAACCCAACTACCTGGTACCTTCTGTGGTTTGAACACAGTGCCAACACAACAGGCCTACCTCAAATAAGCAAGAGCAAAAGCCAAAGCCTCCTGTTAATGATGGACTCCTTGGGTGATCTTGGATCAATAGATCTGATAGAAACACAGTATCCCAGGATGAAAGAGCATTAAAATACATACTTAAGATGTCAGGCCAGGTGCAGTAGGTCTGGCCAGGCACGGTGGCTCACACCTGTAGTCCCAGCACTTTGGGAGGCTGAGGTGTGAAGATCACTTAAGGTCAGGAGTTCAAGACCAGCCTGGCCACATGGTAAAACCCTGTCTCTACTGAAAATACAAAATTAGCCAGGCATGGTGGCGCACATCTGTAGTCCCAGCTTCTTGGGAGGCTGAGGCAGAAGAATCGCTTGAACCTGGGAGGCGGAGGTTGCAGTGAGCAGAGATTGCACCACCGCACTCCAGCCCAGGTGACAGAGCGAGACTCTGTCTCAAAAAAAAAAAAAAAAAAGACTCATATTTAGTTTAGTTCAATTGCCCATGTAATATTTGAATCTATTTTATAATTAAGACTTGTAGAAGCAAAAAGAAAATGACATATGTAAAAGTTTAAATCAAGAACACTCTGTCTTTAATTTCTCTACCTTATCCCAAGAATCTACCATAAGCAAATAAATCTCGGATTTCCTTTCCTAACACAAAAGCAGACTATTGTCAATTGCAAGATAAACAGACTGAAAAGAATGAGAATCATAAATGAATCAATAAAGAACAGGTGTTTGTCTAACCTTTTTATTGACATATTCACAGAAGATGATTGGAAGTCCAGCATTGTTTATTGACAATACATTAGCCTTGTTTTGTTGAACATAAGATTTGATCTTGATTTACTCAACATGCAAATCTATATTTGTATATATCTTTGTGGCTTTTAATTTATAATTCGGGAGATTTCTCTAGACTGTAGTTAAGATACCCTAAAGAACATCAAATTACTGTGTTATATCAAATTAGTAACTATGAATTTTTCCTACACAGGGATTAGCAGCACACTATCTTGAACCTCTCCCTTGAATAAGTTACTCATGTCTTTAAACAGAAATGGTCTAAAATTTTTCAGGGAGTTGTTAAATTAAGGATTTTCTATTTTTAGTGATGAAGCATTCCCTTTTAATCTCCCAAGGTTCTAACATCATGGAAGAAAATATTAGCAGTAAAGTCCCTTAGGAAGTGTGCATAGTGGGCCCTATCATCAGCTGTGTTCTTCCCAGTGACGGTCCATGAGAATCACAGGAGAGACATGGTGGGATTTTGCAGAATGATAAGGTCTCCAACAAACAGAACTTTAAAAGTTTTGAGTGGATCATGATCTACCATTTAAAGTACTTATTTAAGGAAACTGTACTTAAAATTAGTTGTGTGTACTTTGTATGGTTATTTCCTTCTAATATTTGTGTTTCCGTCCCATGCTCATGGATGGGTAGAATCAATATTGTGAAAATGACCATACTGGCAAAAGCAATCTACAAATTCAATGCAATTCCCATCAAAATACCATCATCATTCTTCACAGAACGAGAAAAAACAATCCTAAAATTCATATGGACCCAAAAAAGAGCCCACAGAGCCAAAGTAAGACAAAGCAAAAGAACAAATCTGGAGGTCTCAGATTGCCCAACTTCAAACTATACTATACTACAAGGCAATAGTTCCTAAAACAGCATAATACTGATATTAAAATTGGCACATAGACCAATGGAACAGAATAGAGAACCCAGAAATAAAGCCAAATACTTACAGCCAACTGATCTTTGACAAAGCAAACAAAAACATAAAGTAGGAAATGAACATTCTATTCAACAAATAGTGCAGGGATAATTGGCAAGCCACATGTAGAAGAATGAGGTTAGGTCCTCATCTCTCACCTTATAAAAAAAAATCAGCTCAAGATGGATCAAAGATGTAAATCTGAGACCTGAAATCAAAAAAATTATAAAGATAACATCCAAAAAACCCTTCTAGACATTGGCTTAGGCAAAGAGGTCATGACCAAGAACCCAAAAACAAATGCAACAAAAACAAAGATGGATAGATGGGACCTAATTAAACTAAAAAGCTTCTGCACAGCAAAAGAAATAATTAGCAGAGTAAACAGACAACCCACAGAGTAGGAGAAAATATTCCCAAACTACGCATCCAACAAAAAACTAATGTACAGAATCTACAAGGAACTCAAACAAATTAGCAAGAAAAAAACAAATAATCCCATCAAAAAGTGGGCAAAGGACATGAATAGACAATTCTCAAAAGAAAATATACAAATGACCAACAAACAAGCTCAACATCACTAACTATCAGGGAAATGCAAATCAAAATCACAATGAGATACAACCTTACTCCTGCAAGAACGGCCGTAATTATAAAATCAAAAAAATAACAGATGTTGGCATGAATGTGGTGAAAAGGGAACACTTTACACTGCTGGTGGGAATGTAAACCAGTACAACCACTATGGAAAACAATATGCATATTCCTTAAAGAACTAAAAGTACAACTGCAGTTTGATCCAGCAGTTCCACTACTGTGTATCTACCCAGAGGGAAAGAAGTCATTATATGAAACAGACACTTGCACACACGTTTACAGCAGCTAAAATCACAAAATTGTGGAACCAGCCTAAATGCCCATCAACAAATGAGTGGATAAAGAAAATGTGATATAGATATAGGTAGTTATAGATATAGGTATATGCACCATGGAATACTACTCAGCCATAAAAAGAAACAATGAGATAATGGCATTTGCAGCAACCTGGATGGAGTTGGGGACCATTATTCTAAGAGAAGTAACTCAGGGAAAAAAAACAAACAAACATCGTATATTATAAGCAGGAGCTAAGCTATGAGGATACAAAGGCATAAGACTAATATCATGGACTTTGGGGACTGTATTAGTCAGGATTCCCTAGAGGGACACAACTAATAGGATAGATGTATATACGAAGGGAAGTTTCTTAAGGAGCATTGACTCACACAATCACAAGGTGAAGTCCCACAATAGGCCATCTGCAAGCTGAGGTTCAAGGAAGCCAGTCCGAGTCCCAAAACCTCGAAAGTAGGGACATCAACAATGCAGCCTTCAGTCAGCGGCCAAAGGCCCAAGAGCCCCTGGCAAATCACTGGTGTAAGTCCGAGAGTCCAAAAGCTGAAGAACTTGGAGTCTGATGTTCCAGGGCAGAAAGCATCCAGCATGGAAGAAAGAGGAAGGCTGGAAGACTCAGCAAGTCTGCTCATTTCACTTTCTTCCACCTGCTTTATTCTAGCCCCACTGGCAGCTGATTAAATGGTGCCCACCCAGATTGAGGGTGGGTCTGCCTCTCCCAGTTCACTGACTTAAATATTAATCTTGTTTGGCAACACCCTCACAGACACACCTAGGAACAATACTTTGCATCCTTCAATCCAATCAAGTTAACACTCAATATTAACCATCACAGGGGCTTAAGGAGAAGGGTGGTAGGAGAATGAGGGATAAAAGACTGTACATTGGGTACAGTGTACACTGCTCAGGTGATGGGTGCACCAAAATCTCAGAAATCCCCACTAAATAACTTCTGCATGCAACCAAACACCACCGGTTCCCCAAAAATTATTGAAATAAAAATTTAAAAATAATAATAATATCTGTGCTTGCATATTAGCCAACAAACATATTTCAAAGCACTTTGAACCATGTAACAGAAAAATCAGTGTCTTTCTGGTCATATAGATTTCAGTTTGAATTACCCACCAATTATTTACTTACTTTGACAAATTACTTCCTTTCTCTGAACTAGAATTTTTCCAGCAGAATAGAGATAACAATACCTAAATAGCCTAGAACCATAATGGCACATAGTAGATGTTCATTCCATTTCAGCTCCCTTCATCTATGTAAAAGTTAAGTGAGAATGGTATTATTATTAATACACTTGAATATAAAGTCAAGAACAAAACATACACTTAAAACAAACTGAAAATAACCCTCAGAAAGAATCAAGTATAGGCTGGGCATGGTGGCTCACACCTGTAATCTCAGCACTTTGGGAGGCCCAGGTGGGTGGATCATGAGGTCAAGAGATCGAGATCATCCTGGCCAACATGGTGAAACCCTGTCTCTACTAAAAATACAAAATTTAGCTGGGCATGGTGGCACACGCCTGAAGTCCCAACTACTCAGGAGGCTGAGGCAGGAGAATCGTTTGAACCTGGGAGGCGGAAGCTGCAGTGAGCCGAGATCGCGCTACTGCACTCCAGCCTGGCGACAGAGCAAGACTCCATCTCAAAAAAAAAAAAAGAAAGAAGGAAAGAATCAAGTATATAGCTATGTACTCACATAAGGAGCTGTCCAAGATATTAAGTGGAGGGAAAAAAGCAAGTTTAAAAATAATATGTGTACTACTATATTTTGTTAAAATATTAATATTAAATGTTAATTTAAATAATATATAGGTATTTAAAATATATAGGATTTAAAAAGTATAGAGAACTATTATACAGCATACAAAAAGTGTATATTTTTAAATATATAGGAATATATACCAAATTGTTTAAAATTATCTGAGAAAAAGTGGAAGTATTCATAGGGGATTTTAACTTTCTACAATATTATATACTTCTCTAATATCTAGATTATTTTTAAAATATTAACTATGGATGCATTGGCTCACACCTATCATTCCAGCACATTGGGAGTCCAAGGTGGGCAGATCTAAACCCCTGTTTAGATTCAATAGCAATTAAGTCCAAAAGTGTACTTGGATCCTAAAGATCTATGTATTATGTTTTAGCAATCACATTGAGTAATGTTTATTTTAGAGTATGATGGGCTGTACTTGGTTCAGGTAATGTGGTCCCCAAGAGTTATTCATACTAGTTACACATAGGACTATTCTAACACATGTATTTATGTGTAAGTCTGGGCCTAGAGAGAAATGATTAAGCTTCCAGAAGATTGATATAATCCTCACTCACCAATATATTATCATCTGCATATTTTGCTTCTGCCATGAAACTCTGGGTGGTGACCAAGGTGTTCTTAACATATCCCCTCAGCTCAACTAAACTTTAAATAGGTTTCTTTCTGACTGTAGGCTCTTGACCTCTCTTGTCCTAGAGCATTTTAGAAATATTGTGATTGCATATCTTTCTCCGCCCCTTTGAAATGTAGATAAATCTCCCAGCCTCTTGTCAGTCTTACAGCCCCAAAAATGTCTTTCTCAAGGACCAAACTACCATCCTTTTGAAATGTCATCATCAAGAAAAATAGCCCCCCATCTCCCAGTCTCTGAGAGCATAGGAGTTTAACTCTCTAATTAGCTTAACTCATTAGCAAACAGATAGTCTAATCACATTGACCAACTTCCCGTCTAAACTTGTAGTACTTTGCTACTAGCTCACAGGAGGGTTTAAAACCCCTCCTGCCTTTTGTTTCAGTGAAACTGAGTTTATTCTCTCTCCCCTATGATAATAGTCTTCTTAGCCTGTTTAATTATATCAAGTGCAATTTGTCTTTGACAGTTGTCAGGAAGTTTATACCTCTTTTAGAGAAAGTTGCTGCTTTCTCTGCTAAGGATTCTCACACCTGTTAGTATGGCTACTCTTTTTTTTTTTTTTTTTTTTTTTGAGACAGAGTCTCACTCTGTTGCCCAGGCTGGAGTGCAATAGCACCATCATGGCCCACTGCAGCCTTGACCTCCTGGGCTCAAGCAAGCCTCCTGCCTCAGCCTCCCAGGTAGCTTGACTACAGGCATGCACCACCCCACCCGGCTAAGTTTTGTATTTTTTTTTTAATAGTGATAGGGTTTTGTCATGTTATGTTGCCCATGCTGGTCTTGAACTCCTGGGCTCAAGCGATTGTCTCTCCTCAACCTCTCAAAATGCTGTGATTACAGGCATAAGCAACCACACCCAGCCTAGTATGGCTATTCTTAAAATGATAAGAGGTAAGTGTTGGTGAGGATGTGGAGAAAAGGGAATCTTTGTGCACTATTGATGGGAATGTAAATTAATACAGCCATTATAAAAAAACAACATGGAGATCCCTCAAAAAATTGAAAACAGGCTTGGCATGGTAGCTCACTCCTGTAATCGCATATTAGCTAGGCATGGTGGCTGACGCCTGTAATCCTAGCACTTCGGGAAGTGGAGGCGGGCAGATCACTTGAGGTCAGGAGTTTGAGACCAGCCTGGCCAACATAGTGGAAACCCATCTCTACTAAAAATACAAAAAATTAGCTGGGTGTGGTGGTGCACACCTGTAATCCCAACTACTCGGGAGGCTGAGGCACAAGAATCACTTGAACCTGGGAGGCAGAGGTTGCAGTGAGCCAAGATTGCACCACTGCACTCCAGCGTGGGTGACAGAGCAAGACTCCATCTCAAAATAGATAAATAAATAAAATATTAATTAATGTAAAATAAAAATAAAATCTTCTAAAAGAATTCACTTAAGCCTCAAATGCAGCATATCTACACTCACAAAAAAAGTACATTTCAAGGGATAACGTGCTTTGTGTTTCCTAAAAGGTATTCCACAGAAGAGTAGTTGCATGAAAATAAATTCTCCAATCAAATAAGTTTGAAGTATCTTAGACAAAACCCATTCATTGATGGTAGGACCTGTGAGAGCCTTGAACATGCCAAGAAGCAATGTGAATCTCCAAGAAGCTTTGCAATATGCAGCCTCTCCCAAACTTATTTGACTATAAACACCTTTTTGGAGGGACCATTAATGGCTAAAAAAGGAAAGATATTACAGTCAATTCAATGCACACTTTCCATAAACTAGCACTCTGACTGGGCACCTGAGCTACATTCCTCACCCACAAGGAGGCTTGGTTCTATATGGAAACATTGAAAAGTCAAATTAAGCAGGCTGTTCTTGTGGCTCTGGGCTTTCAAAGCAAAGAGCAATTTATGATTTAAAGTTCCTAAACAAATCAGGAATCCTAAAATATGCTTGAGTAATCTCCCCTGATTTTTTTTTTTTTTTTTTTGGTAAATTTTCTGGTTTAAACTTTTTGGAGTCAACTCTGTTCACTACCCAGATTCATAGGAATGGAGGTCCTAGAGAAAAGTTAAAGGAGATGGCAGTGCCACACTCGGAAAGAAAATGAGCCACGCCAAACTCCCCTCTCTCCTTCACTAGGTCATATGGAGTGAGTGGCTAAACAGTGCCTGGACATAGCAAGACTCAGTAAATATACAGTTGAATTAACGGATCCAAACATCACATTTACCATAAAGAGTACCTTCTAAATAGGTCTCCTATCGATTTTTTCTTCTTGTTTACACTTCCATTCAGTTAAAAATAAATAGCATAAATTTATAATCAAGGAGTTCCAGAAAATTTGATTTGAAGTAAGTCAGAAACTGTTACAGAATATTGATTAAAAAGATGATCACCTTGCAGCTTCAGCATCTTTTTAATTTGCAAACATGCCTACCACTATTGGATTTTTTCACTTTTTATAGAGAATTCCCATTTTTGGCGAAGACAGATATGACTTCAGAAAAACCACCTCGCCAGTCCCACGGCGTGGCCTTGACAGAGGCACCCTCTGGTGGTGGCCTCGCTGAAGTGCAGACACTGTTCTTGACTGGTGTTTGGTTTACTTGGGTTTGTTTCCTGGCTTGCTTGCTTTATTATTTTATTTGTTTATTTTGTTTGAGAAGCACCGAGTCTCCTTAAAAGGCACAATCTTTAAAAATCTAAACATGTGGAGTTTAAAAGCAACAGCAAACATCACACTGCATCACATCTTCTTAAATTGCTGTGACTCAGGATTACTGCAATCTCATTTTTTTACTAACTGTATTACTAATATATAATAGCACATACAGAGAATACAGAATAATACAGACATGCTAAAAACAGAACAACATTGTCGTCAGCAAAAGACTTAAACAAAATAATAATACATTATGCACACAATTTCTGATGATCAACTACCTTAGAAGTGAAGCTCACTCTTTTAGGCTATAAGCAGCAGGTCACATATCCTTAATCTTCCAAGGCAAACCTGTCAACCCTAGGAACTACCTGAGAGTAAATAGTACTTTACCTTGGCCAGGGACTATGGAAAACAAGGAACAGTAAGTAGCATCCTTACATAATTTCTGTGGACAAATACAACAACTTTGTCAGATAACTTCCAAAATAGTACTTAAAGAACACTTGAATGTTTTACCTATCTTCTCCACTTTATATCAGTGATGAGCATATATTAGCAATAGTACTCATCATTGCTAGTTCGATTTTATTTCTCCATTGAATTATACATGTAGAAGTATACATGTAGAATTATACATATATACTGAATTATATATATATATACACACACACACACACACACACATATATACATATATTTGCTGGCTACAGTTTGAGCCTTGGAAGGAGTAACATTCCATTTAGGGAAAGAACTGCTTCTTTATTTAACTGCTTTTGATTATGCAAAGATAGAATTGATGGGCTATCTGAATATTGCGATATGAGAAAACAAAGGGCAAAATAGCTGTACATATTATGTCAGAAACATTATAATTTCCAGCTAGTAGCATGAATGATAGAGAGAGGGTGGGGATCTCAAGTCAGGTTATATAAGCTGCTCCCAGCCCCATCTGAACTGTGTACATTCTCTAGTGAATTGTTGAGCTCCAGAAATACAGGATTCCCAGGAACAACTGACTGGTGGTGCTAACTGTTCTTAACCCACACGTGCTAAGAAAACGCAACTGTAATCAAGAACTGGAGAACCAAGAAGCTATAAAGGAAGGATGGAGAAAAGCCCTTCATCTTTTGTGAAGAAGTAACCTTTTGTTGCTTAAAGCCACCAACAAAGTGACCTAGTGAACATGTCCTTCCCACAGACACTACTCTACTGTCAGCTTAGCTTTGGGTCTCAGTTCTTAAACAGAAAATTAATATTAAGTATCCACTAGGAGCCAAGCATGGTGCTAAGTGTTCATAGACATACAAACTGTCAACTCTATAAGGTGAAGATGAAAATGCCAATTTATAGATGAAAAACTTAAAGGTTAGCAACGTTCCTTAATTTGCCTGTGACTTTCCAGTCAGTAAATAACAAAGTCGGAAGTGAAGTGTAAACAGGTCTAATTCTAATTACAGTGCTGTTTCCACCACACCAAATGCCTCATTCATTCATTCGATAAATATTTTTCAAGAATTTTCAACCATTATGTGCCAGGCACCAAGACAGTAGTGGAAAAGACTATGCCCTTATTTTCATGAAACTTGCATTCTAGCCAGGAAGGGTGCACAATATGCAAGTAAATAATATATAAGCAAGGTTATTAGAGGTGGTGATTAGTATTTTGAAGGAAATAAGCAGCATGATGTGATGGAAAGTGACAGAGAGCACTTCCTTGGGCACTAAAGCATGCTGGGAAAGGGCTCTCTGAAAAGAAGACATTTAAGTCAAGTCCTACAGGTTGAAAAGGAACCAGCCAGACAAACATCTCGGAGCCAAAGATTTCAGACAGAGGGAAAAGCAAGAGCAAAGGCCCTGATGCACTTGAGGAGAGCAGAAAGGAATCCAATGTGGCAAGAACATAACGAGCTACAAGAAGACTAGTACCAGAGAAGGTTGACAGAAACGAAATATTTAAGATTTTGTAGGCCATAGTAACAAGTTTGTATTTTACTCAAAATTCAATAAAAAGTCACTGGAGATTTTATGTAGGGCAAGACATTATCTGATTGACATTTTATATAGGGACTGGATAGAGAGGGAACTTCAGGGAAATGTGAGTGGAAGCAGGGGACTAGTTAAAAAGCTACTGCAGCAATCTGTGCACAGATCATGCTACCTGGAAGTGGGAGGCAGCGGTAAAAGCCAAGAGATTCATTTGAAGGCTACTTCAGCAATGGTGTTAGAGCTAATGGTGTGTTAGACTGGATCAGGGGTTCTTAGTGATGGTGCTGCGCCCCCTCCCACACAGGCTATTTGGCAATGTCTGGAGACATTTTTGATCGTCATAGCTAGGGGCATGTTACTGGCATCAAGTTGGATGGAAGCCAAGGATGCTGCTAAACATCCTGCGACGCACAAGATTGTTCCCCACAGAAAAGAATTACCAGGTCTAGCATGTCAATAGTACCAAGGTAGAAAAAACAAGAACTAAACAAGACTTGAAGAAACAAAGAACCAGAACAGAACTGGAGAACAACTGAGAGATTTGGGATATATTTCAGAAGTAATACTGACAGGCATGCCAATACCTGTGGGGAGGGTTAAATAAAGTATAATTCCTAGATGTTTGCCTTGGGCAACTGGGTGGATGGGGTGCCACTTACCAAGATAGTGAAGATTTCAGGAAAAGGAAGTTTGGGAGGAAAATGGAGTGGAGTTAAGTATTTATTTTGGGTATTACATTCAAAATAACTGTTGGATATCCAGGTAGAGATGTCAGATAGGCCATTAGGTATAGAAGCTTTGAACTCATAGGAAAAATATGGGCAAAAATAAAATTGTGAGTTATCAACATTTGAATTGTATTTAAAGACTTGGAATCGGCCAGGCGCAGTGGCTCATGCCTGTAATCCCAGCACTTTGGGAGACCGAGGCAGGCGGATCACCTGAGGTCAGGAGTTCGAGATCAGCCTGGCCAATATGGTGAAACCCTGTCTCTACTAAAAATACAAAAATTAGCTGGGCATGGTGGTGGGTGCCTGTAATCCCAGCTACTTGGGAGGCTGAAGCAAGGAGAATCGCTTGAACCTTGGAGGCGGAGGTTGCAGTGAGCCGAGATAGTGCCATTGCACTCCAGCCTGGGTGACAGAGCGAGACTCCATCTCCAAAAAAAAAAAAAAGAAAGACTTGGAATCAAGTGAAATCACACAGGGAGACAGATTAGGGAAGAGATGACAAGAAATGAGAAGGGAAGGGAACTGAAGGGACAAGAACGAAAGAGAAGGCAAAGGAAGAAAGTCAAGACTAAACCCTGAGGCACTCTTGACTTTTCTAAAGACAATGCAAAAAACTAGAAAGAATAGTCAGGAGAGTTGTGTCATGGAAGCCAATAGAGAAAAGGAAGGTATTTCGAGAAAGAGGCAGTGGTTAATGATACAAATGCCACTAAAAGGTTGAGTAAAATGAAGAACCAGTAACATCCATTAGCTCTGACAACTTGGAGGTCATTGGTGACATTAAGCAAGAGCAGTTTCCATGGAGTGGGAATGAAAGCTATTGTGAAATGAGTAGATATGAGATGAAGAGTCAGAGAGAGAAAATGCAGACAATTTCTATAAAAAGGAGTCAAAGAAATAAGGCAGTTGTTGGATGGAGAGGTAGCTTCAAGAGGGTTTTGTTTCATTTCTTAATGTGGATCATGTTGATATGCTGATGGAAATGGTCCAAGACAAGGAAATGGAAAGATAGCAGAAAAAGTGAAGCCTTTAAGAAAGTAAAAAGGAATGGGAACAATAGTAGAGGAGTTGTTCTTTAGTAAGAGTAAAGATATTTATTTCATTGTAACAAGAAATTGAGTCCAGGAGCAGGTAGGTTGAAAAGATAAAACAGTTCTCTTATAATAGCTTTTATTTTCTTGATGCTGTCTCAATTAAGGCAGGTGAGGAAATTGGCTGGAAGAAGCAGGGAAGGAGAAGAGATCTGAGGAGGGACAATCCCAAATGAGGATCTTTAGCCAGTTGTACATTTGTCATAACACTGTGACTAGGGTACAGACATCCCACTAGAAACACAACCATCTGAACTGCATCACTGTAACAAAGATGCTGAGGGTTACTGGAGACAACCACACAGCAGAACAATTGGAATTACTAGAAATGCTTGCCCCAGACCAGTAGTCTTGTATTAGCATGTTCACTCACACACCAAAGGATTATATTATCTATTCTTCAATCTAAAATCTTGGTCTCTTTCCCTTCTCCTCCAACTCTTAGCAAATGAACTGCCTAATATTTCACAGAATAAACGAAGTTGCCAAATTGATTCCTTTGATTCACTGTCACCCTATCTACAAATCTACCTGCATCTGTTCCATCTTCTTCTTTATTCCTGTTACAATGACCTAGTCAAAGGTCAATCTCCATTTGTGCTCTAAATCCAAAAACATCCTCTCTCCATAGCCTTTTTTCCTGTAAATATTTCCCTGTTTTATATCTTCAGCCACTTCTTCTTTTGGGGAGGTTTCCCATAATTATTTAAGTGTCTTATTTTTGAAAAAGAAGAAGGAAGGGAAGAAGAGAAGAGGGGGAGAAAGGAAGAAGAATGGAAAGGAAGAGAAATAAAGAAAAGAAAGAACCACCACATTCCCCTTTATTTAATACTATATCTCACCACACCAATTCACAGCTGAAGTCTTCAAAGCCTGAGTTGCCTACAGATATTGCTCAATTCTTTATTCTTCACCTTCCATTTACTACTCAACATACTCTAATCCAGCTTTCACCCTCGACTCCAATTCCTAAATTTACCAGACCTATTGTTGCTAATTTCAGTGAACACATTTCAGTTTTGTTATTGTATTTGATCTCTCAGCAACCTTCCACACTTTGATCATTTAGCTGTTCTAAAAGAAAAAAAAAAGGACTTTCTATGCATTAGATAAAAACCACCCTCTCCAAGTTTTTCTCCTCAGTCACTTCTTCAACTTTTTTACTCCACCACTTTCCACACTTCAAAACAGTGGACTTCCTCGGGACTGATTCTTAGGCCTTCTCATTTTATATAAGAGACAGCAAATTGACAACCTACTAGTTCAATCCCCAATGTCTAGCACATTGTCTGGAAAATAGTAAATATTGAATAAATATTTATTTGAGTAATTAATTAGTTAGAGGTATAGAATGCAATTGGACTTTAGGATAAGGGGACAAACTGTGAAGCTAACCACTAAGGCAAGCCCCAAGACAAGCAATTTCTCCCCACCTTACATCTACAAGTTCTCAAACTTATTAACATAATCTACCTAGACTGGACAGCCAATTAAGAAGCCAACAATTGACGCTTAAGCACCTCCTTGACATCTGGTGATTTTTAAACAAAATTAGGGAGCTGTTTGGAGTATCTTAGTCCTTAAGCCAAGGGTCTACAATCAAGAAAATCATACAATTAAATTATAGAGACAAATGAGAGCTAGTTTAGCCCTCGCAGTAAAATGAGAGTCAAATGAAAACACTACCATCAGCTTATCTGCTTGATTCTCTCCTAAGATTCAGTGATGGGTTTTGATGCTTATCCATCATCTCTCTTATCTATTCAGTAATATTCAACAAACAAAGGCCAGGACAGACAAAGAGCACAGTCTGATTTGCCTGTTTGCAGAACAATGTCATCTCAACATAACCCTAATCAAATTCAGCTTCTTCCAAAATCAGCTGATCAGCAAAGAATAGCTTCATATTAAATTCATTCAGAAACAGTTATTCATCCAAGATATGGCTCTATACGAAGTCACTGGAGATGAGCTAATCAAAAAAGAACCGCCCCATCCAAAACTCATCCAAAAACAGCTATTATTCAAGATTTTACTCCACACAAAGTCATCTGAAATCACCTTAACAGGAAAAAGCTCCCTTGCCCAAAGCTCATCCATAATCAGCTGTTTGGGCAGGATAGGGCTATACAGTCATCCCTGCTTGTCTTCAGAAGATACATTCCAAGACCACCAGTGGATGCCTGAAACCACAGATACTATCAAACCCTATATGCACTATCTTTTTTTCTATATTATACAATTACATTATATAGGGGAAGTAGCGTATACAGAGTGGATATGCCAGACAAAGGGATGATTCACATCTCCTGCCGGGCAAAGCTGGACGGTGCAAGATTTCATCAGGCTACTCAGAGTAGCATTCAATTTAAAGCTTATGATTTGTCTGTTTCTGGATTTTTTTATTTAGTATTTTCAGACCATGGTTGACCATGGATGAGTGAACCATGGAAAGCAAAACCAAGGATAAGGAGGAACTGCTCCACACAAATTATTTTAAGACAAGGTGATCTGCAAATAATTCTTTTGTCCAAAAAGCTATTCAGCAACCAGCCCCTGCAAAGAAACTCACTGAAACAAGCCGATATACAAAGAGCTGCACCATCCAAAACACGTCCAGAAATAGCACAAACTCATATTTAACTTAGCAGAATGCTTCCCCTTCAAAAGCTGGTCCAAAAACAGCTGTTTAGTTACATTCTGGATCTACACAAAATCACTCAAGAATAACAAATAAGCAAAGAGCCAGCCCAATGCAGTGGCTCACGCCTATAATTCTAATGCTTTAGGAGGCTGATGAAGGAAGATCACTTGAGGCCAGGAGTTTTAGGTGACATAGTGAGACCTTCATCACCACAAAAAAAAATTTTTTAATTAGCCAGGCATGGTGGTGCATGTTTGTAGTCCCAGCTTCTTGGGAGGCTCAGGTGGGAGTAATGCTTTAGCTAAGGAGTTTGAGGCTGCAGTGAGCTATGATCATGCCACTGCACTCCAGCCTGGGAGACAAAAAAATTTTTAAAAGCCAAAAGCCAGCTTGTTACTGGTGGAAGTTATCCAGGTTACTGGCAGTGAATCCGTACAGGTCTGCCACAACTCAATTCTTGCCTCCTCAGAAGAAATAATTCGACTGAGAGGCATAAGACAGAAAAAGAGACCGATGAAAGTTTCACAGCAGGAGTGGAAGTTTATTTGAAAAGGTTTTATAACAGGAAAGAAAGGAAAGTTCACTTGAAAGAGACCCAAATGAACACCTGAAGGTCAAGTCCAGTGTTTTACCTTGATCCTAGGACTTTTTAGGCTGGACCCTTTCTCATGATTCTTTCCTTAGGGTGAGCTGCCTGCATGTACAGTGCCCTCCTTACCCTTGGGAGGTGAGCATGTACGGTGTGTTTAGGAAGTTGTACCCATGACCATCTGAGGTTTTCTTCCCTTTTCTGGTAGTGTGCCCCCAGAAGGTCATACTCTGCCATTTTGTCTGTTAATGTGCATGCCCAGGAAGTTGCTTCTCCCTGGCATCTACATTCAGTTAACACTTTAATGCAACAGGTGTGGACCATCAGGAAATGACCTCTCCCTGGCACTGGCTACCAATTTATAACCTTTAGAGATGCAATGTTATCATTGCCAAACCGTCACCCAACATTCCTTGTGGGTGGGGGAGAGCCCTTTTCTGCCCTACTTATGCCTAACTACCTGTAACAAGCCCATCTAAAATGATTCCAAAGCAGTTATTTCATCAGGGATTGACTTTTTGTATCACCATCTAAGTACAGCTGGAAAGCAAGGAAGTGTCCTGTCCAAAGCTCCTCTTAAAACAGCAGTTCAGTCAGGAGCCTGCTCTCCAGAACATCATATGAAACCTGTAGCCAATCAAAATCTCCTCTATCAAAATATTCCCCAAAATCTGCTATTCATTTTTTTAAAAATAAATCCCAATCTTACCCAAAGTCACCTTTAAAAAAAGTCTGCTCATATCAAATTTTATCCAAATCCACAAATCAACAAAAGACCTGGACAAATTCATCTAATAAAAGTGAAATTTTTCCTTTTATATCCCTCTATACAAACCCACATCTAGATTCAATATTTTTATTTTCAAGCTCTCACTCTCAAACCCAAACCAGTATAACTACCCCAGCTATCACTACTTCTAAAGCAACTTCTACCACCCATCTGCAACTTCAGTTTTAACTACAACTCCCATGCTATCATCTGCTACAATCATAAATCAAGCCACATTATCCTACAACATCCCAGAAGCTGTCATATACAACAGCAACTTTGAAACAAAGGGTCCTCCCTATGATGGCACCAAACTATACATTGACTCGGCATCCAACTTTGAAATCACAGAAACTTCTTATGACACCACAAAATACATACTGACCTTCCATTTGACTTTGAAACTACACATTTTCTCGATTGTGTCTACAAAACTGAAAGTAACTGCCCAATTGACAGTATCAACTCAAAGAACATAAATTCCCAGCACCTTCCTTACCCTTACCTAAAGCGTTATATTGTCGTCCAAACACTGAAATCATTAATTAATTCCTCACACTAGTACTGTATCTCTTACCTTCCCTTCAGCATCCTCATCTGTTGCCCATTTGCAGGGTGTTCTTTCCTATTTTAAATATCACACCCAAGCTTTTTTTTTTTAATTCCATAAGTGTGTAATTCTATTGTTAAGTTGAAATATTTCTACATAGGCCAGGTGCAGTGGCTCATGCCTGTAATCCCAACACTTTGGGAGGCTGAGGCGGGAGGATTGCTTAAACCCAGAAGTTCAAGACCAGCCTGGGCAACAACATGAAACCCGTCTCTACAGAAAATTAGCCAGATGTGGTGGTGCGCACCTGTAGTCCAGCTACTTGGGAGGCTGAGGTGGGAGAATCACCTGAGCTGGGGAAGTCCAGGCTGCAGTGAGCCAGGAGAGCCAGGATAGCGACACTGCACTCCACCCTGGAAGACAGAAGGAGACATTGTCTCAAAAAAAGAGAAAGAAAGAAAGATGTCTACACGGACAGAATACAAAGTTGCCACACTCTTGCAAGCTTAACCCTATTTCATGAGTAAATTCGGTATAATATAGCCACATTTGTAATGACATTGTACACTGAACTTTATCACTTATGACAAAGGTCAATTCAATCTGCCAAGAAGTCTGAACATAGTTTCCTGATACCCCCTCTGGCAAAACTTTAAAAGATTAGTAAAAACCTATATAGTTTGATCTATTTAGTAGAATTTCAGATATGTTTAATTCAGTGGCTGTTTTTCGGGCACCTACTAAACTACTCCATAGAGAAGTTGCTCTACTTCTGGCCTCCAAGCGTAAGTCCGGTTTCCTCTGGGGACTGGTTGACAATTTTAAATACTTTTGTAAATTTATAAAGGCAAACAAGTCAATTCAATTCAACCCATATTTATTGTTCTATCACATACAAGCTGAGAGCTAAAGAAAATATCAAAACATATAATCTTCCTTGAAATTTAATATCTCAAAACAGTAATCAAATAACAATGGCATCAGGTGAGGTAGAATAAAATAAATAACAAAGTCATGAATTCCAAAAGCATCTCAGAGAAAGAAAAGTCTAACTCCAAATGAGAGGAACAAAAAGAAAGGCTTCATGAAGGTGGTAGCATAAAGAAGGATCTTTAAGGGTGAGTAAAACATTGACAGTCAAGGATGAAAAAGAGGACTCCAGGCAGAGGAAATAACATGAACGAATGCAGAAAAAGAAGATCAAAATGCATCTTTTCTAGCCTCTTGTGCATACATCCATTTTGCCTCTACCACATTATATAGTGATATGAGACTTGCTGCATTTTCCACAAGAACATAAATAAGGGCTTCCTCTTACTCACTTTTGTACCCGAGCACCTTGTACAATACCTTGTCCAGTACAGTGGAGGCTTCTGTTTAGTAGGTATCAGGGATTGCCATGCATCAAGAAATGCTGAATGTCGTTTACAATTATCAAGGTACTTAATTTGTTCAATCAAGCTATTACTATAATTAATGATAATCTTGTGCGCAGAATCCTTTTAATGTTGTGAGTTACCAAGTGGTGTAAGGAAATATAGAAAATTTCCAGTCTGTTTTATCCTTTCATTGTCAAAAAGATGCTCTTAGACTGAGATTCATAAAGAGTGCCTCAGGTCTGGGTAATCCTAGATCTTCCTATATCCATTGAGTGTGATGGAGTTGGAGAGAGGGTATGTTTCTTGCCTTGAGAAATCCTAGAAAGCACAGGGATGACACAAATCACTAAGGAATTCCACTAAGACTCCTCTAACCCAGAGATTTTTAACCTGTTTCTTTATAGTTGGGCTCTCAGGAGATCCATGAAATCCCTGAAGTTATTTCATAATCATTACATTCATAAGCATATATGCATTTTTCTGAGGAGATGACATGTGCATTCAATCAGCTTCTCAAAAGGGTCCATAACCCAAAGAAACTTACAACTAAAGCTAATAAGAAAGATTAAGGAATGCCTGGAACTAAAGGGCTAAGAGATGTGTCCTATAGTTCATAAAACACTTTAATGAATTCTGATGTTCTATGTCATTTTGGAAACATAAATTATCTCACTGTTTTTGCTGATGTCTCCTTGTCTTGGAATGATTTAAGAATTCTTTTCCTTTTATAATATGTATTTCTTGACTCCCAACTCCGTAATCACATTATTGCAAGTTGTCTGCTTTCAGACTTAAAATTTCTTGCCTAAGAAATTACTCAGTGTTTTTAATTTTGCTTGTTTATTTTGATCTAATCCCACTGACTGCTCAGTTTCCTGGCTAGGGCATGTCCGATTCCCGCTGAGGGTTGGAGTCATGTCTGCAACAAGCAATTGACTCACTGTGAGGTCCCTAAATCACCTGATGCCCAGTCACGAGGAATTATTCAATTCAAATAAACTATTGAATAGAACCACATTCTAGACTAACACTATAACACAGGTCTCCTCACCTAAGCCAAGAACAACAGTGACATAAAATTCAACTCTACCTCCACCCAAAAAAAAAAAAAAAATATATATATATATATATATATACGTATATATATATATACGTATATATATACATATATATGTATATATATACATGTATATATATACGTATATATATATATACGTATATATATATATATATATATATATATATGACGCTCCCAACCCTCTACATTCACTGAAAATAATGCCCAAATAAAGTAGATGCCCAGTGTCACGGAGTCCCTCTCTTGCAATGACCTGGTTGAATATTTCATATTCCCCCAACAAAACCTAAGCTCTTTAAGGGCAGGGTTTTTGTCCCTTCCATTAATTGTTTTATCCCAGACACTGACACAATGTTGGTGAACAAAGAGTGAATCTATGTTAAATGAGAGCTGGAAAAATGAATTGATTGAATAAAAGAAACAATGAATTTGCCTGTGAAAGCCCATGAGAACCTAAAGTTGCTTTCCTTCCACATCCTTCAGCACTATGTCTCATTGCTCCTCTCACTATCAGCCACTTTAACATGCTAGTCTGTCTTGTGGATTATACTTATTCTCCAAATCCACCTAAAGCCCAATCTCTTCTCTAAAATCTTCCCTCAACTCAATCTTGCTCTGTTTCCCCACAGTATATGCCTTTACCATTTATTCGTCAACATTCGATGACCATATGATGCTTTAAAATATTACAAACATGAAAGACAAGAAATATAAGATGCGGCCCCAGGAACTCTCCATCTAGTTCAAGAGAAACAAAAAGTCAAGAAATAATAAAAAAGCCATATAAAGTAATATCTGACCAAGTGCCAAAATCAGTGATAGAAACAAACCAAAAAAAGCTATAGGTAGTTAAAATTAGATATCATCTCCAACCCTGTCTTCCACTGCTATCCTCACCCCATCTTGTTCCAGTGACAGAAAGCAATGTCACTACTTCAAATCTAGACCTTTGATCAGCCTGGGTGCTCTCCTTGCGTTCTTCATAAATTTTTTTTTTATTCTTCAAATCCAAACTCAAGGATGATCTCCTCTTTTAAGCTTTTCCTGTCCTTTTGCCCCCAACAAAATTCACCACACTCTTTCTTACACCTGAATACTCCTATATTTGCACATACTTGTTGATCTTGTATTTCTCCTCCTACATAATGTTCCCCATTCCTAACAGAGTATCAGAGTAACAAACATTGATTATATAGATTAATTGAACAGTTAGAGAGAAGCTTTGAAAAAAAAATGTATCATCTCAGTTAATTTTCCATTCATAGACACTCTATAGGTTTTTTTTGTTTTTCTTTTTTAAAGGTCAAATCCCAAATCCTGGTGCGACACAGGCTCATCATTGAAATGGTCTCAGAAATTGATTAACAGACCTCCACCTCCCTTTGGGGCATATCTCAAAAATTCCAGGTGAAGCCCACAGCTTCATGGTAAAATGTTAAGTAGCACTTAACTGTTCTTCTTGTAAAAGAAATCTCAGTTGATTCCCTGTGTTTTGCTTAGGTTATAGTATCATTTTCCCTGTTTAATATAAAGCAAGCCATTCACCATTTGGCCATAAATGTACATATCCTCTGATACATTACTTAAATGTACATACCCTCTGATACATTACTTAAATGTACATACCCTCTGATACATTACTTAAATGTACATATCCTCTGATACATTACTTAAATGTACATATCCTCTGATACATTACTTCTAAGAATAACACCTACGAAAATACTCCCATATGTGTGAAAAAAAGGTTTTATAAGAATGGTGCTTGTGATACCTTTGTAATTACAAAATAAACTGGAAATGGATTAAATGTTCATCAAAATGTGATATAATGATGTGTACCCATTAAATAAATAAAATAAACCTGTATGTACTAACACATAAAGTTGTCCATTATTTGTTAAGTAAACATAAGTTCCAGAGCAATCTACATAGTAGACTTCATTTTTTAAACCTTGTACAGAGCCCTATATTTTGATGTTTGATTTATGTATTCATACTTACATGATAAAACACGTACATCTGAGAAATCATTTGGGAAGAAGAAGGAGGTGAAGAAGCATTTAAATTATTTTATTGTCTGCATCTTTTTTTAATTACATAAGGCCTGTCTCCTTGAAACACCTTCTATTCAAATGGTAGACATTGGGTAACATAATGTCTGCAGCTAATAACCCACCTAATGAAGTGTTGGGAAATGAAAAAAAAACAAATGATTTAACAGACAGCTAAATCCTGATTGGTCTCTCAGTTTCCAATCTCCTGGAACTGAGTTTAAATTTCTTCTACAAACACATACATCATTGAAGGGTAAAATTTTTCACCAGAGTAAACTTGAGAAACCAACTGGACCTTGAGTATTGTACATTTTGCCTCGTGGACCCAAAGGTAACATTAATTGACCATGTTTCAAGTAGAACTTTTGTTTTTAAAGTATCATTTTCTCTTAAAAGGAAAAAAAATACATGGAAGAGTAACACTTTTTTGTTGTTGTAGGTAGCAATCTGAAACATGAGGAGTACGATTCTACTGTTTTGTCTTCTAGGATCAACTCGGTCATTACCAGTAAGTATGTTATGTTTGTTTTATATGCCAGCCAGTTTCAACAGCATCTCTAGCTGCAGACCTACCTCTCTCCTGCCCTCCATCAAAACTGCTCTGTTTTGTGACTCATTCCCTGAGAGTGTCCAGTGTTTATTTTCCAAGACAGAAAATGACAAGCTAATAAGCTGTTGGTACATATTTCAATGTACTTGCATTTTTTTAAATGCATCCACTCCATCGTGGTAAAAGGTCAATTATTTTGGCAGAGCAATAGGCTAGAAATTAGGAGAAAAATGAATGTGTTAAGTGGATGATTATTTTATTTTCCAAAAAGAAGTTTTTTCTTGGCAACTAGTTATTTGCTCATGAATAAAGAGGTGAACTATATTTTCTAATTTTTCTACTTGGAAATGCTAAATATCTAGATTGTATAAATTCTAAAAAGACCACCAAAACATATGATATCAAAGGCATATGATTAAAATGATCAAAATTTTTGACTTAGAACATTAAATCATAAATAGTATTCACATATAACAGGAAAAAATTAAAAAGCCCTATAACTCCAACATTTACTCCATTATTTTGTAGACATAGGGATGAATGGTTTGGATCTCTAGGTGGACTTCTCTTTGACTGTTCAAGATGGTTCAAGACCATTAAGAAAAAAATTACAATATACTTGCTATGAAATAACAGAATAAAAGAAAGCATACTTAGTTGGGCCTCAAGCTTACTCAATACTTCTGCATCCATTCGTACAATCAACAAATATTTATTAAAAACTTTCTATATGCCAGACATTGTGCTAGGTGCTGAAGAAACAATAGTGAGAAGGGAAAAAAAGGCATAATCCTTCATGGTGTTCACAAGGATTGTAGACATTAATTTTTTTTTTAACTTTTTTTTTATTTTTACCAATGTCACTTGCCAATTTTTTTATTTTTTACTCAAATGATTTTTAAAGAAATGTTAAATTATAAATAATAACTGTGATTATTTATGTGAAGGAAATGAACAGGGTGGGATTATGCGGGGGGAGGATGAAGCAAGATACGGTAGCCAACCTCCTTCTTACTTTATCCCAAATACATACTACATACGTGTGTGTGTGTGTGTGTGTCTGTGTGTGTGTGTCCTCCTTGAAAGAAGTTGTCTGTAAAAGTTTAATTTTCTAAACAAGGTAAAGTATGAAGTTAATTTTTTTATAAAACAAATGGTTCTTTCACTTCGTCAAATACATTGACCGAAAGATTCTTCAAAATAGTTTCTCTAGTATATTTAAATTACCACATAATTGGTGAAAACTCAAAACAAGCAAAACTTTCCAGGAGTGCAGCTCTCATGTGAGGTGGGCTGAGGTGGAGCAGGCCGGCTGTGCAGGCCACAGCAGATTGCTAATAGACAATGAGAGCAGCTAGAGAGCTAGTGGGGCAGGGCAGCAGGGAGGCGACACTGAAATGTCTATTCAGTATGGAAACAATACCAAATGAAACATCACGACACATAGACAAGGTATTTTTTATTATTTGTAAATGAATGTATTGAGTTAGCATAAAGGTAAAAAGAGTGAATCCATTTGCAAATGTGGACACATACAACAGCCTAGCAATTATTTTCAGTAGATCAAAATTTTGAGGATAGGTACCAGATGGAAAACACAATGAGTAGAAGAAATAAATACAAGACAAATCAAATTTACAGAAAGTGAAGGCTCTAGAAGAAAACAAGATTTTATTCCTTCAACAACTATTTATTGAGTTCTTACTATATGCCAGACATGGATTTATCTTTTTGAGATGGATCATTGAATAAACCACAGTGAAGTCTATATTTTAGCAAGGAAATAAATGATAAATGGTGAGCAGTCTAAATCAGTAGGTCACATGACAGGTTAGGAGATAGTGAGCACTATGAAAAAAAGATCCCAGAGCAGGGTGAGATGGAGCAGGCTGGTGGTGCACAGTGGAGAAGGGGCAGGCTGCATGTTCAGGACAGCAGTCAGGTTTGGCCTCAATAAGAGGGAAATTCAAGTAAAGAAACAGGTGAGAGAGTAAAGCCAATGTTCAGGGAAAGAACATTCCAGACAGAGGGAACAGGTGGAGGTGAAATTCTGAAGCAGGAATGGACTTTACCTGTTGCAGAAACAGCAAAATGGCTGGATGGCCAGAGCAGAGTGAGGGAGGGGAAATGAGGTAGGAAAGATCAGAGAGCTACTGGGGGCCCAGAGCCCTGTAGACCACTGTGGGGTCTCTGGCTTTTACTCTGAGTGAAATTGACAGTCGTTGGCCAGGCACGGTGGCTAACGCCCGTAATCCCAACACTTTGGGGGCCAAGGCAGGCGGATCACTTGAGATCAGGAGTTCAAGACCAGCCTGACCAATATGGTGAAACACCGTCCCTACTAAAAATACAAAAAATTAGCTGGACGTGGTGGTGTGCACCGGTAATCCCAGCTACTCAGGAGGCTGAGGCAGGAAAATCATTTGAACCTGGGAGGTGGAGGTTGCAGTGAGCCAAGATCACTCCATTGCACTCCAATCTGGACAGCAGAACAAGACTCCACTTAAAAAAAAAAAAAAAAGAAGAAGAAAAGAAAGAAAAGAAAAAAAATTGGTAGTCATTGCAGAGACTGAGAAAAGAAGCAACAAGATTAGACCATCATTTTCACAGGGTCACTCTGGCTACTATACTAACAATAGATTGTGGGAGATGAAAAGACTTACTTACAAAATTTATATATATTATATATATGTATTTTATGTATATATATGTATATATAATCTTAAAGCTGAAAGGGACCTCCTAGAACAGATAATACCAACCTCTCTTTTTTTTTTTTTTTTTTTTTTTTTTTTTTTTTTTTGTGAGACAGAGTCTCACTCTGCAACCTCTGGCTCCCGGGTTCAAGTGATTCTCCTTCCTCAACCTCCCGAGTAGCTGGGACTATAAGCGTGCACCACCATGCTCAGCTAATTTTTATATTTTTAGTAAAGACAGAGTTTCATCATGTTAGCCAGGCTGGTCCTGAACTCCTGACCTCAAGTGGTCCGCCCGCCTTGGCCTCCCAAAGTGCTGGGATTACACGGTGGCATGAGCCACCGTGCCCAGCCCCAACCTCTCCTCATAACTAAGGGGGAAATTCCAGCGTGAAACCAAAACTGCTCCAGGGTAACCTTAGATGACTCAAGGGCTGGTGCAGAGCCAGAGGGCCACACCCCTGTGCCTTCCAGGATGCCTCCAGGAGCAAAAGCAGATTTGGTCAACCTGGCAAAAGAGAAGTTTTTTTTTCGGAGACTAAGAGCACTTAGAGGGATCTAGCACTGGCTCTGCTGCTCACCATGTCACCTTGGGCAAGTTACTGTAAGCATCAGTTGCCTCATCTATTAGAAAAAAATAATACAACTAGACCAAATGTGTAGGAGGAATATTTTCATATCTAAAAATTCAGTGATTTTTAATACACTAATAAAATATCCAGGCCAGGAAGAAAAACTGAACTTCTGTTACAAGACCGATGTGGCAGGCATGGCAATAGTGGGAAGCTTCATGAAAAGGTAGTAAGAATGACGGCAGCTTACCTCAAGCCCTGAGAAAAAGCAAATGTGCACAGAGCTAAGGTACAGATTATATATTCATGTCCTGGCAAAAGAGAAAGAAAGGTACAGAAAAGAAATGGGAGCCAGGAACCACCACAAGACATCCCATCTGCTTGGGTTCATCCCAGCCCCCTTCCCTCCACACCATCCCACCCCTCCTGGGCTGGCATTTTTCCACTCTACATGTCCTACCATGCACATAATGTTTCAGGGAATCAAACTCCTCTAAAATACACAAAGCCTAAAAGATAGACATGTTTGCATTGGTGGCAACCTGGATATAAATGGACACAAAATCTTAAACACATTCCTGCCTCATCAAATATGTATTTGTTTTCACAAAAGCAGCTCAAACCTGCTTTGGGACTCCCTCCCACAAAACTGGCTCCGGATCAGGGAACACTACCAAACCAACAGCAGTCAAATCAGGTAAGAGTCCTACAATATGGAACATGTACAAACCGGTAAAGAAAATACGGAACATGTACAAACCGGTAAAGAAAACACGTTAAGACTGGTAGGTTTAAAATCAAAATTTACATGAAGACTGTACAAGACTGAACAAGAGAGAGGCTTTTCGTTTGGGAGTGGGGAAAAGAACCGATATAATTTTCTGAAAAATTTGAATAGGAAAAGTAAAGTACTCTAATTCTTTTTCCTTTTATCTGAATAATAATTTGGTTTAGCAGTGAAATCTAGTCAACTTTGAAAAGGAATACCTACGTCTGTTTACAAAGCTTGGTCATCTATGGACTTGAGGTACTGTGGCATTATCATATGCAGTATTTGCCAGCAATAGCAGGGAATCAGAGATGATCTATAAAAAATAACTGCAGATTTCCTCCTGGCTTTGTAAAGTTTCATTGTTGCTGATGTGTTGATGTGTTGCTGTTCAATCTGTTTCTTCAAAGCGTATTTAAATACTTTTGAAAACTGCATTATCTTTTGGCTACTGCCCTCCCTCCCACTTCAACTCTTCCTCTGCTGTGAAGGGCCATGGCTTACCTACTTCTACATTTTGTGAAGTAATATAATCAGATAACACTAGAGTCTAAAGTCTTCTCCTCAGTCAACAGAACACTCAAGTCAAGACCCATTCTCCCCGCTTAAGGAATCTGAATCTTATACAATTTGGGAACCTTCTTTAAGAAAAAGAATACAAAATTCGATATGTAAAATTAAGTACTGAAATAAATATTTATAATGTGATAAGAAATAACAGTAAATCACAAATTTTCTTAAGCTGATAAGTACCGTAAGCTTGAGACATTGCTAGGGCACCTCCCAGGGCCACAAAGGGAGCAATGCTAGTGAGAGGCCCCGAGGCTTCATCTTTATTTACCTTCATGGTAAACCCACCTCTGACAGGACTGTCAATTACATGAGGATATCCACCACTGACAGAGTAAGGGAAGCAGACAACCTCTTGTCTCATACATCACTTTCAATCCCCTGCAGGTCTTTCCTTCTTTAAGTCTGATACCATTAACACAGATGCTCACACTGGGGCCAGATCTGCATCTGGTAAGTGATTGTTTATATTATTTTAATACCCATTGTGAAATAAATATAATGCCTAATATTACAGTGGGGGGAGCATGTATATGGGTGCGTATATCCACAAATGAAAACACACATATACTTATTCACATAGATAAGTTGAAAGAGAGGAGAGAAGAGTCCAAGAGAGTTGGACATCATTAAACGTTTTTCTTAGCAAGAGAGTCTCTAAACAAATTAATCTAATTCTTTCCTTCTCCAGTTTCTCTAACCTCTTCTCCTCCTCTCTCCATTCCTCCACCATACCTTCTTTAATGCCCCTACAGCATCCACACATCCACATAAACACTATCACTGCTATTATCACCCACAATGACAGGAGCAAACTGGAAGAGACAAAGATCTTCAGTGTCTTCTTATAGAATATCTGTATAGATCTTCAGCCCTCTCATAGAATATCTGTGTAATCTGTTTGAGAAGAACAATAAGTTTCTTTCCTGAGTTAAAGTGGATTTTTTTAGTGGTCAAATTTAAATATAGCTCATGTTCCAGACAAAATATGTAGTCTGAACCTCATAATTTTCACGCATAACCTAGAGGAGTTAATTTCTTAATTGTAAAAAAGCTATCAGAAAATTTTCAGGAAGAATTGCTCTTGTAGCCAAAAGGGGAAAGCAAAGATAAAAATAAATCACTTAAGTAATTCTCAAACAGAATAGGTTAAATGCCAAAGAAAAACTTAACAGGGGAAAAGTTAGCAATAGCCCTTGTAGTCGTACAAGCAGACTAAATAAGTCTTTAAATTTCATCTTTGTGTCTAAGTATACATGCAATAGAACACTATGTATTTACATAGCAACTCCTTCCTTTAAATATATTTTACGTTTAGTAAAAACATTTTAGTTTCCTAAATGTCCAAACTGAAAAAAAATACAATGAAAGTCTTCTTCCTTGCCCTACAGTTAAATCCTGCTGCAGGAATGACACCTGGTACCCAGACCCACCCATTGACCCTGGGAGGGTTGAATGTACAACAGCAACTGCACCCACATGTAAGTTGAACAGCTGGACCTTAGTTTTAACATTAGAGAGCATTTTCTCTCAGGTGAAAGCCTACAGTAGAAATTTTTTAAAGCTTCTTGAAAATTTTGCCCAGATTATTAACTGACGAATGTTCTGCTGAACATAGACCAGTATTTGACAATCTGGTTCTTAATGAAAATTCATAAACATACCCAGAGAACTGACCATGCTACCTCACAACTTCTCTAGAATATATGTTTAATGGACAGGAAACCTTGAAAAGTTGGGGAAGATTGAAAAGTGAAAAATACATGGGGGGAAGTTGAGAGATCCCAGGATTTTTCTCTAGCATATTGTTTTCTCTTGAAGACTTTCTTGGTGACCAAGATCATCTCAAAGAAAAATTAAGAGGTGGATAAAGTTTATCTTCAGCAAATCTAATTGTCCCATTTTTGCGCCTTTTCATTCCCCCTTGAAAGTCCCCAAGGACTTTTCAGTATTTACCACCTCCCACTATCACTTGCTTTCAAAAAAACGAAACCTGAAAATCCTCTTACACTAAGATATAAACGACATACTTTAGGCATCACCTGTTTTTGAAGTGTTTGCATTTTAACATTGAACAAATTCCAAATTTTTACCTTATCGAAACTTTTCTAAATAGTGTAATAGGCTCCAGAGGGGCTGGGTGCAGTGGCCCACGCTGTAATCCCAGCACTTTGGAAGGCCAAGGCAGGAGGATCACTTGAGCCCAGGCATTTGAGACCAGCCTGGGCAACATAGTGAGACTTATCTCTACAAAAAATAAAATAAAATAAATAGCCAGGCGTGGTGGGGCTCACCTATAGTCCCAAGTACTCGGGAGGCTGAGGTGGGAGGATCACTTGAGCAAGGGAGGTCAAGGCTGCAGTGAGCAGCGATTGTGTCACTGCACTCCATCCTGGGTGATGAAGGGGGATTCTGTCTCAAAAAAAAAGAGAAGGAAAAGAAAGTCTCTGGAGGAAAATACAATAATCCTTTTACAGCAAGACTAAGTTGTTTGTAGATAACTTATTCTCCCCAACATGTGACCTCGGCCCCCATTATCCAACATAATGGTCTAATTTTTTGTAGAAGCATTTATTATTGTGTAAGTAATATATGTTAATTATAAAGAATTTAGGAAATGTAAATTTTCTAAAATTTACATATAAGCAAAAAATAAAATAAAATTCACTTGGAATCTCATTAGCCATAATCAAACACTGTCAACATTCTAGAGTATGTCCTTCCAGTCTTTTTTCTATACACATAAGTACATTTTTAAATAAAATGTTTTTGCTATAATGTTTTGTAACATGCTTTTTTCCACAAATATATTTTGAATAGTTTTCATGTTTTAAAATATTCACTCACAATGTTGTTTTTAATGACTGCTTAGTAGTCCATGGTATACTAAATTACTTATTATGAAAATTTGGGGGTTTTTCCAAAGTCTTTGCTTCTATAAACAATGCTACAGTGAGCATCCTTGTGACTAAGTCTATGATATTCCAATGACTATTTCCTTTGGACCAACTCTTAGGAACACAATTTCTGGAGCCAAAGACACACAAAGTATCTTGATAATAAAATTTTTGATAATAAAAGTGAACCTCTGTAAAAGATTTAAGATGCAAATAAAAAGAGACTCTCCATAACAGGTGATCATACTATAATCTACATACTGATTGCCCAGCTTCAGTCTCCATTGTTGCCCTCCTCTAACCTTGAAGGTAGACTTACTGCATCTTCATGTTCCCCAGAGAGTACCCTCCTAAGTCAAGGCATTAGTGGAGCCTGGAGATGTTACAAAAGTTTCAGTACAGAGAGTTTCACGTTGTACACTCTCTGTGCAATATTATAAATCAGTCCCCATTTGCTGTGGGAATTCTTCAATGTCTCTAGAATGTGCTACCACCAAGGGTTCCCATACCTGACCTTCCCCTGGGCAGCTCTAGTCCCTCCAACCCTGCCTTTCCCTGTGCAGAGTGGCTTATTATCTCTGCCACAACCTGGACACCTACTGGTGGCTCGCATTTATCAAAGAAAAATGAACCATGCTTGTGAACTCTAGAACCACACAATTTCTGGTTAAATGTCAGCTCTACACTTATTACTTATATGATGTTGGCCAAGTTACTTAACCACTCTGTGGCTCATTTTGCTCAAAATTTAAAATGGGCATTAAAGTAGAACCTTCCTCTACAGCTGTTGCAAAGATCAAATGAGTAAATATATGGAAAACACTTAAAACAATGCCTACCACATAGTAAACATGCGATGTGTTATTACGATTTCAAATAATTTCTCTACCGACAACTAAGAAAAAAGTCCTCTTTATTGTTATATTGGTGAACAATTAGAGTACCTTTCATTACAGTTTTTACTTAGACATCTATGGTTTCCTCTTTTTATCTTTTTGTTCTTTCCACTCCAACTTTCCATTAAAAAAGAAATTTCCATTTCATTTTCTCTTAAATCAAAAATATACCAACCACTTTCCCATTGCCACGTGAAGGCTAGTTGGGTTTTTTGTTCTTGTTTTGTTGTCCTTTTTTGTCAGTAGAGAAGGACCTGATTGTGAGTAAGGCTTTTTAATAAATGTACGTAATTTTTCCTTGTTGGCATTCCATAGTTCCATAATTCCTGCACCAACTGTCTTGGGAAACAATAGTTAACAGTCTATTTCATAAGACTTTCAAATCTTCTGGTTTGGTAATTATGAAATTAAGAGTCCCATTTTGATTACTTTCCTGACACTTTGAATTTTCTATAGAAATAAGAATAAATTTTTAAAACCTTAGCTTTCTTTGACAAACTTCTGGCCGGTTCTCAAAGTAGCAGAGTATGGGAGAATGCCAACACCTCACTCGAATCTTTTTCATCTTTTTGTGAACTAAATTTATAATATTTAGTTTGTTATCAGTGACCCTTGAATTATTTCTCGCCTAGTACTAAGAGCTATACCAATGCCAGGGGTTACTGAGCAATATTCCCTATAATTGCTTTATTTTAACAGCAAGATGTCCAGACAACTATTGCAAGACTAAGTATATATACCTCAAGAAATCTTCACATTTGAAAATACCCATCGCGTGTTTTAATGTGTCTTCTGAGATGCCATTTGAAAGAAATCTGTACATTTTAACATTATTGTTACTTGAAATAATTTTCAGTTTGGAGACTTCTTGAGAACAATTTTTTTTTGTTGTTTATCCAGTTTACTAACTTCTATCTTCTAAATGTGCTATCTTGAACTGGTTTCTAAATCTCTTGGGACTAATATTCTTTTTACAAATTGGAAAAGTTCCAAACTCCCATCCAGATCTATGAATTTATATCTATGATTATAGATAATACATTAGTAATAAATATCTGTTTAACAGATACTATATCCTTTTAAGAAGATATCAATGGCCGGGCGAGGTGGCTCATGCCTGTAATCCAAGAGCTTTGGAAGGCTGAGGCAGGCAGATCACAATGTCAGGAGTTTGAGACCAGCCTGACCAACATGGTGAAACCCCGTCTCTACTAAAAATATAAAAAATTAACTGGGCATAGTAGCAGGCAACTGTAATCCCAGCTACTCAGGAGGCTGAGGCAGGAGAATCACTTGAACCCAGGAGGCAGAGGTTGCAGTGAGCCAAGACCATGCCACTGCACTCCAGCCTGGGCAACAGAGCAAGACTCCATCTCCAAAAAAAGATATCAGTATTTATACCATCTTCCAGAGCTTACTTTTGAAAGAGTTTTTCTCTCATTTTTTCAGGTGTTACCAATTTTTGTCACACAACTTGGAGCCCAGGTAAAAATTATGCTTAATATTGTCTTGATTTTAAATCACCTTGCTGTGAAAGGTGATTTTCTTTCCTCAATTCACTAGATAGTTGTGAGGTTTCCAATGTACTTTGTACTGTATGGACACTGATAATCACAAGAGCTTGCTTTCTGCATAAGTTTTCTTCAATGAACATCCACTTAATGATAGAAAAATATATACTTTTTGGATGGAGATTAACTCATTACTCAAAAAATGAATGTCAGCAGTCTCACATCATATGCTGACTTGAGTTTTGTAATATAGATCATAAGGCAGTTTAACATATTATTGGAAAGGCAAAATCTGTATAATCTTTGAAAGTATTTTAAGTTTTAAGTGATATTATACATATATTACTACAAATACATTAAAATGTGTCTAACAAATTGTGTTTGTCATTTTGCTTTTAGGGCACTATCCTAAGCTCAGAGGAATTGGTAAAAAAAATAAAAATACTATTTCAAATTATTTTCACTTCTATCACAATGTTTTCTGTCCTCATATAGTCTCTTTTGACCATAAATCCTAAATATGGTATGTACTACAATGAACTGAACATTTTTATAGTTCCTTACATTAGATTATCCTTTCTTTGTTTGGGGATTTCATTATACTTCTCCAGCTACTTTTCTATTAATTTGACTTAGCTTTTGTTTCCGTTTATTGCTATCAGATTCAGTTCTATCCAGAAAGGCAGTGCACATTTTTTAACTTCATAAGGATTTCAGTCTAGGATTATAAACTATTGAAATGTATGCAAATGTAGAATAACATAAATATTGACTTTTTACAGGAAAGATTAAATTCCTTGACTTGGATATTTAATTTTTATGGAAAAATATATCTTTTTCCAGCGTCAGATAGTGATAAATGAACTCTTTCCTACACACATAAATAATTGGAGGGCTGTACCTAAATATAGTTCATATCACCATTGCTAAACACTTCTATGCATTCCTCCATAGGTCCTTTTCTAGAGAAAAGGACTTGAATTAACATGATATCTAAACATGACAACAGTACAGAATTGAGGCAATATTTGGGAACACAGTTATTCAACAGCTTTTCTATTATGGAAAATGTAGATATTTTCTATATTGTCCATAAATAATCATCAAGGAATGGGGCTAGTGTCTGTTTTGCCAACATTGATGCATGAACATCCATATCCAGCTACTGAAGGTTCTTCTATATAACCAGCACTTTAGCAGATCCTTTACATATGTTGCTTTCAACCTTCCCCAAAGCACAAAGCAGATATTTTTGACCCAGCTTTACAGATAAAGAAACTGAGGTTAAAAGTTTAAGTAATTTAGGCCTCAAAGGCAACAATGAGAAGAAAAGAGTGGATCCAGATCCAATGCCATTTTTTAACCTACTACACTAGTGGTTTTTCAAACATTTTTAACACAACTCACAATAGCAACTACATTTTTCATGCAGCTTAGCACACACACACACACACACACACACATTCACGAAACAGCATTCACCTTTACTATATAGAATGCACTACTAGTCTACTGCCTGTTTTATTGTTTAATGATGACTGACACTCACCTTTTTTACTTCAAAACTGTGGATATCACAACCCTCAGTTTGAAAACGTCTGTACTCTGCTCCTATCTGTCATCCAGCGTAAGTCTAATTCTGGTTTCAATATCTCTTAAATGTAACACAGTGTTTCCCAAACTTCATTCCTTGCCCAGCAAATCAGGATGGCATCAAAAGCTGGTTAAAAAGGCAGATTGCTAGGTCCTGCTCCAGACCTGCTCGATCAGAATCTCTCTAAAAATGAAAAACTCCAATAGACAGGAATTCTTTATGTATCTTCAAGGAACATACAATAGCTGAATTGCCAGGATAAATGTTTCTAACTAAGTATTCCAATGCCTTTGAAAAATACATCAAAAAAACTTGAAGGGATGAAAGCCATCAGGATTAATCTACTTGAATCAATTTTTCCATTAATTTTTATGCTCTTATTTTTTGAAAAAATGTTATGAGCAAAAGAAAGATTACATGTTAGGTTTAATAATATGTAATTTATTTCTGAGGGAAATGGAGCATAGCAAAGAGTCCCAGTATTGAATCAGACTAGGCTGGACCAAGGGTGTATTTCCCCTGAGGAATGCCAGGTCTTTGCTGTCTTCTCTGACTTTACTCTCTCCATCTTTCCATTCCTACCCAAACTTGCTCCCCTTAAAAGAGAAAAGAAAATGTGTTGCTTTTAACTTTGTTTTCTGTTTGCTTCCCTCATTCCAGCCACAAATCTTCACGAGCCTCATCATCCATTCCTTGTTCCCGGGAGGCATCCTGCCCACCAGTCAGGCAGGGGCTAATCCAGATGTCCAGGATGGAAGCCTTCCAGCAGGAGGAGCAGGTGTAAATCCTGCCACCCAGGGAACCCCAGCAGGCCGCCTCCCAACTCCCAGTGGCACAGATGACGACTTTGCAGTGACCACCCCTGCAGGCATCCAAAGGAGCACACATGCCATCGAGGAAGCCACCACAGAATCAGCAAATGGTAAATTCTCCTAGCTTGGAACATGCTTCTTGGCTATAAAAGTCATCTGCAGAATGGAAAAGAGGAGTTCTTTGTCTTGCCTTGACAAATGCAGATCTTAGTAAGATTAGGAAGCCCCTTTACTCACTCACAGTTAACTCCAGCAACATGAGGGAATATTTTTACTCAGCCACCAACCCCCAGGTATTAACACTGAAGGAAGAATTTGTGTGAGTGTTTTTGGTTGTTTTGAGACAGGGTCTTGCTCTGTTGCCCGGGCTGGAGTGCAGTGGCATGATCTCGGCTCACTGCAACCTCCGTCTCCTAGGTTCAAGCGATTCTCATGCCTCAGCCTCCCAGTAGCTAGGATTACAGGCGCACATCACCACAGCTGGCTAATTTTTGTATTTTTAATAGAGACAGAGTTCAACCATGTTGACCAGGCTGGTCTGAAACTCCTGACCTCAAGTGATGCACCCACCTCGGCCTCCCAAAGTGCTGGGATTACAGGAGTGCGCCACCGCACCTGACCATACAAGCTAATTTTTGTATTATTTGTAAAAACGGGGTTTTGCCATGTTGCCCAGGCTGGTCTAGAACTCCTGGCCTCAAGCAATCTGCCTGCCTCGGCCTCCCAAAGAGCTGGGATTGCAGGCATGAGCCGCCATGACTGGCCTGAAAGATTTTTAATTGTTGGCATAACACATGTTCCATTTTGGGTCAGAACTGAAAATACTTGAAAGCAGAATGTGTTCCTTGCCCCAATACACACACACGCACATAGAAGCCTATAGGAGACACACTTCAGTTCATCATGACCCTGTCTCCACTCACTGATGGAGCCTCAGAACCTTCCTACTGTAATACTGCAAGCAGCCACTAGTGATTACCTACTGTAATAGCAGGCACTAGTAATAGCTAGCAGAGCAGATAAACCCATCTGCCGTTCTTAGATGGAACCTAAGAAATGTGACAAAAATAAGCTTTTCTTGCACCCACAAGCAAAGTTAATTGCTTAACATGTGAAAATGTCTAGAACCAAATATCCTTAGAGATAACTAAAGAATGATATGGATGCTCCTAATCCTGCAAAAGAAACTTGGATCTCAAGTAAAAGATATTTATGTTAAATATACTTTTTACCTACATTTAAAAGGTGTTTTATTTTCTTCCAGGAATTCAGTAAGCTGTTTCAAATTTTTTCAACTAAGCTGCCTCGAATTTGGTGATACATGTGAATCTTTATCATTGATTATATTATGGAATAGATTGAGACACATTGGATAGTCTTAGAAGAAATTAATTCTTAATTTACCTGAAAATATTCTTGAAATTTCAGAAAATATGTTCTATGTAGAGAATCCCAACTTTTAAAAACAATAATTCAATGGATAAATCTGTCTTTGAAATATAACATTATGCTGCCTGGATGATATGCATATTAAAACATATTTGGAAAACTGACTCTTTTTCTTCTTTGGAGATGGAAGAAAGTTGGCCCTTACAGAAACTACATTTCCTCAGGGCACTAACATGATACTCCAGGTCTAGAACTTTCTTTGGAAGTAGGAAGCACAGCAGTCAAGAAAGGGACATCCAGCAATGTGAAGACAAATTCTGGTCTCTTCACAGTTACCTCATCATTTGCTTTCTTATAAGAGTCACAAACTTAATTTTTAATAAGCAGAGTACTTTTGAACATCTAAAACATACAGTACAAAGAATTACAAATCATAATTCTGCCTATCCTCAAGTGTTTATATTCAGAACTCATGATAATGGCATTTAATGTTTAATTTTGGTATGCTTGAGTGTGAAAAATGGCATTGAAAAAAGTAATCATAATCACTAAAACAAACCAAGGTGATACTCTTGCTCCATTCACCTAAAAGGTAGAAACTAATCTGATTTAAACTTATAACAGACCATTGCAGTTCATCTATAGTGAGGGGGATTAATATAAACTGCAGTAGAGCCCCCCAAAAAGAAAGGTATGGATAGGGTTAATAACATTTCTCACTATATACGGCTCAACTCCATCAGTACGCAACAAATGGAAATATGCACCATGAAATATATTCCATGTTTAGTGTATCAGGTGGTTACAGATTTGCTAGTGGTTAATGATTTATTAGCCACCTTGTTTCAGATATGCAGAAGCTGAATAACTTACTTATAAACTGTCAATATTCATGACCAAATGAGAGTAAATTAGTATTCAAACTTCCAAAAATATTTTGCCACTTGTGATAATAATTAAAAGTGCTAATAAAGGACTTCCTGGATAACCATCTATCAAAAAAATATTCTTTCAGTTAGGAGACTGAAGCAGGAAGATCTCTTGAGGCTAGGAGTTTAAAACTAGCTTGGACACAATAGGAAGACCATATGTCTAAAAAAAGTTTGAGAAGTTATCTGGTATGTACCTGTAGTCCCAGCTCCTTGAGAGCCTGAGGCAAGAGGATCATTTGAGCCCATGCGTTCAAGGCGGCAAAGAGCTATGATCGCACCACTGCACTCCAGTCTGGGCAACAGAGCAAGACTCTGTCTTTAAAATAACTAATTGATTAATTTTTTAATTTTTTTGAGCCTCATTTTTTTAATCTGTAAAATGGAGGCAAAAATCCCTGTCATGTTCAGGCACAGTGGCTCACCGCTGTAATCCTAACACTTTGGGATGCCAAGGCGGGTGAATCACTCGAGCCCAGGAGTTTGAGACCAGCCTGGGAAGCATGGTGAAACCCTATCTCTACAAAAATAAATAAATACAAAAATTAACTGGGCATGGTGGCATGCAACTAGAGTCCCAACTATTCAAGAGGCTGAGGTGGGTGGATCATTTGAGCCCAGGAGGTTAAGGCTTCAATGAGCTGAGATTATGCCACTGCACTCCATCATGGATGACAGAGTGACACCCTCTCTCAAAAAAAAAAAAAATCCCTGTCATAGATGTCCCACAAAGTTAATATGATCATCAAAGCAAATACACAAGGTGCTTTACAAATTCCACTATAGAAATCCATTTTGTTTACTTTCAATGTTCTTCAAACCAATCGAGGCTATCAATTATTCCAGCACCATATCTTCCTCCCTAAACTCCTGCATACATATTGCCATGACAGCATTAATACACAAGGTGTGAGATTACCATCTAGACCATCAAAGCCAGGGTGTCTTCCAACTGGGATATGCTACTCCTGGGGGAACCTGAAGACTTTCTAAGGGCTACAGGGTCTTAAGGGTTTAATTTCCATCCTCAACTCTCACCTATGTACTCTCTTGAGACATATCTGCCTGAGAACATGTTCCTTTTCCTCCTCCCCTTTCATACTCACTCTTTTCCCACCTTCAAAAGACAGATCTATGAGGGAACTTCAAAAAGTTAATGGGAAAATGAAATTAAAAGTAGATTATTGGCTGGATGCAGTGGCTCACGCCTGTAATCCCAGCACTTTGGGAGGCCAAGGGCAGGAGTTCCAAACCAGCCTGGCCAATATGGTGAAAGCCCATCTCTACTAAAAACACACAAATTAGCCAGACATGTCACACCTGTAATCTCCAGCACTTTGGGAGGCCAAGGCCAGGAGTTCAAAACCAGCCTGGCCAACATGGCGAAACCCCATCTCTACTAAAAACACAAAAATTAGCCAGACATGGTGGTGCACTCCTGTAACCCCAGCTACTCTGGAGGCTGAGGCATGAGAATCACTTGAACCCGGGAGGCAGAGGTTGCAGTGAACTGAGATGGCACCACTGCACTCCAGAGTGAGATTCTGTTTCCAAAATAAATAAATAAATAAATAAATAAATAAATAAATAAATAAATAGATTATAGAATAACATTTATAGAGTAAAAAGAAATATATCATTAAAAATATAAGCTTCATTGCTCAACATAAGCTCCTTCAAGTTCAAGACACTGAATTACAACTAGCTAGGGGGAATAAGTACTGGTATTCTATACCGCTGTAGAATGACTGTAGTTAACAATAATATATAGTTTCAAATAGCTAGAAAAAAGTATTGAACATTCCCAACATAAAAAAATGATAAATGTTTGAGATGATGGATATGCTAGTTACCCTGATCTGATCTTCATACATTATGTGTATCAAAACACTGCTATGTACCCCATGAATATGCACTATTACTGTCTGTCAACTTTTAAAAATAAAATTAAAATTAACTTTTTTTTAAAAAGGACACTTCTAGCAGGCACAGTGGCTCATGTCTGTAATCCCAGCACTTTGGGAGGCCAAGTTGGGTGGATCACTTGAGGTCAGGAGTTCGAGATCAGCCTGGCCAATGTGGTGAAACCCAGTCTCTACTAAACATACAAAAATTAGCTGGGCGTGGTGGCACAGTCCTGTAATCCCAGCTATTCAGGAGGCTGAGGCGAGAGAATCATTTGAACCCAGGAGGTGAAGGTTACAGTGGGCCAAGATTGTGCCACTGCCCTCCAGCCTGGGTGACAGAGAGACTCAGTCTCAAAAAAAAAAAAAAAAAAGACACTTTGGTAAGCAATGATACCAGTCATTTAGTCCATCCTTAAAGAACTGAGGGTCCTGGGAATTTAATCATGTCAATGAAGTCTTTTTCACATTATTAACTGAAGAAAAATAGGTGATCTTAAAGATGTTTTAAGATTAGGAAACAAAAATAAGTCAGAAGGAGCCAAATCAAGACTATGAGGTGGATGCCTAAGGATTTCCTATCAAAACTCACAAAATTGCCCATGTTTGATGAGAGGAATGAGCAGGAGCATTGCTGTGGTGGAGGAGGACTCTCCAGTGAGAAGCATTTTTCTGCTAAAGCTGTAGCTGACTTTCTCAACACATCCTCATAATAAGCAGATGTTCTCATTCTCTGGCCTTCCAGAAAGCCAACAAGCAAGATGCCTTGAGCATCCCAAAATAACTATTGCCGTGACCTTTGCTCTTGACTGGCCCACTTTTGCTTTGACTGGACCACTTCCACCTCTTGGTAGCCATTGCGTTGATTGTGCTTTGTCTTTGGGATCATGCTGGTAAAGCCATGTTCCATCTCCTGTTCCAATGCTTCAAAGAAACGCTTCAGGCAATGGTAACAAAAGCCAAAATTGACAAATGGGATCTAATTAAACTAAAGAGCTTCTGCACAGCAAAAGAAACTACCATCAGAGTGAACAGGCAACCTACAGAATGGGAGAAAATTTCTGCAATCTACTCATCTGACAAAGGGCTAATATCCAGAATCTACAAAGAACTCAAACAAATTTACAAGAAAAAAACAACCCCATCAACAAGTGGACGAAGGATATGAACAGACACTTCTCAAAAGAAGACATTTCTGCAGCCAAAAGACACATGAAAAAATGCTCACCATCACTGGCCGTCAGAGAAATGCAAATCAAAACCACAATGAGATACCATCTCACACCAGTTAGAATGGCGATCATTAAAAAGTCAGGAAACAACAGGTGCTGGAGAGGATGTGGAGAAATAGGAACACTTTTACACTGTTGGTGGGACTGTAAACTGGTTCAACCATTGTGGAAGACAGTGTGGCGATTCCTCAGGGATCTAGAACTAGAAGTACCATTTGACCCAGCCATCCCATTACTGGGTATATACCCAAAGGATTATAAATCATGGTGCTAGAAAGACACATGCACACATATGTTTATTGTGGCACTATTCACAATAGCAAAGACCTGGAACCAACCCAAATGTCCAACAAAGATAGACCAGATTAAGAAAATGTGGCACATATACACCACGGAATACTACGCAGCCATAAAAAAGGATGAGTTCATGTCCTTTGTAGGGACATGGATGAAGCTGGAAACCATCATTCTCAGCAAACTATCGCAAAGACAAAAAACCAAACGTCGCATGTTCTCACTCATAGGTGGGAACTGAACAATGAGAACACTTGGACACAGGAAGGGGGACATCACACACCGGGGCCTGTTGTGGGGTGGGGGAACGGGGGAGGGATAGCATTAGGAGATATACCTAATGTAAATGATGAGTTAATGGGTGTGGCACACCAACATGGCACATGTATACATATATAACAAACCTGCACATTGTGCACATGTACCCTAGAACTTAAAGTATAATTTAAAAAAAAAAGAAAAAAAAAGAAATGCATCAGGATCCTTCTGCCACTTGTTTATAATTTCCATCGAAAGCTCTGGTCTTGACTGCACTGATCTGGGACCCACAGTTTTGGCACCCATCGACTGGAAAGTTGGCTCAACTTTAGTTTTTCAGTCAGAATTGTGTAAGCTGAACCAACTGAAATGTCTGTGGTGTTGGCTACTGTTTCTGCTATAATCATCAGTGCTCCTCAATTAGGGCACAAACATGATGAATTTTTTCCTCGCAAATTGATGTGGACAGTCTACCGCATCTTCGCATCTTCAGCATCATCTTGTCCCTTCTTAAAATGAGTTATCATTTATAAATTGCTGATTTTTGAGGTGCTGTCCCCATAAACTTTTGTAAAGCACTGATGACTTCCCAAGTCTCCCACCCAAACTTCACCATCAATTTCATGTTTGTTCTCACTTCAATTTTAGCAAAATCCATGTTGCTCTGATAGGGGCTCTTTTCAAACTGATGTTTTGTCTTCTTAGTGCATCAAATGAGACCTTGTTCAGACAAGTTAGTACAAGTTTATTTTGGTGCGAAAATATTTTTTAATCCATCCACAGTTTTTCATAATACACGTTTTCCATAAATTTTTGAAGCCCCCTCACATTTCTTATCTATCACTGATTTCACTGTGGAAAATTTTTCTGTCTTAAAAACCTCTAGGACACAAAACAAATTGAGAATCTGAAATATTGATACTGTTGTTAAAAATGAAAATGACCTTTTACAAATCAGGTAGTTCAGGTAGTTTCAAATATCAATAGGATTAAATAGGGACCTAATGGAATCATCAGGTGACTAATCATTAAAAATAATTTTGGTGGTAGAAATTAAAAATATTTAGTTATGAATCATTTTTAAATATCAAAATACATAAATTATATATTAATACAAATAACTTACTTTTGATGAAAAATAACTACTTTTTTACTTTGATGAGAAGGTGAGGTACTTAGTTTAATGAACAAAATTTAGTGAGAATAGTAACTTTATTCTTAAAATATCTTTCATGTCTGATTTAATCAAAAATATTAAGATTTTTGTGTCTGCTTCTCCATTCACTGTATCTGTCACAATATTACATATGTTGTGCTGAAAATTTATACTGTAACTCGAGAGAATAAGAATGAAACAGGAAAATAAAACCTTGATATTATAAAAGTAGTTTACCTTGATGACCATCAAAAGGATCTCAGAGACTTTCAAGGATCTTCAAATCAAACTTTGAAAAAAACTTTGAACAGTATTACACCCATTTATTTTTATCCTCTTTCTAGTTACATATACTGAAAACCACATGATTTCATGTGTGTATGTAACTCACACATACTCTCATTGCTTGTTATACTACTACAGGAATATACCCCCACAAACACGGTAATTCTCATAAAACCAGTTTCATTCAATTCTCAACAAAAAAATTATAGTAAATGTATAATTCTATGTGCTTTAATATCAAACATACTCCTGACAGAAGAGATCTTCCTGTTACATGAGGCATCAATGAAAGATGAAAACTCTGCTTCCAATTTTACTGTCTGACAACTGGTAGAATTTCCCACAGACTACTTTCTGGCTTCCAACCTTACAGACTTTTTCTCTTCCATTCACCACATAACCACATTACTTCTGCTACCAAACATCACAAGACACATTGTGATACCAGCTCTGGCCTTTCACTTGGTGTCCCTATACCTGTACTTGGTGCATTGGAACTTTAGGGGATGGGTGAAATAGGAGTATTTCTGGAAGCTATTTCTAAAATAAAACAACCAGAAACAACTATTTACAAGCCACATAAATATACCCCACTAAACCCAAACTAAAAGTGTTCTCAATTTAACCTTTCATAGGTGGATCACAAAAACACCTGTAACTACATCAATGCCATTTGACACAACATGAAGTATGATAAAAGGAAAGTCAGAGTAGAAAGAGAAGTCATAACTTGTTGTGGTTAAAATATCTTACTTTTTCAAAAGCTACAAAACACAGGATCCTGTGAACCCATGCTAGTATCATCTTAGGATCTTGGAAGAGACCAGTATAAGTGAAGGGCCCTGAAGTTTCAACTTAAACTTCACTAGCTTCATAATAAATACATCTCTGCCTCCCCACCTTTACCCAATTTTAAACATTCTACTTGCCCTTCTTTCCTCTGCATTTTGGGTTTTTCAATAATCCTATTTATGTCTTTATTAGAAGATACCAAGTTTGTAATAATACCTGCCTTGTTCTGGGTGACAAATTCTGCTTATACCATAAAGTATGTACCTCATGTAGTATATACTGAGGGCATTTTACAAGGGAAGTACAATATATTTCTGGAAAATTACATTCTAATTTACTCTCTTTTGGCCAGAAAAACTTTGACAAGGTAATAGATACCAAAGTCTAGAGAAGTGCTATCCAAAAGAAATATAATGTGAGCCACATATGTGTCTGTAAATTTTCCAGTTGCCACATGAAAAAGGTAAAAAGAAGCAGAAAAAATTATTTTTTTTTTTTGAGACAGAGTCTCACTCTGTCACCCAAGCTGGAGTACAATGGCACAATCCTGGCTCACTGCAACCTCCACCTCCCAAGTTCAAGTGACTCTCTTGTGCCTCAGCCTCCCAAGTAGCTGGAATTACAGGCGTGTGCCACCATACCCAGCTAATTTTTGTATTTTTAGTAGAGACAGGGTTTCACCATGTTGGTCAGGCTGGTCTCAAACTCTTGGCTTCAGGTGATCCACCCACCTCAGCTTCCCAAAGTGCTGGGATTACAGGTGTGAGCCACTGCGCCTGGCCAAACATAGACAAAATTAATTTTAATAATATATGTTATTAATGTAATAAATCCAAAATATTCATTCTAACATGTATTCAATATTTTTAAATTATTAATGATCTATTTTACATTCTTTATTTTTGTTTCTAAATCTTTGAAATCCAGTATATATTCTCATTTACATTTCACTTTGAGCTAGCCACATTTCAAGAGCTCAATTAGCCACTACCGTGTTGAACAGCACAGGTCTAGGGAAGAAGAACCATGAGGCTAATAGTAACAACCCTACTTAACTAATGGGGAATCTAAATCTTGTTTTGTGTAAGTAATATGTCCAAGATCATACAGGAGCTAGCATTTTGTGAAACTGGGCTTTGAACTTAGTTTTGCATAAAAGTTATGAAGTTTAAAGAAACTTTTCTAAATCATCAAAAATAAAATGCTGATTTAATCAATAATGCTAGAGGAAAGACTGGATCATCTTTCTATTCCTTTTATTAAAAAAAACTATGAAATCATTGTCATATGAAGAGACAATCAAAATTCAAAAAGTGTAAGGAATAAGTATTATAAAGATGCGTCAGGGCCAGAAGCAGTGGTTCATGCCTGTAATCCCACACTTTGGGAGGCCAAGGCATGCAGATCTCTTAGCCCAGGAGTTTGAGACCAGCCTGGGCTACATGGCGAAACCCTATCTCTACAAAAAGTGAAAAAGCTGGACATGCTGGCATTTGCCAGTGGTCGTAGCCACTGAGGAGGCTGAGGTGGGAGGATCACTTGAGCCTAAGAGGTCAAGGCTGCAGTGAGCTTTGATCATGCCACTGCACTCTACCCTGTTCATCAGAGTGAGATCCTGTCTCAAAAAAAAAAAAAAAGATTTGTCAAGTAGTTAAACAATAGTATTAACCATCTGGATTTGGTGATGTTTATGTGGGTTGTCAGCTTTTTTAATTAATAATTTGTTGTGACATCTTTCTTCATTTGAAATAAACTTTCACTCTCTTACTAAATTGTATTTTTAATTTTGTACTCTTTTTTCTCTGTTGTCATAAGTCCATACTGGCATTGCTGAGATATTGACATTCTGCCTGGCCAACAGTCTTCGCAGGTTACTACTGTATCCTACTCACCCACATTCTGCCTCCCCCTGCTCCCCCTGGGAAGTCTCCGCAAAGCTGCCTTAGATCTCTCTGCCTAAACTCTGTCCTAGGACTCTTATACTCCATCACTCCTGAGACTGGCACATGAAAACACTGCCATTAATGCTGCCTCCTGGGGCACATCTAAAAGAAGGGCTGAGCTTCCCTCTCCTCCCTTTCAGTTTCTCCTACGCTACCTAGGGTTCTAATGTTCCCCACGCTGATCCCTTCTTCACAGGGCATCTTATCAGAGACACAGATTCTAAGATCTTTCTTTCCTGCTTCCCTTGTCTTCTCCTAGTTTGTATAATCTTTTCCGTTATATTTTGGAGAAGAGAGCAAAAATATTGGCATTGATCCGTTCTTCCAGATCTATTTTATGGCATTTACTTTATACCAAATGCTTCAGATCTTGGCTTTTAAGACCAAAATTATTTTCCCTCAAACCATTGTTTCTACCGTAAAATTCTAAAGTTTATTTTGAAGCTGAAAGGCCAAGAATGCACTAATTTTTATCTTTCAGTATTTCTGCTCTTCCTTTTTTCTCTGAGGGAATGGATTCTAAAGTCTAGAGAAGAGTGATCTGATAGAAATATAATATAAGCCACAAATGTAATTTTAAATTTCCTAGTAGCCACATGGAAAAGACAGAGAAGCAGATAAAATGAATTTTATGAATATATATTTATTTAAGTGAATATATCCTCAATGTATTTTTACATATATTCAATATAAAAAATAATAAACTATTTTATATTTTTGTTATTGTTACTAAGTCTTTGAAATCCAATGTTTATTTCCATTTACATCTCAATTTGAACTAACCACAATTCAAGTGCTTGATAGTCACATGTGGCTAGTGGCTACCGTATTAGATAATTAGTACAGGTCTAGATTGAATGAAGGAAGAGCTACAAGGTTGAAAGTAATAACACAGAACAAAAATACACTGGTAAAATATGCAAAATTCAAGAAATCAAAGATCTAAATAAATGGAGAAATATTTTATGTATTAATGGATAGAAAGATTTATATTGTCAAGATGTCAGTTCTTCCCAACTTGATTTATAGGTTAAATGCCATCCCACTCAGAATCTCAGCAAGTTATTTTATGGATTTTGACAAACTAATTTTAGAGTTTATATGGAAAGCCAAAAGACCCAGAATAGCCAACACAATATTGACACTACTCAACTTCAAGACTGACTATAAAACTATAGTAATTAAGACAGTGTGGTATTGGTGAAATAATAGAAAATTAGATCAGTAAAACAGAACAGAGTACCAAAATGGATCCACACAAATATAGATAACTGACCTTTAGCAAAGAAAGTCAACTCAGCACAGAAAGGATGATCATTGGACTTCCCATGCAAAAAAAAAAAACAGACTTTAGACACATTATACCTTTATGCCTAAATGTAAAATGCAAAACTATAAAATTCCTAGAAGATAATGTAGGAGAAAATCTAGGTGGCCTTGAATTTGGTTATGACTTTTTAGATACAATACCAAAAGCACTATCCATGAAAGAAAAAATAAAGTTGGGCTTCATTAAAATTGAAAACTTCTGTTCTGCCAAAAACAGTGTTAACAGAATGAGGAGATATGCCATAGACTAGGGAAAATATCTTTGCAAAACATATATCTTATAAAGAAGTGATATACAAAGTATACAAAGAACTCAAAACTCAGTAAGAAGAAAATAACCCAATTTAAAAATCAGCAAAGATCTGAAGACATCGCACCAAAGAAAATACACAAATCTTAAATATGCCTATGAAAAATGCTCAATATCACGTCAGCACGAAATTACAAATTCAAAAACACCGAGATATCATATATATCTATTAAAACAGCTAAACCCTATAACACTTTATAATACCAAATGCTGTCAAAGATGTGAAACACCATGAATTCTCATTCATTGCTAATGGGAATGCAAAATGATAGAACTACCTCAGAAGACAATTCGGCGGTTTCTTACAAAACCTAACAAACTCTTAACCATACAATCCTTGGAATTTACCCCAATAGTTCAAAATTTATGTTCACACAAGAATCTACACAATTCATAATTTATAATTCATAATTGCCAAAACTTAGAAGCAATCAAGAAGTCCTTCAATAGGTTAATGAATGAAAAAAATGTGGTACATCCAGAGAATGAAATATTATTCTGTGATAAAAATAAACTGTCAAACCACAACAAGATATGAAGGACCCTTAAATGCCTTATTGTTACTGAAAGAAGCCAGTCTTAAAAAGCTACATACAGGCTGGGCTCATTACCGTAATACCAACACTTTGAGAGGCCAAGGCAGGAGGATTGCTTGAGCCCAGGAGTTCGAGACCACCCTAGGCAAAATACTGAGACCTCATCCCTAAAAAAAAAAATAAAATAAAAATTAGCCAGGCATTGTGGTAGTCCTAGCTACTCAGGAGGCTGAGGTGAGAGAATCACTTGAGCCTAGGAGGTTGAGCCATGATCACACTACTGCACCACTCCAGCCTGAGTGACAGGGTGAGGCCCTGTCTCAAAAAAGAGCAGCCTGCCCAGTATGGTGAAACCCTGTCTCTACACTGTATGGTTCTAGCTACATGATCTTTCTGGAAAAGGCAAAAATATGGGGATAGCAAAATGATCAGTAGTTGCCAGAGGTTCAGGGGGAAGGGAGGATGAATAGGCGGAAGACAGAAGATTTTTTTAGGGTGATGAAACTATTCCGTATGACACCATAATAGTGATACATGCCATTATACATTTATCAAAATCCATAAAATACACAATGCAAAGAGTGAATGCTAATGTAAACTATAGAATTTAGTTAATAATGTATTTTATTGGATCATATATTTAACGTATCTTAATGTACAATTGTAGCACCAATTGTAACAAATGTGCCACATTGACGCAAGATGTTAATAATAGAATTAACTGTAGGGGAAAGGAAGAGGAGGTGTAAGTGGGAACTCCTGGACTTCCTCTTCAATTTTTCTGTAAACATAAAACTACTTTTAAAAATCTATTAATTTTCCTAAAATATACACACACAAAAAAACCCCACTGGTTAGTATTTTAAAATATTAGCCCACAGTGTTTGCAAATTGGTGTGGTTTGCTTAAAATGACCTCCCCCTAGTGGTGCTGAGACAGAAAAACTAGAAGAGTAGTGAACTGGCTGTGTAGCCAGGGAAAAGACAGCAAGGTGCTACTAGAAACAAATTGTCTCAAATCAGATTGCAGTCTGTAAACCCAAGTAAGGACTCAAGTAGTCAGGCAGGAGGGTGGTTAAGAATGACACTTTGGGAAAACCAGACAGTGTCTGAGCAAAGTAAATGAGTAGGTGATCCCTACAACACCATGGGAGTGACTCAGAAAAAAAGGAAACCAAATTCTATAATTATGTATCCCTTAGATAGGAAGATCTCCCACAGACCAGGAAAAGAAGTCACATGAAAAGGGCCATAAAATGCAGGCTAATCCTCCAAATGAAATGTTTGCAGATTTGACCAGTAGGAATCTAATCTAAGATTTAAGAAGCCACATTCAGAAATCTCAACAGTGCTAAGAAACAAGTTGAACTTTTAATTGTTAATTTAATTAAAACTTTAAATTTGTAAAACTAAAATTGATAACTACATACCCAGTATGAAGTCAGTATATAATAGATTTTAGATCAACAAATAGTACAAATAATTGCAACAATTATTCACTTCAGAGTCAAATTAAAAATAAAATTTGAATTCAACTTATTTTAAACTTAAAATCACAAGAGGATGTTATGTATAAGAACATCTCAAAAAGTCATGTACTTATATCCCTTCTGGAATCTACTAAACATTTTCTAAGAGTCCACTATTCATATCTTATCAAAGTGTCTATATATTAAAGCATCTACTATTTTATTTAAGTGTTCCTGTGTAACTGAGAATAGAATCATTTGAGAAGTCAAAGAAAGTTAGCACATAGAAAATCACTTTCTTTACAAATATTTACAACATCTCCTCACTGCCTTTCTAGGTAGATACCTACCACTGGTTTTGGTAGACTCATTCATGCTGCAAATTGCATCCTTAATACTGTGAGTGCAACCTTATATATATATGTGTGTGTGTATGTGTGCGTGTACATGTATAAATATATACACGTATATATATATAGCTTATATATATATATTGCTAAGGACTTTTACTGTCATCCTACATTCTAAACTTCTGATCTATATTTCATTCAGTACTTCTTTCCTCAGCAGTGTGTAATCTGTTGTTAAACCCATCTAACTCATCTATTTTTCTCTTAATTTTGTTTATTGGCCTTTTCACTTCTAGAATTTTTATTCGGCTCTTTTTGAAATCTGCTATACCATATTTTATAGTTTCCAGTTCCTTGTCAAATTTTTCAGCCAGGCACAGTGCCTCACTCCTGTAATCTCAGCACTTTGGGAGGCTGAGGTCGGCAGATAACCTGAGGTCAGGAGTTCAAGACAAGTCTGGCCAGTATTGTGAAACCCCATCTCTACTAAAAATACAAAAATTAGCCAGGTGTGGTACCATGTGCCTGTAATCCCAGCTACTGGGGAAGTTGAGGCAGGAGAATCGCTTGAACCTGGGAGGCAGAGGCTGCAGTGAGCCTAGATGGAGCCACTGTACTCCAGCCTGGGCGACAGAAAATTCCATCTCAAAAAAAAAAAAAAACAAACTTTGCTTTTATCTTCTTGAATATAGTCTTAGTTTTTTTTAAAACAAACTATGATTCTAATTATCTTGATTCCATATGGGTCTTTTTCTATTGTCTGTTTTTCTTTCCATTCTTCCTCACAGGATCTTTCTTCCTACTGAGTCAGGTTATCTTTGATAGCATGTTCAAAGTTGCTTCTAAAAAATTTTTGTAGAAACAATGAGTGCCAGATAATATTTTTGTTTGTTTCTACTAGGAGCCAAGGTGAACAACAATCTGGATCATCTTAATCCAGTTTTGCAGTTTGAGATTTTTCTGGGCCACACAAACAACAGAAAGCTAGGCTGCGGTCCTTGTGAAGGCTAACTGACTTCTGTTTCACCCCTGGAGTTCCCTAGTCTATTGCAAGTCATAGTTTTTTAGGGCTCCCACCTTGGTGGGCTCTGAACTCTGACTTTAGACCCTCTAGCCCAGCTAGACTATCAAGTATACAGTTTAACCACTTCCAGATCAGCAACCAGCTCTAGGGAAAAAATGGTCCCAAATGCTGTGCTCTCCCTTCTAGACTTCCATACTCTCCCCGATCTTGACCTAGTAATTCCTCACTATCTTATTAACTCTGATAGTTTTCAGTTTTTTTAACAAATCATTCAGCTTTTTAATTGTCTTGAACACAGTTAATTCATCCAAATTACTCAATCTACCATTATTAAAACTAGAAGTCCATTCCTGATCATTGCTCCTAACCCCTTTCCACAGTATCTTTGGCAAGAATATCTATTACCAACCAATAGGTGTAGAGTGCACAAGAGAATTACTGGTCCTAATACCTGATGATTTCCTGAAACAAAGAATGTGGAGACTCAGTCCCTATTGTTCCCATTTGGGGTTTAGTCGCTAATTCTGATGAAGTAGGAACAACTCCACATGGTGCCTCACACTACCCTATATCAAATAAGTGATTATTTTAAAATACAGTACATCTGGGATTCTCAAAAATTAACATTAACAGTCCTCTCCTTCCTGAAGAAAACATTAACAAGAACTCTGAACTCTATACAGAAGGCATATGAGTGTGTTTGTGTATATGCATAGTGGACTCCAGAATATTACTCTAGTCATCTTTTTGCTTACTTTGAATATGTAAAAATATTTTCATTTAAAAAGTAAAACAAATTATTATACCAGTGTAAAATATGCACTATTTTTAAAAATTAATTTACTTATTTTAGTTGACAAAAATTATATATATTTATCATGAACAACATAATGTTTTGAAATATGTATATATTGTGAAATGGGTAAATTGAGGTCATTAACATATGTACTACCACACATACTTTTCTGTGATGAGTACACATAAAATCTACTCTTTTTAGCAATTTTTGAGAAAATTGACTATAATCACCATGTTGTATAATGGATCTCTTGAACTTATTCCTTCTCTCTAACTGAAATTTTGTATCCTTTGACCAACATTTACCCAACTTTCCCCCTTGGCCCATGGTATTTTTTGAAGCTGGTATAGCATATCAAATAATGAGACTTATGGTCACCAACTGATTACTATGACTTTGTTTTTTAAAATAGAAGCAGATAGAAATTTTTCTAAATATAGAAGATTATTTTAAAAATTAGTCCCTCAGGCCAGGCATGGTGGCTCATGCCTGTAATCCCAGCACTTTGGGAGGCCGAGCCGCGCAGATCACTTGAAGTCAGGAGTTCAAGACAGCCTGGCCAACAAGGTGAAATCCCATCTCTACCAAAAATATAAAAAATTAGCCAGGTGTGCTGGCTTATACCTGTAATCCCAGCTACTTGGGAGGCTGAGGCTGGAGAATCAAGCGAGAAATTGCTTGAACCCGGAAGGTAGAGGTTGCAGTGAGCTGAGATCATGCTACTGCACTCCAGCCTGGGCAACAGAGCAAGACTCAATCTCAAAAAAAAAAAAAAAAAAAAAAGTAGTCACTCAAATCCTACCATTCATGTGTTACTACCATTAACATTTTGATGAATATTTTCCATTAACTGTTTTCTATGCATATTATATGTATATTTTCACAAAGTTGGGTTTATACTACAGTAGTATATACTGCTATATGTACTACTATCTACATATCCTACCTTTCACATATTTTCTTATGTCATTATTCTGCTTAAACATAATTTTAATGACTAAATTGCATCCTCTTTATTGATGAACCATTATTATGCACCAATTCCCCAACATTCTTAAAGAAATTTTGGAGGTAGCTGGCAAGATGGCCCAATAGGAACAGCTCCGGTCTGCAACTCCCAGTGAGATCAATGCAGAAGGCGAGTTATTTCTGCATTTCCTACTGAGGTACCCTGCTCATCTCATTGAGACTGGTTAGACAGTGGATGCAGCCCATGGAGGGCAAGCCAAAGTAGGGTGGGGCATTGCCTCATCTGGGAAGCACAAGGGGTCGGGGAACTCCCTCCCCTAGCCAAGGGAAGCCGTGAGGAACTGTGCTGTGAGGGATGGTGCTACCTGTCCGAGACACTACACTTTTCCCATGGTTTTCACAACCCGCAGACCAGGAGATTTCCTCAAGTGCCTATATCACCAGGGCCCTGGGTTTGAAGCATAAAACTGGGAGGCCATTTGGGCAGACACCGAACTAGCTGCAGGAGTTTTGTTGTTGTTGTTGTTGTTGTTGTTGTTTGTTTGTTTTTTTCCATACCCCAGTGACACCTGGAACACAAGCAAGATAGAACCGTTCAGTCCCCTGGAAAGGGGGTTGAAGCTAGGGAGCCACGTGGTCTAGCTCAGCGGATCCCACCTCCATGGAGCTCAGCAAGCTAAGATCCACTGGCTTGAAATTTTCACTGCCAGCACAGCAGTCTGAAGTTGACCTGGGACACTTCAGCTTGGTGGGGGAAGGGTCGTCTGTCATTGCTGAGGCTTGAGCAGGCGGGTTTCCCCTCATAGTATAAATAAAGCCGCCAGGAAATTCAAACTCCACAGAGCCCACTGCAGCTCAGCAAAGCCGCTGTAGCCAACTGCCTCTCTCGATTCCTCCTTTCTGGGCAGGGCATCTGAAAGAAAGGCAGCAGCCCCAGTCAGGGGCTTACAGATAAAACTCCCATCTCCCTGGGACAGAGCACATGCGGGAAGAGGCGGCTGTGGGAATAGCTTCAGCAGACTAAAACGTTGCTGCCTGCTGGCTCTGAAAGAACAGTGGATCTCCCAGCAAAGCATTCAAGCTTTGCAAAGGGACAGACTGCCTCCTCAAATGGGTCCCTGACCCCCGTGTCCCTTGACTGGGAGAAACCTCCCAGCAAGGGTTGGCAGACACCTCATACAGGAGTGCTCCTACTGGCATCTGGCAGGTGCCTCTCTGGGATGAAGCTTCCAGAGGAAGGAACAGGCAGCAATCTTTGCTTTTCTGCAGCCTCCACTGGTGATACCCAGCCAAACAGGGTCTGGAGTAGACCTCCAGCAAACTCCAGCAGACCTGGGGCAGAGGGGCCTGTCAGAAGGAAAACTAACAAACAGAAAGGAATAGCATCAACATCAACAAAAAGGACGTCCACACAGAAACCCCACCTTAAAGTCACCAACATCAAAGACCAAAGGTAGATAAATCCAAAAAGATGAGGAAAAACCAGCACAAAAACGTTGAAAATTCCAAAAACCAGAATGCCTCTTCTCCTTCAAAGGATCACAACTCCTGGCCAGCAAGGGAACAAAACTGGACAGAGAATGAGTCTGACAAATTGACAGAAGTAGGCTTCAGAAAGTGGGTAATAACAAACTCCTCCAAGCTAAAGTAGCATGTTCTAACCCGATGCAAGAAAGCTAAGAACCTTGAAAAAAGGTTAGAGGAATTGCTAACTAGAATCACCCAGTTTGGAGAAGAACATAAATGACCCGATGGAGCTGAAAAACACAGCACTAGAACTTCGTGAAGCATATGCAAGTATCAATAGCCAAATCAATCAAGTGGAAGAAAGGATATCAGAGATTGGAGATCAAATTAATGAAATAAAGCATGAAGACAAGATTAGAGAAAAAAGAAAGAAAAGGAATGAACAAAGCCTCCAAGAAATATGGGACTATGTGAAAAGACCAAATCTACTTTTGATTGGCATACCTGAAAGTGACAAGGAGAATGGAACCAAGCTGGGAAACACGCTTCAAGATATTATTATCCAGGAGAACTTCCCCAACCTAGCAAGGCAGGCCAACATTCAAATTCAGGAAATACAGAGAACACCACAAAGATGCTCCTCGAGAAGAGCAACCCCAAGACACATAATTGTCAGATTCACCAAGGTTGAAATGAAGGAAAAAATGTTAAGGGCAGCCAGAAAGGTCAGGTTACCCACAAAGGGAAGCCCATCAGACTAACAGCAGATCTCTCTGCAGAAACCCTACAAGCCAAAGAGAGTGGGGGCCAATATTCAACATTCTTCAAGAAAAGAATTTTCAACCCAGAATTTCATATCCAACCAAACTAAGCTTCATAAGGGAAGGAGAAATAAAATTCTTTACAGACAAGCAAATGCTGAGATTTTGTCACCAACAGGCCTGCCTTACAAGAGTTCCTGAAAGAAGCACTAAATATGGAAAGAAAAAACCAGTACCAGCCACTGCAAAAACATACCAAATTGGAAAGGCCATCGACACTATGAAGAAACTGCATCAACTAACAGGAAAAATAACCAGCTACTATCATAGTGACAGTATCAGATTGACACCTAACAATATTAACCTTATATGTAAATGGGCTAAATGCTCCAATTAAAAAACACAGACTGGAAAATTGGATAAAGAGTCAGGACCCATCAGTGTGCTGTATTCAGGAGACCCATTTCACATGCAAAGACACACATAGGCTCAAAATAAAGGGATGGAGGAAGATTTACCAAGCAAATGGAAAGCAAAAAAAACCAGGGGTTGCAGTTCTAGTCTGATAAAACAGACTTTAAACCAACAAAGATAAAAAAGACTAAGGAGGGCATTACATAATGGTAAAGAGATCAATTCAACAAGAAGAGCTAACTATCCTAAATATATACACACCCAATACAGGAGCACCCAGATTCATAAAGCAAGTTCTTAGAGACTTACAAAGAGACTTAGACTCCCACACAATAATACTGGGAGACTTTAACACCCCACTGTCAATATTAGATCAACTAGACAGAAAATTAGCAACAATGTTCAGGCCTCGAACTCAGCTCTGAACCAAGCAGACCTAATAGACATCTACAGAACTCTCCACCCCAAATCAGCAGAATATACATTCTTCTCAGCACCACATCACACTTATTCTAAAATTGACCACATAATTGGAAGTAAAACACTCCACAGCAAATGCAGAACAGAAATCATAACAAACAGTCTTTCAGACCACAGTGCAATCAAATTAGAACTCAGGATTAAGAAACTCACTCAAAACAGCACAACTACATGGAAACTGAACACCTGCTCCTGAACGACTACTGGGTAAATAATGAAATTAATGCAGAAATAAATAAGTTCTTTGAAGCCAATGAGAACAAAGATACAACCTACAAGAGTCTCTAGGACACAGCTAAAGCAGTGTTTAAAGGGAAATTTACAGCACTAAATGCCCACAGGTGAGAGTGGGAAAAATCTAAAATCGACACCCTAACATCGCAATTAAAAGAACTAGAGAAGCAAGAGCAAACAAATTCAAAAGCTGGCAGAAGACAAGAAATAACTAAGATCAGAGCAGAACTGAAGGAGAGAGATGAAAAACGCTTCAAAAAAAAAAAATCAATGAATCCAGTAGCTGGTTTTTTGAAAATGATCAAGTCAGCTTCATCCCTGGAATGCAAGGCTGGTTCAAAATATGAAAATCAATGAGCATAATCCATCACATAAACAGAACCAATGACAAAAACCACATGATTATTCAATAGATGTGGAAAAGTCCTTTGATAAAATTCAACACCCCTTCATGCTAAAAAAAACTCTCAATAAACTAGGTATTGATGGAACGTATCTCAAAATAATAAGAGCTATTTATGACAAGCCCACAGCCAATATCATACTGAATGGGCAAAAACTGGAAGCATTACCTTTGAAAACCAGCAAAAGACAAGGATGCCCTCTCTCACCACTCCTATTCAACATAGTATTGGAAGATCTGGCCAGGGCAATCAGGCAAGAGAAAGAAAAAAAAAGCGTATTCAAATAGGAAGAGAGAAAGTCAAATTGTCTCTGTTTGCAGATGACATGATTGTATATTTAGAAAATCCCATCATGTCAGCCCAAAGTCTCCTTAAGCTGATAAGCAACTTCAGCAAAGTCTCAGGATACAAAATCAATGTGCAAAAATCACAAGCATTCCTATAGGCCAATAATAGAGAGCCAAATCATAAGTGAACTCTCATTCACAATTGCTACAAAGACAATAAAATACCTAGGAATCCAACTTACAAGGGATGTAAAGGACTCTTTGTGGCTGACTGCCATGGTTACTACTTGAGACCATCACTACAGCACTTACTACTGTTACTGCTTGAGAACATCATTACAGCCGAACAAAGGGACGAATGTAGAAATGAAAACCAAGAAAAAAGAAACTGTTTTAAGGAAAAGCTAGCATGGGGAAGAAGAGCCTCTGCCTCTTTGGTTAGTTGCCGCCAGGTAAAACTTTCCACTGATAACAAGAGACAGGCTCTTTCTGATTAACAGAAGACAGAGAAAGTAAATCAAGGCTTATCCTCCTTATAAACAATCCTCAAGATTTATTACCATGAGAGACCAGTCTCTTGCCCCCGTATCCATAAGCCCACAAAACTTATTTTCTTCAATCTACACTGCACAAGTGGGTCTGTGAGATGCTATGGGATGTGATAGATAAATCTCTCTCCTAGTTGCACTTCCAAATCCCTGACCTCCTTGCTTCCTCCTACATAGAGAAGGGTGCAATTTACAGGGAATAAGCAACAGTTGAGCAACATATTCTCCCGGTTCAAAAACCCAAAGATCTTGTGATATGACAACCACCTGAATTTCTCCTTCACAATCCGAGTCAACAATTCCTGGGACTACAGTAATGTCCTATAAGTTAAGATGACTTTTACCCAAAATTAATCCCATATATCCTGTTAGCAAAGATCTCCAAATACAAGTGTGAATCTTAGTGGGTTTGTTTCTTCCAATTAACGTAACCTGTTCCCTAACTGGGAGAGCTAATCCTGCACTTCCAGGTGTTCCTGGGGAGAGACAATCAATGTGCCTCCGGAAACCCACCCCTGAAACCGAGATGTGGCCTGGACAGGGTATGCCCTCATAGTTTGAGGTGCCTGGGTCCAGGCTGCCTTCTCACTTCCCGACAGGAAGATGCCATTTTGATGAAATTTTGAGTGGTATTGATTAGCCCAATGATTGCAATGAGGGCGAAGTCCTGGCGTTTTGTTGTTAAGATGGGAACTGTGTTACAAGATCCCTTTTTTCCAGAGGTCTGGCATTGTTCTCTTTTGAAACGCCTAATTCTTCTACACTTATAACACTTTCCCACTTTAGGGCTTGACCCTTGGCTTCTTTTAGATCTGTCAGCTACCAAATTAGCCATAGCCTGAGTCAAAACTGCAGAGCAATGAAGCTCAGTTCCCACATCTTGACAAGCTCTGAGAAAACCTCTCAAGTCCTCTGCACATCTCACAGGTGCCAGTGCATGTTTACAATCGATGAAAGCCAAAGCTAAAGTTAGCCTTTCTATAGCCACAAAAGACGGTACAAGCCAATTTCCATTGTCTTTCCTGTTCACCACTTTCCATAGGTGCTGTAGGTGTGGGAAAAAATTATCTCAAATTTTGAAATAGCAAAAAGGTGGTACATACCAAACTCCAAACAAACAAAAAAAAAGAAATAACCAAATTATTCCTCATGTTAACCTGATTCAAAAACTTCTCTTTCTTTGTACCTCTAGGGCACTGACCAGTACCTTTTTAAAGCACTGACCTTATGTTGCTGCCGGCAGACCTGTAATAGGGTTTCTCATTCGTCTGGGTTGGTTTTAGTTTTTTCTGGGCTTTAGTTTTTTCTGTTCCAGCAGACCCTCCTCGTTCAAGTCCCCATAGGACCCTACCTATCCCTATTGGTCCTTGCAAATCTCTGCCAGTCTTTGCTAGTCTCTACTTTTGTACCTCTTTAGGGTACTGACCTTATATTGCTAGTCTTTGCTAGTCTTTATCTATCCCTATCTGTCCCGGTCTGTCCCTATGGTACCTGTTAGTTCCTTCAAGTCCCTGTCTTTTCTTACCTATCTCTACTTATCTCTATTTATCTCTATCCCTGCAGGTCTCTTCAGGTCTCCGTTTGTCCCTGATAGTCCCTGTTGGGGCACCACTTGTGGCTGACTGCCACGGTTACTACTTGAGACCATCACTACAGCAGTTACTACTGTTACCACTTGAGACCACCACTACATCTGAACGAAGGGACAAACATAGAAATGAAAACCAAGGAAAAAAGAAACTATTTTAAGGAAAGGCTAGCATGGGGAAGAAGAAGAGAGCTCCCTACTACCCAATGATCATAGGCCACCCCCTGTATATATTGGATAACAAGAGCAGGAAGGAGGAGGTAATGATTGATCAGCTGCTCAATTGATCACAGGTTCATATTTTTACTAACAGGCTTCAATCATGCCCAATCATAAGAAACACTTGTGCGGCCTCCAACACCTCCTCAAGGAGAACTACAAACAATTGTTCAAGGAAATAAGAGAGGACACAACCGAATGGAAAAACATTCCACGCTCATGGATAGGAATAATCACTGTCATGAAAATGGCCATACTGCCCAAAGTAATTTATAGATTCAATGATATCCCCATCAAGCTACCATTGACTTTCTTCACATAATTAGAAAAAAACTACTTTAAATTTCATATGGAACCAAAAAAGAGCCCGTATAGCCAAGACAATCCTAAGCAAAAAGAACAAAGCTTGAGGCATCACGCTACCTGACTTCAAACTATACTACTACAAGGCTACAGTAACAAACACCATGGTACTTGTACCAAAACAGATATACAGACCAATGGAACAGAAGAGAGGCCTCAGAAATAACACCACACATCTACAACCATCTGATCTGACAAACCTGACAAAAACAAGCAATGGGGAAAGGATTCCCTGTTTAATAAATGGTGTTGGGAAAACTGGCTAGCCATATACAGAAAACTGAAACTGGATCCCTTTTTACACCTTATACAAAAATTAACTCAAGATGTTTAAAGACTTAAACATAAGCCTAAAACCACAAAAACCCTATAAGGAAACCTAGGCAATAGCATTGAGGACATAGGCATAGGCAAAGATGTCATGACTGAAACACCAAAAACAATGGCAACAAAAGCCAAAATTGACAGATGGGATCTAATTAAACTAAAGAGCTTCTGCACAGCAAAAGAAACTATCATCAGAGTGAACAGACAATCTACAGCATGGGAGAAAAATTTTGCCATCTATCCATCTGACAAAGGGTTAATATTCAGAATCTACAAGGAACTTGAACAAATTTACAAGAAAAAAAAACAACCCCATCAAAAAGTGGGCAAAGGATATGAACAGACACTTCTCAAAAGAAGACATTTATGCGGCCAACATACCTATGAAAAAAAGGTCATCATCACTGGTCATTAGAGAAAAGCAAATCAAAACCACAATGAGATACCATCTCACGCCAGTTAGAATGGCGATCATTAAAAAGTCAGGAAACAACAGATGCTGGAGAGGATGTGGAGAACTAGGAACGCTTTTACACTATTGGTGGGAGTGTAAATAAGTTCAACCATTGTGGAAGACAGTGTGGTGATTCCTCAAGAATCTAGAACCAGAAATACCGTTTGACCCAGCAATCCCATTACTGGGTATATACCCAAAGGATTGTAAATCATACTGCTATAAAGACAGTGCACATGTATGTTTATTGCAGCACTGTTCACGATAGCAAAGATTTGGAACCAACACAAATGCCCATCAATGATAGGCAGGATTAAGAAAATGTGGCACATATACATCATGGAATACTATGCAGCCATAAAAAAGGATGAGTTCATGTCCTTTGCAGGGACATGGATGAAGCTGGAAACCATCATTCTCAGCAAACTAACACAGGAACAGAAAATCAAACACCACATATTCTCACTCATAAGTGGTAGTTTAACAATGAGAACACATGGACACAAGGAGGGGAACATCACACACTGGGGCCTATTGAGGGTGGGGCACTAGGGGAGGGATAGAATTAGGAGAAATACCTAATGTAGATGACGGGTTGATGGGTGCAGCAAGCCACCATGGCACACGAATACCTATGTAACAAACCTGCACGCTCTGCACATGTATCCCAGAACTTAAAGTATAATTTAAAAAAAAAATTTAAAAAGATAGTTGACAAATATTACATGATAGTAATAAACCATAATGTATCTGAAAAAAAAAGAAATTTTGAATCAAAAAAAAATTTGTCTCTGTTGATCCAACTATATAAAAAATTAAGTTGGAATTTCCTATCATTGTGAATTGTTTACTCTTTATCCCTTCCTGAAAACTGGAATCAGTGAGATAATTTTTTTTTTCTGTTTATCCCTCTCTGTTGCTGCAACATGATATTTCCTAAGGATAACAGAGGGGGCATTTGGTAAGAGAACAAAAAGAAGGGAAGGGAGAGTTTTTAGGAATAATATCAAATGGAAGACAAGCTAAGAGGTGGTCTGTCTTAGCAATGTGAAAGATCTTACCACCTCATAGGCACTCCATCCATGGAATGAGACCGCTCCATCAGCCCTATCCAATGAGGAATCAGATAGAAATGACTACTTGCTTTGGAAGCCTGGGACAAATAAAGTGTGGGGCCTAAACTAAAATAATCTAGCAGCCATGGAAAATGCTTAAATCCAAAGGGAAGGTTTTTTTGTTCCCCTCTGCTGTATAGAGTAATATATAAACTTAAACTGTTATTTCTATGAGAGATGGAAGAACTCTTATCTGTGAGTAGCCAGTGAGGATGACTAATTGCACCCATGCCCCTGAGGGATCTATATGAGTTGCAAGATATGACTCTGACCAGGACTGTGTTGTACATTCTTGTGGGCACTATTTGTGTGATTGATCAGCTAATGTAAGATTGCTTAATTATGTCCTATTTCTCCCCAAACTCTAACACTCGGAAGGATGTAGTTGTGGGGTAACAGAAAAGGAAAATTCCTGTACAATAAGCACCAACATGCATATATAACACTGCTAAAAATCAGACGTTGTGTCAGCAAGTTTCTTCTAGTTAATTACCAATCATTCACCCACCTCCACGTTCTGTCTGCCCTACACACTGTAATCGTAATCTGGTTTGCTTTTCAAAGAAATGTCTCACCAGACTAATTGAAGCTAGTTACACCAATGCAATCTTAAGAAACATGCTTAGGGAAGCTTTTACACCATGCCAAACAAGTGACTACTACATGACTGCCGAAAGTCATAAGCTTACATTCTCAGATCTGATCAAATCTGTCTTTAAACCATTACAATCGTAAGCACATTAAAATTTTGACAAATTATTCTAGATGCTTTAAAGAAGTCAAATAGTGGGCATACTGCAGAGTTGACATTACACACATGACATATTTGAAAATGCAGGCTGGGCACGGTATCTCACGCCTGTAATCCCAGCACTTCGGGAGGCCGAGGCGGGTGGATCATGAGGTCAGGAGATGGAGACCATCCTGTCTAACACGGTGAAACCCCATCTCTACTAAAAATATAAAAAAATTAGCCAGGCGTGGTGGTGGGCGCCTGTAGTCCCAGCTACTCGGGAAGCTGAGGCAGGAGAATGCTGTGAACCCAGGAGGCGGAGCTTGCAGTGAGCGGAGAGCACGCCACTGCACTCCAGCCTGGGCGACAGAGCCAGACTCCGTCTCAAAAAAATAAAAAGGAAAAAAAAAAAGAAAATGCAATTCTCTTCCCCTTCCCCCAAGTTTCTCTTTCTTCATCCTTATTTTTGTTAATGGTTCTACCACATTCCACATTACCAAAGCTCATAACCATCGTGACCCTTTATGCTTCCCTCTTCTCCTGCCCATCATATTCAATCAGGTGCCAATCCTCTCCTTGTCTGCTTCAACACCCTGGTGACATTGCAAAGAACATTAAGTAAGAGCATTTACTTGGAAAACAAACTTGACAAACTCTCTAGCATGTCATAAAAATTAAATAAAGATTGACTATAATTATTATTTATTGCACTGTAAGTTTTCTGGCCTGTAAGAAGAGCAAGAGAATTTTACATTCCACTTTCACTTTCAGAAAGTGTTGGAAAGTTTCAGGGAGGAAGGAAAGAGTACTGGTCAATAACCTGCTCTGTGTCCTTAGACAACTTAACATCTCAAAGCCTACATTTTGAAATCTGTAAAACAGTGATGCTAACTAATAATAATCACCCTATCTCAGTGCTGTGGAGGATAAAATGAGAAATGAATTCAAAGCTGTTCTGCAAAATTTGAGCAATATATACTTATAATTTCAATTCTCTTTTTAAAATACAAAGTGAAAATAAACAGGTTGGACTACGTGATAGGTTTAAGATAAAATTCTAGCCGGGCGCAGTATCGTGCCATTGCACTCCAGACTGGGTGACAGAGCAAGACTCCGTCTCAAAAAAAAAAAAAGATTCTGCAGAAAATATAATCTTCACCTCACAGGAACAATGCTTTATGGACCTTGTGACAGTTAAGGTGTCACAGCAGATAGCCAAGGCTGCTTCTGCTTTCTGTAATGAAATTATCATTCTTTACAAAAGAAAATCTGAATTACATTTATATTTTTTATTTCTTCTTTTTCATGAAGATGGTTAGGGTTGCAGTCATATGCTATGAACTGAATCAGGATGAAAAGGCATAGTTAAACTTTTCATTTTGTAGCATAAACAGTTTTTTATGTTTTAACCTTTTATGTGGGAATAATTTTAAACTTACAAAAGCATTAGAAAGATAGCACAGTGAGTTTCCATACACTTCAAACAGCACTTGGAATAATGCAGTAAATACAAAAATCCCATTCCTTGAGGAGCTTACATTCTGTATATGATGTATCTAAAAATAAAAATAGATATACAGCCAAATGTGAGCAAAAGTTAGTTCTGGGCAATTTTTATTTTCTCCTTTAAACTTTCTGGTATTTCCACATTTCAAAATCAAATAAAAATAGACACTTTCCTCTAATGTATTATTCACATGGTGTCAAGATTAGTTAGCACTATAAAATTAACCTTATACTGGAAGACTTAAATTAAGCCGTCTTGACAATTTCAAATTCATCTGTTTCCTTTTCTGACAGTTGAATTTCTGTAGCTAGAAACTGTCTCCTTTCCCTAAGGTCCCTAATTGTAAGGTGGACCTTGAATGCCCTCTGCTGGCCAGACAACATCAGCAGAAAAAGACAGTGAAAAGAAACCAAGAAAAATCACAGCGCAGTCACCATTCTCTTTACACATGTATTTGTCCCTCATTCTTTCATTCAAAAGACACTCACTGTGTGCCTATTATGTGCTAGACACTATAGCTGGAAATACAAAAGATATAAGATGTAATCTCTGTCCTTGAAATCACCCTATACTTTTTTCCAGGAAATTACCAAGTCTCAGAAAATTTCTTGGGCCTGGGACTCAAGAAAAAGCACCAACTCTTGCAAGAAAGGATGATTGGTATGTATTTATGCTGGGCTATGAAAATAACTTCTTTCTCCATGAAAATCAGGAAAATAACATCTATCTATGAAAGGATACAATATCCTTTGGAAGATACTGAACATTTAAACTTCAAATTTCCATAATACACTACAGTCAGTATACAGTAAGAGACCTGACATTAAAGGAGAAAAAAGACCCAAGAACTTGAGTACAAATGTGGTCAGTTGTCCTCAGAAAAGTTAGGTACATTCTTGGTTCTTTCCTAACTTAGACATGATTTAAATATTCACATCATTGCAAACTACAAAATTTCAGAAAACAAAATTCTAGCAGACATTTCATTTCTACCCCCATTATTACACAACTAGTAGTTATCTGCTTGATGTGGTGAGCAAACATGATATTCCAGGAATGACATCCCTAAAATAAACATTGTCTACAATTGATACTTTAACCAGAAATGTATGGCAGACAGCTGGGATTTGAGAGCCGCTTAAACATCTACTAGTGGGTCAGTACAACTTGCAAGCTCATTGTTTTTTGTTTTGTAAGTTTTTTTCTTTTGCTTTGCAGTGAATGCAGCAGGACTCACTGTTTTTGTATCCAAGGAGTTTGATCCTTTTGAGCTGTGGTAGTATAAAAATTGCAGAAACATGAGAAACTACAAAGGTGTGAATTTTACAATAAGACATTAGAACTTTCCAACCAAAGATTGAAAGAACTTTCAAATCTTTCCAACGTAGATTTGAACAAAATCTACGTTGTCATTTGTCTCCACCAGTTGGCTCCACCCAAAAAAAGACCACATCACTCTTTGCAAATCCACTATAATGAATTAGTTTAACAGTGTATCTTCACTTAGCCCAAGCTTTTTTCATTGTTGCATAGTAATAGGACTTCATAATAAAGATCGGACACCCCTGGGAGGAATTTTGGCAACTTTTATGAGCATGTTTGTCAGTGCCAATGATTTGAGGTGCTATTCATGTGTGCTACTAGATGTCTCATAACGCATAGGGAAGAGCCAGACTAGGAATATTTGGTTCATACTCGGCATGACTTTCAAATGCCCCAACAGATTTTCATGCAGGTAAATAAAACAATTTGTTTATCTGAGCCTATAACTAATTCTTATTTATCTATAACACAATATATTTTTTGCCCAATGTTAACACAAGCAAAATATTTTAAGCTCATCTCCTCATCTTAATCATGGGAAGATTGTACTTTGTTTTTGTTCAAACTTTTCCAAGAGTTCTCTACATTGTGGAAATGTCCCTACAGGCAGCACCACTCATGGCATTTGAGCCAATAGCATATACTTATATCACTGGCATTTGTAGCTGATGCAAATACTTCTCAGTAAAAAATTGAGACACCATTAATAGTAATTGATAGGAGGTCAGCAGTTCGAGAACAGCCTGGCCAACATGGTGAAACCCTGCCTCTACTAAAAATACAAAATTAGCTGGGCATGGTGACACATGCCCATAATCCTAGCTACTCTGGAGGCTGAAGTAGGAGGCCTGCTTGAACCTGGGAAGTGGAGGTTGCAGTGAGCCAAGATCGCACCATTGCACTCTAGCCTGGGTGACAAGAGTGAAACTCCAGCTCAAAAAAAAAAAATTGTAATTGATAGACGTGAAATGTAATGATCTCATCGCATTTTATTAATGTCTATTATTTTAATTTTGTGGCATAATGATAAGAAATCTTGAAATTGCCTCTTGTTCTTCAGTCTTTTCCTATCTTTTCAATCTTCCACTCCCAGAGATCTGCCACGAAACTTCTCTGTTGTCCCCTGTACTGCTATTTCTTTTTTCTTTCTTTCTTTTTTTTTTTTTTTTTTGAGAGGGAGTCTTGCTCTGTCGCCCAGGCTGGAGTGCAGTGGCATGATCTCGGCTCACTGCAACTTCCGCCTCCCAGGTTCAAGCAATTCTCTGCCTCAGCCTCCTGAGTAGCTGGGATTACAAGCGCCCACCACCACGCCCAGCTAATTTTCGTGTTTTTAGTAGAGACAGGGTTTCACCATCTTGGTCAGGCTGGTCTTGAACTCCTGACCTCATGATCCACCCGCCTCGGCCTCCCAAAGTGCTGGGATTACAGGCATGAGCCACCGCGCCCAGCCCTATTTCTTTTTTCAACAGCTAAGCTAAGTGGTATTTTGAGATACTCAAGACAGAATGTATACCTCCTCATGTGGTTTCAAGATAGGATTTGTTTTTTGAAATATTCTGTCTTGTCTTCATCCTATGCAACACACAGAATTATTTTAACACACACTCATAAATAAGGTCCAGGTCATTTGCAAGAATATTATACTTCCTCATTTTCTCACTTCAACAATCTGTAATTTGTCTTGACATGTTATCCCCTCTGCAGTTAAGGTTATTTATCTCCTTCTCATATCATATACAGACAGGTCTAGACTGTCATTACTTATCCTAGCAATAGTTTTGGTTCAAGTATCCTCTGTACCTCTGCTCTTTCATTTTCTTCTACTTTGTATTCAGCATGGCTTTTAATTTAGCTTCTGCTAAGTTCTGCCTTGGTCATTACAAGTAGGTGCAAACATCTGACTATTTCATTTTGGCTACTTCTGTAGTCATGTTCAAGCGTTATATATTAAAATGTACATTCTATTACACTTTTCTTTCTCCTTTAAGTTATAATAAGAACATATTTTTATTCAATGTAATGTATTGTTTAAATTATATGGGCAAATGGGTCTTGCCATGAATTTAACTTCAGAAAAGGAAATACTTGGTATTTAAAAAGTGGCTTCAGGTCTGAAGAGAACAAAAAGTGTATATTATTTTACTGCCCCCCACCCTCGGACACTGTCTCCCTCCTCTCTGACCTGTAGTTCTATCTCCTCTTCAAGGTTCATTCAAGGTCATTTGCAATTAGGCTTTGCAACTGTTCCTGCCTCTAAAGATCTCTTCTGTAAAATCCTATGGCTCTATTTACTATAAATAATTAGCACTTAGCCTTGAACTACCACTGTGGATTTGGGTTGTGTTTATGTGTGTGCATAATTGTCTTCTCGACTAGAGTGTAAACTTCTAGGAGGCAAAATTATTTGCCATGATCTTATACCCCCTACCACTATACTCTGCACAAAGTTAGAACTTAATGAGTTCTGGTTGAGTAAATAAACTGACTTTTAAACTTTATATAGTAGTATAGTTCTTGACACATCTCTACTATAACACTTGTCAGGCCAAACCTTAACTTGTTCTTTATATGTCTGATTCTCTCACAAACTGTAAGTTCCTTGAGGAAAGAGGCCATGACTATTCACCTTTGTAATCTCAGCATCTGAGCAGACTGACTAACAAAAATCCAGTATGTGTTTATAAATGACTGAAAGAATTTATTAATTAAATTTGTGCATTCCAATGTAACTATCAATTACATGGCAACAACCTAATAGGAATGAATGCAATTATATGAGTTTCAACATGAGAAATCCCAGAACGGAGGTTCCCAGAATTGTATCTTCAGATTTGCATTATCATTTTGTTCTGACCTCATGTCTAATTTTCAATCCTCTTCTCTGCAAAAATTTTCTCTACAAGGAAATCATTTGAAAGAGTTCTGAGAAAATAGAGATAAGCTCATCCTGAGGTTAGACAGATTTTTATCCTTCTTTGAAATGGGAGAAATTATTTTCAAGGACTAAATTGCATACAGTTGAAAATAATCTTAAACATCTAAAATAATGTATTCTAGTCTATTTTACCACATACGCATTACCACAGAATCAGCATGTGCTATATTTTAAATGACATCTAATGTATTATTTCATCTTTTTTTAAGTGAAAGCAAACTTATTAACAAAGTAAAGGAATAAAAGAATAGCTACTGCATAGGCAAAGCAGCCCATTCCATCTTAATAATAAAAGAATTCACATCCATTGTAGAAATGCTAAAAAGAAATGTAGTCAACATTTATCATCCATAATTCTAACAAAGATGAATACTGTTTTATATATTTCTTTCCAGTCTCTTCTCTATGCATCTGTATATCTATGATTTTACGGAATTAGAGTCACATAACATAACCAGTTGTTTTCTCTAATGTTTACATTATATCATTGGTTAAAACAAAATTCTATTACATAGGTTCTCAAATGTTCTTGTCTCAGGATGCTTTTACGCTCTTAAAAATGATCAAGGACCCCAAGGGCTTTTGCTGTGATTCACTCAGGATGGTGGCAGAAATATTAAAAGGAAATATTAAGGGAAATTATAAAGAATAGTCACAAACCTTTTAGAAGGCCGAAAGGTTATGTAGCTCATAATAATTGAACAGGCTGAAGGCAGCTGGTTCTTACCTTAGAGCATTAGGTCATAAGGTACATATTAAAGACAATAGAGGCTTCCCCAGTTAAGTCTGTTTTCCCTACCTCCATTAACTAGCCTTTGAGCCAGATGGCCCCAGGTAGGGGGTGGGTCAGAGATTGACCAAAGATATTGTCCCCTAATAGTATTTACTTTAGACTCAGGCCGGGCGCGACGGCTCACGCCTGTAATCCCAGCACTTTGGGGGCCAATACCTGAGCTTTAATCATTCCTAGAACTACTCTCTTAACCATGTTAATTATCCACAAGTGTGTTTACTCAAAGCTTCTGCTGTTAATTGTATACTAAATAAATTCCTGAAGTGCGAGCTGCTCAAGGTCGGCTGCAGTGACAAACCTCTCTTGGTGTGCAGCCAGTCGGACGCTCAGCAGGACTGGCAAAGCAGAATATCTGTGTGTCAGTGTTCGTTTTATTCATCCATCATTTAGGTCAAAGTCTGCGGGCAGACCCCCACAGCTCATGCCCTCATGTGAAGAGCAATACCTCAGGCTTTGTGGATTAAAGCAATTTTTTTAAATTTTTTATTTTTTATTTTTTTTGAGACAGTCTCACTCTGTTGCCCAGGCTGGCGTGTCTCGGCTCACTGCAATCTCCGCCGCCTCCTGGGTTCAAGCAATTCTCCTGCCTCAGCCGCCTGAGTAGCTGGGACTACAGGCACGCACCACTATGCCCGGCTAATGTTTGTATTTTTAGTAGAGATGGGGTTTCACCATGTTGGCCAGGCTGGTCTTGAACTCCTGACCTCAGGTGATCCGCCTGCCTCGGCCTCCCAAAGTGCTGGGATTACAGTCGTGAGCCACAGCACCTGGCCAAATTTTTTAACATTTTAATTAACTTCTTAATAATAACAATAAACCAAATACATGATAACATAAACTACATGAAAAATTACATATTTTCAAAACAAAAGCAAAATTACAAAAAAACAAAAATTTGGTAAGAATTGTGGCACTGTTTTTACATATTTGTAACCCTCTTTACTGTCTGACTACATAGAAGATAGGTAGATTCTCATATCTGCTTCTGCACTCATTCTCTTGTGTCACACATCATGTAGCCTCTGGAAAACCGCTATGCAATCATGAAAGAATAAGAATAAAAAGCGCAAATAACTTCTTAGTACAATTGATCCTTATACAATGCAGGGTGCCAACCCTGCATAGTCAAAAATTCATGTGTAATTTTTAAATGCCCAAAAACTTAACTACTAATAGCCTACTGTTGACTGGAAGCCTTATCAATAACATAATTAATCAAGTAACACATAAATAGAGTAGTATCTACATATATTTTGTGCATTCATGACACATTTAACTTTTTCTTAATTTTTTAATATTTCTAGGCTACATGATTCATCTGCAAACTTTTTTAAAATATCACAAATCTCAAAAAAATGTTTTAGTTTTTATTTTAGGTTGAGGGGTACATGTGAAGTTTAGTTACATAGGTAAACTCATGTCATGGGGGTTTGTTGTACAGATTATTTCATCATCGAGGAATTGAGCTCAGTACCCAATAGCTATCTTTTTTGCCCCTCTCTCTCCTCACATCCTCCACCGTCAAGTAGACCCCAGCGTCTGTTGTTTCCTTCTTTGTGTTCATAAGTTCTCATCATTTAGCTCCTACTTATAAGTAAGAATGTGCAGTATTTGCAGTATTTTCTGTTCCTGCATTAGTTTGCTGAGGATAGCCACCAGCTCCTTCCATGTTCCCACAAAAAACATGATCTCATCCTTTTTTATGGCTGCATAGTATTCTATGGTGTATATACCACATTTTCTTTATACATTCTGTCATTGATGGGCATTTAGGTTGATTCCCTGTCTTTACTATCAGGAACAGTGCTGCAAGGAACATTTGCGTGCATGTGTCTTTATGGTAGAGTGATTTATATTCCTCTGGATATATACCCAGTAATGAGATTCTTGGGTCAAATGATAGTTCTGCTTTTAGTTCTTTGAGGAATCACCATACTGCTTTCCACAATGGTTGAACTAATGTACACTCCCACCAACTTTTTATAAGTGTCCCCTTTTCTCCACAACCTCACCAGCATCTGTTATTTTTTTGACTTTTTAGTAACAGCCATTCTGACTGCTGTGGGATAGTATCTTATTGTGTATTTCTCTAATGATCAGTTATATTGAGGTTTTTTTCATATGCTTGTTGGCCGCATGTATGTCTTCTTTTGATAAGTGTCTGTTCATGTCCTTTGCCCACTTTTTTATGGGGTTTGTTTTTCTCTTGTAAATTTGTTTAAGTTCCTTATAGATACTGGATATTAGACCTTTGTCAGATGCATAATTTGCAAATATGTTCTCTCATTTTATAGGTTGTCTGTTTACTCTGTTGATAGTTTCTTTTACTGTGCAGAAGCTCTTAAGTTTAACTAGATCCCACTTGTCAATTTTTGCTATTGTTGCCATTGCTTTAATGTCTTCATCATGAAATCCTTGCTTGTTCCTGTGTCCAGGATGGTATTTTCTAGGTTGTCTTCCAGGGTTTTTACAGTTTTGGATTTTTACATTTAAGTCTTTAATCTACCTTGACTTGATTTTTGTATTAGGGAAAAGAAAGGGTCCAGCTTCAGTCTTCTGCGTACTGCTAGCCAGTTATCACAGCACCATTTATTGAACAGAGTGCCTTTTTCCCATTGCTTCTTGTTAGCCTTCTCAAGGATCAGGTAGTCATATGTGTGCAGCCTTATTTCTGGGCTCTCTATCCATTGGTCTATGTGTCTGTTTCTGTACCAGTACCATGCTGTTTTGGTTACTGTAGCCTTGTAGTTTGAAGTCAGGTAGCATGATGCCTCTGGCTTTGTTCTTTTTGCTTAGGATTGCCTTGGCTATTTGGGCTCCTTTTTGGTTCCATACGAATTTTGAAATAGTTTTTTCTAGTTCTGTGAAGAATGTCAATGATAGTTTGATAGAAATAGCATTAAATCTGTAAATTGCTTTGGGAAGAATGGCCATTTCAATGGTATTGATTCTTTCTATCCATGAGCATGAGATGTTTTTCCATTTGCTCGTGTCTTCTCTGATTTCTTTGAGCAGTGTTTTGCAGTTCTCATTGTAGAGATCTTTCACCTTCCTTGTTAACTGTATTCATAGGCATTTTATTCTTTCTGTGGCAATTGTGAATGGGATTCCCTTTCTGATTTGGCTCTCAGCTTGGCTGTTGTTGGTATATAGGAATACTATTGATTTTTGTACATTGATTTTGTATCCTGAAAGTTTGCTGAAGTTATCAGCTGAAGGAGCTTATGGGCCAAGACTATGGGGTTTTCTAGATGTAGGATCATGTCATCTGCAAACAGAGATAGTTTGACTTCCTCTCTTCTTATTTCGATGCCCTTTATTTCTTTCTCTTGCCTCGCTGCTTTGGCCAGGAATTCCGATACTATGTTGAATAGAAGTGGTGAGAGAGGGCATCCTTGTCTTGTGCTGGTTGTCAAGGGAAATGCTTCCAGCTTTTGCTCATTCAGTATAGTGTTGGCTGTGGTTTGTCATAGATGGCTCTTACCATTTTGAGGTATGTCCTTCAATACCTAGTTTATTAAGAGTGCTTAACATGAATGTGTTGAATTTTATTGAAAGCCTTTTCTGCACCTATTGAGATAATCATTTTGTTTTGGTCTTTAGCTCTGTTTATGTGATGAATCACAGTTATTGATTTGCATATATTGAACCAATCTTGCATCCCCAGGATGAAACCTACTTGATTGTGGTGGATTCACTTTTTGATATGCTGCTGGATTCAGTTTGCAAGTATTTTGTTGAAGATTTTTACATCAATGTTCATCAAGGATATTGGCCCAAAGTTTTCTTTTCTTGCTGTGTCTTTGCCAGGTGTTGGTATCAGAATGATGCTGGCCTCATAGAATGAGTTGGGGAGGAGTCTCCCTCCTCAACTTTTTGGAAGAGTTTCTATGGGAATGGTACCAGTTCTTCTTTGTACATCTGGTAGAACTTAGCTGTGAATCCACCAGGTCCTGGGCTTTTCTTTTTTTTTTTTTTTTTTTTTTTTGATCAGGTAATCAATTTCTTCCTGGTTCAGACTTTGGAGTGTGTATGTGTTCCAGAATTTATCCATCTCTTCTATGTTTTCTAGCTTGTGTGCATAAGGGTGTTCATAGTAGTTTCTGATGGTTATTTGTATTTCTGTGTGGTTAGTGGTAACATTCCCTTTGTCATTTCTAATTGCCTTTATTTGGATCTTCCCTCTTTTCTTTTTCATTAGTCTAGTCAGCAGCCTATGTAGCTTGTTAATTTTTTAACAAAACCAACTACTGGATTTGTTTATCTTTTGAATTGTTTTTTGTGTCTTGATTTCCTTCAGTTCAGCTCTGATTTTGGTTATTTCTTGTCTTCTGCTAGCTTTGCGGTGGGTTTACTCTTGTTTCTCCAATTCTTTCCATTGTGATGTTAGGTTATTAATTTGAGATATTTTTAACTTTGGGATATGGCCATTTAGTGCTGTGAATTTCCCTCTTAACACTGCCTTAGTTGTGCCCCCAGAGATGCTGATATATTGTATCTTTGTTCTCATTAGTTTCAAAGAACTTCTTTATCTCTGCCATAATTTCACTAATTACCCAGAAGCCATTCAGGAGCATGTTGTTTAATTTCCTTTTTTTTTTTTTTTTTTTTTTTGAGACAGAGTCTCACTCTGTCACCCAGGCTGGAGTGCAGTGGCACAATCTCAACTCACTGCAAGCTCCGCCTCCCGGGTTCACGCCATTCTCCTGCCTCAGCCTCCCGAGTAGCTGGGACTACAGGTGCCCGCCACCACACCCAGCTAATTTTTTGTATTTTTAGTAGAGACGGGGTTTCACTGTGTTAGCCAGGATGGTCTCAATCTCCTGACCTCGTGATCCGCCCACCTTGGCCTCCCAAAGTGCTGGGATTACAGGCGTGAGCCACTGCGCCCGGCCCACATGTTGTTTAATTTCCATGTAATTGCATGGTTTTGAGCAATTTTCTTAGTCTTGACATCTATTTTTATTGCACTGTGGTCTGAGAGTGGGTTTGGTATGATTTCAACTCTTTTACATTTGCAGAGGATTATTTTGTACCCAATTATGTGGTCAATTTCAGAGTATGTGCCATGTAGCAATGAGAAAAATGTATATTATGTTGTTTCAGGGTGGAAACTTCTGTAAAGGTCTATCAGATACATTTGGTCCAAGGTTCAGTTCAGGTCCTGGATATCTTTGTTAATTTTCTGCCTTGATGAACTGTCTAATATTGTCAGTGGAATGTTGAAGTCTCCCACTATTATTGTGTGGGAGAGTAAGTGTCTTTGTAGGTCTCTAAGAACTTGCTTTATAAATCTGGGTGCTCCTGTGTTGGGTGCATATATATTGAGGATAGTTAGGTCTTCTTGTTGAATTAAACCCTTTACTGTTATGTAATGCCCTTCTTTGTCTTTTTTTATCTTTGTTGGTTTGACATCTGTTTTGTCTGAAATTAGGATTGCAATCCCTGCTTTTTTCTGTTTTCCATTTGCTTTGTTGACTTTCCTGCATCCCTTTATTATGAGCCTATGGGTGTCATTTTGTGTGAAATGGATCTCTTGAAGACAGCATACCATTGGGTCTTGCTTTTTTATTCAGCTTGCCACTCTGTGCCTTTTAAGTGGGGCATTTAGCCCATTTACATTCAAGGTTAGTATTGATATGTGTGGATTTGATCCTGTCATTGTGTTGTTAGCTGGTTATTATGTTGGCTTATTTGTGTGGTTGCTCTCCAGTGACAATGGTCTGTGTGTTTAAGTTTGTTTTTGTATTTGCTGGTAGCAGTCTTTCCTTTCTATATTTAGTGCTCCTTTCAAGATCTCTTGTAAGGCAGTTCTGATGGTAGCAAACTCCCCCAACATTTGCTTGTCTGTAAAGGATCTTATTTCTGCTTTGCTTAGGAAGCTTAGTTTGGCTGGATATGAAATTCTAGGTTGAAGATTTTTTTCTTTAAGAATGTTGAATATAGGCCCCCAATCTCTTCTGGCTTGTAGGATTTCAGCTGAGATGTCCGCTGTTAGCCTGATAGTGTTCCCTTTGTAGGTGACCTGCCCTTTCTCTCTAACTGTCTTTAACATTCTTTCATGTCGATCTTGAAAAATCTGATGATTATGTGTCTTGGGAATGCTCTTCTTGTGTAGAATCCTAAAGAAGTTTTCTGTACTTCCTGAATTTGACTGTTGGCCCCTCTAGCAAAGTTGGGGAAGTTTTCATGATGGATGATATCCCAAAATATGTACTCCAAGTTGTTTTCTTTCCCCGCTCCCTTTCACAGAGGCCAGTGGTTCATAGATTTGGCCTCTTTATATAATCCCATAATTCTCGAAGTTTTCATTCATTCCTTTTTATGACTATCTTATTTCAGAGAACCGGTCTTCAAGTTCTGGGCTTCTTTTCTCAGCTTGGTTTATTCTGCTGTTAATACTTGTCATTGCACTGTGAAATTCTTGTATTTTGTTATTCAGCTCTGTCAGACCTGTTAGGTTTTTTTTGTACCAGCTATTTTGGCCTTCAGCTCCTGTATTGCTTTATTATGATTCTTGTTTTCCTTGGATTGGGTTTTGCTGTCCTACTGAATCTGTTCCTATCTATATTCCAAATTCTACTTCTGTCATTCCAACCAGTTCAGCCTGGTTAAGAACTCTTGTTGGACAACTGGTGCAGTCATTTGGAGGACATATGACACTCTGGCCACTTGAGTTACCAGAGTTCTTGCATTGGTTCTTTCTCATCTCTGCATGTGGGTGTTCCTTTAACTGCAGTGTAGATTGAGTACAGTCAATAGACTTCTTTTCTAGATGTTTTCACCAGACTGAGGCTTTGTACAGGTCTTTATGTGAAACTGACTTCTTGTCTCTGGTTTCAGAGGTGGGTATGTTAGTGAGGTATTTTTAGTGTTGAAGCTTTGGGGTGTGATCCAGTCGGTGGCATTTAGGCTTATTGGTCAGTTGGTAGACTCCAGCTCTGTTGTGTGGTTCTCCTACGTTTCCTTACAGCTGCAGCTGCATTCCCTCTCAATGCTCTGAAAATGTGGGTTCCTCTCTCCCTTGAGTGCTAGCTGTAGATCATGGTTTGGCACTCCTGGCTACCCACTACAGCTCTGGAGCAATCTTAGTGTTTATATTCCTTCCCCAACTTGGAGGCAGCAGAGGAAGGGACCTTAGTAGTGGTTGTGGCCAAGCATCTTTTTCTTGTCTCCTGGGGCTCCACACCACAGAGATGCAGGTCAATAATCACGTAGTGCAATCAACCTAGGATGAAGGGTCTGTGATGTGGGCCTAAGCCAGGCATTCCCTGTCTGGTGACAAGCAGTGGGGGGTGTGGAACCCATGGGAGATGGACTGACCTTCTCTCCTTGAGTCAATTGCAGCTTGTTGGAGGTATGGATATGGCACTTAGGGTCTTTGCTTCTTCGCCAGTCCCAGGGTATCAAGGGCAGTTTCATTGCAGAGGCAGTGGCAGAGAGGCTTTCATTTGCCCCAGAGGCTCTGTTCAGGGAGTTGCTGAGTTGTTACTGGCTCAGTAGCTCTGGTGGGGGTGGCTGGACGCTCAGGCCTGGAAGACCTGCCTGGTGAAGAGATATGGGAACGGGGACCCATCTAACAGCCTGGCCACTTTTCCATAGGGCTGCTGCAGCATACTGGGGGCTATCTCCAGTCCCTAGTCACCTCGGATTTTCCAGTACCTGGAGGTATCACCAGTGAAGGCTATGAAACAGCAAAATGGCAGCATGCCCCTCCTTCTGGCAGCTCCATCCCAGGTACAGACCTGTTGCCAGCCTGAGCACACGTGTAGGAGGTGGGTGGAGACTCCAGTTGTGTGGTCCCACCCACAGAGTAGGAATGGGATCAAAGACTTGCTTTAAAAAGCAGTCTGGCCACATTTTTGTCAAGCAGCTGTGTTGTGCTAGGGGTACACTTCAGGCCCTGGTCACCTCGGACATTCCAAAGCCTGAAGGCCAGAATAGTTAAATCACCCAAGCAGCAAAGATAGCAGCCCACCCCTCTCTCTGGGAGCTCCATCCCAGGGAGGTTTCAAATTTCTGTTTGCCAGAAAGCACTGGCAGGCATAAATGGAAACCATGGTAGGGAGGTCTTGCCCAGTAAGGAGAAACGGAATCAGAGACCCACTTTAAAAAGCTCTGGCCATGTTTTCACAGAGCATTTGTGCTGTGCTGGGGGATCCCTTCCACCCCTCGTCAGCTTGGATTCTCCAAAGCCAGAAGGCTGGAATGGCTAAGATGCCCAAACAACAAAGATGACAGCCCACCCCAACCCTCCCCCTGGGAGCTCCGTCCCAGGGAGGTGCAACACTGCTACCAGTGGCTAACTGGAATTCCAAGCTAGTGGGTCTTAGCCTGTGAGGTGCTGTGGAAGTGGGGCTTACAAACTGTTGCTGCTTAGCTCCCTGGATTTGGCCTCTTTCCTAGGGGTTTTATGGGGGTCTAACCTCCCACTTTGCCGATGTTGCAGCTTTTTTTGCTAGGAAGCCTGGGGAGGCCAAGTATCTAAGGCTCACAGGTCTCCACAAGTGCCTGAGCAGCTGCTATGCCAAAACTCCACGTAGCTCTGAAGGGCCTGGTGAAGTGGGTTCATGAGGGGGAACTTCTGACCTGAAGGTTGCAAAGATGCATGGGAAAAACGTGGGTTCTCAGGGTGGCACATTCACCCACTGCTTCCCTGAGTGAGGGGAGGTTCCCTTGGTTCCATGTTATTCCTGGGTAGGCCATCGTCCTGCCTTGGTTTTTTCCATTCTCCATTGGTCAAGTTGTTTCTTCAATTAGTCCCAATGTGAGTACCTGGATGGTTCAGTTGAAGATGCTGTATTTACTCGCCCCTTCCACTCCTCTCCGTGGGAGCCACACACACTAGCTGCTTCTAGTCGGCCATCTTGGCCACCTCCCCTAAAAAAAATTTTTCAATATCTTTATTGAAAACAATTCACTAATAAGTGGACCCACACTGTTCAAACTCATGTTGCTCAAAGATCAACTATATCACTATAAAAGCAATTTTGACCTCAGGCCCCACAAAAGAATCTCAGGGACCTCCGTGAGTTCACAGACCGCACTTTGAGAACCACCACCCCACAAGACTGGATGTGGGTGAGAAAAACCTTTTTTTTTTTTTTGAAGTGGGTGAGAAAATCTTAATAGACCTTTTCTTCAAATGCAGATTCTGGATTCTGCTTCATACACTTTAAGAGTTCCATATTGGTCCTGCCATCCCAGGTAGGCCCTAGAACACTGGCCTTGGCTGTGGTTGTGTCACAGTCCTGGGGGACAAAAATTTGCACATGCACTATACCTCGGGTCCCACAACCACAATGGCACTATAAACAACCAGAGACTCAGCTGGGCTGGGCTGGGCAAATGCTTGTGACTGGAAGTACCAAGGAAGGCCATATATTACTTTTATAGTAAAAAAAGATATTTTTATTTTGAAAAAAATTAGCATTTATTTAGCTATAAATTAAAACATTAAACACCATCTGTGATGGTTAATTTTGCATGTCGACTTGACTGGACACCAGGGTCAGATATGATTCTGGATGTGTCTGTGAGGGTGTTTCTGGATAAAATTAACATTCAGATCAGTTGATTGAGTAAAGCAAATTGCCCTCTCCAATGTGAGTGGGCATCATCCAATCAATTGAAGGCCTAACTAGAACAAAAAAGCTGATCATCTGAGAAGAAAGGAGAACTCCTCCTGCCGATTTTCTAGCCGGACATTAGATTTTTTCCTGCCTTTAGACTTGAACTGAGACATCAGCTCCCCTGGGTCTCAAGCCTGCTAGCTTGGAGATTAGGACTACACCATGGGCATTCCTGGGTCTCCAGATTGCAAACTGCACATCTTGGAATCTGTCAGCCTCCATCACCAAGTGAGCCAATTCCTTTCTATATATATTCAATGTCTTTCTATATATAACTATACCTTTATCGGTTTCTCTGGAAAACCCTGATTAATACACCATTCTTAGGCCGGTCATGGTGGCTCACGCCTGTAATCCCAGCACTTTGGGAGACCGAGGCGGGCAGATCACCTGAGATCAGGAGTTCAATACCAGCCTGGCCAACATGGGGAAGCCCCATCTCTACTAAAAATACAAAAGTTAGCTGGATGTGGTGCTGGGCACCTGTAATCCCAGCTACTCAGGAGGCTGAGGCAGGAGAATCGCTTAAACCCAGGAAGCGGAGGTTGCAGTGAGCCGAGATTGCGCCACTGCCTTCCAGCATGGATGAAAAAGAGAGACTCCATCTCAAAAAATATACATAAAATGAAATAAAAAATAAAAAAATACATCATTCTTGGAAAAATAAAAAGACCAACACTAGTAGTGTCTAGCCAAACATCACCCACTAAAGGAGCCATTTTCAGTGAACCAAACCATTTGTAAAGCCATCTCAAATGTGAGAAAGATGCAGGAGGTTGTAGCCAAGGAACTCCACATATTCCAGGGCCAGTGGCACGTCCAGCCCTATCATGAGCTACATATGTCCCTGTATGTCCCGGTCATGAGCCATGTGTTAGGTTTGGGGTTGTTTTTTGTTTTTTTTTTTTTTTTTGCCATCTAACACCTGTGTCCACACAAAATTATATGATTATGATTTTGATGTTGATGTTGATCTTTCTATGGGGAGATACTAAAGTGATTATGAATAATCTGACTAGAGAAAGAACTCTGCTCATTATAAATTAATAAAATAGTCATCTAATTTTAACTTTGTTTTTCAATATAACCATTGTGTCAGGAAGTTTATTCTGGACAGGTGTCTAACAGTGGAAACCTCTTTCTGGGAGTTGGAAAATGCCTTCCAGGCCCACTTCCCTTTTAGAAGGTTTTTTAATCATGCCTATGCCATTTCATCCTGCCCTCCTGCCATAGCTGATTGGACTAGAGATGGATTCTTTTCCTGGCCAACAGTCCATGAGATGCCCTGACTCAAAAGCTTTGCCAAATATGGGCTTCCTAAATAGAACAATCAGACTGAGGAAGAGGTAGTTAGTAACAGCTGGCTCACTTAAAGCAGGGACAGAGAATAGCTGTGTCTCCGTAAGGGTAGCTGTCACTAAAGAAAGCTACAGTGCCCGTTAAGTCTTTGAAGCTGCTGGCAGATACCAGAGCAATCACAATGTCTTGGATCACATTCCATCTTCATGAGGCCTGAAAATGCATCTATTTTGCTTTAATTAATTAAGAAGCATATTTTGTTGTTACATGGTCTAAACAACATACTGCTCTGTGAGTTGGAAGACAATTTAGTCACATTTATCCTGCATGTTGTAGTAAAATAAAAGCACTTAAGATTTAGGTCAGGTGTAAAAAAAACCAAAATGCCTACCCAGGCAAGGCAGGTAACATATATAAGTAAGCCAGCCAGGTGTGGGATCAACAAGGAAGATACTTGCCCTGCTAACTGGAGCAACTGCTCCCCAGCTTTGGTCATAATTAACATTCAGAAGAATATTTTCATTGTTTGACAGAACTTCCAAGTTTTAAATGAGATAATGCATGTCAAGTGATTATTGTATGCTCAGCACATTGTAACAGCTCATTAATATTAATTATTATTAGTTTTATATTCATTTACAATCATCATTAGCAGTTATATATCTATAGGAATTATCTGGACAAATGATACTACTTGACAAATTTACATAAATTCTTTAACATATTTTTATCTCAAGAATATTTTTTGATCATGCTCTTTAAAATGCTTCTCTAGTTCTAATTGGTCTCTTAATTGATTCATGAAGACCTTAAAATGTGAGGTATGCTAACTCATCTGGTTTGCTTTTTGCTAATGATTCATTTCTCTGGTTTGGAGAAACTCATTTTTGTGTTTTTCCAGCCTATCTTTTCTGTGGGTAATTACCCCATGCACACCTTCAGACATTGCCTATCAAGCAAAAATGTAGATTGAATACAGTATAATTTTCTCCAAGTTGGCTTAGGTCTTTAATCAGAGACTGCCATTTCTGACCAGCCCTTCTAAACCAAATCAGTAAGTTTTGTTGTTTTAAAGGATTGGTACAAGTAATGAAGTTCAACTAAGAAAAGAACAAGGAGATTGTATCTGAAAAAGCAGCATCATAACACAACATACACACTGCAGAGCACTTCCACATAACTTACAACTCCAGGCTTTAGAATGGTAGAAACAAATTCATCTTGTTTTGTTTAAAAAAAAAAAAAAATCAAAGTAGAGAGCCCATAGTCAAAATGAAAGTAATTCAGTCATGCCTCTGGGCTTCCTTCTAACAATTATTACAAATTAATATTCACAATATATTTAAGGCATGTCAAAATCTCAAAATAAAAAATGTGTATTGATATAATCCATTCAAATCCAGTTTCCTACCTAGGGGCAGGATGTGATAAGGCAGAGCATACATGGATTTTGAAGTCAGACTGACCTGGATTCAAATTCTGACATGCTGGTCGAATACGTATCTTGGCTAGTTCCTTAGCTTCTCTGAGCGTATGTTATCATCTCTAAAGATGGGACAACTAGACTTACTTTTAAGTCTGTGATGAAGGTTAAATAAAATACCACAGAAAAGGTGCCTTCCCATTGCCTACCATTTAGTAGACATTTAACAAATGGCTTTCTCGTTTCCATTCCCTCTTCCGAGCACAATGTAAGGATCAATCAAGTGTCCCATATGCCTTACAAGGTAAGTAGAGATGGTTTCCATAATCTTAAACACAATATGTATTGAAGGATGAAGGATCTTCCACCTTAGGCCTTGAGTAAGCACAGGTATGGGCTGTTCCTTCACCTCAGGTAGATCTGTCTGGAGTAGGTGGATTGAGCAATGTAATTAGTTTGTTTACTCGCAAAGTTATTTATGTAACAAACATTGAACCCTATTCTGTGACAGGCACTGTAGATACTGAAGGTAAATAACACCGCCGCCCTCAGGGAGCTCACATCCCAAGTTGTAACAGACTCATCCTAAATAGCATTTCCTAAGGTATGCTCCACAGAACACCATTTCCACAGGTTAAAAGTGTTAGAAGAAAACTAAGTTTGGAGGAAAGTTTTAAAGTTTCTTTACTATGAGGTTTTTCAGAACCAGTAATGGGCTTGGAGACATAGAATGCAGTGTTCATATTTGATCACAGAACGTTTTTATCAAGGAGCATCTCAAGAGGCTAGCAGTGTTGCTCAGGTCATGCTTTGGGAAGAGCAGACCTATAGTACAGCTGTGAGCGTTCTCCCACACAGCTGTTCCTACAAGCCTTCAGGGGAGGCTGGGGGGAAGCCGGCAGTCTCCTGGATAACGCTGTGCAGTGCTATTTCAGCCCTACATACTGGAGTAGTGGGAGAGCCATAAACTTTGAACCTAGACTGGACTGGAAATTTGATTCTGCAGCTCATCTGCGTGGCCTGGAGCAAGTTGTAAAAGCTCTTTGATCTTAAGAGCTTGTTTCACTGCCTAAACAATGGGGATCATAATAACATCTTCTTTCTGGGGTTCTTGTGAGAAATAAATATAATAACATAGGGAAAGTGTCAGGCATACAGTAAAAGTAGAACCTAATAGATAGCCCCTTCTATTCCCTTTGCCCCCTTATTCTATGCTACATTTTATTATATCCTGGGAAGCACAGCGCAATGAATGAGTCAGAGATAAATACATCCTGCTGGTTTAAAGAGCAGATGCATGTGCTTCATCATCTGTGCTTCCTCTATTATTTTGCTTGTACCTGAAGAGTTTTGTACCTCTTTGCACTTCTGTCTTCCAGCCAGAAATGCTGAGACAACAGAAGGAAAACAACAAGGTCTTTACCTTACCTTAATGAGAAATCTCCTGGTTGTCTTTTGAGAAAAGAAGTTCTGACACTGGCAGGTCAATTTACTTATTTATTTATTCATTTATTTGTGTGTGTGTGTGTGTGTGTGTGTGTGTGTGTGTGTGTGTGTGTGTGTGTGTATCACCCAGGCTGGAGTGCAGTTGCGTGATCTCTGCTCACTGCAACCTCTGCCTCCCATGTTCAAGAGAACCTCCTGCCTCAATCTTCTGAGTAGCTGGGATTACAGGCGCCCATGACCACACCTGGCTAATTTTTGTATTTTTAGTAGAGACGGGGTTTAACCATATTGACCAGCCCAATCTTGAACTCCTGACCTCAAGTGATCCACCCACCTCAGCCTCCCAAAGTGCTGGGATTACAGGCGTGAGCCACCGTGTGCAGCCTTCAGCTGATTTTAGAGTCTTACATTTTTATAACATCAACCAAACATTACCTTACTCATCTAAAATTCAGTAAAATCCTCTAAGCTCTTCATTCCCAGGACTCTCATGGTCAGGAAATTCTTTAAGAAAAACAAAAGATGATATTTAACTAAACATTTCAAACACTCTGTGAAATGAAGCATCTGAGAATCACAATACAGATTCCCTAGTCACGACTACAGTCCATGTTTGTCTAAAAATAGGTGAAATTTATTTTTGCTGATAAAACTAAATCTGAAAGAAGTAATCAGGTGAAACATATCTTCATATATTATCTATAACCAATAATACTCCACTCATTTAGCTTGTCAGAAAATGAGCTATTCCACATAAGTGAATTTTCTAGATAATGAAGGTTATAGTTGCCCTACTTCCTACTCCATTCATCTCACCTTGCTTAGAAAGAAGCATTAGAAAGCAGGAGAGGATTTGGAGAAAGGACAAAGTCCACACGCAGAACCCAGAGCAAAGTAGACAGCCTGATTAGGGATTAAGAGCGGGAGGGAGTAGGGAGTTGGGGGTTGAGTGTGGTGGCTCACACCTGTGATCACAGCAATTTGGGAGGTCAAAGCAGGTGGATTACTTTTTGAGGTCAGGCATTCAAGACGAGCCTGGCCTAGATGCCAAAACCCCGATTTTACTAAAAATATAAAAAATTAGCTGGGCATGGTGATGTGCACCTGTAATCCCAGCTACTCGGGAGGCCAAGGTGGGAGAATCGCTTGAACTTAGGAGGTGCAGGTTGTAGTGAGCCAAGATCGCACCACTGCCCTGCAGCCTGGGCAAGAGAGCAAGGCTCTGTCTCAAAGGAAAAAAAAAAAGACAGTGGGGTATGGGGTATGGTCTCTGGTAGGAGAGATGGAACCAGAAATGGGCAGCTAGACAGGTTTAGAGACAGAAGATTTGAAATTAGAGGTTTCTTGAATTGGAAAATGTGTAGCTTAGAAAGAATAAAATACCTAGGAATACAGCTAACTAGGGAGGTAAAAGATCTCTACAAGGAGGACTCCTAAACACCGCTCAAAGAAATCACAGTTGACACAAACAAATGGAAAAACATTTCATGCTCATGGATAGGAAGAATCAATATAATTAAAATGGCCTTACTGCCCAAAGCAATTTATAGAATCAATGCTATTCCTATCAAACTACCATTGACATTCTTCTCAGAACTAGAGAAAACTCAAACTCTTTTAAAATTCATATGGAACCAAAAAAGAGCCCAAGTAGCTAAGGCAATTCTAAACAAAAAGAACAAACCCGGAGGCATCACCTGACTTCAAACTATACTATAGGGCTACAGTAACCAAAACAGCATGGTGCTGGTGCAAAAACAGACACATAGACCAATGGAACAGAATAGAGAACCCAGAAATAAGATTGCACCCCTACAACTACCTGATCTTCGACAAATCTAACAAAAACAAGCAATGAGGAAAGGATTCCCAATTCAATAAATGGTGTTGGAATAACTGGCTAGCTATATGCAGAAGATTGAAGCTGGACCCCTTCCTTAAACCATATATAAAAATTAACTCAAGATGGATCAAAGACTTAAATGTAAAACCCAAAACTGTAAAAACTCTGGAAGACAACCTAAGCAATACTATTCAGGACATAGGCACAGGCAAAGATTTCACAACAAAGACACCAGAAGCAATTGCAACAAAAGCAAAACTTGACAAATGAGATATAATTAAACTAAAGAGCTTCTGCACAGCAAAAGAAACTATCAGCAGAGTGAACAGACGACATACAGAATGGGAGAAAATGTTTGCAAACTATGCATCCAACAAAGGCCTAATATTTAGCATCTATAAGGAACTTAAACAAATTTACAAGAAAAAAAACCCATTAAAAAAGAGTGCAAAGGACATGAACAGATACTTTTCAAAAGAAGACATTTATGCAGCCAACAAACATGTGAAAAAAAGCCCAACGTCACTGATCATTAGAGAAATGTAAAATCAAAGCCACAATGAGATACCGTCTCACACGAGTCAGAATGGCTATTACTAAAAAGTTAAAAAAAAATAAGAGATGCTGGCAAGGTTTTGGAGAAAATGGAACACTTATTTACCGTTGGTGGGAGTATAAATTAGTTCAACCATTGTGTAAGACAGTGTGGTGATTCCTCAAAGACCTAGAGACAGAAATACCATTCAACCCAGCAATCCCACTACTAGGTATAAACCCAAAGGAAAATAAATCATTCTATTAAGACATATGCACACATATGTTCATTGCAGCACTATTCACAATAGGAAAGACATGGAATCAACCTAAATGCCCATCGATGGTGGACTAAATAAAGGCCTGGTCTGGTGGCTCACATCTAGAATCCCAACACTTTGGGAGGCCAAGGCAGGTGGATCACTTGAGTTTAGGAGTTTGAGAGCAGCCTGGCCAACAAGATGAAACCCTGTCTCTACTAAAAATACAAAAATTAGCCATATGCAATGGTGCACACCTATAGTCCCAGCTATTTGGGAGGCTGAGGCATGAGAATTGCTTGAACCCGCGTGGTGGAAGTTGCAGTGAGCCAAGACTGCACCACTGCACTCCAGCCTGGGAGACAGAGTGAGACAAAAAAAAAAAAAAAGATAGGATAAAGAAAACGTGGTACATATACACCATGGAATAATATGTAGCCATAAGAAAGAACAAGATTAGGTCCTCTGCAGGGACATGGATGGAGCTGGAGGCCATTATTCTTAGCAAACTAACACAGGAACAGAAAGCCAAATACTGCATGTTCTCACTTATAAGTGGGAGTTAAATGATGAGAACACATGGATACATAGGGAGGAACAACACTCACTGGGGCCTTTCAGAGGGTGGAGGGTGAGAGGAGGGAGAGGATCAGGAAAAATAACTAATGGTTACTAGACTTTATAGCTGGGTGATGAAATAATCTATATAACAAACCCCTATGGCACAAGTTTACCTATGTAACAAACCTGCACTTGTACCCCGAACTTAAAAGTTAAAAAATAATAATAAATAAATATTTGGATGAAAAAAAAGCCATTGGAAAAATGATAGATTATTTAACAAATGGTATTGAAATATCTGACTAAAAAAAGAAAATGTATGGCTTTTTAGTCTACAGTATTGACTTAAAGATTTGAAGGAATTTGGTCTTAGGAGTCTTTGGGGCTTATTGAGAGCTTTGAGGGCTTCTATAGGCCTTTGGAATGTGTTAAGAAAGGCTCCAGAAAAAAAGAAAACAGAATTCATTGATGGGGCTGGAGCTAGGTTCCAATTTTAAAAGAAAATGAAGCGGAAAGACCCTCTATACTTTCTTCTGGTTTGTAAGCCAGCTCTCTAGGGTAGAGAAGGAGATCATAATTCAGGATCAGACCTCTGTACATCTAGCAGAATATTGACTGTGCTTGCCCTAGAAATTGATGAGGGGAAGGAACTCCAACACATTTCATTCTTTTAAAGGCAAAATATGTACAATGTTACCTGTCTGCCTCTTCGACCAAAAAATTCAGAACATAATCTACCCTGATTTTAATGGCACAATGACCATTACAAACACCCATTCCTATTTTAACAGAGGCTTCCAGAGTGGTGAGAAACATTAGATCCTGTACAAAGTATCCTTGGGCTCTCTGCTTTTTGTTTTTATTTTGTTTTAGTTGTTTTTGTCTTTATTCTTGGCATCAGCTATTATTTGTGGTGACTAGAAGTTTTTCTAAATCTGGAAACACTTCTCTTTCCCTTCTGATTTACTGTTTCTAATATCTTATAAGAAAAGATAAAATGATGACATTAATTTGAACTACAACTCAGGTATGAAAAAAAGGGAACCAAGAAAGTCTTTTATGAGTATGTAAACATTAGTGCAATGTGCACTCTGTTTTGCTGGCTTTGAAGAGACTTGTTTTGCTTATTTCTAAGAGACTTATTTCTATCCAGATAGCTTCATTTAAAGATAAATGGCATCCATACTAGTGATGTATAAGCGCACTTGATAAATACTATGCCACCCTTGGTTTCTTTCTTTCCCTTACACCCTACGCATATTCCCTCAACAAATTCTTGAAAAAATATCCAGAATGCAGTCAATCATATTTCACTGCTCCCACTGCTACCACTCTAGCCCAAATTATCATCATCTCTCAGCTGAATCACTGCAGTCCCTCCTAACCCATCTCTGTGCTTCCTCCTTTGACTTCCTTCAGTCTATCAAATGCAGCCAGAATGGTCCTTTTAAAATGTTAGGTCAGGCCGGGCATGGTGGCTCACACCTGTAATCCCAGCACTTTGGGAGGCCAAGGCAGGAGGATCGCCTAAAGTCAGGAGTTGGAGACCAGCCTGGCTAATGTAGCGAAACCCTGTCTCTACTAGAAATACAAAAAAAATTAGCTGGGTGTGGTGGTGCAGTGCCTGTAATCCTAGCTACTCAGGAGCCTGAGGCAGGAGAATCACTTGAACTAGGAGGTGGAGGTTGCAGTGAGCCAAGATCACACCACTCCAGCCTGGGCGACAGAGCGAGACTCTGTCTCTAAATAAATAAATAAATGTAAGTAAATAAAATGTTAGGTCAGATAAATCATAAATCCTCCTCTGCTCACGACCCTCCAATGGCTTCCTACTTCACTCAGAATAAAAGCCAAAGCCATTACTATGACCTCTGAGATTCTACATGATTCCATCTCCTATGGCTTTTTCTCATTCAGTCCTCTCCAACCACACTGGCTTCCATTACTGATCTTCAACTTCTCATTTAAGTTGCACTGAAATTCAAACATCCAATTAATTCCTTTCATACATTTAGCTTTTTCCCATAGAGAAATTTTAAACTGTTTGGTACAATTTGGTTCCATCATCAGACAGATCTGGGTTGAATCCAGACTGCTTACTGGCTGTATGATTTAATGATATTACTTGCCTTATGGGATTGTTGTAAGGATTAGGCGAAATAAATGCCCAGGGCCTAGAACATAGAAAAGACTTGATAAATACAATCTATTGTTTTTCATATAAATTACATATATGTGTATATATGTATATACATATATATGTGTATATATGTATATACATATATATGTGTATATGTGTGTGTGTGTGTGTGTGTGTGTGTGTGTATGTGTGTGTGTATACATATATATATCCAAATATCAGATTTTTACATTATGGAACCAAAAAAATCCAAAAGTTAGAATAAAACTTTTAATTTTCATGGTACTATTATTTGTCTACATGTAGCTTACATGCAAAAAAAAGGTAAGGATACTCTTCTTTGCTTCATGTTCTCCTAGTCAGTTATTACCATATCCATCTTCCAAAAGGAAAAACTAAGGTTTTAGCATGCTTGGCATTGTGATCATATCATGTCCTACCAATTATATACATTTTTCACTAAATTCCTAGTAGCACTTAAACTCGGCCAATTTGCTTATCTGTCACCATCATGGATCCAGTTCATTTCTTTTCATGGATCATTCCTTCAGTATGGAAGGGTTTTTTACCTTATACATATCAGTATATACTTTTCATCCCCGGCAATCCTGTATTTGAAACAACTTCTACAAGAATACTTCTATAATTAAGCCTATTTCGTTCTAGTAACCTCATTATTTGACACCCTTCCAATATTTATACTGAATCAATAATCATTTGCATTAATTGTGTGCTTCTAATGTATCAGGAACTGTTCTAAGCACTTTAGTGTATTATTTCATTTATTCCTATGTAGGCTCCTTGATTAACACCCTTTTACAGATGAGGAAACTGAGGTAACACATGGTAAAATAACTTGTCCAGGACACACAACTAGACAATCATGACACTGTATCTCAACTAAGCAGTCTGATCCCCAAAACCGACGCTCTTAGCAATTAAGCACTTCATACCCTATCTTCTTTTACGCATTTTTTTATAGTAAGTCTCATGTCAGCTCATGTGTCAATGTCATGTATTGTTTCTCCAACTAGACTATAACTTTTTTTTTTAATAAGCCTGAATTGCTCTCTTTACCTCCATTAAACTTAATACAACGGTCTCTTCATAGCCTTTAGTAAATGCTCTTTAACAAACTCAGCAGTTAAGTGACTAGCACAGGACATGTGCGTGACTTGCTTTTCAGTTATTTACACCAAAAACTTCTGGGCCGAGCAAACCCAAATACCACTTCTACTATAAAACTGACTCTGATGTAATCATGAAGGGTCCACGTGTGAAAAGCTGAAGTCATTCTGTGTTGGCTTGTGGTCAACTCTCTTCTTCCAAAAGTCCTTCTGCATGGGCTTACTACAGGTACAAACAGCAGGTAATAATCCGGGACAGAAACAAATGAATCATCATTTTAATACACAAAGCAAGTGGGTGTTTTACTGACAAGCTGCCAAGAGCTACTGTATCAATGGCATATATTTCTGCTGCAAACTCCTCTGTTTGTAAAGGACCAATGCCAAATTTGTTCAGTGTCAGAGTTTCCAGGTAGGTGCCTTTGGAATCCACCGTGAAAGAAAGGAAGCAGGGGCAAAAAATGACATCAGCCTGACTCCAATGAGTATTTATGAAGTATACTACCTGAGAAGTTACTGTGAACTAGGAAGGCTTCCAAGGAAGGTATTTTAACTTAATTTTTATTTTAATGTCTATCAAAAAATTTACATCAAACATGATAAGAGATCCATTCATATGTTACATAAAATGTTGTATAATATATGCTTAATGATATAGAAAACACATACAAACTAATAAGAATATCAATTCCCCTGTGGTTAATAAACAAAAACATTAACAATTTACAAAAAAAAAAGGAAATATAGTTAGTAAATAAATATGTAAAGAAAATATTTAACCTTGGTGATCAAAGAAATATAAATTAAAACACCAGTGAAATAGTGCATAATACCAGTTAATTTATGAGGGGAAAAATTAATTAAATGAACAAATTCTGGCAAAGTTGTGGTAAAACTGGTATAGATGAATTATTAGTAGGGTATAACTTAGACAATTCAGCAATACTTATCAAAAGTCATAAAAATATGCATATTAACTAGGAATCATACTCATGGTAAATTATACCAAGAAAATAATTCAAAATATAAAAATTGTTTTGAATCTTTACTAATTAAAATACTCATTGTAAAAAATTAGAAACAACCAAAGGTTGAAAAACAGAGGTCCTAAGCATCGATTTGAAGATTTATTACCCAGACAATTAAAAAATGTAATATTTATCTCTGTAGCTACATGTCAATATTTATGACATAATGGTAAGTACATAAAGACCAATACAAAATGATATTTACACTATAATCATAACTATGTTAAACATGAATTTAACATGAATAAGTACTGTAAGAAAAAATAATTTTTAAGTTGAGTAAAATTCTGTCTAATTTGTCTTCTTTTATATTTGTATCATCATCACTGTGTTGTTTTTCTGGTTCTTGTTCTTGATTATGAAATAAATGGAAACCAATTAAAAACAATGTCTTCTAACATAGTCTGCAGTTTTCAAAATAATTTTTACCATCATATTAGCAGGCAAAAATAATCCAAATTTGACTTCTATGTTATAGCACTATATGATAATTATATCAATAGATTTCACTTATATTTATCATTTATTTTAGCAGGTATTAAAAATTGAATGTAAACATTAGCCCAAACCATCATGATAATAGGCCCTACAAAAACACTAAAGGATAGCAATCAAGGTGGGTGGCCTGGTGGTCAAGAGCAAGGTCTTGGAGTTTGAGTCCCAGCTATGCTACATACTAACTCTGCAGGATATTAGTACCTTTTCTAAAGCCCAGTTTTCATAGTACTTATCTCATAGGGTGGTTCATGAAGATCAGTTAAGGTAAGGAATATGAAGCACAGCACCTGCCATATGTGAAGTGACCAGTAAAAATAAGCAACTAAGATTATATACAATAGACTTCAAGATTCACACAACCTTTATTATTCCTTTTATTATTCTAATATACAAAGGCAGTGTTATTAGTCCATTCTCACACTGCTATAAAAAACTGCTAGAGACTGGGTAGTTTAAAAGGAAAGAGGTTTAATTGACTCACAGTTCTGCAGGGCTGGGGAGGCCTCAGGAAACTTACAGTTATGGCAGAAGGGGAACCAAACACATCCTTATTCACATGGTGGCAAGAAGAAGTGCTGAGCAAAAAGGGAAAAGCCCCTTGTAAAACCATCAGGTCTCATGAGAACTCACTGACTATCACAAGAACAGCATGGAGGTAACTGATCCCGTGATTCAATTACCTCCCACTGGGTCCCTCCCATGACACGTGGGGAATATGGGAACGATTCAAGATGAGATTTGGGTGAGGACACAGCCCAGCCACATCAGGCAGCTTTAAAAGTTGGCCTTTCCCTGACATGACCATGCTCTCTGCCTTTGATCCCTTATGCTGAAGCTTAATGCGTGATACTCCATCCGATTCTTTCCTTGGAACACTTAATACCTACCCTTTCTCCCAGTAATTGAGAACTGCTGTTCTGTAGCATTCTTATTTTGGAGATTAATTCATGTGGGTTTATGTCTCCTGATATTATACGTGCTTTTTAATTAAGTTATTATTGATTTGTTGTATGTTTCATTAACAATCTCTGTGTTCCTCTCTTCCTTATATAAATATCTGATAAATTCTTTACAGACAGGTGTATGTGGTATGCCTCTTTGCATCTGCCAGTGATTGATTGGTCCGTGTCATCTGCCAGGGGGTAACTAATTCATGTTGACATAGTGCATAAAAGCAAGGACTCAGAGCCAGATATCTGAGTCTGAATTCTACTTCTAACACTTACTGACTATGTCACTTCAGGCAATTTTCTTTGCCTCTCTATAGTTTTGTTGTATTATGTATAGAAAGGGGAAGAATCACCTTTTCCTAAAGTTCTTGTGAGGATTAAATAAATTAATATATGTAAAACAGTCAAATTATTACCTGTCCACAGTAAGTGCTATCCAAATATTAGCTATTAATATTACGATGCACATCAAACAGCAAATGAAGCAAGTTAGAGGAATGGGTGTTTCTACCTGACAGGAATGTTAGACATGAAAGCCATATCCAAAAAGTTAGAAGACCACATACAAAGTAAATATTAAAGATCTTTAATGAGCAAGCCGTCATAATGAAGTGATGAATGACACATAGTTGGAATTCGGAGAAGGGAAAAATCACAGTGGAGTGGAAAGTAGGGGAAGGAGTCACAGAAGAGGTCAAATTTGACTGGGACTTTGCAAAACAAGTTGTAAACAGGCAAGAAAAAAGTCTAGACAAAACCCTCATGTTCATTGCAGCATTATTTACAAAAGCCAAGATATGGAAATGACCCAAATGTCCACCAACAGATAAATGGATGAAGAAAATGGGAAATATACATACAATGGAATATTATTCAGCCTTAGAAAGAAGAAAGTCCTGCCATTTGTGACAACGTGGATGAACCCAGAAGACATTATGCCAGGTGAAATAAGCCAGTCACAAAAGGACAGACACTGCATGATTCCACTTACATGAGGTATCTAAAATAGCCAGACTCACAGAAGCAAAGAATAGTGGTTGCCAGAGGCTGGGGGGAGGGAGAAATGGAGAATTGTTCTTCAATGAGTATAAAATTTCTGTTATGCAAGATGAATAAGTTCTAGAGATCTGCTGTACAATATGCCCATAGTTAACAATACTATATTGTGCACTTAAAAATCTGTTAAGAGGACAGATTTCTTGTTCAATGTTCTTACTACTTAATAAAAAAGCACACATACAAAAGAACACAAGGAAATTTTTGGAGGTAATGCATATGTTTATTACCTTAGTTGTAATGCTGATATCAAGGGTATATGCGTATGTCTAAACTCATCAAGATGTATACATTAAATATGTGCAATTATTGTATATCAATTATACCTCAATAAAGCTGAGAAAGTATTTTAATATGAAGCAGATTTTTAGCCTTCATATTTCATTTCCACAAGAATGATAATAACTCATGATCACTGAACATTTCTTGGCTACCAGCTAGTGTGCTAAGCACCTTATATTTCGTATTTAAATTAAATTAATGCTGACCTACGGTAGACCACATTTCACAGATAAAAATGTTATATGAGCTTGGGCACAGTGGCTCATGCCTGTAATCCCAGCACATTGGGAGGCCGAGGTGGGTGGATCACCTGAGGTCAGCAGTTCGTGACCAGCCAGGCCAACATGGTGAAACCTCGTCTCTACTAAAAATACAAAAAATTAGCTGGGCATGGTGGTGGATGCCTGTAATCTCAGCTACTCGACAGCCTGAGACAGAAGACTCACTTGAACCCAGGAGGTGAAGGTTGCAGTGAGCCAAGACTCTGTCTCTCTCTCTCTCTCTCTCTCTCTCTCTCTCTATATATATATATATAATGTGTATATATATAAAACATATGTATATATACACACATATATACATATAGAAAACATACTATATATACACATATATAAAATATATACACATACATATATACATATATAACATATATGTATATATGTTATGTATGTATGTATATGTTATATATGTATATATGTTATATATGTATGTATATATACACATATATAAAATATGTGTATATATAATATATAAAATATACTATATATACATGTATATATAAAATATATATACATTTATACATATATACATATATAACATATATACATATATAAAATGTATATATACATATATATGCATATATACATACATATATACATATATATAAAATATATGTGTATGTGTATATATATATAAAATATATGTATTTATATAAAGTGAAAACATGGAGGCCAGGTGCAGTGGCTCATGCCTGTAATCCCAACACTTTGGGAGGCCAAGGTGGGCAGATCGCTTGAGGCTAGGAGTTACAGACCAGCCTGCCCAACATGGTGAAACCCTGTCTCTACTAAAAATACAAAAATTATCTGGGTATGGCGGCGCGTGCCCTTAGTCCCAGCTACTCAGGAGGCTGAGGCATGAGAATTGCAGGAACCTGGGAAGCGGAGGTTGCAGTGAGCCAAGATCGTGCCACTGCATTCCAGCCTGGATGACAGAGTGAGACTCCGTCTCAAAAAACTTTAAAAAAAAAAACTACATGAAGATTATATAGTGGCTCATTCAATGTCATATGACCAGTGAGTATTACAGAGGGGATTTAAACAGCTGTGCTCTCAACCACTTTACTAACATATTCTGCCAGATCTTGTTGCTCTAAATTTTTCATTGTAACTTTTTCTATGGCCTATGTCTCTTCATGTGTCTCACATCTTTTGTCACTTTGAGATTTTTTTTTATTTTGCTGTACTCCAGACACAAGTATTTTCTTATAACTGACTCTCTGATTCTTCTTCATACAGGTATGGTCTTGGCCAACATAACATGGTTTCCATCAGCTATGGTAATTTCCTTATATCTATAATCACTGTCAGAAACTCATTCATACATTCATACTAATTTCCAGATTTCATTGTAATAGAAAATTTTTTGTAGGATATATTAGTATTACATTTACCAACTTTCCCAGTAACATACATCCCATAAAATCTGACAAAAAACTGTTTATTAGCTGAAAAAATGAAACCAACTCCAATTGATTACAATCATTATTACAATATGAATACACACTGTCTCATGCAAAGTGGGAAACAAGATTGGAAAGAGGAACTGAAATGTTCAATTGACTGTCTAGTTACAGAGGGTGAACTTTATGACAGCCTTAGAGATCCTTACATAGTTTTTGAGTGGGGCAGTGAAATGCCAAAACCAGTATTTTAGGAAGATAAGTCTAGTGTTGGTGTGCAGGATATTGGAGGAGAAATAAACTACCAGATAAACATCTGGAAGTCAGTAAGCCAGAATGGAGTGTGACATTTAAAAAAGGAAGAAGCAACAGTGTGTATGATATATTGGATATTTGGCTCAAAAGCAAAGCAGAACATAAGAATCCTACCAAAACATCATTATTAGTGTGTCATGATCACGCTTATAAACTTTACAAGACACACACATACACACTATTTGCCAGTTTTTTAGCCAACTAGGAAGCTCGTTCCTATGGATTCAGCATCAACTTCCACAGAGAAAATGTCCTCCATCAGGTCCCTCCTCTACCTCCTTGGAGCTTATGAACCTAGCTGCCAGCACTCCTCCTCCTCCAGCACACACACACACACACACACACACACACACACACACACAGTTCTTGTGGTCTCATATTTCATGTAGTTTCTCCTACCAAAAGGACAATCAACTCATTCATTCAGCACCCAATAAATGGCAGCTGCTGCATCTTCACCATCTCACCAATCTTTAAGACAAGCTCAGGCTGGGCGTGGTGGCTCACGCCTGTAATCCCAGCACTTTGGGATGCCAACACAGGAGGATCACCTGAGGTCGGTAGTTTCAGACCAACCTGGCCAACATGGGGAAACCCTGTCTCTACTAAAAATACAAAAAAAGTTAGCCGGGCATGGTGGCGCAGGCCTGTAATCGTAGCTGCTCAGGAGGCTGAGGCAGTAGAGTCGCCTGAACCCAGGAGGCGGAGGTTGTAGTGAGCTGAGATCACACCACTGCACTCCAGCCTGGGCAACACAGCGAGACTCCGTCTCAAAAAAAAAAAAGACTAGCTTGTGGTCATTAATTATTATCCTTACATAACAGAAGAAGGAACTGGGGCTCAAAAGAGATTAAGGGACTGCATCAAGCACCAGAGACAGCATGAAAAATAATACTTTTCATTTCAATAACATTTTGCTGTTTGCAAAACACATTCACATTCTTCATTTCTTTGCATCCTAAAGATAATTCTGGTATCAGTGGAACACAGAGGTTTTCAGGAGCAGCTTCTAAGATAACATTATTTGAAGCTGTTAGGCCTACATTTGGGTATGGATACAGCTTTCTCTCAAAATACCAGCTTCCTCAATGTTCCCTGTAATTGACAAGATCCCTACTTCCCTAAAGAGTGTACTGACTCATCCCTTCTTCAGAACTAATCTTAAATGCTTATCCCTACCATATCTGAAATCACAACTTTGGAAAGACAAGGATGGGCAGAGAAGTAACAAAAGCAGCTAATATTCAATCCACATCCAAGATATTATCTGTTCACGGAGAAAAACCAATCTGTGTTGACGTTAACCTTTTAAGTGATCGAAATATGTCTTATTAACCTGGCTTGATACTAATGCCTGGGAATGTGTCTATCTGAAGAGTGAACTGACACTTGTGCCCATTGATTTGGTTCATAGAGAATGTTCTGATTTACGTCCCCGTCCCCACAGATTTTTTTTAAAATGCACCAAACGTTTACCTGAAGTAAACCTGATTCTTGCAAAGGGTCCAACTGTAGTTTCTTACAAAAGCTTGGCTATCTCTAATCAATTATCTCCAGATATGAAAATATCTAGGAAATTCAAGGAAGAAATCACACACATTAATTTTCCATCTAACATTTTAGTGTTTTCTTTTAAACTCTGTGTGTGCTGGGGGGAAGGACAGTAGTCTCTTTTACTACAACAAACAGGAGGGTGAAAACCTGAAGAATGCTAGCATTGGGTCACTAGCTTTATCTGCAGATAAAACCTGCACAAAACAGGTTTTGTTTTGCACCTATTTTACATATATTTTCCCCAGCTCACCAAAATAATTGTCTTCAGAGCCTATGTCCATTATTCCTTTACTGCCTTCCCTGCTATCAAGTTCTCTGAATAAGTACAGGGGCTGCAGTACAATTAAAAATAATGAGACCCTACTGGGCCAATGTCCCTGCACGCAATAAAAGGGTGTGGACTAATTGCAGGAGCAGAGATTCCCGCCCCAACTCCCCCCCGCCACCCCTCGCCATTTTGCTTCACTTTGATTGGTGGATTGGCACTTTAAATAAAGGTTTCTAATCTTCCCTGAATGAGAAGTACAGAGCAAGTCCCACGCACAGTCCTGAAAAAAATTTTAATCTTCTTTTCTTAGAACTATCTTGGTTGGCATCATCAGGCCCTGAGAGCACAGTGCATGTCAGCATCTAAGGTAAAATGGGATTTTATGATTTCCATGTGTTTCCTGTAAATTCTTTTTTTCCTATCTCCTGACAGCTTTTATAAAGAGGATTTATCTTCATTTGTCACCAGTAGCTGAATTATTGCTTGTTGTAATCCATTAGCATGTCCCAGAGATGACATGCCTAACACCCATTCAACTAAGAAAAAAAAAAAGACTTTTATTTATAGATTGTGTTTTTTTTAATGTTTTTGATTATAGTGCCTAATTCTTTTTAATATTAGAAGATGAGTAAATTTCTAGGCTATTCAGATCTCTATTCATGTAAGAATAAAGAGCTTTTTGAATTTATAGAATAAATTTTAAAAGATAATTCATTTTAGGAAGAGGAAAGCTAAATTTGAGACATATTTTCCACTAACATCAAAGAAAATTAAGATAGCCAATTTACTCTCATTTGAAAAGAAAAATTTTGTCATGGTTACGTAGATTACCTAAACATGCAATGATGTACCCTCTATTCCTGCAAATAAAGGTTTGTTATAAAATGACTTAGTTGCATTACATTTCACATGCATTTCAAAATGTGTCCCAAAGGGTAAGCAAAGTATAAACTTCTGTGAATAATACCTTATAGACCAATATTTTACTTAGTGGGAAGGATTTTTAAACTCATAATTCACTTTATGAAATGAAATATATCACAAAGAATATCGATGGAGGTTGTTCCTACATACTTATTTAGGCTGTAGATCCATTTAAAACGTGCTTAGATATTTTTTAATTGCTTGTTAATTTATTTCAGAAACTACTACATACAAATCGGTTGTTTAGTAACATTTAGTTTTTGTTTTTGTTCTTCTAACCTTTATCCCGGTGGTTTTTGTAAGAGCAGAGACTCAGGCTCATTTTCAAAAATTGTCTTTTAACCATTCTGAATAAAAATTCATCTGATTTAATTCTCCAACTTAATTATGTTTTAGATTCCACTTTTCAAAATGAAGGACCTGATACTGATCCTATGCCTCCTGGAAATGAGTTTTGCAGTGCCGGTAAGTCAGTCTTTAGAGTGTGTCCCAGAAAAGGTTATTGATTGTCGAACTCCAAACAACACTGAAGGGATATGGACTGAGAGTCCACGCATAGACTCACTTGATTTAATCCAGTGGTTTAGTCCTATTGAGTCAAAAGCCATAGTTGCTCAGATGTCAGTCTTGCAATCCAAAAGCGGTAAGTGATAGCCGGGTGCGGTGGCTCACGCCTGTAATCCCAGCACTTTGGGAGGTTGAGGCAGGAGGATGACCTGAGGTGAGGAGCTTGAGACCAGCCTAGCCAACATGGCTAAACCCTGTCTCTACTAAAAATACAAAAATTAGCCAGGCGTGGTGGTGGGCACCTGTAATCCCAGCTACTTGGGAGGCTGAGGCAGGAGAATTGCTTGAACCTGGGAGGCGGAGGTTGCAGTAAGCCAAGATTGTGCCACTACACTCCAGCCTGGGTGACGGAGTGAGACTCCATTTAAAAAAAAAAAAAAAAAGCAGTAAGTGAAGTATGATATTTCTACTAAAAAGTTATTTAAAATAGTCCCAAGACAATTTCTAGATCTTATTCCACTCATTCAAAGTTAAAAGCTTAGATAGTCTCCACAATGCATGGCGAAATTTTATTATCAACTTATTGCTATCATTATAAAGTTGAAATGGAAAGAGGAAATTTCTTTGAAAAAAATACATTTTCTTCATTTCAAAAAGAACTATCTCTAAATTTCTATGGTTACAAAACTCAGCTAGATAATTCCATTTAAAGCTAGTAATTAACTAGCAAATTTACCTTGTAAACATGAAATTGTGTGACTGAGAGCTGAAGTTTCATAAATCAAAACATATCATAGTGATGGGGCTAATTGTGTATTACAGTCCCACACCTGATCCATTCTAGTATATATTGAAATGATCTCATACAAACACAATCTTTTGAACACTGAACTACTCCAGCCAACAGCATGCAATTCTGTTATCACAAAAACTTTATTTGGCTGCTATATGCATTTAGCAAATATGTTGAGCAGCTGCCATGCATCCAGTAAATAAGACATGGAAAAATGAAAGTAAATAAGACATGATCTCTTGTCTCCAGTAGCTCACAGTTGGCCTCAAATGAACTTTAGAGTATTTTAATTCCTTGAAAGAAAAGGTTAGCTACTTGGTCTTCTTAAAGTGTTTTAGAGAAAGAGAATGGAAATGGAGAAAGAGGTTGAAAACTGATTATAATGATGAAAACCTTAATTCCACAAATAAAAATAGTCTCTGTTCCATCACGCAAGATGAATTTTAAATGAAAGAAAAATTGAGGGTGCCACCCTAGCTTACCTTTATATGATACTGACGTTGGGATGAGCCTCAGTCATTCACTATCAGTCTAACACATTGGCATTCTTTGAACCTATAATGATCCACACCTGAATCAATTGGGTCCACTCTGAGGAACAGAACAATTGCTTATTATTGCCAACTCATTGCCTGTCAAATCAGATGTTCTTCTCCTATTAATTCTGCATGGGAAATGTATCCCCTATCTGTATACATTCGTGTAAATATTCTTTAAGTCATGACTTAGAGCAGATGGAAAGCAAAGTACACTTTGTTCTGTGGCTCAATCCAGGATGTGTTATTTATGCACTGGCAAATAGTGGGGAAGAAGGTCCTGCTCTCACGATTCCCCCAAATTCTCAACAAGCTAACCACCACATACACACATACATGCACAATCACTCTTCCTGTCTACACAGCTAACCTCTTTCCTACCCAGAGTATTTGCTACACATTTGTAATGCCTTTCCCTCTATTCTTTTTTTTTTTTTTTTTTTTACAGTCTGGCTCTGTTGCCCGGGCTGGAGTGCAATGCTGAGATCTCAGCTCACTGCCACCTCCTCCTTCTGGGTTCAAGCGATTCTCCTGCCTCAGCCTCCCAAGTAGCTGGGATTACAGGCACGTGTCACCACGCCCAGCTAATTTTTGTATTTTTGTAGAGACGCGGTTTCGCCATGTTGGCCAGGCTGATCTCAAATTCCTGACCTCATGATTTGCCCACCTCAGCCTCCCAAAGTTCCGGGATTAGTCTTGAGCCACCATGCCTGGCCCTTTCCCTCTATTCTTGTCCAAAACTGAATTATTTAAAGAAATTCTCACTATGACCCAGAAGGTGGGATTTTACTTACATGAAAAAGGTGGTGGGTGGAAAAAGTAGGGGGTGTAATTCTTTAACTTCTTACTCATAAAGGAAAAATAATACTGATATATTTGGTAAACATTCCCTAAATCCTTGTGGTATAACTGAAGGAAAGACGGCATTACAACCCCTTGGTCTTAGAAAGTGAGAATATCCAAAGAACCAGAGACTCTCAAAATCCAATTTACTCTAATTCCTACTCTTCCATTCGCCATGTTTTCTACCGGTATTTGTGTAAAGTAATAAGGATTGGTTTCAAAAGAAAAATATATTTAACAAAAAAACAAAAAACAAAAGGAAAAGGCTAGGCATGGTGGCTCATGCCTATCATCCTGGCACTTTGGGAGGCCAAGGCAGGAGGATTACTTGAGCTCAGGAGTTTAAGACAAGCCTGGGCAACATAGTGAGACCCCCATCTCTATTTTTTAAAAAAGGAAGCCAGATGCAGTGGCTCACATCTGTAATCCCAGCACTTTGGGAGGCTAAGGTGGGCGGATCACTTGAGCTCAGGAGTTCAAGACCAGCCTGGCCAACATGGTGAAACTCTGTCTCTACCAAAAATACAAAAATTAGCCGGGCTTGGTGGTGCACACCTGTAATCCCAGCTACTTGGGAGGAGAATCACTTGAACCCAGCAGGCAGAGGTTGCAGTGAGCCGAGATCACGGTACTGCACTCCAGCCTGGGTGACACAGTGAAACTTAGTCTCAAAAAAAAAAAAAAAAGGAAAATATCTTACATTTTAAAAAGCTAATTGTATAGATAGGTATATTTTTGAACAACTTTTAAGTGAACACATTAAGTATAATAGTATTTTGTGCTAGAATGCTTTTTATTTAAGGGAAAAAAACCTTTGATATGATCCCAAAGTATAGTAGGTTTACACATAAAATAATCTTTCACTAAAAATGATAGGGAATTTGCTGAAGCCCTTTGAATGGGAATCCAGTTAGATTTTTCATATGATTTTTCTGAATGTCATGATCCCATGCCATGTCTTGTAAACCAAAATCATATAGATTTGTCGAAAGCACATGAAAATTCAGCTTGGGTTTGTCCCCTTTACTTTTTTCTGTGGTAATTTTTAAAGAAAATAAAGTACTAGTAGTTTTCTATTTTGTTGCTTTATTCTATTTCTCCTTGTGTGTAACTTTAAATCATATTTTGCTTTTAAAGCAATGAAGCATTAAGATGCAGACAAAGGATAGATGATGCAGGTGGGAGCAAAATTATCAAATACTATGTTGATTCTCCCAAATAACTTATGCTCTTCTTCATTCTGCCCAAGCACTCAAGTCATTTGCATAATAAACCAAAATGGTGGCCTCTCAGGTAGCCCGTATGTACTGGAGCAATATCCTACGCCCAATGGGCATTGAAGGAAGTTTTGTACCAATAAGACTCAAAATTATTCTTATTTTCATTCAGTTCTTTCCTCAGCAATCTGGAACACCGGGTATGGCTAGTTTGAGCCTTGAGGTATGTATTGTCAGAATTTTTAACATATTAACTTTACATTGGTATATTTGTGGTACAGGAGAAATATAATCGTGTGCTTCTCAGTTTTCCTAGCCAGAAGTTTGTGGCTGTTATCCTGAGGAGTGCTAGAAAAGTTATGACATTTACTAGAGCTTTGTCTTATAATTCTACTGCAGTTTTAAACTCTCAGGTGTTTTAAGTTTTAGAACATTGTTTCTATGCAAACCAAAGCAATATTAGTATTTAATGCCTTATATATAATATGCACATTAATAAAATTACTACCTTAATTAAAATACATTGCTCCATACTCACAAATAGTTTATTTTTAATCCTGCTCCTTATACTATCTTACATGATAAAGTTCTCATGAAAAATTTTGTACCTGTACAAAATTTAATTTTTTATAAGTCTGGTAAATAACATTAACATTGTACTATGATACTTCCTGCATAAGTTGTACAGTGTATTTGTCTTATTGCAGTTCTCATGTAATATATATTCTGTTTAGAAAACTCCAGCAAAACAGAAATTTTGGTCATGTCAATGAAAAATATTGACAGTTATATATAGAAAGATATTTATAAGATTATAAATTTTTCACAAGGTCTTGTGAAATTTCCATGTGTCATGGTAAGCTGGGGGCAGTCAATACCTATTTGAGCTAGACGCTTATTTCACATGGAAGCTAATTTCGCTGAGGGTTTTTTTCTCACTTTTTAGCTTAAACTCAATCCAAAGCATTCTAAATCTCTTCCCGTGAAAAAAGTTAAATTGGCATTCTGTTGAAATGGTAGCATTCTCGATAATCTATCCAGATACTTAACATTTCTTTCAATAGTTTTTATTTTTAATATTTTGAAAGATTTATTTTATGGGAAAGAGGTAGAAGTTTTATTTGTTTGTCTTGTTTGTTTGTTTCAAATTCCTCTTCTGGCTGAACTTGTAAAGGGCAAAGTAAATTAAATGGGGAGAAAGAGTCAATGAAGCAAAGTCCTCACAATTACACTTATATTTCAATGGAATGAGCTATTTTCCCATGTTTCAATGTAACCTCCACTTAAATAATACTTTTTCTCCTTTAATTAATGATAAAAGCAACTGCATTATTTTAATAGCAATAATAATAACAATGGCAGAACCAAATTTAATATTTCCACCTTTCAGTGATGATTTGTGTCTACTTTCATTTTATTAAATTGATTCACACCAAACTTTGTGTTGATAATGTCAAATATCATGAGAAATCAGTTGTGTCAAACACAGCATATGCGATAAACAGTAACCCACTTTTTTTTCTTGATAGACAATGAGACAGTTGGGAAGTCTGCAGAGATTAAACACACTTTCTCAGGTAATCATATTTCTTATTGCAAGTATTCATGGTGGTGGTAGTGTTAATATTAGCAGCAGCATTATAATTCATCAAATTTATTTATGAATAGACAATATACTAAAGATTGGAAGAACCAAGAAGTAAATGAGAGCCTAAAACAAAATAAGATACAGTGACAGGGAAAAACAAAAACAATATTGAATTTTATTGAGTTAAGAAAAGAATCTTTTCCTGCATTATTAATTTTATTATGTGGCACAAAACACAAGTGCTTAAAAAGCTAAATCTCAAACAATTTATGCAAATATTGCAGACTAGCTCAAAACGAAATTTAAGTTCATTGAAAGGAAGAGTTCACCTACCCATTTGATTTACTTATTTTATTTTTATTTATTTATTTATTTATTTAGACAGAGTGTCGCTCTGTTGCCCAGGCTGAAGTGCAATGGCATGATCTCGGCTCACTGCAACCTCCATCTCCTGGGTTCAAGCAATTCTCCTGTCTCAGCCTCCCAAGTAGCTGGGATTACAGGCATCTGCCACCACGCCAGGCTAATTTTTGTATTTTTTAGTAGAGACGGGGTTTTGCCATGTTGCTAGGCTGATCTCGAATGCCTGACCTCAGGTGATCCACCCACCTCGGCCTCCCAAAGTGCTGGGATTAGAGGCGTGAGCCACCACGTCCAGCCATACCTATCCATTTTAAATTAACCAACATCACTTTTGCTTTTGCTATATTTATGCTATGTGTTGATTTTTTAGAAAATGAAAACCAGGCCAGGAGCAGTGGCTCACGCCTGTAATTCCAACATTTTGGGAGGCCAAGGTGGGCGGATCATGAGGTCAAGAGATCAAGACCATCCTGGCCAACACGGTGAAACCCCGTCTCTACTAAAAATACAGAAATTAGCTGGGCATGGTGGTGCGTGCCTGTAGACCCAGCTACTCAGGAGGCTGAGGCATGAGAATCGCTTGAACCCGGGAGGTGGAGGATGCAGTGAGCTGAGATTGCGCCACTGCACTCCAGCCTGGCGACAGAGCAAGATTCCATCTCAAAAAAAAAAAGAAAAAGGAAAAGGAAAACCAAATATAACCAATGTTATATTTAACATTTAAATATAAGCATGTCTTTTTTTATCCATGTCTTTAGTATTCTAGATACGGCTTTGGAAAATCATTTAATTCTTTGTGGATGCACGGTCTCCTCCCACCACATTCCTCTCTTCCATGGATGAGGCCAAGAGAACATGAAACTCAACAGGTGAGTGAATAGCATCAATATGTTTGAAACCTCAGGCTTTAAAACCTCTTCTTACTTGCCTTCTTTAAGTTATGATATATTAGAAACAGCCAAGTCCTAGCATTAACAAAAAATTATTCTCGTGCCAAATAAATCGAAGCCTATAACTGCTTTTAGCGCTTAAGAAATATTTTTAAATTTAAAACTATTTGCATATTTATTTAAAATAGGAAGATACAGCCTCCAAAATATGAGACCTATATTAAAGATATCAGTAAACAATCCTCGAAAATCAAAGCAGGCTACATCCTGGACAATTTTCATTTGAATCAAGATTTCCTAAATAATTCCTCAAAGGCTGATTTCAAATGATGACAATAATCCTGGTTAAAATACCATAGCCAGGTGCGATGGCTGACGCCTGTAATCCCAGCATTTTGGGAGGCCAAGGTGGGTGGATCACTTGAGGTCAGGAGTTCAAGACCAGCCTGGCCAACATGGTGAAACCCCGTCTCTACTAAAAATACAAAAATTAGCCAGGCATGGTGGCAGGCACCTGTAATCTCAGCTACTCTCAGGAGGCTGAGGCAGGACAATAGCTTGAACCTGGGAGGCAGAGGCTGCAGTGAGCCGAGATTGTGCCACTGCACTCCAGCCTGGGCAATAGAGTGAGACTCTGTCTCAAAAAAAATTAAGAAATTTAAAAAAAAAAAACATCATGAACCCTACAGAAGTCAATAAATATATCAATCTGTTAACCATTATTGATTAGGTGCCTAATAAATACATAAACCAAATTGTGGTTTGGTAGTAAAAGCGAAGACATTTAAGAATGGCTCCAAGGATTGTGAAATTTCATCTTATCTGATTCAGATAGGACAAGACAACATATTTCAAAGTGCTGAATTGTGACATGTGAGTAATGAATACTGCGTGAGCTCAGAGAGGGGTGATGGCTGGAGAGGCAAAGCAGAGCCCCAAATTGTTGCGAGACTTCCTTGCTGGTCTGAGGAGTTTACAATCAATCTACAAACAATAGGGAGCCATTCACCAAAAGTAATTTCTACAAGAAGTAACAAAACATGGTGATTTTAACGGGGAATTTTTTCGTTTAATATATGGACTCAGAACCAAGATTTAACAGGGAATTTTAGTTCCAGGCGGTCTTCCACAGCAGGAGCATTACCACGAGGTCACATTCAGTAGAACAATAAATTATGTTAATGGTGACTGTTTCTTAACTTAATTGTTTCCAAAGTGGACTCCATGATGCAAGAATTTGATTGGCATTTTAATTAATTACCCTTTATCCTTTCATTAACTCGAAAAATATATTAGGCACCCACCATGGGCCAGGCACTTGTTAGGAGCTATGTTATGTACACGGGCTATAAAGAAAAACAAAACATATCATTCTCTCTCCGTTGACTGGGGGACAAAGATTTATAACAAATAATTATCATCCAGTGAGAAAGTGGTAAAATAAAGATACAGATACATACAGACAGCTATGGGAACTTAGAGAAGGACATGACTCATCCTACCAGGAGGTTCATGTAGCTTCACCTTTACGAGCAATGGTGGTCCCAAAGGAGGTAGGGGAGGCACACACAAGACCTCCCCAAACAACATTAACACTAACTGGTGCTTGCTATGTAAACTCAACTTCAAGACAAGTCTCCTAGCCTCCCTTCCAGATAGAAAGCGCCCCAAGCCCCTTTGTTTAGAAATTCTAGGCACCGTTGTTTAATGAGCCATCCCTTCCTAACACTCTTTTCAAATTTCTCTGCAGTATGAATATTCTTTGCCTGTGCATCCCCCACCTCTCCCATCACAGCCATCCTTGAAGCCTCAACAGCCAGGACTGAAACCTTTTCTCCAGTCTGCTGCTGCAACCACCAACCAGGCCACAGCACTGAAAGAAGCACTTCAGCCTCCAATTCACCTGGGACATCTGCCCTTGCAGGAAGGAGAACTGCCTCTGGTTCAGCAGCAGGTGGCACCATCAGATAAGCCACCAAAGCCTGAGGTACTTCCTTTCTCTTGAAGTCAGATCAGAATCACCAGCTAACCTAATAGAAGAAAACGAATTTGCAGGGCACTTTTAAATAATCGTAGCCTTCAGGCATAATACGTGATATAAATATATTCTTAATCAGTCTTCCACATCTGAGATTTATTTTTTGAGTAAAACGTAAATATCCATTCCTATCTTTTGCCATCAGAGACAGGGCATGGATTCTAAAAGATACTGTGCCTATAAAACTGGGTTTCTTAGTTGCGAAAGATGAAAACTCCCATAGGAAATAGAATAAAACCCCAGAGAAGTCCAGGTTTCCTATCACTGGTCTTTTTTGGTATTGGAAAAACTGAAAAAAGTGATTGATCCCTCAGCATAACAAGTAGGATTTTGCATTATTATCTCTCTGACAAAGAGGTGACCACTATGCAAAAAGTATCTTGTAATAATGTAGAGAAAAGTGTAATGGATTAAAAAAAAAATGAAGGTACCAAGTAACCAGTATGTTGTGGGCATTTATCATTCCCCCATATCACCCTGCCTACAATCCTATAAAAATATATATTATCAGCCTTTTTAAAGAAAGGAAGACAGATTTTGAGAAGTTACAAAATTTGCCCAGGAGTACACAAAAATTAAGTGGCAGAGCCAGGGTTCAAACCAACCAGGTATGTTCCAGTTCCAAAATTCATTACTTTCTAATCTGCAAGAGATAGCAAAGCCATGATAGATGTGCCTCATCTCCCTGCAGGTACATTTGAGTAATGTTAGTAAAAGACCATTGCAAACTCTTGGGTCATACCTCCCAAAACACTAAAAGAAAGTAAAATAATGAAACTCATTTTAATTGTTTTATTGTAATTGTAAACAAGATAAGGATGTGATCAGTTCACTTTGTCTATTTTTTTATTTTTAATGTCACTTTGTCTATTTTGTTTATTTTTTGACTGATAATTTTAATATTTATCTGTGATATAGCTCCCAGGAGTAGATTTTGCTGATCCACAAGGTCCATCAGTAAGTACAGATCTCAATGAGACACTTTCTGTATTTTATTTTTTAATTTTTATTTGTTCACTTTTTTATTTTTATTTGTATTTAACTACTTTGTTCATTTTTTACTGATAATTTTAATATTTATCTACAATATAGCTCCCAGGAATGGATTTTCCTGATCCACAAGGTCCATCAGTAAGTACAGATCTCAGTGAGACACTTCTATTTTTTATTTTTATTTTTATTTGTTCACTTTGTCTATCTTTTATTTGCATTTATCTATTTTGTTCCTTTTTTGACTGATAATTTTAATATTTATCTGTAATATAGCTCCCAGGATTGGATTTTGCTGATCCACAAGGTTCAACAGTAAGTACAGATCTCAATGAGACACTGTCTTGCAAAAACTGTCTCTATATTTCAAAAAATAAGAGTGAATTTTTTCATTGTCCCATTTATCCATGAATATGAAGTATAATGGGTTCCTTTGTTCTCTTAAATATTAAATACTTATTTTCTATACTAATCCATCTGAAAATGTGTTTCATATACCTCAAAAATTACTGTTATGGGGATGTGCCTGTGAGAATTACTTATTCTGTTTTCTACCATTTAAAGATTTTCCAAATAGCCCGTTTGATTTCTCACGGACCAATGCCACAAAATAAACAATCTCCAGTAAGTTTTTTTTAATACCACATCTCTGTTTGCAATTTACTTAAAAGTTTTTCCATTGGAAAATGCATTTTGTGATAATGATTGTATTTTATTTAGCTTTATCCAGGAATGTTGTACGTGCCTTTTGGAGCAAATCAATTGGTAAGTCCATATTCTATAAAAAGTATTGTTTTTAATTAAATTTTATCTTAAGAGCTAAAATTCAAAAATCTAGGTCTCACACAAGAGATTCCAAATAAACATTCTCTGAACACCTACATTAGTACTGAAATATTAAGGAGGCAAACTTCCTATTTGGATAATCTTGGCCAGACACACACACACACACACGCACACGCACACACACGCACACAAGGGTATTAAAGAAAAAACAAATTTTAGATCTGAATTATCCGAGTTGACTACATTTATTCCATAATGACTCACCTCTCCACTTTGCCTCTGTACACAGCATTAATATTAAGGTTTAAGTGAAAACTAAATAACTTTTAACTTTGTCTTGAGTAGATAAGAAGGTAGCTGGTTCGTAATTTGACGCAATATTTCTTTTTGAACAGAATGCCCCTGCCAGACTTGGCATCATGAGTTCAGAAGAAGTGGCAGTGAGTAATGTCTTCTAACTCTTCTTAAAATAGTGGCCAGGGAAGAACAGTCACTTATGACTGGCTGCAAGAGACGTCTGCCATGAATGTAGCCAAATGAGCATGGGACTCAGATTTTTCCACTCCAAAAACTAAGCTTAATTCTGAAGCAATATCCAAAGATTTCATCATGTTTCCTATGTAATCTTTCATTTCTGGGTGATGACTATTCTTGAGCATAGAGTTTTGCCCCATTGCTTGTAGATGAACAGAGGAGAAAACTCCCCTTGAAAGGCCGTCATTGAACTATAAACACTTCAAACCAAAAGGATACACGTGGTTCATACAGAGTTCTTGTTCTTTCTGGGACCATTTAACCCCTCAAAACATCAAATTCAACAGCATTACAAGTAATTCAGATCTCAAAATTGAAAGATCAAAAAGCAAAAGAAAACCAAGTTTAAAATGTGATTATTATAAATGTCAATGTGCATTGTCAATGAGCATATACTCTTATTATGTTATCATTATCCATGCAAGTTTAAGATTTGAGATCAATAAAGTCATACAACTTGACTTTTTCCCTAAGAAAATTTTTGCCTGTTACATCTGTTAGAGCACAAGGCAAGACAAAACAAAAGCTATATTGAATTAACAAATCACTGTCAACTACAGATCCTGTCAAGTTAACAAACACACACACATATTATCTGTGAAAGAAAAATTACATCTCAGTATTTTTGTGTGCCTTCCATGTGCCACACACATAGGAAAATACTGTAAACAAGACAAGGTAAGATTTTCGTTTTTGGCTGGGCGCAGTGGCTCATGCCTATAATCCCAGCACTTTGGGAGGCTGAAGCGGATGGATCACCCGAGATCAGGAGTTTGAGACCAGCCTGGCCAACATGGTAAAACCCCGTCTCCACTAAAAATACAAAAATCAGCCAGGTTTAGTGGCGCGAGCCTGTAGTCGCAGCTACTCAGGAGGCTGAGGCAGGAGAATCACTCGAAACTGGGAGGCAGAGGTTTCAACGAGCTGAGATCACGCCACTGCACTCCAGCCTGGGCAACAGAGCAAGACCCTGCCTTAAAAAAAAAAAAAAAAGTCTTGTTTTCAAGGAACTTACAGTCTAATGAATGGAAAAGATAGGTACAAGGGCAGATACCTAATGTCAAAATCATGGGCTAAAAGTAATAACAATTTTATTAGAGAGAAAGAGTCAGAGAGGAAGGGCAGTTAGCCCAGTCCAGGGATTCACAGTATCATCCCTGGAGGAGATGATGTGAAAGCTGAGAGAGAATGAAGAGTCAGGAGAAAGGAGAAGGAAAGAGTATTGTATCTATATAGCACCAATACAAGTGGCTGGAAGTTCAAAATTCAAGTAAGTGTTAATTGCCATCACATAGTATTAATTATTTCTATTCTGCCTCATTCCCAAAAGATTTTGTAGAGCTTATGAAAAACACACAATAAATATAACAAAAAATTGAAAGTAGGATTTAAAATGAGTCATAATTTCAAGAAAATCAGAATACAGATATGCAAGTCACACAGGCCTGCTCAATTGCTACAAACAGCCTAAGATTTTGGACCCCATATTTCTGGCAGCAAAGGTAGAAAAAGAAACATGGTCAGTGCTGGTATTCTATTTGTCCACAAGAAGAAAATATTTTAGTTACTCCAGGGAAGTCACATTTTTTTTCTTAAACTTTGTGCTTTAAAAAAATTAAAGTCTTAGCTGGGTGCAGTGTCTCACCCCTGTGATCCCAGCTACTAGGGAGGCTGAGGCAAGAAGATCACTTGAGCCTAGGAGTTCTAGACCAGCAGCCTGGGCCGTATAATGAGACCCCTAAAAGAAAAAAAAAGTACATGGAACTTCATTTGGGGGACACTGAAAAATGCCATTGACAAGATTCTCGCTCAACAAATGCAGTTATGAATTTCAGTTCTTATTTGTTTTGTGATGGTAGTACTCATTTCAACTGCTTGTTTTCTTAAAATTAAATTCAAACTCACCTTTGCCTCAAGTCTTGCTTCTGCCCTGTTATCTCCCTTTTACGGAAATCATGCCGAGATCCACCCAGATAAGTGCAGAATCCTCTTCATTATGTTTCAAAGCCAGTTTAGTGAGAAATGAGCTTACACAAAGCTATCAATCAGCCAACTTCCTATTCTCCACCAGTTTTTTAGAGATCCTTGGTGAATGTGACCAGGTATAGCTGCATGGTATAGTTAATAGCATGTGATGATGGCATCTTTGACGAATGTTTTTTTTTCCAGGGCGGGAGAGAAGACCCAATGGCCTATGGAGCCATGTTTCCAGGATTTGGAGGCATGAGGCCCGGCTTTGAGGGAATGCCCCACAACCCAGCTATGGGCGGTGACTTCACTCTGGAATTTGACTCCCCAGTGGCTGCCACCAAAGGCCCTGAGAACGAAGAAGGAGGTGCACAAGGCTCCCCTATGCCGGAGGCCAACCCAGACAATCTAGAAAACCCAGCTTTCCTTACAGAGCTAGAACCTGCTCCCCACGCAGGGCTCCTTGCTCTCCCTAAGGATGACATTCCCGGCCTGCCAAGGAGCCCTTCAGGGAAGATGAAGGGACTCCCCAGCGTCACCCCAGCAGCTGCTGACCCACTGATGACCCCTGAATTAGCTGATGTTTATAGGACCTACGATGCTGACATGACCACATCCGTGGATTTCCAGGAAGAAGCAACCATGGATACCACGATGGCCCCAAACTCTCTGCAAACATCCATGCCAGGAAACAAAGCCCAGGAGCCCGAGATGATGCATGACGCATGGCATTTCCAAGAGCCCTGACAGCTCTAAGATATTAGCTACTTTCTGTATGCACAAGCTTCCCAGCTTTGTCCCCACAGTGTACCTTTTTGCTAAAACACTTATTACCCTTCTGCAGCAAAGGCATTAAAAGCGCTAAGCATATATTAATAAATGCAAGTGGCTAGAAATAGTGTAGGTCCCCTTCTTGCTTTCAATATCTTGTTGAAATAAAATGTGTCAATTGTCTCTGTGATTTAGAAACACTATTAATAACATCAGAGCAAGGTTCTAAGGGTCTCAGCATTTGATCATCACTTTTTCTTAGCTGTCTTAAGCATTATAGAATTTCTCTTACCAGCATGACACTATTATATTCAGGAAACATGGCACTGCTTTTTTCTCTAAGCAAAGGCAAATATCCTCATAATTCTAAGCTAATTCATTTAAACTTTATTAAATGGGGATTGGTGGAAAACTCCTGACTGGTATTACTGGGTTTGGTATAATTTAATTTAAAATTCTCATTTATAGAGTATTTTATTTAATCTAGTATAAAAAATCTAGCCTATTTTAAATAAAGAATTTTTCTCACTGAAATTATCAGGAATTGTATGCTTATTATTTATATAGATTTAAATGGTTCAAGAAAAGCATACTCATCCTCTACCTTTGCTTCTCTTTAATTCATTGTATTCAATTCATTCATTCTTTCATCAGAATTTTACTGAATATTCATGTCCTGGGTGCAGTGCAAGGTATCAAAGATACAGTCCCTTCCTTCAAAGCTTACAATGGACATGACTGACAAGTAGACAATCACCATAACAAAACCCTAGACCAAGCTCAATTACTTTACATATATTATCCCACAACAATACTGTGAAATAGATACACTCAACCCCACAGCACATGTGAAAAGTGCTATGAAAAGGCCAAGCACAGGGTGCCCCTGGAGCCACAGAGAAGAAGTGCCTAACCCAGCCTGAGGGTCATCGGAGAGTCTAGGAGGAATCAGACAAGTTTTCTCAGAACAGTTTCTAGAAACGGTTTCAAGAGCGAGAGCCCTCACTCTCCAAGAGGAAGAAACAGAAAAAGAGCCATGTGGGTGTCATGTGAAAATTAGCTCATTCCTGTGAAATATAATGTGGGAAAGGGGGATGCAGAAAATGACCCTTGCTTGTCACCAGGGCTAGGTTGTATCGAGCAGAGCTATACACCTAAATTAAAGGGCTCCCAGCCCAGATCTGGTCACTCCTACAAAGTAGCCTCCTACCCCCTTCTCTTCACCTTCTCCTAAGTGGCCCAACCCAGGTCTTCGACTCCATGAAACTCAAACTTCTCTACATCCATTGATGGAGATTCCGTAGATGCAACCCACAAAAAAGAGCCCTGAGATGCCTCCCAACCTGGGGACTTCAGGAGGCTTACCAGGAGCATGTAGCCACCACCTATTGCCTCCCTCTCTTTAAGCAGGGTTCTGCTCATCCTCACTCCATCAACTGCAGCTGAAAGAGAGATACAGAAGAAAAATTTCAGTTTGCCTCCCCTAGTGTCCCTGGCAAAGGTGCGAGGGTAGGAGAATGACCTCCATAGTAGCCAGCAGATACCCACTGAGATCTATCTTAGCATCGCAGACAGTTTCCTGAAAAGCAGTATGGTACAATACATATAAACAGATCTGGGTTCAAACTTTGGTATCACATCTTATTATCCATGTGACTTTCGATGTGAAACTTAATCTCTCTGTGCCTGTGTTTTCATTTCTATAATGGGGCTACGACCTAGCATAGAGAGTTGTTATGAGAATGAAATGAGATAAAGCTCACAGATGAAACTGCTGAATCATAGCAGTTTTCTTCTTTTCCAACTGATCCTTTTGGTAAAGAGTATTCAGCAAAACAGCAGCAGCAACAGTGGAAGAATGGAATTGTTCCCATTATCTGATGAATTTGTGTTTTTCCATTAACACTCCAACCATTGCCCTGCTGGTCCTTCTTTGCAATTCAGAGCATGCTTTTGTGAGACACACATGCTGGTTTCCCCAGTGAATCTTGCCACAGCAGGGGCTCAAAGTTAGTCTCTCTTACTGATCATCTGGACACTTAATAATGGTAATAGCAGCCGGGTGCGGTGGCTCACACCTGTAGTCCCATACTTTGGGAGGCCGAGGCAGGCGGATCACCTGAGGTCAGGAATTTGAGACCAGCCTGACCAATATGATGAAGCCTCATCTCTACTAAAAATACAAAAATTAGCCAGGTGTGCTGGCATGTGCCTGTAATCCCACCTACTCAGGAGGCTGAGACAGGAGAATCGCTTGAACCCAGGAGGCGGAGGTTGCAGTGAGCTGAGATCACGCCACTGCACTCCAGCCTGGGCAACAAGAGCAAAACTCCATCTCAAAAAATAACAATAATAATAATAATGGTAATAGCCAGATCAACTTTGCAGGGGAGACAACATGTTGTTGAGTCGTTGAATAACATCTATCCCTGCCACTATTGTCACTTCAAATACTGGACCATTGGGCAAACACCAAGGTGGCCAGGGAAAGAGGCTAAATGTCACTCTCAGAAGAAGCCATATTGATTATTGAGAATTTCCTCTACTTTGGTTTTCTTCTACCAGGCATTTACATGAGAAAAAAAAAAATCTTCATACTGTGTCCCATTCTGAGAAGACTGTCCAGATAACCTGTCTTCTAGACCCTCCTTATCACCAATCTTTCAATTTTATTCTTTCCAAGTCCCTGACCAGGTGACCCATCTGGTACTAACCCTGAGTCAGTGTAGATCTGTATCACAAGCCATCGTCTCCTTCTACACAAAATAGATAACCAGAAATTCCATTTAAAGTTCTGCTCATTGAGTGGGGTTGTAGTACATTGATTGTCTACTTTCTGCTGATGCCAGAATACCATACAGAAATCCATGAGCCAGGAACATACTCATCAAGAGGAAGTATATGGAAGTCTAAACCACTTACTGGTGCAATCTAACTGAGCCCTCCAGACCTGCTGGAGCCTGATATCATATATGTTTCCATTTAAAATAAAATGCTGTTATGTTCCATTTTATGGTTCAGTTGATCATATATCACACAGTTCAAGATGGGCAACTCAAATAACAATCATTTGGCATCCCATAGTCAGGCATATTGTGTCTAGTGGAATCCAGTAGCAAGGCAAAAACTACTTTTTCACAAAGAAACCCCTAAGGTTCTGTGCTATTATTCTCCTATCGGGGCTTGCCACAAGTCTCATACAGCTGCAGATACTTCCAACACATTTGAGTCTTCTGGGTCATAATGCCCAAGTAACAAGGATGGACCCCTTTCATGTTCTGTCTACTCAAAATGTCCAGCCTTCTGAGTTATACAATATGTGGTATACTTTACCTTCAAAACACAAAGAAGTCCAACAAGAATTGTGCTTCTTTCTTTTTGTAAGGTGGTACAAGATGCAACAACTTGGAAACAACTTTAGCTATCCCAATATGCCTCAGGCTACTAGACCCCTAGAAATGTTGTTAGCACCGTTAATGTTTTGGTGTTTATCTTCTACCCTCTGGCTTGCTACCTCATGTTAATCCAATCCTGTTGCATTGTGTCTTCAATGTACTGGATGGGCATGATGTTCTATGGAATATAAAGAAGATCCAGTACCCTCAGGACTGTTAGGCTAGATTGCAGGAGAGTTGACATAGTCCTAGGGCAAGAGAGTATAAATTTACATTGTTCCTGTTTTTTAAAAGCAAATTACTTCTGATGTTTCTTACTGATTAGAACAGAAAGAAACAGCTACCAGATCACTAGCTATATACTAGGTGCCATGGGCTATGCTGATTTGCTCCAATAAAGTTATCACGTCTGGAAATACATTTGCAACTGGCATCATCACCTGATTAAGATTGCAACAATCCACTGTAATTCCTCATGACCCATTTAGCTTTTCCACCAGCCAGACAGGTGAGTTAAATGGGGAGGTGGTAGGACACCTTTTCTGTATCTTCCAAGTTTTCTATCATAATGCTAATCTCTGCAATTCTCCCTACAAGACTTGCTATCTTGTTGGGAGTAAGGAAGAAGGTGTACAGTTCCAGGGGCTTCCTTACACTTGGCTCTTCCTACTATAACTTTTATTCCATTGGTATAAGAATCATTGTGGGATTATTATATATATCTATTCCTGGGCTGGATGCAGTGGCTCATGCTTGTAATCCCAGCACTTCGAGAGGCTGAGGTTGGCAGGTTGCTTGAGCCCAGGAGTTAGAGACCAGCCTGGGCAACATGGTGAAACCCCTTCTCTACAAAAAAATACAAAAATTAGCCAGGCATGGTGGTGCCTGCCTGTGGTCTCAGCTACTTGGGAGGCTGAGGTAGGAGGATAATTTGAGCCCAGGATGTGGAGGTTGCAGTGAGCTGTGATCACGCCATTGCACTCCAGCTTGGGTGACAGAGTGAGATCCTGTCTCAAAAAATAAAGATCAAAATAAAAAATAAATTAAAAAAAAGGCCGGGTGCAGTGGCTTACACCTGTAATCCCAGCACTTTGGGAGACCAAGGCAGGTGGATCACTTGAGGTGAGGAGTTTGAGACCAGCTTGGCCAACATAGTGAAACCCCATCTATACTAAAAATACAAAAATTAGCTGGGTGTGGTGGTGTGTGCCTGTAATCCTAGCTACTCAGGAGGCTGAGGCAGGAGAATTGCCTGAACCCAGGAGGTGGAGGTTGCAGTGAGCCGAGATCGCGCCACTGCACTCCAGCCTGGGTGACAGAGCAAGACTCCATCTCAAAAAAAAAAAAAAAAAAAAATCTGTTTCTCATCTTACTTCTATAAGCTTTAACCAGTAAATATGAGGCTTTTAAGGTTCAGAACCACTTCCTAATAACCCCCCATCTTACACATTCTCCCTACTTAATTGCCTCAGGTCCCTCTGATAGTGGCTTAGGGAAACTATCATGGTATACAATTTGGCCACATTTCAAGGTTCTTCCTCATAGGAACCTGATGTCCCCTCAGTTGAGGGGCTTTAGGTCTGGAAACTAGATAAGAAACTATACATCCCACCACAGCAATTTGAGTTAGGCTCAGTGAATGTAGAATTTTTTTTTTGTCTTTTTATGTCAAGCAGCACATTTATGTCAAGCGGAAAGTGGACAATCAATGTAGGACAGGATGTCTATCTATTTTTTCCTATAGACCTGTGATGAAGTAGCCATCATACAGAACCCTATTGGTCAAAACATGCTGCTTAGCATTCCATCCTGTGGCTTATTGGTCATTGCATCCTTGTCTCTGAAAGATAAGCACCACCCCCTGGCCTCTGTCTACTATTTCAGACTCCTATTTTTCCCATTGAAATTCAAAAGCAGCATCCCTCGTTATCATATCTGGTCCACAGAGAAAAACTACAGTCTTCGTTTCTTAATGCCTTAGTGAAGAAAGCGTTGTCTGGGCTCTTCTGAGTAGAAAAGGGTGAAGAGTGAATCTAGAGGAGTAAATGCAATACAGTCAGCCCTCCATATCCAGGGGTTTTTCATCTGTGGATTCAACCAACTGCAAATGAAAAATGTCATTGGATCTACAATGAACATGTACAGACTGTTTTTCTTGTCATTATTCTCTAAACAATACAGTGTTAAAACTATTCACAGAGCATTTACATTGTATTAAGTATCATAAGAAATCTAGAGTTGACTTAAAGTATTTGGGAGTATGTACATAGGATATATGCAAATACTATTTCATTTTATATAAAGGACTCGAGCATCTGCAGATTTTGGTATCCTCAGGGAGGTCCTGGCAATCCCCCACAGATACCAAGGTATGACTGTACATCCATTATGCCAATGTGTCAGGTGTGGCACACCTACCATTGGTGTAAAGACAATAATCTTTATGTAGTAAATTAATAACATTTTTAAAATTTACCTCATGTGATGCTGGTTTTCCATTTACAGACGCACAAAACAGATTTCTTTTAAAATAGATTTTCTTAAGTGATGAGATGTAAGAAAAAATATTAAGTAAATAGAACAGGTTGTGATTGGATATGGCAATAATCATAAAGACAGTCCATAAATGACTATGTACATGAATGAACTTTGGGAAAACATTGATTGATTTAATTCAACCTCCTCATTTATGGGTGAGGAGACTAAAAGTCCAGAAGAGTAAGGTCTTTTTTGAAGTTTTGGCTGCTATTGGAGGCAGAAGAACCCAAGCCTCTGGATTTCCCATTTGTCACTCGTCCACACAGATCCTCCACAGCACTGAAGTATTCTTTTGAGAACCTAATGAAAGCTGTGAATTATTATTCCCAAAAACGTAAATGGAAACAACACGTAAAATTCTGCCTACAATGTCAGCGATTACTCAGACAGCCTAAAGTTCATTCACGGACCTAAAGTTAAGCAACCCTCATCTAATCATTTAAATACCCACCAATGTGGAGTGTTATACAAGATGAAGCAAATATTTAAACTGACCCAGGCTAAGTGTCTGAATTTTTCTAGAACTCAATAACATTGTCTTTGGGAAAATGAGTCTTAAACACATAAAAGCTTTGAACTTCTAAGTGTGTTTCTCTTCCTTCCAAAACTTCTCAGTACTAAAAAAGTTGACTTCTATAGACAGTATGTGGCTACCAGTCAAGTGACATCAACAGACAGACTGCTGCATTTTACAAAGAGAAAGATCAAACCAGAAGTTTAGTTGATTTCTTTCTTCCATAAACATTAGAGACTGGGGGTAAAGTAGAAACAGCAGCAACCACACTTCACAGAAGCCAGACGTTAGAAACACAAATTCCAGCTTTGAGGAATGATTATTATAAAGCTGTTTGTCATAATAACTTTTGCTGATGCCTTCAGCTGTCTCCCTGCACTTTCATCTTTCCCCAGGGTTCAGCAGCTTTCCAGCTGGAGACCCGCGCCTAACAACCGGTTTGATAATTACTTAAAGATAAGCTCTAGCGAGCACAGAGAAGGAAATGACCGTGGGTTTTTCAGAGTGAATGTGGATTTGCATTCTAATTTATTCACAAACTAGAAATGTATGGGTGTTATTTAAAGATGTGTTTTGGAAAAACTGACATAAAAAAGATCAACCCTGAAGTTATATGTCTAGCACGCTTTGGGTATCTTTCAATGTGACTGTCTAGGGCTGTGCTGCCTCCAAGAAGCAAAGAGGACAGTTTCCCAGAAGACAGAAGCTTCAGCACTTCCATGGGTGGCTACTGTTATTCCTCCTCCTCAGGAAAAATGAAAGAAAGAAATCCTGGTAGAGACTATCTCACTGTCTTGGATCTCTAGGGCTTTCTTTCATATCCGCCCAATGCCCGACTATGCCAAGTCAGCTACTTTCAAGTCAAGTTTATGAAATGTAGCTTTCCCTTTAACAGCAGATTCTAGAAGACATAGCTTTTGCCTCTGTTTGGCAGTTTTGGAATTGTCAGTGCCAAGTGTATATATTGTTGTGAAAGATCCCATCCTGGTTCTAAGAGTTGTTACCTATCCCAGTTTCCTGGAGAATACATTTGTTCAATAACGATTGAAGCGAACACACGTACCAAGCACTGTTCCAGGCATTAGGAAAACAGTAAACAAAACACCAGATCTAGTGTTCCATGTCAGGTCATAATAAGCCCTATAAAGAAACTAAACTGAATGAAGTAAGAGAGGGAGAAGGGATGTTGGCAGGGTCAAGGAGAGTGCTCTGGGGAAGTGACATTTGAATGCAAAGATTTCAAAACTGAGAAGTTGAGATGAACTGCCAAACACACACATTAAAAAAAAAAAAAACACTGCATGCTGAGGAAGCTAAATAACTTACTCTTTGGCTCAGAGGGGAATATGAGACCCATAATCAGAAGACTGCCTGATGCCTCCTTGACTGAAACATTTCCAGTCCAGTATTCTGTACTACTTTCTGCCACATTCTGAAGCACCTTCCTAGTCATGGTGTTAAACAGGTGGGGGTGTCAGTTCAGAGCCAGTGTCAATGAAATAAAAATAAAACAAAATTAATTAATTAATTAAACAGGTGGGTGGGGGGAACATGTAAATTAACCTGCATTCCATGCCTGGTTTCATTAGAACTTGAAAACATTTCTTCTTATGCAAGTGCCAAACAGCAATATAGCATGGCAGTTTAAATCCCAATTCTACCCTTTCTTGTTTGTGACCCTGTTACTTAATCTCTCTGTGCCACAGCTTCTTTATCTGAAAACAAGACAAAAATAATAATAATAGAACCCAACACTTAGAGTTAAGAGTAGTAATAAAATTCAATATGTAAAATTTACAACAGTGACTCACACATTTTAAGAGCTCAGTAAATACTAGGCATTATTGTGCTCTTTAGGCTACTGATGTATGTAATATCAACTGTCATTACAATTATTAAAAAATTAATTATTTGTATAATATTTGTTTAAAATCTGCCTCCCTGCTAGCCTATAAGCTCTGTGATGGCAGGGATGACATTTGTCTTACTTCAGTATCTCTAGACTGCAGAACAGCGCCTGACACAGAATGTGAGCTAATAAATATTTACTAAATGAGTTAATGAACTAAAAATGGATAATTTCCATAGTCATGGAAAAGAAAGGTTTTTATTTTGCCAATAAAAACCTCCAACGCACACTGACTTAATGAGGCTTTAATCTAGAATTTACTGCTTGTTGTGATGAGAGAGATTTACGTAAGCAGTAGCCTAACTTTACTTTGTATAACCAGCTGTGTGTACATGCTCTCCTACTACTTATTGTCCATAACCACTTATCATAAGAACCAAAGTTAGTTAAGCTGTTGTGATTGTGACTGATCTTCATTCATTCAGCTAACACATTTTGGGTACCCACTAGGCCCTGGCACTGTATGGCACTGTACTAGCCGCTAGAGACAAAGTGATACCATGATGAGGAAACCTAGACACTGTGGTAAATGTTAGCACCAGAAAAAGGACATGCAGAGGACAGAAAAGCTGACTCCGCTGGGAAAGAAGGGGGAAGTTTCAAAAGAGGAGGGGATTTTTGAGCTGGCTCATAAAAAATATAGGGGACTATTCCAAGTGGAAGAAGTAAAGGGAATTCTAGGCTCAATAAACCACACATGCCGATGGACAAATATGTAGAAAGATCCAGAGAATCGGGAGAGGGGAAACAGAACACTATGACAAGAGTATCAGCATGTCAGGGAAAAATATGTGGTGTTATTTTGGGGAAAATAGGAGGAGGCCGATGGTGACTTGCATGCCAAGCTAAGAAAGTTGCATTTTGTTCTGTAGTTCCCAGGGAACCACCAAGGGTGTTATAGGATTACTACTGGTTTGGGGAAAATTAATCCTGATAATCCTGATGGTACATGGAGGACTGGAGGGTGTAGTTGGATGAGCCACAGCTAGAGTTATGAATCCAGTTAAGGCTGTCTCTATCCTCTGTGTCTTTGTTCTTGTCTCTGTCTTCTCTATCTCCCTGACTGTATGTGAGTGTGTATCACACTCTCATTCTCGCTATCTCACTCTCCTTCTCTCTCTCTCTGCTTCTCCATTATCACCTGGTGTACTGAGTCTCAAACATAGAATGTGATATTTCCTGGGAATTTCTGATGTAGTGAAATGAACAATAAATTGAAAGTCAACGTCCCCACGAACCTTAATCAGTGGTGCATACCCTAGAAAAATTAACTTATCTCTCTAGGCATTTACTTCCTTATCTACACAATAAAAGGGCTGAGTTACCAGGTTTTATTTAATTCCACAAATATTTACTGAGCACCTGCTGTGCTCTAGGTGCTAGGGATACTGTAGTGAACAAAATAGACAAAACTCCCTGCCTTTATGGAGCTTATGTTGCAGTGGAAGAAGACAGAAAACAAAATTTAAGCTAGGAAAATATGTGTTAATTGATGATGAGTGCAATGGAGAAAAATAAAGTAGAAAAGAGATTTAAAAAGATGATGAAGCTATAATTTTCATGAGGTAAGCCCTCTCTGAGAAGGCAGATTTGAGTGAAGACATGGAGGAGGTAAGGGAATGAGCCATACAGACTTTGAGAAAAAGTATTCCAGACAAAGGGCACAGCCAGTGCAAACGTCTTGAGGCAGCTGTATGCCTCGTATGATCCAAAGTAACAAGGCCCATGTGGCTGTAACAGAGGAGGGATGGAGAGTAGTAGGAGCTGGACATCAGAGAGGTGAGATCAGATTCCACAGGGTCTTGTGGGTACTGTAAGGACTGGCTCTAACACAGGCTGAGACAAGGAGCCACCAGAGAAGGGTCATGATCTGACTTATGTTTTTAGAATATCACTGGCTGGGGGTTTGAGAATAAACTGAAGAGGGGCAAGAAGCAGAGGAACCAGGAAGGTGGTAAGATTGAACCGCAGTGCATGGAGATGTGCAAAGCGAGCTGATCTTGAAGGCAGAGCTAACAGGATTGCCCAGGAATGACAGAAGAAAGGAGTCAAGGATGATCTCAAAGTTTGAAGTCTGTGGAACTGAAAGGACAGACACAGCTCTTTAGATGACCCTTACATTTTCTTCTGACTCTGAGATTCTACAATTTGGAGAAGCTTTTTCTCTTTCTTTTTGGTGAAATCTTCCACTCATTTGGAAACTAGTTCTTAAAAAACAAAATGTAGCTAGGCTCAGTGGCTCACACCTGTAATCCCAGTACTTTGGGAGGCTGAGGCAGGTGGATCACTTGAGGTCAAGGGTTCAAGATCAGTCCATGCAACATGGGGAAACCCTGTCTCTACTAAAAATACAAATATTAGCCAGGCTTGGTGGTGTGTGCCTGTAATCCTAGCTACTCAGGAGACTGAGGCAGGAGATTGCTTGAACCTGGGAGGTGGAGGTTGCAGTGAGTTGAGATGAAAAAAAAAAAAAACTAAAAGTATATGTCACCTCTTTTAAATTATTTTCTCTCCTCAGATAGCCTTACAATAAAGGAAAGTCTATGACAAAAACCTTAAGAAAAAACACTGAAAAAATGTGCATTTGTTTAAAAACCTAATCTTTTCCAGTTACTCATCTTTTGAATACTAAATTGTGTTCCATTCCACATTTCTCATGGATAAGGCAGTTATTGAATTTTTGGTGAGCTCAGAATGATCCCATTACCAGAGGAAGCAGATGAATTGAGAGGGGCCCAAGCCCAGAAACAGGGAAACTGTCAGCCGGCTGCAGCACTCTACGGTCAAGCAGTGATCCTTGTGCTGGTGCTTGCCTAGCCCTGTGCTTAAGGTATTGTATAACAAGTGGAAAGCAGAGATAGACAGATTTTGGTACAAACCCATGCTCCATGGATCCTAAGCCCACGTTTGTTACCTCATCACACTGAGCCTCAGTTTCCACATGTGTTAAATATCTATTGCAAGGAAAAAGAGAACGTATCTGAAGTATGAAAACTTGGAGTCTAAGGATACATTCATCTAACATCCTGAGGGGGACCTTATGAGGTCCACTCCCTGTGAATGGATTAACTGAGGTGATGACTGGTGGCTCATATAGTTTGGCTCTGTGTCCCCACCCAAATCTCATCTTGAATTGTACTCCCACAACTCCCATGTGTTGTGGAAGGGACCTGGTGGGAGATAATTGAATCGTGGGGGTGGTTTCCCCCATACTGTTCTCGTGATGGTGAATAAGTCTCGCCAGATATAATGATTTTGTTTTATCAAGGATTTCCGCTTTTGCATCTTCCTTATTCTCTTTTGGCCTGCGGCCATCCATGAAAAATGAGATGCTCCTCCTTGCCTTCCGCCATGATTATGAGGCTTCCCCAGCCTCGTGGAACTGTAAGTCCAATTAAACCTCTTTCTTTTGTAAATTGCCTAGTCTCGGGTATGTCTTTATCAGAAAATGGAATAATACAGTAAATTAATACCAGTAGAGTGGGTCATTGCTGAAAAGATACCCGAAAATGTGGTAGCGAGTTTCGAACTTGGTAACAAGCAGAGGTTGGAACTGTTTGGAGGGCTCAGAAGAAAACAGGAAAATGTGGGAAATCTGGAACTTCCTAAAGACTTGTTAAATGGCTTTGTGCAAAATGCTGACAGTGATAGGGACAATAAGGTCCAGGCTGAGGTGGTCTCAGATGAGATTTTGAACTCTGAATTTTTTAGTTAATGATAAAATTAGTTAAGACTTTGGGGGACTGTTGGGAAGGCATGATTGGTTTTGAAATATGAGGACTTGAGATTTGGCAGGGGCCGAGGCAGAATGATACGGTTTGGCTGTGTCCTCACCCAAATCTCATCTTGAATTGTACTCCCATAATTCCCAGGTATTGTGGGAGGGACCTGGTGGGAGATAACTAAATCATGGGGGCAATTTCACCCATACTTTTCTGGTGTTAGTGAATAAGTCTCACCATGTCTGATGGTTTTATCAGAGGTTTCTGCTTTTGCATCTTCATTATTCTCTATTTGTCTCTTGCCATCCATGAAAGACAAGACTAGTTCCTCCTTGCCTTCCGCCATGATTGTGAGGCTTCCCCAGCCTCATGGAACTGTAAGTCCAATTAAACTTCTTTCTTTTGTAAATTGCCCAGTCTTAGGTATGTCTTTATCAGCAGCGTGAAAATGGAATAATACAGTGGCGAAAGGACCCACAAGATGCAAAAGCTGTAAACTGAGGGTTGCTCCCACTATATATGGGCCTGTTTAAGAAGAGGGGCTTGAAATGTATGCATTGTTTGAATGTAGATGTGTCAGTGTAGGTGCTAACATTTCTGGAAAAAATGATTAGATGATGTCTGGTAGGAGATGATGTAATTGACTCAACAAGCTTCAACTTACTCAATTATCTAGTCTGCTGTAACTATTTATTTCAAAGTTGATTCATCCGGCCCAGCATACATTTCATTTCAAATACCAAGAGAGTACATTCTTGATTTCGAGACAAGCAAGGCTTTTTTTTTCTACTTTCCATGCAATTGGACTTTCAAAAAATCATAATTTACGTCAGTCTTCAGAACTGAAATTTCTCAAGCCCATTTCATTTAAGTTCATACCACAATTGATTTTTACAAAAAAGAATTTTATAGAATATTTGTCCTGCTGTCCTAACACCTGGAAAAACATAGATATTGTATATGGTTACACTATTGACAGTGAAGTATCCTCATGCGGATCTGAGTTCAAATTCCTATTCTACCTCTTAGCCTTGAACAACTTATTTAACTTCATTAAGATTCTATTTTTTCAATGGCAAAATGTCGGTGGGGGATCATAGTACCTATCCCACAGGGTTTCTGTGAATTTTAAATAAGTCTTCTAAGCACTTAGCACAGTGCCTACCACATAGTGAATGAAGTTATTCTTGTTATGCATTCCAAGGTTCTTTTCTACAAGACAATAGTAATGAGGAAGGGTTTATTGTCACTGTTTTATTTTATTTTATTTTATTAATTAAGTTATATTATTTATATGCATATATACATATTAATAATATAAATTAAGTTATTAATATATATATATTATATATTAATACTATTATATAATATTTCATATAAAATTTATATTATATAATATATAATATTTATATTACTATATATTATATTATATATTATAATATTTGTATTATATTATACATATTATATTATATATTATAATATTTGTATTATATTATATATAATATTATATATATAATATTTGTATTATATTATATATATTATATTATATATTATAATATTTGTATTATATTATATATTATAATATTCATATTATATTATATATTCTATATTATAACATTTATATTATATTATATTATATATTATAACATTCATATTATATTATATTATATATTATAACATTCATATTACATTATATATTATATATTATAACATTCATATTACGTTATATGTTATATATTATAACATTCATATTACATTATATATTATGAATTCTAACATTCATATTACGTTATAGATTACGTATTCTAACATTCATATTACGTTATAGATTACGTATTCTAAAATTCATATTACGTTATAGAGTATGTATTCTAACATTCATCTTACGTTATAGAGTATGTATTCTAACATTCATATTACGTTATAGAGTATGTATTCTAACATTCATATTACGTTATAGAGTATGTATTCTAACATTCATATTACGTTATAGAGTATGTATTCTAACATTCATATTACGTTATAGAGTATGTATTCTAACATTCATATTACGTTATATGTTATGTATTATAATATTCATATTATATGTTATATATTATAATATTTATATTATGTTATATGTTATATATTATAATATTTATATTATATTATAAATAATATTATAATATTTATATTATATTATAAATAATATTATAATATTTTTATTATATATAATATTCTAATATTGTATTATATATAATATTATAATATTTATATTATATATATAATAATATTTATATTATTATATATAATACTATATTTATATTATGATATATAATATTATATTTATATTGTTATATATAATATTATAATATTTATATTATTATATATAATATTTATATTGTTATATATAATATTATAATATTTATATTGTTATACATAATGTTATAATATTTATATTGTTATATATAATATTATAATATTGATATTGTTATATATAATGTTATAATATTTATATTGTTATATATAATATTATAATATTTATAATGTTATATATAATATTATAATATTTATATTATATTATGTAATATTATAATATTTATATTATATTATGTAATATTATAATATTTATATTATATTATATAATATTATTATATTTATATTATATTATATAATATTATAATATTTTCTAATATAATATTTATATAATTTTTATATAATATAATAATATATTGATATTATATTATTTATATATAATATAATATATATAATATATAATATAATTATATATTATATATATTAATTAATATATATAATATAATATAAATAATATATTCTATATAAGAATTAATATATAATATATTTATTATATATATAATAATAATATAATATGTAATAATATATTATAATATAATATATACTAATATACATATAATATATAACATATATTATATATTATAATTTTTATATATATAATATTTATATAATATAATAAATATTATTATATTATATATAATATAATATAAATATATAATAAATATTATTATATTGTATATAATATAATTTAAATATATAATAAATATTATTGTATTACATATAATATAATGTAAATATATAATAAATATTATTGTATTATATATAATATATTATAAATATATAATATAATATAAATATATTATATTATATATTTATAAATATATATATTATAAATATATTATATATAATATAATATAAATAATATTATATGTAATAATATATATAATATTATGTATAATATTATATATAATATTACATATAATATTATATATATTATATTATACATAATATTATAATATTTATTTTATATTACATATAATATTATATTATATATATTATATTATATGATATATTATAATATTATAATATTTATATTATATATATTATATAATATATTATAATATTTATATTATATATATTATATGATATATTATAATATTTATATTATATATATTATATGATATATTATATTATAATATTTATATTATATTATATATCATATTTATATTATAATATTTATATTATATTATATACTATATTACATATTATAATATTTATATTATATACTATATTATATAATATTTATATTATATATTATATTATATATATTATATTTATATTACATTATTACATTGTAAGATTATATTACAATATATAATATAATAAATAACATATATTATATAATACATATTATAATATATATTACATAATAAATTATAAATTATATAATACATATTTTAATACATATTACATAATAAATAATATATTATATAATACATATTATAATATATATTACATAATAAATTATATAATATATAATATATATTATATATTATATAATATATAATATATATTATATGATATATTATATATAATATAATATATAATATATAGTATATATAATATATTACATATAATATATGATTTATATTATATATATTGTTTATTACATTATATATACTATATATTATATAATGTACATTGTATAATATATAATATATAGTATATAGTAAATACTATATATTATATAATATATATATTTATTATATAATATATAAAATAATATTTATTATATAATATATAATAATAATTATATAATATTTATATTTATTCAATATTTATATTTATACTATATAATATTCATATTATATATTTATTATATTTATATTATATAATACTCATTATATATGAAGTATAACATATATAATATGTTATATATATTATAATTAACATATAATATATATGAATAATATAATTATATTATAATATAATTTAATTATTACGTTATATTATATTACAACATAATTATAATTATAATTATATGAATTATATTACTATGTATATACATAGATAACATAAATTATAATAGTATAAATTATATTATTTGTATATACATAATATAAATTATATTAATATGTATATATGTAGATACATATATGTATTATATAATTTATATATGTATGTATATAAAAATTAATTTATATATGCATATATTACATATATATACACATATCGCTTCTCAAAACATTTTTTAGATCGTTCACAGCAAGAAATAGTAATAAGGTTAGGATAGTTAGGAGGTAGGCCCAAGCAGAAAGTTCACAGACAGGCTTAATATAGGGTCAGAGACAGAGTCGCCATGAAACTGATGAAGCACAGAATTTTTCCACTCCCTAGGAGGGGCCCAGACAATATGTTCACATGATCATGAGGTTTTGTAAAATTTTCCCTCAAGTGATTAAGACTCTTTTCTCTTTCTACTCCCATGTTCTTTTCATCACACTTCTGTCAAATCAAATGATATTGGGATACCAATGGGTATTTTGAGGAAATTGAGATGGGGAGAGACTTAGTTTGGGTTTAGTGGGGTGTATTTATGCAATTCACAGTCTACTTCTGTATATAGTTAAAATATTGCTGGCCCTCCTCATCTAGGAACAGCTTCCAGAAATATTTCTACCTCCCATGCCTAACTTTGAATGCCTACTCATTCAACATGCAACCCGAAGGTGCAGGATCAGGGCTCATATTTCCATATGAATGTGTCCATTGAAGCTGGCACTAGAAATGTATGTGGTAGAGGGAAAGTAAGGCTTGAAATGTATGGAATCAGATGTTATTATGGTGGTGCATCAGGCAGTTAGGAAAAATATTAAGTTGCTTTTCTGGATTTTGTGATATTTGTACTATTTGTCACCTTTTTAAAATCTGAAATTTGTTACAATTTATTGTCGTATGAAAACAAATATTAAGACCGTACTTTCAGGGATCATTTCTATAGTTCATCAAAACAAATATTTACGCTTGTACCTAACTTTGTGTTCATTTTCTTAAAGAGATCCCTTAAAATCTAATTAGCTTTGGCTTCATATAACCTGGATCCTCTGTTAAGTAGGAATCAAATTTAGCTCTGAGTTTCCTAGTAACCAGAGTGACAGGAAAACACAGAGTGTTACATACTTCTTTTTATGGCAAAGGAGGAAATAAACCATAAAATTGTTGTAAGAAATGTAATGAGATATAATGTATTATTTCCATGATGAGATGACACCTAACCCATCTGAAACACTTACTGGGTCAGGCACTGTTGTAAGCACAGTGTATACATTATTCAGTATTTCCAACCCCAATGCCTGTTTTCTTAACCATTGGGTTTTATTTTCTTCTCAAGGTGACGAGAGAAAGAAGCTGATCTTGAGTACATATAAGAGAGTTCTTACTGCTAGAAGCCCAGGAAATAAACACCACCTCTGAGGGTTATCCAAATACTAATAAATCACCACCCAACAATAGTTACTCATTGACTTCACTGAGCAACTTTCTTATTAGTAGACAAAAAGTAGAATTTAAATTAAATAAAATCTGACAAACACTGTGATCTAGTTTCCTTTTTTCTTTTTCTTTCTTTTTATTTTCTTTTCTTTTTCCTTTTTTTTTTTTTTTTTTTTTAAGATGGAGTTTCACTCTTGATGCCCAGGCTGGAGTGCAATGATGCAACCTCGGCTCACTGCAACCTCCATCTCCCGGGTTCAAGTGATTCTCCTGACTCAGCCTCCAGAATAGCTGGGATTACAGGCACCCGCCACCACACCCAGCTAATTTTTTTGTATTTTTAGTAGAGATGGGGTTTCACCATGTTGGCCAGGCTGGTCTCAAACTCCTGACCTCAGGTGATCCACCTGCCTCAGCCTCCCAAAGTGCTGGGATTACAGGCGTGAGCCACCATGCCCGGCCTAGTTTCCTTTTTTCTATACTCTATGAAGATGCTCAGTTTTTCTTTGGGAGGCTTTTTGTTTGCTGTCTTTTTTTAATGAATAAGTAAGCACAATGATGTGAAACATTCTTCAGAAATCTTTAGGAAATGTGACAGTGAGCAGTAATAAAACAACTATTGAGAAAGCTCTAATGATAATAATAGGTAACATTTATCTATTTATTTATAATATTTAGTTGAAGTATATATTAAGAACTTTAAGTTATCTCATTAAATTCCTTTTTTTTTTTTTTTTTTTGAGACGGAGTCTTGCTCTGTCGCCCAGGCTGGAGTGCAATGGCGCCATCTCAGCTCACTGCAACCTCTGACTCCCTGGTTGAAGCAATTCTCCTGCCTCAGCCTCCCAAGTAGCTGGGATTACAGGCACGTGCCACCAAGCCCAGCTAATTTTTGTATTTGTAGTAGAGACTGGGTTTCACCATGTTGGCCAGGATGGTCTTGATCTCCTGACCTCGTGATCTGCCTAACAAACCCATGAAAAGAATGTTGTCTCCCATTTACAAATGAGGAACTGAGGTTTAAAGAGGTTAAGTCATTTGACCAAAATTCTAAAACAAGTAAGTTGTAGAAATCAGAATTTGAACCCACCACTGAGTTCTAGCTCAGAAAATTTGCTATCGTAATATTCTGTGCAGGATGGGTGGGCACCCAAGTCAGGGCTTGCATGAAGAGAAAGCTCAGAAAATGTTTATGGAATAAAGCATTATCAGTCCTTTAATTTGTGAGGAATTAAACTGCGCCTCCTCTTCTCTTCTGATAGAAAGATCTCTCGCATTTACAGCCTGAGAACAGGCTATAGGAATGAATGGTTTCAGAAAGAATTCAAGGTTGTGGATGCTTAGACACTATTTGGCACCAGTAATGGATCCCTAAGACACTACTTTGTCTCAGGCGCTTCATTCAGTGATCCTGCAGTGTTGGAGTGTTCTGTTAATACTAATCCACAGAACTTTACCTTCATAGTTGTACTTGGAGGATCTATTTGCTCTGAGAACTATGAGAACTATGGCTGAATTTATTGTTCTTAAATCCTTAGTAAATCATTATAAGGTGTAATGTGGAACAATGAAGTACCTTTGTGTATTGATCAGTCAGTCACTGATAGTCGGCTACTAGGAGCCAGGCATTTCACTTTTTTTTTTTGAGACAGGGTCTCTCTCTGCCTCACCCAGGCTGGAGGGCAGCGGTGCGATCATAGCTCACTGCAACCTTGACCTCCTGGGCTCCTTGAGGAGCCCTCTTGTCCTCCCATCTCAGCCTCCCGAGTAGCTGGGACTACAGGCACACACCACTGTGGCTGGTTAATATATTTTTTTGTAGAGATGGAGTCCCACTTTGTGGCCCAAGCTATATTTATTACTTCATTCATTTCTTAGAGGAAACTTATGAGGAAGGTAATATTGCCCTCATTTTACTGAACAGGAAATTGAACAGCTGGATAATTTGTGGAAGGTTTAAACTTAGATCTGGCAATTTCAAAACCCAGCCTCTTTCCCTTACATCTAGAGTATGAAATCAAAAGACTTTTCTGCTCCTGCTGGCTTAAAATCTAGAGCAATGAGGGGACCTTAAAGAGTGGAGGCAAAGGAAGAAGTTCACAGGCCCCCTGGAGAATATGGGTTCTTTTTCAGGGGGAGAAAAAAATGGTACATTTACACACAAATGCACAAATTCTTATATGCAATTTCTTAGGTTTCAGCTCCCAGGTTAACACATCTTATTTTAAGACTGAGAAGGGTAATGTAGAGAAAAAAATCAAAGAGATACATTAAAAAAAAAAATTTAAGCCAAATCATAAACATGTTTCACAAACAGTTGTAATTGCCTGAAGGGAAAAATAATTTACAAAATAAATAGAGATAAAGTAAAGGGGGAAAAACTCATAAAGGACTGATTTCAAAACATTTTATAGGCTGGACACAGTGGCTCATGCCTGTAATCCCAGCTACATTAGAGGCTGAGGCAGGAGAATCACTTGAACCCAGGAGACAGAGGTTTCAGTGAGCCAAGATCGCGCCACTGCACCCCAGCCTGGGTGACAGAGCCAGACTCTGTCTCAAAAAAAAAAAAAAATTATAAAGTTTGAGCTTTTTTTTTTCCTTTAAATGAAAGGAAATTTGGTAATTCTCCCAATCCAATCCAACAGTACTAAGAATTCACTCATTCAATAGCTTGGCTGGATTTTAGAAACATGAATTATTTCATGACAACTAACCACCCTTGTGGCCAAGAGAACAAGGGTAAATAGAGGAAAGTGATCAAAAGTGAGGTTTAGTGGCAACTCCCAACAACCTATATGGGTAAGGCCAAAATCAAAAATTACCCTCTACATGAATGGGCACAGGATAGGCCAGGTCATCCAGCATCAGAACTCCCATTTCACTTCCAAGAACACACTGTAGGTCACTGTCCCGTAAGTGTCCTACCATTTGCAAATTCATCTCAATGTGCACACAATATGATAAATACTACTCAGTTTCTACAAAATCAGACAAAGGCAAGCAGGTACTTGAAGCAGATTTAACTTTGCACATCTTGGATACACATAGAGTTAAAAGATAGTCCTAGCTTCATTTAAAGTCAAATATTCTAGCACATTTTTATTATTTGTGGCACGAAATATGTGGAGCAGAGAGGCACTGAGAAATACAATGCTATTTGGCCCAAAAGGAATGACACAGCACTTCTCTGTCCTTGGAAGAACAGCACCATGGGCAACCACTGGATTAACTTATATACACAATCATACCAAGTAGGAACAGGTTTTGCCATCAAGTTCATTCATTCTTGGTTTTTAAATCCCAACATTAAAATAAGCAAACATTGCCACAACAAATGTTTTCTCTTGTGAAGCCATAAGAGAACAGGAGAATCCAAGTTAAGCAAAGATAGCAAAGCTTGCTCTTGTCAATTAAAAGTGCAATTGGCCTATCTATTTGAAAGTGAAATCTTTATTATGGAAAGTCAGATTTCAGGAAAAAAATCCATAACATAACTGTTTCATTAAATTACTCAGGTCCTATTTTCATTAAGTTGTATTATCATAATAGCTGAGAGTTCATTTGCCATTGTACCCAACTCATCTAAAATTCTGAATCCCCAGTGACTGGATTATATTTGACTTCAAAAAGAACACTATGTCCTGCTAGCCTTATGTAATACAAAGTAAATCAAGTCACTGAGTTTTCACCCATGGATATAACATTCCAGTTCATTTTAATTACATATAAAATGTATATTAAGTAAATATATATATTAGCCTGCCTTTTGATGAAGGCAACTGACTTATGACAATAGCATACAGTTAATATTCGCCTTTGTTCCTGAAATATCTTTGTTATAAACATAGTTTCTATACTTTGAAAGCCAAATTCACCAAGGGAAGCATCTTCTAAATCTTACTGCTGTAAGCTCATTTTCCTGGACTGTTATTATACGTAATAAGAGACTTGACTTGACAGCTCCTATAATAACACATTCTAAATTTTAAATTCGATGTGTGTTTTTTACCTTAAACTCTTGTGATGACAAAACCATTTTCCTCAAAGCTGATTGGTTATGCAGGTCTACAACAGTGCTTAAATGGAACCTTGCTGTGCCAAGCTTTCTGACAAGGAGGAATCTTTTTATTTTGAGCCTTTTTGATACTGAACATGATATCTGAGTGAAGAATTTTTGTTTTATTATTAAGAAATAAATGTATCTTGCTTCTTGAGATCTCCCTGGCTTCAGCAATTTGTAGTTATTTCCACTATAGACCATTAAGAATATATTTCAAAGGCAAGCTAACAAAGTTCAAGTAAAAATTATTTTTTATATATTACAGCTTCTAATTGGCATTGGGTGAGTATTAGAGATTATCAACATAAATTACATATAGTGTCAAATAATGAATTTAATTCATAGATGTTGGTTAATTCTCCTTATTGCATTCCTTCTTGTTGGTTGTATAATCATTGTATGCAGACTAATCTTCTGATAAAACTTTAAACTCCTTGGTTTATTTGGTGTATTTGTTTTTCTTGTAAGTTTTTTCCAGCCTTCTTAGACCTCCTTTACTACTGTGACTTTGTACATTTCCCCATAGTGAAGTCTAGTTTTGTCAACATCGCCCTAGAAGTATCTCAAAATACAGTGCCTGTGTCATTTCCTCTCTGATTTAGCTTTCATCCTACTTTTAAAGCAACAGAAGATTAAACTTGATTTTGTGGCCCCCTAATACAGGTATGACTGGATAAAATAATTAACATGACATGTGCTGCCTTAGAACTGAAGCTTTGCTATTCATTTCATTTATTTGTTCCATTTCTATATTTTAGTTTCTTCTCAGGTTAAAGCTGTATTTTTCTTAAAGGCTTATAAAAATTTTGCTGAAAAAAATGTTGGTGCTTCGGTGCAGGCTTGGAACCTCTTTTCCTAAACTAGATAACTTGGTGAGTACTTTCATTTATTTTTGCCAATACATACAGGTTCTCAAACTAGATACTGTCAGAAATACACTTGAGAGGGCCAAACACTACTGAAATGTATCAGAAGACTCAAAGAGCATCTGCTTTCACAGATGGAATGGAAGAAGAACTTACACAGTCATTGTACTTTGTGGCAATCATTATGAGTGTTACTTTCAACTCAAAAAATAACTAATTATAGACTTTAATCACTAACTTTTAGAGATGGAAGGGATCTCAGTCATCCAACATAATATATTAATTTTACAAAAGAGAAAATGAGTTTTCTATTTGCAAATATAAAGGCTACATATATTATCAAGAATCACTGTGACAGCTACTAGAGAGATGAGATGAATGATTAAGCAAGGCAGAAATTAACCATCCAAAAGCACCCTTAAATCTTGGGCCATAATCTTAGAAACATTTAGCAAAGAAAGCTTTCACCAGTATTCTCTTTATTAGTTTCCACATATTGTTGTAACCTATACTAAACACTCTAAAATAACATTCAGCTGTTATTTTCATTCTCTATGATGTTCTAACTCTGAAAATCTTTAAATAGTAGGAAAGGTATTTACATACTACTGCTTCCTTTGTTTAATTACATTCTGCCAATTTTTCTAATGTATGAAAGATAACTGATTACACCCACAATTTAGGAAAATGTCCATTATAAAAATGCTAAAGCGTCATTTATGTTGCTCCTATAGGAAGTAAACAGAAGGGTGAGCATTGGCTCCAATTATGCTAGATAGATTTTATGTCCAGAAAAGGAAGAAAGAATGAAAGGAATGAAAACAACTGAGTGTCTACATGTTGGTTACTCTGCTAGGAAATGGACTATATCTGATATACGATGAAAATGAATCATTCTGATTAAAACCTTTTATTTTCCTCTATTGTATATGCAAATAGAAAGTTTTCTTAAGAAATTACTCAAGTAAATGTTTCAGAATAAACCTTGTTCCAAGATGTAAATACGAGACTTAATTTTACAAGTCTTTCATAATTAACTAGAGTGGGATAAATGAATGAACCCCGTTAAAAACAATCTCCAAACTTCATACATAAGTCTATATGTTTAATCAAGGTATCTAATAAAGAGATAAATTTACTATTCTGCCTATTTCCTATTTCTTCCTATTTTCCTGACCATCTTAGAGCATAAGTGATTTTTTTTTTTTTTTGAGACAGAGTCTCACTCTGTCGCCCAGGCTGGAGTGCAATGGCACGATCTTGGCTCACTGCAACCTCCTCCTCCTGGGTTCAAGCGATTCTCCTGCCTCAGCCTCCCAAGTGGCTGGTATTACAGGTGTGAGACACCACACCCGGCTAATTTTTGTATTTTTAGTAGAGACAAGGTTTCACCATGTTGGCTCAGCTGGTCTCAAGCTCCTGTCCTCAGGGGATCCACCCACCTCAGCCTCCCAAAGTGATGGGATTAAGGCGTGAGCCACCGCGCCTGGCCACATAAGTGATTTTTAAAGGAAGTGATGATGATGATAATAATAATAACAGGAACAATAGAGGAAACCAGGAAAAAAATAAGATTCTGCATATTCCAGTTTACTTAGTCTCTATATAACAGAATATTATCTATAACATCTTAGAAAGTAGCACAAAGTTTTGATTTTGGAGTGTGCCCTCCTTGAAACTGAGATTATTCTGTACAATGAATGTAGTTGGACATCACTATTTCTTTATAAATCAACTAGTAACTAGAAACTCAAACCCATTAATATTCCTATTTGGGGGATAACCTCCTAATTTCTAATTTTCACATTCTGGTGCTATGATATCTCTCTCTTTCTCTCTCTCTCTGTCTCTCTCTCTTTCCCTGTCTCTCTCTTTCCCTGTCTCTCTCTCTCACGCACACACACTTATATTTCCTTTTAATCTGACTCTTTTGGCAGCTTGAAAAGTACCAGATGATAACTATCTAATAGTTTCTTGACATAAAATAAAACTGGCAGCAGGGGCCCCATCCATTTCCATACTCTCCTTGACAGACAAGTAGGCTAGTACTTAGATAAGTGCAGAGTGCCCTAAGCATACTTATTTCACAGACCAAAAATAAAAATCAATTTTTTATTCTAGGTACCAAAAGGCAAAATGAAGATTCTCCTGGTCTTTCTAGGGCTTCTTGGTAATTCTGTTGCTATGCCAGTGAGTATTTTTTAAATGTTAGCTCTTCTCTTTGTGTTCCGTTAGGAACAATTGTTGAGCTTATTTCAACTGATGTTCTGCATTTGTCACTGACATTCTCTTACTTCCAGATGCACATGCCCCGAATGCCTGGATTTAGCAGTAAAAGTGAGGAGGTATGTACGTTCAGTCTCAGAGGAGAAGTTATCCAGAGTCCTATCCTACACATTTACTAAAAAGGAGAATATTGGAAAATTGTCTCATATATAATATTTCTTATGAAAAAGGTAAAAAGAGGGAGATTTGAAAGTCTTAAACTCTCAAATCGAGGCAAAGTAGTAATTTCCCCAGCCATCAGCCTACCTATGTACTTCAGTGTTCCTTTTCAAGGTAGATGTGGATTTGTGTTAAAATCTAGTTGATGTTACCTTATCTGCTAAGTTTTTTAGCTAGCAAAAGTGACCAATTGTACCAAGGGTTATTAGAAGGTAGATGCTTAAAAATAGAAATACCTTTCACATGACTCATATCCCAGATCATTAATCAAATTCAATACATATCAGAAAGATGAATCATCTTGTCACATAATTCTCATGTTCTCAAATCCTGAACTCAAAAAGAATAGAACAGAACATTCAAAAACTTTACAGTAGATCAGACTTTTATTTTCTATGATTCTCTATTGATTATTCTCAAAATAAAATTCTGACTTAAAAGTTAAACTGCCTGAGAAGCTTCTTTAATTGTATACTTTCTTAAAATTCAAGCATAAGTAGGAAAAGGTGATATGACTGTTGTGCATTAAAATCAGAAATTTTTACACTGGGAAGTTCTAAGGTTAAAAAAAGAAATTTTACTTATTTCTTACGATTTGTGCATTGATTTAATAAAAGTTTCACTTTGTATCACATTAATGGATTCCTTTGGTTGCAGATGATGCGGTATAATCAATTCAACTTTATGAACGGCCCACATGTAAGTTTTTCTTTATGTTATTTCTGATGATTTCTTGTTTATCTAGATAACTCCGTTATAAAGTTTGCCTTAGTCAATAGAGACACCAATCCACATGTTTTAAGTATAATGTAATCATTACAAAAGTTTCAAGGTGGAAAAATTATTGCCCCTATCCTCTCACACCAAATTTTCTTCTTATTCATTACTATTGTTCTTTCATGTAAATCAAAATAATTATTAATGAGAAATGTTATTTATTTGAGACTGAGTCTCAAATGTATAGTCAAGAAAAGATGGTTCTGGGAAAATATCACATAAGATGTCACAAATAATGACAATAAAAATAACATAGTAAGTATTGGTGGGGGGTAAGTTTTACTTGGATTATCTTGAAAGATAACACTACAGTTATGAAGCAAGTTTTATGTTATTTAAATAAATATAGGTTATTCTTGTCACTGTATGCTAATTGTCAGAACAGACAAATCAAGTATCAGGTGGTTCTTTGGCACAATTTTTCTGATAAAATTGTATGTTAGCATAATAACACTACACATCACTTTTGATTTCCATGGAATGATCATGAGGGCCATTTTGAGGGGAAAATCAAGGACTACATCCATTTTTTTGTAACCCTTTTTATCCAAGTCATTCTCTTTTAAAGCTCTTTGCCTAAAATAATCATTGTAAATTTCCTCTTCCTCAACTTTTGATTGGCTCAACTTTTTCATACCCCTGTTTTTAGTTTTAGTGACTTTACCTGTGATTTGAAATTTTTACCAACTTAGTTGTCATGAAATCCTGTGTCTTAGTGCAATATTTGCAATTTTGAATTTCATCAATCCACAAAGCGTGGGTACATCATCTAATAGATAGCAAGAGACTAATTAATGAAGACTGGGTATAGAGACAGGTGTTAAACCAGGGAGGAAATATTTGAATGAGAACTGATGTTGCAAGACTGATCATTCATAAATTATCATAAATTTAGAAATTAGCATTTTTATAAATTATCATAAATTTATAAATTAACATTTTTAGATTATAACTACTTTTGCTTCCCTGCCCAACTTTGTAATTGTGGTGATTCTGATAAAAAAATGGATTTAATGAGGATCCACCTGTAACCAAGAACCATAGACACCATATAAGTGTGTTTACACAGACTGAATTTTTATCCTCTCTTTTCCTTTTTTTCTTGTTTTTTATTTTTTGTTTACAGTCTCACTTCCTTTATCTTATTTTTGTTTTTTCTCTTCTTCATCCAGCCTTATAACAAATCACATGGGTTCTGAATACGACATTAAATCTTCTGTAACCTGACTTGTATACTTCTGACCTGAGTTAGGGTTTCAGAGTTAGAAAATCATCAGTCAAATTCTTAAACTGAGATTTCCCACCTAATTCTGCCTTTTGGTTTGTTTTGGTTGTTTGGCTTTCTAGAAGACGGAAGTTCATTCTGTAAGACAATGTGTAAGGAAATTCTAACTAAAGATCTGGAAGCTTCCATAGTTAAGTCAAGTTCCAGGACTTTTAAGCTCTTTGGCTGAGTTTTAGAGGCTGACATTAGAGGATGGAGACAGCCTGAATCACAGCTCTATTATGATTTCACTATTATTTGCTACCCTTTCAGATGGCACACCTGGGGCCCTTCTTTGGAAACGGTCTCCCTCAGCAATTTCCACAGTACCAGATGCCCATGTGGCCTCAGCCACCACCCAACACATGGCATCCACGGAAATCCTCAGCACCCAAACGTCATAACAAGACTGATCAGACCCAAGAAACCCAGAAACCCAACCAGACTCAGTCAAAAAAGCCACCACAAAAGCGGCCTTTGAAGCAGCCATCACATAATCAACCTCAGCCCGAAGAGGAAGCTCAACCCCCTCAGGTGAGACTTGCACAGAAAAATTCCATATCTGTAAATGGCCTCGGAGAGATTTGGAGGGCCATGCCACCCCCATATACACACTTCAATACAGGTACTCTGTTGCAATACCAATGTTTGTTTTGACATGCATCCAAAACTGCATGGCAAGTCGACTCCAATCTTGTTTGGTTGAAATTACCCAAATACTGTTGCCTTTTAAAAGCTCCTTTTAAATTACAGAGACAACATGGTGTAATAATATGAGCACTAATCTAACAGTCGAGAATCAAAGGTTCAAGTCCTATGCCTGGTCCTTATTAGTTGTATGCTATTGAACAAGTTACTTCACCTTTCTAGGTTCCAGTTTCCCCATGAGTAAACTAAATAGTTTCGAAGTTTCATCCAAATCTGTGCTTTGATGCTCTAAAATATTGCTCTTAAATTAACATTGCTTCCAGTACTAGTATGACATAAGGTAAGAAGATGTGCAAATGGTTTCTCAAGATCTCATCCAGTGTGGAGGGAGCTTCGAAAATACTGGCTTTTAGGCCGGGCGTGGTGGCTCACACTTGTAATCCCAACACTTTGGGAGGCCAAGGTAGGTGGATCACCTGAGGTCAGGAGTTCAAGACCAGCCTGGCCAACATGGTGAAACCCTGTCTCTACTAAAAATACAAAAAGTAGCTGGGCTTGGTGGTGCGTGCCTGTAATCCCAGCTATTCAGGAGGCTGAGGCAGAAGAATCGCTTGAACCCGGGAGGTGGAGGTTGCAATGAGCCAAGATCACGCCACTGCACTCCAGCCTGGGCAACAGAGCAAGACTCTGTCTCAAAAAAATAAAAAGAAAATACTGGCTTTTGGTCAGTTAACACTTATTATCAGACACTATTACAGACATAGGGAGTACCAAATTGAATGAAAAGACACTCCTGGATTGGAATCCTGGCTTCAGTGATTTACGAGCAATGAGATTTTGGGCAAGTGACCAAACTTCTCTGAACTTCATGGTCTTAGTAAAATGGGAATAGTAATAGTTTATATCTTCTATGGTTATATGAGGATGAAATGAGTTTAACAATATAAAATGCTCAGCACAGAGCCTGGAATGTGTGTCCAATGATACTAATTGTTATTATCATTATCGTCTTTGCCCTATAAAAAACACAGAGTTTAATGCAAAGGGAGATGTAGACTCCCAAGTTTCAATTGTATTTAGTTAGTTTCCTTCATTTTTTTATGTATTCTTTTCAATACCACATCACTCTGATTCTTTCTTTCTCTCTAGGCATTCCCACCATTTGGAAATGGGCTATTCCCCTATCAACAACCACCATGGCAAATTCCACAGGTGAGAAATTTTTTTTTCTTTACACTGTAAGTGAAAAATAATATTAGTATGTTATAATTTAAATTAATATAAATTCATACATTCTAATGGAATACCATATACCAATCAGTAGATGGTATGAAACAAAACCAGTGCATCAGTAATCATGCAGAAAAAGAATAATTTTTTGAATTTCATACTCAGACAAATTGGTGACATAAATACAACCTAAATCACCAAACAGATACTAATAAATTAGCTAATAAATTAATTTTAAAAGGTTGCACTACTTCATTACTATTTCCCCACATCCTTAAGAAATTTTTAAAAAACACACAAATTATCTTCATTTAATGTAATGGGGAAACTGGGACACAGGACAAAATGGAGTTTGAAAACCACAGGGTGAGCTATGATTAGACATTTTCATCCTATCTTACTGTTTCTAGCCACAGATATATCATTATAAAGAATCTTGGGGCTGGGCAAGGTGGCTCACGTCTGTAATCCCAGCACTTTGGGAGGCCGAGATGGGTGATCACTTGAGGTCAGGAGCTCAAAACCAGCCTGGCCAACATGGTGAAATCCCGTCTCTACTAAAAATACAAAAATTTGCCAGGCATGGTGGTGCATGCCTGTAATCCCAGCACTTTGGGAAGCCGAGGCAGGCGGATCACCTGAGGTCAGGAGTTCGAGACCAGCCTGACCAACAAGGTGAAACCCCGTCTCTACTAAAAATACAAAAATTAGCTGGGCATAATGGCAGGCACCTGTAATCCCAGATATTCAGGAAGCTGAGGCAGGAGACTCACTTGAACCCAGGAAGCAGAGGTTGCAGTGAGCCGAGATCGTGCCATTGCACTCCAGCCTAGGTGACAGAGCGAGACTCCGTCTCAAAAAAAAAAAAAAGAGATCTTGCAAAATATTGTTTACAAGAAGCCTCAAAGAATCTTAAACGTTTAAAATCATTAAAATAAAAAATAATATTGAAATTGCATCATAGGCATTAAAAATACGAATGGCAAAATAAACTTTTTGAACTAAAGAAATGTTAAAGGCCAGTTGCTGCTAAACAAACAAAACAACAGGAAATATTTGTTGACTGTTCATTCAGCTATGACATAGGTTTTCCTTGTCTACAACTCTATTACCAAGAAGGCTTTTTATCAGTGAGGAACAATTCATTTTAAGGAGTAAGAGTTCCTTACATTTTTCCTCCTTAAAAGAGTGACTTCCTTTTACTGGCTATGCTGAACTAAGGAAATTAAGGCAGTACAAGGTAAAGATTTTAAAAACAGATAAACATGATTCTCATGCTGAAGTAACTATTAATCTCATCTACATAAAACTTGAGAAGCAGAAACTCGGCCTCCAAGTTTGATTAGGAGAATTAACTTTAGTCAAATAAAAATATCATAGTAATAATTCAAGGATTGTCAGTTTGGAGTTTGTCCCCCTAAACATGAAGCCACATTCTAAAAATAACATCGTTACTTAATCTCTATTATTAGATGTTCTAATATGGATACTTGGATTCTAACAGCACTCAAATTTCTCTCTCTCACCCTCTCTCTGTATGTGTGTGCATGGTGTGTGTTTGTTGGGGGTTGTGGAGGGTATGTTTTTGAGTGTTGGAGGTGGTAAGGAGGATTGCCAACAGATGCAGCCATACAGAGTATTTTAAGTAGGATAATCTAGGATCCAGCTGAAGCCTTTGTATTTACCAGTATTCACTGTTAGATCATAATTCTTAGCAGCTGGACTGTGAGAGCTAATAACTCAAACGCTAAAAGCTCAGAGTACTAACTGAGCTCAATCATTGACTTGAGCTATTTTTAGACACCCTGAGTCTTACAAACAAATGGCGGCATCGAACGTGGTTTTCTCCTGTGTTCACTGTGTTTTTCACTTCTCAGAGGTTACCACCACCAGGTTATGGACGCCCACCAATCAGCAATGAAGAAGGGGGGGTAAGTACAAGTAAAACTACATTCTCCACTAGAAATTACAATCCATTCGCCCCTGCTTTTTTATCCACATCTAATAAGAAAGTTAAAATCCAACACATGAACCTGTAGCTCAAGCTTCCGTGATTTTTAGAAAATAAAAAAGTTAAACAAATCAAGCCAGTGGTCCAAAGATTGATGGTGGACTCCAGACAGTGATAAACAGAGAAAGAAGTAAGAGTTTCTTAGAATGTTATCCTCAAGAGGAAATTAAGTGATCTCTAACTTCCTGATTATATTAATACAAATAAATTGAAGCCAAGAAAAGATCAATTACTACTCAATTTCACTTTTAAGTTACTGGATAAACTGAACCCAGAACCCAAGTCTTCTGTTACTCTGCTCAATGGCCTTTTTACTATACCACACTAGGAGAAGAACCAAATGTATATCACAGAGTGATATACTCTTAATATTCCAGCTCTATGTCATCTAAAAAGTCATTTTAGTGATTGTGGCATAGCACCCCACCCCCCTGGAGCTTACTTCTTTTTCCCTAAATATGTGATATGTCCTCAGTGAACTGTGGTAACTTAATAGCTTGACTGGAGAGTGGGCGACAGATTGTTCTTTTTTTTTTTTTTTTTTTTTTTTTTTGAGACAGGTGGGAGATCACCTGAGCCTTGGGGGTGGAGGTTGCAGTGAGCCATAGCACCACTGCACTCCAGCCTGGGTGACAGAGCGAGACTATCTCAAACAAAAGAGAGGTTGGCATTACCTGCTCTAAGAGGTCCCTTTCAGCTTTAAGATTATGTATATATACATTTTGTAAGTAAGTCTTTTCATCTCCCACAGTCTATTATTAGCATGGCAGCCAGAGTGAACCTGTGAAAACAATAGTCTCATCTTGTTGCTCCTCTGCTCAGTCCCTGCAATGACTGCCAATTTCTTATCTTTCTTTTCTTTCTTTCTTTCTTTTTTTTTTTTTTGTAAGACAGAGTCTCGCTCTGTCATCCAGGCTGGAGTGCAGTGGCACGATCTCGGCTCACTGCAACCTCCACCTTCTGGATTCAAGCAATTCAGTTCTCATACCTCAGCCTCCCGAGTAGCTGAGATTACAGGTGTGTGCCATCACACCCGTCTAATCTTTGTATTTTTTTAGAGATGGGATTTCACCATGTTGACCAGACTAGTATCGAACTCCTGGCCTCAAGTGATCCAGCCACCTCAGCCTCCCAAAGTGCTGGGATTACAGGCATGAGCCACTGCAACTGGCAGAGATTGTTCTTAAAATAACATTGAAGATTACCGTGTCAGTAATGGTATAAGGCGCTCTCAAATATATCATGAAATAACCCCAAATAAAAATGATTCAGATAATTGTATGCAACCTAGAAAGTGGCACTTCTAATTTTCATATGAGTAACATAAGAAAGGAAGCAGAAAGATCCAGGCAGTTATCACAGGCTTTAAGAAGCTTTTATTTAGGCCAGGCACGGGTGGCTCACACCTGCAATCCCAGCACTTTGGGAGGCTGAGGCAGGTGGATCACTTGAGGTAAGGAGTTTGAGACCAGCCTGGCCAAGGTGGTGAAATCCCGTCTCTACTAAGAATACAAAAATTAGCCGGGTATGGTGGTGCTGGCCTGTAATCCCAGCTACTGTGGAGCCTGAGGCAGAAGAATCGCTTGAACCCAGGAGGGGAAGGTTGCAGTGAGCTGAGATCACATCATTGCACTCTAGTCTAGGCGACAGAGCGAGACTCAGTCTCAAAAAACAAAAAAGGAAAGAAATCTGAATTTAGATAGGCACAATGGCTCACACCTGTAATCCCAACACTTTGGGAGGCTGAGACAGGAGGATCACTTAAGCCCAGGATTTCAAGACCAGCCTGGGCAACATAGGGAGAATAAAATAAATGTTAGGTGAACGTGGTGTCACGTGCCTGTGGTCCCAGCTACCCAGGAGGCTGAAGTGGGAGGATCACTTTAGCCTGGGAATTCAAGGCTGCAGGGAACCCTGATCTTGCCACTGCACTCCAGCCTGGGCAACAAAGAAAAACCCTGTCTCAAAAACTAAGATGTCTGTATTCTACCTCTTGAGGGCACTACCTGATTTCCTGCATGATCTTGGGAGATATTTCCTTGCCTGTCTTTCTCATCTCCATCCACAAATGGGGATTAAAATACTTTTCTTTATATTGCATTTGTTTTAAAAAGAAAAATCAAATGATCTAAATGCCACACAAATGTCTAACAAACATACTGACTGAGTTCGTGATGATTAAATCATTCATTAAATGAAAATTTATTAAGAACATCCCACTCTCCTCGGTACTGGAAAACAAGGATGAGAAGCATAATGTTTTCATTCAAAACCTTCACATGGGAGAATTAAATGGAAGAATCCCAGGAAAATAGGAAACTGAAATTCAGTGGGATAATTGTGATGACAGAAATCTGTACTGCTGTGGACTCCTAGGAATAGGACCTAATTCTGCCCATGGAAGTCAAGACACAGAAGGTAGAAGTCAAACTGAGCTCTGAAGGATGAGTCAAATTTGCCAGGAGGAATAAATGTGTCAATGGAAGAAGTTTCAATATGAATAAGCCGTGTGCAAAGGCACTGAAACATAAAAAGAATAGAGAACCCAGAGAATTCAACGTAGTTGTGATTTGCAACTGCATAAAGTGCAAGGGGGAGGAAATGAGGCTGAATGTAATAGTTATAGCCCAGATTATTATTAAAAATTGTATTATTATTATATAATATATAACACTTATTAGGCACTTACTAAGTACCAGGCACTGAGCTGTACTTATTTTGTCTCATTTGGCCCTCATGACAACCTATGAGGTAGACGTTATTTTATTATCATCTCCATATTACAAATGAATAAACCAAGGTTGGCCCAGAGTCATAGTACTAATACTGGTGGAACGGGGATTTTAATGCACATCTGTCTAGAGCCCCACTGTTTAGCAGCATGTTGTACTGCTTTGATGTTATGTTAAGGGATTTAGAGTTTATTTTGTAAAGGAGAACTTTAAATACAAATTTAAAGAGGAAAGGGGCCAAATTTCCATATACCCACTCTCAGCCTCTAATACTCTGACGGCAGTGCAGAAGCAAGATTAAAGGAAAGTAAGACTGTATCCAGAGTAGCCAGTAAGAAAACTACTGTAACAGTTCAGGGGTACTGTGGATTAAGGAAGTGGGAACAAGGATGAAAGTTTAGATTTTATAGGACCTGATTATTAATAGTCTGAAGTACTAAGAGAGAGCAGAAACTTAAGAAACTGTACAGATAGTGGTGAATGTTGCTTAAATATAGAACATCGGAGGAGGAGATTTCACGGGAGATGAGCCCAGTTCTGGGTGCATTCAGTTGGAGGTACTCATGAAATCTTTAGTGGAGATGTTTTGCTGCCTCAACCTTGGGTGAGAGTGTTGTGGGTTAGAATTATGCCTTTGGGAGTTGTTAGCAGTCTATGCCTATTAAAAGCATGGGCTGATGCAATAGAATTCTTTTTTCTTTCTTTCTTTCTTTTATTTTTTTTTATTTTATTTATTTATTTATTTTTTTTTTTGAGATGGAGTCTCGCTGTTGCCAGGCTGGAATGCAGTGACACGATCTGGGCTCATTGCAACCTCCACCTCCTGGGTTCAGGCGATTCTCCTGCCTCAGCCTCCTGAGTAACTGGGACTACAGGTGCGTGCACCACCATGCCCAGCTAATTTTTGTATTTTTAGTAAAGACGGGGTTTCACCATGTTGGCCAGGATTGTCTCGAACTCCTGACCTCGTGATCCACCTGTCTCGGCCTCCAAAAGTGCTGGGATTACAGGTGCAATAGAATTCTTAAAAGAGGTATGTAAAAACAGAACAGAAAAATTAGGAGGATGGAGGATGAAATCATTAAAAACAAAACAGAAAAACAAACAAAAACCCTCAGATGTATAAGGCCTAAAAAGAGAAAGCTGAGCAGTGGTCAGAAAAAAATACCAGGAGAGAGAACCAGAAAGAGTATGGTCATGGAAACCAAGGAAGAATCAAATTTCAAGAAAGAAAGTAAAGCTAATGATGTTAAAAGAATCATGTGGCTGATAAGATTTCCCTGTTATACTAAAAAATTCCAAACAACACCATGGTGGGAAACAAAGGGCAATTATTGATTTCCATTTTCTTTCCTACAGAATCCTTACTTTGGATATTTTGGATATCATGGCTTTGGGGGTCGCCCTCCTTATTATTCAGAAGAAATGTTTGAACAAGATTTTGAAAAACCCAAAGAAGAAGATCCTCCTAAAGCAGAAAGTCCAGGCACAGAACCCACAGCTAATTCAACAGTCACTGAGACGAATTCTACCCAACCAAATCCTAAAGGGAGTCAGGGAGGAAATGACACCAGCCCCACAGGAAACAGTACCCCAGGACTAAACACTGGGAACAACCCTCCAGCTCAAAATGGGATTGGCCCACTCCCTGCAGTCAACGCTTCAGGCCAGGGAGGGCCAGGAAGTCAAATCCCATGGAGACCAAGTCAGCCAAATATTCGTGAAAATCATCCATATCCTAATATAAGAAATTTTCCTTCAGGAAGACAGTGGTATTTCACTGGTACTGTCATGGGGCACAGACAGAATAGGCCTTTTTACAGAAATCAACAAGTTCAAAGGGGTCCTCGGTGGAACTTCTTTGCTTGGGAACGTAAACAAGTAGCTCGTCCAGGAAATCCAGTTTATCACAAAGCTTACCCTCCTACTTCAAGAGGCAATTATCCCAATTATGCAGGAAATCCAGCAAATCTCAGAAGAAAGCCTCAGGGGCCAAATAAACACCCTGTAGGAACTACTGTTGCCCCACTGGGTCCCAAACCTGGCCCTGTTGTTCGCAATGAAAAAATCCAAAATCCAAAGGAGAAGCCCCTGGGTCCAAAAGAACAAATAATAGTTCCTACAAAGAATCCAACCAGCCCCTGGAGAAACTCTCAACAGTATGAAGTTAATAAATCAAATTATAAACTGCCTCACTCTGAGGGTTATATGCCAGTCCCAAATTTTAATTCTGTTGATCAACATGAAAACTCCTATTACCCAAGAGGAGATTCCAGAAAAGTCCCAAATTCTGATGGACAAACCCAAAGCCAGAATTTGCCCAAAGGGATTGTTTTAGGGTCAAGAAGGATGCCATATGAATCAGAAACTAATCAGTCAGAATTAAAGCACAGCTCATATCAGCCTGCTGTATACCCTGAGGAAATCCCTTCTCCTGCAAAAGAACATTTTCCTGCTGGAAGAAATACTTGGGACCACCAAGAAATCTCTCCACCTTTTAAGGAAGATCCAGGGAGGCAAGAAGAACATTTACCCCATCCTTCCCATGGTTCTAGAGGAAGTGTTTTCTACCCTGAATATAACCCATATGATCCCAGGGAAAACTCACCATACCTTAGAGGCAATACATGGGATGAGAGAGATGATTCTCCCAATACTATGGGGCAAAAAGAAAGTCCACTCTACCCCATAAATACCCCAGACCAGAAGGAGATAGTCCCTTATAATGAAGAGGACCCAGTTGATCCAACTGGAGATGAAGTCTTTCCTGGACAAAATAGATGGGGTGAAGAGTTGAGCTTCAAAGGAGGCCCAACAGTTAGGCACTATGAAGGTGAACAATATACCTCAAATCAGCCAAAGGAATATCTTCCCTATTCTTTAGATAATCCATCAAAACCAAGGGAGGATTTTTATTACAGTGAATTTTACCCATGGAGCCCGGATGAGAATTTTCCATCATATAATACAGCTTCTACTATGCCACCACCTATAGAGAGCAGGGGCTACTACGTTAATAATGCCGCTGGACCAGAAGAAAGCACTCTATTTCCTTCACGGAATTCCTGGGACCACAGGATACAAGCCCAAGGGCAGAGAGAAAGAAGGCCGTATTTTAACAGAAATATCTGGGATCAGGCAACACATTTACAAAAAGCCCCAGCTAGGCCACCAGACCAGAAAGGTAACCAGCCCTATTACAGTAACACCCCAGCTGGGCTTCAGAAAAATCCAATATGGCATGAAGGTGAGAATTTGAACTATGGCATGCAAATAACTAGGATGAATTCTCCAGAGAGAGAACATTCATCTTTCCCTAACTTCATCCCACCAAGTTACCCATCAGGTCAAAAAGAAGCACATTTATTTCACCTAAGCCAGAGAGGCTCTTGCTGTGCTGGTAGCTCCACAGGGCCCAAGGACAATCCACTAGCTCTACAAGACTACACTCCATCCTATGGTCTTGCACCTGGGGAGAACCAAGACACCAGTCCTCTGTATACAGACGGTAGTCATACCAAGCAGACAAGAGATATCATCTCCCCAACAAGCATCCTACCAGGCCAAAGAAACAGCTCAGAGAAGAGGGAAAGCCAAAACCCTTTTAGAGATGATGTGTCCACGCTGAGGAGGAACACACCATGTTCTATAAAGAATCAACTGGGCCAAAAGGAAATTATGCCCTTTCCTGAAGCCAGTTCCCTTCAATCAAAGAATACACCTTGTCTCAAAAATGATCTTGGAGGAGATGGGAACAACATTCTGGAACAAGTTTTTGAAGACAACCAGCTCAATGAAAGAACTGTTGACCTTACTCCTGAGCAGCTTGTTATTGGTACACCTGATGAAGGCTCCAATCCAGAAGGCATCCAAAGTCAAGTCCAAGAAAATGAGAGTGAGAGGCAACAGCAAAGACCATCTAACATTCTGCATTTGCCATGCTTTGGCTCCAAATTAGCAAAGCATCACTCTTCCACCACCGGAACTCCATCTAGCGATGGAAGGCAAAGCCCATTTGATGGGGATTCAATTACGCCTACTGAAAATCCTAACACATTGGTTGAGTTAGCTACTGAGGAACAATTTAAGAGTATAAATGTAGACCCACTTGATGCAGATGAACACAGTCCATTTGAATTCCTTCAAAGAGGGACCAATGTACAGGACCAGGTACAAGACTGCTTACTACTTCAGGCCTAGGGGTTATCCAACCAAGCATTCTTGGGGAAAGAGAAATCACTGACATTCTATACCAATGGTTCCCAAAATTTTTTCCCCAAGACTTAATTAAGTGTCTGACTGTCTTGGTGATCCTTAAGTTTTCTCCCCTCTCAGCAATAGGAGTAGCGACCCAGGTGGAGCTGAGATTAGGCCTCTGGGGATCACCAGATCTAGCACTTTCACAGATTAGTGCAGACCTTAAAAAAGCAAGAAGGCCATGACCATCCCTGCCTCGAAACTTGCAAGTCACTTGTCTGAGTTAGTTTCCTTTTGCTTGATGACTTCTTTTGCTCTCAAAGTTCCATACTTGCAAAATTGGTTTTTCAAGACTGAAAGGCAGATTAACTTTCCATTCTACTTATGGAGATCCACACATCAGTATAGTCCTGATGCACTGTACGTTTTTTGCTTGTGTTGATCTTGTCAGGTTTTTTTCCTACTCAATATTCTCTTCAAGCATTTTTTTTCTTCCACTGCCACTCTCTTTACCTTTATCATTTCTTTTTCTTAGCTTTCTTCCTTCTTTTCTCTCTCCCTCAACCATTCTGTATTTAGCTTTCTAATCCTCATCTTTTTCTCTCTGTATATCACTTCTTACATATTAAATTAGCTATTTTAACCATTTCTAGTCTCTTCTTTATGTCTACCTCCTCCATTATGTCTTCGTCTCTTCCAACCTATCTGTTCTGTCTCCCAATGTACCACTTATCAACTAATCCCTCTCCTCTCTGATTCCTTTCTTCCCTTCAATTTATCTTTTTCCCTGTTACACCATTTTCATCTTAAGACTGCATGTCACTCTCTTCCTTTTTGTATCCACTCTCCAAATCGTACCCTAAATTTTTCTTGACCCAGCTTAACCATCATTACAGAATATATTTTGGAAATGGTAGACACTGATAGCTACTTTGTTTTTAGTTATCTTAGGGTCTCTACCAAGTAGACACAGTTCAGTTAGAGAGACGTATTTAAGGAGAAGGGAAGGCAGGATACCCAGAACTAGCAGCCTAGGGAAAAGGCTTAGGAAGATGGAGAATGAGGAACTGAAGAAACTGCCGCTCTGAGACTGCACATCCAGGAAAAAAGACTAGGACTTGCCACACACTGCCAATTCATAATCCGCAGGATCTGTAGAAGACATTTTGGGAAACACTGTCTTAAATAAAAACTCAATGTTTAGTTGTTTTTTTTTTTTTTTACTAGTTCAGCATAAGGGATTCTACCAGTATGTGCTACTACTAACATTCTTCATGTCCATGCAGAATTACTTACAGACACTCTTTCTTGGTATCTTGAATAAATTGTGTAAATTATTTTGAAAAGTGGATATTTCTATATGCCTTGCTTATAATACATCAGGGATTATTATTCTTATTAATAACATGTTGGCCTATTATCTGGATGTCCCTTGCCTAGAGCAGGAAAAAAGTCTCAGAATTACCTAAAAACATACTTTATAACTTTAAGAGATTTCTTAGGATACATCTTCAGGGGCAGATTTCATAACAACATCTCAAAAATTTGGGGAAACACAACGTTGAAAACTTCCTAAGAAAAGGAATCTTGCCCTTGAATCTTCTGAAGTACCTAGCACAGTGTCTTCAACATAGAAGGTACCCAATAAATATATATCAATTCATTTTTTAATGACTTTCAACACTCCCATGAAAACACCGTAGTCTGCTTTTCCTGAAAGGTGACTGTCTAGGATGCTGAATGAGCCACCACTCCGTAGCTTTATATATTCAGCAACATTTCCATCATAGAATTTCAGCGTTAGAAGGGATCTTAGAGGTAGATTATCCAGGCCATCCCCTACTGCTTACATTCCCCTCCCCCTGGCCAGTTTTATATTTTAATCACACATTGAAAAATTCATTAACTTATTCTGTATAAAACTGTCTTTTAAGAATTATCCTTTCAAAATAAAAATGTTATTGTTTCACTAGTTTATTTTTCCAAATGATTTTTTTTGAAATCTCAATATGAGTACTTTCATTACAAGATACTCACTTCACATTTCACCAAAATGCATGGGTTCACATAATTGTTTTGGCAGATATGTTGACATATCTGAATTTATAAGACACTGCTACTTAAACTACCATCTGAGATCGCTGCAATGTAAAATGTAAAAAGTACAGTGTGACACTTCCAAACTGTCTTGAGCATAAGTAAATATTTTTTCTAAAAATGTATAGTGTGACCAAAGGAACACATATTTTGAATTTGAAAACACACAGTGAAAAGAAGGGAAAATGTCTCTCCAGAAAATAACTGTTTTCTTTTTTTTTTTTTTTTTTTTTTGGTTTTTGTTTTGAGACAGAGTCTTGCCCTATTGCCCACACTGGAGTGCAGTGGCACCATCTCAGCTCACTGCAACCTCCACCTCCCAAGTTGAAACAATTCTCGTGCCTCAGCCTCCCAAGCAGCTGAGATTACAAATGTGTGCCACCAGGCATGGCTAATTCTTGCATTTTTAATAGAGACAGGGTTTCACCATGTTGGTCAGGCTGGTCTCGAACTCCTGACCTCAAGTGATCCATCCACCTCCGCCTCCCAAAGTGCTGGGATTATAGGCGTGAGCACTGTGGCCGGCCCAGAAAACTCTTGATGTCATCAGCACAGGTATGCATTTGCAAACCTGGATACCAGATATGAGTTCCTTACAGTAAAGAAATCAATTATTCTGTATGCTCTTGCTAAGTTATTGATAAAGCTTTTAAAGTCTGCTCTAAAGTTAAGGTGCACGCGGTGGATATCGGAGGCTCTAAAAGTAACCCTCTTGTCTTAGCATCTGAACCCTACCGCTACTACTACACTTCTGTGATGAGTTCCTACATCTAGTGGTCATCTGCTGATTCTAAACTAGCTGGATATAGTCTATGATGTCTTTAGTTGATAAGGTAAAGAAGAAGAAAAAAATGTGAGGATTATAAACACAAGAGATAATCCAGCAAGGTTGACACTCATCTGCTTTATATGCACAGCCTACAGTAAACTTCTCTAGAGGATGGTTGGGCATTAATCCAGGTGCCTGGGGGAAATCTTGCATTTCCTCACCTGACACAGGAAGCAAAGTAAGATGACAAAATGTAGAGCCAAGCCAGACCTCCGTAAACAGCCTAGTAGCCATTAGCATGGAGAGTCTTCTCTGACTTTTTGGAGCACCTAAACATGTAGATAACATGTTTCACTTCGGTCACTCACATCAGCATCTTAACTTTATACACCTTTAAAGAAAACGCAGAAGTAATGACCTTTGAGTTATTTGTATTATTAACATTACTCAGACGTATCTCTGACCACTCGTTTCCTCTTCCCTCATTTACCCCAGTCGCCTTCAATCATGACCTTAAGGAAACTGAAAAAGATTCATCTTGACCTCAGGAAACCAAACTTCATTTCTAATAACTAAAAAAGAAACCAGAAACGTTGGACTTAAAAAATCAACAGCTCTGTCCCAACTGCCCAATCAAAAGTTGGAAGAAAACTTCACTCGATGGAAAATAGACGTTCACCATTTCACAATAAAATATAGCATTAGGTTTTGTCCACATGCGCTTCCATGTGACTCCACCTCACCCCTAGTCCAATAACATCAGCCACTGAAACTTTTCTTCTTGCTTTGAATTTACAGTCAATTAGATTTAGAAATAGGATTCAACTGGTAACAAGCAAAATTCCATGCTGGCAGAGGAAAAATTTTCAAATGAAGAGGCGAAGAGGAAGCTGATCTGTAATTTGACAAAGATATAATTGTGAAATAGATAAAGCTATTCTCAGGATCCCTTCACATCCCAGGCAAGGTCCTGTGCTCTCATGATGCCCCCATTTCATCCACCTGAGCACCCAGCAACTTCCGTTTCTGTGCCTCATCAGAGCTTGACCAGTAATTACCTCTGAGCTTACCCAAATAACCTTATCTCATTCCTTTCTGCACTATATAAAGCTTTACTCCTATTGCTGATGAATATAATTTTTATCTGGCTGATGCGGAATGTGCTTGGTTGGCTTTACTCTCTCTTTTTTTTTTTTTTTTTTCTTTTTTTGAGACAGGCTGGAGTGCAGTGGCACGATCTGGGCTAATTGCAACCTCCACCTCCTGGATTCAGGCGATTCTCCTGCCTCAGCCTCCCAAGTAGCTGGGACTACACGCACCACCACACCCAGCTAATTTTTGTATTTTTAGTAGAGAGGGGGTTTCACCATGTTGGCCAGGAGGGTCTCGATCTCTTGACCACGTGATCCGCCCGCCTCAGCCCCCCAAAGTGCTGGGATTACAGGTATGAGCCACCGCGACTGGCCGACTTTACTCTTTTTTGTTTGTTTGTTTGTTTCGTTTTGTTTTTGAGACGGAGTTTCGCTCTTGATGCCCAGGCTGGAGTGCAGTGGCGGGATCTCAGCTCACCGCAACCTCTGCTTCCCGGGTTCAAGGGATTCTCCTGCCTCAGCCTCTCGAGTAGCTGGGATTACAGGCATGGGCCAACACACCCAACTAATTTTGTATTTTTAGTAAAGACAGAGTTTCTCCATGTTGGTCAGGCTGGTCTCCAACTCCCGACCTCAGGCGATCGACCCATCTAGGCCTCCCAAAGTGCTGGGATTACAGGCGTGAGCCACCGCACCCGGCCGCCAGCTTTACTCTTATTGCTAATTAATATAATCTTTATCTGGCTGATGCTAAGTATGCTTACTTGGGCAAATGGCTAACTTGTCAAGAACTGCGCAGAAGGAAAACATTTCTCACCAATGGTACTTATTTATGCCTGCCTTTTAAAAATGTCACCCATTTAATTCAAATTAAAAAGAGAGGGCAAAAAGTGCAAGCATTATAATAGACTTATGACAGGTTAATGAATTGGTCGCACTAACCTCAAAATGCCACATTAGCTTTAAGAAAATATTACAGTATTTGCTGTGGTTTAACTCAGTAAAAATATTTTTTTCTCAGCTGGGTGCAGTGGCTCACTCGTGTAATCCCAGCACTTTGGGAGGCCGAGGCGGGTGGATCACCTGAGGTCAGGAGTTGGAGACGAGCCTGGCCAACATGGTGAAACCCCGTCTCTACTAAAAATACTAAAAAATTAGCCAGGTATGGTGGCCGGCCCCTGTAATCCCAGCTACTTGGGAGGCTGAGGCAGGAGAATCACTTGAACCCGGGAGGCAGAGATTGCAGTGAGCCAAGATCACGCCATTGCACTCCAGCCTGGGCGACAGAGTGAGACTCCATTTCAAAAAAAAAAAAAAAAGAAAGAAAGAAAAAGAAAAAGAAAACAAAATTTTGTTCAGAGAAGACCTTGTCAGTCCCATTCCTCATCTGTTAAACCACATTGGCAGCTGCCTCTGGATTCAGGCTGTTTTCTGACAGTGTTGCATGCCATGCTAGCATTATTCCAGTTTTAATGTGTATATGATTGTGAACTGTGTTAAAATGCAGATGTTGATTCAGAGGCTCTGGAGCAGAGCCCACCATTCTGTGGTATTAACATGCTCCCAGGTGGTAGTGATTCAACCAATCGGTGGACAAAGTGGCAAAGTGGTAAGGGTGGCAAAGTGGTAGGCTGCTCCCTCTAAATAAGTGGCAACTTCACACTCACCAGGGAAGGAACAGAAAGGTCTTGACCAATGAAAAAACTATCACCAATTTGAGGGGATGTGTATAAATTAAGCATATAAGTGAAAGATTCAAGACAGAAAGAGAAACAGGAGCAGGCTGATCCTGTCTCTATTCTGACATTTGTGTTATGCTTCTTCCTCTTTCACTGCTTGGCTCGTGTAGTTCTAGAAGGTTCTATTCTCCATCAGGAAAGGCCCCATTCAGTTAACATCTCCTCCAAGATTACCCCAGTCCTAACAACCCAGCTTCCCTGAAGGCTCACAGTACATGATCTTTAATATTTATTTATTTATTTATTTATTTATTTGAGACAGTCTTGCTTTGTTGCCCAGGCTGGAGTGCAGTGATGCGATCTTAGCTCACTGCAACTTCTGCCTCCCTAGTTCAAGCAATTCTCATGCCTCAGCCTCCTGAGTAGCTGGGATTACAGACGTGGGCCACTACACCCAGCTAATTTTTGTATTTTTAGTAGAGCAGGGGTTTCGTCATGTTGGCCAGGCTGTTCTTGAACTCCTGGCCTCAAGTGATCCACCCACCTCAACCTCCCCATGTGCTGGGATTACAGTTGTAAGCCACCATGCCCAGCCGATCTTTAATATTTAATCACAACTGTGTCTTATACTGTGTGCTAATTTTTTCCTGTGTTAGTTTTGCCTATAGAAGAAATAGGAAAACTGAAAAAGTGAGACCCAGTTCTTCTTCTTATGTGGCCCTCATAGCACTGTGCTGAGTACAGAGTAGATTCTAAGTAAACACCACTCTCTTTATCTTATGCAAATGAATAAATATTTAGAATTTCACCAAAATTAATATTAATGTATTAACTAATATTAAAAGTTTAATAATGATTAACACTTTTCTAATTATAAAATATACAGTCTTTGTAGAATATTTGGAACATTCTATACTAAAAAGTAAAAGGAAACAAAAAAATAACATTTTGGCCTATTTCCCTCAAGTCTTTTCCCATGTATGTGTAGGGAATTTTCTTTTTTTTTTTCTTTTTTGAGAGGGAGTCTCTCTCTGTCGCCCAGGCTGGAGTGCAGTGGCACAATCTCGGCTCACTGCAAGCTCCGCCTCCGGGGTTCTGGCCATTCTCCTGCCTCAGCCTCCCGAGTAGCTGGGACTACAGGCGCCGGCCATCACGCCCGGCTATTTTTTTGTATTTTTAGTAGAGATGGGATTTCACCGTGTTAGCCGGGATGATCTCTATCTCCTGACCTTGTGATCCGCCCGCCTCGGCCTCCCAAAGTGCTGGGATTACAGGCGAGAGCCACCACATCCAGCCTGGAATTTTCTTAAAGTCACTCCTTTATGCAAAATCCTACATTTTCCTCTTCACTTTGTATATCAATTTCCATAAATTTTAAAACACATGATGTTTCACTTCAGTTGTATGTAAAATATTTTGAAGTATACCTATATTACCATTCCCTTGATGATGGACTTAAAGTTTCCTATGAATTTTCACTATTATAAATCACATTGTAATAGATATCTCTATCTCTCTTTGTCTGTATTTCTGGTTATTTCCTCAGAAGTGGAATTACCGAGGAAGATGGTTTGAAGGATGTTTAGACAGAATAACATACTGACTGAGAGCTTTGGCTTTGGAGTCTGACAGCCTTGGAGCTAATCATCAGTTCTCCAAATACCTGAAAAACATTAGGCAGGTTACTTCATCACCCTCACAGCTCAGTTTTACCATTTGTAAAGTGAAAACAGTACTTGTTTTATGCAATGTTAGGAGAATTAAATGAAACAACGCGTGTTAAAAACGTACATTCATTGTATTTTGTAACTCAACCACTAGATGGAAGTGGAGGTTTATAATTATAAAGTAGTGGCTCTCCTGTAATTTCCAGCCTCAGTAGCACCTGGGGAATTTGTGGGACCTGCAATGTCTCCAGCTGCATCTCTGAGCTACTTGATCAGTATCTCTGAGGTGGAGCTCAGCAATCTACTTTAATGAGTCCTCCAGGTAATTCTCATACACTCTAAAGTTTGAAAAATCACTGATCCTGCCGGGCGCAGTGGCTCATGCCTGTAATCCCAGCACTTTGGGAGGCCAAGGCAGGCAGATCACTTGAGGTCGGGAGTTTGAGACCAGCCTGACCAACATGGAGAAACCCAGTCTTCTACTAAAAATACAAAAAATTAGCCAGGCGTTGTGGCGCATGCCTGAAATCCCAGCTACTTGGGAGGCTGAGGCAGGGGAATCGTTTGAACCCAGGAGGCAGAGGTTGCGGCAAGCCAAGATTGCACCATTGCACTTCAGCCTGGGAAACGAGAGCAAAACTCCGTCTGAAAAAAAAAAAAAAAAAAAAAACCCAGAAAATCACTGACCCAATATATATTCACATATATTTACATTCTTTTCTTATTTGTTGTTTAGGCAGGGAGAAGAGCCAAAGAAAATTAACACATAATAACAACTGTAAATTATGGATTGTTGCTAATTGCTACCACAGTGGTAATAAGTGATATGCAGACACAGCATGCATCCTTATTTTTATAAAAATCAATGTAGTTATTTTTGCTCCCATTTTTCAAATGAGGAAGCAATCTTTGAATTAACTTGGCCAATGTTACAGTATGTATTTCAATATAGACCATGGATTTATCCACTAGACTATACTGCTACCCCAAAGCCAAGACCTGGAAATCCCATTAAAGGGCTTTATTCTTATTGCTGATTAATATAATTTTCATCTGGCTGCTGCTGAGTGTGCTTACCTGAGCAAATGGCTAACTTGTCAAGAACTATGCAGAAGAAAAACATTTCTCACCAATTGTACCTATTTATGCCTGTCTTTTTAAAATGTCATCCATTTAATTCAAATTAAAAAGGGGGGGCAAAAGGTGCAAAACTTATAATAGACTTATGACAGGTCAATGAATTGGTCACATTAACCTCAAAATATCACATGAGGTTTAAGAAAATGTTACAGTGGACATAGTGATTCTCTAAGAGCCTCAATTGATGTTTGTTAAGACTATAGCAGAGTGATTCAGACTTTTCATTGCCATTTACTAGATAAGTGAACCACTCAAATGGCTAATTATCCACTTAGTTGGTTTTCTCATTTATAATATGAAATACCCAAAAAGTTATTGTAAGGATAAAATGAGATGACATAGATAAATCATTTGGTACTTGAAGAATGCTATCATCGTTATCATCACTAAATCAGATAGATCATAATCAGTATTGTGTTAATTTGGACCCTGCAGAATTGCAAGATGAGATTAGTGGGTGCAAGAGATTTATTAGGAAAACATCTGTGAGGGATAATGGGAAGGGAGCCGAAGAAGGCTGAGTCTTCGGATCCTGATGCAGGTCTTACCCATGTGGAGCAAAGAGGATAGGAAGGATGATTGGACAGATAATGTCTGGAGGTGCAGTGCTAAGAAATTTTCAGCAAAGATAAAAAGGAGTCCCCAAGTCAGTGCCCCATCAGAAGAGTCCTGTGTCTCCCGGGAACTGACCTGTCTTAGTGTCCCTTGCACAAACACAGTGGATCTCAGAACTATAGGTCAATTACATTCTTTGCAGAGAACTGAGAGGCTCCTTTCATGGCCACCACATCTTACATTGATTCCTTAGTGTGCCCCTCTAAATGTTCCACTAATACCAGCAAATGTTTGAATACAACTTAAAGAAAGGCTTTAATCTATCCTCAATAACTCTCATTTAAGAGTCACCAGCTACTCCAGATTTATATTGAATGAGTTAATATATATAAAGCACTTACATTGGTACCTAGCACATAGTAAGTACTAAATTGTTACTAGTATGGTAGTATCAGAGTTTAACTGAACTTCTGAAAGAAGGAAGACTTGTGGGACTACGAATTGCAGTCTTCTTCCAGCTAGCATTTAATGAGGTAATAATGCTGGAATAGGGGTCTTTCCTATAAGGATCTGCAATGTGGATCTACAAAACTTCTTCTACTGGGTACACCGAGAAACTAAGGCAAAGATGAGGAGAAAGTAAGCGGTCTCTTCAGAAGCAGTCTCTCATGAATTCTCATAGCACTTTGGAAGCTATTTCTTTGCCTTCAGCAGGCTCTGCCAAATAATAATTATTTATGTGTATGTCTTATCTCTTCAACTAAGCTACACTCATGTTCATTCATTCAACAAATATGTATTGAGTACTTCCATGTGCCAGACACTGTTCCAGATGGTGAGGAAACATCAATGGGCAAAAGTGCGTGCCTTCGTGGAGATTACACTCTAGTGAGGGGAGACAGACCATAAACATGACACGTAAGTAAATTACCTAGTCTGCTAGAGGGAGATAAGTACTTGGGGGGAAGTAGACTAAGATAAAGAAATGGGGTTTGAGATATTTAAAAAGTAGTCAGGGTGGTTCTCACAGAGAAGATGACACCTAGGCACAGTTCTGGGGAGCGAGCAGTGATAGTGACTTTCTCAAGGGCGCTCACCATAACTTCACCACCACAGACCAATCCTGTGCATTTGGTTAATATTTAATAAATGTTTACTGACTAAATGAGATTCAAAGACTTGGCTAAAACCACACTCTAGATTAAAGATCAGTCAAGAATGGATGTATCTTTAATACACCAAAACTGGGGTTTCTACTGAAGCACCAGTGTCCTATGCATATCCCTAAAGAAACACTGAATAATCCGTGGAAGTCATTAAAGATGACTATTACCAGAACAATTCCTTTTCAAGAAACCAACTCTTACTAATCATCTTCCCACTGTTTTAAATTCAGAGTTAGCATTTACTTTCCATGGTACCTTTAAATATATATGTCAATTGGCCTTGGCTTTCTGCCATAAAGTTTTATGTGCCATGATAAACATGGTATTTATCAGGGGGGATTTTGCCCTTTTATTTAATTATGGGTATAAAATGGCAAAGCCACCTCAAATATGTACATGTATTAGTTCTGTGATTAATGCTTCATTACATCATACTTACAAACCATTCATCAATAACAAGTTAACTTACGTAAAGAAAGTTAACATAAGGAAACTTTTTTCCAACAAATTATTTCACACAGGTATATGCTTATGAATCTATTTAATTGCTCAGACTGTGCTAGAGAATACGTACCATGAAATACATATATTTCATAAGGTTCAGTTACAAAATGGATTGTTTCAAATGGCAATTTCTTACACTAACCTGATTATGAAAAAAAGAAGTCTGTATCATCTGCTTCCAAGTCTGTTATGTCCAAATATATTTTAATTATGCATTTATTTTGCTACTTTTATAAATATTAGAGATTTCACCTTAAATTATTTTTGTAACTAGTTCTAGAACATGTTTTCCAATTATTATTTTTCTAATGGAGACATATAATTGACCTATGTTTATGCATATATGTTCTCTACACAGTGAAACTTTTTTTAAAAAGAATAGTAAAGAAAATGCGGAAGCTCTGGCTCTCCAAGGCAAAGTCAAAAAAAAAAAAAAAAGCGGGGGGGAATGCGAGGAACATTTTATTACACCTCCTGATTTTCAGTCCTTGAGTTTTATTTTCTCCCCTTGTTTATTTGTTTAATGCTAGAAACTGTATTCCTAAGAGAGCATACCTCTTTCAGGTGAGCATGATAATTGGAAGATTTTGATACTTAGAGTATGAACATATAATTAAGAAGTGATTACCTAATAAAGATAACAATGTGACTATTTTAATTATTTTGGTGGCAGGGAGTTGGTTTTACATCACCCAAAAAAAAAAAAAAGCCCTGGTTTCAAATTCATTGGTAATAAATATGCTAACTTTCTGAATCAAAATGGAGAGCCTCTCAAGAAAAAGAGCTATGCAGTCAGCAATGACTTAAATTAGTCAGGATAGCAGGCATCTGGGGTTAAGGCTGTTTCCACCATTTTGGTCTCACCACCATATACGAGTGGGACCACAGCTGTGTAGCACTTGTTTCTGTCATAAGTGTAGCAGGTCTCTGTAGCACTGTCTTCATCACAGATATTGCTCTGGGTAGCAGTAACTATCTGATTATCCAGCTCCACTTCTGTAGGATCACATTTTTTACAGCTGAAAAGCAAATATATGTATTAGACAATCCCCTCAAATGCTGTCTCAAAATGTGACTACACATTTCAATCCAAAATCAATTAGTTCTTGCAGCTCTGACATGACAGCAAGGGATGACTCCTTTCAGACATAAGCAGCTCTACAATACAGAATAGCTTATGGGATTTTCCAATCTTTAATATATATTAGTTGAAAGTAAGCAATATAATTAATGATATGATAATATGATTGTTTTATCTACACCATACAGCAATTTCTACTGTGTTAGGCTTATTCCCAACTGTATATCTGTCTAAACAAGTTATTTATAGTGACAAGAAAGGGAGAATTTTTAAAAAAATTGATGTTGGAGTCTGTCATTTCCAAAGAAACACCTGCCTTTTTATAAGATCAAATCCACTTATTGAACTATTAAGAGAAATTGGCCTTTCTATGAATGCCAATGATTTTTTCTTTAGAAAAAATGTATAGCTAAATTTTATCTGTGACAAAGTTTTATGAATTTATGATACCTAATAATTAACATAGGAATTAATGTATTCAAAAGTTCAGATTATGTTTGTAAATGTTTATACTCCAACATATTTTTAAAAACATTCTTACTAACAAGGTTAAAATTAAAAGCTATTAACTTCCACATCTATATTACTATGGAAAAAAATATATCTTACAGGTCAGACAAATGGTACACAAATCTGGTTCTCAATGGTGAGGTGGGATCAGAGATATTCTCCCTGTTGTTCAGAGGAACACTAAAAGAAAAGAAAGAAAACAAAGTTAAAACAATGAAATGCAGATATTGTTATTTTTGGTAATGAGTATACGGCCACTATTTCATCAGAACAGTACTTATTGTATTTAGTACTCTATAAGCACTCTAGAGTAATACCGTTACTCAGATTTTTATAGTAACTTGCTATATTTTAAATATTTCTCATTCAAAATAAACCTCACAACAACTCCGCTGTCAACTATCTTTGCTGACTTGGCAAATTTTTGCTTTTCCTTTAAAACTCAACTCACGTTTTACCTCTGTAATAATTATATTGATGTTATCCCCACCCTTCAACAAACTTCTTCCTCTGCAGTCTCATTAATGCTCATATATATTTATTATATCAAATGCCGTATCATAGTTGCTTGTCTACAGAGTGGTTGCTTCCCTGGGCTATGTAAGTTCCTTGAGGCAAAAACATTTATGTATTCCCAGTGCCTAGCTAGGTATGTGGCATATGGAATATGTTCAATATATGTGAAATGGACAGACAGATATTATTATCCAGATTTTAGAGGAGAGGAAATCATAAATAGGAGAGGTTAGTGATCCACCCAAGTTCACACAACAATTAAGTAGCAAAGCTGGAACTTTTTCATCGTGATGTCCCATGAAAAATTAGATGATTGTCAACGAGTTCAGGTGATTTCATTAACTTTAACATTTTTTTCATCTAAGTCATCATTCCTTCTCATGTGCAGCCCTCCCTACCAAAAGGAACAACAAAAACCTTGTGTTTCCTAACTCAGTATTTATAAATACCATCCAAGCCAAAAACCTGGCTATCATACCTGAATCCTCCCCTGTCACATATCTAATCAATCTCACAGTCCAGTTGATTCTAATTATTTTCATGTGTGAAATCCATCCACTTGCCTCTCTTCTCATTATTACTGCCTTAATTCAGGACACCACTATCCTCTCCTAGATTGTAACAATGTCTTCCTTTTGTCTTGACCCCTTCAAACCACTGGCCACATTATTGCCAAACATCCTTTCTAAAAATGCAAGCTTAATTTCCTTCTCTGCTTAAAACCTCTAGTGTCTCTCCACAGATAACAGGGTATCCTCAAATAGCATAGAAGGCACGTATCCTAATATGCCCCTAACTCTCCAGCTTCATCTCTCACAATGTCACCATCTACAATGCATGCCAGCTGTAAACAATCACTTGCAATTCCACAAACGTACCATGCTTTTCTCATCTCCCATCTTAACAATAACAGTTCTAACATATAATACTGGTTACAGTGTGCCTGGTACTATGCTAAGCATATTACGTGATGATCTCATATAATCGTCACAGCAATCCTGTTTCCTTTTCCTGGAATGACCTGCCCCACCTATTAATTCTCTCACTCCCCACACACATTTAGCCAGCAAACTCCTATTGAGCTAACAGCCATCATCCATCCCACCACTTATTCCAAGCACCCTTTCCTGCCTCCCACTGCCACCCTTCTCCTCTCCCCCAGGATTGGACTGGGTGCCCCTCCTCAGTACTCCTATAACAACCCATGCCCATTCCTATCATAGCACTTACAATACAGAATTGTAATTGCCGTTTTAATTGTTTACGGTTTCCTGTTAGACTATAAATTCTTTTAAGAAATGGACTATATTTTAAATAAACTGTTTTATCCCCACCACCAACCCTTAATATTTGGCAGTTACTAAATAAACATTCGTTGAATGAATGAATGAAACTATTCTTAATAAGACTGTAAAGACTCTAGTAATATCAGAAAAAGGAGAGGCTACTATAAGCCAAACACTGTTCTTTTATGAATTATTGTATTTAATCCTCACAACCCTATAAAGTATATGTGTATAAATTCATACATGCATAATTATCCCTTTTTTTAAAGTTTAGGAAAAAGGCTAGTTAAGTAACTTGCCCAAAGTCACATCATTTTAGTAAGTAATGGAGTTGGGAATAATACCATAATGGCAGGCTCGGCATGGTGGCTCACGCCTGTAATCCCAGCACTTTGGGAGGCTGAGGCAGGTGGATTGCTTGAGGTCAGGAGTTCAAGCCCAGCTTGGCCAACATGATGAAACCTTGTCTCTACTAAAAATACAAAAATTAGCCAGGCGATGAGGAGTGCATATGTAGTTCCAGCTACTAGGGAGACTGAGGCAGAAGAATTGCTTGAACCTGGGAGGCAGAGGTTGCAGTGAGCCAAGATCATGCTACTGCACTCCAGCCTGGGCAACAGAGTGAGACTCTGTCTCAAAAAAAAAAAAAAAAAAAAAAAAAAAAAAAGCCAGGCACGGTGGCTCATGCCTGCAGTCTCAGCACTTTGGGAGGCCAAGGTGGGCAGATCACCTGAGGTCAAGTGTTCGAGACTAGCCTGGCCAACATGGTGAAACCTCATCTCTACTAAAAATACAAAAAAAAACTAGCTGGGCATGGTGGTGCGTGCCTGTAGTCCCAGCTACTCGGGGAGGCTGAGGCAGGAGAATTGTTTGAACCCAGGAGGCAGAGGTTGCAGTAAGCCAAGATCGCACCACTGCATTCCAACCCGGGTGACAGAGGGAGACTCCATCTCAAAATAATGATAAGAATAATAATAATAATACCATAATGGCACAGCAATGGCAATATACTTTCAGAAATCAGAACAGAAGATCAACACATCAGGCAAAGTGTCATGAAATATCTGAATTATCTGATTTCAGTAAACAATGTAATATAAAAAGAATCATTTCATAAAATAAAAAGATGAATTAGAAGATCATGGAGGAGATTTTAAAAATCTCCTGGAGGTTTAAACGTAAGATAGACACTCTTCAACATGGCTTAAGTGCCAGTGTCATGTATGCCATTCTTTCCAATTACCCACTACTCCAGCTATTCTATCCCTAACACGAAGCTATGTGGGCAGGATCTGAGTGGTCAAAGAAAACCTCCTAGAGGAAGTGATGGCTGAACTAAGACATGCACATTGAGAAGGAGTTAACTAGGCTAAGAGGGGTGGGACAGAGTTCTTCAAACAGAGGAACTAGCAGATGTAAAAGCACTGTGAATGTGGGGAAATAGAGACACTACAGCAGTGCTGAATTTTTTTTTTTTTTTTTTTTTGAGAAAGTCTCGCTCTTGTCCCCCAGGCTGGAGTGCAGCAATGGCATGATCTTGGCTGACTGCAACCTCCGCCTTCCGGGTTCAAGTGATTCTCCTGCTTCAGCCTCCCGAGTAGCTGGGATTACAGGCACCTGCCACCACGCCCGGATAATTTTTGTATTTTTAGTAGAGACGGGGTTTCACCATGTTGGCCAGGCTCGTCTCAAACTCCTAACCTCAGGTGATCCACCCGCCTCGGCCTCCCAAAGTGCTGGCATTACAGGCATGAGCCACCGTGCCCAGCCCCAGTAGTGCTGAATTTTTAAACATGAAGTAAAAGAAAAGTGGCAATGGATGATCTTGAGAGTTATGCTAAGCTTTGTAGATCAGGCCAAGGCATTTGTAATATATCCTAAGGTCAATGTTGGGGAAACCATCACAAGACTTTTAAGCAGGATGGTGACAATAATTGGCACATAGATTAGGTGAATAAATAATAGTAAATATTTTTTAATATGTCCCAGAAATATATAAGCTCTAAAAGGAATATTCTCTATTTATTTTTACAATAATCCTATGAGTTAAGCATGATTTTTTTCCTCATTTAAAGATGAAAAAGTTGAAGTTCAAAGTAGATTAGTAACTTGCATACAAAAACACACAACTATTAAGTGTCCCAGACAGAACTTAAAACAAAATTCTTAAACACATTATACTTTTTCCATTGATTGAATGGAATGGAATGCTCTGTTCTCTTTCTATAGGAGATTTGATTGGGGAAAAACTATTAAGGTAGGAGTGGTTTACAAGGAAAACTTATAACTGATTGGATCCAATAGAAATCTAATTTCTCAAATAGTATTAGCATTCTTGCTATTGAAAAAGAGCTGTATAGCATATAACTCTGGACTGTGTGTGAAATGAAATGAATATCTGAAATCCAATCTAAAAGTGAGATCAAATCAAATTAATGTGATCAGTCTGCCTTATCTCGATGCAGACATCTGGTTACAGTATAAAAGACTCAGTTATCTATATATGGTACAAAATAAGGCTTTAGTGTTATCTGAAGTTTCAGTTTGAACTGATCAAAGGCAACTGAAAGTTCTGATTCAAATTGAAATAACTTGGCCAGGCGTGGTGGTTCAGGCCTGTAATCCTAGCACTCTGGGAGGCCAAGGCAGGAGGATCGCTTGAGCTCAGAAGTTCGAGAACAGCCTGGGCAACATAGTGAGACCCTGTCTCTAAAGAAAAATAAAAAATTATCCAGGTGTGGGGTGGTGCATGCCTGTAGTCCCATCTACTGAGGAGGATCACTTGAGCCTGGGAGTTCGAGGCTGCAGTAAGCAGTAATCTTGCCACTGCACTCTAGCCTGGGTGACAGAGTGAGACCCTGTCTCAAAAACAAGCAAACAAAAATAAATGAATAGAAATAACTCCATATAAACAGTGCATGTTGATGACTAGATTACAACCTTTGTTTATAATTTGATGTAGCCCACTGATTTTAGATTGGCTGTAATCTTTCATTCTTACCCCTAATTTCAATAAAATTGCCTCAAGCTCATTCATAAGACTCAATTCTTTACTCATGTAAAGTGCTACACAGCAAAAAGGGGAGTAAAGAGGCAGGTGTTACATTCAAACAATGCTCAGTGTCAGAAAGTATCTCTGCTTAGAACAGGAAAAAAAGGAATATGGAATGCCACATACATAATTCGGATGTTTCTCTCCACAATGTCCTCATTAGGATCTTCGGAAGAACGGATGATCCTGGAAGTAATCCGGGCACACTTACATTTGTTGTCAACAAGAACAATCCTTTCATCTTCTTGGGCTTGAAAGGTAAACGTATTAAAAAGAAAGGAAAACAAAGGTCAATTTATATATTTTGTATTGAGTTATTTTATCTTTCTTGCCTGCAGAAAAATAGTTTTATGGTTGGTTTGTCTCAGCTTTCTCCATTTGTTCTCTAAGCAGAATCTTACATCACAGTAAAGGAAATCCAAAGGTACTCTAAAAGGGATTTTCACTTTTTTCTTGAACCAGTCTATGGGAATCTGGGTTGAAAGAATTCTGATTTTCGCATCCTTCCTAAACTCTCATTTGTACTTAAATTTTTTTTGTATAAATTGTATTATAGTTAAGAACAGGCATGTTTTCATCCAAGATAACCTTATTTTGTAAGACTTTTAAATATTCTCTACCACAATTATCTGCCTTTTCATAATAACAATCAGATTATCATAGTACATGATTCAATTTAAAAAAAGGCTATATTTCTTATAAGAATTATTTTAAGCAGGGCGCAGTGGCTCATGCCTGTAATCCCAGGACTTTGGGAGGCCGAGGCGGGCAGATCACAGGGTCAGGAGTTCAAGACCGGCCTGGCCAACATAGTGAAACCCCATCTCTACTAAAAACACAAAAATTAGCCGGGCATGGTGGTGCATGCCTGTAGTCCCAGCTACTCAAGAGTCTGAGGCAGGAGAATCACTTGAACCTGGGAGGTGGAGGTTGCAGTGAGCCAAGATCGTGCCACTGCACTCCAGCTTGGGCAACAGAGTGAGACTTCATCTCAAAAAAAAAAGGAAAAAAAGAATTATTTTAAAAGATAGAGTATATATAGATATAAAGTGCTGTAAATTTGCAAAAGCAATTTAGAAATATTATGAGGTACAATCTCAATTGAATATGCCTGTATACAGAAAAAAAAATGAATAAATGAATAAATACACATATGACCATTAAAGCCTTAACTTTGAATGTCAACATTTATTGTCTAATCTGAATATTAGACAAAGAGGTCTGATAAGTTGTTTGTTTATTTGCCAGAATGTCTCACTCTGTCATCCAGGCTGGAGTGCAGTGGCACGATCTCAGCTCACTGCAACCTCTGCCTCCTGGGTTCAAGTGATTTTCCTCCCTCAGCCTCCCAAGTAGCTGGGACTACAGGTGTGCACCATCACACCTGGCTAGATCTTTGTATTTTTTTTTAGCAGAGATGGAGTTTCACCATGTTGCCCAGGCTGGTCTTAAACTCCTGACCTCAAGTGATCCACCTGCCTCGAGCCTCCCAAAGTGCTGGGATTACAGAGCCACCGCACCTGACCTTGATAAGTATTGCAAGGAATAAACAAAGGAAATTTTGTATCATCTGGGTTTGGATCAATTAACAGATTTTATTTTAATTTTATTTTTTGAGACAGAGTTTCACTCTTGCCCAGGCTGGAGTGCAATGGCGTGATCTCAGCTCACTGCAACCTCCACCTCCCGGGTTCAAGTGATTCTCCTGCCTCAACCTCCCAAGTAGCTGGGATTACAGGCATGTGCCACCATGCCCAGCTAATTTTTGTATTTTTAGTAGAGACCGAGTTTCACCATGTTGGTTAGGCTGGTCTCGAACTCCTGACCTCAGGTGATCCACCCTCCTCGGCCTCCCAAAGTGCTGGGATTATGGGCGTGAGCCACCACGCCTGGCAAATTACCAGATTTTAAAAATTCAATAATAGCTTTACATAAGTAATGCTATTAAATAAGAGTGCTAATTAATAATAACAATGATGTTGGCCGGGTGCAGTGGCTCACGCCTGTAATCCCAGCACTTTGGGAGGCCGAGGCGGGTGGATCATGAGTTCAGGAGTTCCAGACCAGCCTGGCCAATATGGTGAAACTCCATCTCTACTAACAATACAAAAATTAGCCAGGCATGGTGGCACACACCTGTAATCCCAGCTACTCGGGAGGCTGAGGCAGAAGAATCTCTTGAACCTGGGAGGTGGAGGTTGCAGTGAGCCAAGACTGCACCACTCCACTCCAGCTTGGGCAACAGAGCGAGACTCCATCTCAAAAAATAATAATAATAATAATAATTACAACAATGATGTTAAATATGCTTTATTCATATAATTTTAGCTAAGTGACCTTTAACAATTCCTCTCATTAAGCCTCAACTAAAAAAAAAACATTTAGTATACGAATTCAAGTTATAAAGTTTAAATGATCAGAATAGTTATAATTTTAACTGGAAGTCTATTCCTGAGACGATTCCCAGAGCAAAGAGGACCTAATGCAGTATTTCAGTCTTAATGATAAGAGCCACTACAAAAACATTTTAAGACCATTGTTATTGTACTTGTAATTGTTTGAAGTACTTTATAATGCATTATTATACCATTATTCATAAGTTCCTAATGAATCTTCTGACACTGTGTAATATTGGAAAGAAACATTATGGAGTAAATTCAAGGTAATGAAATAACTCATTAACATCTGAAAGAGGTAAAATGACTTAAATGATGTCCTCTTTCCTACTTGTGTATCCATGACTCTTAAAAGTTTTTTCTCAATGAAATATAAATGAGCACATAATGCCTGACCAAAAATATAGATTGTTGAGGAGTGACTTGACTATTAAGTCTTAAATAGAAAATGTCTATATTCTATTACGGCATATGATTACTTCCTTACCAGAAACCTGGGAAGTTAATATAGAAAAATATTAGGCAGCCTAATATCTATCAGAAATACATAGCTGTCAGAAAAGTTACAAATACTTTCAATTCACCAAGACTTAGAGTCTAGCATTTGCTCTCACCAACAGGCAGTATTTTTCCTAACAAACCTGTTATTAGGGACTGTGCCTTACTTTATTCCAAGAGCATCTGACACATAGTAGGTGTTCAATAAATATTTGTTAAATTTAATTCACTTCAAACAAATAAGAAAATAGATTTAACAACATATGCTAGATATGACCATAATGAGTTTACTAAAAAGTGATTGCCTTACACAAGGCAGAATAGGATAGTAGGAGTGCGGGCTATAGGGTCAGATTGCCTGGGTTCTGCTTACACTCTTGCTTGCTGTATGACTTTGGTAAGTTACTTCACCTCTGTAAGTCTCAACTGGCTCAACTGTATGTCAGAAGTAATAATAGTATTTATTCTCATATGGTTACTGAGAGAATTAAATGGAATATTATATGTAAAGGAATTAGCATGATACCTAGAATATCATATTCAGTAAGTGATAGCTGTTTTATATACAGATGGTCCCCAACTTACCATGGTTCTACTTATGATTTTTCTACTTTATGATGCTGTGAAAGTGATATGTATTCAGTATGCTCCTCAGCTACAATGGGGCTACCTCCCTATAAAGTCACTGTAAGCTGAAAGTATGATATTTTCAACTTTCAACTTTATAGGGTTTATAGGGAAGTAGCCCCATTATATATATCATATATTTTTAGATATGTATATATACTTACATTGTACATGCTTTACTAATATTTTATATTTTAAATCATTAGAAAGTTATTCTTAATGCTAAATTAGTATAAAATATATATATAAGGCCTATTCTTAATCACATTTCTGTCATTATTCATCTTGAAATAAGAACCACAGACTCAGTGATAGGAACAATCCAGACAAATTTTAGTGTGTCCTTCTAAATGAAAATTATTTAATACTGTACCTCTAAATTCAGAATGTATTCCATTTTCTGAAGTTGTTTGAAAGATCAGTAAACAAAATAACAAAAGTTCAGTCATCAATTTATAGGCAACCTGTATAACATTAAACATTGTTAAAGGGTCATAATAAATCTGTGGGATCAGATCCAGGAAAGCTGTTAAAACCAATACCAGCCTCTTTGGGGAAATAAAATCCCAATGCATTCCATGTTGTACTTACAGTAATTATTATTTCATTTCTCCAGAATATTAATTTAAGAGACTCAAGGGAAGGATTATAGATTTTTAAGATTCAATATGGACATTCATATAAGCAGGACTATCTGTAGTTAGCTAATTTCTTATTCTCTAGTTTGTAGTAGGCAAACAAGTAAGTAAGATAAGAGAAAAAAGAATAAAAAGAGTCTTATCTATGTAAAGACAACTGCCATAGAAAGATGAAAGCATGTTAGGAAAAAGTAGCTGGCTAACTGGCCAACCAAAGCATAGGCATAAATGTTTAAAACTGAAAAACAGATCTGTCCTATATTTTTCCTTTGATCTGGGATCATTTTCTAAATATCACATACCTTTCACATGAACAGCCTTAATAAAAACCGCCAGGACTCCCCAGAAAAGCAAATGGTTCTTCATCTTGACTTCACTTCTTCTGAAAAACTGGAGCAAAAAAAGTCAGGGTTAAGGTGTGTGATCTATAAGGAGTGTGCAAATGATGGTGCTTCTGCTTTCTTAAAATAACACTCCAGGCAGCTAACAAACTAAAAACAATCACAACTGTGGTTGAAGTCTGAAGTTTAAATGCTGAACTGGAAAAATGTATGACTCACATTTAAGTATTTTCTTGCAAAGCATCCAAATAAAAACCATAATTTGATACAATCATTTTTATTTTGCATTTACACTATATAAATGTTTAAACCAGAAGACTAATAATAATTTCAAGGAAGGATTCCATTAAGAATGTTGAAATAGGGATTTTCCATTTTATTACCTAGATATATTCATATTAGTCTTCAAATCAGACATCTGACACTTGTCATGCCTAGAATAATAAATGAAGGTAAGTGAAGGAGGAGAGATGAAGGAAGGGGAGAGAAATGAAAGTCCTTTAAGGTCCCAAGTGTATCTTATGTTAATTTTTTATACTAGTCCTTAATTAACCAAGCTACCAGATTTAAATATATATTTTGTATATATCTCACAAAATATGTATTTTGTATATATCTCACAAAATCTGTATTTTGTATATATCTCACAAAATCTGTATTTTGTATATATCTCACAAAATCTGTATTTTGTATATATCTCACAAAATCTGTATTTTGTATATATCTCACAAAATCTGTATTTTGTATATATCTCACAAAATCTGTATTTTGTATATATCTCACAAAATCTGTATTTTGTATATATCTTACAAAATATATTTTGATTACTTTCAGTTATTTTATAAGCTCAAACATGGAATTGGAATTAGAAGCTGGTAGATACTTGGCTGGGCGCAGTGCCTCACACCTGTAAACCCTGCACTCTGGGAGGCCGAGGCAGGTGGATCACTTGGGGTCAGGAATTCAAGACCAGCCTGGCCAACATGGTGAAACCCCGTCTCTACTAAAAATACAAAAATGAGCTGGACATGGTGAGGGCCTGTAATCCCAGCTATGCGGGAGGCTGGGGCAGGAGAATCGCTTGAATCTTGGATGCAAGAGGCTGCAGTAAGCCGAGATGGCACCACTGCACTCTAGCCTGGGTGACAGAGGGAGACTCTATCTCGAAAAAAAAAAAAAAAAAAAAAGAAGCGGGTATATACCAGATAAATAAGTTGCCATATTTTAATTTGATAGCATTAAGACGGACCTTCTGTCTAGTTACACCTTTCAGAATTGCAAACCCATAAGATGATTTTTGAGATGCCTCAAAAGCAAACTGAATCACTGCAGTATTTTGTGTAAAATTTTTTTCACTTAATTAATGTCATTTTTTTTAACTGAGCTTTTGGACAGAGCACCCCCTGCACTCCCACTCCAACATGCTGGAATTTCCTGTCTCTTAGGCAAGGTTGGTTCCAAGAATATGCTGGTTACACAACAGCATCAAATCCGTGTTACTTCTGGTTCTCAGCTCTAATTTTTGAAGGGACTCCTAGAATTTTAAGAGGTAATTAGGAGTACTTCAGAATCATAAGTAAGGCAAGCAGACTTCAAAGCTAGAAATACGAAATGACAGGATGAAAGAGACATTAAAGGCTAGCACATGATTGCACTTCTTCAGAGTATGTATTGAAAGTCTGTAAGAACAAAGTGTCAGGCACTGTCATACGCAATATTACTATACTGTCCAAGTTTATTCCTATTTTAATTTCTACTATCAGTAGGACTTAGCAACTACTTGAGTTTAGGGAAAATATACTGGCATCACATGGACAGTTTATTAAAAAAAGAAACAGACCTGAAAGCACATTATTTTAGTTTGTGGTCAGGAGGTCAAAACAACTATCAACCACTCTAAAAGATCCTCACCCCCAACTGAAGTTTCTAAATAACTGACTTATTCAATCACTCAAAAAAAAATAGTAATTAATAGTCAGCTGGATACCTTTTTAATTCTTGAAAAATAAACTCAAGGCTAGACTGCCTTCCCAAAGCAAGTTGAGTAAATCCTTGGGAACAAATTAAAACTTCTCCAAAAGTTTCCTTTTTTATAACAGCAAAGATTATTTAACTCATAATTACTAACCTAAAGAAAAGCTCTATATTTGATATTTTCATTCTTCCAATCTTGCTTTTTTTTTTTTTTTTGAGATGGAGTTTTGCTCTTGTTGCCCAGGCTGGAGTGCAATGGTGCCATCTCGGCTCACTGCAACCTCCACCTCCCAGGTTCAAGCAATTCTCCTGTCTCAGCCTCCTGAATAGCTGGGATTATAGGCATGTGCCACCATGCCCAGCTAGTATTGTATCTTTAGTAGAGACGGGGTTTCTCCATGTTGTTCACGCTGGTCTGGAACTCCTAACCTCAGGTAATCTGCCTGCCTCGGCCTCCCAAAGTACTGGGATTACAGGCGTGAGCCACTGCGCCTGGCCAATCTTGCATTTTTATATTTCGATTATGTAAACTATAAATCTAAAATAAATTGCGTTAATAAAAATAAAGTGTGACACATTTGTCATTAGAAGAGAATTACCTATGCTGGCAACATAGGATCTGGACTAGTGTTTTGCCTTGTGTGCTCTAGGGATCATCTGACTAGAACCACTTGTAGTACTGGTTAAAATATGGATTTCTTGGTAACACTCAGAATTTCTGGAGATGTGACCTTGGAATATGTATTTTCAAAAAGCATCCCAGTTGATTCTGATGTGCACTGAAGTTTGAAAACTAATGGAAAAAAAGACTGGCCTAGGGCAGGAAGTAAGGGAGTGCAGAATAACTAGCAGCAATAACTATTTATGGAAGAACAAAAGATTAATAAAGGTAATTTTTAAATAAATAGCCATACTGAAAAGTTAGCTGAAGTTTGTATTTGCTTATAATTCACTATAGGTAAGCTGTTGCATATTCTTTTTATCATTAACCTACTATATACAAATACAAGTTCCAGTTTAATTTTTAAACCACTTCTTTGCCAGTTTTAGTTATGTTTTTGCCACTAAAAAAATGTCAAATGTGAATAGTAGAACCCTTTACATGTGTGTTAAGTGATTGAGAACTTAGCCATGTGTTCTAAATTCTCAGCAAAAAAAGAGGCTTATTTTTCTATACTCACATTTAAGATTTGTGTAGTAAGAGATTCAGTGATAGACTCAGCTAGATGAAAGAGATCTTAAAGGTAATTTAGTCTCACCTTCATGACTCTCAATTTTTTTTCAATATTCTATATAACCGAATTCAGCATTTAGTTGAAAATCATCCGAAATAGTTGGATGCTCCACTCCCTGTGGACACAACTCATTATATTTTGGGATATTCAAATTGTGACAAGATTTTATTCTCATGGGACACAGAGAATGTAACTCCCTGTTTTCCTCCTGTCTCACTGGTGACTCCTTCTGGGTCTCTTGCCAAATTTTCCTCTGAATATTGAGGACATCAAGGCTTAATCCTCATCTTTTCTATTCTCTTAGCCTCTCCTTAATTAATTTTACCTTATTCCATGCCTTTAAACATAGGGCACACTGAGGACTCTCAAATGTATAACTTTAACTTTTACCTTGCCCATTGAGTTCTGAATGCCTATGTCCAACTTTTTATTTTATATCTCCATGTAGCTATCTAAATGGGTATCTAAACTTAACCAGGTAAAACGGTATTCTTGATGACCAATCCATCCTCACACTCACATACCAATCTCTTTCTGTCTCAAGTTTTCCCCCATCTCAGTAAATGACACCTCCATCAGTTACTCAAGCCAAAATCCTCTTCTTTGCTTCCTTTCTTTTCCTCTCCCCTACATCCAATTTACCAGCATGACCTGTCGGCTTTCTCTCCAAAACATATCCCAAATTCATCTGATTCTCTCCGTTTTCACTACCAACCTAGTCCAAGCCTCCATCCTCTTTCCTGGACTACCATAATAGCTTCTATAATTAAAAAGTAACTTTTCCTTTCCCTCAGCATTGGTGACTAAGGCACACAGATCATAAACAAGAATGACTAAGTACCACAAATCTAAAGCAAGCCAAATATTTCCTCCAAGGTTTGTTAAGAGGCAACGAAGCCAGACACAGTGGTGCATGCCTGTAGTCCCAGCTACTCAGGAGGCTAAGGCAGGAGGATCGCTTGAGGCCAGGAATTGAAGGCAAGGCTAAGGAAGATAACAGTAGTTTTCAATGTATAACTATTATGTACACATACAATTTTTTTCTAAAAAGAGGCAACAAAACTCAATCTACTTCCATCAACCACCACTCCACCGCTCCCATACACTCCCATCTCATCTTTAGAAGACTAGGGAGGGAAGAGGGGGGATGTTATAAGAGCAGCTGTTACCTTGTTGAAATCATAGTGTTTGTAATAAGAGACTCCCACACACATATCCCACCTCGCTTCACCCTTGGGAGAGTAGAGAGTAAAGGTGGGGCACCTTCCTCTCCCCAGATTCAAGTGAGGGAGAGTTTCAAGAAAATCACCCAAGAGATCAGGGACCCTAAAAGCAGGGGAGATTGAGAAGCAATATAGCATAATAGTTAAGAGAAAGGGCTCTGAACCTGACTGATTGGGTTTATCCCCCAATTCCACCACTCTCTAGCTAGGTAACACTGGACAAACCTTGAACAAATCACTTAATCTCTCTTAATTTCCTCTATCTGTAAAAGGGGGAAATAACAATATATGCTTCACAGGATTGTTGTCAGGTTAATATTTATTACATCTATTACATCATGTGAAGAAGTTAGATCTTGGCACACAATAAGTGTTATGTAAGTACTAGTTACTTATTATTATCATCGTCGTCATCATTATGTCTTAACTCCTTGTGGAGTTGCAGAAAATGCAGCTACCAACTGCAATGAAGTTTGGGGAAAGCATTCCTGGGAGAACCTGACATGGCCCCTTGGGTTGTGGATGTGCAGGAATATCAAAAATGATACATGATCATGCTATATAAAGTATAAATGAAAATGTCCAAAGTTTCCAACTTAGGATGGGTGAGGAGGAAGTTCACTTGGAAGATATGTTAGCTTTATTTGTAATAGCCTAAAGCTGGAAGCAGTCTAAATGTCCAAAAACAAATTGGATAAACAAATTGTGGTATATCCATTACTCAATAATAAAAATGAATAAGCTATTAATAGACACAATATGGATGAATCTCAAAATAATTATTCTGAGGGAAAGAAGCCAGATAAAAATTTTTTTAAGAAAGTACAGGCTGGGCACAGTGGCTCACTCCTGTAATCCCAGCACTTTGGGAGGCCAAACTGGGCAGAACGCAAGGTCAGGAGTTCAAGACCAGCTTGACCAACATGGTGAAACCTTGTCTCTACTAAAAATACAAAAATTAGCCGGGTGTGGTGGTGGGTGCCTGTAATCCCAGCTACATAGGAGGCGGAGGCAGGAGAATCGCTTGAACCCGGGAGGCAGAGTTTGCAGTGAGCGAGGTCGCGCCATTGCACTCCAGCCTGGGCGACAGAACAAGACTCTGTCTCAAAAAAAAAAAAAAAAAAAAAAAAAGAAGAAGTACATAGTGTATGATTCTATATTTGGATATATTTATATTTTTTTCTAGAAAATTCAAACAAATGCATAGTGACAGCAGATCAGTGATTATCTGGGAAGGTGGGGACAGAGAGAAGGGAAGGCGGGACTATAAGTCTATAAAAGGACATAAGGAAGCTTTTGGAGATGATGAATATGTTCATTATCTTAGTGGTGATAATGAATTCACAGGTGTACACACATGTCAAAATTGATCAAATTGTACAGTTCAAATGTGTGCAGTGCACTGTATGTCAGTTACATCTCAGTAAAGCTATTAAAAAGTTCACATCTTCAGAATTCAGTTTTTTAAGTATGATGTTAGGTTTTTCTTGGGTGCCCTTTACCAAGTTGAGGAAGTTCCCTTCTCTTCCTGGTTTGCTGTGAGTTTTTATCAGAAGTGAACATTGAATATTTGTCAAATATTTTTTCTCTGTCTATTGAGATAACCATATGGTTTTCCTTTTTTTGTTTAATATGGTGAATTACATTTATTTTTAAATGTTAAACTAACCTTACATTCCTAGAATAAACCCCACTTAGTTATGATATAACATCCTTTTCATAAATTTTGAATTTTATTTACCAAAATTTTGCTTAGAATTTCTGCTTTTATATTCATGAGGGATAATTGATTTAAAATGTTCTTTTCTTGTAATGTCTTTGCATGGTTTTGTTACTACAATAATGCTGTCCTGAAAAGATGAGTTTAGAAGTATTTCCCCCTCTCCAATTTTCTGGAGGAGTCTGTGTAGAATTAGTATTATTTTTCCTTAAATGTTTGGCAGAATTCCTCCAGTGAAGCCATGGCCTGGGAACTCTCTCCAAGGCAACATGGGGCAATGGTCTCCTTATTTGTTTCCAGTCTCTCCGAAATCACTGTCCTGCATTGCCTAATGTCTTGAAAACCAGTGTTTCTTCCGCATGTTCTCACTCACAGGTGGGAATTGAACAATGAGAACACTTGGACACAGGATGGGGAATATCACACACCAGGGCCTGTCATGGGGTGGGGGGAGTGGGGAGGGATAGCATTAGGAGATATACCTAATGTAAATGATGAGTTAATGGGTGCAGCACACCAACATGGCACATGTATACATATGTAACAAACCTGCATGTTGTGCACATGTACCCTGGAACTTAAAGTATAATAATAATAATAATAATAAAAAGAAAACCAGTGTTTCTTAAATTTTGTCAGTTTTTTCTAGTTGGTTCAAATGGCAGGGAAAATCTGCACCGTTATTCCATCTTGTTTAGCATTGGAGACTTGAAATTAAGAGTGAGTTTGAGATACAAGCTTTTAGACTGAACTAGACTTTTAAAAAATGAGCTTTACTATTTATGGCACTTTTACAATCACAGCAAATAAACTAGATTTTTTAATAATGAAAAAATATTTTTAAATTACGGAATCTTCTTAAAACATTGTCAAAAAGGCAAAGAAAAATTCAATTATAGTAATTGAGAGGCAATAATTGGACGAAAATATGGTTTCATGTTATAACTCATTAAACTGTTCACTGTTCCAAACTCTTCTCTAGTCTTACCTGCCACAATTCATTGTCCACTTACCATGAAAAGTGATCTTTTCAAAGGTAAATCAGATCATATCTGATTTAAAACCCTCCAGTGGCTTCTCATTACACTTAGAATAAATTCAGAGTCATTAGCCTTCCTGATTTCCTGCAACTCCCCCTTCCACTCATCTCTCTCCAGCTACTCTGCTCAAGGCTTTCGTATTGTCTTAGTCCCTCTGCCTGCAACACTTTCCATAGCCTTGCATGGCTGGCCCCTTACCACCAAGTCTCAATTCCAATGTCATTGCCTCAGAGAGAAATTTTCTGGCTGATAATCTTCCTAACCAATTACCAATCATTATCATATTGCCCTGTTTTATTTTCTTCATAGTTTTTATTATTGTTTGAAATTCTTTAGTTTACTTAGTCGTAACTGTCTCCTCCTCATTAAAATAAAAGCTCCTTAAGAGCGGCATTGTCTTGTTGCTTACTTCTGTTTCCAAGAACAAGCGCAGGATTGCCTCAAGTATATTGATTGAATGAAGGATGAATGGAGAACGTTTTTACAAGGAGTTGAAAACTGCCTCTAAGTTTATGTCTTCTAACAATATTAGTCTCTTTTGTGGATAGGCTCCATATTGTCAATGTCCTATTTAAAGAGTAGTATCTAGATACATATTCAATAGTCAAGTGTAATCTGGACAGTACAAACAACAGCTGAACTTAACATTTTTCAATAAATCCCACTTAAGATGATAATATCTCTTTTTTGGCAGCTATGTTACACTATTGGCTTCAATTAAAGTGTACAATCTCATTTTTAAAAATATGTTTCTATAAAGTAATGACTTTCCCATATTTAAAATTTAAACAAGTTAGGATTTGGGCATGAGATTTAGCATTGGTCCCTAAGTTTTATCTTGCTAAACTCAGACCAACATTACAATGTCTCAGATTCTTTTTAAATCCAGATTCAGAAACCTTGCACATTAGTTCTTTCTCTCAGCTTTACAGTATCTGCAAACTTGACACATGCCATCGGATCCTTACTGAAGTCATTAAGAAAAATGTTTAATGGGATAGTGCTTAAGATAGACTTTTGCAGCATACATCTAAAGTCCTATCTCTATCAATATCAGTCCATTAATAAGCACATTTTGGGTGCAGTAGTTCATCTCAAGTTAACTCATAATCCATACTATCACACAGACTCAAAGTCTGGGTTTTATCCATAAGGTAACATGAATACTTATCATAAAAGGCCAATCTCTCCTTTATTCTCTATTTTAATGTCATCTCATTTCTCCCCTTGAAAGCCTTCCCTAATATAAAAGGAGTCTTGATAGCAGCCTGGCATTTTGCCACTTGAACTCTTAAAAGGGACGATGATATTTTTTAACAGGCTTCTTGGCCTTAAATCCAAAATGCAGCTGAAATCTCTTGATTTTCCTTTTAATGGATTAATTTCTACATTTAGTGTAATAATTCACATTTCCCATTTGTCCTTGAACTTTATATGGAAAACAAATTTTACTAATAAATAGTACTGCTTAATCAGCTCTAAAAATTAGGAGGGAAAATATGAAGTCTACAAGAAACCTTGAATTAAATGTCAACCTGTAAATTCCAAGTAACCCAAAAATCTTTTAGATTTAGAAATAACTTATCAGTGTTCCCAAATGTGCTAGAAAAAAGAAATCCTTTTTGTGTGTGTGATACCCTAAATATATCTGACAGAATCTTCAGTATTATTATAAGTGGTAAGTGAATTGAAAGAGCATCATCAGTCCTGGATCTCCCTAAAAAGTATCGTCTTTCATTTCCTTAGCACTCTCATGAATATATTCCAGAATCTATTTATTTCAGAGGACATAAAAAGAAATAATTTTAAAAGAATACTGTAAAATGTATACTCGAGATAAGCATTTTATATCTGACAAATTTACAAAGTCTATTACAGAGGAACTCCATGACTACTTTTACAACCAGGTATATATAACAATCCCAGAAACCCAGAATTAAATGACACACTTGCAAGGAATACAGAGAGGAAAGTAAGATATTTATTTCCCTAAAACATAGATTCTAAAATATGTCAAATGGCCATTGAAAGCACAGCCTTTAACTCTTCTCCGTGTATACCATCTCTCTAACTTCTATACGTTTGAGACACTAGACAATACAAAAGTAACTTTTGAATCAATCCAGAGAAATAAACTGAAGGAAGATTCTATTAGCACTGAACGAAAGATCTGCTGCCAAGAGAAGCTAACAGCAAAAACCATCTCCACTCCATCAAAAACCATCTCCACTCCAACAAAGTGGAAAATTCATTATATGTGTGTGTATATATACTTATCATGAATATATAACTGCTATTAACTTAATACTACAAAACTAAAAGTCCCCAAATATCCCAGAATTTCACAAATCAGTCAAGCATAAAATTACTAACAAAGGATAAAGAGGAAGATGTTTTTTGTGTTGTGTGTTTTTTGTTTTTTTTTTTTTTGAGATGGAGTCTCATTCTGCTGCCCAGACTGGAGTGCAGTGGCGCAACCTTGGCTCACTGCAACCTCCGTCTCCCAGGTTCAGGCAATTCTTGTGCCTCAGCCCCCCGAGTAGCTGGGACTACAGACATGCACCGCCACGCCTGGCTAATTTTTGTATTTTTAGTAGAGACGGGGTTTTACCATGTTGGCCAGGCTGATCTTGAACTCCTGACCTCAAGTGATCCACCGGCCTCAGCCTCCCAAAGTGCTGGGATTACAGATGAGAGCCACCGCGCCCAGCCTGGTTGTTTTACTATGACAAAACTGAGGTATAGCCCTTGATCTGACAATCGGTCCTCCTACCAAGATCCTTGCTGGGTTGCTCTGAACTTCCTAAAACTCCTATAGGGCACTCTGTGTCCAAATCCACAAGAGCACACATGACTTATCTGGAATAATTATCAATAAAAGTTTTAAAATATGTTTAATAATATTAAGGAGTACAGAAGCAATTGCAACTATATTTGCAATGTTTGGGAGGGACATTATTCTGCCTAACCTAGAGTCAGGCAAACACTATTCCAAGAAAGGAAACAACAAGTAAAAAGCACAAAATAAGAAAGAGCTTGGCCCACACAGGATGAGGAGCAGGAAGGAAGGCACTTGTAGCTGCAGCAGAGTGAGGGGGAGAATCATAGTAGATAACAACACCATGCACTTTATAGGATTAACTTTTTTCCCCCATTTTTTTTTTTTTTAGATGGAGTCTCTCTCTGTCACCCAGGATGGAGTGCAGTGACATGATCTCGGCTTACCGCAACCTCCGCTTCCTGGGTTCAAGCGATTATCCTGCCTCAGCCTCCTCAGGAGCTGGAACTACAGGCATAAACCACCACACCTGGCTAATTTTCGTCTTTTTCAGTAGAGGTGGGGTTTCACCATGTTGGCCAGGCTCATCTCAAACTCCTGACCTCAAGTGATCTACCCACCTTGGCCTCCCAAAGTGCTGGGATTACAGGCGTGAGCCACCATTCCTGGCCTTTTCCCCCATTTCAATTGTACAAGCTTAGAATCTATTTTGAACTTCAGAATCAATCTTAGTCATTCTAAAGCTAAAGGTAGAGAGCCTAAGCCTCTTAACTTACAGTCCATTTTACCTCTCACAATACCAAGAGCCATTAATACTATTTTTTCACATCTATATGGAGAAATTTCTTCTAATTGGCATTTTTTGGGGGTGGGGGAATTGAAAGATTAGACTGAATCATTTCACAATGTGATGTTTTGATTATGTATACCTTGTGAAATGATACAAAACTTAGAAATCTGTAATTTAAATAAGTGAAATAATCAAAAATGATTTTGTCTAACAAAAATGCTTTAGCTGGCTGAACACGGTGGCTCATGCCTGTAATCCCAGAACTTCAGGAGGCTGAGGTTGATGAATCACCTGAGGTCAGAAGTTTGAGACCAGCCCAGCCAACGTAGTAAAACCCCAGCTCTACTAAAAATACAAAAATTAGCTGGGTGTGGTGAAGTACATCTGTAGTCCCAGCTACTTGGGAGGCTGAGGCAGGAGAATCACTTGAACCCAGGAGGAGGCTGCAGTGACCCAAGATCACACCGCTGCACTCCAGCCTTGGCAACAAAGCAAGACTCTGTCTCAAAAAAATATATATATATTTAGCTATTTTTGCAGAGATATACACTGAATGATTTTTTCTGATATTATATAAGCATTGAATGATTAAAAGTCAAACAGAGCATTTTTACTCAACTTTGATACCCTTTGATACCCTCCTTCCTAATCTTTGTGACTTCCAACCTCATTAAATGTCTGATAATACTAACTGCCATTTTTTAACCCTAAACATTTTCGTTCTTATATGCAGAGTTTCTTCAAATATTGATCTCTATCCAAGCACAGTGTATGTAAAATTTATATTTAGATATCAGGAGGCAAAAGCTGGTCAGTTGGGTGCAGTGGCTCACGCCTGTAATCCCAACACTTTGGGAGGCCAAGGCAAGCAGATCATTTGGGGTCAGGAGTTAAAGACCAGCCTGGCCAACATGGTGAAACCCCATCTCTACTAAAAATACAAAAATTAGCTGGGAATGATGGCGCATGCCTGTAATCCCAGATACTCGGGAGCTGAGGCAGGAGAATTGCTTGAACCTGGGATACAGAGGTTGCAGTGAGCCAAGATCATGCCACTGCACTCCAGCCTGGGCGACAGAGTGAGACTCCATTTCAAAAAAAAAAACAGAGGCAAAAGCTGAATTTAAAAAAAAAAACCCTCAAAATATGAAGAAGAAACTTCATTCCAAATTCTTACTAAAAATTAAAAAATACAAACCAAAAAATTGACTTCTTTTTCTCGAACAGCTTTCCACATAGACTTTTAGGGTAGTCCTTCTGTGGTTAAATGTTTATGAGGAGAATTGCACCTGTGTTGTGGTCAGCTTTTAAATAAACTTGCACCTGCAGTGGTTTTTCATAGAATTGCTGTTTGAGAAATTACATGTCAGTGGTTTGACCATCACACAGAGCTATTTCCCTTCACCATATCACCTGCCAGGCAGGTCCTAATTTAAAAAGGGCCTACTTCCAAAAATTCATTTGAAAAAAAATCTGGTTAGATTTCATGGTAATCTCTCCAGGGACACAATAATAAGTAAGGTTTCCAGGATACCCCTCAAACAAAAAGAATATGCTCCCTTCAATTCATCCATTGCAGTGGTCTGGTCCTTCTCTGCTTTAAGAAAACTTCTGATTTCTGGAGAGGCTTCTGCTCTAGTCAATTATGTCTGCTTTCCTTTTCCTGTATATTATCTGCTAATTCCTGTTTCAGAATCTTTTTTAGTTTGTCATTTTCCTTACCATAAATTTATTTCTCTTTCCTTCCTGTTCATCCTCATAAAAAACCCTAAAATCTTTCAAACTAATTCAAGTAGGTCTAAATGTCATTCCATTCTGTTCACTCTTTTACTTTGTTTCTTCATTGCTAATAAATTCATCTTGTATCTTGTATACCATTTTACTCAGCTGGCATATTACTTTATCACTTTTCTTCATATGTGTGTAATTTTATATATTAATGTTTTCTAGATGCAGAGAGGTGTTCATAAAGAGCAATATCAGATGGCACCCCAAAAAAGGATATGAAAGAACACCAAAAGGGAACTCTAAAGATTTAGTTGGAAAAGTAGGTAAGAAAATACAATTTTCTTGTTCTAACTCTTCTATTCAGAGTGTTTACATCATATGTAAGTGCCATACTAAGTTCATTTTCCCTAATAACGAGAAAGCATAAATCTGTGGTGAGGAATATCCAGTCAGTTATTTTTAAAATATCAGATGCAACTGTAAAGATGTGTCTTAAGAGACACTTCTACTTAGTCTTCCTACTGAACAAAAGAGCAAACGCTGTGGAGTCAGTTATTGCCTGGGTGCAAATGGGACTCTGACAAGTTATAAAATCTTGTTTTCTCTGTTTCATCTATAAAATGGGCATCACTGTAGTACATACTTCACAAGATTGATGAAAATTAAATTGATAAGTGTAAAGCATGGAATATGCTAGAACATGGCTACAACATATAAACAATTACTTTAGCATAATGCTTAGCTCTTGATCTGCCTACTTTTCATATCCATATTCCCAGGACCCTGATTTAGACACAAAAACGCATCACTCTGATGACTATCACCATCTTGCACCAACTTCCTTCTGTCAATTTTCCAATCCTTCCCTGTTTAAAACCCTCCAATGATTCCCCTTTGCTCATAGCATAAATAATATATCTCTACCCAAAATAGATATAGATCAAGATCACATTTGCAAATAGCTTATTAAATTCTTAGGTCATTTTTAATAATTTCTAATACCTTATTGAAATTTAACAGAGCTTGGTTTTTTTTTTTTTTTTTTTTTTTGAGACAGAGTCTCACTCTGTTGCCCAGGCTGGAGTGCAGTGGTGCAATCTTGGCTCACTGCAACCTCCGCCTCCCAGGTTCAAATGATTCTCCTGCCTCAGCCTCCTGAGTAGCTAGGAGTACAGGTCTGGGCCACCACACCCAGCTAATTTTTGTATTTTTAGTAGAGATGGGGTTTCACCATGTGGGCCAGGCTGCTCTCGAATTCCTGGCCTCAAACAATGCACCTGCCTCGGCCTCCCAAAGTGCTGGGATTACAGGCATGAGTCACTGCGCCCAGCCAATCCAAGCCTTTTTAATTTGACACCTGGAGATATGTAGTCCTATAACTCTAGTAGCAGGTAGGTAGTATAACACTTTTGGTCTACTAGTTCACGTGTGCTAGTTACTTAAGTCAGAACAACCCAAAATTATATTTTATTTGCCTTTAGTTAAATATCAAATATGGTCCCACGTTTCAACTGAATTTTAAAGACATCAAAAATTTCTTTCTCTAAAGAGATCCATATATCAAACCATCTAGAAGACATCTAGACACTTAAATAGCTTCACAGACACCTCAAATCAAACATATACAAAACTTAACTTCCCATTTCTTGGCCCCTGCTTAAATCTTTTTTTTTTTTTTTTTTTTTTGAGATGGAGTCTCGCTCTGTCGCCCAGGCTGGAGTGCAGTGGCGTGATCGCAGCTCACTGCAACCTCTGCCTCTTGGATTCAAGCAATTCTCCTGTCTCAGCCTCCCAAGTAGCTGGGACTACAGGCATGCACCACCACACCAGGCTAATTTTTGTAACTCCTGGCCTCCAACAATCCACCCACCTCGGCCTCCAAAGTGCTGGGATTACAGGCATGAGCCACCACGCCCGGCCAAGACAAGTACATAACTAGTCTTAACACAAAGGAGAAAATGTTTAGAAATCCCTAAGAAAGGAAGAGTTAGGGACTATTAGATGTTAATAGAATGAAGTATATCAGAGAAGACAGCCTAGAGAAGACACAATCTTAGCTGGGCCTTGAAGGCCATATAAGCATTGAAATATGAGACAGCCCAAAGAGAGGCCAAGAGAATAAAAATCTCAAAAAGAGAAAAAAAAATGAGTACATAGTTTGGCTAGAACATATAATTCATGAAAGTGGGAAAGCAGCTGGAAAAATAAGTTGGGGCCAGATAAAGGCAGGCCCTGAATATTGGCTTAGAGATAAGAACTTGATTCTATAGAGAATGAGGGGTGACTAAAGAAAAAATTTTAACATGGGCTGTGTTTCAAAAGACCTTCACCACCAAAGCTATAATTATCACTGGGTCAATATTTAAATCAAAATAATTGTAGTTACAAGTTTTCCCATGAAAAGAAAAAACTAAAAGGGATTAAATAATGTTTAGAAAGTAATTGCCAAGTTTTTAGTTGAATTAGAGTTTGGAAGGGAAAGCAGTGTCGTAATTTCACTAAATTCTTCATTTTGTAATGAAGGCTACCAAACCTGTTTTCTAGATGCAGAGAGGTGTTCATAAAGAGCAATATCAGATGGCACCCCAAAAAAGGATATGAAAGAACACCAAAAGGGAACTCTAAAGATTTAGTTGGAAAAGTAGGTAAGAAAATACAATTTTCTTGTTCTAACTCTTCTATTCAGAGTGTTTACATCATATGTAAGTGCCATACTAAGTTCATTTTCCCTAATAAGGAGAAAGCATAAATCTGTGGTGAGGAACATCCAGTCAGTTATTTTAAATTAAGTTAAATTAAAGATTAAAAGCTTCAAATATTTACCAAATATTTCAGTAGAAGCTCTATATTTTACTTCCAAGTCACTTTTAGGACTTTTGGGACTTAAAATAGATACAGACCTTATTTGCAAAAAGAATCTGTGACATATTTGTTTCAGAGTAAGTGGTTTCTGACAGATGAAACTAGATGAAATGAAAGCAGATGGCAAACTTCATCCATTTTCTTTCTTATAACTAAAAATAATCTTTCTTTCTTTTTTGCATCCAAAAATAGTTCAGCATGTTTCTGGGGTTATATTAAATTATCCAAATATATTGATAGGTACTAACACCAAGAATACATTTTCCCAATATAACTCTTATATCAAATTATTATTTTTACTATTACTACCTTTATGCACATTTTTAAGAAAAGCTACTTCTTTTGACAGCTTCAGTCATCCTAGCCTAGTCTGTGATGCTGGGAAAAAACGTAATATGCTGTTTATTGCAGCACTATTCACAATAGCAAAGACTTGGAACCAACCCAAATGTCCAACAATGATAGACTGAATTAAGAAGATGTGGCACATATACACCATGGAATACTATGCAGCCATAAAAAAGGATGAGTTAACGTCCTTTGCAGAGACATGGATGAAGCTGGAAACCATCATTCTGAGCAAACTATCACAAGGACAGAAAACCAAACACCACATGATCTCACTCATAAGTGGGAACTGAACAATGAGAACACTTGGTCATAGGGTGGGGAACATCACACACTGGGGCCTGTCATGCGGTGGGGGGCAGAGGGAGGAATAACACTGGGAGAGATACCTAATGTAAATGACGGGTTGATGGATGCAATGGGCCAGCATGGCACATGTAACGAGCCTATGTAACGAGCCTGCACGTTGTGCACATGCACCCTAGAACTTAAAGTATAATAATAAAAATTAAAAAAACAACGTAATACGCATTCAACTATAGTCTTCTTTTTTTTTTTTTTTTTTTTTTTGGAGACAGAGTCTTGCTCTGTCACCCAGGCTGGAGCACAGTGGCGCGATCTCAGCTCACTGCAACCTCCACCTCCTGGGTTCAAGCGATTCTCCTGCCTCAGCCTCCCGAGTAGCTGGGACTAGAGGTGTGCACCACCACGCCCAGCTAATTTTTGTATTTTTAGTAGAGACAGGGTTTCACCACGTTAGCCAGGCTGGTCTCAAACTCCTGACCTCAGACAATCTGCCCACCTCAGCCTCCCAAAGTGCTGAGATTACAGGTGAAAGCCACCACGCTGAGACTCAACTATTGTCTTAAGTTCATGAAAGCTATATATTAAATATTTCACCTTGTTAATTACTTTTAAATTTGAAGAGCTATGCTGATAACTATGGAAGCTCAAAAGACACTACGTTGTTAAAGGCTACTGCTTTGAAGTGCTGACAGAGTACAGAAACATACATACCTGGACTGACTGACTGCATTTCCACTACCTTCTCACACCCCACTCCAGCCAAGAAAGATTACTATTTAATCTAGTGTCTATCTTGGAAACCATAATCTTTGGAGTCTGAACTTGGCTATGGATGCTAAAGGAAAAAGTCACTGTCCACCTAACAACAAAAATCAGGTACAATTACACATAATTGATAGAGAGGAAGTTTGAGATCTATGCAGGACTGTGGTGATGAAGCATATGAATTTGATCCTATAGACCAAGCTTGTCCAACCCACAGCCTGCAGGCCATATGCAGCCCAGGAGAGCTTTGAATGCACCCCAACACAACTCTGGAAAGTTTCTTAAAAGATTGTAAGTTCTTTTGCGATTTTTTTTTTTTTTTTTTGAGATGGAGTCTAGCTCTGTCACCGAGGCTGGAGTGCAGTGCCGCGATCTTGGCTCACTGCAACCTCTGCCTCCCGGGTTCAAGCGATTTTCCTGCCTCAGCCCCCCGAGTAGTTGGGATTACAGGCGTGTGCCACCACGCTTGGCTAATTTTTGTATTTTTAGTACAGATGGAATTTCACCATGTTGGCCAGGCTGGTCTTGAACTCCTGACCTCAGGTGATCTGCCCACCTCAGCCTCCCAAAGTGCTGGGATTATAGGTTTGAGCTTCCGTGCCCAGCCAGCTATTGTTAGTGTTAGTGTATTTTATGTGTGGCACAAGACGATTCTTCTTCCAGTGTGGCCCAGGGAAACCAAAAGATTAGACACCCCTGCTATAGACATTGGGAAGCTAAAAGATTGGACACCCCTGCTATATAGACGTTGGGACGCTTCTGCAGGATTTTAAGTTAGGAATTGATATAGTCATTTTTTGTTTGCTCATTTGTTTTTTAATTAAATCTCAGGTGCAGTTAATTATTCTCCTCAGTTCCTGACATTATTATTGGTCTGTGGAAATGTCCTCTTCTATTCCTTTTAATCTCCAACCCTTATCCCATTCTTCATCTTCCACAAACAGCTATTCTTTTGTGTTTAATGTATATTATTTTGTTTGATTATATTCCTACAAAATGTGTATTGTTACATTATTGTGCCTGCATTTTTAATTTTTGTGAATGGTATATTATTTATTACATTCTATTTTTTACTTTTTTCCCTTAGCACATTGTTTTAAAAATCCATTCATGTTGCCATATGGATATATAATCTACTGCTTCCAATTACTATATAGTTAAAATCACTATAAAATGTATCATCTTAGCCAGGCATGGTGGCTCAAGCCTGTAATCCCAGCACTTTGGGAGGACAAGGGGTGGATCACCTGAGGTCAGTAGTTCGAGACCAGCCTGGCCAACATGGTGAAACCCCGTCTCTACTAAAAATACAAAAATCAGCCAGGCGTGGTGGCAGGCACCTGTAATACCAGCTACTCGGGAGGCTGAGGTGGGAGAATTTCTTGACTCTGGGAGGCGGAGGTTGCAGTGAGCTGAGATCGCACCATTGCACTCCAGCCTGGGTGACAACAGTGAAACTCTGTCTCAAAAAAAAAAATTATCATCTTAATCATGAGAGTGAAAGGAGGTGCTATTAATAATTACACTGGGATAACAGGTTAAACAGGGCCATCCAGGGCAAGCCAGAATGTATGATCACCCTATGCTCCTAAATTCCATGCTGTTCTTCCACAACATTTTATTGATCTGCTCTTCCAGTGACGGATATCCAGGTTGTCTCTAACTCGCTGCTACCAAAAATAACTTTTCAAATAGCTTCGCACAGGTCCCCTTATGGATGGGCTTATGTGAGAATTTCTTAACCAAAAAGATATCTGCAATGATTTATAAATTTCTGATACAGGTAATTCTGAACACCCAGAAGATTGGTAAAGTGACAAATGAGAATAAAGCATAGTAGAGTACTTAGCTTAGCATTGAAGGTTTTTGTAGTAATGAAAGGTATGACTGGAAAGGTTGTTTTGGGGTAAAACTTTAGGACAGCCATGTATGCTGTAAATTTTGTTAGTAAACGAAAGTTTTTACTATCTGGATAGTAAATGAAAGTTTCTGAACCAGGATATGCGGTGACAGAAATGATATTCTAGGAAGATATATCTGATGTACCAGATCAAATGTACCAGAGACTAAAAGGAGGAGACCTATTAAAGGAAAAGTTGAAAGCCAGTATAGTATAGTAGTTAGTTATAGCACAACATGGATTCTGAAGCTGGACTGTTCTAGTTTAAATCTAGTTCTAACACTTATTAGCTTTATGACCTCACTTAAGCTATATGCGCCTAATTTTCTCATCTCCAATTACAGATTATTATAGTAACTTTTCACAGGGTTATAATGGTTTCAAGAGCTTGTAATGGTATCTAGCACACAATAACCACTCTCAATGTTAGCTATTATTAATTATAATTGTTTCAATAGTCCAGGAAGAAATAAAGATTAGTTTAAGCTAATGTGATCATACAATACCTCCAACACCCAGAATAAATGCCCTGAAAGAAGTATCCTAATGTATCATCACCTAATGTGTCATTCATAGACTCCCTAATTTCCATAGTAAGAAAATCCCATAAAGGGCTTAGAGTAAGGCAAAAACAATTTTTTTTTAACCTGCTGGCTCTCATTAGTGTAACTTGCTAACTCCTGAGCCAGACATCACAATAAAATAAAGATTCAGATTGGCTGGGTGCGATGGCTCACACCTGCAATCCCAGCACTTTGGGAGGCTGAGGTGGGCAGATCACCTGAGGTCAGGAGTTTGAGACCAGCCTGGCTAACATGGTGAAACCCCATCTCTACTAAAAAAAAAAAAAAAAAAAACACACAAAAAAATTACCCAGGTGTGGTGGCAGGTGCCTGTAATCCCAGCTACGTGGGAGGCTGAGGCAGGAGAATCAATTGTTCTTTATCAAAAGGATCTGAAAAACTGGGTGAAGCGGCACGCACCTTTAGTCCCAGCTACTCAGGAGGCTGAGGCAGGAGATCACTTAAGCCCAGGAGTTCTACCCAGCCTGGGGAACACAGCAGGCACCTGTCTCTAAAAACAAAGGATCTGAGAATGTTAGAATACGATACTCTCTGAATATGCATTGAATACTGCAACTCTGTTCTGGTTAGGAAATTTAACATTTAGTATAAACTAAATAATATTAATGTGATCATTCCCATTTAAAATATCCAAAATATTTTTCTAACTTATATATAATAGTATATGCATTTTAGTCTTGAAGTCTGACACTAAATTCTCAAATAATTTGCAATAAAAATGAAAAATTTTTATTTATGTGCCTAAATGCAACAGTGTTTAAATAATGAAAATTTAACATTTAAAGTAAGGAAATAACTACAATTCCAGCATAGATGTCATATTCTTTAAGCAATATTCCCAAAACAGCAATCTAAAGGTTATCTCTTATCCTTCTGTTCTCTTACAGCACCGGGTTTACATCATACACTGCCTTGTATTCCAGTAATCTGTATGAGTGTCTTCTTTTCTACCTGATTATACAGTCCTTAACTGGCTGATTCATCACTATTGTCTGTAGCATTCTACAACAAACAGTAAGCAGTTAATATCTGCTAAATGACAAAATGTACTAAAATTTACATTAAAAAATAAATTCATGCTTACCATCAGAACATAACTTTTGCCCACAACTTTCTAATTTAATTTTATTTTCTAAAATCTTGTAAAAATTTCAAAATGTTTCGGACACCTTTAGGCACTTGGAAAATGTTTATTTCAAAGTATCACTTTTCTAACATTTTGCATTATTTTTATTAACCTAATGACACTATACTTTCTGAAAAGAAATTGTCACCATTGGCTGGGCGCGGTGACTCACGCCTGTAATCAATCCCAGCACTTTGGGAGGCCGAGGCGGGCGTATCACGAGGTCAGGAGATGGAGACCATCCTGGCCAACATGATGAAACCCCGTCTCTACTAAAAATACAAAAATTAGCTGGGAGTGGTGGCGCGTGCCTGTAATGCCAGCTACTCGGGAGGCTGAGGGAGGAGAATCACTTGAACCAGGGGGTCGGAGGTTGCAGTGGGCCGAGATTGCCACTGCACTCCAGCCTGGCAACAGAGCGAGCCTCCGTCTCAAAAAAAAAAAAAGAAAAAAAGAAAAAGAAAAAAGAAACAAAAAACAAAAGAAAAAGAAATTGTCACCATTAATTTTATTTTATTTATTTATTTATTTATTTTGAGACAGAGTCTCTGTCTGTCGCCCAGGCTAGAGTGCAGTGGTGCGATATCGGCTTACTGCCACCTCCGCCTCCCGGGTTCAAGTGATTCTCCTGCCTCAACCTCCCGAGTAGCTGGGATTACAGGTACCCGCCACCACGCCCCGCTAATTTTTTGTATTTGTAGTAGAGACTGGGTTTCCCCATGTTGGCCAGGCTGGTTTTGCACTCCTGACCTCAAGTGATCCACCCACTTCGGCCTCCCAAAGTGCTTAGGATTATGGGCATGAGCCACCGCGCCCAGCCATGTCACCATTAATTTTAGCAACGTATCAAAAGTTCAGCTTCCAACTACCTACATTAAAAGGTATAATAATACTAACCCTGAACCTTACATATGTAATGCCTAAAAACTTACACCCTGAATTACTCTAACATTACAGGGCAGACTTCCTTGAGAAGAGTCAGACCCTGCAGCGGGGCTCTGCCTTCCCACTGTCAGCCTCGGGGTCATCTAGCTTTATCGATCCCCATGGAGCGGGTCACCGAGCCCTGTGAGCAGGGAGAGGGCGATGGGGATGAGTAAACCCGAGCCGGAGGCCCGGCCTGCGCTCTCGCCCGGAAACCTCCCGTGGGATTCTGGAGTCCAGCGGCGCTGCCTGAGGCTGTGGTACCCAGAAATATGGTATTGGGGGTGGGGGTGAAATGAGAGGAAAGCAATCTGATTAACTTCCAGCCTGATAAGCAGAAAAGAGAAAACAAGGGAGCAGGAAAACTACGCTAGCACTAGACTGCCGGTCGCAAGCGCCGGGTACACACGCAGTTAAACCTCAATGGAACGCCCCCGGGACTTCTCCGGGGCGTAAAGCGCAGCGCCCTCTATTGGCCATCGGGACCTCGCCTGGAGGTGCCGTCAGGATTCCGTCCCCCAGCCACTCCCAGGCACTCGAGAGTAAGCGCATTAGCCCGAGAAAGCGTTCTGTGGAACGGAACTTCCTTATCCTATCGTTTCCACACGGAAAGATTTTAATTCACCGGAATCGACTGGCGTTAAAGGGCACAGTGAAAAGGAAGTTGGTATCAACGTGATCTCGACTAAGGGACCGAGCGGAAGTCCTCAATCGTACGCCACGCGGAGAGCATGCTGGGGGCCGGAAGGAAGAGGAAATTCCAGTAGCCGATCAGGAGTCTGCAAACTCCGGTGGTAGGGGAGCGCGCTGCTGTTTAGAGCCACGAGTTACCGGAGCGCCTGATTCCTGCGCCGAAGTCAGTGGTGGCCGAAAGTCCGGAGTCGCTGTAAAACCTGAGATTGTGAGCCATGGTGGGGAGATCCCGGCGGCGCGGAGCAGCTAAGTGGGCAGCTGTGCGAGCCAAGGCAGGTCCCACGCTCACCGACGAAAATGGAGATGATTTAGGATTGCCACCCTCACCAGGGGACACCAGCTACTACCAAGATCAGGTAGATGACTTTCATGAGGCACGATCCCGGGCCGCCTTAGCTAAGGGCTGGAATGAAGTACAGAGTGGAGACGAGGAGGATGGCGAGGAGGAGGAGGAGGAGGTGCTAGCCCTAGATATGGACGATGAGGACGACGAAGATGGAGGGAATGCGGGGGAGGAGGAGGAGGAGGAGAATGCCGATGATGATGGTGGGAGCTCCGTGCAAAGTGAAGCTGAGGCCTCTGTGGATCCCAGTTTGTCGTGGGGTCAGAGGAAAAAACTTTACTATGACACGGACTATGGTTCCAAGTCCCGAGGCCGGCAGAGTCAACAGGAGGCAGAGGAGGAGGAAAGAGAGGAGGAGGAGGAGGCACAGATCATTCAGCGGCGCCTAGCCCAAGCGCTGCAAGAGGATGATTTTGGTGTCGCCTGGGTTGAGGCCTTTGCAAAACCAGTGCCTCAGGTAGATGAGGCTGAGACACGGGTCGTGAAGGATTTGGCTAAAGTTTCAGTGAAAGAGAAGCTGAAAATGTTGCGAAAGGAATCACCAGAACTCTTGGAGCTGATAGAAGACCTGAAAGTCAAGTTGACAGAGGTTAAGGATGAGCTGGAGCCATTGTTAGAGTTGGTGGAACAAGGGATCATTCCACCCGGAAAAGGAAGCCAATACTTGAGGACCAAGTACAACCTCTACTTGAATTATTGCTCGAACATCAGTTTTTATTTGATCCTGAAAGCTAGGAGAGTCCCAGCACATGGACATCCTGTCATAGAAAGGCTTGTTACCTACCGAAATTTGATCAACAAGCTGTCCGTTGTGGATCAGAAGCTGTCCTCAGAAATTCGTCATCTGTTGACACTTAAGGATGATGCTGTAAAGAAAGAACTGATTCCAAAAGCAAAATCCACCAAGCCCAAACCAAAGTCTGTTTCAAAGACTTCTGCTGCTGCCTGTGCTGTTACAGATCTTTCTGATGATTCTGATTTTGATGAAAAAGCAAAACTGAAGTACTATAAAGAAATAGAAGACAGGCAAAAGCTAAAGAGAAAGAAAGAAGAAAATAGCACTGAAGAACAGGCTCTTGAAGATCAAAATGCAAAGAGAGCTATTACCTATCAAATTGCTAAAAATAGGGGACTTACTCCTAGGAGAAAGAAGATTGATCGCAATCCCAGAGTGAAACACAGAGAGAAGTTCAGAAGAGCCAAAATTAGAAGAAGAGGCCAGGTTCGTGAAGTTCGTAAAGAAGAGCAACGTTATAGTGGTGAATTATCTGGCATTCGTGCAGGAGTTAAAAAGAGCATTAAGCTTAAATGAAGTTTTTGCTTAGCATAAGGTTTTTGGCAGTTTTGGATCAATAAATTTTTACTTTTAACTAAAGTCATTGTATTAATATATAATACTTTAAATTTTAAAAATTCTTGTCCACAAGGAAATTTGTCTGGGTTATTGGACAATTTATAAGAACTATGGGAGCAATATGAAGGTGCTTGAGAAAAGAGATGATGTTGAAGTTTTCCAATATTCTGTTGAAGTTTTCCAATATTAAGTATTAGCTTAGGGAAATTTCACAGTTCATTGTGGAGTGTTAAACTTAGAACATGTGTAACTTTTCACATAAAGAGAATGCATCTTTGACAGTTATCTTATTTGTAAGGCAGCCTATAAAATAGTTCTGAAGTATTTTATTTACCTAACTATAATTATTGGGCCAGATACTTGTTAATAAATGGGCTTAATGTTAACATGGATTTCATATGTTCTGTGTGGTTTAAAAGCATAGGAATGAAACTTTGGTTAAAAGCAGAAAAAGGAAAAGATATGCCTTAATTACATCAATTGTCAATATTTTCTCATAGTTCTTCATGTGGCAAATAAGGTAAAAATCCCATTTCCCCTTCTTTACTGGTGATTTGCAGTGGTTGCTGCTTGTACTTGCACTCCATTTGCTAAAACTTTGATATGATTACTACCAGGTAAGTGGTAACTTTAAGTGGCAACAAAGTTCCATTTTTCTTTTTTTTTTTTTTCGAGATTGAAGTCTCACTCTGTAGCCCAGGCTGGAGTGCAGTGGCAGGATCTCTCAGCTCACTGCAACCTCCACCTCCCGGGTTCAAGCGATTCTCCTGCCTCAGCCTCCTGAGTAGCTGGGATTACAGGTGCTTGCCACCACGCCCAGCTAATTTTTGTATTGCTAGTTGAGACAGGGTTTCACCATTTTGGCCAGGCTGGTCTCGACCTCCTGACCTCAAGTGATCTGCCCGCCTCGGCCTCCCAAAGTGCTGGGATTACAAGTGTGAGCCACCACGCCCAGCTCAATGTTCCATTTTTCTTTTCTTTTTTTTTTTTAATTATACTTTAAGTTTTAGGGTACATGTGCCCAACGTGCAGGTTAGCTACATATATATACATGTGCCATGTTGGTGTGCTGCACCCCGTAACTCGTCATTTAACATTAGCCATTTTTCTTTGCTGCTACACTGGTCTTTAAATAGGGGGAAGATGTTGAGGTGGTAAATGTAAAAATAGGATGTTGCCAGGGAAGAAAATGAGAGGACTAGTGAAGGAAACCACAAAAAAAAGTCCTAATTTCCTAATTGTGTCACTGTTTATTCAGTAAACACTGTGCTAGCTGCTAGAGATGCAGAGATGACGCTTGGTTAATATTTATGGAACACTTGCCATGTGCTAGTTGTACATCACCTCATTTAATCTTTACAATAACTTTGCAAGGTGATACTGTGCTCCACAGATGAGGATGCTGAAATTTTGGAAGGTTGACTTTCTAAAGGACATCTGCTTGAAATCTGAACCCAAACCAACTTGAGCATTCATTCTCTTAACCTCTGGCTTACAGCTGCTTCCTCAGAGTAGCACACAGGACAAATTATTTTGTTTCCTTATAAATAAAAGAGGTAGGTTGGAAATAGAAATAACAGTGCTTACTAAGGTAACTTTCCGAGCACTTTGTGCTTATTTCCTTATTTCTCATAACCTTATGTGGTAAATTCTGTTATCCATATTTTGAAAATAAGGAAACTGGCAAAGAGAAGTAACTTTCTCAGGGTCACACAGCTATTAAGTGGCAGAGCCAGGATTTCAACCCAGCCTTTATGGCTTCAGAACCCAATTCTATACTTCCTTTTTTTTTTTTTTTTTGATATAATAGAAAAAATACAGGTTTTGGAGTTAACAGGATGATTTTCAGTTAATCTCTGAGTTTCATTTTCTTCATCTGTATGAGTCTCTGTTATTATACCTACCTCAGAGAAGCCATAAGTCAGTGGTTAAGAACAGACTGTAGTTAGACTGCCGGGTTGGATCTTTTGCAGGGGGTTTGTTTGTTTTTTGTTTTTTGTTTTTTTTTTTGAGACAGAGTCTCAGTCTGTCGCCCAGGCTTGAGTGCAGTGGTGTGATCTCAGCTCACTGCAACCTCAACCTCCTAGGTTCAAGCAATTCTGCCTCTCAGCCTGCGGAGTAGCTGAGACTACAGTCCCAGTCGAACTCCTGGCCTCAAGCGATCCACCCGCTCCTGGCCATTTTTTGGTGTTTTTTTTGTTTGTTTGTTTGTTTGTTTTTGAGATGGAGCCTTTCTCTGTCACCCAGGCTAGAGTGCAGTGGCACAATCTAGGCTCACTGCAACCTCTGCCTCCCAGGTTCAAGTGATTCTCCTACCTCAGCCTCCCGAGTAGCTGGGATTACAGGTGTATACCACCACACCCAGGTAATTTTTGTATTTTTAGTAGAGATGGGGTTTCACTGTGTTGGCCAGACTGGTCTTGAACTCCTGACCTCAGGTAATCCACCCACCTCAGCCTCCCAAAGTGCTGGGATTACAGGCGAGAGCCACCACCCCCAGCCGCATCTTTCAAAATTTGTTATGTATATTTAACAAACATTTAAAGAGCACTGAGATGTGCTGGGTACTGTCATTTGTACATGAATAAGTTGTTAACCAATGTGATAATCTTTTTTTGTAAAAACTCACTTTGTGAAGACTGGAGAGCTTCATGGGTAAGAGTTCCAATAAAGTACATTACTGGTAGCAGGCATCAGTACAAAGCATCAACAACCTGTTAGTTTTATGGCAGTATATTAAACTATAGACAGCTATGAAAAATACAAAATATTAAAAATTAAAGTAGAAGAAAACATCAAATTAGTGATCCACTAAATAGCTAGTGATGCATTTACTCTGCCACTAATCAGCTGACTGGCTTTGGGCCAATTTCTCTAAGCCAGTTTCTTACCTATATTCTTACCTATGAAGAAGTTAAATAAGATCAACATGCCACTTTAATTTTTGTGTAGAAGTAAATTTTATTCGCTTCTCAGACCTCTAAGAACTACCTAATGGTCAAAGTTTTTGGCAAACTGGAAAATTACTTTTTGTGATCTAAAAGATAAAATCTAGCTTAGATAACTTGAATAATTAATTTGATTCACGTATCTTACACAAAATATTTGATATATCTGAGGAATGGCTGGAGTTGCTATGAAATAAAATAATTTTAAGTTAACGTGTTAAATTATACAAGTTAACATTACCAGAATAATTCAAGAAAAGTGGAACTTAGTATGCTTTACATCTTGGAGATCACAATGATGAACAGGTACTGAACAGGAACACTGAATTATAGATGTTACCAAAAAAAATCATGTTTCTAACTAGAATTTAAAATCACACTGGGCCGGGCGCGGTGGCTGATGCCTGTAATCCCAGCACTTTGGGAGGCTGAGGCAGGCAGATCACAAGGTCAGGAGTTCAAGACCAACGTGGCCAACATGGTGAAACCCCATCTCTACTAAAAATACAAAAATTAGCCAGGCGTGATGGCCCACGCCTGTAGTCCCAGCTACTCAGGAGACCAAGGCAGGAGAATCGCTTGAACCCGGGCGGCAGAGGTTGTGGTGAGCTGAGATCGTACCACTGCACTCCAGCCTGGGCAACAGAGCAAGACTGTCTCAAACAACAACAACAAAAATCACACTGAAAAAAAAAGCTGCTTCAGCTAATCAGATTGTATTTTTTATTCTTAAAAACAAAATTATAATTTGCCTTTGAAAGTTTAAAAAACAGAAACAGGCAGAGTACAGTGACTCATGCCTGTAATTCCAGCACGGCAGGAGGCTCAGGCAGGCAGATCACTTGAGGTCAGGAGTTCGAGACCAGCCTGGTCAACATGGCAAAACCCCATCTCTACTGAAAAAAAAAAAATCAGCCGGGCATGGTGGTGCACTCCTGTAGTCCCAGCTACTCAGGAGGCTGAAGCAGGAGAATCACTTGAAACTGGGAGGGAGAGGTTGCAGTGAGCACTCAAGCCTGGGCAAGAGTAAGACTACGTCTCAAAAATAGAAAAAAACAGTATAGAACCTTTATACCCCCCCCCATCAACAAATATTAGTCTGTATTTTTTCATTTTGTTTAAGATATATTTTCTCATAGCTGAGTTTTTAATTGGTAGTTACTTTAGCTATGTATTCCAGATGATATATTTTGATTCTTTCAGCTATTCTTAAAAAATAAAACCAGTGATTTTACATTTGCTACAAAGTGAAGTTTTAAATGATAGCAAATATCAAGAATCAACATTTGTTAAACTACAAAACAAAAAGACCTGGAGGAAACTAGTAAAATGTTCTGCTTTAAGAAAGCCAATAGGGCCGGGCGTGGTGGCTCACGTCTGTAATCCAGCACTTTGGGAGGTTGAGGCGGGTGGATCACCTGAGGTCGGGAGTTCAAGACCAGCCTGACCAACATGGAGAAACCCCCATCTCTACTAAAAATACAAAATTAGCCGAGCGTGGTGATGCATGCCTGTAATCTCGGCTACTCAGGAGGCTGAGGCAGGAGAATCGCTTGAACCCGGGAGGCAGAGGTTGCGGTGAGCCGAGATTGCTCCATTGCACTCCAGCCTGGGCAACAAGAGTGAAACGCTGTCTCAAAAAAAAAAAAAAAAAAAAAAAAAAAGGCAATAAAGGGAAGTGATTGGGAAGAGTTTGGCCTCCAGAGCCAGATTGAGTTCAAAGTCCTGTTTCACCCACTTACCATGTGTCTTTGGTCTACTTAACCTCTCTGTACTGCAATTTCTTCACATTGAATAATATATAATAGTTAATAGTTTAAATGGTTAATCATGTAACATCAATTTAGAAGAACACTTGACAGGTAGTAAGTGCTTCATGTTCGTTACTATTTTTTTTAATCCAGTTTTAAAAAACTGGCTGGGCGCGGTGGCTCATGCCTGTAATCCAGGCACTTTGGGAGGCCGAGGTGGGTGGATTAACTGAGGTCGGGAGTTTGAGACCAGTCTGACCAACATGGAGAAACCCCGTCTTTACTAAAAATACAAAATTAGCCGGGCATGGTGGCGCATGCCTGTAATCCCAGCTACTCCAGAGGCTGAGGCAGGAGAATTGCTTGAACCCGGGAGGTAGAGATTGCGGTGAGCCGAGATTGCACCATTGCACTCCAGCCTGGGCAACAAGAGCAAAACTCCGTCTCAAAAAAAAAAAAAAAAAAAAAAAAACTAATTTAGCCAGGTGTGGTAGCTCACACCTATAATCCCAGCACTTTGAGAGGCTCAGATAGGAGAACTGCTTGAACCCAGGTGTTCAAGACCAACCTGGGCCACATAAAACATTAAAAAAATTAGCTGGGCATGGTACCACACGTGCCTGTAGTAACAGCTTCTTGGGAGGCTGAGGTGGGAGGACTGCCTGTGCCTGAGGAGGTGGAGGCTGCAGTGAGGCATGATGGCCCCACTACACTCCAGCCTGGGCTGCAGAGTGAGACCCGGTCTTAAAAAGCGAATTTACTCCACTTGAATGAGTTAATTTCTCTTAGGTTCTACCATAATGGTTCTTTTGTTTGTTTGTTTTTGTTTTTGAGACGGAGTCTCGCTCTGTGGCCCAGGCTGGAGTTCAGCGGCGCAGTCTCGGCTCACTGCAACCTCCACCTCATGGGTTCAAGTGATTCTCCTGCCTCAGCCTCCTGAGTGGCTGGGACTACAGGCGCCTGCCACCACACCCAGCTGATTTTTGTATTTTTAGTAGGAACAGGGTTTCACCGTGTTAGCCAGGATGGTCTCGATCTCCTGACGTTGTGATCTGCCTGCCTCGGCCTCCCAAAGTGCTGGGATTACAGGCGTGAGCCACCGTGCCCGGCCAACCATAATGGTTCTTAAACCAGAATGTCCAAGGATCAGTTGGTAAGTTTAAAGTACAGATTCCTGTGCCCTACCTGCACAGATTCTGATTCAACTCTCCTGGTGTTGGATCCAGTCATCTCTGTTTTAACAGGCATGCAACATGATTCTGATCCAAATGGTCTACAGAATATGTTTTGAGAAACACTGCTCTGGGTTTCTCTCAGCTAATAACATTAGGCATATGAATGAAGTTAATTACAAGAGTGAAATATGATGTGGCATTACCATGGGACTACTTCTTGAGAATCTTGAAAACAGTAGGCCTCCCCTCACCCCACCCCAGAACCATAGCACAGTCCTAATCACATTTTGCATATGACAGTGGGTTCCTGGACTCCCTGAAGCCAGGAGTCCATAGACCTCAGTTACAAAACTTTATGCTAGCCTGGGTGTGGTGGCTCACGCCTGTAATCCCAGCACTTTGGGAGGCCGAGGAGGGCAGATCACGAAATCAGGAGATCAAGACCATCCTGGCCAACATGGTGAAACCCCACCTCTACTAAAAATACAGAAATTAGCTGGGCGTGGTGGTGCACTCCTGTAATCTCAGCTACTCAGGAGGTTGAGGCAGGAGAATCACTTGAACCCGGGAGGCAGAGGTTGCAGTGAGCCGAGATCGTGCCACTGCACTCCAGCCTGGCGACAGAGTGAGACTCCATCTGAAAAAATAAGAAAACTTAATGCTAGAAGGGCTGTACCTTTTACCCTTGTGCATTGTTTTATATGGCCTGTTTTAATACATATAATAGACAATTTTGCCATGGTGGGGTGAGGATTATTCAAATTAAGTAGATGGCAGAATTTAATTAGCACCTAAAATTTTTTCACATTTATTAAATGACCTCTTTTAGACATACTTATATTTCTATTCACACCACACTTGAACATACATAAAAAGGGAAATATAAATGTAAGCTAAATAAGTTATTCCTTAAGCTTCTTATTCAGTCCAGTTTTTTTGAATTGCTTTTATTCGGATACCTGATGGTCACAGATAGAAAAAAAGAATTTTGATGTGATCTTAAGAGGAAAGGGTCTTAAAAATAAGTGAGGCTGGGCGTAGTAGCTCACGCCTGTAAACTCAGAATTTTAGGAGGCCAAGGTGGGCAAATCACTTGAGCACATGAGTTCGAGACCAGCTTGGGCAACAGGGTGAAACTCCATCTCTACTAAAAATACAAAAATTAGCTGGGCATGGTGGTGTGCGCCTGTGGTCCCAGCTAGTGGTGAGGCTGAGGTGGGAGGATCACTTGAGCCTGGGAGGTCAAGGCTGCAGTGAGCCATGATTGTGCCACTACCTGGGTGACAGTGAGGCCATGTCTCAAAAAAATAAAAAATAAGTGAGAGGGACTGATAACTACTTAGGAATAGTACAAGGAACAAATAGTACAAAAAATAAATCTTTTATGCATTGTAAAAAGAGGAAAAAACGATGCTAAATTTGGGAAGAGGCATAAATTCATTACAATTAAAACAATTAACTGCTTAAATAGGGTACTATGAGACCTCAAAAATGGCATGTACCTTTCTACATGGGGAGAGCAGAAAAAGTATCACAGCTTTGTTTGAGTAGAGTTTGGGAGAGGAAGAACGGGTACCGCAATATGAGTAATGGCAAACATGTTAAAGCTTAGTCAAAGGCAACAAGGGGTAAGACAAGATAGGAGGATAATATTGGAAAGATAGGAAGGGGTTAGATCATGAAAGACCTTACTAGGTAGTTAATGCATTTAGATTGTATCCCACACATAAAGAAGTGAACCCAGGTTTTTAAGAAATGTTGTGGCATAATTAGGTGAACGTTCAGAAAAGTAAATTACTCATTCTAGCTGCTGTAGAGCAGGGCAACTGGAATAGATTAAAACCAGAGGCAGGGAAACCAATGAGGAGTCCTTTGCAATAATAACTGGCAAGAAAAGATGAAGCTTTAACGCAGAGGACAGGCCGGGCACAGTAACTCACGCCTGTAATCCCAGCACTTTGGGAGGCCATGGCAGGTGGATCATTTGAGGTCAGGAGTTCAAGACCAGCCTGACCCGTATGATGAAACCCCATCTCCATTAAAAATACAAAAATTAGCCGGACATGGTGGTGCACGCCTGTAATCCCAGCTACTCTGGAGGCTGAGGCAGGAGAATTGCTTTAACCCAGAAGGTGGAGGTTGCAGTGAGCCGAGATCACACTACTGCACTCCAGCCTGGGCAACAAGAGCAAAGCTCTGTCTCAAAAAAAAAAAAAGAAGGAGAAGAAGAACCAGAAAGAGAGAGCATGAGAATTACTGGATACATTCATAGAAATCTTCAGCAACATCATTATTATCATTATTATTATTTTGAGATGAAGTCTCTCTCTGTCACCCAGGCTGGAGTGCAGTGGCGCGATCTTGGCTCACTGCAACCTTCGCCTCCCGGGTTCAAGTGATTCTCCTGCCTCAGCCTCCCGAGTATCTGGAACTACAGGCACACACCACCATGCGCGGCTAATTTTTTTTTTTGTATTTTTAGTAGAGACAGGGTTTCACCATGTTGGCCAGGCTCGTCTCAAACTCCTGACCTTGTGAACTGCCCACCTCGGCCTCCCAAAGTGCTGGGATTACAGGCCTGAGTCACCGCGCCCGGCCAGCAACATTATTAAGATAAACACTAGCTGGGCCTGCTGGCTCACACCTGTAATCTCAGCTACACTGGAGGCTGAATTGTCTCTGGAGTCTCTTTAGACCTGTGAAGCAATGTATTGTCAGTGATATAGAACTAGGAGAAGTCTTCTTTCTTCAGTTCTCTGATTCATAATACTAGAAATAATTGACCTTTAAGTATGACATTATTATAAACTAAATATTTCCATTTATGTCCAAGGACATTATTTTAATTAGAAATCTGATAGTAAGGATCATCTCAACTTTTGGCAAAGGAAATTGTATGTAGTAGGAACTTGAGTAGGGTTTCCATCAATGTTTAGGTTATTTGAATATTGTTCTTGAATATTGTTTTTGAATATCTGGACTAACTCTGGAGGCTGAGGTGGGAGGATTGCTTGAAGCCAGGAGTTCAACTGCAGCCTGGGCAACATAGTGAAACCCTCCATCTCTAAAATAATAATAATAAACACTCAAAAAAGACACAAATATGATCAGCTCCTCTTGAACCCTATTTCTCCACAGTATATACAAGGAACACAACTTTGCTGTTAGGTCTTCATAAAAAATATATAATTATGAAACTATGAATTAAAATAACCCCTCAATGTGTTTTATTTTCTATTTAAAAGCAATGCAGCCATTACAGACTACTTACAAATACAGAAAAGTAGAAAAATGGAAAAATGTATCCATATGTCTGCACCCAAAGAAAACTATCGATTGACCTAAATATATTACCTTTATTTTTTTCTTCATCCCACTCAAGGTAGATAAATATATTGTTTTTACTTCTTAAGAGTATCTATAATATATATAGAGAGGAGATATAAATTGACTAGGTATATATATATATGTATATATATGTGGGTGTGTGTGTGTGTATATATATATATATTTTTGTATGTGTATGTGTGTGTGTGTGTGTGTGTGTATATATATATATATATATATATATATTTTTTTTTTTTTTTTTTTTTTAGACAGAGTCTTGCTCTGTCGCCCAGGCTGGAGTGCAGTGGCACGATCTCAGCTCACTGCAACCTCCGCCTCCCAGGTTCAAGCGATTCTCCTGCCTCAGCCTCCTGAGTAGCTGGGATTACAGGCACCCGCCACCATGACAGGCTAATTTTTTTGTATTTTTAGTAAAGATGGGGTTTTGCCATGTAGCCAGGCTGGTCTCGAACTTCTGACCTCAGGTGATCCACCCACCTCAGCCTCCCAAAGTGCTGGGATTACAGGTGTGAGCCACTGCACCTGGCCTTAAATATATATTTTTAAATTTTTCATTATTTTATCCCCACACTATAATGTTGTAACTAGGTGTTTTTATAATGACTGTTTTGAAAAAATAAGTCATTAAGTTACAGTCATCAAAATCTAGTAATTCTGAACAATGGACTCAGAGCTTTCACAATAAGGCATTATATTAATTAGTATCAATACATTTCTACATTTATTAAAATAAGTTTAACACAAAGGCTTAAATTGAGTACACTTTTCAACTATGATGTTTCCCAAGTGCCATACAATGTAAAATAAACAGCTCAAGAAAACCATTATTTTAAAATCATAATAAATCTATATACTATACTGAAAAAGAGTATCAACACTTCTCAAGTGGTATCTTCCCTTTTTTTTTTTTTTTGCCTCTTTTTTTGAGACAGATTCTCGCTCTGTCGCCCAGGCTGGAGCGCAGTGGCACGATTTCGGCTCACTGCAACCTCCACCTCCTGGGTTCAAGCAATTCTCCTGCCTCAACCTCCCGAATAGCTGGGACTACAGGTGCGTGCCAACACACCCGGCTAATTTTTGTATTTTTAGTAGAGATGGGCGGTTTCACCATGTTGGCCAGGCCTCATGGTGAAACCTCCATGGTTTTGAACCAGGAGTTTTGAACTCCTGGCCTCAAGTGATCTGCCCGTCTTAGCCTCCCAAAATGCTGGGATTATAGGCATGAGCCACCACGCCCGGCTAAGACAAGTACATAACTAGTCTTAACACAATGGAGAAAATGTTTAGAAATCCCTAACATAGGAAGAGTTGAGAGATTATTAGATGTTCATGGAAAGAAGTATATCAGAGAAGACAGCCCAGAGAAGACAATCTTAGCTGGGCCTCAGCCTCCCAAAGTGCTGGGATTACAGACATGAGCAACGGCGCCCGGCCTCAAGTGGTATCTTCTCTGCTTCACAGCTCTTGTGGGGTTTTTTGTTTGGTATTTTTTGTAGAGCTGGCATTTTGCCATTTGCCATGTTGGCCAGGCTAGTCTTGAACTCCTGGCCTTAAGTGATCTGCCTGCCTCGGCCTCCCAAAGTGCTGGGATTATAGGCGTGAGCCACCACACCTGGTCTGATTCACAGCTCTTAAGAAGTTTATACTGTACTAAAAATATATTCTTGTCCATAACATTGATCTTTAAAAAGTTTTAAAATATATTTTTAAGTATCTATCTGTAAGATCACCAAAGGATTTTTTGTTTGTTTGTTTTTTTGAGACAGAGTCTCGCACTGTCACCCGAGCTGGAGTGTAGTGGCGCGATCTCGGCTCACTGCAACCTCTGCCTCCCCAGGTTCAAGCGATTCTGCTGCCTCAGTCTTACAGGCGTGAGCCACCGCACCCAGCCCACCAAAGGATTTTTTAAAAACCAAACATGGATAACTAAAAATAAAATGCAGATAAAGTTGAAAATCACCTCCTGCTTTATTTCACAAGAAAATTAATAGAGCTCGATTCTTAATTATAGTGCTTGGATGTTGTCACTTTAAAACAGTATAGGGAGATGCTCTGTGCATTCTCAAGAAGGAGCAACATGTTTAGGCTTGTTTTTATAATCTTGGCTTCCTTAAATGTGTATAGCAGCTGAATCAGCCCTTTATGTCACTAAAGCTAATGCAGAACTGTGATTGTATTATTGATTCAAAAGCTAAAAGCATTAAGAAACTAGGAACTTGGAGTACCATCCACCTTTAAAGAAAAAGTTCATAAATAGCCTTGTCTATAAATTGTAAGAACTCATATTTCAGTTGATTTTTCTGTATTAATTTTACTGCCATTTAATTAATTACATAAAACATAAATAGAACTCTTTTTAAAAATAGAGGCACAGTGATCTCTTCAGCAGCACATATACTAAAATTGGAATGATACAGAGATTAGCATGGTTCCCGTACAAGGATGATACACAAATTTGTGAAGTGTTCTATATTTTTACAAAAAACTTTTTAAAAATAGAGGCACAAAAATCCAATACACTGAATGATTTCACAGCATGTCAATGTTTCTATACCTGTAGGTATCTTGACTAACAAGAAAGGAGAAAGCTGGCAATTCAGACTAGATAATGTTTCATATTTTAACTTGGTGACTCCCTTGGTTGATTATTGGCCTTTCTCAAGAATCATCTGTGAGGACTCTGCTCTCATTTCTTCTACCTACAGTGGTTAAGTGTAGATTATTGTCAAATTCTTTACCAAAACATTGCAAAACATCTCTGTGAAGGACCCTGATGAGAATATAATATTTTGGAATTTCTGCATGTAAAAACAAGATAAAGGATCCAGTTAAGGATGAGTGTTAAAACCATATAATACATCTCAATCAGTTTTTCTTTTTTTAAAATTATACTTTAAGTTCTGGGATACATGTGCAGAACGTGCAGGTTTGTTACATGGGTATACATGTGCCATGGTGGTTTGCTGCACTCATTAACCCATCAGCTACATTAGGTATTTCTTCTAATGCTTCCCCTCCCCTTACCCCCACTACCCCACAGGCCCCGGTGTGTGATGTTCCCCTCCCTGTGTCCATGTGTTCTCACTGTTCAACTCCCACTTAAGAGTGAGAACATGCGGTGTTTGCTTTTCTGTTCCTGTGTTAGTTTGCTGAGAATGATGGCTTCCAGCTTCATCCATGTCCCTGCAAAAGACCTGAACTCACTCTTTTTTATGGCTGCATAATTCCATAGCGTATATGTGCCACATTTTCTTTATCCAGTCTATCATTGATAGGCATTTGGGTTGGTTCCAAGTCTTTGCTATTGTAAATAGTGCTGCAATAAACATACGTGTGCATGTGTCTTTATAGTAGAATGATTTATAGTCCTTTGGGTATATACCCAGTTAATGAGATTGCTGGGTCAAATGCTTTCAGTTTTTCTTATGAAGGTATCATGCAGTTAGCAATTCCTAAAAGACAAATATGTCTTCCTGTTGAGATTCTCACCAGCACCAAGAGTTAAGGCCCAAACCACCTTCAAAATGCTAAGGATATAATGAAAAGGCTTTTTTTCCCCAACTCAGTATGTTTTTATTATTGTAAGTTAAATGTTATTTTGCCAAAATGATAAAATATCCCTAATAATAATTATTTTTTAATATGGAACACTTCACAAATTTGCAGGTCATTCTCGTGCAGGGAAATGTTAATCTTTTCTGTATCGTTCCAATTTTAGTTTATGTGCTGCTGAAGTGAGTACTACTAATAATTATTGATTTATGTATTTATTTGAGATGAAGTTTTGCTCTTATTGCCCAAGCTAAAGTGCAGTGGTGCTATCTCGGCTCACTGCAACCTCTGCCTTCTGGTTTCAAGCGATTCTCCTGCCTCAGTCTCCCAAGTAGCTGGGATTACAGGCACTCGCCACCACGCCCAGCTAATTTTTTTGTATTTTAAGTAGAGACGGGGTTTCCCCTTTTTGGTCAGGCTGGTCTCGAACTGCTGACCTCGTGATCCACCCGCCTCGGCCTCCCAAAGTGCTGGGATTACAGGCGTGAGCCACCGCACCTGGCCGTAATAATTATTATTTACCCCAATGTTAAGTTGTATTTTAAACGCTTTATTTCTATTTCTTATTTAGCCCTCACAGTATCTATGAATAACATAATCATTTTACAGAGCTGGACAAATAACTTACTCAAATAGGTAGTAGGACTGGGATCAACAGGTCAGGGAAATGCCAGAAACCGAAAAGCTAAGAAATTTTCTAAGACTGAAGCTATCCTGTAAACATTTCCCTTTTGAATGCTTCTTGTTAAAAGACTCAGTGAAAAGTAGTATTGTAAGTCTCATGGTAATTGCGAGTAGTAATTTCAAAAGTGATTTACAGAGAATAACAACAGTAATAAAAATGTTTACTTTTCCTTTCAAAGAAGTACAACTTCCTCTACACAGGGAAGGGCTGAACAGAGAAGAGGAAAAAGCAGGTGGGCAAAATGTTACACAACAGTGATTTTTAATTATGAGTCAACATGGCTTCTATGCCAGCATTAAACACAAGGCTAATCAGCTAGGAATCCAGGATAAAGAACCATGAGAGTAACTGGAAATTGTCTTTATTGCCGAAAGAAATGTTTACTTAAGGGAATTACTGGATCAGTAATCATTGATTCGAATTCTCAAAGCAACGGTGGCTAATTACTAGCGAGACACGGGCACTGTGAAAGAGAAAACTGTCGACCTGTAATTGACATTTGTCGTATAAATTCTAAGCTGTTTGATTTAAAATGCACTCATGCGCACCCGCGGCACTAGAAAACCAGGGAATTAAAGTCAAAGCAAATACAGGATTTCAGTACAGCGCACAAGACGGGAACAAAAGAGGTGGTGGAAGGAAGACACCCACCTTTGGTTTCTCACATAAAGAGCTCAATACTCCAAACAGTGAATCAACGGTTGAAGTTGCAGTGTGTGAAAGGCAAATGGTACAGTTTAATACCCGGGGGCAGGGAGGTGCTTTTTTAAAATTAGCTTTCGCCTCTTCTTCAACCCAGATCTTTGTGCCTTCGTGCTACCGATAAAGTTGGCGGTTACACGACAAAACGCCGCCAGGTATTTCGCCAGGTCTTCCACTTTTCAAGCACTAGACACACCTGACCGCCTTACAGGGCCCAGCGGGGGCGGGTAAGGAAGAGGCCCAGGGCCCGAGGGTCGGGAGGCAGTCAGCCCAGCCGGAGGGAAGCGGAAGGTGGGGAGTGGGAAGAGGAGGACGCTGCCCCCTAGGGGAGCCGAGTCACAGGCTGGGGGCCGGGGCGGGAGGGGCTGGAGGAGGCGGCCGGTAGCGAGGCCGCGCCGTCGGGCGGGGCGGTCCCTCCAGCTGGCTTGGACCCTGGCGGGGCGGGCTGTGGGCCGAGCGGCGGAGCCCAGGCGCCAGCCCGTGGCCGAGAAGAAAGGTGGCGGTGGCGGCGGCGGCGCAGCGGACGGGACGGGGCGGCGGCTCCTCGCCCTGACCCTCTGCTCCCCCGCCCAGGCCCGGGCGCGAATCGGAGGCTGCGGCGAAGGAAGGAGTGAGCATGGCTGAGACCCCGCCGCCGCCCACCGCTGGTGCCGAAAGTTGCAGCGAGGAGCCGGCGAGGGGCGGGGAGTGGCGGCCGGAGGAGCCGCGCCGCGCTCCCGCCGGGGGCACGGACCGAGAGGGCGAGGCGGGGCCGCCGCCGGCCTCCCCCGCCGGGCAGTCGGAGCCCGACTCGCCGGTGGCCGCCCCCTTCTTCCTGCTGTACCCCGGCGATGGAGGCGCCGGCTTCGGAGTGCGCCCGCCGCCGCAGCAGCAGCGCTCCTGGAGGACCCCGCCGTCCCCCGGCTCACCGCTGCCCTTCCTGCTGCTGAGCTACCCGAGCGGCGGCGGCGGCAGCAGCGGCAGCGGCAAGCACCGTGAGTGGCGGAGGGGCATGGGGACGCCCGCGGGGAAGGGAGCATTCGGCTGGGGAGGGCCGGCCCGGCCCCCGCGGAGCTCCGCCTCCCGCGGGGTGACCCGAGCCGGGTGGCCGGGAGGCGGGGGCTTTAGGGGCTACCCTCGGGAAGCTGTTCTCCCGAGGCGCCCGGTGAGGAGGCAGCGGGACGACCGCGGTTCGGGCGCCGGATTCTACCTCCGCGTCTCCCCAGGCCGCGGCTCCTGCCTGGCCTGGTCTCTCTCCCGTCTTGGGCTGGGCGCTGGTCTTCGCCGGCCTCCCACGTGCTTGGGCGGGGGCGAGAAGCGGCCTGCCTGCCCCCCTCCACCCGGGGCGCCCTGGCCCTGTCCCGGGTCCCGGGCTGGGAACCTTCCCCGAAGGAGTCTAAGAGGGGGCGGCGCCCGGAGACCCCGTGGCCCCTCTGACCCGCCTTTTTCGGGCTCCCGGCGCCGCGGCAGCTGAGTAGGTGTGGCTGCTGCGCCGCCGCCGCCGCCAGTGCGGCCTTAGTAATACTAGTAACTAATTTTTTACGAGCGTTCCTTCCATGCCGGTAAATATGACAGATCCGTCCCCCGGATTGGAAAGAGAAATCGGAGCGGTGCATGAGAAGACAAGAAGGGAATGTGTGGCTTTGGAAGGCTACCTCCCAGGGTTATATCGGTTGTCGGGAAGAGGCCTCCACTTTTAAAGCCACTGGCACACGCGAGCGCTCTGAATGCAGCTGACCCACACTCCGTGCTGTATTTTTTATTAGTGAACTGTTTACTGTGCTGGCAAACGAGTAGGGCCCTAGAGTCGTCAATGAATATAAGGACTCTTAGAGGAATGTTAAATCTGATTTTCAAATACAAGCTCTTACAGTATGAAAATGTGGCTGACGATACAAGGCATGCTGTAAGCGCCAAATACTTTGCTGTATGAGTTCTGGAAAGGGAGACAGAAACTTGCCTGAAGCGATGAGGGAAGGACCTTTCCCACCATACACCCTATATTTTTAAAGCACAAGTACAAATCTTTTAGCTGCTCTGCCCTGCCAAGAAACCCTGACTCACCTTTTCTGCCCCGATCCATCTCCTAGGAAAAGATAATATTTATTGATTATTTCCTATGTGCATGTGTTGTGATAATCATGGTTAATAAGTTTGTGTGCGCCAAACTGAATGCCACTTTTTCAGATGCGGAAGCTCGATTTATCCCAAGTAACAGCTTAAGAGAAGGAATGCAGTTGACCCAGATTGCTTTTCTGCTAAACCCATGCTCTTTAAATCTAACAAGAGATCCAAAACTGTGATGGTGGGTGACAGGTTAACAGGAAGGGTCTATGTGATTCAGCTGGAGGTTGCCCAGTGTTCACACCTCCTTATTACTTACTGAGTAATAAGTCAGTGGGCAGACACTGACCATTGACTGTCTTAGTGAAGCCATAGTTTGTGTGTTGGAGTGGTCTGCACTAATGTGCAGATGGATTGTCAGCTCATGGCAGAAGTGAGTCTTCCTATACAGAGGAGGCAAAGATAAGAATCTTCTCAAGGAGACTTTGCTTTTGTTTTCTGAGGAATCCTTCTACTTTGTACTTTAAACACCGCCTCTTTTTTTGTTTGCACCAAAAATGTTTTCTTTCTGTGTAATCTACATATTAAGCATGCTACTATAGAAAGAAGACTGTCATTTCTCTGTAACAGTTATGGTACAAGGTTTGATGTAGAGGAACTTTTCAACTATTGAACAGTATCAATTGTGGGAATTACCTGAATTTCAGTTGACTGGACTCCCTCATTGTTAAAGGTTATCTTTATGTTATTAATTATTGTAGAAAATAACAGTATTTTGTTACTCTTATCAGTTAATACTGTTGCTTAAGCATGATCAAGATCGGGACTAGAGGACTTAAAGCTAAAGTTTCATGAGCGTGATCTCAGTCTCTACCTTAGGATACTAGCAAATGTATGGTGTTTTTTTGTTTTTGAGACGGAGTCTCGCTCTGTCGCCCAGGCTGGAGTGCAGTGGCATGACCTCTGCTCACTGCAACCTCCGCCTCCCGATTTCAAACGATTCTCCTGCCTCAGCCTCCTGAGTAGCTGGGATTACAGGCACCTACCATTTTTAGTATTTTTAGTAGAGACGAGGTTTCACCATGTTGGCCAGGCTGTTATCGAACTCCTGACCTCAAATGATCCACTTACCTCAGCCTCCCAAAGTGCTGGGATTACAGGGGTGAGCCGCCGTGCCCAGGCGGTATGGTGTTTTTTGTTACCACGTAAGTTCTAATATTTCCTCATGGTCTTTATTTTTGAAATAGTTTATTGATGTGTATGTGTTCAGAAAAGTTACTGGGAATATATACGTGTCCCACTTCCTCTGCTTTTAAAGATTAGTCACTGAGAACATTTCATATTAGCAAAAAAAAAAAAATCACTATTACATGTTTTATTTAAATATAAAATTGATTCAAAATAGTTTTTTGTTTTGGACTGAGTTTTTGTTTTTACCTGTTACATTTATATGTGCTTTAGAACGTAAGCATACTTACAGAAAGGAACACTCTAGATATGAATAAAAAGTTCCTTGTTACCCTGCAGAGTCAATGGAATATTGCTTTCTGTAATGTATCTGGATATCAGAACTTTGATTCTCTTGACTACTCATTTAAGAAATTAGAGACCAGGCCAGGTGCTGGTGGCTCACACCTGTAATCCCAGCCCTTTGGGAGACTAAGGTGAAGGATCACTTGAGTCCAGAAGTTCAGGGCTGCAGTAAGCTGTGACTGCACCATTGCACTCCTGCCTGAGCAACAGAACGAAACCCTGTTTTTAAAAAAATAAAAATAAAATACATGAACACTTGAGACCAAACAGTTTTTGTTTTTTTATTTTGTGTTTTTGAGACAGTCTCACTCTGTGCTCAGGCTAGAGTGCAGCAGTACAATCTGGGCTGACTGCAACCTCTTCCTTCCAGGTTCAAGAGATTCTCCTGCCTCAGCCTCCCAAGTAGTTGGGATTACAGGTGCGCACCACCACCCCAGCTATTTTTTTTTTTGTATTTTAGTAGAGACCATGTTGGCCAGGCTGCTCTCGAACTAGACTCAAGTGATCCACCCTCCTCGGCCTCACAAGTGATGGGATTACAGGTGTAAGCCACCACACCTGGCCCCAAACAGTTTTTAAAAGACTTCTTAATTACGAGAATGGTACATGGACTCAACCTCAATGCCTAGTGAATATTACGATGACTGGCATCTGCCTCTTTAGCAACCCAATTTTTAACTCTCAGTAATGTATTTGCTAAAAGTATATAAAATATTATAGCTTTGAAAGACTGTGTATTAAGGTGGTATTATCTTTTTATTTTAGAAATCTTGAGTGTACTTAGAGGTTTTAAAAATTAAATTTTACATTTGAGTTCAGAAGCTCTGTTTTTAAATAACAGTGCTGAAGAATAGCAAAAATGTGTGAGACTGGAACGGTGGCTCAAGCCTGCAATCCCAGCACTTTGGGAGGCCTAGGCAGGAGTATCACTTGAGCCCAGGAATTGGAGACCAGCCTGTACATAAGCAGACTCTGTCTCTACAAAAAAAAAATTTTTTAAATTAAAAATAAGTTAGCTGGGTATGGTGGCACATGCCTCTGGTGCCAACTACTCAGGAGTCTGAGGTGGGAGGATGGCATGAGTCTGGGAAGTTGAGGATGCAGTGAGTCGTGATCACACCACTGTATTCCAGTCATGGTAATAGAGCGAGATGCTGTTTCAAAAAAAAGTTTGTAAATAGAAGGTAGCCTAAACTTTTCAGGGTTTGTCACATGAATTGTTTTGTTCCAAAATCTTGCAGGATATAATATCCATGAAATCAATCTGCTTCAATGCAGTGTGAAAGGAGACTTCTGATGTGCCTTGTTGAGGATTATGTCTCTTTCTGAGTCTTTGAGTGCTGGTAATCTGCTAGGTTTTTATACTTCTAACTTTAAATCTCATAAAACTCTCTGCCATGCCTTTTAAAATTTGATTTTATAAATGTACAAGTAATACATGAATCTATGCTCATTGTTTAAATGTTTCATAATACATAAGTACAGTTACAAAGTGAACTTTCCTCTTTGTGGACCTCCAGCACCCTCTCCCCGGTTCCTTATTGGAGGATGCCCACTTTTGAGTTTGGGGAGTTTTCATCCTGAACTTTTTCATGCATTTACAGACATGTATGTTTTTATATTTCGTGGTGGCTTTATCCTCTTGGTGTATGTATGACCTTCCATGCCAGTTTCTCAGCAACTACAATTTGTAAGGAGGATCTGCTTGCAGGCCATGGTGTAATACTTTTAATGCTTTCCTTTTCCATCCTGCCGTTAGAGATCGTCTTGTGAATGGACAGGATAGACAAAAGATGGCTTCCCTTTAGTGTTGGTTGGAAGAGTCACCCTGCTGTTTGCACAGTTAACAGCTTCTATTTAGTTATTCTTTTCTCCTTCCAACTCCCACAACTACGGCAAACATTGTTCAAGGCAATGCTATGCAAATAGCCCACATCCTTGCCCTTGTCTTTTCTCTCCCAGTTAAGGCAGTGTCCAAAAAAGTGTCCCACTCACCAAGTAGCAGCTTTCTGTATTTTTAAGTGCTGTTTTGAGATAGGAGGAAGGCTAGAAGAGGAATAGAAGAAAAAGAATCTTGAAAAGGACTGGCAGCGTTACTATGACTACCCACTACAAAGTTGAGTATACTTAACAGCGAGTGCCATGATTAAGCCCCGGATAGTGCAGAGAATGAGGTACCTAGAAGCCTTTGTCTCTGACAGATGCACTTGAAAAATCCATTGTATGGGGAAGGAGGTTCGAAATATACATGTAAACCCAGGAATTAGTGTTTAAGGGGAGAAAATTTATGCTTGCAGTTTCATTAACATATATACACACACAAGTATACAGATATGTATATATCATATATATTGCATGCATGCATGTATGTATGTGTAGATTGTATATGTGTTTGTGTAAAATATATATATTTTAGTTTTTCCTCTGTGGACATTTCTGTTATTGTCTCTCTTCTTTTTTAATTGTTTAGTAGTACTCTAGAAAACAGTAAAGGTCGGGTGCGGTGGCTCACGCCTGTAATCCCATCACTTTGGGAGGCCAAGGCAGGCGGATCACCTGAGGTCGGGAGTTCGAGACCAACCTGACCAACATGGAGAAACCCTGTCTCTACTAAAAATACAAAATTAGCTGGGCATGGTGACGCACACCTGTGATCCCAGCTACTCAGGAGTTTGAGGCAGGAGAATCACTTGAACCCGGGAGGTAGAGGTTGTGGTGAGCCGAGATTGCGCCATTGTACTCCAGCCTGGGCAACAAGAGTGAAACTCCATCTCAAAAAACAAAAAAAAAGAAAAAGAAAACAGTATACCTGGTCAGGAATTGAACACATGTTTTTTGTTTTATTTATTAAAATTTTTAATTTATATAAAGAGATATGTCAATGGGCCAGGCATGGTGGCTCATGCCTGTAATCCCAGCACTTTGGGAGGCCAAGGCAGGCGGATCACTTGAGGTCAGGAGTTCAAGACCAGCCTGGCCAACATGGTGAAACCCCGTCTCTACTAAAAATACAAAAAAATTAGCCAGGTATGGTAGTGCACGCCTGTAATCCCAGCTACTGGGGAAGCTGAGGCAGGAGAACCGCTTGAACCCAGGAGGCAGAGGTTACAGTGAGCCAAGATCCGCCACTACACTCCAGCCTGGGCCACAGAGCAAGACTCCGTCTGGAAAAAAAAAAAAAAAAAAAAAAAAAAAGAAGTATGTCAAAGAAGAGCCAAAGTGAAAATAAACAATTTTTTTAAAAAAGAGATGAGGTCTCACTGTGTTGCCCAGGCTGGTCTTGGACTCCTGGGCTCAGGTGATCCTCCTGCCTCGGCCTTCCAAAGTGCTGGGATTACAGGCATGAACCACCATGTCCGGCCTCAAGCACGTGTTAATCAGTTCACCTGCTGTATGCTTCTTTAAACTTTGAAAAGGCAAAAGTACTTTATTGTGTTTTGTAAACATAGAGGCGTCTGCCCAGGCTGGAACATATGAGGGAAATGGTCAAACTTTCAGAACCCCAAAAGATTGGGCATGGTTACCTTCATACTAGTAGTTTTGGAAACAGCAGAGTGATGTGTGACTTTTTAAAACACAGATTTTCGGTATTTTCAATGTAGATCAGTGTCCTCATTTACCATTCTGTGATTCATAAATCTGTTAGCCCTCTGCTCTTTTCCAACCCTGTTAAGAAGGCAGAGAGCCATTTTCTGATCCATTAAGTGCCTTTTGTCAAATAGTAGATAAAAAGCACCCACCCACATACAAACCTCAGAAATGTAGCATCTTTCCAAGGATGTGTAACTGCCAGAGATCTGGAGTTTAGGTGTTCAGTGTCTTGGTGCAGTTGGCTCCTTCCACACACAGCTGACATGACCTTGGACCTCCTGAGCTACTGAGGGACAGGTAGCTGGGTCATGCCCCCGTTTCCTTCCTCACGACTAAACACTCTGCTTGCCTTCCTGATTCTGCCTTTGTGAGCAGGGCTCCCTGAACTCTCACAGTTTGTCTTCCCAGCCAATTCTCCCCTTCTTTTCTGCCACCACCTTTTTGTTGCACCTATTCTTCTGGCCTGGCATTATCAAAAAGTCAAATCACGCTTTTTATTGACAGAACAACAATTTCAGAATATCAGATGTAATCTTTGAGTCTTTCTTTGGTTGCTCCCCTTCTGATAATCATAGACTCATTCTTTGTAGACAGAGTTTTCTTTTTTCTTCCCATCTTAGTTTTATTCTGGACACTAGAGAGTCCTAAAAGGCTCTTCATTATATAACAATTTTTTTTTGTAGTTCTGAAACCCAAACAATTACCAATAAAAGATGTGACTGTAAGATAATACTACTACTAGTGGCCACCATTTGTGGGATATTTTTGTGTGCCGTGCAGAGAGCTAGAAACTTCACATGTAATAGTACTTAGCACTTTTTTGAACTGAAGCCAGGGAATGAATTCATATTCCTCAATAGTCAGCCTTCAAAGCGCATGTTCTTAATCACTGTACGTTCCCTCACCACCAAGGTCTTAAAGAAGCTGGTTTGAGTGGAGAGCAGTAAAGGTTGCTGGGTAGGAGGGATAGCAGAGGAAAGGTGGCAAAGAAAGCAACTTTGGGGACTAAAAGACAAGTATTGGCCTCAAAACATATTCACTTGACTATATTCTGTCTTGTATCTTTTCCCTTTTTTAAAATTTTTCATAGAAATCTACATGTTTAAGAGGTAGGATTTTATCAAGAAGCTAAGAGACCATATTTTTCTAGTATGGGCTATAGATAGTAAAAAGTCTAGATGTATGATGATGGAAGTGTAGCAGAATAAACTGGATGAAATAATTTTTTTGTTGGCAATATTTTTCAAAATTCCTTAAATAATTAAAAGAACTAACTAAAAAATGGGCTGCCCCTTTATCATTGCACAATAGGCAACCTGTAGCCAACATAAATAAAAGTAGAATCCCATTTTTGATGAATTTTACAGGACATCACACCTATTACATGTCTACTCAATCCTTACTAATTTTGAAACACACTCCCTACTTTGTGAAGTGGCTCAGGTTATGAGCTGTAGAATTTGTTGTGGGAAGTCAGTAGCACACCGTAAGCATTAAAAAATTGGTTTGAAATTGTGTGAAAGGAAATTTTTTTTTGTTTTGTTTGCTTTTTTGAGATGGAGTTTCACTTTTGTTGCCCAGTTTGGAGTGCGATGGGGCAATCTTGCCTCACAGCAACCTCTGCTTCCCGGGTTTAGCTGATTCTCCTGCCTCAGTCTCCTGAGTAGCAGGGACTATGGGCATGCACCACCACACCCACCTAATTTTTGTATTTTAGTAGAGACGGGGTTTTGCCATGTTGGCCAGGCTGGTCTTGAATTCCTGACCTCAAGGGATCCGCCCGCCCCAACCTCCCAAAGTGTTGGGATTACAGGCGTGAGCCACCATGCCTGGCCAGGAAATGTTTTTAGAGTTACAAAGCAAAGCAGTGGTACTTGAGAAGGTAAGTAGCAATATGGCCATGCCCCCTACTGTATTTGAATAATTGTGAAAAGGTTCATAGTCTCCCTAAAACTTCTCAAGGCTGCTGGCCAAGGTGGCATTCCCTCTCTTTGCAAAGCCTTTTTTATCTGACATGCTCCCTACCGACCGGACAAGATACTCAGCTTTGTCAGAGGGAGTGGTGGGGCGGGGGTGGGAAAGTTTGGAAGAAAGGTGTGGGAACCTTATGATGTGTAGGAAAGGAGAGCCTGGCAGGCCAAGACAGCAAAAAGCAGGTGGAAAGCTGAAGTCGTTGTAGCATGTCGCCTTTTAGAGTGTGATTCTTCTAACTTCAGAGTCTGTTTAGGGACTCTCCACAGACATTTATCTACTTCTGCTGTCTTTTTTATGAACTTAGGAAATCTGATCACTTGAGGTGAGAATGCTTGGTAAAATTCTGACCCATCTCTCTTCCTTCCTCAAAATCTGAGAGATACCACTGTAACCCTCTGCTCACATCTCCTTTTTACTTTCCTTTGCCTCTGTCCCATAAACGTTTATCCTTACTGACTTTCATTTTATGTGTTGATAGGGTTTTTCCAGAACTCTCAAAGGAGAAGCACTTATCATAGTGCAGTTATGGTGACATTTACTTACTGCTTACTTTGTGCCAAGTGCCATGCTAAGCATTTAACTCCGAAATGGTTAATATTATTATCCCCATTTTGTTAATGTAGAAATGGGCACAGAGAAGTAACTTGCCAAGGTTACTCAGCAGCTAGGTGGTGGACCTAGGATTCACTGTGAGCATGCTGACTCCAGAGTCCACATGCTATGTCACACTCTTTCATCACCTCCCGTAACTGGAATCAGGTCCTAGATTAGAGGCACGTCTTCAGGCAACCAGCCCTCTGGTTCCATATTCTACTCACTAATGCCCTATTTACTAAAAATGAGTAAATTAATGAAACTCAAGAGTCACCAATCTGATAGAAAAAATGGTTGTATATGTAAAAAACGCTGAATAGGTCCATTTATAACAGACATTAAGACTTTCCTAAACACCTAAAATTGTCTGTTTCTTGTCTATTGCCTTGTTCTTTCTTCTGCATCCCTAGCATATGGGAGGTACCCTGTACATGTTGAGTGAATGAATCTGTTATGTACATGTAATGAAGCCAGTGTTAGACTGACCTGTTTGTTGGGGCATAAATATGGTTTGATTTTATAGAATTTGGGGGTTTTCACAATTGAAGTGAAACATGAGGGTGGAAAAATGCCATTGCAAGGCTATATACATATCTATACCAGCAAGTATCTATTGAGAGTCTGGTATTTGGTAGGTACTATTTTGAGTAGATACGTAAGAGGTATGCAAAATGCATATTTCTTTGGTGGAGCTTCTGGTCTTTGTGGAGCTAGTTATTTAGTTTCATTTTACAACTGAGTAAATTGAGGCAAGAGGAGGATAAATTTCCCAAGGTCACCTACTAAGTTTTTGATAGCTTTACGTCTGTGTAAATTATTGCCTACAGCCACTGAGCCATGAAATCAGTTTTACTTTTCAGGGTAGAGGTTATTTTTAATCTTATGCTGGTTAATTTTAACAAGTGAAAAGATGATGCATTATAATACTCCTGGTAGTGTTTGTTTCTAACAAAGTAATGATAAATCAACTTTCTGAGTATATCAGTTTATAGTTGTTGTCAACTTTGGTTAATATCTATAAAGTGACACTGAGCCTATGAAGTGTATAAACTTAAAATTGAAGAAATCTTGGAATCAGAGGTAGACATAATAGATTGTGGTTCTGGGAAAGGAGGTGGGAGGGTGTACTGGAGCATGTGAAATAATCATGATCATTGAGTTGAATAATCATATAATTTAACAGAAACATCTGGGCTTTCCACCAATGTCATCATGATGATGATTCATCAAAGATACCCTTTCATGGCTGGATGCGGTGGCTCATGCCTGTAATCCCCCAGCACTTTGGGAGGCCGAGGCACGTGGATCTCTCGAGGTCAGGAGTTCAAGACCAGGCTGGCCAACATGGCGAAACCCTGTCTCTACTAAAAAAACAAAAGTTAGCCAGGTCCGGTGGTGTGTGCCCATAATCCCAGCTACTTGGGAGTCTGAGGCAGTGAGGCAGAAGAATCGCTTGAACCCGGGAGGCAGAGGTTGCAGTGAGCCGAGATCGTGCCACTGCACCCTAACCCGGGTGAGAGTAACACTATCTCCAAAAAAAAAAAAAAAAAAAAAAAAAGCTACCCTTTCATGCTAACAGCAACTAGTGAAATAGGGGGAAAATGAGATTTTTCTTCTTAAATTATGAAACTGTGATTCAGGAAGCTGCCAAACAGAACTTTGTGAGCTTTACAAATTTAGTTGCACAACTTGACAAATTTTAGGAAGAAGTTTCTATTCTGCATTATGAAAATCAGAAATAACCCAGATGCCTACCAACATGAAAATGAATCAGAAGACCAGGCACAGTGGCCAATGCCTGTAATCCCAGCACTTTGGGAGGCCAAGGCGGGCAGATCACGAGGTCAGGAGATCAAGACCATCCTGGCTAACCTGGTGAAACCCCATCTGTACTAAAAATATAAAAAATTAGCCAGGCATGAATGGCATACACCTGTAGTCCCAGCTACTTGGGAGGCTGAGGCAGGAGAATCACTTGAACCCGGCAGGTGGAGGTTGCAATGAGCCGAGATCGTGCCACTGCACTCCAGCCTGGGTGACAGAGTGAGACTCCATCTCAAAAAAAAAAAAGAAAATAAATCAGAATGTGTTTTTGTTATTGTTTTTTTGAGACGGAGTCTCTCTCTCTTGCCCAGGCTGGAGTGTGGTGGCATGACGTCGGCTCACTGTAACCTCCGCCTCCTGGCTTCAAGCAATTCTCCTGCTTCAGTCCCCTGAGTAGCTGGGATTACAGGCACGTACCACATTGCCTGGCTAATTTTTGTATTTTTACTAGAGACGGGGTTTCACCATGTTGGCCAGGCAGGACTTGATCTCCTGACCTCAAGTGGTCCACCTGCCTCAGCCTCCCGAAGTGCTGGGATTACAGACGTGAGCCGCCGCGCCCTGCCGAATCAGAAATTTTTTGTACATGCATTGGAACACTACCTTGTAATACAGCAGCCAAAAGGATAAACTACATATGCACACTACGGTTTGGATGAATCTTAGAAAATACAGCATTGAAGGCCAGGTGCGGTGGCTCATGCCTGTAATTCCAGCACTTTAGGAGGCCGAGATGGGCAGATCACCTGAGTTCAGGAATTCAAGACCAGCCTGGCCAAGATGGTGAAACCCCATCTCTACTAAAAATACAAAAATTAGCTGGGCATGGTGGCAGGTGCCTGTAATCCCAGCTACTCGGGAGTCTGAGACAGGAGAATTGCTTGAACCTGGGAGGGGACAGGTTGCAGTGAGCCAAGATCATGCCACTGCACTCCAGCCTGTATGACAAGAACAAAACTCTGTCTCAAAAAAAAAAAAAAAAGAAAAGAAAAGAAAAAATACGCATTGAGTGAAAGGCTTAGAAAGTTTTATAGAGCATGAAACACTTTCTATAAGAAAGTTGAAAAAAACTGAAACTAAACATATTGCTTAGACCTTCATATATTTGTGACAATATTTTTGAAATAAGATAATGATTTACACGAAATTCAGAAGGTTACCTTGAAATGAGAGGCAGGAGTTTAGAAGCAAGAAGGAGCACATAAGTACATATGTTGGTCCATTTCTCCAGTTGAGCAAGGGTTTCAGGGATATTGGTTATATTCTTTAAGGACTTAAAATTATACATTAAGTTTGCTATTTTTAAAAAGCGTACAATGCATCATTTTAGAAAGTGATTCCCCCCTTCATTTATCTTTTTCTATTTTGGAATTTATCAGGTGTTCTTAATGTGTCCAACTAGTATGTAAATGTGGAGGGAACTCAGAGACAGAGTGGTAGTAGGGTGAACCAAGTACATAGTGGAAGCATTTTATCTACCCTTTGTGAGCCCATGACAGAAAAGTCCATACTGGGTTCTCAGTTTGTCAGAATGTGCCCACTTACTAAAAGCCTGAACTTAATATGTAAGTTGGGGGGCCTAGAGGAAGGTATGGGTTGTGCAGCATTAAGGTGTAAAGTATGGAGGCTGATAAAAAAAATTTCTTCAAATCTTAAATTTGTTGAAACTCATCTTTAGGAAATTTCATGAAGAGACTTTGCGTGTGTGTGTGTGTGTTTGTGTGTGTGTGTTTTAAATGTCTTTTTATTTTCTCTGAATAAAATTTAACATCCGGGGATGAGGAAGAGTTAGGATAGAGTGCTGAAGTTGCAGAGTGTAGAAGGAACATGGACTTTGGAGGTATCTAGACAGAAGTAGCTTGGAGTAACAGATCTGCTACTCGCTAATTGTGTGATTCTGGGCCAGTTACGTGGCTGAACTTTGGTTTCATTGTGTATAAAGAGAAGGTATCAATCTCTGTTTTGCAGTGCTTTTGTGAAGACTTGACATGGTATTTTTTTTTTTTTTTTTTTTTTTTTTTGAGACAGAGTCTTACACTGTTGCCCAGGCTGGAGTGCAGTGGCGCGATCTTGGCTTACTGCAACCTCCGCCTCCCGGGTTCACGCCATTCTCCTGCCTCAGCCTCCTGAGTAGCTGGGATTACAGGCACCCACCACCATGCCCAGCTAATTTTTTTGTATTTTTAGTAGAGACGGGGTTTCACCGTGTTAGCCAGGATGGTCTCAATCTCCTGACCTCGTGATCTACCTGCCTCGGCCTCCCAAAGTGCTGGGATTACAGGCGTGAGCCACCGCACCCAGCCCTTTACATGGCATTTGTAAAGCACCTAACAGAAAATAGAAATTTAATAAATGATAGCTATTTTAGGTAATTTTTCCACAATATATAACAGAGACATTGAGCCTGTCAAGTTAACCTTTGTCTTATAGTAGCAGCCGAGTACAAATATCCTTTAAGAGGAATGTAACTTCTGACTTTGAAGTGTGACTCTTATTTGCTTTGAATCCATCATAATGTGGAAAATACAGACTGTTTAAGCAGCTAGAACGTAGTATTTTTTGGATCTTCATTTTGGATTTGAACTTCACACAGGCCTATTCTTTTAGGGCCACAGACTGAACTCCCACCCGCCTCACAACCATCTTACAAATAGGTGCCATTACTCACAAATGGGATCAAATGAGAAAATAGTTCAATACAGCTCATACAGTAATTACTCTGTATGTGAGAAAAAAAATCAAGGTTTGAATATCTTACTGATGGCTTAACTTTAACTTCATATTCAAAGCTAAGATGTTTACTTAGTAAAGACCAAAATGTAAAAACGGTACTAAGCAATATCTAAAATCTTTTTTTTTTTTCTTTGAGACGGAGTTTCACAGGCTGGAGTGCAGTGGTGCAATCTCACCTCACTGCAACCCCCGCCTCCCAGGTTCAAGCGATTCTCCTGCCTCAGCCTCCAGAGTAGCAGATTACAGGCATGTGCCACCACGCCCAGCTAATTTTGTATTTTTAGTAAAGATGGCGTTTCTCCATGTTGGTCAGGCTGGTCTTGAACTCCCGACTTCAGGTGACCCGCCTGCCTCAGCCTCCCACAGTACTGGGATGACAGGCATGAGCCACCGTGCCCGGCCGTAGAATTGTTTTTATAAGTTTCTACAAATAGCACTGTTTTCATAGTAACTTCTTTGCCTGTGAACAATGGATAACTGTTCGTGCTGAAGACTCAATGGTGTTTACCTAAAGAACAGCGTAGAAGTACAGTTTTTCTTGCCCACCCCCGGGTCTTATTTCTGAAATGGCTGCCAACACCTCAAACTGGTAGATCTGGGAAATTCAAGGATACCAATACAGGCATGTTTTTCTTTCCTTGCCAAAAACTTTAGTTGTTTTGGGCTTGCCTCTCTGTGTCCTCTACCTGGAGAGAGGCAGGGTGGGATGGATCTTCCGAAGGAATGTTAATCAAGTTTCTTGCTCACTAACCTTGATGTTCCTGTTGTGTTGGTATGTTGCAATCAATCTAGATCTGTTCAAGTTAGTAAATGCTTACTGGGGTGAAGAGATTGTTGTGGTTTGTGACAAGGCCAAATTCAGGTTTTGGACCCCAGACAATCACATGGCATTCGGATTTATTCATGTATTCCTTGTTCTGTTTTAAGAACATATCAGTGATCTAGAGTTTTGATATCACACATACAGATAGCTAGGGCTGTTTGGAGTTGTGGTTCCAGGAATGTCCCATGTAATTTGAAGGTTTTAATGACTACTTACTATGTTTTGAAGTATTGCATGATATAAAGTGAATCTATAAACTGTCCCCTTATTAATATATAATATGGGAATATTTTTGGCTAGAAAGGAATTGAACTGAATTAAATGAGAATGTGTTAAATGAAGGCTTGTGTTCAGTATTTGGATATGAAAATTCTGTTTCCTGGAAAAGGTGTTTCTGTCTTACTGCTGCGTGCCTAGTGCCTGGATCACTACCTGGCATGTGGAGCACCTCTTAGTGAATATCTGTTGAATGAATGAATGAATGAATGGCTCTGAGTCTAGATGTAGGGTAATGATGAGAGAGAATGAGATAGAAATAAAACCAGGAGTATTTTGCTTTCCTTAGTAACTTACTGATTTTCCCCAATTATAAATAAGCCTATATATATGCCTTCTTACATTGTACCAGTATACCCTCCTTCTTTTTTTTATTTTGAGACAGGGTAGAGTGCAGTGGTATGATCTCGGCTCACTGCAGCCTCTGCCTCCTGGCCTCACGTGATTCTTCCACCTCAGTCTCCCAAGTAGCTAGGACCACATGTGCGCGCAACCATACCTTGCTAATTTTTGTTTTTGTAGAGATGGAGTTTTGCCATGTTGCCCAGGCTGGTTTCAAACTCCTGAGCTCAAGCCATTCACCTGCCTCAGCCTCCCAAAGTGCTGGGATTACAGGCACATGCCACCACATCTGACTAATTTTTGTATTTTTAGTAGAGATGAGGTTTCACCATGTTGGCCAGGCTGGTCTCGAACTCCTGACCTCAGGTGATTTGCCCGCCTTGGCCTCCCAAAGTGCTGGTATTATAGGCATGAGCCACCGCGCCCAGCCATCCGCCCTGTCTTCGTAACAATATGAAAATGCCAGTTTCTCTACAGAATTTGATTATTAGCATTTTTTTCTTTCAGTTCAGTCTCAAATTATGATGAAGCATTTGAGATTTTAACAATATTCAAGGAGAATTTTTTTAGTTTTCAGAAATTAGGTAAATCAAGATGTCCCTCTGATAACAATCCCTAGAAAGGAATAGTCTCAGGTCATATTTCTTGAATTTGTATGTTCCTCCTTAAAATTGGAACCCTTCAATACAAAAACAAACAAACACTTTCTTTCAATTGTCCAAAACATTTTCAAAGAAAATTCTTATTCTTCTCTTTGTAATTTATGTAGTTCATAAAGCAAGTACCTGCCCTTTTGCTACCAAGGTATAAATGCCTCATTGGATAATATAGGGCCGTGTGTGTGTGTGTGTGTGTGTGTGTGTGTGTGTGTGTGTGTGTGTATTAAGAAAATATAATTGTCTTCAGTATCTTATCGAATGGGAGGATTTTAAAAATATAACATGGTTTAATCTGCTTAGAAACATATTTCATGCTTAAGGCTGGGCATGGTGGCTCACGCCTGTAATCCCAGCACTTTGGGAGGCTGAGGTGGGAGGATCATGAGGTCAGAAGTTCAAGACCAGCCTGGCCAAGATGGTGAAACCCCGTCTCTACTAAAAATACAAAAATTAGCTGGGCGTGGTGGTGGGTGCCTGTAATCCCAGCTACTCGGGAGGCTGAGGCAGAGAATTGCTTGGACCTGGGAGCTGAGATCACGCCACTGCACTCCAGCCTGGGCTACAGAGCAAGACTCTGTCTCAAAAAAGAAAAAAGAAAAAAAAAGAAACGTATTTTATGCTTAATACAGAAACTTGATAAATACAACAAAATCAAAAAGGGGGGAAATTGCCATTAATTGGGAAAGATTTTACTTTTTTAACTTGAAGTTTTTTTTTTGCATTTCTGCCTAACCTAAAAGGTCAGGTTTTTGTACCTTGGAGAAGGAAATTATAAATGCCCAAGAATAAGATATTTAAATTGAAAATCTACTTTAGCTTTTCTTTTTATCTTTTTGTTTTTTTTCCCTCTGAGAACCTCAATTTTTTATGCTTTAGCTTTTCTTAAAACATAACATTTAGCATAGTAAAGAATTTTAATAGCTATGTAGATAAGAATGAAAGAGGTGAATTATATGCTTGTTAAATTAATCTAACTGCCTCTTTTACCATCTTTACTATAGATTATTATCCGGTATTAATTGTCATCCTTTTATTCAGTCCTTGATCCCAAAGTAAGAAGAATTGATGAGGATATGTGCATTGTGTTATGTCTGATCACAGTTTGACTAGCACAGTCTGGAAGTGGGTTGTACAGGATGAGAGAGAGAAGCCTAATTGCTCTCCCAGCATCAGCAGCATCTATAAAGCATCCTGGGAATTGCTTGCCCTACGTTCAGAGCAGCTGGTCACATGAGCCTGAATTTTCAGTTCAGTTCATTAGTCAGCCATTTTGGTCAACACCCTGCTTACTGCGCACGGCCAATCCTATGAGAACTCAGCATCCCAGCTCATCTGAGCAGATCCTGGAAGTGATTTCTGCAGCTCAGGATTTTTTTTTTAAGCTACATTGAAAATATAGGTTTATTTTTTGTTCAGGTTTTTCTTTTATATTTTTTTTCTGCACAAAGGAGGAGGATTTTTCACTTACTCATATCGAGGCCAGATTTTTAAAGCCAGCTAAGGCAGCATCAGCTGTGCGGGATTTAAAGCCTATAGCTCAGCTGAAAAAAAAGGTGGGGGGCAGGGAAGGGAAGATAAAAGGAGAGGAAGCTGGGAGAAGACAAGCATCATCTTATTTTGCTATGTGGTAGGAACTGTCTATAAGATAGTGTAGAATTGTTTATCTTGAGCAGTTTGTTCTTAACCTATAAGGTATTTTTCCTTTTTTTTTTTTTTAAACCTCCCCCACCCTTTTCCTGAAAGCTTTGTTTCAGAGCTTTGTATTGGGTTTTTTTGGTGAGGAGGTTGTATTTATTTTTTTGGTGTGTGTGTGTGAGTGTGTGTGTGTCTGTGTGTGTGTTGTGGTCCCAGCTGAGTCATCATGTCTGCTCTGACGCCTCCGACCGATATGCCAACCCCCACCACTGACAAGATCACACAGGCTGCCATGGAGACCATCTACCTTTGCAAATTCCGAGTGTCCATGGATGGAGAATGGCTCTGCCTGCGAGAGCTGGATGACATCTCACTTACACCTGACCCAGAGCCTACCCATGAAGGTATGGTCAGATCCTGTCCGCTAGTATTTCACCAGCATCCTCATTGTTATGGGGGAGGGCTGGGAGGATCAGGGAGAGGTAGAAAGAACCTACACTCTCAACTGTTAACAGTCCTGAAAACCTTGCATCCTTACTTACCACCCAGCTCCCCTTCTCTTGCTCATGGGGGAAAGATAATTTTTTTTCTTGCCCCTTTAGGTATCCTTTCAAAAGATGCTGGATACTCGTTTAGAGTTCTTTGTCTTTAAGCCTCTAAATAAAACATTTGAGGTCACTTATCACATCTGATTCTATTCAATAATGAGAAAGCTATTAATTTTGTTCATATATGAAAATGTTATAGAAATTGTAGTGATTTATAACACTAAGTTAAGACAACATGACTATAATTATAGGATTGTACATGATGAATACAGTAGAAACACCAGGGTATTTGGTAATGGTATCCTCACCATTATATGAGGATACAATTTTAAGCAAGTTATGACATCTAGGAAATGTTTGATAAAACATTTTTTTAACAATATGGATTATTAGGTTAGATGAGAAAATAACTTTTCAGCATTTATTTATTGAATATGGACTCCTAAGAAAGCATAATGCCTGGAAAGGTTAAATATGATTAATATGGCATCCCTATAGATTACAATAGAATGGTAATATTGGAATCTATTGGCCATTGCTTTTTATAAATTATTTGTGGTAACTATTATGATCCATTTGAGATTTCCACTGTCAGTACCTCTGAGATCTTTGTGGTCTCTTGACTTGCGACTTTTTTCCAGGACTCTTGCTAATTTATGAGAGGTTTTCTGCTTCTACCCTTTAATTCTCTTAATACCACAGAAAGAGAGCTGATTTGAATCATAGCTACAAATCGTTTTGTTTTTAATACAGTTGCTTCTTAGCTAAGGTTTATTCTCTGTCCTTATACTGATGAAAAAAAACAAAAAACGCTTGCATATGAGGAGAAATTCTTTATAAACATCTGCCTGATAGTTAGGCACATCGACAGGACAAAGAAGACCATAGGTGAATTGTACCTAGCAGATGGGGTTAGGAAAGGTGATTCTCTGCCTTTGACCTTGAGTTGAAATCTTATCATGACTCAGAATTTTCCCATTGTGTTTGATAAGCATTTTATCTTCCCAGTCAGCCTTAGCCTTGAGAAAGTTTTAGGGATGGTTAATAACACAGAACACAAAGCAGTCATTTTGGGTGTGTCTTTAAGAACAATGTTTAAGTGGTTTTTAAGACCCTTTGCATCTTTTAACAATTGGTTTGTTAATTAGACAGCTTTCTTTGGCTGTATGTTTCGTTATGTGCACAAGTTATAAGACATCAGCTGAAATTCCATGCAATGCCAGTACTATTTATTTTTTATTATTATTTTATTCTATATTTTCATCAAAACATCGTTACATCCAACAATTCCAGTACTACTTAAAACAGCCTCCAAAGCTTTAAAAGTCTTTAGGGAAGAAAAATACAGTTTTAGAAGGCTACCAAGAAGTCTTCTGGCAACTGCCTCAGTTTACATATTTTGTTTGAAAAAAATGTATTCCCGTCCAATTTGAGAGTTATACAATATGAAATATTCCCTTTATCATGAAATCTAGTTTACCAGTGTCTCAAAAATAATTTTTAACAATTTTAACACCTCAAATATATGTTTTTGGAGCAGGATTCCTATGGATAAGCAAAAGTGAGCTGTTTGGTTCATGTAAGCGTTTTTAGCAGCGCCATTTGAATTCTTCATAGAGAAATCTGTAGCAACACATTTCTCAGTATGGAAAATGTGTGAGAGCTATAATCTAAGTAATAAATTGTATGTCTGCTGATTAAAGAAATCAGATAAATACAGAGTTTCCAAGACCTGTAATCAACTATAGAGGATTTGGAAGAAAATAGAGAAATGCCGACAGTGCATTTTAGAATTTTGCCTTAAATTGGGCAAGAAAGCTATTATTTTAAATTACTAGAAATGAAAATAAAGAAAGCATAGTCCCATGAAAGCCTGTGAGTATTACTGCCTTGCTCCATTACCAAACTCTGGATATTTAAACAGTCATTTGGTCCCAAGAAATACCCACTTTTATGTTAATACCACTGATAGTTATTAGATTTAATTTAGCTATAAGCATTTAAGTGGTGGTCACCAGGCCCATGATTATGTGAATCTCACCTTGTTCACAAAATGGAACTCCTGATGTCTGGACGCGGGAGTATTCAGACTGCTTTCCGGGCTGATTCACAGAGGGAAAAACATCTGACCACCCAAATCCTAGAGTGAAGTCTCCTCACTCCCACAAAAGAAAATAGGCAAACAGCATAATGTTCCCTCTTAAAATGATGTAGACTGACTGTGTGTACTCAGCAATAGAGGCTCTGTGGCTTCCATATTTTATTTTCTTAAAACCAGAGTTCCTGGCCCTTCACTGAGCAGTCCGCAGTATAGGCCTGGACCTAGAGTTTCTGCCTACTTTAACCCTTAAATAAATGAAAATAAAAGCATTCACTTCATTATCTCAATGCTTATTGGTGGTCAATGAGGGATTATCTCTCTTTTGTCTTATATACTCTTTTTTTTTTTTTTGAGACAGAGTTTTGTTCTTATTGCCCAGGCTGGAGTGCAATGGCGCAATCTTGGCTCACTGAAAACTCTGCCTACCGGGTTCAAGCGATTCTCCTGCCTCAGCCTCCCAAATAGCTGGGATTACAGGCATGCGCCACCACACCCAGCTAATTTTTGTATTTTTAGTAGAGACGGGGTTTTTGCATGTTGATCAGGCTGGTCTCGAACTCCCAACCTCAGGTGATACACCCTCCTTGACCTCCCAAAGTGCTGGGATTACAGGTGTGAGCCACCATGCCCGGCTTATATACTCTTATTTTCAAAAGCCAACAGCAAATCTACAACAAGTTTAATTGCAAATAGATTTCCCCTAAAGGCAAGAGCCTGTGATTGACTCCACAGGAGAAGGGTCAGGAGAGGCTTCATTAAGTGAGACCTTAAGAGATAAACAGGTGATCACCAGACCGACATAGGGAGGGCATTTCAAACAGTACACAGTGAGCTGGCCCAGCCAGGGAATAGCAACAGGAGCACAGAGGGCTTCTGTTTGGCACAACAGGGAGCAAGACTGGAAAGATAAGCAGGGGCTTGACTGTAGAAATCTTATTCATACTGAAAAGCCTGCACTTGATTCTGTAGTGAAAAGCTACTGGTGCTTTATGTCTGGGAGTAACATAAAATAAGATTTGTGTTTGGAATGATCACTCTGGCAACAGTGTAGTGAATGGATCAGAAGGATATAAGCTCTCAGGGACCCCTAACTATAACTTTTAAAATGGTCTGGGTAAGAGATGACAATCTCACATTAAGGTAGCAAGAGTGAACACCAAAGGAACAATCCCTGGAAAAGCAGAATGTACCCGATGACTGAGGGGCTGGGTGGCTGGAGAATGAACATAAGGCAGTGCCTGGGATGACTCTCCAACTTCTGGCTGCAGAAGCTAGGTTCCCTTTACCAGTAGGGAATATAGAAGGAAGAGAACATTTGAGTTGTTGATGCTTAATAGATTGTGACTAACAAAAGCACTACCATCACTCTTTTTTTTCTTTTTTTTGAGACAGTTTCGCTCTTATTGCCCAGGCTGGAGTGCAATGGCGCTATCTCAGTTCACTGCAACCTCCACCTCCCAGGTTCAAGCAATTCTCCTTAACTCAGACTCTCCAGACTCCCCAAGTAGCTGGGATTACAGGCATGCGCCACCACGCCCAGCTAATTTTGTATTTTTAGCAGAGACAGGGTTTCTCCATGTTGGTCAGGCTGGTCTCGAACTCCCGACCTCAGGTGATCGCCCGCCTCAGCTTCCCAGAGTGCTGGGATTACAGGCGTGAGCCACCGTGCCCCGCCCATTACTCTTTCAGTTGAGCCTTCTACCCGCCCCACAGAAGCATTAATCAGATTTATACTTTTCCAGATTACATATCCTGGCTTAAGTCTGTACCCTAATTTACATTAAGAGTTGGAATCCTCACATGGAAAGGCGGGGGTGAAGATAAAAGGAGTGAGACTTAAATGGACATTCAGAGATGTGAGAATGTGGCTTACTTTCTTACTTTGCTTGTGCCATGTCAGTGCTAGAGGAGCAGCCTTGTTTATAGAAAATTCATTTTGCATTTTCTTAATTTAGGGAAACATGTACCACCATTGAAATAACCTCTCAGACTTTTGTTTGTTTGTTTGTTTTACTTTGTGAAAGCGTAGTGGGATTTCTTTCCTTTTTTTTTTTTTTTTTTTTAACCGAAGCAATGTTGGAAGTAAGTGGAATTTCAAAGTAAAGGAACTTTTAAAGCACCATGAAAATTTTAGAGAACATGTGTTCTCTGTTTTTTTCAAGAATGGAAGCAGAACGCTTCAGTTAGACCTTTAAGCATCATTATATTAATTTCAGAAATGGTGTTATTACTGAGATGAAGTGGTATATTTTATTTTTGCGATTTTTTTTAAGTCACATGCTCATATGTATCTGAATTTCTTGGAGTAACATTCTCAAAACAAGTTACATATAATTCTAGGATCAGGAAAGTAATAACTTTTTTTTTTTTTTTTTTTGAGACAGAGTCTCACTCTGTTGCCCAGGCTGGAGTGCAGTGGCGAGTTCCCAGCTCGCTGAAACCTCTGCCTCCCAGGTTCAAGCGACTCTCCTGCCTCAGCCTCCCTAGTAACTGGGATTACAGGCAGACGCCACCACGCCTGGGTAATTTTTGTATTTTTAGTAGAGACGGGGTTTCACCATGTTGGCCAGGCTGGTCTTGAACTCCTGACCTCAGGCGATCCACCCACCTTGCCCTCCCAAAGTGCTGGGATTACAAAAAATTAGCTGGGCGTGGTGGCGGGTGCCTGTAATCCCAGCTACTCGGGAGGCTGAGGCAGGAGAATCGCTTGAACCCAGGAGGCAGGGGTTGCGGTGAGCCGAGATCGTGCCACTGCACTCCAGCCTGGGCAACAAGAGAGAAACTCTGTCTCAAAAAAAAAAAAAAAGATTTTTTTAAAGAAATTCACCAATACATGTTATGTATACGCATGTCCACATACGTGAAGGGCAGGGATAGTATTACCTTCAGTATTATTGAGTGTTTAACAACAAAACCAACTATAGCTATGACTCAGTTTATAACACGTTTACCCTTAATAAGTTTACCTAATTAGAAATGTATATGTTAATAAAAATTTTTACACTTTAAAGAGGATTTTTAAAGAATGAAATCCTGACTCATTTGTTGTCTCAAGTGACTACAGATACCCCTTGAATTAAGATGGGGTTATGTCCTGAGAAACTCATCCTAAGTTGAAAATACCATAAAATGAAAATTCACTTAACACACCTACTCTACTGAACTTAATAGCTTAAGTAGCTTAGCCTCTCTTGCCTTAAACATGCTTAGAAGACTTAAATTAGCCAACAGTTGCGCAAAATCATCTGGCAGCACAGTACCCTGTAGCGTATTGGTTGTTTACCCTGATCTGTGGCTGATCGTGTGGCTGACTAGGATGGTGTGGCTGACTGGGAGCTGCGGCTTGCTGCCGCTGCGCAGCATCGTGAGAGAGGATCACCTGGCGTATTGCTAGCTCGGGAAAAAATCAAAATTCAAAATTTGAAGTAGGGTTTCTACTGAACACATATCACTTTCTCATCGTTGTAAAGTTGAAATATCGGAAGTTGAACCCTCATAAGCCAGGGACTGTCTGTGAATTGAAATTAGCCTAAAAGACAGCAGTAGTATCATATTTCAAAAAAGAAAATGTTATTTTGCATATACTGCCTTTACTCTGTAAAGTGTTTCAGACAGATTTTTTTAAAATATAATTTGTGATCTAAGTCCAATTCCTTGTTCTTAAACTAAATGTCCAGCTTTTGGTCTATTTTCTTTTTTCTTCCACATTCCTACTCTCTGTTATCATTTTTCGGATATTTATATGGTTTGAGTGGCAGGCAAGTTAAAAATCGCAATTTAAAATAATTTTTGTGTGCTTTTCAAAGTGAAGCTAAGTTGGATTTTTTTAAATAAGACTTTTTTCCGATTACAAAAGGAAATTTGTTGTGGAGATTTGGATATTTCTTTTTTTTTTTTTTTAAATGAGGCCTTGAGATTTGGAAATTTCTAAGTAGAATTTTGACACAGAATTCAAAATGACTGAAGAAATCTGCTGGATACCTAATGAGTCTCTTTAGAGTTGGGTGGATAAATTAGTCAATGGAAAACTTTATTGCTGTCAATATGGGGTATATTTGAGAACAGTAAAGGAATTAGTACAATAATGGGGTTGATTTGGCAATTCGTGTTTTAGCTACTGTGATGGTCATTAATTTAGAGATAATATAGGATAGTGGTTAAAAGTATGGATTTTGTGGCTTGGACCTGGACCTGGATTCAGTTCCTTACCCAGTACTCAGTAGTCATGTGACGTTGCACAAGTGATCACTTCATGCTTGAGTTTTTTTGTTTTTTTTTGAGACAGAGTCTCACAGTGTCACCTGGACTGGAGTGCAATGGCACGATCTCAGCTCACTGCAACCTCCACCTCCTGAGTTCACACAATTCTCCTGCCTCAGCCTCCTGAGTAGCTGGGATTACAGGCGCATACCACCACACCCAGCTAATTTTTTGTATTTTTAGTAGAGACGAGGTTTCCCCATGTTGGCCAGGCTGGTCTCGAACTCCTGACCTCAAGTGATCTGCCCACCTCTGTCTCCCAAAGTGCTAGGATTATAGATGTGAGCCATCATGCTTGAGTTTTTCTCTCCTCTTAACTGGGAATATTAACGGTAACTACTTCAGAGGTTAGGAGGATTAAATGAGATACTTAATGTAAAGCACCCTATAAATGGTAGCTATTTATATTAGTAGTTATTCATGAAGCAGTAGCTGAAGCCACAGCAGTTTAAGCCGGATTCTTCAATACATTGCCATTTTATTTTATATTTCTATTTTTATATCTATCTTTATAGAGTAGTCTGAACAAGTTATTTATCAGACTAAAGATGAACATTAGTAGTAGCTTAAACTCAAGTTTTAGCATTGTCCTTTCTTGGACCTCTATAAATAAGAAAATAATTGATTAAAAATCCACAAGTTATCAGTTATCCAGGAATATGCATTTTTGTTTCTTTCGTTTTTTTTTTTTTTTTGAGATGGAGTCTCGCTCTTGTCACCCAGGCTGGAACACAGTGGCGCAATCTTGGTTCACTACAACCCCTGCCTCCCCAGTTCAAGCGATTCTCCTGCCTCAGCCTCCCAAATAGCTGGGATTACAGGCACCCACCACCATTTCTGGCTAATTTCTGTATTTTTAGTAGAGACAGGTTTTCACCATGTTGGCCAGGCTAGTCTTGAACTCCTTGAACCTGCCTCGGCCTCCCAAAGTGCTGGGATTACAAGCGTGAGCCACTGCACCCAGCCAAAATATGTGCTTTTCTATTAACCTTCTTTTAGGGATAAGGAGTCTGACATTGAGAGGTGATGCACAGATGATCAGTTGAATGCAATAAAATATACATCTGGCCTGATTAGTTACTTTCCGCTAGGAATTATTTACTCCAAGTGTTAAAAATGTATTCTCTCATTTAATTTTTACAACAACCTTTTGAGCCTAGGTACAACTATTACCCCCAATTTACAAATAAACTGACATTTGGCCAGGCGCGGTGGCTCACACTTGTAATCCCAGCACTTTGGGAGGCTGAGGCGGGTGGATCACCTGAGGTCAGGAGTTCAAGACTAGCCTGGCCAACATGGTGTACTAAAAATACAAAAAAAAAAAAAAAGATTAGCTGGGCGTGGTGGCAGGTGCCTGTAATCCCAACTACTTGGGAGACTGAGGCAGGAGAATCACTTGAACCTGGGAGACAGAGGTTGCAGTGAGCCGAGATTGCACCACCGCACTCACTCCAGCCTGGGCGACAAGAGTGAAACTCCATCTCAAAAATTAAAAAAAGTAAAATAAGCTGACATTCAAGGGTGTAATAACCGGTAGAGGCAGGATTCAAACTCAGACTACCAATGGTTCAACCCATACACAACACTCCTGTCCCAGAATTCTAGAGTGTAAGTCCAACAATAGGCCTGCGTGTAATAAGAGGAGTCTTCTTCCCAGTCTCTGATGACATATTTGCAGAAGTTTTATACACAATTGAACACAGCATTGGCAGCTTAAGTACAGTCAGCATGCAGATAAGGCCAAAAGCATCCCAGCTGGGACATGCTTGGTGATTGCCATCTTTTTTTTTTTTTTTTTGAGACGGAGTCTCGCTCTTGTCCAGGCTGGAGTGCAGCTGCGCGATTTCGGCTCACTGCAACCTCCGCCTCCTGGGTTCAAACAATTCTCCTGCCTTAGGCTCCTGAGTAGCTGGGATTACAGGTGCCCGCCACCATGCCCGGCTAATTTTTGTACTTTAGTAAAGAAGGGGTTTCATCATGTTGGCCTAGGCTTGTCTTGAACTCTTGACCTCAGGTGATCTGTCCACCTTGGCCTCCCAAAGTGCTGGGATTACAGGCGTGAGCCACCAAGCCTGGCCAGTGATTGCCATCTTTTAAAGTGGAGACTGAGTTTTTTGTCCACATGTTTTCTTTTTCCTCTTTTCACTCACTTTTATAAAGTAAATGAAAATATTTACATAATCGTGCATATACTACCAAACAGCAAAAATAGTACACTGCTGAAACTGACCTGGCTGGCAAGTGACACCTCTATATGCTAAATTTAGCTTTCTGAAGCAGATGTACAAAAGCAATAAGAAAAGCAGTTTTGTTTTGTTTTTGTTTTGAGACAGAGTTTCGTTCTGTTGCCCAGTCTGGAGTGCAGTGGCGCAGTCTCGGCTCACTGCAACCTCTGCCTCCCAGGTTCAAGTGATTCTCCTGCCTCAGCCTCCTGAGTAGCTGGGACTATAAATGTGCACCACCATGCCCGGCTAATTTTTGTATTTTTAGTGCAGACAGGGTTTTGCCATGTTGGCCAGGCTGGTCTTGAACTCTTGGGCTCAAGCGATCACCCGCCTCAGCCTCTGAAAGTACTGGGATTACAGGCATGAGCCACCGCACTTAGCCTGAAAAGCAGTTTGTGATAGCAGTAATGTTCACGATTATGGATTGTTTGAAATAGTAGCTACAGGTAATCATTATTCTTTTAGCCAAGCATTCTCATGCCCTTCTTTGGATGATTTTTTCAATGTTTTTTCAAACTCCTTTTCAACATACTTACCTGTTCCAGTCAGACTGTGCTTCAGTAAAATCCTGATTATTCTTTTTGTTTTACTATTCTGACTTGTGATTCTTCATGCCCGTGTTATATCAGGAAGGGTAATGGACCCCTGACTCCCTTCATCTACAAGTCCTTCTCTAACAGATCTCACACCTTTCATGTCCTGAATCACTGGTTAGCATCTGGGACATTTGTTTGAATATGCTAGAAATCATTCCCCAGTTATTTAATTCATGGGATTCCTTATTTCTGAAATTATATAGAAAGTTCTTCAGGGCAAACCTTTTCTTTGGCGTTCTTCAGAAGGCCCCATGGTACTGTGTACTATTTATCGTAGATATCCAACAAACTTCTGGTGAACTCAGTGATTCCCTATTACTCCATAAAATCATTTTAAAAGAAAGGATTTGCATGTTACTGTAAAGACACATGCACACGTATGTTTATTGCGGCACTATTCATAGTAGCAAAGACTTGGAACCAACCCAGATATCCATCAATAATACACTGGATAAAGAAAATGTGGCACATATACACCATGGAATACTATGCAGCCATAAAACAGGATGTGTTCATGTCCTTTGCAAGGACATGGATGAAGCTGGAAACCATCATTCTGAGCAAGCTATCACAAGGACAAAAAACCAAACACCGCATGTTCTCACTCATAAGTGGGAGTCAAACAATGAGAACACATGGATACAGGGAAGGGAACATCACACACTGGGGACCTGTCGGTGGGTAGGGGGCTGGGGGGAGGGATAGCATTAGGAGAAATACCTAATATAAATGACGAGTTGATGGGTGCAGCAAACCAACATGGCACATGTATACCTATGTAACAAACCTGCACGTTTTGCACATGTACTCCGGAACTTAAAGTATTAAAAAAAATAAAAAGCCAGGTGCAGTGGCGGGCGCCTGTAATCCCAGCTATGTGGGAGGCCGAGGCAGGAGAATCACTTGAACTCGGGAGGCGGAGGTTGCAGTGAGCCAAGATCGCGCCACTGCACTCTAACCTGGGCAACAGAGTGAGACTCCATTTCAAAAGAAAGAGAGAGAGAGAGAGAGAGAGGAGAGAGAGAGAGAGAGAGAGAGAGGGAGGGAGGGAGGGAGGGAGAGAGAGAGAGAGAGAGAGAGAGAGAGAAAGAAAGAAAGAAAAATGGATTTTGTCTTCCTCCATTACACACAATTTAATTTATGGTTTCTAATGTTTTCTTTATTTTTAATTGTTTATCTCATATTCTGGACCGACTGTATATTATTTGGAAAATATAAGTTTAGAATAATGTAATAATTTGTTGTTTAAATATATCTTAATAATACGTAGTATTGATAAAAATATGGGACGACTTGGGGCCTCTGCTAGTGGGAATGTGCATTGGTACATCCTTTATAGAAATCATTTTATCATTGTGAATCAAGGACCTTAAAAAATTAATTCTCAGTAATTGTACCAGACACCTATCCTAAGGAAATAATAAGAGATACAAACAAAAAGTTTATGTATGTACTGTATATTTATCACGGTATTCTGACTTCCTGTAACACACTCTTGAGAGCAACTTAAATAGCCTAAGAGGAAAATTATTCAATAAGTTGTAGAACACCTTACACTAAAAATTATTGTGGAACAATATTTGATGTGTAGGGTAATGTTTGGATATAACTTTAAAAGCTGTCTCTTAAGCTGCATATTTACTATAGTCACAATTTTTTTAAGTATAGGTATACATAAACACAAGTAAAAGGAAATGTATCAAAAATATAAAAATTGATTATCTCTGGATAGTGGAATTATGGGTGATTTTTATAATATTCTTTATATTTCTTTATATCTCCCAAATATTCTACAAGAGGACATATTACTCTAATATGAAAACAAATGTTCCTTTTTCAAAGGAAAAATCTTTATGAAAATTAACGGGTGTGCAATCATCCATCCAACAGATATTTGTATTATATATCAGTACCTTCTATGACAGTTTCACACATCTGTGAGTGGGAACATTTGCCTCACAGCAGAGCTACTGCTTTAGATTCAATTTCCATTATAATTTTTTAATATTTCTATTAGGCATTTTATTTTGGGTTTTTTTCAAACACAGACCTGTGTTTATTTACTGGCATGCTCTGTTTTCATAGCTGTTTAAATGCTGTTTGCAGTGTATGGGGTGGCCCACAGTGTCTAGATTTAGAAGCATTTACAGCATTTGATTTATTCCTTTCCTAAGTGTTTGGAAAATAAAACCTGAGTCATTGGGATTCTCTTTTTCACAGAATTGTGTTATTGTTCTTTGCTTTCACTGTGGCACACCCCCTTTTGTAATTGGCCCTTGGTGAGATTACAGAAACATTTGTTGCCACCAGTGCAGTCAGCCTTAGATTTACACTGTCAGGTTCTCTGAGCTGTGATTATGTGTTCAGAAGGCAGTCTCAGTGAACTTCTCAAAGTGAGAAGGTTGTAGCTTTTAATACAGTCTCAGAAGCCTATGGGACAAAGTTTTCTGGACACGGTTCATCCCTTCTTGTTGCTCTGCCCTGAAAATAACCTGGCTAGTCACCCTTTCAAGGTAAGTTTTACCCACTTAGCTTCCAGGATTTTGTAAAATTCTAAATCTGGGTGAGAAATATCAGTAGCTCTGTACTTGTATGCCAGTTCCTATCTAAACCACGAAAGAGGTGCATGCTGCCTCTGATCTGACCGTAACATACTCTGCATAAAATCAGCTTTTCCTTCCTGTTTCAGGACTACTTTCAGTTTCTTCCTGTCTCTTTGATACTCTTGCACTAGCGTTGGCTTCAGTGCACTGTCATTAACCACAGTGCCTTACAGTATTTTCTTCTATTGGTGAGCCTTTTCTGGACCTTTCGTGAAACAGAGCTTCTACTTGAATCTTTAATTTGTGCCCTTCATAACAGAACTCACATTAACTCTTCTTTGGGTTATCAGCTTCTGACACCCAAGAGTCATTTGTCCTAAACTAATCACTGAAATATGAATCATTTTCCAAAAAGAAATGCTGTGCCAGAGAAGATAATTGCCACTCAGTGATAGAGCTCAGAACGGAATTCACGTTGTCAGATTCCCAAGCCTGAGTACCAACCAAGATCTGGTTGGAAAGAGCAAGTGCTGTCGTCTGAGAACATCCACCATATTCTGTACTCTTCAGTAGCTGTTCTGTGTTTTGCTTTTTTGATGGTGCCCCTCCTGAGGGGGAGGTGGAGAGTATATAATTGGGCATGTTTTTTCATTGTGGTTCCTCTAGTCCCCACCAGTCAACTGTGACTACTATGAAGTGCTTTTGAGTACAGGGCTGTAAATACTAAAATCTGTTCCTTTGCAATTTTTGGTATTTGAGCTTTTCCAGAGAACAAATAGAAGGATTTGATGAGCTTAGAAATACATGTGTAGAGGAACAGTGAAAAAGACTTCTTCCCAAATGGCTGCTAAGTAATTATATATTTTTCATCATAATTAAATATTCTCAAAATTGTATGTCAGTGTGTTGAAAATAGTGTTTTCAAAGAAAATATTGGCTGGGCGTGGTGGCTCACACCTGTAATCCCAACATTTTGGGAGGCCAAGGCAGGCGGATTGCTTGAGCTCAGGAGTTCAAGGCCAGCCTGGGCAACATGGCAAAACCCTATATCTACAAAAAAAAATAAAAATTAGCTGGGTGCTGCTGGGCACTGTGGCTCATGTCTGTAATCCCAGCACTTTCAGAGGTCGAGGCGGGTGGATCACCTGAGGTCAGGAGTTCGAGACCAGCCTGGCCAACCTGGTGAAACCCTGTCTCTACTAAAACTACAAAATATTAGCCGGGCATGGTGGCGGATACTTGCAATCTCAGCTACTCAGGAGGCTGAGGCAGGAGAATTGCTTGAATCCAGGAGGTGGAGGTTGCAGTGAGATGAGATCACATCACTGCACTCCAGCCTGGGCAACAAGAGCAAAACTTCATCTCAAAAAAAATTAGCTGGGTGTGGTGGTGCATGCCTGTGGTCCCAGCTACTCAGGAGGCTGACGTGGGAGGATGGGAAGATTACTTGAGCTCAGCAGGTCAAGGCTGCTGTGAGCTGTGATTGCGCCACAGTGCTCCACTGGGTGGCAGAGTTCAGACCCTGTCTCAAAAAAAAAAAAAAAAAGAAAAGAAAAGGAAAGAAAGAAATGTCTTTAGCATTATTATGTACAGATATTTTTAATGAAAACAACTTTAGTTATAGAGGTGATATATTTGCATTGTAAGTCACAAGATACAGAAAAGTATAAAAATGCAAAATAATAGAATGCACCTACATTTCAAATACCTAGGGATAACCACTGTTAAGATTTAGTATCAGATTCTCTTTTTCAATGTATACACTTTTTCAATGTATACACTGAAGGTTCACTTGCAAACTCAAAATTTTATACATGTAAGATCATACCACACCTGTGCTGTGTGACCTGCCTTTTTTCCTCTGCAATATTTTTCCATATGGGTAAATTGAAATTTTTGTCATTTTGTTTAATGTCTTCAGTTATTGGATGTGCTATAATTTCTTTTCTTTTCTTTTTTTTTTCTGAGACGGAGTTTTGCTCTTATTGTCTGGGCTGGAGTGCAATGGCATGGTCTCAGCTCACTGCAACCTCTGCCTCCCGGGTTCAAGTGATTCTCTTGCCTCAGCCTCCCAAGTAGCTGGGATTACAGGCGCTTTCGACCATGTCCGGCTAATTTTTGTATTTTCAGTAGAGACAGGGTTTCACCATGTTGGCCAGGCTAGTCTCAAACTCCTGACCTCAGGTGATCCACCCACCCTGGCCTCCCAAAGTGCTGGTATTACAGGCGTGAGCCACTGCGCCTGGCCTGGATGTGCCATAATTTCTTTGACTATTTCTTTATTACAGGCATTTAGGTTGTTTCTAAATTTTTCTACCCAAGACAGTTTTAGAAAAATTGTTATGTGTATAACTTGAATATTTAACCAATTTTTAGTTTTTAATTTTTATACACATTGCCAAACTACTTTAAACAATTAAAACAAATTTTGAATAGCATGGTATCATAAACTTTCATATTAGCTACTCATCAAAGCTTGGTTTTGTCTTTCCTGCTTGCAGTTGGTTGCGTTTTTCTCATGCTGTATTAACATCTGAAGTTTCCAAAAGATACAGTTGTGGTTTTCAAGACAGTTGGTTCAGCAGCTGAAAACCTCATGATATTACTTTCTCTACTTTTTTTTTTTAAGCTAACAGTAGTGTCCTAAGCAAAAGAGAGTTTTTACTGTTAATTGTGCAATGAGAAACTGCATGTTTTTCTAAGATTGCTAGAATTTGCTTTTTGGGATGAAAAAGCTGCATGCTGGGATTTCCTTTTTCTTTCTTATACAGATATAAAACTAAGAGTGTATGTGAGATGTACTACATTTTGTCTGAGAATCCCACAGTGTCCAGTCCTGTGGACAGCAGCTTCCCAGCTAAAGTATCTTAGAGACATTATCTCTGCCAGCATAGCCATTCCAGCATGAGAGCAAAGGGTCTACTGGTCAGGGCTTTCTTTCCTCATCCGCTCACCCCCCATCAGGCTCAGCCCTCCTTAGCGTTCTAGTGTCACCTAGCTGCTCACCTAAGAATCTGTTTTATCTTCACTTATGTCACTAATATTAATTCCTCTTTTTTTTTTTTTTTTTTGAGATAGGGTCTTGCTCTGTCAACCAGGCTGGAGTGCAGTGGTACCATCTCAGCTCACTGCAATCTCCACCTGGATTCAAGCAATTCTCCTGCCTCAGCCTCCTGAGTAGCTGGGATTGCAGGCACACACCACCACGCCTGGCTAATTTTTGTATTTTTAGTAGAGACAGGGTTACACCATGTTGCCAGGCTGGTCTCGAACTCCTGACTTCAAGTGATCTGCCTGCTTAGGCTTCCCAAAGTGCTGGGATTACAGACAGGAGCCACCATGCCCAGCCTATTAATTCCTTTTTTTTTTTTTTTTTTGAGATAGGGTTTCACTCTATCACCCAGGCTGGAGTGCAAGTGGTACAATCTCAGCTCACTCCAGCCTCCACCTCCCAGGCTCAAGCAATCCTCCTACCTTGGCCTCCCAAGTAGCTGGGATTAGAGGCATGCTGCACTACCACACCTGGCTATTTCTTTTGTATTTTTGGCAGAGACAGGGTTTCGCCATGTTGTCTAGGCTGGTCGCCGCCTCCTGGACTCAAGCGATCTGCCTGCCTTGGCCTCCCAAAGTGCTGGGATTACAAGCATGAGCTACCACGCCCAGCCTTAATTCCTTGTAAAGCTTATGTCATACTTATTTAGATCTCAAGGGCATTGTCTATGGGTGTTTCATCTTTTTTTTTTTTTTTTTTTTTTTTGAGACGGAGTTTTGGTCTGTCACCCAGGCTGGAGTGCAGTGGCACGATCTTGGCTCACTGCAGCCCCCGCCTCCCGGGTTGAAGCAATTATCCTGCCTCAGCCTCTGGAGTAGCTGGGACTACAGGCATGCGCCACCACGCCCGGCTAATTTTTTGTATTTTTGGTAGAGACAGGGTTTCACTGTGTTGGCCAGGATGGTCTTGATCTCCTGACCTCATGATCTGCCCGCCTCGGCCTCCCAAAGTGCTGGGATTACAGGCGTGAGCCACCGTGCCCAGCCAGATGTTTCATCTTTTTAACTTCCATTGCATTAGTAAAGTCTTTTGCTCACCATAAATGCTCAATAAATTTTATTTTATTTTATTTTTATTATTTATATTATTTGTTTTTATTTTATATTACTTTATTTATTTTTGGGTCTCACTCTGTCACCCAGGCTGGAGTGCCGTGGCATGATCATAGCTTATTGCAGCCTCAAACTCCTGGCCTCAAGAGATCCTCCTGTTTCAGTCTGTCAAGTAGCCTGGTCTCCCTATATTGAGTAGGCTGTTCTTGAACTCATGGGCTAGGCGATGCACCCACCTCTGCCTTCCAAAGTGCTGGGATTACAGGCATGAACCACCACACCCAGCCTCAGTAAAATTAAAATGGCTGAAGTGTTGATGACTTAATGTGTTACCTTTTCTAGGGCTATTTGTCTTTTTTTTTTTTTTTGCTGATATTTTTGTGGAGAAAGTAGACCTTGGCCCAAATTACTGGTTTATTAGAACAAAACCTCAAAGCATTTATGAAAATTAATATATGACAATTGCTTTGTTACCAAGCTAATAATACTATGGTTAGTTTAATAGCACCTCAGCTGTTAATTTGTCATTTGGTTTATTTAGGTTGACTAATTTTTTTTCCTGTTTTTAATATTTAGCTTAGCTGGCTTTTTAAAATTCCATTCACTCTATTGTCTTTGAATAATTACGGCAAATATAGAGAAATCCAGTTGTAAGTGTAAAGTTGACATTGAGTACCTATGCTTTGCTAAGTACTTCAAATTTATTAGCTTTTATTTTCACAATAGCCCTTCAAGGAGTTATATGTGATGTGTCTGGGTTTGGGGCTTCAGAAAGGTGTTGCCTTAAGAAACCATAATAAAATTCTAAAAATTAACACTAAATCAAAGACACTTGGTCTCAAGGGGACAAAATAACCCCCAGGCCTTGTAAAATCTGTCACTTGGTTGCCTATAGCAATACTGCTAGAGAAAGGCTACCTCAAGAAGAGATTTCACAACCATGGATACATAAACAAAGGCGAAGCATTTTTTAGCCCATTCAAGCACTTCCCTGTAGAAAAGGAGCTTCATTCAGCCAGTTGCCTCATCCAGAGAAAAAAGAAGTACAAGAGGGGCCAGGCTCACCTTCTACCAGACCATGTACTCCAGAACTTAAAGTATAAAAAAAAAAAAAAAAGCCGGGTGCAGTGGGGGACGCCTATAATCCCAGCTACTCTGGAGGCTGAGGCAGGATAATTGCTTCAACCCAGGAGGCGGAGGCTGCAGTGAGCTGAGATCGTGCCACTGCACTCCAGCCTGGGTGACAGAGAAAAACTCCGTCTCAAAAAAAAAAAAAAAAAAAGATGAAACACCCATAGACCTGTTTCAGGTCTAAGAATGAAAAAAAATCAATAGACTAATTATGTAGCTCTGAAAAGATTTAAGCTGGTGGCACTGTAAACATCTACCCTTAAGGTACATAGTGACTCAAAGGACCTTGAGGTATAAAAGAATGGCATGTTACCTATTGTAGTAAAGTCCTGAGCATGCCAAGGTAAAGTGGAGAACAGCTTTACATGGAAAAGACAGACCTTTTAGTTTCTGGGGGAGAAAAGTTCTCTTAAATTAATTGCATCACTCTGATACTTAAAACTTTAATCTCTGTTTTAAGAAGAAAACAGAAAATATGTCTGTTTGTAACAGAAAAATGTTCTAGATGGGATATGCCCAAGGAAAAGTCCGAGATCCCTGGTATCCACCACGCATTCCTACCTAGAAATTCACTTTCCAGAGCCTTTTTCTATACAAATCTTGGAGGCTCTTCATATTTTGCTTTACTAAGGTAGGCTTTTATCTTCATAGGTGACAAATAGAGTTTCTAATTAAATACAATACAATAAAGAACAAAATGGGAATATTCCCTCTATTGACTTTTGCAAGGTCACAGCAAGTCTGTAAAGTAATAATGTGGATGGTAAGAGTCCATTCTCATGAATCTGTAATCCTACATAATATAGATTTGTGGCACATTATATTGTCAAAGGATTGAACCTGAAAATGACTTCTGCAAATATGTCTATATATAATGTATTTCAGCACTAATTTACTATAAAATAATAGTAGCCAACTCACAGTATTTTTTTTTCTGTATGAGACACTTTCCATTTGCTTTACATATATAGACACATAATTCCAAAATTAAAAAAACCTCTGGAAATGAAAAGCATTTTTCACAAATTTGCCTGAACTTATTTGGTGTTACAACATGATGTGAATTTACTTGAGGCTATTTATAGTCTTTATTCTACTTAATCTGAATATTCATTTCCTGCAGAAATATTAATGTGCTTGATTGTAGGTTACTGCCTCAGATCCTGCTAGTTCTGTATGGTGAATAAACATCTGGCTTTATTGAATTATATGTGATTTATTTTGTGTATCTTCAAAGTAGCCTCCTTTATTTTTGTTTTGGGGAAGGAGAATTGGGGGAGGGGGAGTTGGAAAAAGTATTTGGATTTTTTTTTTTTTTAAGAAAAGTCACTAGTTTGCATCATAATATTTGTCCTGAATCTAAAAGAAATATATCGCACATACTTTTCAATTCCCTGAAGTGATCAAAATAATAGTTGAGTTAGATTAATGTCGCCTACACTTAGAATACAAAGAGCCTTTGATTTTCAATAGAAAAATAAATCTGTGTTGCTTTTTAATAGGATATGCATCTTTGTTTCCCTTTATTTGAAACTTTGAAATTGCTAATCTTAGCTTTGAAACATATTTAATAACCGTAGTTGCTATCTCTGCTTATTTGGTTGTACTCCCAGCCCTTGTCACTGTTAATCGCTGTGATAAGTAGAAAGAATCCTAGGAACCTCCCTTTCAGTTATCCCTTTGGAAATCTTGTTTTTAATAGCACTTTTCTTTCTGGGCTTGCATGACATTTTATCTTTCTTTTCCTTTCTTTTTGCCGTTTGCAAAGACTCTTGGGAGGATTTGACAGATTTGGTGGAGCAAATGCGCGATGATACAGAAGGTGCGTGCCACACCAACATCTTTCAGCTTTTTCTCCTTGCTTTTTAAAATTTTCTAACCACCTTTTAATTGTTTTCCGTAAGAGGAAATGTCAGCTTTAGGTTTTATTTCCCATGGCAATAAGTGGAAATCTTAATGTTTTGGTTCCAAGTAAAATAGTGTCAATGTATGTTTATGTTGCTTTTGAAAGATATTTGCTGAATAACGTGTTTAAAAGGGACATTATTTCAAGATTATATCAAGTTTTTGCCATGGCTGTTTTTTCACTTGTTTGTTGAGAAAGTGTAAATTTTATTACTCATGCAAATACATGTATATATATTTCTGTGAATTTCACAGCAGCCAAAAGCAAACAGATCCCAGGAATCTAGTGGTTGGCCTGGAATGTTGCTCTGATTTGTAGATTTCCATAACATTACACACTTAAGCTTTGTCATGTCATAGCATTCTTTTCTGGTGTAATTATTTTTTGTTAATTTTTTCTTCTTCATACAAGAGACTGAAACATGGAATGGTGTGATTATCTTTTTAAAGTAGCACACATGTTCTAATGTGGAAAGGTTCCCCAAACCAATCAGTGTTTCTTCTGTATCAAGGCAGCTAACTATAGGGAGCTCAGAGCGATTTACACATTTTATACTAAAAATAGAAAAATTGAGATTTGAATCTACTTTATCATTTTACATGTTCCCGCTTTGCTGTAGCACACACCCCTGACACACACACATCCACCACTCTGTCCAGACTGACCTTTCCTGCCCACCTCCTCCTCTCCTACTTTGTTCCTGTGACATCTCATGTATTTATACCCTTCCCCCTCCGCCTGTGCCACCTGCGAACCCTTCAGTCCTTATGGGATTTCCACAATTTACTCTTTGACAGCTTTGGCCCACATTCTTTTCTCCATTCACTTGCTGCTGCAGAACTTGGAGCTTAAGGAAGGCTTTTTACTTATTCTCTAATTCTTGTGTGTTTATCAACCTAGTTAAAGGGTAAACTCCTTGAGAACAGAGATTGTCTTAAACTTCTTGGTATCCTTAATCAGACCTGGGACGAGTACTGCCCTCAGTAGATCTGGTCATTACCAAACAAAATCAAGGCAGCTTTACCCTCTCTGTTGATGCCCAAGAGTATCTTCTGTTTCAGCCCTTGCCTTTGAATGTGTGAATTCTGAAATCCTGAGTGTCATCTCTTTTCCTTTGGTCAAACTATTTTTATGCCATCTTTGATTCTGCTTTTAATATAACTGATTACATATAGTTCAGTGAAAGAACAAATCAGTATTGTCTAGTTGATTGACAGTTCACAGACAAGAAAAAAGAGAAGGATGTTGATTCATTTAGTGTGTAATGTTTACTATTGTGTTAGCTGCTATTATTATTATTATTATATTTATTTATTTATTTTGAAATGGAATCTCACTCCATCGTCCAGGCTGCGGTGCAGTGGAGCGATCTCATCTCACTGCAACTTCTGCCTCCTGGGGTTCAAGCAATTCTCCTGCCTCAGCTTCCTAAGTAGCTGGGATTATAGGTGCATACCACCATCCCTGGCTAATTTTTTTGTGTTTTTAGTAGAGACGGGGTTTCAACATGTTGGCCAGGCTGGTCTCGAACTCCTGACCTCAAGTGATCCACCTGCCTCAGCCTCTCAAAGTGCTGGGATTACAAGTGTGAACCACTGTGCCTGGCCTATTATCATTATTATTAATTATTGGCTAGGCACCACCAGGTTTAAGGCTTTAATTCCTTTGATAGACTAGATATTAAAGGAAAATGCTACATAAAGTTTATCCCCTTCTTGAGAACTTTACCATGACTCATCACAGGCAAGATTCTATTTCTTTAATACAAAGTATTAATAATGCAAGAGTCAAGCTTACTGTGAGAGTCAGACTCCTTTTTTTTAATTTTGTTTTTGCTGGGATTTTTGTCGATGGTTATTATAGGTGAACTCCAAAAGGGAGAGAAGATGAACTTTAACAGTATAGTACATAAAATATCCAGAAAATGTTGATTATGTCAGTACCTTCATGATCTTAATAGATTTCCAGTCAAGTGATATATGGTAATGTTGATCAAGATCCTCTTTACAGAAAAGTCTTTCTGAAAAGTAGTTAAAAAAAAAAATGAGAATGGGGAGAGGGAGATGGCTTCACTTTAACTCTTTTGATAATTTCATTCTTCTTGATATCCTTCTCTGCTTTTCTTGCCTCATGGTCTCAATCACAGTTATGTAAAATTCCAGCATTTCACACAACTGTATTACGTAACTTGGAGATGTTATAAATAAGTGCTAGTACTAAGAAGAAATAAGTTATGGAGTATTACCTGCACATAACACACAATAGCAATTCAGGGTCTGGGAAGAATCCTCATTTCAGACTCAGAAAAAGCTGATGATATATGCAGGCTCAGATCTTTTCTGGAGACCTTCAACTGCTAAGCTGTTTTCAATGCTGTTTCTCATCTGTTATTGCAGATGGGCCATAACAGTTGGCTTTTTTAAAATTTTATTTTATTTTATTTTATTTTTTTGAGACGAGGTATCACTCTGTTGCCCAGGCTGGAGTGCAGTGGCATGATCATAGCTTCCTGCAGCCTCGAACTCCCAGGCTCCTTCCTCAGCCTCCTGAGTAGCTGGGACTACAGGCATGTGCCATCACACCTGGCTAATTTTTATGTATGTATGTATGTATGTATGTAGAGACAGGGTCTCACTTTGTTGCCCAGGCTGGTCTCAAACTCCTAGGCTCAAACGATCCTCCCACTTCAGCCTCCCAACGCACTAGGATTGCAGGCTTGAGCCACCGAACCCGGCTATAGTTTGCTTTTTAATAGATAGAGTGTTAACACTGGCTTCTGGCCTCCTAAAAATTTTTAAAATAACAGACTCTAGTGGGTTGCAGATTTGAACTGGTCGTTGTTTTTGTTTTTTGTTTCAGTTCTGTCACAATTGAAGCTTCTTATTTTGAATTTTTTTTTTTTTTTTTGAGATGGAGTTTCGCTCTTGTTGCCCAGGCTGGAGTGCAATGCTATGATATCAGCTCACTGCAACCTCCACCTCCCAGATTGAAGCAATTCTCCTGCCTCAGCCTCCTGAGTAGCTGGGACTACAGGCACATGCCACCACATCTGGCTAATTTTTGCATTTTTAGTAGAGACAGGGTCTCACCATGTTGGCTAGGCTGGTCTCGAACTCCTGGCCTCAGGTGATGCGCCCGCCTCAGGCTCCCAAAGTGCTGGGATTACAGACATGAGCCACTGTGCCCAGCCCTTTTGAATTTTTTTAGAAGATGGGAGTCTTGCTGTGTTGCCCAGGCTGGAGTGCTGTGGTGCAATCTCGGCTCACTGCAGCCTCTGCTAGTGATTCTTCTTGCCTCAGCCTCCTGAGTAGCTGGGACTACAGGTGCACACCACCATGCCTAGCTAATTTTTGCATTTTTTAGTAGAGATGGAGTTTCACCATGTTTGCCAGGATGGTCTCAATCTCCTGACCTCGTGGTCCACCCGCCTTGGCCTCCCAAAGTGCTGGGATTACAAGTGTGAGCCACCGCGCCCGGCCTGAACTATTTTTTACAGTGATGATTAGTTTCATATTCTATGTGTTTGTAACTTATATCTACTAGAATATGAAGTGTCTTCTTAGGGTACAATTGTATGATGTACAACACCTATTATATTGCATCTCCTTTCCTTATATGCTAGTAATTTGTGTCTAAAATGTTTTGAAACTCACTAGGGAAATTATGAACATTAAATTAAATAATGAAAGGCACATAGCTTATTACCTTTAGTTTTTCAATAAATATCGGATTTCTGTCTGTACTCATTACAAGCCTTTTGAACAGATTTTGTAAATTTGCAGTGGCCCAGATTACTGCCCGTCTCTCTGAGGATTAAAATAGTCAGGACAGTACTTGAATTTAGGCAATAATATACCTGTGTAAAATATTACCTACCAAAATTGCATACTGGTTCCTTGGCATTTGGGGGCAGAGGGTGTTAAGACTTGATGCATGTTGAAAAACAGAAGAAACATATCTTAAGAGATTTTATTAGCTTCTAGCACTGTGCCACATCGTCATTCAATAAGCTTATTAAGTTAAACAAAATTGTTATAATGGCTTAGAGTGGTGGTTCACTTCTATAATCCCAGTACTTTGCGGGGCCGAGGCAGGCAGATTACTTGACGTCAGGAGTTCAAGACCAGCCTGGCCAACATGACAAAACCCGTCTCTACTAAAAATACAAAAAATTGCTGAGGCGAGGAATTGCTTGAAACTGGGAGGCAGAGGTTGCGGTGAGCTGAGATCACGCCACTGCACTCCAGCCTGGGCAATAGAGTGAGTCTCCCTCTCAAAACACAACAACAAAAAAATTGGCGGGGCGTGGTGGCTCACGCCTGTAATCCTAGCACTTTGGGATGCCAAGGTGGGCGGATCACTTGATGCCAGGAGTTCAAGGCCAGCCTGGGCAACATGGTGAAACCCTGTCTCTACTAAAAATACAAAAAGTTAGCCAGGTATGGTGGCAGGCGCCTGTAATCCCAGTTCCTGGGAGTCTGAGGCACGAGAATCGCTTGAGCCCGGGAGGCGGAGGTTGCAGTGAGTCAAGATCATGCCACTGCACTCAAGCCTGGTTGACAGAGCAAGACTCCTTAAAAAAAAAAAAAAAAATTAGCCAGGCATGGTGGCGGGTGCCTGTAGTCCCAGCTACTCAGAAGGCTGAGGCAAGAAAATCACTTGAAGCTGTGAGTTGGAGGTTGCAGTGAGCCGAGATTGCACCATTGCATTCCAGCCTGGGTGACTGAGCAAGACTGTCTCAAAAAAAAAAAAAAAAAAAAGTTATGTACATGGAAGACCATAATAATTGCAGTAGCTAACAACTTTTTTCCTTAGTATATTCCAAGCACTTCTAAATGGTTACGTATAAGAACTTGTTTACTCTTCAGAACCCTGTCACCATTTTATAGATAAGGAAAGTGACACATACAGAGGTTAAGAAAGTTTCCCAGCAAAATACTACTCAGTTGTAAAAAGGAAGAGACCACTGATACATGCAACAACCTGAATGATTCTTCGGAGAATTATGCTGAATAACAAAAAGTCAATTTTAATGGTTGCATACTATATGATTCTATTTACATAACAGTCTTGAAGTGATGAAAGTATAGAAATGAAGAACAGATTAGTGGTTGGCATGGGTTGAGGATGGAGTAGGGGCAAGGAGAGATGTGGGCATGGCTATAAAACATCAATATGGGGGATCCTTGTCGTGATGGAAATGTTCAGTGTCTTGACTGTAATTCAACATCAGTATACTGGTTGTGATAATGTACTACAGTTTTGCAAGATACCCTTGGGAGAACTAGGTTAAAAGTACATGGTATCTCTCGATATTATTTCTTACAATTTCATGTGATTCCTCAATTATCTCAAAACAGAAAATGCAACAAGAGAAAAAACTTTTCCCAAGGTCACACAGCTAGGGAAGAGTTTGAATAGAGTTCAAACTCCCACAGACCAGCTTTAGAGCTTGTGCTGTTAACCACTACACCAAAATTGTTTAAACTTATTTGACACAAGAACAACTGTAAAAATACATCTTCATCAGAACTCAGTACACACATCATTTATTTGTATGTATCTTAAAACAAAAGTTTCATGAAACAATACATAGCCTTACTATATAGGACATTAAATTGATTTTGTGACCCACTAAAGGGTTGTGACCTTTGTTTGAAAGACACTCCAGTATCCTGTGCTGCCTCTCTGGTATATACATCCATTTGTACGGTAGCCACTGTCTAGGTGTGTGCAAAAAAAAAAAAACAAATTCCTGAAAGGACTGTTTTGGCTCTGTTTCCAGCCTGTAATCGTGGGCATACTTTAAAGGCTGGGCTAGTAACCTTGCATCCTTCTATTTCTCTTTAAAACATCTCCTTGTGAAAGCATCTTTTCTCATAACTGCTATTATTGTCCTATGCTGATGACTCTCTAAGTCCAAACTTCCATTTGCATTTACAACTAGGTGATCAAAAATATCTTGAAAGCTGGGCATGGTGGTTGCATTCCTGGAGACCCATCTATTCAGGAGGCTGAGGTGGGAGGATTGCTTGAGCCCATGAGTCCAAGTCCAGCCTGGGCAACATAGTGAGACCTTGTCTTTAAAAATAATATGTTGAGAATCCTTCCACATAAATATCCTTTATGATATCCAAAACCAAGTTTATTTTGCCCTTTATCTCCATAACAGTTACTCAACTTTTTCATTTCCCTTTATAGCACACTCTTCCAGTCTCTCAGGGCAAAAATGTTGGTGTTATTCTTGACCCCTTCATTTCCTTTATCTTTTCTATGACTATCTGAACTTGAATCACTACAGTTCTTCGTGGCAGACCATTTTGATTCTCTTCCCTCAAATTCATTTTGCGTAATCTTCTCAGATTAGTCATCTCCAAACAAAATTTTAGGCACGCTGATTCTCTGCTCAAAACTACAGTGGTTCCCATTGCTTCCTCCATTAATATCCAAGTCTAGTTTCAGAGACCTCTTTATCTGACTCTACCCTACCTGTGTTTTCCAGTTCTCCCCAGTAAGAACTCCCTCTTCCACTCTTATTTTCTCCACCTGACTTCACACACCCATTCCAACCACTTGGAATACCGTCCTTCATGTGTTCTGTGATACCACGACATTTAGGATCTACCTCAAGTACTGCAGTATATTGAGATTTATCACACTTTTATTCATATTACTTTTGGTGTTATCTCATTTGAAGTACAAATGTACAATATTCCAGGGAGTTAAACTAAGGACAGTGGTTATTCCTGGTTTTTGTCAGGTCTGAGGTTTACCTGCTTTAACAAATTAATAAAGCCTCTTGCTGTTTCTTGGATGCTGGCAAAAGACACAAGACTCCTAGGTCAGAGATAAAGGACTTTATTACTCATGACAGTGCAAGCAGCCTGAGCATCTGCATATCTGTGCCAGTTCTTCTTGGACCAGAGTCCCATGGGGTGACACTGGATGGCTCAGTGACATGCTTCACACGTGGTAGGTTTGTGTTGCAGATGAAGAAGGCCAAGTTGGGAGAACCCATTGTTTTTATAGGAAGCAGTAGGAAAGCTTCGTCTCTCATTATCAGGTTCATAAATGGCCCAGGAAAGAGTGGTCAGGGCCGTATAGTCTTGACATAACCCAGTAAAGAAATGTAGGTGCCCAAGAGGTCCAAGGAGGATTGTCTTCCCCAACATTTTACAGATGAAACAGAAGAATGAGGATTTCCCCCAACATCACTCAGGGAATATGAGAGAGACAGATCTAACCCTTCTAGATCATAGATCTAACTGCGATTGCCCTCTCACATCCATTTACATTGTTTTTCTTTTCTTTTCTTTTCTTTTTTTTATACCTAGGTAAAGCCCAAAACATTTAAATTATTTCTATGCAATAAATTGAGCAAACCAAGGAATTCTTGGGTTGTATTTACCACCTAAATTTCTTATGTTGTATCAAAACAACGAAGGTTTGTCCTAACTTCTAAATGTTTCCAGAAATCTTCTAGGTATTCTTCTGCAGCATGGAATTCTCAGGTAAAGGTAACTGAAGAAGTCTGGGAAACTTTCCAAAACTAAAATTGATTATATTATGATATGGGAGCCCAATGAAGAAGAAATCAGTGTGTTTCCTAGGGAACTCTTGTGCAAGCTAATATATTTTTTTTTAATCTATTAAAGATTAGAGAAATGTATACCTAACCAAGAATGAGTAAGAGTATATGAAAATAATGGTTTTGGTTAAGTAAGCTGACTCATTTCAATGCTAAAGCCCATCAAAAGGGTTTTTTTTTTTTTTTGGTTATATACGGAGGTAGAAGAAACTACACTAGTTTCTTCTTACCTTCTTACAGGAGGCCAGCAGCTAAACCTTGACCTGGAGTAAGAGAAAGCAGAATTACTTTTTTCTTGTCTTGTCTTTTTTTTTTTTTTTTGAGACAGGATCTCACTCTGTTGCCCAGGCTAGAAGGTGGTGGCACAGCTCACTGTAGCTTACACTTTCCAGGCTCAAGCCATCCTCCCACCTCAGCTTCCCAAGGAGCTGGGACTACAGGTTTGCACCACCACACCCAGCTAATTTTTTGTGTGTTTTTTATGGAGAGGGGGTCTCACCTTGTTGCCTAGCCTGGTCTTGACTCCTGAGGTCAAGCTATCCATCTGCCAGCCTCAGCCTCCCAAAGTGCTGGGATTACAGGTGTGAGCCACTGTGCCCAGCCAGAATTTTACTTTTACTTTAAATTTTTTACTTTTAATTATGAAACTTTTTTTTTTTTTTAAAGAGACAGGGTCTCAACCCTGTTGCCCAGGCCAGAGTACAGTAGCATGATCATAGCTCTCGTAGCTCTCTGTAACTTTGAACTCTTGGTTCAAGTGACCTTCCTGCCTTACCTCAGCCCCGAGTAGCTAGGGCTATGGGTGCGTACCACCAAGTCCAGCTTAATTACACAACTTTTTATAGTACGTAAAAAGAATAGCTTAATGAACTTAAATATCTCCATCACCAGCTTCAGTAATTATTGCCAATCTTATTTAATCTAATACCTCCATTTTTGTTTCTGGAGCATTTTAAAGCAAACTCCAAACATTACATCTCAGCACCTGTAAATCCTTCAGTGTCAGAGCTAACAAAATTAACAACAAAGTCTTATAGTGTCTCAGCCCATTTTCAAAGTCTGTTGATTGTCTCAAATATGTCTTTTTATAGTTGGTTTATTTGAATCAAGAAACATACAAGTTATATATTATTATTATGTCTAAAAACTTTAGTGGTTTTTTTCTAATAATAGCCTTATTGAGGTACAATTCACATACCATAAAGGTCACCACTTTAAAGTGTACAATTCAGTGGTGGTTAGTATAGTCACAAAGCTGTGCATCCATCACCACTCTCTAATCGAAGAATATTTTCATCACCTTTTCTAAAAAGAAACTCTGTACCCATTAATAACCACTCTCTATTCTTCCTCCTCCCAGCCGCTGGCAACCACTAGTCTATTTTCTGTCTCTGCAGTTTTTTTTTGAGGGGCTTCTTCAAGTATTTACATATGTCTCTCTCCATAGATTTGCCTATTCTGGGCATTTTATATAAACAAAAATAAAATATGTGGTCTTTTGTGTCAGGCTTCTTTCACTTAGTATATGTTTTCAAGGGTTATCCATGTTGTAGCATGTATCGTAACTTCATTTCTTTTTATGGATTAATAATATTGTATGGGCATATCATATTTTGTCTATTGGTTGGTGGACATTTGGCTTGTTTCACTTTGGGGCAAATTATGAATAATACTGTGAACATTAATGCATACATTTTGTGTGGATATATTTTTTAAATAATTTCAGCTCTTGTTTTAGATTCAGGGGCTACATGCGCAGGTTTGTTACATGGGTATACTGTGTGATGCTGAGATTTGGGGTATGATGGATCCTGTCACCCAGGTAGTGAGCATAGTACCCAACAGTTAGTTTTTCTGCTTCCCTCCCACCACCCTCTAGTAGTCTTCAGTGTCTATTGTTGGCATTTTTATGATGTGTGGACATGTTTTCATATTGAAAATGTTGAATTGCTGGGTCAAATAACTCATATGTTTAATTTTTTGGAGAATTGCCAGACTGCCAAAGCAGCTGGACCATTTTACACTCCTACAAGCAAGGCACAAAAGTTTCCAGTTTTCCACATTCTTGCTAATACCATTTGCTTCAATGAATAATTATTATTGTTATCCTAGTGAGTGTGAAAAGGTATCTCATCTTGATTTGTATTTCTCTAATTAGCATCTTTTCATATGCTTTCTGGCCATTTGTCTATCTTCTCTGCAGAAATGTATATTTCAAGCCTTTGCCCATTCTTTTTTACTAGGATTATTTCTCTTCTGTTGTTAAATCATAATAATTATTTATACATTCTGGATATTGGATCTGATTTGCAAATATTTTCTGCCATTCTGTGGGTTGTCTTTTCACTTTCTTGATGATGTCGTTTGAAACACAAATGTTTTTATTTTTGATGAAGTCCACCTTACCTATTTTTTCTTTTGTTGCTAAACCATTGCCTAGCCTATGGTTATAAAATATTTAGACCTGTGTTTCCTTCTAAGAGTTTTATAGTTTTAGCTCTTACACTTTGGTCTCAGATCTATTTTGAGCTTTTTAAAAAATTATTTTGCATTTGGATATCCAATTATCCTACCACCATTTGTTGCAAATAATAATTTTTGTAATTTTAGTAGAGATGGGGTTTCACCATGTTGGCCAGGCTGGTCTTGAACTCCTGACCTCAAGTGATCCACCCACTTAGGTCTCCCAAAGTGCTGGGATTACAGACGTGAGATACCGCGCCCAGCCTGATCTTTTAAAATTTCTTGCAGCAAAGTTTTATAGTTTTCCATGTACAAGTCTTGTACTTCTTTTGTTAAGTTTATTGGTAAATATTTTTCTGGTGCTATTGTAAATGGAATTGTTTTTAAATTTCTTTTTCGAATTGTTTGTTGCTAATGTATACAAATATAATTAATTTTTGTGTATTGATCTTGTACCTTACAACCTTGCCAAACTCATTTTATGTACATACTTTGTGTGTGTGTGTGTGGATTCCTTAGGATTTTTTATATACAAGATCATGTCATCTGCAAATATAGTTTTACTTCTTCCTTTTCAAACTGGATGCCTTTCATTTCCTTTTCTTGCCTACTTGCCCTGGCAAGACTCGCCTATACAATTTGGTTAGAAGTAGCAAAAGTGGGCATCCTTGTCTTGTTCCTGATCTTTGAGAAAGCCTTCAGTCTTTTGCCATCAAGTTTGTTAGCTGTGAGTTTTTTGTAGATGCCCTTTGTCAAGCTAAGGAAGTTCTTTCTCTTCCTAGTTTGTTGAATGTTTTTATCATTAATGGATATTGGAACTTGTCAAGTACTTTGTCTGCTTCTAATGAAATGACCATGTGATGTCTTTCTTTACTCTGTTAATTTGGTGTATTACACTGATTGAGTTTTGTGTGTTGGACCGACCTTGCATTCTGTGATTAATCCCACTTGGTCCAGTTATATAATCCTTCTTATATGTTTCTGGATTTGGTTTACCAGTATTTTGTTAAGGATTTTTGTGTCTGTATTCATAAGGAGTATTGATCTATAGTTTTCTTATGATATCTTTATCTGATTTGGTCTCAAGGTAATATTAGTGTCATAGAATGAGTTCGGAAGTTCTCTCTTCTAATTTTTGGAATAGTCTGTCAAGGATTGGTGTCAATTCCTTAAATGACTGGTAGATTTTAACAACGAGACTATCTGGTCCTGGCCTCCTCTGTATGCTATTTTTTTATTATTATTACTAATTCAGGATCTTTACTTGTAGGTCTGTTCAGATTTCCTATTTCTTCTTATGTCAGTTTTGGTAGTTTGTGTCTAAGAAATTGTCCATTTTGTCTAGATTATCTAATATGTTGACATACAGTTGTCCGTAGTATTCCCTTATAATCCTTGTTTCTGTAATGTCAATACTACTGTCCCCTCTTTCATTCCCGATTTTAGTAATTTGAATCTTCTCCCTTTTCTACTGATCAGTCTAGCTAAATGTCAGTATTGTTAATCTTGTCAAAGAGCCAACTTTGGATTTTATTGATTTTTCTCAGTAGTTGTTTTTGCTTTTTAATTTATTTCTGATCTAATCTTTATTATTTCCTTCCTCCTAGGGCTTTCTACTTATATACATGTATGTTGGTTGCCCTTGATGAAGCCAACTGTGAAATCATGGAATTATAATATGCTAGCTAGGAGAGTGATCTAGGCCAGTGCTTCTCAAACTTTAATGCACATACAGATTGCTTGGGGATCTAGTTAAAGTGCAAAACCTGATTCAGTGGTAGTGTTGAAGTCTACAGCTTCCCTTGTCTAAAAGCTTTCCTGGTTATGCCAGTGTTGATGTTCTGAGACCAGAGAGTAGAAAGGATCTAGTTCATTTGGTATCAATCATTTGTGGGATTTTCCAAACAGAACATGTCATTTCTCTGGTTCCAGGTATATTAATATGTCTCTCCCTTTGAGAATCAGTGCTGCTATATGTCATTATGACTATTATGAATGTGCATGGTTTCCAAGGGAAAAAACTGAACAAGCCCAACCCTCTCATTTTACTGATGAGGAAATTGAAGCTTCAAAGGGGTGAGATTTCTTGCCTGAAGTCATATAATAGGTTAATTGGCTCCATGGATGAGTATATTAATCCTTTCTGATGACAAGTCCTAACTCAGTGAAGTTCATCATTGATTATACTGTTACCAAGAAAAGGTAGCAATGAGGACAAGTAAATTTATGGTTAATTTTTTTTTTTTTTTCGAGATGGAGTTTTGCTGTTGTCGCCCAGGCTGGATGGAGTGCAATGGCACAATCTTGGCTCACTGCAGTTTCTGCCTGCCGGGTTCAAGTGATTCTCCTGCCTCAGCCTCCTGAGTAGCTGGGATTACAGGTGCCTGGCACCACACCCAGCTAACTTTTGTACTTTTAGTAGAGATGGGGCTTCCCCATGTTGGCCAGGCTGGTCTCGAACTCCTGACCTCAGGTAATCCACCTGCCTCGGCCTCCCAAAGTGCTGGGATTACAGGTGTGAGCCACCAAGCCTGGCTGGTTAATTTTTTTGACTAACCCCTTTAACAGATTTCAATCCAGAGAAAATGTTACTTAAGTAAATTTTCTTATTATTGAGTAGAAATATGATACCTGAGACGCCATTAAGAATAGATAGATATAGTTATGGATATAGATATATAGATATTCTAAGGGTCCTAAGACTCTATTATAATTTTTTTTTTTTTTTGTAAATGAGGATAGAATAAAAGTTCATGATTGTCTCATACAAATAAGTGTCATCAGGCTAACTAAATGGTGTTTTATTACAAGGTCTTTTTCAGTACTTTCACTTCTTTCTTTCACAATTAAGGACTCATTTTCTGTCCAGTTTTATACGCTAAGGTCTTTTTAGTACTTTCACTTCTTTCTTTCACAATCAAGGACTCATTTTCTGTCCAGTTTTATACTCTAAGAACAATTATTGCAAAAGTTCAAAATAGATTTATTTAAAATTATTGTTCTTCAGTCATTCCCAACATAGAGTAAGCTTTTCTTTCTATATGTTTCTGTTAGTTTGTTGTTTTTAATCTCATATTAAAGCTTTTTTTTTTTTCTTTTTTTCTTGAGACGGGGGTATCACTCTATCTCCCAGGCTGGAATGCAGTGGTGTGATCTTGGCTCACTGCAACCTCCGCTTCCCGGGTTGAAGCGATTCTCCTGCCTCAGTCTCCCTAGTAGCTGGGATTACAGGCGCCTGCCACCATGCCCAGCTAATTTTTGTATTTTTAGTAAAGACGAGGTTTCACTGTGTTGGCTAGGCTGGTCTCAAACTTTTGACCTCAGATGATCCTCCCTGAGCCACCGCGTGAGCCACCAGCGTGAGCCACTGCGCCCAGCCAAAAGCTTTTACACATCTTTGAAAAGTCTTCTGTGTGATAACCATTTTGTTTCTTATATAAGATAAAAGCTTTAATCTGTTAGATAATAAGAAAATTCTGAAGAATAACTATGATTGTGCTACATATTAATATCAATTATTCTCTGCCAAGAATTGCATATAACATACTTAATACTAATATTAAATATATCTTTCTTTTCCTTCAATTATTTAGAAAACATTTCAAGATTTTGCTGTATGAACATTAGTCATTGCATTATAAGAAGATAAAATGGCACCTTGGTGACATGATTTGTTTTCAGAACAATATGACTCACTGTCACTGTTAGCTATATGACTTCAGATCACTTTTATCATCACTATTAACTAAATGAGCTACATGACTCTGTAAAGTTTATTAAAATACCCTTATATGGAAATTAGCAGTCTTGAAGAGATACAGTGAAGAATCACATGCTTTTTGAAAGAACATTGAGGTCGGGTACGGTGGCTCATGCCTGTAATCCCAGCACTTTGGGACACTGAGGCGGGCGGATCACGAGGTCAGGAGATCAAGACCATCCTGGCTAACACAGTGAAACTCCGTATCTACTAAAAATACAAAAAGTTAGCCGGGCGTGGCAGCAGGTGCCTGTAGTCCCAGCTACTCAGGAGGCTGAGGCAGGAGAATGGCGTGAACCTGGGAGGCGGAACTTGCAGTGAGCTGAGATCACGCCTCTGCACTCCATCCCGGGTGACAGAGCGAGATTCTGTCTCGAAAAAAAAAAAAAGGAAAAAAAGAACATTGATTTGAGAACCAGTCAACATAATGTATTATTTTAACTATAGTCACTTCCACATGATTTCTTTAGTCCAGTGCTCTTGCTGTATTCCCCACCAATGTGATCTGCACCATCGTCCATCTAATCGCCAAAACTACAAATAGGGAAGTTACTCTCCATTCTCCTTGACTATGTCCAGATAGTCAAGCTATGAAATGCTAACGTTCTACCCCAGAATGTCTCTCCATGCTGACTCCCTCTTCTCCATACAGCCCCACTGCTCTAGTTCTACCCTTTATTATTTATTTTCCTCTGCCATTGCAGTAGACCCTTACTTGCCCCTCAGCTTTGAGTTCATGCACCCTTCCAATCATCTTCCAAAAGGATGCAAGAATGGCTTCTCTAAAATTCAAATTTGTGACATCACATCCCACGTTAAAGTCTTCACTGACTTTAAGGTGAAATCTGTACTCCTTAAACAAGGTCCTTAGCAGTCTGCCCTTGTCTCTTTCTCTTGTCTCATCTCTAATACTTAAACCCCTGGCATTTTTTCAGTGTTGTTTTTCTTCTGTGTATGTTATGTTCTTCCATACTTCTGTACCTTTACCTAAGCTATTCCTTCCATCCTGTTCCCTTCACATCTCTACTGCTACCCCTTCCTTACGTGACTCCTTTCTTTTTATCCTTTAAGATTGAACTCAAAAGTCTCATCCTCTGAGGATTTATAGAAACACACGGGGCCCCTAAAATTGAAGGAAAAATAGGGAGCCAGGTCAGATACCTTTCTCCTATGCATATTCCCCTGGTATCCTGTATATACCATTGTTGGAGTTCTTACTGCAGTGTAGTTGCAGTACTTCTCAGTCTTCTCCACAGAAGTGCACCCAATGTCAGAGGAAATTGTATTATGCTTACAGCCTGCCTGAAACCCTAAATTAATGACATCAATTATCTTAGTTTTAAGAAATGTAGAAAACTAACATTTCCATAGAATAGGTTTATGTCATTTAACAAAAAAAAAATTTTTTTAATTAGCTGGGCATGGCGACCCATGCCTGTAATCTCATTACTTTGGGAGGCTGAGGTGAGAGGATCACTTGATCTTAGGAGTTTGGGACCAGCTGGGCAACATAGGGAGACCCTGTCTCTACAAAAAATAAAAAAAAAATTAGCCGGGCATGGTTGCACACACCTGTTTATTATCCCAGGTACTCAGGAGGCTGAGATGGGAGAATCACTTGAGCCTGGGAGATTGGGACTACAGTGAGTTGTGATCGTGCCACTGCACTCCAGCCTGGGTGATAGAGCAAGATCCTGCCTCAAAAATCAAAACAAAACAAATGGAACATTTAAAATTATTTGTTCTGGGCCGGGCGCGGTGGTTCATGCCTGTAATCCCAGCACTTTGGGAGGCCGAGGCAGGTGGATCACCTGAGGTCAGGAGTTTGAGACCAGCCTGACCAATATGGTGAGACCCTGTCTCTACTAAAAATACAAAACTAGCCGCACGTGGTGGCACATGCCTGTAATCCCAGATACTTGGGAGGCTGAGACAGGAAAATCACTTGAACCCAGGAAGACGAGGTTGCAGTGAGCCAAGATCGCGCCATTGCACTCCAGCCTGGGCAACAAGAGTGAAACTCCATCTGAAAAATTAAAAAATTAAAATAAAATAAAATATTTGTCCTGGAATAAAATTGATCTTTGTTAAATATGATTATGTTTATCCTGAAATTTCAGGTGTTTGCTGTACACTGCCCTATTTGTTCTCTATAAGTTTGTATTAACCAACTGCGATAAATAGTAAGCACTTTGATGGCAGGGACTAAGTCTATTATTACCTCTGTATTTCTAGCATTAAAACAATATCTAACACATAGTAGATGTTCAATATGTATTGAAAAAAATAATTGCATGAAAGTTCTCTATTGGAATGATAGTGTTAAATGCCAGTGTTGTGAACATTTTAAAATTTTAAATCATTTTTCTCATAGGAAAAGCTTGACTGATGATATCATGAAAGTCATGCATGTTTTAAAATGGCTTTCTGGCTTATACAATATAACAGAATCTTTTTTTACTTTATATAGTTAAAAGTACAAAATACACAGAAAAGAATCCTATATTATAAGTATTCAGCTCAGTACAATGTTACACACACAACATGCTTGCATAATAAACACCCATACCAACAAACAGAAATTCACCTGCCCTCAGAAGCCCCTCCATACTCTGTCAGGTCATTGCAGCCCTTTTTAACAGGATAGGTTAGTTTTGCAAAATCATTTTACACTTGAATAGTATTTAAGACAAGTAATGTTGAATAGAAAATATTCTGTGACAAATCAGGTTAATGATTTAATATTCATTATTAGCAGCCAACATTATTTGTAGGCCAGGTGTAGTGGCTTATACCTTTAATCCCAGCACTTCGGGAGGCCAACATGGGAGGATGGCTTGAGGCCAGGAGTTCAAGACCAGTTTGAGCAACATAGCAAGACTAAATAGCCATACTTTTGTATACTATTCAGCACAAAAATGTTAATAATAAGAATTAAATAATACTCATTTTAGCTTTTGTGTTCATTTACAATGAGCAATATATTCTTTTTAAAATTTTTGATGTGTAATAATTATACATATTTAGGGATACAGACTGACATTTTGGCTCATGTATACAATGTAATGATCAAATCAGGGTAATTAGCATATCTCTTGCCTCAAACACTTATTTATTAATTTTGGGAATATTCAAAATCCTCTCTTCTAGCTATTTGAAAATATAAAAAAAAAAAAATTATTGCCAGGCGTGGTGGCTCACACCTGTAATCCCAGCACTTGTGGGAGGCCGAGGCAGGTAGATCACGAGGTCAGGAGATCAAGACCATCCTGGTTAACACAGTGGAACCCCATCTCTACTAAAAATACAAAAAATTAGCCCAGCGTGGTGTGGGTGCCTGTAGTCCCAGCTACTCGGGAGGCCGAGGCAGGAGAATGACATGAACCCGGGAGGCGGAGCTTGCAGTGAGCCGAGATCGTGCCACTGCACTCCAGCCTGGGCGACAGCAAGACTCTGTCTCAAAAAAAAAAAAGAAAATTATTGACTATAGTCACCATACAATGCTACAGAACACTAGAACTTACTCATCTTATCTAGTTGTAGCTTTGCATCTGTTAACCAACCTCTCCCTATCTTCCCCTCCTCCATACTCTTTTCATTTTCTAATAATCACAATTCTACTCTCTACTTCTATGAGCTCAACTTTTTTAGCTTCCACATATGAGTGAGAACATGTGGTATTTATCTTTCTGTCCCAGACTTATTTCACTTAACATAATGTCCTTTAGGCTCATCCATGTTGCCATGAATCATAGGATTTCATTCTTTTTATGGCTGAATTTGTGTGTGTGTGTGTATGTGTGTGTGTGTGTGTGTGTGTGTGTGTATACCACATTTCTTTATTCATGTTGATGACACTTAGGTTGATTTCATATCTTGGTTATTGTGAATAGTGCTGAATTAAACATGGGAATGCAGCTATCTCTTTGTTATATCGATTTCCTTTCCTTTGGATAAATATCTGGTAGTGGGATTGCTGAATCATATGGTAGTTCTACTTTTAGTTTTTTGAGGAACCTCCGTACAGTTTTCCATAAAGGCTATACTAATTGACATTCCCACCAACAGTGTATAAGAATTCCCTTTTTTCTGCATCCACACCAGCATTTTTTATTTTTTGTCTTGTTAGTAATAGCCATTCTGAGTGAATTGTTACTTTTAAGCTCTTATCTCTAACAATCAAATTACTATAACAGATTTTTGTTTCACTTTCATTTGTTTAGATTAGTAGTTCTCAATGTGGAAGGACCTGATTTAATCTCCCAAAGAATATTTGGCAGTGTCTGGAGACATTTTTGGTTGTCTTAACCCACCAAAAACAGTTGTCAGTGCTACTGACATCTAGTGTTACCCACTACTGGGTTGCTGTGAAAATTAGTTTTCAGAACAGAGCCCCATAAAAATGAATTATCTAGCTTAAAATGTCAACAGTGCCAAGGTTGAGAGTAGTGTTTTTTAAAGAATGGGTAGGTTGTTTATGTTTGATGGAAGTTAGTTTAAATAGATTGTAGCACCTTACTAATGGAGTCCATGATATCAGAAATTTAATTCCCATAGACGCTAGTTAACCTGTCTGTAGTTCATGCACTCCAGACCTCAGCCAGATGTCTTAAACATTTCTGCTGCAGATTATAAGAAGAACAAGATGAGAAAATGTAGATGGGTTGGTATAAATCTATCACTACTTCTGGAAAAATGTCTCAATATGATATTTTTTACTTAACCCAAGTCTATCTCTCACCACATGACTAGTTCTCACTACGTTGGAATCAGCTTGTAAACTTTGACTAGCAGCATTGTTTAATCTTGTTATAAGTTCCTGAATTAATGGTCTACAGGCTTGAGGCAGAGTGAATGCCTCAAAGTTATGGGCAGGCAGTTATCTAGTACCAACCATAGTCTCCTGCCATCTATTGGGAGGTGTCAGGTGGGAAGGCTAGTAGCCCTCTACACATATTCATACCCACACCCCAGCTCTATTTTTTTTTTTTGAGTAATTATAGGAGGTCAGAAACACTAGAATGTACATACATGCTGGTAATAAATGGAAATTAATATCTGATAGTTTTCTTCATGGCTGTCTTTCAGGGCATAGTTTTCCATGTATTTTGCTGTCCTCTTGTGAGAATACTACCCTTGACAAGTTGATCTACATTTAAGCTATGGCCACATTTAAACTATGGCCCTAAAACATTTGTTGTTATGCAAGAAAGAATTAATGGTGATATATACCAATTCTGACTCTCACATAAAGTGTTTCTCCAAAAGTAACCTCAGACAACATAACAACAAACCAAGATTTATATAGTTGGAATTGCAAATCCGTAAGTCCTTAAACTTAATGAGAAGATTAATTTGGAATTTGACCATTTGACTCTGCTCATTTAACTTTGAAAGCAGATATAAATAAAAACCTTGTATGAAGAAAATTGCTTGGGATAATTTGCATTAAACAGTCTGTTTTTTGCTAAGTGGCTTATTTGTATTATGGAAGCATAGCCTTATTAGTATTTTTAGTCTTCCTAAGAAGAAATGGAATACATCATAGAGCTCTAGGCCTTCTTTAGTTTTCAGTACAAATTTGGTATATTTGGTGTTTGGGAGGATATACATGGCATAAGGTAAAGAGAGCATTAGCTTTCACGTCAGATCCAGGTCCAGATTCTGCCACTTATAAACTGTTACACCTTGGACCACCTAGCTATTATGGGCCTGCTTTAGCACCGGAAAGAAGGGAGAATACCTAAATATGATGAGAGAATAAGTAGGTAAAATAATCATGTAAAAGAATGGTCAGGAGGAGTCTGGCCTCTGGCTCTGTCATTTATTATTGTCTGTGCCCATGGGCCGGCTGCAACTATTTGATTGACCTAAAATGGGATGGTGACTTGCCCGAGGTCATACAGTGAGTCAGGGCAGAGCAGCTGAAGCTTTACTCTCTAAGTCTCATTTTCCTTCCCTGTAAAATTGTTGTATTGGTGACTGTCTCACAGCATGTTGTAAGGAGAGATGGAGATCATAATTGTAAGAGGTAGCCCACAGTGCTGGCACAGTGTAAGCACCAATAAATGAAGGTAATGAGTACAATAAAATGTGTCACTTAGCCCCTTTCCCCAAATAGTTTATCCATCTGGTTGATGAGAGCCATACACTGTATGCTAAGACTTAAAAATGTGGGAGTTGATTAAGTTCTAGTACTGCATTATACTAATAATGCTAGTGCATAGTTTAAAGAATAATAAAATACCATAATGCAAAGTTTGTTTAAGCCCTTTACCCTTTTTTTCCTACATTGGGGCTTTATTTTTAGAGCACTTCACAAATTATGCAGAGAAAAGAGGGGTAGGCAAGAATGGAAGCAGAGAGAGCAGTGTGAAGGTAGTACAGTAGGGAGTTATGACAGATGCTTAGGTTAGGGTGATAGCAGAGGTGGTGGTGAGACTATTAAAAGACTACTCAGCCAGGCATGGTGGCTCACGCGTATTATCCCAACACTCTGGGAGGTCGAAGTGGGAATATCGCTTCAGCTCAAGAGCTCAAGACCAGCCTGGGCAACAAAGTGAGACCATGTCTCTACAGAAAATACAAAAATTAGCCAGTGTGATGGCGTGCGCCTATAGTTCCAGCTACTTGGGAGGCAGAGACAGAAGGGTTACTTGAGCCCAGAAGGTTGAGGCTACAGTGAGCTATGATCATGCCACTGCATTCCAGTTTGGGCAACAGAGCAAGACCCTGTCTCAAAGAAAAAAAGAAAGAAAAGACTACTCAAGGCTTGAGATTTGATAAAATAGTTCATTTTACTGCTTCATTGAGGATATTCTTAAAGGAAACTGGCATTTTTTTTCACAGTGAGTACATGGTGGAGAAGAATACAACTAATACTGAATTTTAAAATGTGCTATTTCTAGTAACCAGCCTTCATCTTCTTCCCCTTTGGCTGCAGATCCTAATTATCTCATGGCTAATGAACGCATGAACCTCATGAACATGGCCAAGCTGAGTATCAAGGGCTTGATTGAATCAGCTCTGAACCTGGGGAGGACTCTTGACTCTGACTATGCACCTCTCCAGCAATTCTTTGTGGTGATGGAGCACTGTCTGAAACATGGCTTGAAAGGTAGGCCATCACCCCAAAATGCAAATATGCATGCAGCTGTTTTCTAGCAATGCATACTATAGAAGAAAGCATTCTTTGTGGAGCCAAAGAATAAGAGGCTTGAATTAATAATATTAATCCATTGGAATGCAGTCTTTTATAGGAGCAGGGTTATGGTTGACTCAATGGACTTATAGGGCTTTAAAAATACAGATCATTAAATGTTACAGTTGGAGGGGCCATTATAAGTAATCAAGTACAGTACAGTAGTTCTGTTTGACAGGTGGAAATAGGCCTGCCCAGAATGAGACATGACTTGGTCAAGGTCACACATTGAGTTGTGGCAGAGTAGGTGCTAGAACTCAGGTCTCCCGACTCTTGGGTCAGTGTTCTTTCCACTTAACTATAAGCTTTTGAGGGCAGTAACTGGTCTTGTTCACCCTTGTTTCCTTTCTTCTTGCCTTCTCAATATTCTTTTCTTGTTGTTTTTTGTTTGATTGTTTTTTTTAAATCTGTATGCCTATGCTTACCAACTTCCCAATATTCCATAGCCTATTTCTGGATTACATATTCTTTTCTATTGAGCTGTTTTCTTCATTAATACCACACAATTTTAGGCACTAAATTGTTAAAATGTTTTATTATATTATAGGGCTAGGCCACAAACTGTTTGTGAAAGAAGAAGGGCTGAGTCTTGGGAAGTAGAGAATTTTTTTATTTTCACAAAATATTATCTATTCTAAAAGCATGAATGAATCCAAAACCATCTTATAACCTAGGATTGGTTTCCTGAAAAGTTGTGTGTGTATGTGTGTGTGTATTGAGAGTGCGCTTATGTTGTAAAGAATATTAAAATACTGCTTTATTTTTGTTGCCTTAGCTAAAAAAACTTTTCTCGGACAAAATAAATCCTTCTGGGGGCCTCTAGAACTGGTAGAAAAGCTTGTTCCAGAAGCCGCAGAGATAACAGCAAGTGTTAAAGATCTTCCAGGACTTAAGTAAGTCTAAGGTTGAATTCCATTTCTCAGGAACAGCATTCTTATTAACTATCCCTTGAAGAGCAAGACTAAAGACAATTATGTACGAATAATTTATTTTATAACAATCCAAAATGCATGATGTCATGAATAGGTGCTGACAGGAGAGAATTGGTATACAGAATATTGAGAAAAATGTGCTCTTGAGGGATAATTATTCATCTAAGAGAGATTGTCTTTTTGTTGAAATGCCAAACATTTGCTTATTTTTTAAAGCACTTGGGAGAATCATATCTAAGGGGGTGGCATGCTGTACTTGACTTAGGGAAAAAAGGTATTCAGTGGGTTTGAGAGTCAAGATTAAAACAGCTGTCAAATTAACCTGAAGAGCTAGTGACTGTAGCCTGCCTTAGAACTATAAAGTAGTGACCACCTTCCCAAATGAGACTGGTTTAATTTTAATCAGACAGAGGCCTAGATTGCCTGTGTCCACATTCATGCTTTGGACATTTATATAATCCACACTGAATTTATAAGGATTTGCTATTATTGATCTGATGGAACATTTTTAGTTGGGTCTCCCAGAGGCTGTGTCTTCAAATTGTAGTTACATTCAGTAATTCTTTTTGAAAGCATTTGTTCCGGGTCACATTAGCCCACACACAAAAATTCCTTGCATGGGAATGTACTGGGAGAGGTCCTGAGGAGCACCTCAGTGTGCTTGTTACACTGGAATACCATTAGCAAGAATAAGTGAACTGATTCTACTGTAGCCTTTGCTTCTGGTGCTTATGTTTTCAGTTGTTTGATTTCTGTGTTTTTGTAGGACACCAGTAGGTAGAGGAAGAGCCTGGCTTCGTTTGGCATTAATGCAAAAGAAACTTTCAGAATATATGAAAGCTTTGATCAATAAGAAAGAACTTCTCAGGTATGAACACCTTCTTGAACTTTCTTCTTTCCTTGGTATGTTCTACATCGTATAAAGTCAAACCATATAAGTTCACTATTTTTGTAGATCAGAAACATTTGATTCATAACAGCTTCACTGATACTTTCTCTCATACCTCACACACATATCCTCCCAAATGGATGATTTATGTTATGTGTGTTCTGTCTGTCACTGTGGCATATATTGGTCCTTTCCAAGGCAGGCCAAGACTTACCTCTAGAAAACAGAAGGCACCTTAGCATGTGCCCAGGCTCAATAAGACAAGAACTTGACATGTAGCATTAAATTCAAATATAGCACAAAATTGGACGGGTGCAGTGGTTCACGCCTGTAATCCCAGCATTTCGGGAGGCCAAGGTGGGCAGACCACTTGAGGCCAGGAGTCTGAGACCAGCCTGGTCAATATGTCGAAACCCTATCTCTACTAAAAAAATATAAAAATTAGCCGGGCGTGGCGGTGGACACCTGTAATCCCAGCTACTTGGGCGGCTGAGGCACGAGAATCGCTTGGACCTGGGAAGTAGAAGCTGCAGTGATCCGAGAGCGTGCCACCACTCTTCAGCCCGGGCGACAGAGTGAGACTCTGTCTCAAAAAAAAAAAAAAAAAATGTGTATATATATATATATATTTGTAAAATCACAAAATCTTCCAGTAGATCATAGATACAACTGGGAGAGGCAAAACAACATTATTTTATCCGTCTTTATTATATGATTCCATTGTATAAAGGTCAAAACTAGGTAAAATCAATCTATGGTGATAGAAATCAGGATAATAGTTACCTTGAAGAGGTGGGGGTAGAGATTGGAAGAGAGAAAGAATCCGATTTCTAGGATTTCAGTACTGTTCTCTTTCCTGATCATGATAGTGATTACACAGATAGATGTGTTTTTTGTGAAAGTTCATGGAACTAACAGTTAGCTGAGATTTGGAAATGTGTGAATGTTGGAATTCAGCCATATTCCACTTCTGAACAGTTCATAAGGTTAGGCTTTTGGGACAATAAACTGTCAAAGAACCTTGTTCATTCCAGTTCTACTCAGTTTCCTTCAGAGGCTATCAAAGAACAAAAATAGCATGTGATCAGTTTTTGAGAGAAACAGTAAATTTGCAGCTCATTCACTTGCTGTTTTTGTGCTATTTTGTCATTTGTTAATATCTTTTTTTTTTTTTTTTGAGACAGAGTCTCACTCTGTCACCAGGCTGTAGGCTGTAGTGCAGTGGCGCTATCTCCACTCACTGCCACCTCCGCCTCCCGGGTTCAAGCGATTCTCCTGCCACAGCCTCCTGAGTAGCTGGGACTACAGGCGCACACCACCACACCCAGCTAATTTTTGTATTTTTAGTAGAGACGGGGTTTCACCGTGTTGGCCAGGATGGTCTCGATCTCTTGATCTCGTGATCCACCCACCTTGGCCTCCCAAAGTGCTGGGATTACAGGCGTGAGCCCAGCCTATTAATATCTTTTATAGTGAATCAGAAAAGAAATAAGGAACTAATATCAGTGAATTATATTGATTGTTAACAGTGATTGAGGTTGACCTTTACCCCCAGGTAACTTGTTGAAAACAAATTGATTGCAGTGTTGTTTTAATCATGATGTCAAATTGACTGAAAATGAATAATTCAGGTCACTGGGTTTTCGTGTTTTGTTTTGTTTTGCTTTAAGAGACTCGCGCTCTGTCACCCAGGTTGGAGTGCAGTGGTGCAATCACGGCTCACTGCAGCTTCCACCTCCCAGGTTCAATCGATTCTCCTGCCTCAGCCTCCCGAGTAGATGGGACTATAGGCATGCACCACCACACCTGGCTAATTTTTGTATTTTTAGTACAGACAGGGTTTCACCACGTTGGCCAGGCTGGTCTTCAACTCCTGACCTCAAGTGATCCACCTGCCTCAGCCTCCCAAAGTGTGGGGTTTACAGGCGTGAGCCACCGCACCCGCCTGTTTCCATTTTTTTAAAAAATCTAAAAGACTATTTTTTAGAGTGGTTTTAAATTTATAGCAATATTGAGTAGAAGGTACAGATATTTTTCATACATACCCTTCCCCCCTGTACAACCTCCCTCATTATCAACATCCCACAGGAGTGGTACATTTGTTACAATTGATGAACCTACATTGACACATCATTATCTCCCAAAGTTCATAGTTCACATTAAGGTTTACTCTTGGTATTGTATGTTTTATGGATTTTGACAGATGTATAATGATATGTATCCATATGTCATTATAGTACCATACAAAATAGTTTCATGGCCCTAAAAAATCCTCTGTGCTCCACCTATTCATCTCTCTGTCCTCCAACCCCTAATAACCACTGATCGTACTGTGATTGTACTGTTGTTACCAGGGGTTTACTGTCTCTGTGGTTTTTCCTTTTCCAGAATGTCATGTAGTGGGAATCATAGAGTATATGGCCTTTTCAGACTGGCACCTTTCACTTAGTAATATGCATTTAAGTTTCCTCTGTGGCTTGATAGCTCCCTTTTTTTTTGTTCTTTGAGACAGAGTTTCACTCTTGTTGCCCAGGCTGGAGTGCAGTGGCACGATCTCAGCTCACCGCAATCTCCGCCTCCCAGGTTCAAGTGATTGTCCTGCCTCAGCCTCCTGAGTAGCTGGGATTACAGGCGTGTGCCACCATGCCCGGCTAATTTTGTATTTTTTTTTTTTTTTTTTTTTTTTTTTTTTAGTAGAGACAGGGTTTCTACATGTTGGTCAGGCTGGTCTCGAACTTCCGACCTCAGGTGATCCACCCGCCTTGACCTCCCAAAGTGCTGGGATTGCAGGCGTGAGCCACTGCGCCTGGCGATAGCTCCCTTTTTTTAGTGCTAAGTCATATGCCATTGTCCATTCATTTACTGAAGGACATCTTGGTTGCTCCCAAATTTTGGCAATTAAGAGTAAAACTGCTATAAACACATGTATGCAGGTTTTTGTGTGGACGTAAGTTTTTAACTCAGTTGGGTAAATACCAAGGAATGCAATAGTTAGATCATATGAATTACATCACTGGTTTTTTTGTGTGTGTATTAGTAATTTAGGTGCATTATAAGCAGTATTTAATTATCTATGGGTCTTCACGAATTTTTTTTTTTGAGACAGAGTGTTGCTCTGTCACCCAGGCTGGAGTGCAGTGGCACAATCTCAGCTCACTGCAACCTCCGCCTCCTGTGTTCAAGCGATTCTCCTGCCTCAGCCTCCTGAGTAGCTGGGATTACAGGTGTGCACCACCACACCCAGCTAATTTTTGTATTTTTAGTAGAGATGGGGTTTCACCATGTTGGCCAGGCTGGTCTTGAACTCCTGACCTCAAGTGATCCACCCGCCTCGGCCTCCCAAAGTGCTGGGATTACAAGCGTGAGCCACCGTGCCCAGCCAATAATTTTTATCCATTCAGATTTTTTTTTGTTTTTAGTAGAGATGGGGTCTTACTATGTTGCTCACTCTGGTCTCAAAGTCCTGGGCTCAAGCAGTCCTCCCGCCTTGGTCTCCCCAAGTGCTGGGATTACAGGTGCGAACCACCATGCCGAGCTACCAAACAAATGTTTTAAGATGCATAAAAGATTGCAAAATTATCTGATGGTGCATCACAAGTACAAATATGTCAGAAAAGTCTGAATACCTGCTTCAACCACAATACTGTTCAGTCACGTCTTTCTGCCAGCCTATTATTTAAAGAATCTATTCATGCGCCTATTATTTTTTTCTTTTAAAAAATTTTTTCTCCAGTGCCACTTGCCAACATCCACCTATTATTCTAAAAGTAAAATATTTACTAAAGCCTTTCTTTTTGTAGTTTTTTTTTTACTATTTTTGTAGATGGCTATAATCAACCATGATGACTATGATTCAACCATGAATCAACCATTTTTGTCCTTGTCTCTGGATTTTTGAGATTTTTGTTACAATAAGGAATTCTGTGGATTTCTCTTACAGTGAATTCTACGAACCCAATGCCCTCATGATGGAAGAAGAAGGAGCCATAATTGCTGGTCTGTTGGTGGGTCTGAATGTCATTGATGCCAATTTCTGTATGAAAGGAGAAGACTTGGACTCTCAGGTATGGGAAAGAGACTCATTCCCATGGGTGTCACTCTGAGTTCTGCTATCTCAGAAGTGGATTTGATTAGGTTATACCAACCAAATTAGGCCATATTCTATGAGTCATAAACAGGATTTCCTTCCATTTTGATGGGAATATAAAAAAAAGATTGTTTTTCCTTCCAGTTTGGCTCATTTATACGTTACGAATGTTTTTTAGATTCTTGTCTTGGCTGTACTCTCTGTTAAACATACATATACACACACACACATACACATTTACATACACATACATACACACACAAACACAGGTATACCCAGAGATATTGCAGGTTTGGTTTCAGATCACAACAATAAAGCAAATATCATAATAAAGCAAGTCACATGCATTTTTTGGTTTCCCAGTACATGTAAAAGTTTGTTTATACTAGGCCAGGTGCGATTGTTCACACCTGTAATCCCTGCACTTTGGGGCAGGAGTATCACTTGAACCCAGAAGTTTGAGACCAGCCTGGGCAACATAGTGAGACCCCGTCTCTACAAAAAATAAAAAATTAGCTGGTTGTGTAGCTACTTGGGAGGCTGAGGCAGGAGGATCACTTAAGCTTGGGAAGTCGAGGCTATAGTTAGCCATAATTGTGCATTCCAGCCTGGGTGACAGTGAGACCCTGTCTCAAAATAAAACTCTAAAAAAAATTTTTTAAATAAAAAGTTTGTTTGCATTATACTGTAGTCTATTAAGTATGTGATAGTGTAAGTGTAAAAAATAATGTACATACCTTAACTTAAAAATACTTTATTGCTAAAAAAATGCTAACAATCACCTGAGCCTTCAGTGAGTTGTAATCTTTTTGCTGGTAGAGGGTCTTACCTCAGTGTTAATGGCTGCTGACTGATCTTGGCAGTTGCTGAAAGTTGAGGTGGCTGTGGCAATTTCTTAAAATAAGACAACAATGAAGTTTACCACATTAATTGGCTTCCTTTACAAAAGATTTCTCTGTAGCATACCACGCTGTTTGACAGCATTTTACCCACAGTAGAATTTCTTTCAAAATTGGAGTCAGTCCTCTCAAATCTTGCTGCTGCTTTATCAACTAAGTTTATGTAATACTCTAGTAAACCATGCTGTAAACAGATGTGCTGTCTTTGTTGTACCCTTTATTTTTGTTTTGTTTTTGTTTTTGTTTTTTGTTTTTTAGAGACAGAGTCTTAATGTGTCTCCCAGGCTGGAATGCAGTGGCACCATCTCAGCTCACTGCAACCTCCGCCTCCTGGGCTCAAGCAATCCTCATGCCTCATCCTCCTGAGTAGCTGGACTACAGGCATGCACCACCACACCTAGCTAATTTTTTTATTTATAGTAGAGATGGGGTTTTGCCATATTGCCCAGGCTGATCTCAAACTCATGGCCTCAAGTGATCTGCCTGCCTTGGCTTCCCAAAGTGCTGGGATTACAGGCATGAACCACCATGCCCAGCCCACTATTCCATTTATAAAGCATAGGCAGAGTAGATTTAGCATCATTCTTAAGGGCCCTAGGATTTTCAGAATGGTAAATGAGCACTGGCTTCAACTTAGAGTCACCAGCTGTATTAGCCTCTAACAAGAGAGTCAGTCTGTCCTTTGCAGCTTTGAAGCCAGGCATTGACTTCTCATCTATAGCTATGAAAGTCCTAGATGGCATTGTCTAATAGAAGGCTGTTTTGACTACAGTGAAAATCTGTTGTTGAGTGTATCCACCTTCATCAATTATCTTAATTAGATCTTCTGGATAACTTGCTACAGCTTCTATTATTTACATCAGTGCTTGCTGCTTCAACTTGTACTTTTATGTTATGGAGACACTTTCCTTAAACCTCGTAAACCAGTGGCTGCTAACTTCAGGCTTTTCCTCTGCAGCTTTTTTACCTCTCAATCTCCATAGAATTCAAGAGCATTAGGGCCTTGCTCTGAATTAGGTGTTGGCTTAAGGGAATGTTGTGGCTGGTTTGATCTTCTATACAGACCACTCAAACTTTATTCCTGTCAGCAATAAGGCTGTTTTGCTTTCTTGTCATTCATTTGTTCATGAGTAGCACTTAATTCCCTTCAAGCACTTCTCCTTTGCTTTCACAACCTGGCTGTTTGGCCCAAAAAGCCTACCTTTTGGCCTGTCTTCTCTTTCGACATGCCTTCTTCACTGAGCTTAATTTTTTCTGGCTTTTGATTTAAAATAAGAAATGTGCAATTCTTCCTTTCACTTGAACACTTAGTGGCCATTGCAGGGTTATTAATTGGCCTAATTTCAGTATTGTTGTGTCTTAGGGAATAGGGAGGCCAAGGAGAAGGGAGAGAGATGGGGGAACGGCCAGTAAGTAGAGCAGTGAGAACATACACATTTATGGATTGCTTGCCATCTTATATGGGCGTAGTTCATGGAGCCCCAAAATAATTTTGATAGTAACATCAAAGATCACTGATTACAGGTTATCATAGCAGATGTAATAATAAAGAAAAAGTTTAAAGTACTGTGAGAGTTACCAAAATGTGAAACCGAGACATGAAGCGAGCACATGCTGTTGGAAAAATGGCACTAATATACTTGCATGACGCAGGGTTGCCACAAACCTTCAATTTGTAAAAAATGCAATATCTGTGAAGCAAAGTGCAATAAAATGAGGTATGTGTGTGTGTGCGTGTGTGTGTATACTAAAATATATGCAGTTGACTCTTGAACAACAGAGTAAGGCATTCCACATGGTAGAAACATCCCACATAGAAAATTCACCTAAAACTTTTCATTCCCTAAAAACGTTAAGTACTAATAGCATACGATTAACCAGAGGCCTTACTAGTAACATAAACAGTCAATTAACACATATTTTGTATATTATAAATAGTTATATTTATATTTATTTTATTTTATTTTTGAGACAAAGTCTCACTGTCATCCAGGCCGGAGTGCCGTGGAGTGAACTCAGCTCAGTGCAACCTCTGCCTCCCAGGCTTAATTGATCCTTCCACTTCAGCCTTCAGAGTAGCTGGGACTATAGGAACATGCTACCACACCCAGCTAATTTTTTTGTTTTGTGGAGACAGAGTTTCGCTATGTTGCCTAAGCTGGTCTTGAACTCCTGAGCTCAAGTGATCCTCCTGCCTCGGCCTCCCAAAGTGCTGGGATTACAGGCATGAGCCATGGCGCCTGGCCTATTGTATATTTCATATGCTGTATTCTTACAATAAAGTAAGCTAGAGACAAGAAAATATTATAGGAAAATTATAAAGATGAGAAAATATATTTACTATTCATTTAAATGAATGGATTATCATAAAGGAACCAGATCATCATAAAGGTCTTCACACTAACCAGATTGATGAGGAGGAGGAGGAAGAGGAGGCGGTTGGTCTTGCTGTCTCAGGAGTGGCAGAGATGGAGGAAAACCTTTTTTTTTTCTGCCTGGATGACAGAGTGAGACTTTGTCTCAGAAATAAAATAATATAATATAAATATATATTTTATATTGTGTATATATATAGTATATAGGTGGACTCGCACAATTCAAAGTCGTGTTGTTCAAGAATCAACTGTACAGTTGTCCTTCAGTGTCCAAAGGAGATTATTTCCAGCACCTCCATGAATACCAACACTCACAATGCTCAAGCCCTTACAGTCAGCCCTCTGCGTCCTTGGATTTTAGGACTTGCTGAGAATGAGAGCGAACTGTACTAAAGGCCATTAAAGCACGGTAGTTAAGAGTAAAGGCTCTGAAGCTAACTGCCTAGGTTTGGATTCTGGCTTCCTCATTTTCTAGCTGAATATATTTTATAATTACTTAGTTTCTTGTTGTTTCAGATTTCTTGATGTAATGCAGTTAGAACAGGGCCTAGTACACATTAATTGCCCAATAAATAATGTTTTCACTTTAATTACTTCTCACCCTTTCTGTATGAAATACTATGACAAACTTCTGTTATGTTTTATTCTGGTAAAATAGGAAGGGAAGTAAGATTTTTTGGTGTGGATTTTTTTTTTATTTTTTTATTTTTATTTTTTTTGAGACGGAGTTTTGCTCTTGTTGCCCAGGCTGGAGTGCAATGGTGAGATCCTGGCTTACCGCAACCTCCACCTCCTGGATTCAAGCAATTCTCCTGCCTCAGCCTCCCGAGTAGCTGGGATTACAGGCATGTGCCACCACACCCAGCTAATTTTTGTATTTTTAGTAGAGACAGGGTTTCTCCATGTTGTTCAGTCTGGTCTCGAACTCCTGACCTCAGGTGATCCACCCGCTTCGGCCTCCCAAAGTGCTGGGATTATAGGCAAGAGCCACTGCGCCCGGCCTTTGGTGTGGATTTTTAAAAAGAAATAAGCTAAATAATAAAATGGCAATCTTGAAAAATGAAGACGTGTACATCAATGAAAGTTTGGAGGAACAGACACCAAAATATTAGCAATGGTCATCTTCAGTGGTTGGGATTATGAGTGTTTAATATTACTTCCCCTTTTTTTTAGCTGTATTTTCTGAAACTTCTACAGGGGAAATGTGCTAATTTTTAAAAAGTTATTTCTAAAAATGAACAGGGATTCAGTAGCAGAATACCCGAAATAAGCAAAAGAGAAAGAAACTTTAGACCTTATTTATATTAAGTATTCTGTTGACTGTGTTAGTTGTGATCTAGTCTTCTAGTCTTATTGACATAATCTTGATTCTTTACTTCCAACTCTTGTTAATTCTTGATTAAACTGAAAGTAAAACAGTACATTTTTAATCGTAAATTTCTAGTAAGTGTCATGACTGTATTACTGTTTTGAGTGCCTAGAAGGAGACATTGTGTTATGCCTTGTAAAGAATATCTAATTTTATATTAAAACCTGAAAATTCTCTCTGTAGGTTGGAGTTATAGATTTTTCAATGTATCTCAAGGACGGGAACAGCAGTAAAGGTACTGAAGGGTACGTACAAAGAAAATTAGATTTCTTTTCTCCTGATGTAGCATTTTTTTTCCTTTGGTGGTACTTAAAGTTTACAACAATACTGTTTTAACAGACGTGCTGAAAGAATTTCTGATCATATAGCTTTAATAAAGTCTTGCCAGAAATATCTGACTATTACGCCTACCTCTAAACCCTAAAAGGATTTTTTTGTTTGTTTGTTTAATGATTTTCCTGCTATGTGGTTCAGGGGCAAAGAAAATACAAATTTTCTAAAGGATTCCAATTCTCCATGTCTTATAGTAGGGTTTAAAAACATGGTCATTTTGACCAGAGGAGTCGCATTCTCAGTTTGCTTAAAATTGGCAATATGAAATATGCACTGTGAGGTTATGTAAAATATTGACATTAGGGGAAACTGATTGAAGGTACATGGGAACTCTGTGCTGCGTTTATACCTCTTCTTGTATATCTAAAATTGTGTTAAACACTTTTAAAATATTCATTATGGTACTTAGTAATTAGAGATCAGAAGCACATCTATTCTTTTTATAAATTTAGCCATTGAAAGCATAATTAGTCTGATTTTTAATTTTTGACATTGAGCTAAGATTATCTCACTGTTCTTTTAGTAATTGTATAGGTTTGGGGCCTTAATTTTATCTTACAGCTGAAAAATCTGGCTGTTTATCTTTTGTCTACTACAGATTAGTTGGTTGTAGACGTGAACCTTCTTTATCCACAGTTTAATTTTTCATGTAATAATAAACATTTGGGCCGGGCATGGTGGCTCATGCTTGTAATCCCAGCACTTTGGGAGGCCGAGGCAGGCAGATGACCTGAGGTCAGGAGTTTGAGACCAGCCTGGCCAACATGGTGAAACCCCATCTCTACAATAATACAAAAAAAAAAAAATAGCCAGGCATTATGGCGGGTGCCTGTAATCCCAGCTACTTGGGAGGCTGAGGCCGGAGAATTGCTTGAACCCGGGAGGTGGAGGTTGCAGTGAGCCGAAATCACACCATTGCACTCCGGCCTGGGTGACAAAGCAGGACTCTGCCTCAAAAAAAAAAAAAAAAAAAAAAAAAAAAAAATATATATATATATATATATATATATAAAATAAACATTCAATCTTCGTGAAACCCTTTTTAACCATTCACTTTAAATGTTAAATAGCACTTACAGACAAATATTTAGCCCTTGAGAACAGCTATATTACATCAGAGTGAGCTTAATTCAAGTCCTATGACAATTGGAAAGTTGTTACTATAAATACTACTAGTGAAGCTGAAAAACCTATTAACAAGAAAATTTTTATCCTTTAAATGCGTCTAATAGATTGCAACATCATACCTGTGACCTAAATTATTAATACTGAGGTTTGTAAGCTATAACAAGAGCTTTATTAGTGAGGGGTTTTGTCATTTTTAAACTCCTGACTCTTTCTTGTTGCTATGTCAAGAGGGTTTTACATCAAATCTGTCTTATGGTTCAGTGTATCTGTGCCACAATTTTTTTCTCATGTTTTATGAAAAGATGGGGTGGGGTGGGGTTGGGATCTTGGTATTTCTTATGTTATTTATTTTATTTCTATTTTCTTCCCCTTCCCCCAGAGACGGTCAGATTACTGCAATTCTGGACCAGAAGAACTATGTAGAAGAACTGAACAGACATTTGAAGTAAATAATGAATAAATATATTACTTTACTGGGGAATTGTTGAAGGAGAAGGGAAGAGTAAGATGATGCGCAGTGAGGATAAATTCAGACAGTGTTCAACAAATATATGTAGAATTCCTGTTTGCCAGGCACTGAGTTAGGCACTAGATAAATAAATGGCATTTAACAGTTTTGGTGACCTTTAGTGAAAGGCAGTATATAATGTTATATATAATATATAATAACATAGTATATAATATTACGTATGTAATTATAACTCTAGTGATTAAATAGATAAATACGTAAATACATTCAGTTAAGAATTTTAAAATATGTGACATATACAGTTGAAATTGGTAGCTTTTTCAGTTTAGTAGAGATAGCTGCATATTTCAGAACTGATCTTGGGTAAACCACTCATTACATTAGTACCTTTAAATTAATCATATCGTCCAGGTGTGCTGGGCCAAAGCCTGTAGTCCCAACACTTTGGGAGGCCAAGGCAGGAGGATTGCTTTAGCTCAGGAGTTCAAGATGAGCTAGGGTAACATAGCAAGACCTTGTCTCTATTAAAAAACTCAAAACTAGCCGGGCATGTGCCTGTAGTCCCAGCTACTTGTGGGGCTGAGACAGGAGGAGGATCACTTGAGCCTGGGAAGCTGAGGCTGCAGTGAACCCTGGTCTTGCCATTACACCCCACCCTGGGTTACAGAGCGAGACACTGTCTTAAACAAAAAAAAAAAAACGAAAAAAAAGATACATGCTTTGTTTTCCTGCATTTCTCATTTATACATTGAATTAATAGCATTAATTTAATATATAAATTGAATTTCTTTGCCATTATTACAGTTAATTCACCAAGTATTCACAAAGTACAGTAGTTCCCCCTTATGTGGAGGGGATACATTCTAAGACCCCCAAAGGATATCTGAAACCACAGATAGTACCAAACCCTATATATGCTATGTTTTTTCCTATACATATGTACCTATGATAAAGTTTAATTTATAAATTAGGCAAGGTAGGAGATTAGCAACAATAATAAAATAAAACAACTTTAACAATAGACTATAATAAAAGTAATGTGAATGTAGTGTCTCCCTCAAAATCAACACATCCTTTTATTTTGTTTTCATTGAACTTCTTCTTCCTAGTTTTCTCAGGTTTTTTTCCCCCTTCAGTTTTCTGTATTTATATTTCTTATTGTCCTTAAATGACTATGGCTATTCTATATCTGAGCACAGTGAATAAAACATTAAAGTTTAATTAAAAATTAAAGAGGCCGGGAGCAGTGGCTCACGCCTATAATCCCAGCACTTTGGGAGGCCGAGGCAGGCGGATCACAAGGTCAGGATATGGAGATCATCCTGGCTAACACGGTGAAACCCCATCTCTACTAAAAATACAAAAAAAATTAGCCGGGCGTGGTACCAGGCGCCTGTAGTCCCAGCTGCTCGGGAGGCTGAGGCAGGAGAACGGCGTGAACCCGGGAGGCAGAGCTTACAGTAAGCCGAGATCGCGCCACTGCACTCCAGCATGGGCAACCGAGCGAGACTCCGTCTCAAAACAAAACAAAACAAAACAAAAATTAGAGAAAGAAAGCATTAGAAATACCAGTTTCAAGATTTTGTGCATTGAGAAATCATTATTTCCAAAAGATTTTCTAAGGGCCACTGTCCTTACGACAATTCAGTGTTGTATATATGTTCACAGTTTATTTTTTTATCTTAGGAGAAGTAAAAATCCTTACTGGATAATCCTTATTTATTTGTGTTTTTTAAACATACTCATACTTCCCTCTATTGTTTGTGTCATAGAGAGCACAAATCAGATTTGGACATCTTATGTGGGATTTAAACAAATACGTTTATACATGAGTCTATCAAAATCCTTATTTACATGTAAGAAAAAAATACATGCCCAGCTTTGCCCAAGGAAGTCCCAGAGGGAGAACAGTATCTTATTGTACTATTCTTACCTATTTTTGAACCACAGTTGAGTGCAGGTAACTGAAACCACAGAAAACAAAACTATAGATAAGAGAGGACTACTGTATTTTCAGAATTTTCCAGAACATAAAACAGTTTCCTCTCTCCTGAGAAGAGCTATCCAAAAGCTATTGGTATTCTCAAGTACTTTGATGTTCTTGTTATGTTAAGACTACTGAATAATTTTGAAGAATAATTAATATATTCATTAATTATCTTGTTTGTAGTTCTCTTATGAAAAATAGACATTTTTAATTTAAGTAAAACTTATAATATGATTATACTACTGTCAGTAAAATTTTAAGTAGTCTTGGTTCCACCTAGCAAATTCAAAACAATTTAAGTACATTTTCTCTGGGGACCAAGAACTAATATAATGACTTTAATGAACTATGGAGATGTTAGCCAAGCAAAGATATGGTTACAGTTAACAATGAAATATAAACAATGGCACTATTATTTACTCTTTCTATGCCTTAGTTTCTTTATCTGTAAATGAGAATACCTAACATAAAGGGTTGTTGAAAGGAATAAATGCAATAACGCAAATAACGTAATTTAGAAGAGGGTTTGGTGCATGTAAGTATTTAATTCATATAGACTGTTATTATCATATGTAGATAAACAAAGTTTATTCTGTAGGGAATGAACTCTTTTATTTCATTGAATAAATACTTACTGAATTAAAACTCAAATGCCAAAGATAATAGCCTTTTGTAAGCCTAGAGGTCAAGATTTGTGAGCATTAAGGCCTGGCGCAGTGGCTCATGCCTGTAATCCCAGCACTCTGGGAGGCCGAGGCAGGTGGGTCACTTGAGGTCAACAGTTTGAGACCTGCCTGGGCAACATGGTGCAACCCCATCTCCACCAAAAAATACAAAAATTAGCTGGATTTGGTGGTGCATGTCTGTAGTCTCCAGCTACTTGGGAGACTGAGGCAAGAGAATCACTTGAACCCAGGAGGCAGAGGTTGCAGGGAGCCGAGAATCGCACCACTGCACTCCAGTCTCAGCGACACAACGAGACTCCGTCTAAAAATAATAATAATAATAAAATAAAAAATTATGAACATTAGACAATGAAGGATAAGTGTGAAGGGTTTAAAAAGGAAGGTACAGAGTATTGTCTGTTTTTCAAAAGTGACTTTTTTTTCTTCTCTATATTATAGTGCTACTGTAAACAACCTTCAGGCAAAAGTAGATGCATTAGAAAAATCCAACACTAAACTGACAGAGGAGGTAAGTTTTGGAAATGCTTTGATTGACTTATAGAATTTAATATGCATTAGTAGAACCAATAATTTTAATGTAACCTTGGAAAGAAAGAACTTGACTTTTCAAATAATATTGACTGTAGTACATAACTTCTTATTCTTTTTTTTTTTTTTTTTTTTTTTGAGATGGAGTTTCGCTTTTGTTGCCCAGGCTGGAGTGCAGTGGCGCGATCTTGGCTCACCGCAACCTCCGTCTCCCAAGTTCAAGCGATGCTCCTGCCTCAGCCTCCCGAGTAGCTGGGATTACAGGCATACACCACCACCCCGGCTAATTTTGTATTTTTTTAGTAGAGACGGGGTTTCTCCATGTTAGTCAGGCTGGTCTTGAACTCCTGACCTCAGGTGATCCACCCGCCTCAGCCTCCCAAAGTGCTGGGATTACAGGCGTGAGCCACCTCGCCTGGCCCATAACTCCTTATTCTGACTAGAACGGCCCAGTTGGCTTATTGCAGGGATCTCATTTACCCAATTAGACTGTGTAGGGGCATGTTGCCAGGTTGATGGAGTATCTTGGTTTCTTTCGTGTGCATGTTTTGTCTGGGCTAGCCTAGATTAAATGTTTAGCATATAGCATATTCATCATTTATTCAGTAAGCGTTTCACACAGTTTATGTGCAAGAGCTAGACAAATATTTATATGTGCCAGGCATTGATTTATGTTCCAGATTGGCAAACTCCCCACCACTTATGTCCTTGTTTTCTTCCTGGGACAGTTACATAGATAAGGTGAAGAGTACTGGTCAGAAGATCAGTAATCCCTGCCTACAAATCATGCTTATGTAACTCATGTGCTCCTGAGTAAGTCAGCCACTTGACCTCCAAGAGGCTGAGTTCCGTCACTGGAAAATGAGAGTGTTTACAATACACTTCCTTTTCGGCCTCACAATTAACTCTGAAGATCAGATAAGAATATGAAAACTCTTAGAAAAGTCCCTAAAATAAGAACAGAAAAATAACCTCATGTTTTACTTCTAATAAAAATATTTTTTCCTTAACTTGCCAAGCCTTAGCTACAGATATTTTTTCTTTAAATAGCATTAGATGGTTTTATGAAAAATACTAAATAACATTGTCCAGATGGCAAAGAGTTTACCTTCCTTATTTCTTTTTCTTTTTTTTTTTTTTTTTCTGAGATAGGGTATCATTCTGTTGTCCAGGCTGGAATGCAGTGACACAAGGGCTTACTGTAACCCCCGCCCCCCGGGCTCAAGTGATCTCCCACCCTCAGCCTCCCAAGTAGCTGGGATCACAGGCACACACCACCACACCTGGCTATTTTTAGTAGAGAGGGGGTCTTGCCATGTTGCCCATGCTGGTCCTGAACTGCTGAGCTCAAGTGACCCGCCTGCCTCGGCCTTCCAAAGTGCTAGAATAATAGGCATAGCCACTGCGCCTGGCCCACCTTCTTTATTTCTAATTGTAATGATGCCCTTACACCCCATGGGATGAATTTAGTTTAAATAAAATCAAATTAAAGCACTAGTCAGGAAGATGCTTTTAATCAGTTTTTCTTTAGAATGAACATTTTCATTATTATAGTTTTAAAATACCTTTTTTATTACTCAACTCTGTGACCTTCACTTTCGGACAAAAATTTTTAAATTTTATATATCTTAAAACTTTATGCTTAGGGTCCTTAGAATCTTATCACATAGGCTTTTGGAATGTTCAGCACAGATTTTTTACTGTTATTCTGCTGCTACTATGTTGAAGCAGTACAGCATAGCAATTAAGCATGATCTCTAAAGTTAGGCTACTTGGGTTCATGTCCTGGCTCTGGCACTTGCTAGTTTTTTGTTTTTTTGTTTTGTTTTGTTTTGTTTTTTGTTTTTTGTTTTTTGAGACAGAGTATTGCTTTGTCGCCCAGGTTGAAGTGCAGTGGTGCCATCTTGGCTCACTTTAACCTCCACCTCCCGGTTCAAGCAATTCTCCTGCCTCAGCCTCCGAGTAGCCGGGACCACAGGCATGCACCATCACAGCTGGCTAATATTTGTATTTTTATAGAAACAGAGTTTCACCAGGTTGGCCAGGCTGGTCTTGAGCTCCCGGCCTCAGGTGATCCACCCGCCTCGGCCTCCCAAAGTGCTGGGATTACAGGCATGAGCCGCCGTACCCAGCCACTTGCTAGTCTTCTAATCCTGGGCCAATTACTTAAGCTTCTATTCCTTGATTTATTTATCTATAACATGGAAATAGCAATAATAACATTTTATGAGATTGCTGTGTGAATGAAATGATTTAATACATGATTAGGGCTTAGAACAGTACCTAACACATCATAAGCACTCAATAAATATAGTTGTTAATTTTATTCCCTCAGTCATAAGACTTGTCTTCCTTAGAGTCATATTAATACTAACAATATTTATTCATTGACTTATTTATTTTACCAGTAGCACTTATTTTCTTAAAGAAAATATGCTCTAAGAGAGTAGACGAGGCTCATTAGTTCTGCCTTTTTTCATTTCCATTTTGGGTTTAAGAAAGCCAGTAAGGCCAGGCACAGTGGCTCATGCCTGTAATCCCAACACTTGGGACATCAAGGTGGGTGGATCGCTTGAGGCCAGGATTCCAAAACCAGCGTGGGCAACATAGCAAAACCCCATCTCACAAAAAAAAAAAAAAGGGCCAGTAAAAAAGATAGCAGACCTCTTTTCCCCTCCTGGGTTTTGAATCTGAATGACAAACTAAGAAGAATTAAGCAGATGAAGATATAAATATCCACTTCAGGCCTGGCACAGTGACTCACACCTGTAATCCCAGCCCTTTGGAAGCCAAGGCAGGAGGATCGTTTGAGGCCAAGAGTTCAAGATTAGGCTGGGAAACATAGTGAGACCCCATCTCTACACCAAAAAAATTAGCCGGCTGTTGTGGTGCACACCTGTAGTCCCAGCTACTCGGCATGCTGAGGAGGGAGGATTGCTTGAGCCTGGGAGACCAAGGCTGCAGTAGCCAAGATTGTGCCACCACACTCCAACCTGGGCAACAGAGGGAGACCCTGTCTCAAATAAATAAATAGATAAATAAATGTCTACTTCATTATTGGTAAAGCTGAATTGGAAAGCCTCCTGTGATCTGCAGCCATAATCAGGTTTCCCAATAGTTTCTCTTAAATCAAGATTTTGGAATGACCTGCCTGAGGGCATACTTGAATCTAGAGAGGAGACCTACTTGCCCAGAATTGGTTTCGTGCACATTTTTAGGCCACAGGATCTGAGAGAGAATTGGACTTCCAGGCCTGCCCCCAGAAAGCATGAGCTTCTCTGTGCTTACCATGTTAGGACAGGAACTGAGCAGAGCCTGCACCCACTGCTAATGAGGAGATAATAATTGAGGAGACTAGCCTGGCTGAGAGGAGCCTGCTTGGTTATTCCTCTCGGCCTCATACAGGCACCTTCACATTCTCCGGGAGTTTAGTAGATGCAGAGAAGAAAAAAGTGTTTCCACCTTACTTTTTCCTTCTAAGAAAGAGATATAAATGTTTCCCTGTAGCAGTTGACTGCTAATAACGTTACCTGATCTTTTTAGGTGTTGAAATGAAAAATCTCCTCAATGCTTAATGGGATCTTTTAGCATGAGAACTTTGGAGTTCATGTCTTTAATCTTTTAAGAAATCATCTATAAAAGATCTTATAGAGCGTTTGTCACATGGGTTCCATGGTGTGACAGGACCCCTTTATTAAACATTTTAGAAATAGACATTATTAATAAATAATTTTTTTCTTACTAAATATGTGTACATCTATAAGAACACCCTTGAGATAATCTTAAGTTAAAACTTTTCATATAAAAGTAGCAGTAAGGTGATATTTTATTTCTTTTTTTTTTTTTTTTGAGACCGAGTTTCACTCTCACCAGGCTGGAGTGCAGTGGCGCGATCTTGATCTCGGGTCACTGCAACCTCTGGTTCAAGCTATTCTCCTGCCTCAGCCTCCCGAGTAGCTGGGATTACAGGCACACACCACTACGCCCAGCTAATTTTTGTATTTTTAGTAGAGATGGGGTTTCACCATGTTGGCCAGGATGGTCTCGATCTCCTGACCTCGTGATCCGCTCGCATCAGCCTCCTAAAGTGCTGGGATTACAGGCATGAGCCACTGCACCTGGCCAAGGAGATATTTTTTATTTTTATTTAGACTGCTCTAAAAATATTTCTTGGTCGGGCGCAGTGGCTCATGCCTATAATCCCAGCACTTTGGGAGGCCGAGGTGGGCAGATCTCTTGAAGGCAGAAGTTCAACACCAGCCTGGCCAACATGGTGAAACCTTGTCTCTACTAAAAATACAAAAATTAGTTGGGCGTGGTGGTGCATGCCTATAGTCCCAGCTACTTGGGAGGCTAAGGCATGAGAATCACTTGAACCAGGAGGCAGAGGTTACAGTGACCCGAGATTATGCCACTGCACTCCAGGCTGGGCAATAGAGTGAGGCCCTGTCTCAGAAAAATAAAGAAAAATATTTCTCTTGAGTTCTTATAAGAACATTTTTATTGGGTTATAGCTTCCTTGCTTTCTAAGAATATCCAAGCCTGAGAATTACATCCTAGCAGATCGTGAATTATCTTATACTATGTTAATTTTAAAAAGATAAAAGATTATTTTTAAAATTTTATCCACAGCTTGCAGTTGCAAACAACAGGATCATTACCTTACAAGAAGAAATGGAACGAGTTAAAGAGGAAAGTTCCTACATACTGGAATCCAATCGGAAGGTTAATCTTACTGGATTTATAAAATATTCACTGAGAGCATATCAACTTGTTAGTGGTAAAGGGGAGTCTCTAAAGGACTATTTTAAGCAGCTGGCCTGTATCAAGCACACTTTTTATTTAGACTCCATGCATAATTGTGTGATGAAGGTTGTGGGAGGGTTATGCGCCTTTTTCTACAAGATGCTTCGTGGCTTCACAGCCACCTACATCTGTTTAGAGACTTCAAGAAACAGTCTAATTCAGTTTCTTGTTTTTATGTACTAATGGTTCAAACAGTATTTAATAATTTGTTATGTTAAACATACTATTACTTTTATAGCATGTTACTGTTTTGTAAGAAGTGACACCTTATTTATATATCACTGGGAAAGAGCTACCATATAAATGTATTTTCTACATAACTTAATTCCTTAAAGTATCAAACTTTTTATACATGTCTAATTAGAATTTTGTAAACCTTTATGTTTTGTACAATTCCAAGCCTTCTTAATTAAGGACATAATTTAATACATTTAGCCCTTTACGATGACTGAGGATCATTAATTACCAACATTGACAATTCCCTACTAAATTATAATAGTGCCACTTTAGGAGGCTATTGAAATTGATAGAGCTTCTGACACCTACACTTAAATATTCCCCGATTTCTGTGGATGGTTTTTTTTCCTGTCTTTTACGTATTCAATAGCATCTCTTACTTTTTACTGATGCTCGGTGTTATCTTTAGGATGATCTCTACTTTCTTTTATCTTCATGCTTCTAATCTACTCTCCCTAGGAATTCAAATCCATAGTTATTAAAATTGTTCTTAAAGAGTTACTAGGCTCTGCGAGGGGACAAAAGCAGTTTTCCATGAGTAAAGTGATTGACTTTAATAATGCATGGACTTCATGACTGCTCAGAATAATTTTTTTATGACCTGCTTGTTTTTATCTGTGATCTTGCTGGATAGTTGAAGATAACCAGTTGCGAATTCTCTGGAGATTGAATGTATTAACATTTAAACCTATAGCCCCTGGGCTGGGTGCAGTGGCTCACGCCTGTAATCCCAGCACTTTGGGAGGCCAAGGAGGCAGATCACTTGAGGTCGGGAGTTCGAGACCAGCCTGGCCAACGTGGTGAAACCCCGTCTCTACTAAAAATACAAAAATTAGCCGGGCGTGGTGGCGCACGCCTATAATCCCAGCTACTCGGGAAGCTGAGACAGGAGAATCGCTTGAACCCAGGAGGTGGAGGTTGCAGTGAGCAGAGATTGAGCCACTGCAGTCCAGCCTGGGCGACAGAGTGAGACTCCGTCTCAAAAAAGAAAAAAAAAAAACCTATAACCCAACTCATATTTTGAAATGAATGCTATGTTATTTTTAGAGGCTGATTTTTAAAACTTCTACCATCTGGTTTGGAAACCTATTTTAGGATTTTAAATAAAGTGTCAGGAAGCCCCCAATTCAGCTTAACCTTTAAAAATGTACTAGACTTCAATTTCTTTGTTGTGTTTGTTCATTATTATACCTGCTTCAGTATGATCTTTTTTTCTTGCTAAGTAGCAGTGTTAGTGTCTAATTCTGTATAGATTAAATCCTTAAATATGTACAATGTTATTTATCTTTTCAAGGGTCCCAAGCAAGACAGAACTGCAGAAGGGCAAGCACTAAGTGAAGCAAGAAAGCATTTAAAAGAAGAGACACAATTACGATTGGTAAACTATGCTTAATTTCTAATAGTTCAGGAATATATTAAAAGGTAACTGCCCACTTAGAGGTTTTATCATACAGACCAAGATTAGGAATATCAGTAGTGTTCTGAAAAATTCTAGATCCTATAAAATGGTTCATCTCTTTTTAACCCACATTCCTTATCATACTTTCTCAATCTTTTTCTGAGTATTCTCAACAAGATTTTGTTAATCTTTATTTTTTTGCTTTTATAGTTTGTATTACAAGAATATTAAGTATACAGAACCTACTTTTTTAAACTATGCCGTCTCACTCCTACCTAAGTCCTCATCCCTGCAAAGATTCTTGGAGGTGGTGGCTCCTCTTTTCTTTACAAAGAATCATTAATGTAGGATTACTCTATTTTATTTTTAGCTGTTATTTCTGATTTATTATTGGTCTTAGATATAAATGGAAAATTTATCATCCAGTATTAGTCTTAAGATTTTTTTAGAAATTAAAAAAAATACATATCAATATATAGATAGAGAGTATATCATCTCACTCTAATCAGAATGGCAACTATCAAAAAATTGAAGGATAAGTGTTGACAAGGATGTAGAGAAAGAGAACCTTTACACACTGCTGGTGAAAATATAAATTAGTATAGCCACTATGGAAAACATAGTTGTCTTAAAAAATTAAAAATCGGGCCAGGCACAGTGGCTCACACCTGTAATCCCAGCACTTTGGGAGGCTGAGGCGGATGGATCACGTAAGGTCGGGAGTTCGAGACCAGCATGACCAGCATGGTGAAACCCCATCTCTACTAAAAATACAAAAAAAAAAAAATCAGCCGGGCATGGTGGCATGCACCTGTAATCCCAGCTACTTGGGAGGCTGACCAGGAGAATTGCTTGAACCTGGGAAGCGGAGGCTGCAGTGAGCCAAGATTGTATCACTGCACTCCATCCTAGGCAACAGAGCCAGACTCCGTCTCAAAAAATAAAAAATAAATTAATTAAAAATCAGTCTAGCAAAAGATCCAGCAATCCCACTACTGGGGATATATCCAAAGGAAATGAAATCAGTATGTCAGAGAGAATCTGTACTCCTATGTTTATTGCAGCACTATTCACAGTAGCCAAGATAGGGAATCAACCTAAGTGTTCATCAACACTTGAATGGATAAAGAAAGCATGGTATATATACACAATGGGATGCTATTCAGCGATAAAAAGGAATGAAATCCTGTCATTTGTGGCAACATGGGTGAACCTGGAGGACATTATGTGAAGTGTAGTAAGCCAAACACAGAAAGAGAAATGCCATATGATAACACTCATACGTGGAATCTAAAACGTTGTTCTCATAAAAGTAGAGAGTAAGGTGGGGTTACCAGAGGGAGAGGAGGCAGGGGATAGTAAGAGATTGGTCAACAGGTACAAAGCTATAGTTAGATAGGAGGAATAAGTTCTGGTCCTCTGTTGCATAGTGTGGGGTGACTAGAGTTAACAATAATACACATTTTAATATAGTTAGAAGAAAGGTTTTTTTTTTTCTTTTTTTTTATTGATGCATAATAGATATACATAGCTCTGGGGTTCATATGATAATTTAATATACTCATGTAGTAAAGACCAAATCAGTGTTCTTGGTATACCCATCACCTTAAATATTTGTCTTTTCTTTATGCTGGAAAAAAAAGAGGCTTTTGAATGTTCTCATCACAAATGATAAATGTTTAAGATGATAGATACATTCATTTCTCTGATTTGGTCATTACACAATTTTTATATTATCAAAACATCATGTTCTATACCATAAATTACTATGTGTCAGTCATACTTTTTTTAAAAAGAATTTATAATAAGGGATACTATTCCTGTACTAGATTTTATCCAGGTGCTAGTGTTATTATATTAATAACCCCTGGTATTCACATACTAACTCTTCCTGGAGTTTAGATAGTATAACAAACACAAGGACCTCCCCAGAATGTCTTTAAGAATAAGGAGGAGCCTGAAAATAAGGGGTGACTTAACTTGTACTAAAAAATTATTACAGGCCAAGCGCCATGGCTCACACCTGTAATTCCAGCACTTTGGGAGGATCGCTTGAGCTTAGGAGTTTGAGCCCAGCCTGGGCAACATAGGGACACCCTATCTCTACAAAAATTACAAAATTAACCATGCTTGATAGTACATGCCTGTATTCCCAGCTACTTGGGAAGCTGAGGAGGGAGATCACCTGAGCCCAAGGAGGTTAAGGCTGCAGTGAGCCAAGATCACACTGCACTCCAGCCTGGGTGACAAAGTGAGACCCTGTCTCAGAAAAAAAAAAAAAAAAAAAATATATATATATATATATATATATATAAAAACAAATTGACAGTATATAACATAATTTTAGATTTATTTATTTGTTTTTTTTTTTTTTTGAGATGGAGTCTTGCTCTGCCACCCAGGCTGAAGTGCAGTGGTGTAGTCTCAGCTCACTGCAACCTCCGCCTCCCAGGTTCAAGAGATTCTCCTGCCTCAGCCTCCTGAATGGCTGGAATTACAGGCGCCTGCCACCACACCCAGCTAATTTTTGTATTTTAGTAGAGATGGGGTTTCACCATGTTGGCCAGGCTGGTCTCAAACTCCTGACCTTGTAATTGTGATCCGCCTGCCTCAGACTCCCAAAGTGCTGGGATTACAGGTGTGAGCCATCACACCCGGCCAGAATTTCAGATTTTTTGAAAACAAAGCGATATTATTTTGACATCCTTAAAATAGTTAGCATTTGCCTTCTATGTATTTGTGAATGAGATCTCAAAATATAATACTTTTCATAAGAAAGGTCGCAGAAATAATATATGTCAGCATTTTAAGAAGGGGTATGATTCGTTTTCTATAATGCTAATCAAGTAAAATGAGAATCTCAGTGAAGTGGCACATAATAAAAATCTTAAAATTTTTCATATCCTTTTATCACAGTAAGACAAATGTTTGTTAAGAAGGAAAGAAACTAAGAAAGTATTTGAGGTCCTAGGTGAGCCCAAGGCACAAGGCAGATGCAGAAGATCCTCAGGTCTTTGTATCTTCGATCACCCACATAATGTTGCAGTAATAATGGTTGAAACAAAAAGAGGTTTCATGTTAAGTGAACTAAAAATTCTGTTAGCGGCCGAGTGTGGTGGCTCACACCTGTAATCCCAGCACTTTGGGAGGCTGAGGCGGGCAGATCACGAGGTCAGGAATTCACACCAGCCTGGTCAACATGGTGAAACCCCGTCTCTACTAAACATACAAAAAATTAGCCAGGCATGGTGGCATGCACCCGTAGTCCCAGCTACTCAGGAGGCTGAGGCAGGAGAATCGCTTGAACCCGGGAGGTGGAGGTTGCAGTGAGCCAAGACTGAGCCCCTGCACTCCAGCCTGAGCGACAGAGCGAGACTCTGTCTCAAAAAAAAAAAAAAAATCTGTTCGCCTCGTAACCATACTAGTCATCATCCTCAGTAATTGCGATGTTACCCCAGGGACCCAGATGGTCCTCTGGGTTCCCTGGGCTCTTGAATATATCAACAACATTCACATTTAGGAGGACTGCAACTGCTTCATTTTGTGCTGACTGCTGTAACCCTGTAGGTATATTTCTATAATAAGATATGACCATCAGTTGTCGTAATATCTACTGAAGTGTCTCAAATATGTATATATTTTAGATGTATTAAATAACACTATCTTTGGCTTAGCAGGTTTTTCAGATTTGTACATTATTGGGCAAATGTTATTGTATATCCTAATTATTATTGTTAATTATTAATTAATTATTGTTAATGTCTCTGAAAATGAATGGTAGCTTAAGCTATTTTGCCAGAATATTCAGACCTGAGAGTTTTGGTGTACTTTTTCCTGTGAAATATTATGGTTTGTACTTAGTTGAAGGAACAGAGTGTAAGCAATTTACTTACCTTTGGGGGCAGGATGTTGAGAAAGAACTGGAGATGCAGATCAGCATGAGGCAGGAGATGGAATTGGCTATGAAGATGCTGGAGAAGGATGTCTGTGAGAAGCAGGATGCCCTGGTATCTCTTCGGCAGCAGCTGGATGACCTCAGAGCTCTCAAGCATGAACTTGCCTTTAAGCTGCAGGTAGGGGAAATATGAGGAATAGACTCACTGGCTCTCTAAAATCCTGGGGCTTCCCTCCTCCCATCTGATCCTCCAGAATCACACTTTAATTACAAGAGGAAAGAATCACATCTCATTTTGATGCTAGCTGCCAGTAAACTACTTTCAGAATCAGACAACCATGGGATCCTGTATTGCTGTTCTAGAAAACCATGGCCACTTTTCACATTATAGTAGAGGATGAGGGTCTTTTTTATCCTATAGGGTAATTTCTACTCTGCAGTCTACCGTGCCAGCTAAGTTATATATTCTATTAGCTTTTACACTGGAATGTGATACATTGATGAACTATTACTGTGATCACACTGCATATAACAATACTAACTTTAGATAAATTGCTTTTTTTTCCATTTCAGGATTAACTGATATTGAAATATATGAACATTTCTGTTTTCCCACTTACCATTAGATTCAAAAGGCATGTGTGGTTGTATTTTAGGATTTATGTTATACAGGTTGTTTATCGTTATTTTCCATAACAGAGTTCAGACTTAGGAGTAAAACAGAAAAGTGAACTAAACAGTCGCTTGGAAGAGAAGACTAATCAGATGGCTGCTACCATTAAACAACTTGAACAAAGGTAAAAGTCCTGTTTCTTTAATGAAACACTTTGGATTGTCAGTGCTGAAGTGAAAAGAATGTGCTGTACATTCGGCAAATAGAAAATACATGAAATTCTTCCAAATTAGCATCAGACATTCTGGTAGAAAAAAGCCAGTTGAATGTTATGTGTGTTTTCTAAGGTATGACTGAAATGTTTTTAGGAAATGTCAATCACTTGACTAGCCTTTAAAAAAAAAAAAGAAAGGTCAGCCTTTTATGACTGTTTTGAACATCAGAACTCTTAATCCATGTCAGAGTCATGTGTTAGAGGAAGGATACTTAAAAGCATGGAAGGACTCTTAAATGTATGTATGTAATTCTGTGATTTTATTGTTCATCACTGAAGTCTTTGAATACTTGGATGCTAGGGGATATAGAGGCACTGAGAGATAGGTGTCCTCCAAGGATCTATTCTGGATCTTTCTCTCCCTTCTTTAACCCTTTTCTCTTATCTCCCTTTTCTTTCTCCTGGGTAGTTCTGTAGCTTCCACTGTCACCTCCAGTGTGTTTTCCCAGCTCTTACCTTCATCTGGAGACCAGTCTTGAGTTTTCATCCTTTGGGCAGCTATCTTCCACCAGTATCTACAATTCAGTCTGCCCAAAGCACATCTTCTTCCTATGCTACTCTCTTTCTGTGCTTATGTGAAACCACCATTTTCTCTCTGGCAACTTAGCAGCCAAGAGAAATGGCTGAGTCTTCAAGGATGAATGTGACGTGGTACCCAAGGTCATTTGATGTTTCTACCCTTAACACCTGTTTGTCACCCTTCTTGCACTTGAGCAAAACTAAACTGCTGGTCCCTGTACTTCCCATTTTTCCCATTTATTTCTTTCCCAATAGTTCCACCAATTAGAAATGTCCTAATTCTTCCCACTCCCTTATTCGTCAGATACATTTTTAAGTTTAGGCTCAAATGCCACCTCCCCAGAGTTTCCTCTGATACCTCTTTGCAGCTAGAAATGATCTGTCTTTCTGGGAACTCCCATAGCTTCATACTCATATCTATCTATACTGCTTATGGCACTTCTCACTGTCTACTGTACCTTTTAACTCTTTATATATGTCTCCTCCGATGCGAGTGTAAGCTCCCTGAGATTAGTTAACGAATCTTTTAAGTTCCCGTATTAGATCTGTCGCAGTGCCTTGAATATACAAGCATTCATTCAGTAGATATATGAATGAATGGATTAATGGGTGATTTCTTATATTCAGATGATTCTTAACCAGTAAGGGTCCTGAACAGCAGTGCATATTAATGTTAACTCAAAACTTAATGGCAAATTTATAAATAAACCTGAAACCTCTTACATAGCCAAATACAAATGTATCAGTCTACCTAGGAAAGATGGTTAGGTACTTGCTCATAAACAGTTATATGTTTATGATTTAACAAAATGATTTTACTGTTCATAAATTGTGCTTTTGAAATGAAATGTATCAAATTTCTTTTCAATGATGTTTTGACTTGGAATTTAAAGCAAACAGAAAGAGAATAATGACTTATCTCTTTGAGTATTAAGCTGACTTATTCTCTTGCTATTTTTGTGTTTCCTGTTTATCCATTTTCTCATTCTCCTTTCACTTCATTGTCATTTTTATTTTATTTAGTGAAAAGGATTTGGTGAAACAGGCAAAGACCTTAAATAGTGCAGCAAATAAACTGATCCCAAAACATCATTAGGCATTTTTAAGTTGGTCACGTCGCAAGTCCGATATCACAACTTAATTGTAAAAGGAAGAAATCTGAAAGTTACTACATTTAAGCTCTGATTCTATATAAAATGTCACCAAAAAGTTGACTTTGAATTTGTTGGACTTTTAAAAAACCAGTTGGAAATATAGGTTGGGTTTTTTTCTTATTGTTTTCTCCCCAGGGTTAGAAAAATTGGTATAAGTTCCTAATTAAAAGCTGAATAAACTTTGAGAAATTATTTCTGAGTTGACCAATAAATAAAAATACCACTTTCTTTAAAAAAGCCTAGGGAATTGAAGCTCTGTACATATACTAATGATGCCTTTACAACCCAGTCCTTGATAATACCAGATTCTCGGTGCATTGTTCATGTCTGTATCTGCAAGCCTGTTCTGCCATTGCAGTGTGATGAACCTAGAGGTAACTACCATGTGAACTTGAACTCTTCTAAAATAGTTCTGTGTCTCTTAGACCATGACCCCTTTTCACTTTTGTTATATAGGTTTAATCCCCAAGCCAAGGATAGTACTTAGTATTTCACTACACTTCTATTCTCAGTAACCAAGATTGCTTGCAACTTTTTTTGCCTTGGTGACTTTTGAAAAAAAAAGAAAAGAAAAAGCAGCATCCTTATATTTCTTTAAAATACATAGAAATAAAGTTAGTAATTAGGTAACCTATGATAACATAATAATGTGGACGCCTGGGGAAACCCTCCTCATGTTTGTCATCTTCTACCTCTGCCGTTTTCCTGCAATTCCGCTTCCTACTTAGGCAGTTCAGAGAGAACAATTCTAATAAAAACACTCCTCTCCTATTAACAAAAAATGATGCAGTACCCATTTTTCGTATCCTGCTTTTCTTATATTGGAGTAAAAAGGACAGGGTATAGACATGAATGATGATATTCTGCCTGGCCTGTCATTTCTTACCTGGAAACATTTACTTAAGAGTTTCTGTTACTTTTTGTTCAGATGGGGATTTGCTAAAGGTTCTGGGAAGCTAATAATTGAATTATTAGAAAAACATTTCAGAATAGGAAGTAAATGATAAACTTATATTCTTTATTATTATTTAGTACAAAAATAGATTCCCAGTAGATATCCACAAGCAATATTAGCAGGGCTTCTGTTTCTAAGTGACCACAGACTAACCCTTTCTAGGCTTTAACATTGTAAATAATCCTATAAACAGTTTGATTTTTTAAGATGATTTTTGATTTGAAGAGACAGGCTTTACATAAGCCTTCATTCCTTCAAAAGGTCCTGACAAAATACTTGGGTTTTTTTCTCTTTTTTTCATTCTGGTATGCTTTGCAGCATTTCAGCTGCTTTGGTGGGGACACAGATAACCCCTTCGCTTCCAGCTCTTAAAATTCTTTATCTTTTTCTTGGCAAAACCAGAATTAAGAGTGTAAGATAGATTCCATGTGTGCTTATATAGGTCCCTGCACAGATTGGACTTGAACCAAAATTAAGTCCAAAGAACATATGTTTAGACCAACTTCATGGAAGTGGAAGATCCTGTGCTCTTGAACTTATTTTAATTCTTATAATTTGCACCTATATAAACAAAGCTCCTACTGTATTCTTCTCTTCATCAACCTTTTGTGGTGATGGGTTGCCTTTTCTACGAGCATTTGGAAGGAGTGATCAAATACCGAAATTGAACTTTCTAAAACCTACACATAGCATGCGTTTAAATTCTATTATATAAAGCCCCAAGTGCTTTACCTTCTAAAACATGCTTCTCTATAGGTGCAAAGTTATAAGATATGTAGAAGAAAACATCCATCAGAATCTTCTGGAGAATATGGTCAGAGTCTTAAACAGGCCCAGTGCTGAGTTCTTTGTCCACTTAGTCACACATCTTTTGTGGGAATGGGAAAGGAAGGAGACAGCCAAACTCTGACAAAGGCTTTTCCTTATAGAATAACCCAAAGCCTAGGTGAGGGTTGATATATAATGTCCCATGATTTAATATATGTGGTTTGGGGGAAAGGACAAGAAAAAACTATAATTCCACATATAAGAAGGTAGTTGCCCATTTACAAGTTCCAGTTATGTGTGTAAAACAGAAAAATTAAGTACCAAACCTATTAGGAAATTTTTTTAAAAAGTGGATTTAACTTAAATTACTGTGTACTTGAGGTTGGCTTTGGATATGGATTTTCTAAAAAGTGATGTTTTATTGTTTATCATCTAATGGCTGTAAACTGTAGTACTAGAATAAAAAAAATGGAAAATCAGCTTTTCCTCTGCCTGGTTCACCTTCATCTTACTTTTCTTTAGAATTTGTTTCTTCTCCATCTTTTCCCCCCCATAATTTCTTCACCTGTGTCCTGCAAAGTTTTTTTCCTCTCTCTGTCTCTCTGTGCATTCTTCCTTGGGTTATTTTATTTTGTGTTGTGAACTTGGTCTTCTTCCCCACCATGGCTTTTGTTTTTTATCACAAGTTCATGTGGCTCACATCCAGATTGCGCCAGGCTGAGCGAAGCCGCCAATCTGCTGAGTTGGACAACCGGCTCTTCAAACAGGACTTTGGAGACAAGATCAACAGTCTGCAGCTGGAAGTCGAGGAGCTCACCAGGCAGCGGTGAAGAGGGGGTAGCTTGAGCTGACAGGGTGGTCATGGGTAATTCTTAGGGTAGACAGCAAGAAAAGGGGTCTCATGACTTCCAGCCAGGTTGGCTCTGTCTTTGCAATGTCCTTTCTCTGGAATTGGAATTCAGAAAGCTTCACGTACTTCAACATTCCCCAAATCCGATCAACATGCTTTGTGATCAAAGAATTAGGAAATTAGAGCCCAAGATCCCAGATAAATAGTAATTATTAGCCAAAATAACACTAATAATAATATGTAATATTTCCTGAATTCTTACTGTGTGCCAGATACTTTAGGCACTTCACATGCAAACTCTCCTAATATCTTCATATCAACCCTATTAGTGATATTATTGCCTCCACTTTCAGATTAAAGTAGAGCTTAAGGCTGGGCGCAGTGGTTCATGCCTGTAATCCCAGCACTTTGGGAGGCCAAGGCAGGTGTATCACCTGAGGTCAGGAGTTCCAGACCAGCCTGGCCAAGATGGTGAAACCCCATCTCTACTAAAAATACAAAAATTTGCCAGACATAGTGGTGGGTGCCAGTAATCCCAGCTACTCGGGAGGCTGAGGCAGGAGAATTGCTTGAACCTAGGAAATGGAGGTTACGGTGACCTGAGATCATGCCACTGCACTCCAGCCTGGCAACAGAACAAGACTCCATCTCAAAAAAAGGTAGAGATTAGACAGGTTAAATGTGTCCAGATTCACACAGTTAAGCTTAGAAGTAGCAACATTATCATTTAAAAACCTGTCTCTCTGACAGCAAGCCCTTAACCATTCGTAATTACTGCACTTTAAGACAAGGGGTTGGCATTCTTTAGAGAATATGTCTGTATAGAATTCCAATTTTTCATCCTTTTCCTCTCCAACTTACCTCAGGAACCAGCTTGAGTTAGAACTAAAACAGGAAAAAGAAAGAAGATTACAAAACGACAGGAGCATCCCAGGAAGGGGTTCCCAGAAGTCAGAATCCAAGATGGTAATATTTGCTATTCCCTTGTTCTTTTACTTAATTTCAGTTTAAATTTTAGAGGCTACCTTGATAGTCCTGTCAGTTTTCCTTTACAGATCACATACTTAGTGGCTGTGTCCTCAAGTATGTAGATAGCAAACTAGTAATTATGTGAACAAATGAAAGCTTGATTCTGAGTCTGCCTCTAGGATACTTTCTCCAACTTGATTTCATTTGGAAAGGGGGATTTTAATAATCACAGTGACCCTATTTCCCTTTTAATAATTTTTTAAGTAAGATTATTTTGGTGTCTTAACAAAAATATATGTTTCTTGGATTTCTGCTAAATAATAATTTTAATAAAATAGTATAATAATCCCTCTCCAACCCTGAATTCCCCTTTAACAGAATTTTCCTCAATGTGGATTTGCTTCTGTATACCTTTTTCAAATCATGAGGATTTCATTTTGAGTATCCTTAAGGAACTTCTCGTGGGAATAATTAGGGAATTAGGCTTGAGGAAAGGAAGGTAATACAGAATAAAGAGCAAAAGTAGAAATTTCTACATAATAATCTTAGAAGGAGACCCCTCCAGCACCTCCAGTGATGAAGGAGCTACAATTGGGTAAGATCATCTCTGGGGCCCAGGAAATAATGAAATCAGAAAAACATAAAATAACTTTTTCTGTAAAAGACAGTGAAAAAATTGCCTTCTGTGTGTACATATTATACAAGGCGACTTCAAAAAGATCATGGGAAATGGAATTAAAAGGTAAAGATATATAAACTTTATTTCTCAACCTAAGTTCCATCAAGTTCAAGAGACTTTAGTAAGTGATGATACTAGTCATGTAGGCCATCCCTGAAGAACTGAGGGTCCTAGGAATTTAATCATATCAATACAATCTTTTTTACATTATTAACTGAAGAAAAATTGGTGCACTTTAATGATGTTTTAAGATTAGGAAACAAAAAGAAATCAGAGGCACCAAATCAGGACTGTAAAGTGGATGCCTAATGATTTCCCATCATAACTCTCACAGAATTGCCATTGTCTGATGAGAGGAATGAGTTAGGAGCATATTTCTGGTGGAATAGCACTCTCTGTTGAAGCTTTCCTGGGCATTTTTGTGCTAAAACTTTGGCTAACTTTCTCAAAACATTCATCACAAGTATTAGCCAGGTGTGGTGGCACATGCCTCTAGTCTCTAGTCCCAGCTACTTGGGAGGCTGAGGCATGAGAATCACTTGAACCTGGGAGGTAGAGGTTGCAGTGAGCCAAGATCACACCACTGCACTCCAGCCTGGGTGACAGAGCAACACTCTGTCCCCAAAAATAAAAAAAATTAAAAACACTCTCACAATAAGCAGATGTTGGCATTCTCTGGCCTTCCAGAAAGTCAACAAGCAAAATGCCTTCAGCATCCCTAAAAACTGTTGCCATGACCTTTGCTTTTGACCCGTCTGCTTTTGCTTTGATTGCACCACTTCCACCTCTTCATAGCCATTGCTTTGATTGTGCTTTGTCTTCAGGATTGTACTATGAAGTTGTTACATCTCCTGTTACAATTTCTCAAACAAATGCTTCAGGTTCTTGATCCCACTTGTTTATAATTTCCATTGAAAGCTATACTTTTGTCTGCAGCTGATACGGGCACAACAGTTTTGGCACCCATCAAGTAGAAAGTTTACTCAACTTTAATTTTTCAACCAGAATTGTATAAGCCTAACCAATTGAGATATCTGTGGTGTTGGCTATTGTTTCTACTGTTAATTGTTGGTCCTCTTCAATTAGAGCATGAACAAGATCCTCACAAATTGATGTGGATAGTCTGCTACTGCAGGCTTCATCTTCAACATCATCTGGCCCCTTCTTAAAGTGAGTTATCCTTTTGTAAACTGCCCACTTCTTTGGGGACAATCCTAAAGCATTGTCCCCAAAAGCTTTTTGTAAAGCATCAATAATTTCACAATTCTTCCATCCATGCTTCACCACCAATTTGATGTTTGTTCTTGCTTCAATTTTAGCAGAATTCATATTACTCTGATAGGGGCTCTTTTTTCTTTTCTTTTCTTTTCTTTTTTTTTTTTTTGAAACAGAGTCTCATTCTCACCTAGAACTGAGTACAGTGGCACAATCATGCCTCACTGCAGCCTCGATTTCCCAGGCTCAGGTGATCCTCCTGCCTCAGCCTCCTGAGTAGCTGGGACTGTAGGCACACACCACAAAACTCAGCTAATTTTTGTATTTTTTTGGTAGAGTCAGGGTTTTGCCATGTTGTCCAGGCTGGTCTTCAACTCCTGGGCTCAAGCGATATGCCTGCCTCAGCCTCCCAAAGTGCTAGGATGACAGGCATGAGCCACCGTGCCCAGCCCGGGGTTCTTTTCAAACTGATGTCTTATCCTTTTTAGTGACTCAAACCAAATCCTGATTAGATATATTAAAATAAGTTAATACAAGTTTATTTTGGTGCGAAATATTTTTGAAGTCCATGCACAGTCTTTTCGTAATACGCGTTTTCCATGAACTTTTTGAATACCTCTAGTATATAACAAAGCAGGAAGAGTTCATAAACTATTTAAAATTTCTAGAGAGTGAGCTGCTAATTTACTGGCAAATAGAAAACAATGGTATGTGGAAATTTATTAAATAGTACCACTACTAATAATTTAAAGTGTACAAAGAACCACTCTAGGCCAGGCACGGTGGCTCACACCTGTAATCCCAGCACTTTGGGAGGCCAAGGTGGGCAGATCATGAGGTCAAGAGTTCAAGACCAGCCTGGACAACATGGTGAAACCCTGTCTCTACTAAAAATACAAAAATAAGCCGGGCATGGTGGTAGTCTCCTATAATCCCAGCTACTCGGGAGGCTGAGGCAGGAGAATTGGTTGAACCCGGGAGGCGGAGGTTGCAGTGAGCCAAGACTGAGCCACTGCACTCCAGCCTGGGTGACAGATCAAGACTCCATCTCAAAAAAATAAAAAAATAATAAAAAAAAACACTCTGTGTAGCATGCTATCTTTATTATTTTAGTTTAGTGAACATAAAATCTAAAAGGCTTACAAAAGTTTACTTAAAATCTTGGCCTACCTCACCCTATTTTTCCAATGAGGTTTTAAGTTTTTCAGTCTTCAGTTGTTGCCTGCAGTGGCATTTCCAGGAGGATAAGTATTGACCTCTCTTCCTTGATTCTTGAGTGGTGTAAGAACACACATCTCAGCTGGGTGGCTCACACCTGTAATCCTAACACTTTGGGAGGCCGTTGGCATGAAGATTGCTTGATCCCAGGAGTAAGAGACTAGCCTGGGCAACATAGGAAGACCTCATCTCTACAAAAAAATTTAAAAATTATCTCGGTGTGGTGGCTCGTGCCTATAGTCCCAGCTGCTCAGGAGGCTGAGGTAGGAGGATCACTTGAGCCCAGGAGGTTGAGGCTGCAGTGAGCTGTGATCATGCCACTGCACTCCAGCCTGGGCAATAGCATGAGACCTTGTCTCAAAAAACAAACAAAAAGAAAACACATTCCACTTTTGGATGCACATGGGCAGCAGTCGAAGGCGGGCAGCAGTCGAAGGCAAGCAGCAGTGGTTGTGTGTGCCTCAGAAAAAAATGTAGCCCTTAGAACTGCCCAGCACCTTGCCAGGCACAGTGGCTCATGCCTGAACTTTGTGAGGCCAAGGCGGGTGGATTGCCTGAGCCCAGGAGTTTGAGACAAGCCTGGGCAACATGGTGAAACCCCATCTCTACTAAAATACAAAAAAGTATCTGGGCCTTGCTGCGTGCACCTATAATCCCAGCTACTCCTGATGCTGAGGCCAGAGAATCGCTTGAAACCAGGAGGCAGAGGTTGCATGAAACCAGGAGGCAGAGGTTGCAGCGAGCCAAGATCGTACCACAGCACTCCAGCCTGGGTGCCAGAGTGAGAGTCTGTCTCCAAAACAAACAAACAAAATTTGCCCAGGCAGGGCTTAAGAGTATTGGTAGAAATGCAGTTTGAGGCTGGGCGTGGTGGCTTACGCCTGTAATCCCAGCACTTTGGGAGGCCAAGGTGGGCAGACTACCTGGGTCGGGAGTTCAAGACCATCCTGGCCAACATGGTGAAACCCTGTCTCTACTAAAATACAAAAATTAGCCATCAATGGTGGGCGCCTGTAATCCCAGCTACTCAGGGGCTGAGGCAGGAGACTCGCTTGAAACCAGGAGGCAGAGGCTGCAGTGAGCCGAGATCATGCCACTGCACTCCAGCCTGGGCGACAGAGCAAGACTCCGTCTCAAAAAAAAAAAAAAAAAGAGAAAAGAAAAAAGAAATGCAGTTTGAAACTTTACATCTGTCCTGCCAAGTAGAAAATTCCTTGAGTTGAACAGGCTATAGAGATGGTGGCACTGGGCCGGGTGCGATGGCTCACGCCTGTACTCCCAGCACTTTGGGAGGCCGAGACGGGTGGATAATTTGAGGTCAGGACTTCGAGACCAGCCTGGCCAACGTGGTGAAACCCCATCTCTACTAAAAATACAAAAATTAGCTGGGCATGGTGGCGTGTGCCTGTAATCCCAGCTACTCTGGAGGCTGAGGCACAAGAATCACTTGAATCCAAGTGGATCACTTAAGGTGAAGAGTTCGAGACCAGCCTGGCCAACATGGTGAAACCTCGTCTCTAGTAAAAATACAAAAATAAGCCAGGCACGGTGATGCACGCCTATAATCCCAGCTACTCAGGAGGCTGAGACACAAGAATCGCTTGAACCCGGGAGGCAGAGGCTGCAGTGAGACGAGATGGCACCAGTGCACTCCAGCCTGGGCGACAGAGCGAGACTCTGTCTCCAAAAAGAAAGAAAAATATTGTGGCACTGGGGCATCAACTTGATTGAACGTCCAGAGGATTATAGTCTGCTGTATATGGCCATCCTTGGTTTTACCAGTTTTTCAGAGCTCAGTCTGGGGAAAAGAAAAAAAAAATTATACTTCCCCTAAGAAGTAACTGATATCTGGAGCCAACTTTGCAAGTAAGTAGAATACATTCTGAATTTTATTTGAATCTCAAGAATTAAAATATTACTTTGAAAATCATTTGTCACAAACTGTCAGAATAATTAAGAAACTACTTAGAGCAAAGAATGAGGAAACATAGCTTGAAAGTTAGATCCCTTCCCTAATAAAAAAAGCTACTTAGCTTTATACCCAAACTAAGGCATTGCAGAAGAAAATATTTGCAATATCATTATTTAGCATTCTGAATAATTAATAAATTGGGCTGTTTTCTTTTGGCAGGATGGGAAGCACAAAATGCAAGAGGAAAATGTTAAACTAAAAAAGCCCCTGGAAGAAAGCCACAGGTGTTTGTTAATCAAGTATTAACTAAGATGTAAAGTTATTCTGGGGTGGTGGGAAGGAGGGAGTTCTTTATATACATTGGCATTGACACCGACCAGACACTGACTTATAATATTAATATGCCAGGAAGACATTTGAAGTGGAAGTTAATAATAAAACGTATAACATGTATTAAACCAAACCCATTAGGCCATTTCAGAGGAAAGAAGGATGATCAGGCTGTCCTCTCTTCCCTGATTAATTCCCAAGCTCAGATTATCACTTAAGAGGTTATTTCCCACCTTTACTGAATTGGTATCCCAGGAAAATAAAGTATAAGTCATACATAGCATTTCTTAACTTCTTAAATATATTTGAGTATGACTTGTTTCTACCTCTGTGCTAAATTTCAAATAAGTGGCTGGGCGCAGTGGCTCACGCCTGTAATCCCAGTACTTTGGGAGGCCGAGGCAGGTGGATCACCTGAGATTAGAAGTTCGAGACCAGCCTGCCAACATGGTGAAACCCGGTCTCTACTAACGATACAAAATTAGTCGGGTCTGGTGGTACCTGCCTGTAATCCCAACTACTTGGGAGGCCGAGGCAGGAGAATCACTTGAACTCAGGAGGCAGAGGTTGCAGTGAGCCAAGATAGCGCCACTGCACTCCAGCCTGGGCAATACAGTGAGACTCTGTCTCAAATAAAAAAAAAAGTTCAAATAAGTACTCTGATTTCTCTTATGTCTCATCTCTCATTTTTCCTTTATCTTGAGAATCTCAAACAGCTTAACTTCATTCCTTTATCCTAACTCTGTCTGATTTGCTCATGATGAAGAGCATAGGATAGTTTCAAGGAAGCTGACTTTTTATAGTTATTTTAGCAGGTTAGAAATATAATTAAATATTACATAGTGCCACTGCATTAAAAAGTGAAGGAGGTCCAGTTACATGACATTCTGGAAAAGACAAAACTATGGAGACAAAAAAAAAAAAAAAAAATCAGTGGTTGCCAGTGGTAAGAGAAGGAAGGAACGAACCGGTGGAGCACAGAGGATTTTTAGGGCAGTGGACTACTCTGTATGATACTATGATGGTGGATACATGTCATTATACATTTGACCACACTATAGACTAGACACCACCAAGAGTGAACCTTAATGTAAACTATAGACTCTGGGTGATGATGTTGTGTCAGTGTAGGCTCATCAGTTGTAACAAATGTACCACTCTGGTGCAGCATGTTGACAAAGAGGCCAGGGATGGGGCAGGAAGCATGTGGGAAGTCTCTGTACTTTCTACTCAATTTGACTGTGAACCTAACTGCTCTAAACATAAAGGTCTACTTTAAAAGGTGGAGGAAGAGGTTAGTGATGAGGAATGATACCACAGTGAGGTTTTGAGAGAACTATACAGCTGTCCCTAGCCAGGCTTCGTCACCTTAAGAATGAGGTAGTGTGTCATCTGGAGCAAAAGTAGCTGCTGGAGAAGAGAAAACACACAGTCCAATAGTAAGCTAATTATGCAGGTGCTTGGCCTAAATGTCCCTTTCTGGCCTTGCTCCCAAAGAGCATGGTTTGATCCAGAGCTAACTTTAAACTATCACCCATCTCACATTACAGAATGGCATAAGCAAAGAGAAGGGAACTAGAAGGGCCATAAAATTAACCTGGGCTTCCAGGTGCCTTTCAGGGTCAGCCTCGTTCCAAACTAAAATCAAATCATTTACTTGAGCAACCAGGAGTGTCTTAAATGCCAACTTCTGATTTAGGTCCTGAGAATATGGAACAGTGCTTCCTTATATCTGAATTGTGCTCTGCAACTTAGAATTTGTTTCACATTTATTATCTCCTTATGATTCAGTATTCCTTACAAAAGTACCTAATGCAACTTTACAGATGAGAAAACTGAGAAGCAGAGAGGCTGGGTGACTTATCCAAGTTGCCTCTGTTTATCATGTCTACTGTTTTTAAGTCCTTTGGCTCTGCACTACCTATTAGCAACTTCCAGGACTTATTCTGGCCATAGCTGCAATCGTTAGACATACCAGGCTTCCTGGGATTATGATGGCAAGGAACATCGGAAAACCTGGTCACCCCATGGTGTATGTCTGGTGGTCACACTGCTACTCAAGTGAAAAGAATAAGAACCATTGCAATCTGTAGTGCATTTTCCCTGTAACCGAGAGCGGGCTTTGCTTCACCTCTCATTTAGGCTCTAGTCCATGCTGGAACATCGGAGTTAGCTCAGCTTAGTCCCTCATGAAGAAATATTTCAACCTGAATGGGTTTTCTGGTGACAGTCTCATTCATTTCCCCTTCTTGGGTTAATTTGCTAAAGCTCACATCTTAAGAATATTTGGGACTGATACACAACATGTGATAATGGATAATGGATAGATTTCCATAATATCAAATAGAAAAAAAGCTACTAAAATATATGGCCAGTGAACCATTGGAGTTTTACACATTGGGAAACATAAATGCTAACTATTTTGATAGCAAAAAGGAATGTAAAATATAACTTCAAATCTATTTTTAAATGGGAACCCTTATATAATAAGTCAAGGGTCAGATTCTAGTGATTCATTTTAAGAAGCAAAGTTTCCTCTCCTTGGAGGTCAAAATTAATAATTATGTTGTTCTAAGTAATATAAAAGACCTACAGTATTTCTTGTTTGAAAAAAATGTTTGTATTCTGAGCTTTTTATTGAAATGATATAAATGAAAATACATGAAGTTCCTATTTGTCACAATTTTTTACTTCTCCATTGTAGGCTGCAACCCCACCCTATGGATGAACAGGTAACAGAGCCTCCTGTTTCAAAACATCTTGTATGAATTATGAAGTTGGTTGTACCGTGCCTAGCCAGCAAATAAGGTAGCATGGGCGGAAGATGAGTGAATACAGTGTGCCATCCTTCTAACAATACCCTGAACAAATATGTATTGCCTGAAGCTCACACAGGAAGTAGCACAGCTTTGAGCAGTTTACTAAGTAAACATCAGTTCTCACCTATTTTAAATTATCCCTGACATAAGATCTAGGAGAGCTCACTTTATGTCCCTTTCCTCTAGTTTTTCCTTACATAAAATGGAGAGAAAAAAGATGTTTTGATCACTTAGAAATAAGCTAACATAAATGATTGTAAAACACTTTGTTAATCTAATAGTATATGATAAGCCCATGAGAAAGACAGTGAATGCTACTGTGTCTGAGTCACCCTGTCATTTACCTCTTAGGTTATAAAATAAAATAAGTCCTACTGCTTTCCTTTTTTTTTTTTTAAATGGAGATAAGGTCTTACTCACATTGCCCAAGCTGGGGTGCAGTGGACGATCTCAGCTCACTGAAGCCTCAACTTCCCGAGCTTAGGCAGTCCTCCCACTTCTGCCTCCCGAGTAGCTAGGGCTGCAGAGATTAGGTTTCACCGTGTTGCCCAGGCTGGTCTCAAACTCCTGGGCTCAAGTGATCTTCCCGCCTTGGCCTCCCAAAGTGCTGGGATTACAGGTGTGAGCTTCCATGCCCTATGCTTGCCATTCTTTTTTTCCTTTTTTTTTTGAGACAGAGTCTCACTCTGTCACCCAGGGTGGAGTGTTGTGGCACAATCTCAGCTCACTGCAACCTCCGCCTCCCAGGTTCAAGTGATTCCCCTGCCTCAGCCTCCCGAGTAGCTGGGATTACAGGCGCCCACCACCATGTCCAACTTTTTTTTTTTTTAATATATATATTTTTGGTAGAGATGGAGTTTTGCCATGTTGGCCAGGCTGGTCTTGAACTCCTGACCTCAAGTGATCTACCTGCCTTGGCCTCCCAAAGTGCTGGCATTACAGGCGTGAGCCACCAGGCCCAGTCCCCAGTGCTTTCCATTCTTGATGGTAGAGTGAACAAGAGGAATGGGATAGTGTTAAAACTTTTTACTCTATACTTGCATGTGTTTGAATTTTCTTTTTAGAAATCATGTTATTATAAAAATTAAGAGCTGGAAGCATAATGATAGGATTATCCGAGTTGTATTATGGTGGTAGGACTACCTATTTATAATTGGTTTAGTTTCCAGATAGTCTATAGTGTGATTATATTAATATTGTAGGTAAAAAATGCATATTCTGAAAGTACTAATATTTCTGGCACTAAGAAAAACTAACCAGCTCCCTGTGTGGTTTAGGATCAGCTGCTGCTCTCTGAAAAGCCACAGTTGTGTCAGCTATGCCAGGAAGACGGCAGCCTAACAAAGGTAACTGTGATGAGAAACGGACAGGCTTTTCATAGGGATGTCTACAGCAGCCCCCAGTCCCTCCCCAGGAGTAACAGGGACTTTCCCGCATAGAGTGCAGAGTGCATGCAGAGTGCTGGGAGTGGGGTGAAAAGCAAAAGGGGCAAGCATTTACTGGGTACCTGTTTTTTCAGTCATAATAATTCATGTCAGAAAATTCCCATTAAAATAAACATAAATAGCCAGGCGCGGTGACTCACGCCTGTAATCCCAGCATTTTGGGAGGCCGAGGCGGGCCGATCACAAGGTCAGGAGTTCAAGACCAGCCTGATCAACATGGTAAAACCCCGTCTGTACTAAAAATACAAAAAAAAAAAAAAAAAAAAATAGCCGGGCGTGGTGGCCTGTAATCCCAGCTACTCAGGTTGCTGAGGCAGGAGAATCGCTTGAACCCGGGAGGCGGAGGTTGCAGTGAGCCAAGATCACACCATTGCACTCCAGCCTGGGCAACAGAGCGAGACTCTGTCTAAAAATAAGTAAATAAATAAACAAACAAAAATAATTATGTAATAAAGCAAATAAGCAGATAGAAATGTATAAGTAAATATTGAGTGCCTGCTGTGTAGAATGTGCTGGAGAAAGAGTAATGAACAAAGTAGACCAAGTCTCTGTTCTTGTCAAGCTTATGTCCTTCATAGCTGTCATTTTATAGATGAAGAACGTTGAACATCTAATGCTAACTACATTTCCCAAAATTAAGTCATAAGTGATGAAGCCCAGCTTCCAACCTAGCTTTCGCTCCAAAGTCCACAGTCCTTTCAGCACTTTATCCTGCTCAGAACAGGATATGAGCTCTCCCTGCTAGACCACTTGTTTTCCACCCGATCCTCAAGGGTGCCTGCCTGAGCATCTTCCCAGTTTGTTATCCTAGAGTAGGCAGAGTTAAGGAAGTATTCAGAAAGAATGAGTGCCCTTGATAGCTGGAACTGTGTCTTGTTCACAGAATCCCCCAGCATCTAATATGGTACCCAATCCATAGTAGATCCTCAAGAAAAGTTATGTACAAATGAGTGTATGAAACACATGCTTGGAAGAGATACAGGAAACAGGCTCAAATTCTGGATCACAACCTGCATAGCACCATCTGTGATCATGCAAAATTTTAATAAATTATAATATGACCTAGTCTTAAATTCACAGAATCAGATAACAAATGAACTGCCCTTATAGAACTGGAAGTTACAATTATAGAAATATGTTACAAAGTAGAACAAACTGTTAATTCTGGCTTTCCTCTTCTAAGCCATGCAATATTAGCTTCTGTATGTCAGACAAAAATTCTTCTTAGGCTTTCAGATAAAAGCAACCCCCTACTCCTCTCAACCTCAGGAAGATGAATTATTTGGGATGAAGGTAGCACTTCATGGGAGAAATTATTCTTTACAGCTTTTTATATAGGACCCTTGGAGCTTTGTGTATACCACCCTATCACAGCCTTACTGCTGACATTGCTATAGTGACTTCTTGCTCTCTGTGCTTGACCATTAAAGATGCAAAACATTTAGGAAAACAAAATAATTTCCCTATGAACAAGATGCAGGAAGCTGTGCTCCTGCTGCATTGATAACCCAGTGGATGTGCTTACAGAGCACCAGAGACCACAGGAAAGCATAAAGCACATCAGTGTATTTATTAGGAATTATACTTTCAGTTCATACTCTGGACATTTTTAAATCTTAGCCTGTTCACTCAATCCATTGCTCTTTCACTGCCTTATTTGGAGTATGCGCAGGTACTTGCAAACTAATTTTAAAACTAACCTACCTCAAAGTGAGTATGGGGAACAGATGTGTGAAGGATATTCTAAAGATAAGTGACTTGTATGTTACCTGTTTTTATTTTTAACTCTATGGCACTGCTTCTTTTCATTTAAATCTAAAAACTAGACGGTGAACTTTTTTGTAGATTGGGCCTGTGTTCAGATACTACCTGGCACATAGTAAACATTCAGTCATTGTTTGATTAGGCATTGAGCATTTGCCATATTTGGCTTTTTATATCCCATGAATCCTTATGCCTTGCTCATCTTCTATTCCCCGCCTAACCTCCTCTTCTCATAGAATGTGTGTAAGAACTGCAGCGGAACCTTCTGTGATGCCTGTTCAACAAATGAACTGCCTCTTCCTTCAAGTATCAAGCTTGAGCGAGTTTGCAATCCCTGTCACAAGCATCTGATGAAGCAATATTCTACCAGCCCATCATAAGACTGGAGGCCAAGACCTGGACCAAAACGTTTATGCAGGCTCCTCTGTACCTGTGTTTTAGCTGTCAGGATCTCATAGAGCCCAGTTCTTAGAGTCAACTAAAGAGTTGATAGGAATTTACTAGGTCCAGGGAGAAAAGGCAGTGGTTGGGGTTACTGGAAATTTTGCTCATTTTCTCTAATGACTGTATGAATAAAAGTGAACTTACTTGAGCCTTTCTCTTCTAAATCTAAACAACCTGATATTGAAGGTTTGCTTTATAGCATATCTTTGGAAAGGCAACTCATTTTTATGATTAGTGATACTGGGGTGGATTTAATAGGAGAGAGAATCCAGGCAGATAAGAATAAAAAGGAAAATGATCATCTCCTTCTATAGCATTTGCAGATTCAAGGGGGAGAGGTAGATGCTGAGATCAAAATGACAGTTGTTACTTATTTTTCCAGGTGCTGTTAGTATAAACATTGTTTCCTCTTCACCCCTGCTAACTACCTCTTTAAAGTATTTCTACCAAACTGTGAACCCAATCTCAGGGAAAAGAAATTAAAAAGTAATATAAATTCTGCATATATTAAAAACAATATTGTAATATGTTATAATTTCAGGACCAGAATTTTCTGGTCTTTACCTACAAGGGTTTTCATTATCAAAAAAAAGAACATTTGTTTTTCTACTTTATGACTTCAAAGTAAATAACTGCCCTTTTCAGAATCTCCTTCCACAAAACAAGCCAACTCTTCCCCATTCCCTCCATCTTCCTTTCCAAGTCATAATGGAAATTGTAAGGAGTTTTAAAAATAGGGTTTGGCTTTTGCAAATAGAAGATATTGATTAAAGCAAAGTCAAATATAGAGTAAAATAAGTTTAATTTGTTTTCTTAAGACAGGGTCTTGCTCTGTTGCACAAGCTGGAGGGCAGTAGTGCAATCACAGCTCACTGAATCCCTGTTCTCCCGGGCCTCAAGCAATCTTCCCACCTTAGCCTCCCAAGTAGCTGGGACTGGCTTTTTTTTTTTTTTTTTGGCCGGGGAGGGGGTCTCATTGGTTGCTCAGCCTGGTCTCAAACTCCTGGGCTTAAGCAGTCCTCCCACCTTGACTTCCACAGTGCCGAGATTACAGGCATGAGCCACCACACCTGGCCAAGTTTAATTTGTTCATGGCTGAGAACAGTTAGCTCGGAATACTTACATTGTTTTTTGAATAAGGAATTCCTTATTCTGAGTGAGTCACGAATGAGAGCTGATAGATGCTTTCTTGAAAAGGGCAATACAGTCATCCCTTGGTATCCATGGGGGATTGGTTCCAGGAACCCAACTTGATATCAGAATCCATGGGTGCTCAAGTCCCATTATAGAGAATGGGTTATATGGTATTTGCATATAACCTACATACATCCTCCTGTGTACTTTAAATCATCTGAAGATGATTACTTATACCTAATAAAATACCTACACATCACTTCATTTGCATGGATTCAACATAGTGCTTGGTGTTCAGTAAATTCAAGTTTTGCTTTTTTGGAACTTTGTGGAATTTTTCTTTTTCTGAATATTTTTGATTGGCAGTTGGTTGAAGCCATGGATGCAGAACCCATGGATATGGAGGGCTGACTGTACTTACTTACATATCTATCTATCTTTGAGTAACAAACTCTTTGGGGGAAAAGAGGGAAGTGTATTGAGCAAGAGAAGGCAAAAAACATTACATAATATTTTGATTCTGTTACGTGTGTCTATAGATTGTTTCATTCTAATCAAGACCTAAGAAGGTATGATTCTGTGACTGATTTAGAATTCTGGGGTGGAAATATCCTGGAACCATGTTTTTTAATAAATTCTGTCTCTTGGAAAGAGTTAACAACAGCCTGGGAAAGAGTTGTTATTCCAAAAGTCAGCCTGTTACTTGGTGAAGCTGAAGTTTAAGAGTTCTGGGGAAAAATAAAATCTAGTAATTCCAGCCTAGTTTGTTGATTGATGATTGTCTTTTTTTTTACCCTAAATAACAACATTTCTTTTTTGAATCTTCACTCTCATTTTTTGGCCACCTACATGAGCTAGCACTCTTTTAGGTGCTATACATGATGTGGGGCACAAAAATGGACTACAGGAGTGTTGCCCTAAATTAGAAAGTTATTTTATAACTAATTTTAAATTAATTTGAAAAGATCTTTGTAACACAATATAAGGAGGAACAGTCACTTGATACTTTACTTAGAATTACACATAAATATTAGCCTTAAAAAAATTTAGGCTGGGCGCGGTGGCTCACATCTGTAATCCCAGCACTTTGGGAGGCCAAGGCAGGCAGATCACGTGAGGTCAGGAGTTCGAGACCAACCCGGCCAATGTGGTGAAGCCCCATCTCCACTAAAATAAATTAACTAACTAACTAAATAAATAAGTAAATGCAAAAATTAGCCAGGTGTGGTGGTGTGCACCTGTAATCCCAGCTACTGGGGAGGCTGAAACAGGAGAATCATTTGAACCCAGGACGGAGGTTGCAGTGAGCCGAGATCACACCACTGCACTTCTGCCTGGGCAACAGAGTGAGATTCCATCTCAAAAAAAAAAAAAAAATTTACAACGTCCCAAAGATCTTTAGTTACAGTGCAGCCTCCCATAAAAGCAAGGAGACCAAGTCATGAATACCTTGACTTAATGGTATGCCTATCTGTCTTCCTTTACAATTGTGCTTTTCACCATTTACAATAGTATAAACTGAACCAAAGAGGCAAAGACTTGTACATTGAAAACTTCAAAATGTTGCCATACAAAATGAAGACATAAAAGTATGTTTTTCACCAGGCACGGTGGCCCGCACCTGTAATCCCAGCACTTTGGGAGGCCAAGAAAAAAAAGTATCATATTTTCATGGAGTCAAAGACTTAATAAATATTGTTAAGATGTCAATACTACCCAGAGTAATCTACAGATTCAATAGTCCCTATGAAAATCCCAACATTTCTGCAGAAATAGAAAAATCAATCCTAAAATTCATACAGAATGTCAAGAGACCCCCCCCCCCGATACTCAAAATAATCTTGAAAAAGAACAAAGTTGGAAGTCTTCACTTACTGATCTCAAAATTTAACACAAAACTACAGTAACCAACAGTATGGTACTGGCATAAAAATTAGCATATAAACCAATGGAATAGAATAAAGAGCCTAGAAGTAAATCTTTACACATATAGTCAGATTTTTGACAGGGGTGCCAAGACCATTCAGTGGAGAAAATAGGGTCCTTTCAACAAATGGTGTTGGGAAAACTGGATATCTACATACAAAAAAAAGTTGGACCCTTACACCATATACAAATATTAACTTAAAATCCATCAAGAACTAGCTCCATCCACTAAGGTTGGAAGAAAAAAGAGAGCTAGAATCATTAAACTCTTTAAAAAAGAAGAAAAAGAATTATTGGCCCCGTGTGGTGGTGCATGCCTGCAATCCCAGCACTTTGGGAGGCCGAGGCAGGTGTATCACCTGAGGTCAGGAGTTGGAGACCAGCCTGGCCAACATGGTGAAACCCCGTCTCTACTAAAAATACAAAAATTAGCCAGGTGTGGTGGTGGGCACCTGTAATCCCAGCTACTCAGGCGGCTGAGGCAGGAGAATTGCGTGAATGTGGGAGGCGGAGGTTGTAGTGAGCCGCGATTGCGCTATTGTACTCCAGCCTGAGCGACGGAGCAAGAAAAGACAGAAAAAAGCAGCCTGTCTTTTTTTTCAATCTCAAAAAGAAAAAAAAAAATGGAAAAGCTTCATGACATTGGATTTAGCAGTAATTTCCTGGGTATGACCAAAAGCACAGGCAACAAAAGGAAAAACAGATTGGACTTCAGCAAAATTAAAAATTTGTGCATCAAGGGACACTATCAGCAGAATGAAAAGGCAACCCAAGGAATGGGCGAAAACATTTGCAAATAAATCCTGCAACAATAAAAAGCCTGAAAAAAATGAGCAAAGTACTTGAATAGACACTTCTTGCAAAAAGATATAGAAATGTCCAATAAGTACAGAAAAGCTCAACATCAGTAATCACTGGGGAAGTGTACAAATCAAAACCACAATGAGATACCACTTTATAAACCTATTAAGGTGGCTATTATCAAAAAAGCAGAACAAGTGTTGACAAGGACATAGAGAAGCTGGAACCCATGTATACAGTTGGTGGGAATGTAAAATGGTACAGCAGTATGGTGATTTCTTAAAAAAGAAAAAAAAACAATTAGCATATATAATCCAGCAAATCCATTTCTGGGTATATACCCCAAAGAATTCAAAGCAGGAACTTATACAGATACTTGTACACCAGTGTTTACAGCCCTATTATTCAAAATAGCTGAAAGGTAGAGACAACCCAGGTATCCATCAATGGATGAATGGGTAAACAAAATTTGGTATATGCATACGATTGAATATTATTCAGCTTTAAGAACAAATTCTGACACATGCTACAACATAGATGAAACTTAAGGACATGATAAGTGAAATAAGCCAGTCATACATAGGACAAATATTGTATGACTCCATTTACACTAAGTACCTAGAATAGTCAAAGCATAAAGTAAAATGATGGTTCCCAGGGGCTTAAGGAAGAGCAGAATGGGGAGTCAGTGTTTAATAGGTACAGTTTGTGTTGGAGGAAGATGAAAAATTCTGGTGACAGATGGTGGTAATGGTTGCACAGCAATGTGAATGCACTTAATGCCACAGAAATGTACGCTTACAAATGGTTAAAACAGCAAGTTTTATGTATATTTTACTAGTTTAAAAAAAATTGTGTTTTCCGGAAGGATTCAGAAAGTAATTACAATTATGTGTGTCTATTTGGGTTATTACACAGGCATATATCTCTGTTCACTGAGAGGGCCTAGCAGCAGACATGCCAGCAGCAACGGGTACATCCAATGCCCAGATCTTGTTTTCTAATACCATTCTCCAAGAAAAGGAATCAGGGCTCCCTAGAGAAATGGCTGATTCTGGGTCTAGGGCATCTTGTAGTGCCAGAAAGTAAAGAAGTGTTCCACAAACAAGGATGTAGGCATGTGAAAGGGACACAGGAGCCAACTGATAGAATGCCCAATGGCCAAAGATGAAACAAATCTCAGCAACAAAGTAAATAATGCACCTTAGGATTATAACCCAAAGGATAAAGTAAGTACCCATGAGTCCATGTGTGTATATGACCTGATGGAGCGGTAGCATCTCTCCTATACAGAAAAAGCCCAAATAATTATGTAGATACCCCCCGCCCCTCACCACTTCAAGGAGATAGAGCTTAACTCTCCACCTTTCGAGTATGGATTGTGCTTAGTAACTTGCTTTAAGAGTACAATATGTAAAGAAGAAAAAAAATTTATAGTAACCTGGCAAACACTATCTTGGCCAGGTGATCAAAATTTGTATTAATATAATGAGTGATAAGCCCTATTAAAAATATGCACCCTTGATGTGATGAAAATGCCCCTTTGTGGTCTTCCTCCTAAGACCAGAAGGAAAACAATCAGAAAACCTCACCTTACGAACATTCTACAAAACCAGCTAGTACCCCTTAACACTGTCATGGTCATCAAAAACAAGTCTGGGATCCTTCTGTAGTTCATAAGCGTGACGACTGGGCTTTCACACTTCTGTGTGAGATGTGCCTCCTTCACACCTTGTTACATCAGGACATTACCCATCTGACGTGAAAAAAGTTAAAAAGGTTGGGAATCTGAAGTCATTAAAAACAAAAACATCTGAGGTGGTTAAAGAGACATAACTGAATGTAATTGTGGGATCCTGGAATGAAAATAATATTTGGAAAAAAACTAAAGATCTGAACTGTGGGATTTAGTTAATAGTAATGTATCAAATTTGGTTCCTTAGTTGTGACAAATATCCTGCAGTAATGTAGGATACTAACAATAGGTATACAGGTGGGTGAGGCGTATACAGGAACTCTGTACTCTTTTTGCAATGTCTCTGTAGATCTAAAACTTTGTTTTTTTTTTGAGATGGAGTGTCACTCTGTCGCCCAGGCTGGAGTGCAATGGCGCAATCTCGGCTCACTGCAACCTCTGCCTCCCGGGTTCGAGCAATTCTCCTGCCTCAGCCTCCTTAGTAGCTAGGATTACAGGCACGCATCACCATGCCCGGCTAATTTTTTGTATTTTTAGTAGAGATGGGGTGTCACCATGTTGGTCAGGGTGGTCTCAAACTCCTGACCTCATGATCCGCCCGACTCAGCCTCCCAAAGTGCTGGGATTACAGGTACGAGCCACCACACCCAGTGATCTAAAACTACTCTAAAATAAAGTTTATATATTAAAAAATTGTGCTTTCATACTCAAAGCAAGTATAGGTCTAACCCTATAGAACCTGACTGAACTCATCCCTAAATGCAGTTTGAGTTCTTACTTATTTCCAAATAGACTCCAAGTTTTGCAAGGTTGATAAGCAGATCGGAACTATGACAAAGTCCTTAGTTCATTCACTATAAGTCAAGTTATAAAAACATATGATGAAACTCTTAAAGGACATTTAACCATTCTGTGAAAGGAGGTTCTCCATTACAGCCTCATTTCAGCTTTGTTCACCAAAAAATGGGGGCGGTTTTTAAATAATTATATTTCAGTAGTTTAGTGGTCCTGTTTTGATTTACAGTAAAACTTCCTTCAAATTAACTTAGCCTAATATATTACCCAAAAAGTTATCCCAAGTCAAATCTTAATAATTCTTAGACAATAGCTGGTTTGGGAACTGTCATCGATGACAGGTCTCCCATGCTGGGAACAGATTAATTTTGATGTTAACACACTACTTTGGTATAAAGATTCTTGTAAGCATGCCAGTCAATATACCAAATCAGAAACCACGTATCTGACAAGCACAATTTCTACACCTAGAATAAGTGGCACAAACTTTAGTCAGTGAATTATCTTGAAATGTAAAATTAATTTAAAAATAGAACCAGTAGGCCAGGTGCAGTGGCTCACACCTGTAATCCCAGTACTTTGGCAGGCCGAGGCAGGCAGATCACTTGAGGCCAGGAGTTCGAGGCCAGTCATGTAGTGAAACCCCATCTTTACTAAAAGTACAAAAATTGGCTTGGCGTGGTGGCACATGCCTGTAATACCAGCTACTCGGGAGGCTGAGATAGGAGAATCGCTTGAACCCAGGAGGCAGAGGTTGCAGTGAGCCAAGATTGCGCTATTGCACTCCGACCTGGGCGACAGAGTGAGACCCTATATTTAAAAAAAAAAAAAATCCAGCAAGCGGTTGTAAGCATCACTGAGGATATCAGATCCCTAAGACTTAATTAAGCATGGAAAAGAAGAGGTAACTCAGGCTTCCAAAGGGCAAGGGCAAGTACAGTGAAAAAGCTGTACAAGTCTCCAGAAAGCAGTAATGACTTAGCATTCTGGATGCTGCTTTATGGCACAAAAGTATCATTCATGGAGTGAGCTGGTGGAAGGTAAAGTTAAGAAAAAATAAAGTATCATTCATATTCAATTACAACATCTATCACAAATACTATGTTCTTCTAGCATAACATTGCTCGTATTCCGCAATTTATTTTTGTCTTGCTGTTACCCAGGCTGGAGTGCAGTGGTGTAACCTGTGTGATCTCAGCTTCCACTTCCCAGGCTCCAGTGATACTCCCACCTCAGCCTCCTGAGTAGCTGGAACTACAGGCGTGAGCCACCATGGCTAGCTAGTTTTTGTATTTTTGGTAGAGATGGGTTTCACCATGTTGCCCAGGCTGGTCTCAAACTTCTAAGCTCAGGTGATCCACCTGCCCCGGCCTCCCAAAGTGCTAGAATTACAGGTGTGAGCCACCATGCTCAGCCCCATCTTGCTTTCTTGAGGAGGCAAGAAATGAATGAATCAACAGCCAGCCCATCAGAAACTGTTAATAACTTGTCTCCCTAGCTCTTGGTCTTTATTCCCAAATGTCTGCCATCTTCTGTCAAGCAGCAGCAGCAAAGGTTCAGAACCTCTTTATTTCCATCATAACCAGGTATTTTTGTTTGTTTTTGTTTTTGAGACGGAGTCTCACTCTGTTGCCCAGGATGGAGTGCAGTGGCGTGATCCCGGCTCACTGCAACCTCTGCCTCCCTGGTTCAAGCAATTCTCCTCAGCCTCCCAAGTAGCTGGGATTATAGGCATGCACTATCACACCCGGCTAACTTTTATATTTTTAGTACAGACAGGGTTTCACCATGTTGGCCAGGCTAGTCTCGAACTCCTGGCCTCAGGTGATTCGCCCACCTCGGCCTCCCAAAGTGCTGGGATTACAGGAATGAGCCACCAAGCCAGGCCATAACCAGGTATGTTTTCAAATCACAAGTCTTTGAATAAACTTGTTAAATTTTGCCTGTGGGCTTCAAATTAAGATTCTTAAACATATCTTGGTGATCCTTGTGACCTTCAATGAATCCATCCATATTCTAGAGTCTACTTTGGTTATACACCTTCATGCTTTATCCCCAAGTGCTTTCAGAACCATTTCACTAAGATGTTCTAATGCTGACATAAAACCTTGAAACTATAAAAGGGGAGATTTAAGAATTCAGCGATGTAAAAATAGTTTCTGCCATCATGAGCAAACAAAGAGGACAAACTGGGGGGAAAAGGTATTTAAAGCTCACTATAGGAACAAAGTACTCCTGCAGATTAGTTAAAAGACCAAAGCCAATAGAAAAGCGGTTAATAAACATCACACAAAGGCAATCAGCCAAACTCAGATTATGGAAACCTACAGGTTAATCTTATTTCTTCAGCAAATAAGAAAAAAATAAATGGATGGCAAAACATCCTGAATAAGAGAAGAAACAGACACTTCAACTTTACTAAAGATATCCAAATGGCTAGTAAGCTTATGAAAAAGTACTATTCATTGTCAGGGAATGCAAATTAAAACCAGAAGATACCACTACACAATGGCTAAAATTATAGACTGACAACAGCAAATGGTAAGGATATGGACCTACTAGAACTCTGGGAATGTAAACCAGGATAACCATTTAGGAAAAGGTTTGTCGTCTTCTAGTAAAATTTAAAATACATCAACTCAGGATAATCTCACTCCTAAATACTTATCCAAATTAAATTAAATTAAAATGTAGGTTCACAAAAAGGTTGTACATGTTCATACCAACTTTATTCATGATAGCCCCAAACTAGAAACAGCCCATTGTTCACCAGTTAGTTGTTCACCTAACAGGTGAAACGTTAAAATGTGGCATTCATACATAGAACACTGCTCAGCCATAAAAAGGAACAAAGCTTAAACACACTGATGAACATACAAACATGCTGAGTAAAAGGAACTTACAGAATACATACTGCATAAGTGAGTCCGTTATATGAAGTTCTAGAATAGGCAAAATTAATCTACAGTGAACAAAATCCTAACAGTAGCTGACTGCCAGGGGAGGGAAGAAGGGACAGGAGAGAGAGGTGCAGGAATTGACTAGGTGAAAAAATTCAGATGTAATACAGATGTTCCAGACATAGGGGTTTGAGTTACATGCTTTTACATCAAAACTCATCAAATGAGTCTGGGTATGGTGGCTCACACCTGTAATCCCAGCTACTCGGGAGGCTGAGGCAGGAGACTCCCTTGAACCCAGGAGGTGGAGGTTGCAGTGAGCCAAGACCAGGCCACTGCACTCTAGCCTGGGCGATACAAGACTCCATCTCAAAAAAAAAAAAAAAAAAAGAAAAAACCTCATCAAATGATACACTTAACATTTATTCACCTTACTGCAAATCTCCCTCAAAAAAACTCCAATGACGGCTGGGTGTGGTGGCTGATGCCTGTAATCCCAGCACTTTGGGAGGCCGAGGCAGGCAAATGACTGGAGGCCAGGAGTTCCAGACCAGCCTGGCCAACATGATGAAACCCCATCTCTACTAAAAATACAAAAATTAGTCAGGCGTGGTGGTGCACATCTGTAATCCCAGCTACTCGGGAATCTGAGGCATGAGAATTGCTTGAAACTGGGAGGTGGAGGCTGTAATGAGCTGGGATCACGTCACTATAACTCCAGCCTGGGTGACAGAGCGACTGTCTCAAACACAAAAAACAAAAACAAAAACAAATTCCCATGACATGTATGCTGAAAGGATTAAAAGTGAAAAATGTCTACAACTTACTTGGACATGCATATAGAAAAAAAGATGAGACTGCAGGAGGCAGGCTATGGGATAAAGCATGGCAAAATGCTGCTTGTACAATCTAAGGGATGGGTATTGGCATCACCAAGATTTTATATACTGACAGAAAATGATCTTTAGGGTGTTTAGGTGGGAGAAAAGCCAAAATACAAAATAGCATGTACAGTATAATTTATATTTTTAAAAGAAATGACAACACCCACTAACACTTGCTTATAAATAAAGTAAAAGTCACTGCAAGCTTACACTAGAAACTGATAACAGGGCTGTGCGAGAATAGAAACTAAACAGCTGAATTACAGGAGGGGAAGGAGAATCTTCACTACCGTTTGTATCTCTTCAAGTTTATTTCCTTCAAAAAATAAAATATAAACAACTTTAAAATGAGCCTGCTTTTTTTTTTTCTGAGACAGGGTCTCACTCTGTCACTCAGGCTGGAGTGCAGCAACAGTCATGGCTCACTGCAGGCTTGACTTCCCAGGCTCAAGCAGTCCTCCCACTTCAGCCTCACAAAGTGCGGGGATTACAGATGTCAGCCACCACACCTAGCCTATTCTTGATTTTCATATAATCAGGCTTAAGACAGATTAAACCTTCCTTCCTATACTTCCTTTCTAAAAATAAGAAAACCACTAGAACTAAAATTCTGGACAGAAAATCCAGACACCTCACCAATGATGATATAAGGATGGCAGATTAAGTATATGAAAAGGTGCTCCACATCACTATGGGATTGGGAATTAAAACGATGAGACCACTATTCACCCATTAGCTAAAATGCAAGAGTGACATCACCAAATACTAATGAGGGTGAGGAGCTACAGGAACTCTTATTCATTGTCAATGGGAATTCAAAATAGTCATGTTGGAACAGTTTGGCAGTTTCTTCCAAAACTAAACATACTCTTAACTTACAATCCAGCAACCTGGTTCCTTGGTATTTACCCAAAGGAGCTGAAAACGAGTCTACACAAAAACCTGCACATAAATGTTTATAGCAGCTTTATTCCCTTCCTACAAACTTCAGATTCTCTTCTAATTTGCTGAACTTGGGGAGTGGGAGGGTAATGTATTTCTAATGCGATAGCGCAATTTGGATTGGAACTCTACTGCTGACATACATACCATTCTCCTCTATACTATAGGTCCTACCAATTCAATGTGAGTGTCTTCCGATAATTTAGGGGAAACTCTCAGAACAATGGAGTTTTTTGTATTTTGGTTTTTTTGATTTTGACAGAGTCTCACTCTGTTGCCCAGGCTGGAGTGCAATGGTGTGATCTTGGCTCGCTACAACCTCTGCCTCCCAGGTTCAAGCGATTCTCCTGCCTTGGCCTCCCAAGTAACTGGGATTACAGGCGTGTGCCACACCTGGCTAATTTTTGCATTTTCAGTAGAGCCGGAGTTTCACTAAGTTGGCCAGGCTAATCTTGAACTCCTGACCTCAAGTGACCCACCATGGAGGGTTTTAAATTCTGAAACAAACAGGATGTAACCCCAAAAAATAACTTTCCAAATGAGAACTGAGTAAGGGCTGTTCAGGGCAGAGGACATTAACAAGGCATGTTGATTAATAAGCAGATTCATGGCACACAATGTTGCCTTCAAACTGGGTTCCTTATGCTTCCCCCTTCAAGTAACACAGAAGTAGTGAGAATTTGGAGCCTTCCTCCCAGGGAAGATTCGGTCCCCCTTCCCACATGACAGAAGCTTAAGTTACCCACGCATAAAGGGACACATACTCTATTTCTGCTTCATTGCCTGGTGTCAATATTTAGATGAGACCACAATATTCAGATGAGACCACAATATTCAGCAATCAGCTCCCTGGTATTTACATACTGCTTCTCAGAGTTCTCCCTTGCACTCCGTAAGCAGCAGCTAGGCTAAAGCAGGATATGAGCACCCTGACCATATGCCCCACTCCCACTATTCTTCCTGATGGCTTTACCACAAAGGAAGTTATAGACACAAGGAACCCAAACAGAAGGAAATTCACCATCACTGCTTCCTTCAATAGCAAAGAGTGATGCAAAACAGTCTTCTCAAATGTGGGGAGACGGTACCGTCTTCCACTTGCATGGAAATAAGATTACTTTTACTGTATTATGTGCTTCTCTTCCTTTCCCATAACTACATCCACCTTAGCAATCACTTACGTACTAGCCTAGATCATGAACAAAAACAAAAGGGAGCATTCAAATACATAAAATGATTTCCCAATAATGGCCACATTTTGTACAGAAAACTCAGCCTGTAGCGTGCCAAGAAGATATATCCTTTCAACCTTACCCATCCATCATATAGCATTTTAATGCTTTGCTTGCATTCTTTTTCCAGAGATGTGCAAATAAAACTCATTAGCTTAAATCAATTGCAGATGAATTCCTCACAGTAGGCCCCACAGATCTTTTCCACAGCAAATCAGATACCAAATGTGAAAGAGCAACAAAGATCACATTCTAATAGTTCGTACAACTACAGATACCAGTTCTCATAGCTTGGCATATTCAACCATATATGAAAACGCATTTCCATCTAGGCAGTACTACTGATGATGTTAAGCTGGTTAAGTCATGTTCACAGGATTTTAGAGAACACACACACGAAAATTAACCCTTACTACTTATATTAATATAGCAGGACTTGAGGTAATAATATATTCAGTTGACTCACAGACTCCAATAATAAATACTCTTAGGTAATCTTCAGCCTGAAACAAGTCTTCATTTATTGACTACAGTACAGTGATTTCGCATCTTAGCTGGTAATCAAAGATGGTTATGTATTAAGTAAGAGAAGACATAGTCTCTCTTCCAGGTATCACCTGTCAGAAACCTGGGCAAATTTAATTTTAAGAACTAGAACTGCATCTCCTGGTGGCAGTCGTCACCCTGAGAACAGGAACAAGGCAAAGAAAGCATACAGGATTTTGATTCTCCTACACAGGTGCACATAAAGTTAGTTTATTAATGACTATATTTTGAAGCCAGCCATTTTGTCCAATATTTAAATAACAAGCTGTTTAATATTAAAGCAGAAAGTACTGCCACATTGTGACAGAAGTACAGCTTTATCCATAAACCCTTCACACAATTATACATTAAATGCTATTTTTATTTAAGCAAGGCACCCCTACTTGTTCTAAAATATGGGATGTACTACTCCATTTAAAAAGCAAATGAGGAGACTGATTTTTTTCCTATCTAGAGCTGGTTTAAATTCAAGTGAAGCCATTAATTTTCTTACCAGTCTGGACTGTTCTGACATGTCACTTCACAGTTTTGAGACTAACAAACACCCTTAGGTCTACCCCAAACCAAAAAAAGCCAGGGAGGGACAGTTTAGACAACTTTTAAGTTAAGACTAGAATGCCCCCTTAAGTAGATAGGCACCACCGTTATACGCCTTTAGCACAAGGCTTAGAAAGGCAAAACATTTCTAAAGACATAAAACCGCCAAATTGTCATTTACACTAAGCTGTGGTATTTTTTGTTTTGATTTTTAAAAATTCCTATCTCTAAGTAATCAAATACAGCAAAATTTAAAACTATTCTGCCAAACCATACCAGTTCAAAGGTCTGAAACCGTTCTTTGCTTTGGTGAATGTTTGGTTAAAATAAATCACTGTTTCACTCCATGAGAAGTTTTACATCAGAGCACTCAATTCACAGGCAAAAAAAAAAAGTTACTTTTTAAATGAAACCGTTTAAAGAACACTGCTGAATAAAAATATGTGGTCTTTACAATGAGTAACATATCATCTATGAAAACAAACCATTTAATCATATAAAACAAAGACCATATTTTTAAATCAGATCCTGGACAGTTTAAACAAAAATTTTAATTTGTGGTTTATTTCATAATCCCAAACTGGATCTTTCATTTCTTCTTCTAAACAGTCCACTATGAAACTTTTCTTAGAAGCAATTAACCCAAAACACCAAAATCATTTCCCTAGCAGTTGCTGCTAATAAACTGGAACTGTATATCCCAAGTCCAAGAAAGATGTGCAAATGAAATGCTTCTTGCTTCACCCTAAAAATAAAACAAAAAATATTGTACATTTACTCAAGATGAAAAAGGATGGCACACATTCCCATACCATTTAAAATTGCAAATTCAAATTTTTCTCCTTTCTAATTTAGTGCAAGCTATCTGATAAACCGAGTTAAAGTGAGGAAAACTAGTCAGGCATTAGTGTTTACAGGCTGGTACAAAAAACTGAGTTTCAGAATATATTTTAAATAGATTTTAGCTATTATAAATATTTAACACCAAAGAATTGTGGGACTTCATATCCAAAAATAGCAACAGAAGAGGCCAGGCACGGTGGCTCACGCCTGTAATCCCAGCACTTTGGGAGGTTGAGGCGGGCAGATCAGCTGAGGTCAGGAGTTCGAGACCAACCCGGCCAACATAAAGAAACCCCGTCTCCACAAAAATAAAAAATTAGCCGGGTGTGGTGGCGCATGCCTGTAATCCCAGCTACTGGGGAGGCTGAGGCAGGAGAATCACTTGAACCCAGGAGGCAGAGGTTGCAGTGAGCTGAGACTGTGCCATTGCACTCCAACCTGGGCAACGAGAGAAACTCCGTCTCAAAAAATAAATAAATAAAAATAAAATACAAAACTTAGCCGGGCATGGTGGCATACGCCTGTAGCCCCAGCTACTTCATAGACTGAGGCAGGAGAATCGCTTGAACCCGGGGGGCGGAGGTTGCAGTAAGCGGAGATCACACCACTGCACTCCAGCCTGGGCGACAGAGAGAGACTCCGTCTCCCAAAAAAAAAAAAAAAGCAATAGAATAGGATATAGTAATAGAATGAATGTCCGTGTTTTTTTGTTCCTTTTTTTTTTTTTTTTTTGAGACAGAGTTTCGTTCTGTCATCCAGGCTGGTGGAGTGCAGTGGCACCATCTCAGTCACTGCAACCTCCGCCTCCCAGATTCATGTGATTCTCCTGCCTCAGCCTTCCCAGTAGCTGGAACTACAGACATGCACCACCACACCCAGCTAATTTTTGTATTTTTAGGAGAGACAGGGTTTCGCCATTTTGGCCAGGCTGGTCTCAAACTCCTGACCTCAGGTGATCTGCCTGCCTCAGCCTCCTGAAGTAATGGGATTACTGGAGTAACCCACCATGCCTGGCCCCATGTGTTTTCAAGAAATCATTACAGGTAAGTGTCTCAAAAGAATGAGCCATTACCTGTAGAAAAGTGACTGCAATACAACAGTAATACTTACAATACCTTATGGGAAAAAAAAAAGACACCATATATTTAATCGAGGCAAGGAACATCAAGATGTATTAAGCAAATCTCACGGGTAGGTTAACACTATAAAATTATGTACTTCCTAAGGCAAAAAAAAAATGCCATTTTAGGAAAAGGAAACAGTGGCACATTAACTGTGTTTATGGATGATACACTCTGGTTTCACATGGTATCCTTTTAAAAATACCTTAAAACAGAAAATGGCTGGGCGTGGTGGCTCACACCTGTAATCCCAGCACTTTGGGAGGCTGAGGCTAGCGGATCACTGGATGTCGGGAGTTTGAGACCAGCCTGGCCAACATGGTGAAACCCCGTCTCTACTAAATATACAAAAATTAGCTGGATGTGGTAGAGAATGCCTGTAATCCTAGCTACTTGGGAGGCTGAGGCAGAAGAATCACTTGAACCCGGGAGGCAGGGGTTGCAGTGAGCTGAGATTGTGCCACTGCACTTCACCCTGGGCAAAAAGAGTGAGATTTCATATCAAAAAAAAAAAAAAAAAAAAAACAAAAGTAACCTGAGAAAATGGAAAACGTGTTTAAATTTAAGTGGGGAAAAAAAGCTAATGCAAGTCACATATCCAGTCTATTACGATTTATAGCTACTAAAGGTGGCTATTTTTTGGCAAACAGCATGATGTTGGAAATTATGCATAAAAATTCTATATGGAGATAATGCTCAAAGCTACCATATAAATCATAAGGAATTATGGCTGGGAGCAGTGGCTCACTCCTGTAATCCCAGCACTTTGGGAAGCCAAGGCAGGTAAATCACTTGAGGCCAGGAGTTAGTTCAAGATGAGCCTGGCCAACATGGTGAAACCTCATCTCTACTAAAAATACAAAAAAATTAGCCAGGCATTGTGGCGGGCACCTGCAGTCCCAGCTACTCGGGAGACTGAGGCAGGAGAATCACTTGAACCCAGGAGGCGGAGTTTGCAGTGAGCCCAGACTGCATCACTGCAATCTAGTCTGCTCAACAAAGCAAGACTCTGTCTCAAAAAAAATAAAAAGTAGGCCGGACACAGTGGCTCACGCCTGTAATCCCAGCACTTTGGGAGGCCGAGGCAGGCGGATCACCTGAGGTCAGGAGTTCAAGACCAGCCATGACCAACATGGAGAAACCCCGTCTCTACTAAAAATACAAAAATTAGCTGGGCGTGGTGGTGCATGCCTGTAATCCCAGCTACTTGGGAGGCTGAGGCAGGAGAATCTCTTGAACCCGGGAGGTGGAAGTTGCAGTGAGTGGAGATCGAGCCATTGCACTCCAGCCTGGGCAACAAGAGTGAAACTCCATCTCACAAAAAATAAATAAATAAATAAAATAAAATTTAAAAAAAATGAAAAAATATCATAATTAATTCTATTTCCCAGCAGAATTTTCTTTTTTTTTTTTTGCCCCCCACATCTGAGAAGCCAGAGCGAGAATTTTCATTCCTTATATTGACACTTCAATTATCATTAGTTTGATCTTTATTAAAAAGGAATGGTGCCAGGCGGGGTGGCTCACTCTTGTAATTCCAACACTTTGGGAGGCAAAGGCAGCAGGATCACTTAAGGCCAGAAGTTCAAGGCCAGCCTGGGCAACATAGTGAGACCCCATCTCTACAAAAAATTAAAAAATTAGGTAGGCATGGTAGTACACACCTGTAGTCCCAGCTACTTGGGAGGCTGAAGTGAGAGAATCACCTGAGCCCAGAAGGTTGAAGCTGCAGTGAGCTATGATCGCACCACTGCTAGCCTGGGCAACAGAGCAAGACCTAGTCCCTAAAAAAATTTGAAAAATAAAAAGAGAATGGTTTCTACCATATTACAAATTAGTGAGTGAATGATTATTAGTTTATCAATAGCAAATAATTTCCACAGTTGTATCTCTCTCTTTTTTTTTTTTTTTTTTGAGTCTCGCTCTGTTGCCCAGGCTGGAGTGCAGTGGCACAATCTCAGCTCACTGCAACCGCTGCCTCCCGGGTTCAAGTGATTCTCCCGCTTCAGCCTCCTGAGTAGCTGGAATTACAGGCACCCACCATCATGCTCGGTTAATTTTTGTATTTTTAGTAGAGACAGGGTTTCACCATGTTGGCCAGGCTGGCTTGAACTCCTGACCTCAGGTGGTCCGCCCACCTTGGCCTCCCAAAGTACTGGGATTACAGGTGTGAGCCACTGCACCCAGCCCACAGTATTACCTCTTAAATTTACCTTATTATCTGGAGCCCCTAGAGTCTTATTTTCCTTTTGGACATGAATTCAGGAACAGTTCAATATACCTATGATCTGAGGATAATGAGAAAGATTAGTTTTAAAAAGTTGAAAAGGTAGAAAAATATTACAGCCATTTTTCTCACAGTTCAGACAGCAACTCAAACCCTTTGCCCTTTCCTTTCCCTAATTAAAAACAAAATTTAGGCCAGACACGGTGGCTCACGCCTATTGTAATCCCAGTACTTTGGGAAGCCGAAGTGGGAGGATCACCTGAGGTAAGGAGTTCAAGCCAGCCTGGCCAATGTAGCGAAACCCCATCTCTACTAAAAATACAAAAATTAGCCAGTGTGGTGGTGGGTGCCTATAGTCCCAGCTACTCGGGAGGCTGTGGCAGGACAATCACTTGAACCCAGGAGGCGGAGGTTGCAGTGAGCTGAGATCATACCACTGCACTACAGACTGGGCGACAGACAAGACTCCGTCTCAAACAACCACAAACAAACAAAATGTAAAATGGACAAACAGGCTGGATGCGGTGGCTCATGCCTGTAATCCCGGCACTTTGGGAGGTCGAGGCAGGTGGACCATTTGAACCCAGGAGTTCGAGACCAGCCTGGCCAACATGGCGAAACCTGTGTCTACTAAAAATAGAAAAATTAGTCAGGCACGGTGCCAGGCACCTGTAATCCCAGCTACTCAGGTGGCTGAGGCAGGAGAATTGCTTGAACACAGGAGGCTGAGACTGCGGTGAGCCGAGATGGCACCGCTGCACTCCAGCGTGGGTGACAAAAAAAAAAGAAAGAAAGAGATTTGCAGGATAATTAGCAGACAAAATTTTTTAAATTATAATATAGTGTTTTATCTGTTACGTTTAATTTACTAGTACTAAAAGAATACAAATTTCTCAAGGAAAAATTCTACAATCCCAAAACAGAAAAAGATATTTGTAAGCAAAGACAAGCATCAAAAATGACAACAAAAGCCAAAGGCAGGACTTACGAACGTGGGACCGATCCTTGAGCATCGCTGCAACAGCATCCTCATGGGTCTCAAAGTGCACATCAGCTTCTCCAGTGGCCTTCCCACTGGAGCTGTATTCCATGGTGATTCTAACAGGCTTGAGTGGAGCAAAAAACTAAACGACAAACAAAGGCAGTCAAGAGGAACATGATGGATGTAAACCTACCTAGAAGTCTGGTGGCTCTTCATCTTTCTTTCAGACTTTGATTCATACACTTGATACATTTCTTTTTAGGAAATCTTTTTAAGCAGTAATATATTTATATATCTAGTATGTCTTCTGGCTTTTTACTTTTTCTCAGAACTCAAAGTGACATTTCAAATATCTGCTCTCAGCGAGCATGGTGGCTCACACCTGTAATCTCAACACTTTGGGAGGCCGAGGACAGTGGATCGCTTGAGGTCAGGAGATCAAAACCAGCCTGGCCAACATGGTGAAACCCCATCTCTACTGAAAATACTAAAATTAGCCGGGCATGGTGGCGCCTGCCTGTAATCCCAGCTACTCGGTAGACCAAGGCGGAAGAAATGCTTGAACCCGGGAGGCAGAGGTTGCAGTGAGCCAAGTTCACTCCACTGCACTCCAGCCTGGGCGACAGAGCGAGACTCTGTCACAAAAAAAAGTAATACCAAGCCACACTTTTCAGCTACAGAAAAAGAAGCAAGCTTTGCAACCAGGAAGATGCCATCTTACTATCCAACGCAGAAACACTATATTTTCTTCTCTACCTTCCCCAAATTAATACAAGTTCAATTTTAGAACTTTTGTTCAAATCTATTGAGATTGGATATCTTACTGCCACACACGTTTATAATGTCTTGGGCATTGGCTTGGAAAGGTAATCCTCTCATGTGGACAAAATGCAGAGAAGACGTAGTTCCAAAATCAGCAGCCTCTGGAAGCTTTTCTGGCACCTCCTTAGGCAATTCTGAGAGGTGGAACAGAAAGCACTGTTAAAACATAACAGCTTCAAGGGTTATTAACAGATTCTAATTAGGTATGACTTTTATGTCCAAATCCTCAATTCCTCTTAAGAGCATTAAAAGCCAAAATGATCTGAAATTTCTGCCACTCAACAAATATCACCTGAACACCCATAAGCACTGAATGCCTCAGACCATTACCAGTTTAAGAACTTAGCCCTTTTTGTAACATCAGAGAGCAGGTAAAATGATTATGAATTAAACCCTAAAAGAGACTTTCTAGATTATAGGCACTGAAAAAAAAAAAAAAGAACAAAGGCTGGGCGTGGTAGCTCACACTTGTAATCCCAACACTTTGGAAGGCTGAAGCAGGAGAATCACTTGAGCCCAGGAGTTCGAGACCAGCCTGGGCAACACAGCCAGACACTGTCTCTACAAAAAATAAAAATAAAAATAAGTTAGCTGGGCATGGTGATGCATGCCTATAGTTCCAGCTACTCAGGAGGCTGGGGTGGAAGAACTGCCTGAGCCCAGGAGTTCAAGGTTGCAGTGAGCCATGATTGTGCCACTGCACTCCAGAATGGGCCACAGAACAAGACTTTGTCTCAAAAAACAAAAATATATATACACATATATATAGTGACAAGATAATCCCAGGGTACCAGTTTAAAAAGTATTTATGAAACTTAAAAGATTCCAAATGTTGCCCTGGGTTAGGAATCAAAGAAATAATTAAATCCAGAAGCAAACAAAAATCCTTACTTCAGGCGGGCACAGTGGCTCATGCCTGTAATCCCAGCACTTTGGGAAGCAGAGGCCGGCAGATCACCTGAGGTCAGTAGTTCAACGCCAGCCTGGCCAACACGGGGAAACCCCGTCTCTACTAAAAATATAAAAATTAGCCGGGCACGGTGGCAGGCGCCTGTAGTCCCAGCTACTCGGGAGGCTGAGGCAGGATGATGGCGTGAACCTGGGAGGCGGAACCTGCAGTGAGCCGAGAGTGCGCCACTGCACTCCAGCCTGGGCAACAGAGTGAAACTCTGTCTCAAAAAAAAAAAAATCCTTACTTCAGTCAATATTCCTGCTCATTATCCAAATCTTCCCCCATCTTAATTTAAATGTTGACATCTTACTTCCTTTTATCACATTTTTACTACCCAGCTTTTGATATAGTTAATAAAAATGATTAAATTAAAAACCTAGCAAAATAATTAAGCCTTTCTGCATATACTCAAAGTATGTAAAGTCCTATTAAATCTTTAGGCCGGGTGTGTTGGCTCACACCTGTAATCCCAGCACTTTAGGAGGCTGCGGCTCACTTGAGGTCAAGAGTTCCAGACCAGCCTGGCCAACGTGGCGAAACCCTATCTCTACTAAAAATATAAAAATTGGCTGCGCGTGGCGGCATGCGCCTGTAGTCCCAGCTACTCAAAGAGGCTGAGGCAGGAGAATCACTTGAACCCAGGAGGTAGAGGCTGCAGTCAGCCGAGATCGCACCACTGCACTCCAGCCTGGCAACAGAGCGAGACTTCATCTCAAAAAAAAAAAAATCACAAAACCCAAAACATTCAAGATAGACCCAATGAGTCTCAAGAAGAGGCAGGACCTTACCTATTTCCTTCTCACTTTCAAAAGCTGTCATGGGTTGAATATCCTCATTTACTTCATGTTCTTCAAAGACCATTTCTGGCTCAGTTATATACTTAGCAGTAGGAAAAGATGCGATTTTCTTTCCCTTATAAGAACCGACATGTGTTCGAACTTCATTCCTTCTGCTTGGAAATATCTCGATGTATCTATGTCAAAGCAAAAGTAAACAGGCACAAATGGTGCAAAGTAACTTTATACTGAACTCATTTAAAATAAACATGTATACATTATATTTCCAACAGCTTATGAAACACAGGTGTCAAAAGATAACAGGTAGGGAAAACTAATAATGCATACAGATAGTAGCCCATGAAAATATACAACAGAGTAGGTCACTGATTTAAGTTTTTGCATCAAGGTAACACTTTTTCTTCACATACATTTTAATAATATTTTCTACTCTGTTTTGCTTCATGAGAACAACTATGCTTAAGTTAATTGTGTATACAGAAAAAATTAATCTCATAAGGGTTTTTTAAATTGCTGGTTAACAATCTCTTGAAGCTCTGAAATTCAATTCTGTGCAAATTAATCATATCTGTATAAGATATTAAAAGTCACAGTAAAAGAAGAGCTAACTTCCCCAGAACTTCACTAAAAGGCTGAGAATTCAAGAACTAAGTATCAATTATGACTTGCTATCACAGGAGGGGACTATCTATTAAACCCAAGCTTCTGGAACAATTTTTTTTTTTGAAACTTGGGTTTCTTGCTGTCACCCAAGATGGTGTGCAGTGGTGTGAACATGGCTCACTGCAGCCTCAACCTCCTAGGCTCAAGTGATCCTCCTGCCTCAGCCTCCTGAGTAGCTGGGGACTACTGCCACCTGCCACCACACACTGCTAATTTTTTTTTTTTTTTTTTGAAGCAGAGTTTTGCTTTTGTTGCCCAGGCTGGAGTGCAATGGCACGATCTTGGCTCACTGCAACCTCTGCCTCCTGGGTTCAAGCAGTTCTCCTGCCTCAGCCTCCTGAGTAGCTGGAATTACAGGCGCCCGCCACCACGCCCAGCTGATTTTTTGTATTTTTAGTAGAGACAGGGTTTCACTATGTTGGCCAGGCTGGTCTCAAACTCCAGACCTCAGGTGATTCACCTGCCTCAGCCTCCCAAAGTGCTGGGATTATAGGCATGAGCCACCATGCCCAGCCCACACACTGCTAATTTTTTTATTTTTTATTTTTGTAGACATGGGTTCTTGCCATGTTGCCCAAGTTGCTCTTGAACTCCTGGGCTCAAGTGATCCTCCCACTTCGGCCTCCCAAAGTGCTGGGATTATAGGCATGGGCCACCGCGCCCAGCACAGTTTCCTTTTTCTTAACATGGCCTTCTAAACTAAGAGTTATAAAACTAGCTTGTGTTTACAAATCTATAAAGATTAGATGAGCACTACTTCTTTAAAAAAAAAACCTTTGAGCCTGGACAACAAAGTGAGACACCATCTCTACAAAAGTTTTTTTTTGTTTTTTTTTTTAATTAGCCAGGAGACCAGGTACAGTGGCTCACACCTATAATCCCAGTACTTTGGGAGGCTGAGGCAGGTGGATCACTTGAGCTCAGGAGTGTGAGACCAGCTTGGGCAACATGCAAAACCCCGTCTCTACAAAAATACAAAAATTAGCTGGGTGTGGTGGCATGTATCTGTAGTCCCAGCTACTTGGGAGGCTGAAGTGGGAGGATTGCTTGAGCCCAGGAGGCCACAACTGCAGTGAGCTGTATCACACAACTGCACTCCAGCGAGGGTAACAGAATAAGACTCTGTCTAAAATTAGCCAGGCATGGTGATGCATGCCTGTGGTACCAGCTACAAGGAAAGCTGAGATGGCAGGACTGCTTGAGCCCAGAAGGTCAAGGCTGAAATGAGCAGTGTTTGTGGCACTGCACTTCAGCCTGGGTGACAGAGCAAGATCCTGTCTCAAAAAACCAAAAAACCTTTGAACCACTTCTATCAGTAGATCCTGAAACACTGGCTTTGGAATGGCTGTTTTGTTTACTTCAAAGGAGCTGATTTAAAAGGCCAGAAAACAGTAAAAAAAAAAATTAACGAAACAGTGATTTAACATTTGACATTTTAAACTGTACCTCCAAAGTTAAAGTTAAAACACAAATGAACCCACTTATCATCATGTGCATCCTGAGGTGATGTCAACATGAGATACTGTACAAGACAACTGATCTAATTTCTTCAAAAGTCAATTGCTTTTAAAAAGGGGGGAAGAATAAGTAAGGGGGATTTGCTCTAGTTCAAGAGAATCAGTGGTCAGGTGCAGTGGCTCACACCTGTAATCCTAGCGTTTTGGGAAGCCAAAGCGGGCGATCACTTGAGCCCATGAGTTTGAGGCCAGCCAGGGCAACACAGCAAGACCCCACCTACAAACACACACGCACGCACGCACACACACATACACACAGCCAGGTGTGGCGGCACATGCCTATTGTTCTAGCTAGTTGGGAGGATGAGGCGAGACGATTGCTTGAGCCCAGGAATTCAAGGCTGTAGTGAGCTATCATCATGCCACTGCACTCCAGCCTGGGTGACAGAATAAGACCCTGTGTCTTAAAAAAAAAAAAAAAACACACACACACACAGAGAATTATGGACATAACAATCAAATGCAGTGTGTAGACCTTATCTGGATTCTGTATTTTTGTCCGGTGTGCTGGCTCACACCTGTAATCCCAGCACTTTTGGAGGCCGAGGTGGGTGAATGACTTGAGTCCGGGAGTTCTAGACCAGCCTGGCCAACATGGTAAAACCTTGTCTCTACTAAAAATACAAAACTTAGCTGGGCATGGTGGCGCATGCCTCTAGTTCCAGCTACTCAGGAGGCTGAGGCAGGAGGATCACATGAAACTGGGAGGCAGAGAGAGGATGCAGTGAGCCAAGATCACACCACCGCACTCCAGCCTAGGCGGCAGAGTGAAACTCCGTTGCCAAAAAAAAAAAGGCTATTTTTGGTATAATTGGGAAAATGCTATTATGAACTGTTATTAGATAATATACTATTGCTAACAGTGTTAGATATAACATTGAAATTATGTAAAAAAATTTTTTTAAAAGATGCATACTAAAAAAAACCCAGATGAAGCAAATATAACAGATGTTACATTTTATATATAAATGTGTTAATCTAGCTGCTCTAGGTACTCTGTCTATGGGTTAGTCCCTGCCCCACAAGGAGCAGTCAAGCCGGATGCGGTGGCTCACGCCTGTAATCCCAGCACTTTGGGAGGCCGAGGCGGGCGGATCACAAGGTCGAGAGATCGAGACCACCCTGGCCAACATGGTGAAACCCCGTCTCTACTAAAAATACAAAAAAAGCCGGGCATGGTGGCAGGCGCCTGTAATCCCAGCTACTTGGGAGGCTGAGGCAGGAGAATCGCTTAAACCAGGGAGGCAGAGGTTGCAGTGAGCCAAGATCGTGCCATTGCACTCTAGCCTAGGCAAAAAGAGTGAAACTCTGTCTCAAAAAAAAAAAAAAGGAGCAGTCGAAAAAAAATTGTTAATCTAAATTATGGGCATTTGATGGCTCACTACACTACTCTCTCTACTTTTCTATGTTTGGATAACTTTTCAGTCATATTACAGCACATTCATCAAAATGACTTAATGTGTAACACTTCTGCATCATTAGTATCTGCTTTACTCACCGATTACCAATTTCTTCCCTGTGTTTCAACAGGGCTTGGTTGGCCATTTCTGGTTCTTCAAATTGCACATAGGCTTCCCCTGTTTTTCGCCTCCCTCTATAGTCCATCACAAAAGTAATGTCAACTATATTCAGTCCTAGGACACCAAGAGATTTTAATGCTACTAGCAGGCTTTTTTATCCTTAGAATTAACACCATCATTCACATACTAATAAAATTTTTATTCTGTTTTGCCAGTCCCAAAACTGAATACATGCTTGACAGGAAGAAAATTATTATGCAGTCAAAAGTCAGTCAACACCTACATACTTGTATTTCCAGAATAGGTAAGGTCCAAGAAGCCCACCCAAAACATACAATTCTCCCCACCAGTTTTTTTTTTTTTTTTTGCTGTTAATTATATACTAGGAAACAATAGAAATCACAGACTTCACTGCTAATGGTTCTAGGAATTAGAAAATACTTTTAAATTATATAAATTGTTATTGTCTTACACAAATACAGCAACTATTATGAGAAGTTATTTCCTTCAATAGTAAAACCCTCATGAAATTATTCTGAAATCTGACTTCCCTCCTAAAATCTGCCTGATAGAACAAAAACACATATAAAATCTATAAATATTAGAAATTTAAGTGAAGAGCTCTCCCCTAAAGAACCTAATATAACTGCATGCCTTTGCCCAGAAACAGGCTCATCTAAGATATAGAAGGAGATACCAAGGGAAAAAAGATATGAGCTCCCAAGCATAATACAACTGCAAAGTACCTGCAAAGAAGTCTACAATGTCTTTCTCATTGCAACTATAAGGAAGTCCTCTCAAACGAACCACACCATCATTTACCACAGGCGAAGATTTGACCTGCAAGCTCTTCATTAAGGCATCCACATCTTCATTGTTTATCTCATATACTACGAAGAAAAAACCCAACAGGGATGAAAAATTTACATAACAAAGGAACAAACCCATTAAAAAAAATCATTACAACTTGCTGGGTTATCTGAGAATTCAATAACTATTTTAATCTTTATGCGCTTCTCTAGAGAAAATAACAAATGACATTTATTGCATATTTACCATGCGGGCATAACTTCTTTATTTCTCACAGCTTGTAAGATACTTCATTGGCCAGGCACACTGGCTCACGCCTATAATCCCAGAACTTTGGGAGGCCAAGGCGGGTGGATTACCTGAGGTCAGGAGTTTGAGACCAGCCTGACCAATATGGTAAAACCCCATCTCTAATAAAAATACAAAAATTAGCTGGGTATCATGGCATGTGCCTGTAGTCCCAGCTACTTGGGAGGCTGAGACAGGAGAATTGCTTGAACCCAGGAGGCAGAGGTTGCAGTGAGCTGAAATCGCACCACTGCACTCCAGCCTGGGTGACAGAGTGAGATTCCATCCCCCCCACAAAAAAAAGAAACTTTATCTCTTTATGTTTTATTTTCACATCCTATAAAAGAATGCATTCATACAATCTAAATACTTCATTATTAAGGATCAAATAAAAACTACCTTGAAAAGTATAAAACCTAATGCAATGATCCCAAAAAGCCATAATCTGACTTCACATACCTTCCACATACCGCTGGCCCATGTACATGCGGTGCTTCTCTAAGGCTTTCTGCACATCCTGCTCTGACTCCATTTCAATTAAGGCATCACCCCTTCGTTTCCCATCTCTGTTTAGGAGAAAATGTATTCCATTCTCACCGTTGCGGATTCTGCAGTCTAAAAGTGTATGAGCAAAATCAATTGAAAACAGAAATCAAACTTTTAGCTCAATTATGTAAGTCACAAGAATGCAGTTTTCCAACAACAAAGCAGGAAACAAGTGTCATATTCCTTACACAAATCCCCATCACTGAAGTCATCCAAACACCAATAAGGATTTAGTCTCTAAAACCTTCCAAGTAGAAAAGATAAGCAAACCTTAGCACAGAAGCTTATGATCTCCTTCCTGATCATTAAATAGCAAATCAGGATAGGCCCAACACAAAATTCATTATTTCTATTGCAATGTTTCTACAATCACTTAAGGAAATACAATATAGTTAAATTTATACATAAGTGTCTTCCTTTAAAATCATCTCCATAGGTCTCTAAAATATTTCCTGTATGAGTAATTTTATTACCATAGTTTAACTTTTTGTTTTTGTAGAGAGGCGGTCTCATTTTGTTGCACAGGCTGGTCTTGAACTCTTGGGCTTAAGTAATCCTCCCACCTTAGTCTCCCAAAGTGCTGGGATTACAGGCATCAGCCACCACACCCAGCCTTTTTCCCCTTTTCATACTGCATACTTTTTATAATGGGAGTAGTCCAAGATGTAAGTGGCCAAGTGGCTTTAAAAAAAAGTTTGACCAGGCTCACTCTGGGCATACTGCCTAGGATTTACTCCTGCTCCACAAGGAGCAGCTAAAAAAATTAATGAAATAGCCAGGCATGGTGGTTCATGCCTGTAATCCCAGCCCTTTGGGAGGCCAAGGTGGTGGATCACCTGAGGTCAGGAGTTTGAGACCAACCTGGCCAACACGGCAAAACCCTGTCTCTACTAAAAATACAAAAATTAGCCGGGCATGGTGATAGGTGCCTGCTGTCCCACCAACTCAGGAGGCTGAGGCAGGAGAATCCCTTGAACCCGGGAGGTGGAGGTTGCAATGAGCCGAGATTGCGCTACTGCACTCCAGCCTGGGTGACAGAGCAAGACTCCATCTCAAAAAAATTAATAAAAATAAATCATAGTCAGATACAGAAACTAAAAAAAAAAATCCCACAGATATGTAAACCCTCCAAACATGTTATTAAGGGAACTTTATTCCTTGATACTAAGTGACCTTCTATTGTAAATGTCTGTATTACATAAAGAGTCACCCTTAATTCCATATTTCCACTGACAGGCTTGACTTTTTGATATGTATATATTAATACCACAGAGAAAAATAATTTCAAACCATGTAATTTTGTTTTTCAACTTTTATTTAGTACATGTATAGGACTGCTACATAGGTAAACCATGTGTTATGGGAGTTCGGTATACAGATAATTTAGTTACCCAGGTAGCAAGCACAGTACCCAATAGGTTTTATTTTTCTTTTTGAGACAGAGTCTCTCTCTGTCACCACGGCTGGAGTACAGTGGTGTGAACTCAGCTCACTGCAACCTCCGCCTCCCAGATTCAAGCGATTCTCCTGCCTCAGCCTCCCAGGTAGCTGGGACTACGGGAGCGTGCCACCACGCCCGGCTAATTTTTTTTGTATTTTTAGGAGAGATGGGGTTTCAACATGTTAGCCAGGATGGTCTCGATCTCCTGACCTCGTGATCCGCCCGCCTCGGCCTCCCAAAGTGCTGGGATTACAGGCGTGAGCCACCGCACTTGGACCCGATAGGTATTTTTTAATCTTCTCCCCAACCCTCAAGTTGGCCCTGGTGTCTTCTTGTTCCCCTCTTTGTGTCCATGTGTTCTCATTGTTTAGCTCCCACTTGTAAGTGAAAACATACAGTATTAAGTTTAATGTTCCATGTTAGTTTGCTTAGGATAATGGTCTCCAGCACCACCCACATTGCTGCAAAGCACATAATCTCACTCTTTGTTATGGCTACGTAGTATTCCATCATACCAGCCGGGCACGGTGGCTCACGCCTGTAATCCCAGCACTGTGGGAAGCCGAGGCAGGCAGATCACAAGGTCAGGAGATTGAGATCATCCTGGCTAACACGGTGAAACCCCAGCTCTACTAAAAATACAAAAAATTAACTGGGTGTGGTGGCAGTCGCTACTAGGGAGGCTGAGGCAGGAGAATGGTGTGAACCCGGGAGGCGGAGCTTGCAGTGAGCTGAGATCATGCCACTGCACTCCAGCCTGGCGACAGAGCGAGACTCCGTCTCAAAAAAAAAAAAACCTACATAGTATGATGGATTTTTTTTTTTTTTTGAGACAGAGTCTCACTCTGTCGCCCAGGCTGGAATGCAGTGGCACCATCTCGGCTCACTGCAAGCTCCACCTCCCGGATTCACACCATTCTCCTGCCTCAGCCTCCCAAGTAGCTGGGACTACAAGCCTGGGTAATTTTTGTATTTTTAGTAGAGACGGGGTTTCACTATGTTAGCCAGGATGGTCTCGATCTCCTGAGCTTGTGATCCGCCCGCCTCGGCCTCCCAAAGTGCTGGGATTACAGGCGTGAGCCACTGCGCCTGGCCCATACTATGCAGTCTTAACGTTAAAATACTTTTGTTGCATTCAAAGTCTTTATACATATGTAAATTGAGACAGTCTCACAGTGTTGCCCAGTGTGGTATGGAACTACTGGCCTCAAGCCATCCTTCCACCTTGGCCTCCCAAACTGCTGATTACAGGCCTGAGCCACTGCCCCTGGCCCAAAGTCTTTCAATTCGTTACATACCGCAAACAGCACACATGGTATCATTTGGTATATGCAACCAACCAGAATGAGACAGTTCCCAACCATCAAAAAGGAAGGTGACAGCGTAGTCTGACATGGATTTGTAGCACTACCTTTTACTCAGACAAAATTACATACTTAAAACATACATACCTGCTTGTGAGAAACAATATAAGGAAAAAAAATAAATAAATAAAACATACATAAAATATACCTGAAAAAAAGTTAAGCACATCTTCCATAGTGCATGACCAGGGCAGTCCTTGAGCTCGAATGAGAAAGACATCATCCACTTCCTCTTCTAACTTGGACGGGGCCAATTCATACTCAGGGGGTGGTGGAAGGTCTTCCAGGTAAGTAGTTTTGGACTCCTTCCAAAGGAAATGAAGAATTGTAAAAAGAGTTGCATTTACAGGTAAAAAATGTAAAAAAATTCTTAGAAAATGTTTATTCTACAAACTAACATTCTAGATGTTATTTCAGAAGCAAAAAGTAAACTTCACCAATGTAACCCATCCTGTTTTGGCTTAAATTGTACATCCAAAAGCCATAAGCAGGTATATCCTAAAGGTTTGGCAGGACACAAATTTCATTCAGGGTTTGTTTTAAAATTCATCAACCCCAAATTATAGCTAACAATAGTGTAGTTAAGGCAACACAAGAAAGGTCCTGACAATTTGACAAATATTTGATTGCCCCTACACACAGTGTTTGCCGCCCTCATCTGAAATAGCTATCTAGAATACGATAAGCATACAAGATGAGATACTGAGTGCTATAATTAAGATACAAAATACTACAGGAATTCAAATCAGAGCACTAACAGATGAATCAGGATGTGACATGAGATGGGCCTTGAAGGAAGGATAGAATTTTTATGAGGATATAAAAGATAGGGTATTCCAGTTTGAAGGCGAGAGAAAGAAGCAGTACGACCAAATGCCCATTTGAATAACAGCAATTAATTCCAACTGTTTAAATTAGGAGCCAAAGAAGGTGACCTGGCAAAAGAGGTTGGTACCATAGAGCAGAGGGCCTTGAGTGTGGAGCTCAATGTGTGTCCTTCACTTGGTAGGCAAAGATAAGTTAATACAAGACACTGAGGACTGGGTAAATCAACAAGACAGCAGGACGCCTTGGGAATATTCCTCTGTCAGCTGGTATGCCAGACCAAGTGATTAAGGGAAAGATCTTAAAGACAACGGCAGCAGTGTGAGGCTACAGACTTGTAAAGTCTCTTTTATCGGATTAAGTAAAACTGGAATTTAGTAAGAATCCACGAAGCACTACAACCATAACCTAAGAAGACAACTCAGGCTTTAAGACTTGCACTCTACTGGGCCAGGTGCGGTGGCTCACGCCTGTAATCCCAGCACCTTGGGAGGCCGAGGTGGGCGAATCACGAGGTCAGGAGTTCAAGACCAGCCTGGCCAACATGGCAAAACCCCATCTCTACTAAAAATACAAAAAATGAGCCGGGTGTGGTGGCGTGTGCCCGTAATCCCAGCTACTCGGGAGGCTGAGGCAGGATAATCGCCTGAACCCGGGAGGTAGAGGTTTCAGTGAGCTGAGATCTCGGCATTTCACTCCAGCATGGGCAACAGAGCAAGACTCCGTCTCAAAAAAAAAAAAAAAAAAAGACTTGCACTCTACCGGACTAAGGACAGAGATATCTTTCTACTATCTGTCATTTTCTTTTCTTTTCTTTTTTCTTGAGACGGAGTTTCGCTCTTGTCGCCCAGACTAGAGTATAATGGCACAATCTCGGCTCACTGCAACCTCCCCGGGTTCAAAGGATTCTCCTGCCTCAGCCTCCCGGGTAGCTGGGATTACAGGCGCCCGCCACCCCGCCCGGCTAATTTTTTTGCATTTTTTTAGTAGACACGGAGTTTCACCATGTTGGTTAGCCTGCTATCGAACTCCTGACCTCAGGTGATCCACCCGCCGCAGCCTCCCAAAGTGCCGCGCCCAGCCCTATCTATAATTTTCATTAAGGCTTAATGTTAGGCCGGGCGCGGTGGCTCACGCCTGTAATCCCAGCACTTTGGGAGGCAGAGGCGGGCGGATCACGAGGTCAGGAGATCGAGACCACGGTGAAACCCCGTCTCTACTAAAAATACAAAAAATTAGCTGGGCGCAGTGGCGGGCGCCTGTAGTCCCAGCTACTCGGGAGGCTGAAGCAGGAGAATGGCGTGAACCCGGAAGGCGGAGCTTGCAGTGAGCCGAGATCATTCCACTGCACTCCAGCCTGGGCGACAGAGCGAGACTCGGTCTCCAAAAAAAAAAAAAAAAAAAGGCTTAATGTTTAGTTTTAAGGAATAAATGTAAGCAGTGTCTAACACATAGTAGATGCTCTACAGATATCACCGCAGTCAATTTCATAGAAAAAAAAAGAGAGAAGCTAGCTCACAAAGGTTTACTGGAGATGGTTTTGTTGTGGTTTTTGTAGACAACTTTCCCCATTTTTCCATAATTCCATAAGCATCACAAGCTTTTACAGAAAAAGGCAGCGTAAAGTATTGGGCCAGGATTCAAATCAATTAGCTCAGCCACTGGCAGACAGCAGCCATGCTGATTAGCCTCCCAGTCTCCCTAAGTTAAAGGAGAAGCACAAATTGAATTAAGATAAATATGACCTAAGGAATCAGGGGCTGGGTAGTTAAAAAGTGTGCAGACACTTCCCAGATGCCACGTACCAAGAAGAGAAAGGTTCATCTACAAAGCACAAAATATTTGCAATCTAACTACACACCGACTTTTCTAAAAAAATAAAGAAAAAATGGAAAGGAAAACATTGCAAATTCATTCCTGGGACCCCAAGTTGTGTCCTCAACCCTCAACGCTCCCTCCCATTCACCCCCTCCCCCCAACAGCTAAATCTCCAAACTGCTTTCCCAGACGAGGCGACACACAGTCCTTAAAGACCTTCTGTATGAGTGGAGTTGCAGAGGTGACCTTCAGTAAACCGGGACAGCTCGTCTTTCCCTGGGGACAGGAGAGGGAACGGCGCGATGGGGACAGGCTCCTTCCCTACAAGCCAGCCCACGCAACTGTGTGCGCGCACCTTCCCAGCAGCGGCCGACCGAGAGGCGCCGAGGGCCGCCCAGGCCTAGCGCTCGGGCTGCACGGAAACTCCCAACCCTCCGGCGGGCTCGGGCCTCGCAACTTCACAACCAGCCGGCGGAAAGCAAGAAGATGCGAGGTGGGGGCGTCAGCAGCCTCACGAAACCTACCATGGGCCAGGCGGGGAACAAGGCCTCAACATTCACCCCAGCCACACTTACACTGCCCAACCGACCAGAGACTCGAGGCGAGAACAAAACAAGCAGAAGACCCGACGCCTGGGAGAGCTTCCCTTGTTCCAGGGCCCAATAGGAGCACAGGGTGGACGGGGGCGGGTGTGCGGCGAGTGTCGCGGATCCCCGGGCGTGCCCGCGAGGCGCACACGGAGGGACGGAGGGGCGCGGGGGCGCGTGCACGCGGCCCGGGAGGGATCTCGCGCCAGGTCCCTCACGGCGCCCACGTACCTGGCTGTAGCTGCGCGTCGGGACGGCGGCCGCCGCCGCCAGCGACTGCGGCAGCAGAGAGGCACGGAGGGCAGAGTAGGACGCGGCGGCCGCGGCCGCGGCAGAGGTGGCCACAGCGGGAGGCCCCGCCAGCCTCCCGGGAGGCACAGGCCCGGTCTGGAGGCCACGCGTCTGGGAGGCAGCGGCCGCGGCGGCCCCGAGCAGCAGCAGCAGGCGGCGGCGGCCCGAGACGCCCGACGGGATAGAGCCAGCGGCGGAGTAGAAGGGCAGGCAGGCGGCGCCGGTGCGCCGGCAGCTGCTGCAGTTACAGCCGCAGCCCCGGAGCAGCGCCCCGAGTACCCAGCGCGTGCCGGCCATGGACTCCGGAGGCGGCGCAGGGCCTGAAGGCAGCTGCTCCAGCAGCGATGGTGGAACGGAAGTGGAATCCAGGGCCGGTTGGGGGTGGGGTGTGCCTGGCACATGCGCCGCGGGCACTGGGTGGGGGGCCTCCGAGAGTCGGAAGGAGGTGGAGGAGAGCGCGACGCTCCGCCCAGTCTCCGCCCTTGGGCGGGGCTGCCCATGGTTTGGGCGGGGCTGCCCATGGTTTGGGCGGGGCTGCCCATGGTTTGGGCGGGGCTGCCCATGGTTTGGGCGGGGCTGCCCATGGTTTGGGCGGGGCTGCCCATGGTTTGGGCGGGGCTGCCCATGGTTTGGGCGGGGCTGCCCATGGTTTGGGCGGGGCTGCCCATGGTTTGGGCGGGGCTGCCCATGGTTTGGGCGGGGCTGCCCATGGTTTGGGCGGGGCCCGGGGAAGTGGGTGCAATCGAACTGCTCTTTTTTCAGGCGGTGGAAACTGAGGCCCAAAGTAAGTGAGGCTAGGGGCCTGGCGCAGTGACTCATTCGTAGTGACTCATTCTTGTAATCCTAGCACTTTGGCAGGCAGAGGCGGGTGGACTGCCTGAGGTCAGGAGTTCGAGACCAACCTAGGCAACACGGTGAAATCCCGTCTCTACTAAAATACAAAAAATTAGGTCGGACGCGGTGGCTCCCGCCTGTAATCCCAGCACTTTAGTAGGCCGAGGTAGGGCGGATCACCTGAGGTCAGCAGTTCAAGACCAGCCTGGCCAACATGGTGAAACTGTGTCTCTACTAAAAACACAAAAATTAGCCGGGTGTGGTGACGGGTGCCCGTAATCCCAGCTACTCAGGAGGCTGAGGCAGGAGAATCGCTTGAACCCAGGAGGCGGAGGTTGCAGTGAGCCAAGATCGTGCCACCGCACTGCAGCCTGGGCGACAGAGTGAGACGCCATCTCCAAACAAACAAACAAAAAAATTAGGTTAGGGCCATCCTGCTCTGGGTAGGGCCGAGAGCTGTAGCACAAGTCTGTGCTGCCCTGCGCTGTGCCACCGAAACCCGTGGTGTGAGTGGCTAAAGAACCCTTTCTGAAAGGAATTGTGATACCTTGGTTATAAAAAAATCGTTGGGATAATATCAGAGATTTGGTACCCCCCGAATTTGAGGTATGTGAGGAAGGAGAACTTCGTTGTTTTAAAATGAAATATAGGCCTGGCGTGGTGGCTCATGCCTATAATCCCAGCGCTTTGGGAGGCTGAAGTGAGAGGATCACTGGAGCCCAAGAGTTCCAGACCAGCCTGGGCAACATAGGGAGACCCCGTCTATACAAAAAATAAATAAAGCTGGGTGTGATGGCGTGGGCCTGTAGTCCCAGCTACTTGGGAGGCCGATTGCTTCAGCCCAGAAGGTAGAGGCTGTGGTAAGCTATGATTGCCACCACTGAACTCCAGCCTGGGTGACAGAGTGAAACCCTGTCTCTAAAAAAATAAAAGAAAACATATATATTTATTATGTACTGATAATACATAACAAAGGTGAACCCTCCCCTAATGAAACTGTATTCACAAGTGAACACACAGAGATTTGCACACACATACACAAAGACTGGTTGTGCAGCTTTTCTCCTCCTGAGCCAGGACTTGTCAAAGACAAGCAAAAGGAAGTTGTTAGAGTAAAAAATAAGAGAAAGCTAGTATTTTTAAAAACTCCTTACTGTGGAAAATGTCAAACAGAAGAGCAGAATGAATTTCCAGAACTTCATAAATTGTCAACACTTTTCAGTCTTGTTTCATCTATCCCCTACCACCATCTTCCAGACCTTATTTTCTTTGCTAGAATATTTTAAAGCAATGGGTATTACATTTAAAGTTTGACTTGTTTAACCTGGACTACTTTTAGGTAAGGAAAATTCAGTATTTCTTAGAAAACCCTTTCCCCAACCAAAAAACAAAGAACAAGAAAAAAATTGATAGGCTTGGCTCTATGAACCTGGAGTATCAAAGAAAAAGGGGTTTAGTTTTGTTTTTTGGGCTAAAATACAGTCCGACGGAGAGTATTGTCATTTTTATACAAAAACAGGGACAAAAGAAAAGGCAACAGTGCAAATACTCCATCTTCCAGGAAGGGAGGCTGGGATGCCTCAGTGTTAAAATGACAAAAGAAAACCCCAGAGCAAGAACCATGATCCCTCAGAGGAGTCCCAGAAATGTCCAAGACAGCCTGGCTGGGAGAGGGGGTGTGGGAAGGGCAGGCCCCCAAGAGAGGTCCCCACATCCTCTGGCTAGAGGCTAGGCCCAGGACCCACCAATGCCAGCAGCCCTCACCTCCCTTTGGGGTGAGAGCAGGTGCTGAGGTCAGGCTGGTTTTTGTTTCCCACTGCTTGTTCGTGATTTGTTCTTGGATACCTGGAAAGGGGCCAGTTGAGGCCTCAGGGGTTGAGGCCCCTCTGGAAATGTGGTTCCTGGGAATGGGCCTGGACATAGAAGCCACTGGATGTCTCTTCCCTGAACAGTAATTTTGTTCATCAGTAATCCTGTAACTTCCCAAGGAAAACAAAGAACAGGCTAGTCTTCCCCACCCCAGCCAAAAAAGAGAAGGGGGTTTCTTCATCTGCAAGATTTGGGAATCCTAGAGTTACTTATTTATATAGAGACAGGGTTTTGCTCTTTTGCCCGAGCTGGGGTGCAGTGGTGGGAATATGACTCACACTAGCCTTGACCTCCCGGGTTCAAGTAATCCTCCTGCCTCAGCCTCCCAAAGTGCTTGGGATTACAAGCATGAACCACCACACCTGACCTATTTTTCTTTTCGTAAGCCTCCCTTTCAAGAAGGAAAATGGGTTAGCCCTTCCTAACAGATCATCACTACAAATAACAGGTTGCTGATGTATTGGAGACTCTGCCTATATTTACTCTTGCCCTCATTTTCTTAATAGCAGCAGTCATCATCTATAACATAAAAATCTGAATGGATTGGAAACCTAAATAGACAGAAATCCTGTACTTTATAATCAGGAGTATAAATAATAAGAGGCAGCCTGGGCAACCTGGCGACATCCCGTATCTACTAAAAATACAAAAAATTAGCTGGGCGTGGTGACACCTGCCTGTAGTCCCAAAAGGTCACACGCTCTCTCACAGCACAAACTGACCCTAAAACCGGAGCCCACAAGGTTGAGGCTTCAGTGAGCTGAGACCGCACCACTGCACTCCAGCACTCCAAAGTAGCACCTGCCATCCTCATGACAGAGTGAGACCCTGTCTCAAAAGTAAATAAATAAATAAAATTAAATTATAAGAGGCCATTGGTTTGGACTGAGCTCTTCTACTATGCCCAAAAGACCAAACCAAAATGCAGTTACTCACCTTCCACAAGACCAAGCTGAAACTAAGTTTATTTGACCTTCTGAGTAATCAGGAGAGACAGATAATGGCCAAATCCTCAAACAGACTGGTGTTAGCTGGCAGGATAAGGAAGGCCCCTTTGCTTTGACCTTTATAGGGAAAATACCTGAAACAACCAATCTGCTTTGTATTCTCTGTTTCTACTTTCCTTGGCCCTTTTCTATCTACAAACCCAACCTCCTTTGCTCAGCTCATCAAAACACTCACTCTATAGAATGAGATGTTGCCCGATTCTAGAATAGAAAATAAAAGCCAATTAAGATTTATAAAAGCTGAGGCCGGGCGCAGTGGCTCAAGCCTGTAATCCCAGCACTTTGGGAAGCCGAGGTGGGCGGATCACCTGAAGTCGGGAGTTCGAGACCAGCCTGACCAACATGGAGAACCCCCTCTCTACTAAAAATACAAAATTAGCTGAGCATGGTGCGCATGCCTGTAATCCCAGCTACTCAGGAGGCTGAGGCAGGAGAATTGCTTGAACCCGGGAGGCAGAGGTTGCAGTGAGCCGAGATCGTGCCATTGCACTCCAGCCTGGGCAACAAGAGCGAAACTCTGTCTCAAAAAACAAAAAAAAAAAAATTTCTAAAAGGCGTGTGCGGTGGCTCACGCCTATAATCCCAACACTTTGGAAGGCCGAGGCGGGCAGATCACTTGAGGTCAGGAGTTCAAGACCAGCCTGGCCAATATGGTGAAACCCCATCTCTACTAAAATACAAAAATTAGCTGGGCATGGTGGTGTACACCTGTAATCCCAGCTACTTGGGAGGCTGAGGCAAGAGAATCGCTTGAACCTGGGAGGTGGAGGTTGCAGTGAGCTGAGATCGCGCCACTGCATGCTAGCCTGGGCGACGGAGAGAGACTCTGTCTCAAAAAAAAAAAAAAAAAAGATTTGTAAACTAAATTCATTGTAATTTTGTCTTTTGACAGTTCTGGCAACTGACAAAGGGACCTAAAGGACACTGCTGATGACTTCTGAGACTCCCGGAGGAATATCAGAGAGGTGCCACAGAGCCACAGATGCCTTTTGAGGTCCTCGGTCTTCCTCATGGAGCCTCAAGGGTTATAGGTAAGTTCCGCTCGGGTGGACTCCTTTTTTTTTTTTTGGCTTTTGAATTTAGGATTAGTTTATGCTGTGAGACAGTGCATGACCTTTTGTGGTTTGCAGTGGCTGACAAGTCATTGGCAAGAGCTGCAGTTTTGTCTTGGCTGGGTGCGGTGGCGCATGCCTGTAACCCCAGCACTTTGAGAGGCAGGTGGATTGCTTGAGATCAGCCTGGCCAACATAGCAAAACCCCGTCTACTAAAAATACAAAAATTAGCCAAGTGTGGTGGTGCGCCCCTATAATCCCAGCTACTCGGGAGGCTGAGGCATAGGAATCATTTGTCTCAAACAAACAAAGAAAGAAACAAGCAGAAAACAAAAAGAAAAAACAAACAAAAAGAAGAGACAGGGGTCTGATGCTATTTTCCGGGCTGGAGTGCAGTGGTTATTCACAAGCACAATCACAGGACATTACTGCCTCAAACTACTGGGCTCAAGCGATCCTTCTGCCTTTGCTCTGAGTGCCTGGGATTATAGGATTACAGGTCTGTGCCATTAAGTCTGGTTTAAGAGCTGCAGTTTTTTTTCTTTTTTGGGGGGGGGGGGTTTGTTTGTTTTTTAGTTGTTTACCTTACTCATGGACTCAGGTAACAAGGAGCTGCATTTTAAGACAGTGTTGCTCTAAGTGGTTATTACTGCAGGAGGCATGAACTCTGGCTTTTGGAATCTGCTGGAATTTGAATTCTATCCTTTTTGTTAGGTTTTCTTGCATGCTTAGGTAGGAAAAAAATCACTGGGTAAGTTGGTCAAGGGGATCTCAGAGCCAAAGCCACCATTTAACTAGTGGGCACAGTTCAGGTACTTTAGAGCTATTAAAGTGCTGGCCACTAAAAAATGAGACTACCTGTTAGAATAAACTAGACATGAAACAAGGTAGCACTTGCCATCCTCAATAAAATGTTTATGCAGTGAGGTACACTGTGAAAGAATTATACCACCCAACCCCATGATGTTTCCCTCTTAGGCTGTTTTTTTTTTTTTTTTCCTTGAGATGGAGTCTCACTCTGTAGCCCAAGCTGGAGTGCAGTGGTGCAATCTCGGCTCACTGCAACCTCCGCCTCCAGGATTCTAGTGATTCTTGCCTCAGCCTCCTGAGTAGCTGGGACTACAGGCGGTGCCATCATGCCTGGCTAATTTTTTTTTGTATTTTTAGTAGATACGGGGTTTCACCATGTTGTCCTGGGTGTTCTCGAACTCCTGAGCTCAGACAATCAATCTGCCTTGGCCTCCCAAAGTGCTGGGATTACAGGTGTGAGCCACCACGCCTGGCCCCCTCTTAGGCTTTTGTCTTGACTTTGAGAGACCCAAGAGTCAATGTAAAAATGAGATCTTTAATTTTTTTTTTTTTTTTTTTTTGAGATGGGAGTCTTGCTCTGTTGCCTGGGCTCACTGCAACCTCCACCTCCCGGGTTCAAGCGATTCTGCTGCTTCAGCCTCCCGAGTAGCTGGGACTACAGGCATGCACCACCATGCCCAGCTAATTTTTGTATTTTTAGTAGAGACCAAATTTCACCATGTTGACCAGGCTGGTCTTGAACTCCTGACTCAGGTGATCCGCCCACCTCGGCCTCCCAAAGTGCTGGGATTACAGGTGTGAGCCAACGCACCCGGCCAGATCCTTAATTTCTAAAGAACTGAATATTCCACCTTCCAGCTACACCTGCCTTTTACTTGTATTAGGCCCCAGTAGCTGAAAATACTTATAAAGGTGGTGAAACCAGTGGAATCTTACTAAAGATAATTTAAAATTACAATGGTCATTATATGGACCATTCCAGATGAGAGGAGTGATACTCGACTTTTTTTTTTTTTTTTTTTTGAGACAGAGTCTCACTCTGTCACCCAGGCTGGAGGGCAGTGGCACGATCTGGACTCACTGCAACCTCCGCCTCCCGGGTTCAAGCAATTATCACGCCTCAGCCTCCCAAATAGCTGGGATTATATGTGCTCTCCACCATGCCGGGCTAATTTTGTATTTTTAGTAGAGATGGGGTTTCACCATGTTGGCCAAGCTGGTCTCAAACTCCTGACCTCAAGCAATCCGCCCGTCTCGGCCTCCCAAAGTGCTGGGATTACAGGCATGAGCCACCACGACAGACCGATACTCAACTTTAAGAAGTGCATTTAGGCCAGGTATGGTGGGTGGCTCATGCCTGTAATCCTAGCACTTTGGGAGGCTCAGGCGGGTGGATTGCTTGAGCTCAGGAGTTCGAGACCAGTCTCAGCAACACAGTGAAACCCTGGTTCTACAAAAATTTCAAAAATTAGCCAGGTGTGGTGGTTTGTGCCTGTAGTCCCAGCTACTCAGGAGTCCCAGCTACCAGCTGAGGTGGGAGGATTGCTTGAACTCAGGAGGCGGAGGTTGCAGTGAGCTGAGATTACGCCACTGCACTCCAGCCTGGGCTACAGAAGGAGAGCCTGTCTCAAATAAAAAAAAAAAGGAAGTGCATTTAAAAATGAGGGTTCCTGGCCGGGCGCAGTGCCTCACGCCTATAATCCCAGCACTTTGGGAGGCTGAGGCAGGTGGATCACGAGGTCAGGAAATGGAGAACATCCTGGCTAACACGGTGAAACCCCATCTCTACTAAAAAAATACAAAAAAATTAGCCGGGTGTGGTGGCAGGTGCCTGTGGTCTCAGCTACTCGGGAGGCTGAGGCAGGAGAATGGCGTGAACCCGGGAGGTAGAGCTTGCAGTGGGTCGAGATCGTGCCCCTGCACTCCAGCCTGGGTGACAGAGTGAGACTCTGTCTCAAAAAAAAAAAAAAAAAAAAAGAGGGTTCCTGCTGGGCATAGTGGCTCTGACCTGTAATCTTAGCACTTTGCAAGGCCAAGGAGGGATAATTAGCTGGGCCCAGGAGTTCAAGACCAACCTGAGCAACATAGACCACATTTCTACAACAACTTTGAAAAATTAGCTGGGCATGGTAACATATCCCTGTAGTTACTAGCTACTTGGGAAGCTGTGATGGGAGGATCTCTTGAGTCCAGGAGTTTGAGGCTGCAGTGAGTTCTGATCGCACACCACTGTACTCTAGACTGGGCTACAGAGCAAGACCTTGTCTCCAAAAGAGAGAGAGAGAGAGAGTTCCTGAATTAGACCCACCCAGGGATGCCTATGGATATGCAGAAACTTCTAAAAAGATTTCAAAATTTTTTCTTGCCTCTTTTAAAAGACTTATTACAAAAGGCAAATGAAAAGCTTAAGTAACCAATCGATAAGAAAAATGGAAACTGCCAACCTTTTTGCTTAGTTACTATCACACCCCAAAGACAAAAAGAAAGTGGGAAAAGTGGTTTTTATAAAACTTAGTCCCTCAGGTCAAGCAGTTTTGCTTCTTTTTTCAGAGTTATCAGTGCTAGAGTCCAGACATAGAAAATGATGTGTCTGACCTATTTGTTAATGGACTCCACCCTAAACTCAGTAATCCAGTTAAGAAACAGAAGCAAAATTGAAAAGCCACCAGTCTGACTAAATTATTTTCCAGAATATGGCATTCTGGCATTCATCTAGTTTTTTTGTTTGTTTGTTTCTTTGTTTGTTTTTGAGACAGAGTCTCCCTCTGTTGCCCAGGCTAAAGAACTCAGCTCACTGCAACCTCCGCCTCCTGGGTTCAAGTGATTCTCCTGCCCCAGCCTCCTGAGTAAGCAGCTTGGATTACAGGTGCACGCCACCACGTCCAGCTAAGTTTTGTATTAGTAGAGACAGGATTTCACCATGTTGGTTGGGCTGGTCTCAAACTCCTGACCTCAAGTGATCCACCTGCCTCAGCCTCCCAAAGTATTGGAGTTACAGGCATGAGCCACCACGCCCAGCCTGATTTTTTTTTTTTAATACGGAATGCTTCACCAATTTGCATGTCATCCTTGTGGAGGGGACCATGCTAATCATCTCTATCATTCTAATTGCAAGCACCAGATTTTTTTAATTTTTAATTTTTTTTAGAACCAAGTTCTTGTTTTGTCACCCAGGTTGGAGTGCAGTAGTACAATCATAGCTCACTGCAGCCTCAAATTCCTAAGCTTAAGAGATCCTCTTGCGTCAGCCTCCCAAGTAGCTAGGACTACAAGCACACACCACCACACCTGGCTAATTTTTTTAAAAAATTTTTTGTAGACACAAAATCTTGTTACGTTGCCCAGGCTGGTCTTGAACCTCTGGCCTCAAGTGATCCTCCCACCTTGGCCTCCAAAAATGCTGGGGTTATAGGCATGAACCTCCATGCCTGACCTCGTATCAGACTTTCAACCATAGCCATTTTAAGTCCATAGTTAATTCTTTTATTCTTATGCTCTTCTGAAACCTTTTTTTTTTCTTTTTCTTTTTTGAGGCAGAGTCTCACTCTGTTGCCCAGGCTGGAGTGCAGTATCATGATCTTGGCTCACTGCAACCTCCACCTCCCTGACTCAAGGGATCCTCTGAGTAGCTAGGACTACAGGTGTGCACCACTACACCCGTCTAATTTTATTTTTTTTCTTTTTTTTGTAGAGATGAGGTTTCACCATGTTGCCCAGGCTGGTCTCGAACTCCTGGGCTCAAGCGGTCTGCCTGCCTTGGCCTCCCAAAGTGCTGGGATTGCAGGCGTGAGCCACCTGCCCAGCCCTTCTGAGAGCTTTTTGCAAACAACTGTAATCCTAAAGTGTTGTGTCTTCAAGAAGATTTATGGAAGTGTGGCCTGGGGCAGTGGCTCATGCCTGTAATCTCAACACTTCGGGAGGCCGAGGCAGGTAGATCACCTGAGGTCACGAGTTCAAGACCAGCCTGGCCAATATGGCAAAACCCTGTCTCTACTAAAAATACAAAAATTAGCCAGACATGGTGGTGTGCACCCATAATCCCAGCTACTCGAGAAGCTAAGGCAGGAAAATTGCTTGAACCCGGGAGATGGAGGCTTTAGTGAGCTGAGATCGTGCCACTGCACTCCAGCCTGGGCAACAGAGGGAAACTCCGAAGATTCACGGGAAGTATTAAAGCAAACTAAATGAGAAGGACTCTGTACTTCCATATTTGAGTCCTTGGATGAACTGCAACCTAACTTAATAGGTAGGGAAAATTGAAAACCTAACTTAGAGGTTATAACAATAGTGCCTATAACAATAGCTGAGTCTTAGCCAATCCCAGCACAGCCATACTTCAACCATTCATACACTGCTGGGTGTTCAAACGGTGTTCAAATAAGGCAAATGCCAACCTGTAACTAATTCAGCTGTTTCTGAGCCTCACTTCCAATTTCTGTACGTCACTTCCCTTTTTTTATCTATAAATTTGTTCTGACCACGAGACACCATTGGAGTTTCTCTGAATCTGCTGTGATTCTGGGGGCTGTCTGATTCGCGAATCATTCATTGCTTAACTAAACTCCTTTAAACTTAATTCTGCTGACTTTTTCTTTTAACAGAAGGATAGAGAGGACTCTGACAAATAAATGTAGGTTTCTGATAACTTTAAGATCATACCACTGGACTAGGTAGAAATTTCCAGAAATCTAATGAAGAAACTGCTGGGTTCGTGAGCTGCTAACCAAGATCAAGCAGAACAAAAATTAATTACATGGGATTAAATAAACTGATGAAGAAGAATTATGGGTTTTTACAGCATTTTTATTCGAAATATTGCACGTTTTTTGTTTGTTTGCTTGCTTTTGAGACGGAGTCTCGCTCTGTTGCCAGGCTGGATGGAGTACAGTGGCGCGAACTCGGCTCACTGCAACCTCTGCCTCCCAGGTTCAAGTGATTCTCCTGCCTCAGCCTCCCGAGTAGCTGGGACTACAGGCACACGCCACATGCCCAACTAATTTTTTTGTATTTTAGTAGAGATGGGGTTTCACCATATTGGCCAGGATGGTCTCGATCTCTTGACCTCGTGATCCGCCCGCCTCGGCCTCCCAAAATGCTGTGATTACAGACGTGAGCCACTGCGCCCGGCCATATTGCAGGTTTTTTAATATTTTGTTTTTCAGATTTAAGACAACTCTTTCTTTTAAGGTATCTGTAACTTACAGCAATTTGGCAAAGTATACTTGTGTGAACAAAAATTGAAACGTTTACTTTCAGTACCTACCTGATCCCTCCAGAATTTAGAAATATTCATGAAAATTTTTATTTTCGTGGCAATATAGTTATTTTCATAGTTTAGTTCAATAAGAATCTGCTCAGTTTTCTCAGAATAAAATTGGAAATATCAGTTATATTTTTTCACTGGGATACCATATTTGACAAGTGCATAGAATTAATCTACAGGTACTGTAGACAAAGTCTGAGGTATGCTTTGGTTTGGCTTCATAGCCTCAAGAGGTTGTTAATAATCCAATCTGTTGGATTTGATTTCCTATCAAAAGTTCCAGCAAAGCAAAGTTTAATAGCGCCTATGTGGTCAATTGTTATTCTTGCTGTACTTGTATAAATAAACAGCCTAAGTTTGATGAGACTAAACTTATTTTGCAAACAAATTAGTTTTACCCCGATTATCTTTGGTAGAAATGGGGGTGACTGTAGAGCAGGAGTCCCCAACCCCTGGCTCACCTGTTAAAAACCAGGCCACCCAGCAGGAGATGAGCAACCAGGCCACAAAGCAGGAGGTGAGCTGCAGACAAGCGAGCATTACCGCCTAAGCTCCACCTCCATCAGATCAGCAGCAGCATTAAATTCTCACAGGAGGCCAGGCGTGGTGGCTCACACCTGTAATCCCAGCACTTTGGGAGGCCAAGGTGGGAGGATTGAGGTCAGGAGTTCAAGACCAGCCTCGCCAACATGGTGAAACCCCATCTCTACTAAAAATACAAAAATTAGCTGGGTATGGCGGTGCACCCTTATAATCCCAGATACTTAGGAGGCTGAGGCAGGAGAATCCCTTGAACCCCAGAGGCAGAAGTTGCAGTGAGCCAAGTTCATATCACTGCACTCCAGCCTAGGTGACAGAGTGAGACTCCGTCTCAAAAACAAAAAATCCTCATAGAAGTGGGAACCCTATTGTGAACTTCACATGCGAGGCATCTAGGTTTCTTGCTCCTCATGAGAATCTTATGCTTGATGATCTGAGGTGGAAGTTTCATCCCGAAACTATCCCCTCCACCCCTACCCTGGTCTGTGGAAAAATTGTCTTCCACGAAAAGATTGGAGACCACTGCTATTGAGAGAAAAACTATGTTTCTGAGGATAGCTATAGTATACCTGTTAATAGAGTATACCCCTGTTCCTTGTTCTCAAGTTTTTATTATCTACCTGTAGACTAGACTAGATTCTGAATTCTTCTAGTTTCCTCCAGTATGTGGTTACGACTCTCCAACTAAAAATAAGAACTACTCTGTTCCTGAAGCCCTATAAGCAGAAGCTGGACAACTCAATGTAAATTTCAAAGGACAAGTCCTATTACTGATGTGTGGGCCAAATAGAGATTTCACCAAAATGCATGATGCCATAACCAGAGACAATCAAACTGCAAATCAAGATGAGAAGTTGGGCTGGGCCCGGTGGCTTACACCTGTAATCTCAACACTCTGGGAGGCTGAGGTAGGCAAATCACTTGAGGTTAGGAGTTCGAGACCAGCCTGGCCAACATCTCAGCTCACTGCAACCTTTGCCTCTCAGGTTCAAGTGATTCTCCTGCCTCAGCCTCCCAAGTAGCTGGGACTACAGGCACCCGCCACCACGACTGGCTAATTTTTTGTATATTTAGTAGAGACAGGGTTTCACCATGTTGGCCAGGCTGGTCTCGAACTCGTGACCTTAGGTGATCTGCCCACCTCAGCCTCCCAAAGTGCTGGGATTACAAGTGTGAGCCACCATGCCCAGCCTCATGATCTGTTTTATAAAGTAAGACTTCTAGTGCTCGGCTTCAGAAGCACATATGCTAAAATAATTAGAACGATACAGAGAAGATTAGCATGGCCCCTGCACAAGGATGACATGCAAATTCATGAAGCGTTCCATATTTTTTAAAAAAAAGACTTCTAGATCCACTTGTTCTCACTTCCTGCCTTAATTTATCCCAATCATGGGATGCTAGATTACCTACTAGCTGAACAGGAAGTAGTCTGTGTAGTTGCTGATATTTCTTGTTGCATATAGGTAAATATATCAAGTATTGTAGACACTCAGTTATTAAAAATTAATACCTACTTGGTTAAAACAGGCAGACTCCTCATCTAGCTCATTCTTAGATCTGTTTGATTTTAGTTGCTTTAGTTCATGGAGACCCTGGGTAAGAAACATGCTCCGAATTTTTGGTATTATCCTCCTGATGGTCACAATATTAGTCTTCCTGGTACACAGTATCCTCTCAAAAAGTCTTAAATATCTACATGCAGCTATCTGCTGTATGCTAAACGGTCTTTTGGGCTGGAATGAAGAAAACTTAAAGAAACACATGATAAGAAAGACAATGTAACCCATGAATGATGTATGGAGAGCGCACCCCAAAATGATGGTGACTGTTAGATTGTACTGATGCCCTAAGTCTTGGTCACACTGTCACCTATGAGAGACCCTGACAAAAAGAGGGGAATTGTTCAATACAATTATATCTCTTTAGGCTCAACAGACCAAATCAAAATGGAGTTACTTGTCCTGAAGTTCCATACCACCAAACTGTAACTAAGTTGTTTATGTGACACTTCAAGGTAGCAGGAGTTAATAGGCAAATCCCCAAATAGTCCAGTTTTATCTGGCTTGATAAAGTCCCTTCTGCTTTAACCTTTACAGGGAGAGTAGCTTCGAAATGACCAATCTACTTTTTGTTCTGTTTCTGCTTTCCTCGGCCCATTTCTTTCTTTCTTTTTTTTTTTTTTTTTTGAGACAATATTACTCTGTTGCTCAGGTTGGAGTGCAGTGGCACAATCTCAGCTCACTGCAGCCTCCGCTTCTCAGGTTTGAGCGATTCTCCTGCTTCAGCCTCCCAAGTAGCTGGAATTACAGGCACATGCCCAGCTAATTTTTGTGTCTTTAGTAGATACAGGGTTTTGCCATGTTGACCTGGCTGGTCTCAAACTCCTGACCTCCAGTGATCCACCGTCCTTGGCCTCCCAAAGTGCTGGAATTACAAATGTGAGCCACCATGCCCGGCCTCCTCAGCTTATTTCTCTCTATAAAGCCAAATTCCTTTGCTCGGCTCATTGGAGCAAAGGAGTTTGGTTTTATGGAATGAATCACACACACACAAAAAGCCAATTAAGATCTTTAAACTAAATTTATTGTAATTTTGACTTTTGAAAGGAGTAACACCTAAGCATTAAAACAGAAAGTTTTAATTTTTACTTAGAGGAAGTTGGGGAGAGTATAAAGGAGAAAAGAAACTAACTTTGAACAATTATTCATTTATCTAACAAAATTTATTAAGTGCTTTTTGTGTTCCAGGCACTGTGCTATGCCCTGTGAATTCAGGGATATAATATGTTTTCAGATTAGATATCAAAGTATTGTTTAAATACAGGCATACCTCATTTTATTGTGTTTCGCTTTATTGCAGTAAAAAGTAGTGTGTGTTCTGACTGCTCCGTTGAGTGGCCGTTTCTCTGTCTGTCTCCCTTTCCTCGGGCCTCCTTATTTCCTGCAACACAGTGATATTGAAATTAAGCCAATTAATTACCCTACAGTGGCCTCTAAGTGTTCAAATGAAAGGAGGAGTCATACATCTCTTACTTTAAATTAAAAGCTAGAAACAATTAAGCTTATTGAGGAAGGGGGCATGTCAAAAGCTGAGACAGGCCGAAAGCTAAGCCTCTTGCATCAGTTAGCCAAGTTGTGAATGCAAAGGAAAAGTTCTTGAAGGAAATTAGAAGTATTACTCCAGTGAACACATGAATGATTAAAAAAAAAAAAAAGCAAAACAGCTTTATTGTTGATACGGGGAAATTTGAGTGGTCCGGATAGAAGATCAAACCAGTCACAACCTTCCCTTAAGCCAAAGCCGAACCCAGAGGAAGGCCTTAACTCTCTTCAGTTCTATAAAGGCTAAGAGAGGTTGGAAAGCTGCAGAAGAAAAGTTTGAAGCTAGGCAGAGGTGGTTCATGAGGCTTAAGGAAAGAAGCTGTCTCTGTCATGTAAAAGTGCAAGGTGAAGCAGCAAGTGCTGATGGAGAAGCTGTAGCAAGCTATCCAGAAGATCTAGCATAATAATCAATGAAGATGAACCCACTAAACAGATTTCCACTGTAGATGAAACAGCCTTATATGGGAAGAAGATGACATGCAGGACTTTCATTGCTAGAAATGAGAAGTCACGGCCTGGCTTCAAAGCTTCAAGGGACATGCTGACTCTTGTTAGGGGCTAATGCAGCTGGTGATTTTAAGTTGAAGCCAATGTTCGTTTACCATTCTGAAAATCCTCGGGCCCTGTAGAATTATGCTAAATGTGTTCTGCCTGTGCTCTATAAATGAAGCTGCAAAGCTTGAATGACAGCACATCTGTTTACAGCATGGTTTACTGAATATTTTAAGCCCACTGTTGAGATCTGTTGCTCAGGAAAAAAGTTTCCTTTCAAAATATTACTGCTCCTTGACAATGCACCTGGTTACCCAACAGCTCTAATGGAGATGTACAAGGAGATGAATGTTGTTTTCATGCCTACTAACACAATACTCATTCTACAGCTCATGGATCAAGGAGTAACTTAGATTTTCAAGTCTTAGTAGTTAAGAAATACATTTTGTAAGGCTATAGCTGCCATAAACAGTGATTCCTTTGATAGATCTGTGCAAAGTACATTGAAAACCTTCTGGAAAGGATCCACCATTCGAGATGCCTTTAGGAACATTTGTGATTCATGGGAGGAGGTCAAAATATCAATGTTAACAGGAATTTGGAAGAACTTGGTTCCAAACACTTATGGACAATTTTGAGGGGTTTAAGTCTTTAGTGAAGAAAGTAACTGCAAAGATGGTGGAAACAGAACTAGAATTAGAAGTGGAGCCTGAAGATGTGAATGAATTGCTACAACCTCATGATCCAACTTGAATGGATAAGGAGTAGTTTCTTAAACATGAGCAAATAAAGTGTTTTTTTGAGGATTCTATCTCAAGAAACTGCAGCCTCTGGTGAAGATACTGTGAACATTGTTGAAATGACAATAAAGGATTTAGAATATTACATATAAAATAAATAAATAGGAAAAAACAGAATATTACCTAAACTTAGTTGATAAAGCAGTGGTAAGAGTTTGAGAGGATTGACTCCAATTTTGAAAGAAATTCCACTGTGTGTAAAAGGCTATCAAACATCATTGCATAAAGGACAGATCTTTCATTTATGAAACAGAATCAGTGTAGCAAACTTAATTGTTGCCCTATCTTAAGAATTTGCGTCAGCCACCCCAACCTTCAGCAACCACCATACTGATGAGTCAGCAGCCATCAACATCAAAGATAAGTCCCTCTACCAGCAAAAAGATTATGACTCACTGAAGGGTCAGATAATTGTTAGCATTCATTAGCAATAAAATATTCTTTAATGAAGGTACTTTTTTATGCATATGCTATTGTACACTTAATAAACAATAGTATAGTAAAAACATAATTTTTATATGCACTGGAAACCAAAAAATGTGTGTAACTCACTTTATTGCGATATTCACTTTATTGCAATATTCACTTTATTGCAGTGATCTGGAACCAAACCTGCAATATCTGCATGGTATGCCTATATATGTATGTCTAGATTTAACTTATGAAATGCCAGGTTTTAAAAATTGTGTTACTGGCCGGGTGCGGTGGCTCACGCCTGTAATCCCAGCACTTTGGGAGGCCGAGGTGGGCGGATCACCTGAGGTCAGGAGTTTGAGACCAGCCTGCCAAACATGGTGAAACCTCGTCTCTACTAAAAATACAAAATTAGCCGGGCATGGTGGTGGGTGCCTGTAATTCCAACTACTTGGGAGACTGAGGCAGGAGAATTGCTTGAACCTGGGAGACGGAGGTTGCAGTGAGCCAAGATTGCTCCGTTGTACTCCAGCCTGGACAACAAGAGCGAAACTCCATCTCAAAAAAAAAATTGTGTTATTATTATTGTTTTATTTATTTATTTTTGAGACAGAGTCTCACTCTTTCACCTAGGCTGGAGGGCAGTGGCACAATCTCGGCTCACTGCAACCTCTGCCTTGTGGGTTCAAATGATTCTCATGCCTTAGCCTCCCTAGTAGCTGGAATTACAAGTGCACAACACCATGCCTGGCTAATTTTTGTATTTTTAGTACAGACGGGGTTTCACCATGTTGGCCAGGCTGGTCTCTAACTTTTGACCTCAAGTAATCCGCCTGCCTCCGCCTCCCAAAGTGCTGGGATTACAGGCCTAAGCCACTGTGCCCAGCCGGTGTTATTATTGTTTTAAGCCCAGATAGCCATAATTAACCTTCTTTAGTGCTAGTTATTTAATTCTTTATTATGGAAGTGAAAAGGCTCTCTTGGACAAAAGTCTTACATTGAGAGACAATTTTTGACTAGTATGGTAGCAATGGAGATGAAGAGAAGAGGAAAGATTTGTGAAATTTTTTTTTCAGAGGTAGAATCAACAGGACTTGGGGCTTGTTTGAGGGGGTAGTGTTTCCTGTTATTTTACTCTTGTTTGGAGTTGGGTGGAGTGGATGGGGATGATTTTCATTTCCAGGAAAGTTTAGAACAAACAGATATACTGGAAGCAAACCAACCCCATTTTGTGTTAAATTCAATTTGTGTTAAACCAGAGAAGTCTGCCCTGGAACTATTCATTTGAGAGTTGTCAGTATAAATGAAGTTGTTGGTTTAGATGAGGTTGCCTAAGACCAAGTTTAGAGTAAGAAGAGAAAAAGGCCTAGAAACCAGACTTGAGGTACTCAAGCATTTAATGCCCTATGGAGGGCTGGGCATGGTGGCTCACGCCTGTAATCCTAGCACTTTAGGAGGCTGAGGCAGGTGGACTGCTTGAGCCCAGGAGTTCGAGACCAGCCTGGGCAACATGGTGAAACCCTGTCTCTACAAAAAATACAAAAATTAGCCAAGTGGTGGCATACACCTGTGGTCCCAGCTACTATGGAGGTTGAGGTGGGAGGATCACCTGTGCCCAGGAAGTGGAGGTTGCAGTGAATTGAGATCATGCCACTGCACTCCAGCCTGGGCAACAGAGTGACACCCTGTATCAAAATAGTAATAATAATAATTGAGGCCGGACACGGTGGCTCATGCCTGTAATCCCAGCACGTTGGGAGGCCGAGGCGGGCAGATCACCTGAGGCCAGGAGCTCGAGACCAGCCTGGCTAACATGGTGAAACACCATCTCTACTAAAAATACAAAAAATTAGCCAGGCATGGTGGCAAGCGCCTGTATTCCCAGCTACTCGGGAGGTTGAGGCAGGAGAATCGGGAGGCAGAGGCTGCAGTGAGCCGAGATCATGCCATTGCACCCCAGCCTGGGCAACAAAAGCAAAACTCTGTCTCAAAAACAAACAAACAAAAAACTCCACAAATAATTAATAATGTCCTGTGGAGGACATTATTCTTGGAGTAGTGATAGCAGAAACCAGAATAAAGCAGAGGTGAGGAAATGGAGATGAAAGTAGAAAAAAATAAAAGTTTGATTTTGTAAATGCAGAAAGGGATAAGGCAGTAAAGGAAATATAGGTCTAATGTGGATTTTGTTTTACTTTGTTTAGATTAGTTTGTATTAAATTTGGTGAGATGAGAGCATTGTTGAAGTGGTGTTGGGAAGGGTTCAGTTGATGAGGACTAAGTAATGAGGAGAAATAAGCATAATTGATGTGTGGTTTCCCAGAAAGGTGGAAAAGGACAGCATCAAAACTCAGTTGGCAGAGGTTGGCTTTAAATAGGAGAGAACTCCTCCACCTTCTCTATAACAAAGTAATCCTAAAACAGGTCCTTATTATAGTACTGTATACAGAGTACCACTGACAGGTTGTCAGCCTTCTTCTCTGACACTTTCTGAGGTAGAGCTAGTCTAAATTGGTAGAAACACTCTAGATTTAGGGGACTGTAAGGAGAAGGAAGGAAAGAAACAATCACCTCCCATCTTTAGGAAAGAATGTTCAGAAGGTGCGCTCAAAGCTCTAAAGGGCACATTATCATGAGCTAGAAGACGAGCTGGAAGGGGATAATTGTTCTGATTAGTAAGAAATAAGTAGGGGACTCATTTTATTGTCCATGCCCCTTAATTCTTAGAGGTGAACATACTTTTCTTCTGATATGCAGTGAGGCTGAGTTCATCTCAAAGGGTCCCACCCCACAGTCTTCTTTGCATTTGAAAGAAGCAAAAAATCGTGAACCCATAGACGTCAATAAGCCTAGGGTAGCAAAAGGAAAAGGAATTGAAGTCAAGTACCATAAATAAATGGTGCCCATTTGTGTAACCTGTGACTAAGGTGCTATTCATCATCCAAGATTAAAGGAAAAAGTTTATTAGGTTGAGTAGATACAACAGAAGTTCAGGAATTGAGGCTACCAGTTATTTCCAAGGAAAGACAAAGAGGGGCATTTTCTCACCACCATCACTGCCTCATTTTATCTGACAGGAAAACGAATCCACTTAGAGCCACAAATTCAAAATTTGTCTTTCGCTGCAGTGATGTTTTTCTTAGGTTAGCTTCGTCAGTTGGGCTATATTCATGATTAACAAGTCCATGCCAACCAATTTTTATCTTTCTCCCATGGACTGTATTTGGAAAACTCTTCTGTGAGAGAATAAAATGTACCTATTTATGATGGACACATAACAGATGAATATAGCTCTAAATACTGCAACTTTTTCATTTGTTAAAATTTGCTTGTTAAAACAGGTCTCTGGGAAAGAGTGAGCTGATTAGTTATTGAAATAAAATGTCCTGTCAAGAAATAGTAACTTCAATCAAAATGAAAGGATTATTTCATATTAATAGCACATTTTTCCCCATGGCAAATGTTTAAAAATGAACAAGACTGGAAATGTGAACAGCATTCCTGAGAGAGTTCTCAGAATACAATGTCAACATGATTATGATAAGGAATTGATTTACTCCAGGTAGATGAGGCAGTCACAAAACAGAATTTTCTATGAATGCTAAGTCGGTACTACTCTGACTAAATGTTCACACTGAGGACATTTAGAAAGTGGAAGCATAGGCTATGGCATCTTCTGGCATACTTACTAAGATAAGGTGGTAGGTTTTTGTTTTTGTTGTTTACTATCCAGATACTGAGAAGTAGTGGCATCAGCTAGTTTTTCCTAAGATGGCAAAAGATAGAGTGTAACCAGAGCCCAAGGTACAGAGTATTCACTGACACACACAAGATACAAAATATCCCTGAACTCTTTCATAAAAGGCATCATTCTGAATAATCACCTCTCTCTTTTTTTGAGAGAGAGTCTTACTGTGTCACCCAAGCTGGAGTGCAGTGGTGCGATCTTGGCTCACTGCAACCTCCGCCTCCCGCGTTCAAGCGATTCTCATGCCTCAGCCTCTCTAGTAGCTGGGATTACAGGCCCGCACCATCACACCCAGCTACTTTTTTGTATTTTAGTAGAGACGGAGTTTCACCTTGTTGCCTAGGCTGGTCTTGAACTCCTGAGCTCAGGCAATCTGCCCTCCTAAGCCTCCCAAAGTGTTAGGATTACAGGCATGAGCCCCGCACCTGGCCTAATCACCTCTTTTAAATAGGTAACACATGAACATAGTATAAAAAGAAAAAAGTGAAACTGCAAAATTATATATGCATACATGTACATGCATGTGCATGCATGCACATACACATAGGATATGGCTTGTCTCTAACAACAGTCCCCTAGTTATCCCATTCTCCTCAAAGATACTGTTACCGGTTTCTTGCATATTCCTTCAGATATGATCTGTGCCATGTTTCATCACTTTTAAACTTGGTAATTCTGCTGTATTCGGGATTTTGACAAGTTTTCTACTGTGAAAGGATATTCGGAAGCCAGTGTGTTCCTAAATTGAGAGCAAAAGGAAAAGGAAGCACAATAGACAAAGAGAGACTGTGTCACAGGAAACAAGGACATTAGGAAAAAAGGCATGAAGGGGCCGGGTGCGGTAGCTCACGCCTGTAATCCCAACACTTTGGGAGGCCAAGACGGGCGGATCACAAGGTCAACAAATGGAGACCATCCTGGCCAACACGGTGAAACCCCGTATCTACTAAAAATACAAAAATTAGCTGGGCATGGTGGCACGCACCTGTAGTCCCAGCTATTCGAAAGGCTGAGGCAGAAGAATCGCTTGAACCCAGGAGGCGGAGGTTGCAGTGAGCTGAGATTGTGCCACTGCACTCCAGCCTGGGTGACAGAGCAAGACTCCATCTCAAAAAAAAAAAAAGAAAAGAAACAAGGCATGAAGGGAAAGGTAAATTGGCTATGGTATTTGGAATAATTTCTCCCCTTCTTTAACACCATGACTTAGGAAAACATAAGACTTCAGAGTCAGACACTTTGATAAAATCCTAGCTATGTCACTGTCTAGCTATATGGTGATATTGGTCAAGCTATTTATCTCTCTGAGCTTTGTTTTCCTAACTTATAAAAATGGAGATGATATTAGTTTCTTCCTATGTGCTAGGTATCTCACCAGCTTGTATTTGGTGGAGCTAGTGAGCTACCTGACACATAGGAAGAACCAAGTAGCTCTATTTGGTAGAGCACATAGGAAGGTGATTTTGTAAATGCAGAAAGTGATAAGGCAGTAAAGGCAATATAGGTAAATATAGCACATAGATCTACCAAATAGAGGAATCTAATAAGTGGTGACTATTATTTTCTTAGATATTGTTTAAAGGAAATGGTATTTGTATTTGTATGTTTTCCCACTCCAATTCTACCTGAATATTTATTTGTTTTAAACTGTCTTGGTTCTGAAAGGATTTAAGGCAGCTGACTCCCGGGAAAATAAATTTTCTTTGGAAAAAAATTCTGTGAAAAGGCCAGGCATGGTGGCTCACGCCTGTAATCCTAGTGCTTTGGAAGGCCGAGGTGGGCAGATCACCTGAGGTCAGGAGTTTGAGACCAGCCTGGCCAACGTGGTGAAACTTCATCTCTACCAAAAAATACAAAAATTAGCTGGGTGTGGTGGCACGTGCCTGTAATCCCAGCTACTTGGGAGGCTGAGGCATGAGAATCGCTTGAACCCAGGAGATGGAAGTTGCAGTGAACCAAGATTGAGCCATTGCATTACAGCCTGGATGACAAGAGTGAAACTCTGTCTCAAAAAAAAAAAAAGAAAAAAAATTATGTGGAAAAAGAAAACACTAAGCTGCAAGTTAAGCTCTGAGAGGCCTCTTGAAGCATATCCTAGGGTCTAGAGCAGAATATACCCTACTGATCTGAAGGATATCAGAGGAATGAGAATTATCACTGTGAAAAGATCTTGGAGGTGCTTATTTCTTATGTACCACATTTAATAAGTACAGTATTGGTTCCCCACTACATTTGAAACCAGGCTCCATATCGTAATGATTGGTTCTTGAAAATTGGTTCTTGAAGAAATCAATAAAGAAACAAAATGAAGGAGGGACTCCTGTCCCAGGCAGAGGGAACAGTTTTTGCAAAACCCCAGAGGCATGAAGACTTGGAGAATTCAAGGAATTGCAGATGGTTTATAGCAGGAATACTAACATAATGAGAATTTTGGAAAGTCTGATGGAAATGAGAGCATTAAAAAGGTTTGGGTGCACTGGGTGAATGCATCTTAAGGAACTTGAACTGCATCTGGAAGAAGATAGGGTGCCCACTGAAATAGGAAGGTAACATAAACACATTTAAATTTAGAAATTCAACTCTGTGCTGAACATGGTGGCTCTTGCCTACAATCCCAGCACTTTGCCAGGCCGAGGCAGGAGGATCGTTTGAGCCCAGGAATTTGAGACCAGTCTGGGCAACATAGCAAGACCAATCTCTACAAAAAATGAAATAATTAGCCAGGTGTGGTGGCACATGCCTGTAGTTCCAGCTACTAAGGAGGCTGAGGTGGGAGGATTGATTGAGCCCAGGAGGTCAGGGGTACAGTGAGCTATGATCACACCACTGCACTCCAGCTTGAGTGACAGAGTGAGACCTATCTCAAGAAAAATAAATAAACAAATAAATTTAACTCTGGCAATAATTTGAAGGAGGGATTGTAGGAAGACAAGAGACCAGAGTTGATTAGGGAACTAATGCAATAATTCACAGGACAAAAGAGCAGAGCCTGGGCCAAGAGAGCAATTTCAAGAGCTGTTTGGACTCCTATGGAAATCCTACTCTCCTGAAAAGGGTCTTTTCTAAGTCTTATGGTAGCCTTGGGCAGGAACTCCCAGGTACAGGTCAAACTAAAGCAGCTAGCAGACATGTGTCAAAAGTAAAGGCTTTATTCCTACTTGTCATCAACTGGAGAAATGCCTAATCAAAAAAATAACTTTTGCTATGTCAGAGGACCATAAAGTCTTTGGGACAGAAAAAATATTAAGGATTATTTAAAAATTCAAATCCAATGTTTAATCTTCTTTAAAATGTCCCTGCTAAATTAGGATCCAGACTGTGTTGAATAATTCCAGTGAGAGAAATCCTCTATTCTTGAAAAAAAACTTTCTCACGTATGCTCTAATTTAAAAAGGAAGAAGAAAAAAAGAAAACTAGGAAATTTTGTTTAATAGGGACTTGCAAGTTAAGATTCCAGATGCCATCCAGATTTTCCATTGACTTCCTTCGTGCTGTCTTCCTGAAATGCATTTCTGTATAATGATGCATATGTAGGACCGACTTTATGGATAGGTAAAAAGAAGCTATTCCCTAAGTAATGTCATTTGTGGGACCAGGAAGCAAAGCCTTTCCTCCCTCAACCACCCCCACCCCAAGCTGTCATAGAGTCTCAAATCCCACCATTAGCATTTCTGAAGAAATAGCACATTAAATGAAGCCACACTAGGGTGTTAACAACATATCAGATAGATTTTGTCCTGACATTGGGGACCGTGGGAAATACAGAACCACTAGCAAAGGAGAAAGCACTAAAAATAGAGAAGAGGGAGGCAACACTAAGGCAGGGTGAACCAGAGATTCCCAGCAGTCCACAGACAGAGAGCCTTGGTTGATTACATGAGAAGGACCTGGAATTTGTTCAAAATACTGTTTTTAGGATTCCTCCTTGTATTATTTGTCACAAGAGGTCTGGGGTGGATTCCTGGGTGATTTCGATGTGCAGCTAAGTTCAGAAACTGTTAACTATGAAGCCACATAAAAAGAAACAAACATCAACAACAAAAAAACCCCACATGACTTCCCCACCTCACGTAAACACAGAGTCAATGTTCCCATCCTGCCTAGGCCCATCACAGTTTGTTCATATGAACGGCTCTTGCCCTAAAGTCTCTAAGGGAAAGGTTATGGGAAAAGCCAGTGACACATTAGGTACCTGTTGAAATGTGTCACTGACGTTGTGAAAGTTTTTAAGTCTACTTAAACAACAGTGAGTTTTCAATGAACAGAACTATGATAATGAGTACAGAACAACACATAACAGTTTGCCTTTAAAACTTGTCGGCAATGGTGAAACCCCATCTCTACTAAAAATACAAAAAGTTTAGCCGGGCATGATGGCGCATGCCTGTAATCCCAGCCACTCAGTAGCCTGAGGCAGGAGAATCGCTTGAACCCAGGCGGCGGAGGTTGCAGTGAGCCGAGATCGCGCCACTGCACTCCAGCCTGGGCGACAGAGTGAGACTCTGTCTCAAAACAAACAAAAAAACTTCTTGGCAATTGGAATGTCTATGTCTCTTAGGATAAGACTTTACTCCTGGCATACCACTCAGAGCAGACCTCTCAAAGTTTATAAAAGAAATTAAGGAGCCTTGTTAGATGGTAACTATTTACACAAAATTATTTTACCTACTATTATAATTGGTTAATTGATCTTTCAAAGTTCCACAGTGACTGATGGTAAGTCACTCTGACGCAAATGCCCAGTGCCCTAAATGTTTAAATTTATATAAACATTAGGTCATCAGGCCTCGTGATAGCTTTGTGAATTAAGTGGCAAGTTTTAGTTCACTTTAAACTATAGAAAATAGACAAGGGAGCAAAAGTGCATTAAGGTATAATGCAGTGATTTAAAAAAATATTCTTGGCCGGGCGCAGTGGCTCACATCTGTCATCCCAGCACTTGGGGAGGCTGGGGCAGGCAGATCATGAGGTCAGGAGATCGAGACCATCCTGGCTAACATGGTGAAACCCCGTCTCTACTAAAAATACAAAAAATTAGCTGGCCGTCTATTGTCCCAGCTACTCTGGAGGCTGAGGCAGGGGAATTGCTTAAACCCAGGAGCAGGAGGTTGCAGTGAGCTGAGGTCACGCCACTGCACTCCAGCCTGGGTGACAGAGCAAGACTCCGTCTCAAAAAAATACATATATATTCTTATAATTATAGTTGAAGCACTCAGATTGAAGATATAAAAACAATTAGGATTTGTTTAGCACTTTACAATTTACAAAATTCATTTGCATATTTGATTCTTCTAACCATCCTGTGATATAGACAGGACAGGTATTGAGCTAATAATTTTATAGTTGAGGACTTCTCAAGACTCAAAGTTTGAGGGACTTGCCCTAGGTTTATAAGAACAGCCTAAGTTTTTAAAAAATCCAGCTATGAACCAGAGTGTCATACATTGCTTTCTGTTTTCTAAATAAATTATAATAAACTCAATGAATAGAGAAATTGTCATAATTCATATATAAGGACTTGTTTAGTTGAATTATTCCTGGATACATGTAGTAAATAGTAATAGAGCACCTATTCTGAGCTCAGCACTGTGTTGATTGTGTAAATGATCTCTAATCCTCATAACAATACTGCAAGATAAAGTAGGGCGTTGTGGCTCATTCCTGCAATCCCAGCACTTTGGGAGGCCAAGGCAGGTGGATTGCTTGAGTTCAAGGCCAGCTTTGGCAACAAGCGAGACCCCCTGCTCCCCTGTCTCTACAAAAAATTAAATATTAGTCAGGCATGGTGGCTTGTGCCTGTATTCCCAGCTACTCAGGGAGCTGAGGTGGGAGGATTATGCGAACCCAGGAGATCAAGGCTGCAGTGAGCCATCATTGTGCCACTGCACTCCAGCTTGGGCAACAAAGTAAGACCCTGTCTCAAAAAAAAAAAAAAATATATATATATGTATATATATTGCAAAATGAGATATCTTGCAGTGTGTATATATACACACACAGTATATACAAACTATATATATATATATATATATGTATATACACTGCAAGGTATTATCTCGTTTTGCAAAAGAGGAACTTGAGATCTGAGAGTTTTTTTTTTTTTTTTTGAGACGGATTCTCACTCTGTTGCCCAGGCTGGAGTGCAGTGGCGCAATCTCGGCTCACTGCAACCTCCAACTCCCAGGTTCCAGCAATTCTCCCTGCCTCAGCCTCCCGAGTAGCTGGTATTACAGGCACACACCACCATGCCTGGCTAATTTTTCTATTTTTAGTAGAGACGGGGTTTCACCATGTTGGCCAGGCTGGTCTCGAACTCCTGACCTCAGGTGATCCGCCCACCTCAGCCTCCCAAAGTGCTGGGATTACAGGTGTGAGCCACCACGCCCAGCCTCTGAGACTCTTAAGTGAGGTGCTTAATGCTTAATAATAAGTTGCAAGGCCGAGGCGGTCAGATCACCTATGGTCAGGAGTTCAAGACCAGCTATTTTGGGAGGCTGAGGCAAGAGGATTGCTTGAACTTGGGAGGTGGAGGTTGCAGTGAGCTGAGATCATACCACTGCACTCCAGCCTGGGTGACAGAGTAAAACTCTGTCTCAGAAAAAAAAATAATAAGTTGCAAACCCAGCTTTCAAATCCCCATCTCTTTAATTTAATTCCAAAATTCTTTTCATTATACCTTTCTATACCTTTCTTTTTTTTCTTTTTTCTTTCTTTTTTTTTTTTTAGGTGGATTCTCACTCCATCACCCAGGCTGGAGCGCCATGGCATAATCTCGGCTCACTACAACCTCCACCTCCCTGGTTCAAGCGATTCTCCTGCCTCAGCCTCCCGAGTAGCTGGGATTACAGGCACCCACTACCACGCTCGGCTAATTTTTTTTGTATTTTTAGTGGAGACAGAGTTTCACCATGTTGGCTAGGCTGGTCTCGAACTCCTGACCTCAGGTGATCCGCCAGTCTCGGCCTCCCAAAGTGCTGGGATTACAGGCGTGAGCCACCGTGCCTGGCCATTACACCTTTCTTTTTTTTCTTTTTTTTTTTTTTGAGGCGGAGTTTCGCTCTTGTTGCCCAGTCTGGAGTGCAGTGGCGCAATCTTGGCTCGCCGCAACCTCCGCCTCCTGGGTTCAAGCAATTCTCCTGCCTCAGCCTCCCGAGTATCTGGGATTACAGGCATGTGCCACCATGCCTGGCTAATTTTTTTTGTATCTTTAGTAGAGATGGGGTTTCTCCATGTTGGCCAGGCTGGTCTCGAGCTCCTGACCTCAGATGATCCACCCACCTCAGCCTCCCAAAGTGCTGGGATTACAGGCGTGAGCCACCGCGCCCAGCCGCTACACCTTTCTTAAATGACTCTAAGACTGTTTACTTACAGTCCTCAGTTTTTAGTAACTTTAGAATTACTCATTTATACACATGCACTGTTCATTCATTTATACAACCACACATAATGAAAACTTATTTTTTCCACAGATAATGTATTTCTAGGACCTGGACATTAGCTGAACTCTTGATATAAAAAGAAAAAAATGTCTTTATGGGCTGGGTGCAGTGGCTCACACCTGCAATCCTAGCACTTTGGGAGGCTGAGGCAGGCAGATCACTTGACGTCAGGAGTTTGAGACCAGCCTGGCAATATGGTGAAACCCCACCTCTATTAAAAAAAAAAAAAACTACAAAAGTTAATCTGGCATGGTGGTGTGTGCCTGTAATCCCAGCTACTTGGGAGGCTAAGGTGGGAGAATTGTTTGAACCTGGGAGATGAAGGTTGCAGTGTGCCCAGATCGTGCCATTGCACTCCAGCTTGGGCAGCAGAGCCAGACTCTGTCTCAAAAACAACAACAAAATGCCTTTATAGACTGTAGTCTAGCCTGGGAACTATATCAGTGAACAAATGACTATAAGGTGATAAGTATTGTGTTGAGGATATTTACAAAGAGCTATCAATACTAACAGGAAACAATCACTGCCTCAGCTGTGCCTGGATGTGCTAGTTTTTTGTTTGCTTGTTTGTTTTGTTTTGTGTTTTTTGAGACGGAGTCTCGCTCTGTTGCCCAGGCTGGAGTGCAGTGGCGCAATCGCCGCTCATTGCAACCTTCGCCTCCCGAGTTCAAGCAATTCTCCTGCCTCAGCCTCCTGTGTAGCTGAGATTACAGGTGCATGCCAACGCACTCGGCTAATTTCTGTATTTTTAGTAGAGACGGGGTTTCTCCATGTTGGTCAGGCTGGTCTTAAACTCCTGACCTTGTGATCTCTGCCCCCCTCAGTCTCCCAAAGTGTGCTGGGATTACAGGCATGAGCCACCGTGCCTGGCTTTTTTTTTTTTTTTTTTTGGTGTGTGTGTGTGTGTGTGTGTGTGTGTGTGTGTGTGTGTGTGTGTGAGACAGAGTTTCACTCTTGTTGCCCAGGCTGGAGGGCAACGGCATGATCTCGACTCACTGCAACCTCTACATTCCGGGTTCAAGAGATTCTCCTGCCTCAGCCTCCCACATAGCTGGGACTACTGGCACGCAACACCACTCCTGGCTTTTTTCTTTTCATAGAGATGGGATTTCACCAAGTAGCCCAGGCTGGTTTCAAATTCCCGGACTTAAGCGATCCACCTGCCTAGGCCTCCCAAAATGCTGAGATTACAGGCATGAGCCACTGTTCCTGACCGATGGGCTAATTTTGAATGTGTGAAATATTAAATCAAAATCTCTAGTGGGCAACATTTAGTTGGTTCATTTTAATATTATGTAATGTGCTTGAACTAATAAAAAAGTAAACTTTAAAAATTATTTTTGTTTTTGTTTGGAAATCATCACAATAAAATAAATTTTTTTTTATTTTGTTTGGAAATGGAAATTCCAGAATAATTTCAGTAATAGGTAAACTCTATAAAGCATTCAGAGGTTTGTGTAATTACTAATGTAGCTAGAGCAGTTTCTCAGTTCATCTGACAACTAGTCCAGGCACAGTGGCTCACGCCTGTAATCCCAGCATTTTGGGAGGCTGAGGTAGGTGGACTGCTTGAGGTCAGGAGTTTGAGACCAGCCTGGGCAACATGGGGAAACACTGTCTCTACCAAAAATATAAAAAACTAGCCGAATGTGGTGGCGCAGCTGCTTGGGAGGCTGAGGTGGGAGGATAACTTGAGACTGGGAGGCAGAAGTTCCAGTGAGCTGAGATTACAACACTGCACTCCAGCCTGGGCAACAGAGAAAGACCCTGTCTCAAAACAAAACAAACAAACAATACTGATAACTATTATGGTCCTCATTTTTACTTATGGTCACCTAGTCATAGCAGATATTTATAATTACTATCCATACCATAGACCCTTTGCCCTTAGCAAGCACCTCATCTGGTCATGGTTCCTTGACTGGTGGGGTATCCCAAATCTTCATTTCTGAAGGGTCTGGATCATTAGCAGTCCCCTCTGAATTGGGTTGTTAGGGTTTCTCCCTTGACTTTAATCACAGGACATGGGATATTAACAGCACTCCAGGGATCACCCACATTCCAGACATACTTTTCCTTATCCCCATTGTGTAGAAGCAACCCAGTTTTCCCCTGGTGATCAGAACCAATCACTCTAGGTAGTCAGAACAGTTACCTTCTATTTTGTCTGTTGATTCATTGGCATGATGAGCCCAAAGTGACCATGTGGCAGTCTCAACTTTCAGTTTAGTGGAACAATTGCTATGTCCTCTAGTGGAAGCATCCTACTTTGGGAACTAAGTCCTCCAAGCTAGCAGATCTCAAATTCTCAGGGATAGGAGGCAAAAAAAGTTTCCTAGTAGATCATTAAGAATAATAATGAAAGGAGCCATGTCCAAACTCACCACCACCTTAATTCCCAGACCCATGAATCCTGGCTGTAGAAGAAAGAGCACCATCTATGTTATTTTCTTTTCCTTTTATTTATTTATTTATTTATTTATTATTAATTTTTTTTTTTTTTTTTTAGAAACAGGGTTTTGCTATGTTGCCTAGGCTGGTCTCAAACTCCTAGCCACAAGTGATCCTCCCACCTTGGCCTCTCAAAGTGTTGGGATTACAGGCATGAACCACTGCATCTGACCTATGTTATTTTCTGATTTAGAGCATATACTACATCCTGGAGGACATTGTCTAGGCCTCACAATGTATGCCATATGACACTTAGCTGGTGCCATAAATGAGTCTTCAAAAAGCCATTCCACCTTTCCATCAGGCCAGTGGCTTTAGGATGAGGGTGACAGGGTAAGACTGGTGAATTTTATTAATATAAGCATAGTTCCATTGCTGTATTTCATTTCTATGCAAAAACTTCCTAGGCTGGGTACGGTGGCTCACACCTGTAATCCCAGCACTTTGGGAGGCCAAGGTGGGCAGATCACTTGAGGTCAGGAGTTCGAGACTAGCCTGGCCAACATGGTGAAACCCTGTCTCTACTAAAAATACAAAAAATTAGCCAGGCATGGTGATGTGTGCCTGTAATCCCAGCTACTCGGGAGGCTGAGGCAGGAGAATCACTTGAACCTGGGAGGTGGAGGTTGCAGTGAGCCAAGATGCCGCCACTGCATTGCAGCCTAGGTGACAGAGTAAGACTGTGTCTCAAAACAAAAAACAAAACAAACAAACAAAAAGACTTCCTGCATCAGAAGTGATGCTATATGGAATACCATGATTGTGGATAAGTCACTCCGTAAATTTGTGGATGGTGGTTTTGGCATAACCTCTACGTGCAGGGAGAGAAAATCCCTATAAAGAGTATCTGTTCCAGTGAGAACAAAGTGCTGCCCCTTCCGTGATGGGGGTGGTCCAACGTAATAAATCTGTCCCCTAGAGAATCATTCTAAATAGGGGGCTTAGTTGTGATTTGCTCTAGCAACAAAAAATTGGAATTCACAAACACAAGCTGGAATCCACCTGTTGTTCAGTCTCACAACCTCCGACTGTGATGATGTGGGTATCCTGCAGAAGCTGGCACCCCTCGTTATGAGGCTAAACATGAACCTGGCCCAGGAGGCAGAGAAGCTGAAGTGGGCAGTGGGGAGCTACAGCAGCTTCTGTCCCACATCAAGGAGATAAGCCAGCAGATAAATAACACATGTGTAATGTGCAACGACACTTGGTGCCTCTGCACTGATCTCTTTTTTTTTTTTTTTTTTTGAGTCAGTGTCACTCTGTCGCCGAGGCTGGAGTGCAGTGGCGCCATCTTGGCTCACTGCAACCTCTGCTTTCCAAGTTCAAGCTATTCTAGGGCCTCTGCCTCCTGAATAGCTGTGATTACTAGGCGTCCACCACCATGCCTGGCTAATTTTTGTATTTTAGTAGAGACAGGGTTTCACCGTGTTGGTCAGATTGGTCTCGAACTCCTGACCTCAAGTGATCTGTCCTCCTCGGCCTCCCAAAGTGCTGGGATTACAGATGTGAGCCACTGTGCCCAGCCTGCACTGACCTTCTGAGAGTGAAGACAATATGTTGCTGCTCCCTTTCTGCTTTCCACATCTCATGCAAAATGTCTCTGTGGCCCACTTTGAGAATGTACAGGGAAGATAATTCTGGGAAATGTAGTTCAGCCTAGCCAAGTAGGCACATTACAAAGCCACTACAGAAGGTGATAAGTGCTATAGTGAAAAAAATAATAGAGCGAGGAAAGGCAGATAAGAACTGGGAAAAGGGGTGAATTTCAATTTGTAACAGTAGGGTAGGCATCAATAAGAAGGTAGTATTGAACAAAACTTTCAAGGAAATGAGGAAATAGCCTTGCAGATATCTGGGAGAAGAGCATTCCTATTACAGAGAAAAATCTTTGCTCCAAGTTCTGCATTCATAAAAAAGGAAAAGTAACAATACCTATCTCAACATCATAGCGTTGTTATGAAGATAAAATGAATTACTACCTGCAAAGGACTTAGAATAATGCCTAGAATTTTAAAAATTGAGGATGGACATGGTTGCTCATGCCTGTAATCCCAGCACTTTGGGAGTCCTAGGCAGGAAGATCACTTGAGGCCAGGAGTTTGAGATCAGCCTGGGCAACACAGTGAGACCCCCATCTCTACAAAAAAATACAAAAATTAGGCCGGGCGTGGTGGCTCACTGCACTCAGCACTTTGGGAGGCCAAGGCGGGTGGATCATGAGGTCAGGAGTTCGAGACCAGCCTGACCAACATGATGAAACCCCGTCTCTACTAAAAATATTAAAATTAGCTGGGCGTGGTGATATGCACCTGTAATCCCAGCTACTCAGGAGGCTGAGGCAGGAGAATCACTTGAACCCGGGAGGTGGAGGTTGCAGTCAGCTGAGATCGTGCCATTGCACTCCAGCCCGGGTGACGAAGTGAGACTCTGTCTCAAAAAAAAAAAAATTAGCTGGGAGTGGTGGTACATACCTGTAGTCGCAGCTACTCCGGAGGCTGAGGAGGATTCACTTGAGCTCAGAAGTTTGAAGCTGCAGTGAGCTATGATCACACCACTGCACTCTAGCCTGGGCAACAGAACAAGACTGTCTCTAAAAAAAAATAATAATAGGCCAGGCATGGTGGCTTATGCCTATAATCCCAGCACTTTAGGAGGCCAAGGCGGGTGGATCATGAGGTCAGGAGTTCAAGACCAGCCACGCCAACATGGTGAAACCCTGTCTCTAAAATATAAAAAATTAGCTGGGCGTGGTGGTGCATGCCTGTAGTCCTAGCTACTTGGGAGGTGGAGGCAGGGGAATCATTTGAACCCGGGAGGCAGAGGTTGCAGTGAGTCGAGATCGCGCCACTGCACTCCAGCCTGGCGACAGAGCGAGACTTTGTCTCAAAATAATAATAATAATAATAATAATATATAAAATACTATTATTTTTGGTGTATTGAATACCATATGATTTCTAAAACCCTTACTATAATAGTTCAGATATGAATCCAGGAAAATGATTGTGTATCATATTATCATCATCTCATTCCCACCAGATACAAACTAGCCAATGATTCTGCAATATCACTCAATTTTACTGGGTTAGTGAACCTTAGATTTCCAAAGTGAACTATACATTTCTTTAGCTGTAATTTCTGTTTAATTTAAATGTTTATTTTCATATTTCATAATGATTTAAATGTTTATTTTTGTATTATGAGTTAAAACATAGTTTAATATACTCTTATAGTCAATGTTTATTATTAAGATTACTAGGTATTACCTTGTTCCAGTGGTCAATTTTAGCATCACTGTTAGTGGGATGAGATAGTATGTGTTTCCTAATGTGATGCGAGATAAAATGTACACTATCATTCATTGTATTCTAGCCAAAAATCTTTAACTTGAATCTATGAAAACATTTACACTGAATTTCCAGTTTACAGGAAATACAAAGTTCAAATAATAAGCTAAATGAATTCATGAAGAAAGTATCAGACCAATTCAGACTATGGTGTTTTCTACATTGATCTCTTTAGCAAGTCAGTGTCGTGGGAAAAAAGAAGGGGACAAGTCCAGATTTAAAGAGCATATCAATACCACTTCTTCACTATTTCAAAGTGATCTTTGGCCACTTATTCTTACTCAGAACAAGAGAGCAGCTGTAGAGAGCTACAGAGAGCAGTTCTGTGTGAACACCTACATCAGCACCATCTCACCTGGGCACCACACTACAGCATTGCACTGTTTGCTAGCACTTCTCAACTCTTGTGTCCTGCCCAGAGTTTTCCTGAGACAACGAGGCTTGAGATGCTTTTGCTTGCTGGGTGCCCTTGCATTTGTAACTCAGAAGTAAGGGGAGAAAGTGCTCCCAAGGAGCAAATCTTTGGCCAAAAGGAAACAAGAACTAGCAGATAAATTCTTCCCTGTTTCTTGACTTTCCTGAAAGGCATTTGTTCATCCAACCTCTCAGAAGATGGCCCTAGAGGAACAATCAGTCACCCTTGATATAAGTGGTGGTCGGTTTGGAACAGCACCCTCAAATTCACTCTACTAGTTTCCTTTCCTCCACTTCCCTTTTCCTTCACTCCTGCTGTCTTCGGACTGCGCTCTCTATAAAGTAGCAGCATATAAAATTTTGTTTCAAGCTGTGCTTTCCAGCTGAGGCACACATAGGGACATAACAACCTGATGCAAAGTGTGGTCCTAAAACATTTTAGAGAATAAATGGAAAAACTTGTATATGGACTGGGGTTTTAGATGATACTAAGGAATTATTCATTTTTTTATGACCATGTTATTTTGGTATGCAGGAAGTTTTTTTAGACATGTATGCTGACATACTCAAAGGTGAAATCATACGCTTTAATTCACTTTAAAATACTTTAGCATTGACAAAATAGAGTGAATATGTAAGATGTTTCTCTCTCTACAGCTTTCTAAGACTAGGCTAATGATATTAATCCGTGTCAAATTTTAATTTAGAGACAGGAGGCCCAATACTGATTAAAAGTTAAATAGGATAAATTAATGTCAAATTTTATGTATTTTCCCTGCTTTCCAGTCATGTATCATTAATCGCAAATTTATAGAAATTTTTAAAAGAAGAAGGGTTTATTATTTTCATACATGTGAAAAATATAGTCTGGGCTTGGCGGCTTATGCCTGTAATCCCAGCACCTTGGGAAGCTGAGGTGGGCGGATCACCTGAGGTCAGGAGTTCGAGACCAGCCTGGTCCAACATGGTGAAACCCCGTTTCTACTAAAAATACAAAAATTAGTCAGGGGTGGTGGTGGATGCTTGTAATCCCAGCTACTCAGGAGGCTGAGGCAGGGAGAATTGCTTGAACCTGGGAGGTGGAGGTTGCAGTGAGCTGAAATTGCACCACTATACTCTAGCCTGGGCGACAGAGTGAGACTCCATCTCAAGAAAAGAAAAAAAAAAAAAGAAAGAAAGAAAAGAAAAATATATATGCAAAATATATGCATATGTATTCATATGTATATAAAAACTAAAGCCCAGATTTATAACAAACCACTGAGGGGCTGGGCGTGGGGGCTTACACCCGTAATCCCAGCGCTTTGAGAGCCTGAGGTGGGTGGATGACTAAGTCCAGGAGTTTGAGACAAGCCTGGCCAACATGGTGAAACCTACTGAAAATACAAAAATTAGCTGGGTGTGGTGGTGCATTATTTCATGATGGTAAATTGCTTTCAGCAGTAGAAGCAAGCCTTTTTTTTTAGACGGAGTCTCACTCTGTTGCCCAGACTGGAGTGCAATGGCGCAATCTCGGCTCACTGCAACCTCCGCCGCCCGGGTTCAAGCGATTCTCCTGGCTTAGCCTCCTGAGTAGCTGGGATTACAGGTGCGTGCCACGATGCCCAAATAATTTTTGCATTTTTAGTAGAGACGGAGTTTCACCATATTGGTCAAGCTGGTCTCGAACTCCAGACGTTGTGATCCTCCCACCTTGGCCTCCCAAAGTGTTGGGATTAGAGGCATAAGCCACCGTGCCTGGCCCTCATCCATATTTTTATCAGAATGGAAAGTGATAACCAATTTAGGGTTCAAAGGAACAAAGACTTCAGCAGTCTGCATGGAGCTTACAGAGCATGAAAACGGACACCTCTTTCTCATTAAAATGCATCTTTCACTTCCTTATTTTTTTTTCCCAAAGTAAATACAGTTATGTATCTGTTGAGACAGAGACATATAATTATCAGGATTCTCTCTTGGATTCAGTAATAAGACTATGGGCTGGGTGGGATGGCTCATGCCTGTAATCCCAGCATTTTGCGAGGCCGAGGAGGGTGGATCACTTGAGCTCAGGAGTTCAGGACCAGCCTGGGCAACATGGCAAAACTCCATCTCTACAAAAAAAAAAAAAAATTAGCCAGGTGTGGTGGCTTGCCCTAATCCCAGTTCCTTGAGAGGCTAAGGCACGAGAAACCTTGAACCTGGGAGGCAGAGTTTGCAGTGAGTTGAGATCCTACCACTGCACTCCAGCCTGGGCAACAGATTGAGACCCTGTCTCAAAAAACAACAGCAATAATAAAAATTTAAAACAGTAATAAGACTATGTTTTTGTAAGACTTCTGTGGCTTACGTTGGAAGCAAAGTTAGGTTGCTTTCCCTAACCCTTATTTCACTGACCAACAGATAATGCTGTATAGATGGAATTCTTTGTTCTTCTTAATGTTAGTATAGGGATCTGCTATAATTTGTGAGTTTTTTTTTTTCTTTGAGTCAAAGTCTCGCTCTATCACCCAGGCTAGAGTGCAGTGGCGTGATCTTGGCTCACTGCAAACTCCACCTTCCAGGTTAGAGCGATTCTCCTGCCTCAGCCTCCTGAGTAGCTGGGATTATAGGCGTGCACCACCATGCCCGGCTAATTTTTTGTATTTTTGGTAGAGACAGAGTTTCACCATATTGCCCAGGCTGGTTTCTAACTCCTGACTCAAATGATCTGCCTGTCTTGGCCTCCCAAAGTGTTAGGATTACAGGGGTGCACCACCATGCCCGGCCAAGGGATCTGCTATAATTTGGATATTTGTCCTCTCCAAACCTCATGTTGAAATTTGATCCTTCATGTTGGAGATAGGACCTAATGGGAGGTGTTTGAGTCATGGGGTAAATCCCTCAAGAACAGATTAATTCCCCACCTTGGGGGTAAGTAAGTTCTCACTCCATCAGTTTCCCCAATAGCTGGTTGTTAAAAAGAGCCTGTAAAAAAAAACACCCCCCCCACCCCACCTCTTTCTTCCTCTCTTGCCACGTGATCTCTGCACATGCCGGCTCCTCTTTGCCTTCAGCTGTAAGTGGAAGCAGCCTGAGGGACTCAGCAGAAGCAGATACCGAAACCATGCTTCTTGTACAGCCTGTGAAACTGTGATAAACCTGTTTTTTAAATAAATTACCCAGCCTCACCGGGCGCAGTGGCTCGCGCCTCTAATCCCAGCACTTTGGGAGGCCGAGGCGGGCGGATCACGAGGTCAGGAGATCAAGACCATCCTGGCTAACACTGTGAAACCTCGTCTCTACTAAAAATACAAAAAATGAGCCAGGTGTGGTGGCGGGCGCTGTAGTCCCAGCTACTCGGGAGGCTAAGGCACAAGAATGGCGTGAACCCGGGAGGCGGAGTTTGCAGTGAGCCGAGATGGCCGCCACTGCACTCCAGCCTGGGTGACAGAGCAAGGCTCTGTCTCAAAAATAAATAAATAAATAAATAAATAAATTACCCAGCCTCAGGTATACCTTATTGTAACAAGACAGACTAAGAAAGCATTTTTTTAGACTTGGACACTGAGAATTCTATCAAAGCTAGAAGGAGACTAGGAAAATTGGAGAGTATTTTTCCTTGAAACACTACTTTGGGAACCTCAACCAAAAAGGGAAAAAGAAATAGATCTATTTATTTATAATGATAGTTACCATTTATTATGCACCTATCCTCAATACAGTCCTACAAAGTAAATATTAACAGCACTTGTTAAATCAGAAAACCAAGATGCAGTGAAATTAAGTGGCATGCCCAAAGTCCAAAGCTAGTAGATTAGAATAAAGACTTAAGTCAGATTTCTAACTCCAAACCTCAGTCTCTTCACACTACACCACATTGTAACACAGGATTATGTTCTTTACTCTCTTCCTTTCTTCCCAGAAGATAAATTGCTGTAATATAACATCGTATAAATTTATTCTTTTTTTTTTTTTTTTGAGATTAGGTCTTGCTCCATCACCAGGCTGAGTGCAGTGGTGTAATCACACAACACTGCAGCCTCAACCTCTCCAGCTCAAGCACTCCTGCCTCGGCCTCCCAAGTAGCTGAGACTGCAGGCACATGCCACCACATCCAGCTAATTTTTTATTTCTTTTAGATATGGGGTCTTACTCTATTGCCCAGGCTGATCTCAAACTCTTGGGCTCAAACAATCCTCCTGCCTCAGCCTCCCAAAGTGCTGGGATTATAGGCGTGAGCCACTGCACCTGGCTGAATTTTATTCTTAAAAGGGATTTAACTAGGAAGATAATAAAAATAGATAATAAAAAGATGACAAACTGTTAAACTATGATTTTTAAGCACTTTTAAACTTTCTCTTTTAACATTTGTTTGAATTTCATAAATACATTTATACTGTTTAATTATATTTTCCATTCTTTAAGATAAATTGAGGAGAATGCTCACAATTGCCATGAAATTTATTCAGTTCTTATGAAGATAATACCTATGAAAAAGGTTTACAAATCTGTAGTTCCCTATATGGATTTTAGCTATTATTATTTATTTCCATTTAAAACTTTGTCATATGGAAAAGTTAAAACACATGCGGAAGAAGAGATAATAGTATCATAAATCTGCATGTGCTTATCATCAGCTTCAAAAATTAACAACGCATGGCTGATCTTGTTTCATTTTTACATACTACTTCTGTCACCACCCACTCCCAGATCATCTTCAAGCAAATCCTTAGATAACTATATTAGTCATAGGAGTGAATGTTTTTCCCAAATTAAAAAATTAGCAAGAATGTCCTGATGCACATCATTGATCAGACATACATTATGTGAAGTGCGGTCAAACAGACTTCAGCCTCAAAGTGTTGATACTCCTTTCCTGAAGTGTGTTTTTCCAAAGTCTGGAGGTTTCATTCTAGGGGAATGTCTTTCCTGGAGCCACTACAACTAGACAACTCTGATCAAGTGTCTTGACTACACCTAAATTATTAGAGCAGAGACTGATGATAGTCAATTCTTTAATGACACTCTGGAATTTTTGTTAGGCTACCCAGCAAAACTATTACAGCTAATTGTGGCCATTTGTCTAAGTTCAAATGTGAGCAGAAGATATTTCGGCTGCTAGCAGGTCTTTTCCTTAAAAAAATTGGCATTCCTTCAACTTGTCCTTTCCTCCATTCTTTTGGCTGGGATGCAAAAGTAAGCCAGTTTGGACCCTGAAACAAACGCCGCATGTTGAAGATGGCAGTCTCTTTACCAGCCCAGAACTACCTATCTTTGAACTGTTAGATGAAAGAGATATAAATATCTATCTTGAGCCTGGGCATGGTGCCTCGTGCCCATAATGCCAGCAGTTGGGGAGGCTAAGATAGAAGAATCACTTGAAGCCAGAAGTTAGAGACCAGCCTGGGCAACACAGCCAGACCCTGTCTCTTTAAAAAAAAAAAAAAAAAAATTCCAAAAATTAGCTGGTCATGGCCAGGCATGGTGGCTCATGCCTGTAATCCCAGCACTTTGAAAGGCCGAGGTGGGCAGATCACGAGGTCAGGAGTTCAAGACCAGCCTGGCCAATATGGTGAAACCCTGTCTCTACTAAAAATACAAAAATTAGCTGGGCGTGGTGGTGCCTGCCTGTAGTCCCAGGTACCTGAGGCAGGAGAATCACTTGAACCTGGGAGGCAGAAATTGTAGTGAGCCGAGATTGTGTCACTGTACTCCAGCCTGGGTGACAGAGAGAGATTCTGTCTCAAAAAAAAAAAAAAATTAGCTGGGCATGATGGTACACACCTGTAGTCTCAGCTACTCAGGAGACTGAAGTGAGAGGATCACCTGAGTCCAGAAGGTCAAGGCTGCAGTGAACTGCACTCCAGCCCGGGCTACAGAGTGAGATCCTGTCTCAATAAAAATTGAAAGATAATAAATGTCTCAGCAGCGCAGGATGGCTTACGCCTATAATCCCAGCACTGTGGGAGGCTGAAGTGGGCAGATCACGAGGTCAGGAGATCAAGACCATCCTGGTCAACATGGTGAAACCCCGTCTCCACTAAAATACAAAAAATTAGCCGGGTGTGGTGGTGTGCACCTGTAGTCCCAGCTACTGGTTTCTGGGAGGCTGAGGCAGGAGAATTGCTTGAACCTGGGAGGCGGAGGTTGCAGTGAGCGGAGATCACGCCATTGCACTCTAGCATGGCAACAGAGCAAGACTTCATCTCAAAAAAAAAGGATAATAAAATAAAATTTAAAAAAATAAATGTCTGTCTTGTTTATGCCACCGTATTTTTTTAGATCTCCCTGTTGCAACAAGTTTAGACTGTACAATAATTAATATATCTTCAAAAATTGAAGATTTAAACTTTAGTAGACAGAGATGGGAGCACTGGCTCCCCTAAAATAATAAGGCAAAGATAGATTAAACCAGGAAACATTTGCCTGCTCAGGCTCTGCTGCTGTTCCTTTACCATTCTTCTGATAAGTCTTTGTTTTGTTTTGTTTTGTTTGTTTGTTTTTTAGACGGGGTCGCACCCTGTCACCGAGGCTGGAGTGCAATGGTGAGATCTTGGCTCACTGCAACCTCCGCCTCCCGGGTTCAAGCAATTCTCCTGCCTCAGCCTCCTGAGTAGCTGGTATTACAGGTGCGTGACACCATGCCCAGCTAATATTTTGTATCTTTAGTAGAGACGGGGTTTCACCATGTTGGCCAAGCTGGTCTCAAACTCCTGACCTCGTGATTCGCCTCCTGCCTCCCAAAGTGCTGGGATTACAGGCATCAGTCACTGCGCCTGGCCAGTTTTTTGTTGTTGCTGTTGTTTGAGAGGGAGTTTCGTTCTTGTCACCGAGGCTGGAGTGCAATGGCAGGATCTTGGCTCACTGCAACCTCTGCCTCCTGGGTTCAAGTGATTCTCCTGCCTCAGCCTCCTAAGTAGCTGAGATTACAGGCACCTGCCATCACACCTGGCTAATTTTTGTATTTTTAGTAGAGGCAGGGTTTCACCATGTTGGCCAGGCTAGTCTTGAATTCCTGACCTCAGGCGATTCACCTGCCTCTGTCTCCCTAAGTGCTGGGATTACAGGTGTGAGCCACCGCACCCAGCTAAGTAGTTTTTTGTTGTTGTTGCTGTTTGTTTGTTTGTTTTTTGAGACGGAGTCTTGCTGTGTTGCCAAGGCAGGAGTGCAGTGGCGTGATCTCGGCTCACTGCAACCTCTGCCTCCTGGGTTCAAGCGATTCTCCTACCTCAGCCTTCTAAGTAGCTGGGATTACAGGCACATGCCACTATACCCAGTTAATTTTTTTATTTTTAGTAGAGACCGGGTTTCACTATGTTGGCCAGGCTGGTCTCGAACTCTTGATCTCAGGTGATCTGCCTTCCTCGGCCTCCCAAACTGCTAGAATTACAGGCATGAGCCACCATGCCTGGCCCTCTGATAAGTAGTTTTTGGAAATGAAAATAAAAATCACTATCATCTCAAAAAAATTGAAAAGATGCATATTTGCTCAATTCCAATGCATGATCTTGCCCGATCCTTCTTTGTTAACTGGTTGCTGTGAGTAGATATTTTTAGAACTATCATATTTTCTATTTGAAATTTAGTTTCATTAGCTTAGACCTGAATAAGAGGTAGAGTTCGAGTTGCAGCAATGTTGATATGCTCCGTTAATACAATGTGTGTTTTGTGTGAAAGCAACCTTGACTTTAGTTATGCCATTCCACTTAAAAAAAATAAAATGGTGTTTCTTTCATGCAGTTAAATAGAAACTTACAGACAGTCTCATATTTCATACAAAATGTAGGCCTGATTTTTCATTGACTTATTAGAACGTTTTAGTAAAGTAAAATTAAGATGAATTTTTTGGAAGGTTAATGCTGAGTAGACAGAACTCATCTATTGCTTGGTAGTCACTGGTCAGTTTTTTAAAAAGTAAAATTCTTATACTAAAAAGAGCTTATTACAAAATACACTCTCGAGCAAGAGAATAGAATTCTGTTAATATAGTGAAAAGTAAATAATCTGCTTTTCTCCTTTCAGTGTACCGTTTGATAAGAAGACTTGATTACTTTTGTCAGGAATGAGAAATAAATCCAGTTGTTGTTTTGCTTGTACTTTGTTATTTATATTCAAGAAAGTGTTTTGAGTAATTTTAAAAGCCAGAAATTATAACCATATATTTTGTTTAAAGTAACTATAATAATTTGTGTTTGTTGGATTATATCATGATGGTAAATTGCTTTCAGTAGTAGAAGCAAGCCACTTTTTTTTTTTTTTTTTTTTTGAGATGGAGTCTCACTCTGTCACCCAGACTGGAGTGCAATGGCACAATCTCGGTTCACTGCAACCTCTGCCTCCCAGGTTCAAGCGATTCTCCTGGCTTAGCCTCCTGAGTAGCTGGGATTACAGGTTCGTGCCACAATGCCCAACTAAGTTTTGCATTTTTAGTAGAGATGGGGTTTCACCATGTTGGCCAGGCTGGTCTTGAACTCTTGACCTCAAATGATCTGTCCACCTTGGCCTCCCAAAGTGTTGGGATTACAGTCATGAGTCACTGAGCCCAACCAAAGCAAGCCGTTTCTGAAATACAACATTTTTTTCAGACAGGTTGATAATTATTAAGGAACACTGATTAATTTCCTTTAGTCCCTAAATATTTGAAATACCTAATGTGCTCTTGAAACCAACTTTTAAATTCTTATCTGCCCAGCCAACTGGATCCATTACAAAACAAAGGGGATAAATGAAGAGCTAAGCTAGACAACTAGTCTACCCATTATTTCATAATAAACTGAGTAGGGAGCTTTAGGTTCTAATGCCACCCTAAAAAAAAAATGGGCTAGTGTAAGGGCTAGGCACAGTGTCACACTTGTAATCCCAGCACTTTGGGAGGCTGAGGTGGGTGGTTGGCTTGGGCTCAGGAATTTGAGACCAACCTAGTCAACATGGCAAGACCCTTGTCTCTACAAAAAAATAAAAAATAAAAAGGACTAGTATAGTATGTTCCAAAATTTTAAACTCGAGGTCTTTTCCTTCAAATTAATCTCACACAAAACCTAATAAATACTTACTATAAAATAGATAGATAAGGAGTTTTCCCTTGGTAGTCCATGTGTCAAAGTAGGTATGGTGGCAGAATTCCCACACTATGAGTTCCTTCCCCAGCAACTTCGGCTGACCCTAGGATAGTGTTTCTGAAAATCTGTTCCCTAGATTCTGTCCCTCAGAATCAAACTTACTGAAGTACTACTGTTTTACCCTGGCCAAATGTCAAGAAGATACTATATCATATGATGGTGTATTGAGGACTAACAAATAATGAAAGTTTGCTGAAATTTTTCCCACCTCAATTTTCCACTGAAAAACACCTGGTTCACTGGAAATAGCAGTGTTATATTACCAACCAGATATCTTTTGTCATCTGTGTTTATGTCTTAAGCGAAAAATGAATAATGCAGCCATTTATCCATGAGGGTCTAAAATAAATGTTTTATCTTCATAGCATAGAAAAGAGAATTAGCTGGGCATGCCTGTAGTCTCAGCTTCTCAAGAGCCTGAGACAGGAGGATTGCTTGAGCCCCGCAGTTCGAGACCAGCCGGGGCAACACAGTGAGACCTCATCTCGAAAAATAAATAAATAAAAATGCTGCCAAGAAAAATGAATTAAAAGTTGAATATCAGTGCTGATGGTATAAAGAAATGGGCTAAACTAACAATAGAGACAATTAAATTATACTTCGCAAATCTAAATGGGGTGATTACAAAGTAGTAGTAAAGCTTATTTTAATACAGTCTATCATTACAGCTTCTTTTTAAATTACAAACCTGGTAACCTAATGCTTTAAAAAACACCATTGTTCTTCACTGCTCATCAGATCAAGCTAAGATTATTACTTAGGCTACAAAATTGGTCATGATCTAGTTCCAAGTAGATCTCAGTAGCCTTGATCCCTGCTGATCTGTACTATGTGCACTATGTCCACTGGCACAGAACTCTAAACTATTTTCTGAAGAGAAGCTTCTTGTTATTTTCTTTTTTCATGCTGTAAAAGGAGTACATGCACCATCAGAAAATGCTAAAAGAAGAAAATGAAAATCATTCCATAATATCATCACTGTTAACAAAGTGGTGTTTTACCTTGAAGAAGGAGGAACGGAGCCATGAGCCAAGGAATGCAAGTAGCCTCCAGAAGTTAGAAAATGCAAGGAAACTTTCAGGTCATCTTGTAGAGGCACCAGAAGAAACACAGCCTGATGACACCTTGATTTTAGCCCAGTTAAACTCATTTTGGATTTCTGACCTCCAGAATTGTAAGATAATAAACTTAAGTCACCAAGTTTATAGTAATTTGTTACAGCAGCAATTGGAAACTAATACAACACTGTATGAAATTTAAGGCACAGCAACCAGGTGCAGTGGCTCAATGGCTGTAATCTCAGCACTTTGGGACACCAAGGTGGGTGGATCACCTGAGGTCAGGAGTTCAAGACCAGCCTGACCAACATGTTGAAACCCCGTCTCTACTAAAAATACAAAAAATTAGCCAGGCGTGGTGGCACGTGCCTGTAATCCCAGCTACTCAGGAGGCTGAAGCAGGAGAATTGCTTGAACCTGGGAGGCAGAGGTTACAGTTGAGCCAAGATTGCACCATTGTACTCCAGTCTGGGCAACAAGAGCAAAACTCCATCTCAAATAATAATAATAAATAACAAAATGAAATTTAAGTCACAGCAGAGCAGCATTGTATTATGCCTATTTTAAAATTTATTTCGTCACTAGCATCCAATAGTTATCTTTGGCCCCTTACATTTGTTTTCTTTTTTTTTTTTTTGACACAGCGTCTTACTCTGTGGCTCAGGCTGGAGTGCAGCAGTGTGAACACAGCTCACTGCAGCCTCGACCTCCTGGGCTTAAGCAATTCTCCTGACTCAGCCTCCCATGTCACTGGGACCACAGGCACACACCACCATGCTTGGCTAATTTTTGAATTTTTTGTAGAGACAGGGTTTCACTTTGTTGCCCAGGCTGGTCTTGAACTCCTGTGCTCAAGCAGTCCTTCTGACTTGGCCTCCCAAAGTGTTGGGATTACAGGCATGAGCCACAGTGCCTGGCCTGGTAACCTTACTTTTTTTTTTTTTTGAGTTGGAGTTTCACTCTGTCACCTAGGCTGGAGTGCAGTGGTGCGATCTTGGCTCACTGCAACCTCCGCCTCCCAGGTTCAAGCAATTCTCCTGCCTCAGCCTCCCAAGTAGCTGGGACTACAGGCGCCCGCCACCATACCTGGCTAATTTTTTGTATTTTTAGTAGAGATGGGGTTTCACCGTATTAGCCAGGATGATCTGGATCTCCTGACCTCGTGATCCGCCTGCCTCGGCTTCCCAAAGTGCTGGGATTACAGGCATGAGCCACCGCGCCCGGCCAATCCCTTACTTTTTAAGAGCTTATATTTGGGAAGTTTCACATTGCTATAAAAATTTCAGTGTTTTTTTGATGACCTTGGGCTATAAATTTAGAATAGTAGCTGAATATAGAGTGAGGATGCATACCATAGACAGATGTCAGTTTTGCTCACTAATATTTATCTAACATCTGTAGAGTGCTGGGCACATGGTAAACACTCAGTAAATATGCATGGAATGAACTGAATGCATCAAGTCAAATTCATTTTTTTTTTTTTTTTTTGAGACAAGGTCTTGCTCTGTCACCTAGGCTGGACTACAGTGGCAAGATCTCAGCTCACTGCAACCTCCGGCTCCCAGGTTAAAGCAATTCTACTGCTTCAGCCTCCCAAGTAGCTGGGACTACAGGCATGCACCATCATGCCCAGCTAATTTTTTGTATTTTTAGTAGAGGCAGGGTTTCACCATGTTGGCTAGGCTGGTCTCGAACTCCTTACCTGGCTGGTCCTTTGACTTGGGCCAGGCACGGTGGCTCACGTCTGTAATCCAAACACTTTGGGAGGCTGAAGCGGGTGGATCACTTGAGGTTAGGAGTTAGAGACCAGCCTGGCCAACAGGGTGAAACCCTATCTCTACTAATAACACAAAAAATTAGCTGGGCATGGTGGCAAGCGCCTGTAGTCCCAGCTACTTGGGAGACTGAAACAGGAGAATCACTTGAACCTGGGAGGCTGAGATGGCAGTGAGCCAAGATCGTGCCACTGCACTCGAGCCTGGGTGACCGAACAAGACTGTCTCAAAAAAAAAAAAAAAAGGTGTTACAGAATCCGTGGATATTCATTTATTTCCTCCTAATTTTAGACACAATACCATTAAGTTTACTCACCTGGTTTCCAGCATAGATAAGAAGTAGCGAATAAGTCGCAGCAAGATGGCACTGCATGCTAACAAGAAAATGGCACAAAGAGAAGCTGTAGTCATAGAGGCCAGGAGCAGTGGCTCATGCCTGTAATCCCAGCACTCTGGGAGGCTGAGGTGGGTGGATTGCTTGAGCTCAGAAGTTCAAGACCAGCCTGGGCAATATAGCAATACCCTGTCCCAAAAAACAACAACAACAAAATTGCCATAGAATATAACCACTAAGAATCATCAGGAGGTCACAGTAAATACCAGCTCAGCATAATGACTTGGGACACTGATTCCACCCCAACAGAGATCTCAATTTCCCCATCTACAAAATGCAGATAATAATAGTACTTACCACATAGTGAAAAGGATCAAATGAGATACAGCAAGGTAAACAAAAAAACAAAAACCAGAAGCCAGTGCTTAGGCATAGTAATTATTAAATAAATGTTAGTTTTTCTTTTGTTAATTTTATTTTTATTATTTTATTATCATTATTATTACGACTTAAAGTCACGTAACCTTAGGAAAGTTACTCAATCACTCTGAAACTCATTACCCTAGCTTGCCCCATATGATTGCAATAAAAATCAACAAGGAAATGCATATGAAACTATATTTAAGCTGCCAAATATTAGACACATATTTATCTATTTATTGAGATGAAGTTTTGCTCTTGTTGCCCAGGTTGGAGTGCAATGGTGCGATCTCGGCTCACTGCAACCTTTGCCTCCCAGCTCAAGCGATTCTCCTGCCTCAGCCTCCCGAGTAGCTGGGACTACAGGTGCCAGTCACCATGCCCAGCTAATTTTTTGTATTTTTGTAGAGATGGGATTTCACCACGTTGATCAGGCTGGTCTTGAACTCCTGACCTCAGGTGATCCAGCTGCCTCAGCCTCCCAAAGTGCTGGGATTACAGACATGAGCCACCACCCCGGCCTTAAGTACATTTTTAAAGGAACAAATCATCCTATACTCTTCTCCAGCCCCAAAGAGCTACAAAGAAATGGACCAAGAAAGGAGGAGTGTTCATGATAATCTTGAATCACCAAAAAGGCATTTAACTAACTTCATTCAGTCAATGAATATTTACTAAGGAGGCTCAATATACTATGTGCTAGACCTGCCCCTGTTGGTCTGATCCCCTCAAGGACCTCTTGGTTTGATACGGAAAACTTCAAATCCTTCAAACATAACGTAATAAATATTGTAATAGATGATAGAAGTAGGAAAGAAAATAACATGAAGGAATGATTTGCAGAAATTATAGTTGAATTAAATGAGTATTAAAAGTTCAGAAGGGACTTGCTTTTCCGTATGGGGAAGAAAACATTCTGGACGCATATGAAGGGGTAAAAAAGGCATAGCATGTTCCAGACATTATGAAAATTCCAGGTATGTACTGGGGAAGAGTTGGATAAGAGGGAGACCCAGAAAAATAAGGTGGGGCCTTGTAGGACTTGCGAAGGGGTCTGACTGATATCTGGAGTCATGTTTTTTTATTGCAGGAAATAGGGAAAAAAGATCCACATTATTGGATGGTTTTGTGGGACTCACAAAATCAGCAGGAGGCTGAGGCTAAGACTTGGAAAGCAGAAAGACGCCAAGGAACTCCGTCAGGTCAAAAAACACAAAATACACCAGCCGTTTTTCAGTCAGAACAGACTGGCCACTGTGGCATGCTTCTGCAGATTCCCATGAACAGATCTAAGTGTCCCTTGGCTTCAGTGGAGCTGCCTCCAGAGTCAGTGCCCAGGGCAGGAGGATCCAATTTCTTTCCTCTTCAGGTTTCATAGTAAAAGATGGGTCGCTGAATCCTACCAAAACCATACACAATGGCAGATTTCCCCAAAACAGGAAAGGGGAGTTGGTTAATAGCCACAAAAACAAAATAAAACAACAAATACAGAATTTTAAACAGGCAGTGACAAGATCAGATTTACAAACTAATATCGTTTGGCTGTGTCCCCACTTAAATCTCATCTTGAACTGTGTAGTTCCCATAATCCTCACGTGTTGTTGGAGGGATCTGGTGGGAGGTTATGGAATCATGGGGGCGGTTACCTCCATGCTGTTCTTGTAATAGTGAGTGAGTTCTCACGAGATCTGATGGTTTTACAAGGGGCTTCCCCCAATGCCTACCCCCCGCCCCCACCCCCCCCGCCCTCCCCAGCCATGTTGAACTGGGAGTCAATTAAAGCTCTTTCCTTCATAAATTACCCAGTCACGGGTAATTTTTTCTTTTTTGGAATTTTAAAGTTTTTTATTTGATACATAATATTTGTACATATTTTTGGGGCACATCATGTAATATTTTGTTACATGCATAGGATGTGTAATGACCAAGACAGAATATTTAGGGTATCCGTCACCTCCAGTATTTATCACTTCTTTGTGTTGGGAATATTTCAAGCCTTCTCTTTTAACATTTATTTTATTTTATTTTAAGTTCTGGGGTACATGTGCAGAATGTGCAGGTTTGTTACATAAGTAAACATATGCCATGGTGGTCTGCTGCACCTACCAACCCATCACCTAGGTATTAAGTCCGGCATGCATTAGGTATTTTTCCTGATGTTCTCCCCACTCGTGTATGTCTTTATTAGCATCATCAGAATGAACTAATACATATGTTCAACAGAAGATGTCTATGAAATAGCTTAAATGATACAAAAGAGCATACACTGAAAAATATTCCTTTTTTTTTCTTTGAGACAGTTTCACTCTGTCACCCAGGCTGGAGTGCAGTGGTGCGATCTTGGCTCAATGCAACCTCTGCCTCCCACGTTTAAGCAATTCTCCTGCCTCAGCCGCCCAAATAGCTGGGTTTCAGTTACGTGCCACCACACCCAGATAATTTTTGTATTTTTGGTAGAGATGAGGTTTCACCATGTTGGCCGGACTGGTATTGAACTCCTGACCTCAAGTGATCTGCCCGCTTCGGTCTCCCAAAGTGCTGGGACTAGGCTGGGCGCAGTGGCTCACGCCTGTAATCCCAGAACTTTGGAAGGCCAAGGCTGGCAGATCACCTGAGGCTAGGAGTTGGAGACCAGCCTGGCCCACATGGTGAAACCCCTTCTCTACTAAAAATACAAAAATTAGCTGAGCATGGTGGCACCTGCCTATAATCCCAGCTTCTCAGGAGGCTGAGGCAGGAGAATTGCTCCAACCTGGGAGGTGGAGGTTACAGTGAGCAGAGATCATGCCACTGCACTCCAGCCTGGGTGACAGAGAAAGACTCCATCTCAAAAAAAAAAAAAAAAGAAAAACAAAGTGCTGGGATTACAAGCATGAGCCACCATGCTGGGCTGAAAAATATTCCTATGTTTAATCCCTGAGTTCTCTTTCCTTTTTTTTTTTTTGAGACAGTTCACTTTTGTTGCCCAGGCCGGGATGCAATGATACAATTTCAACTCACTGCAACCTCTGCCTCCTGGGTTCAAGGAATTCTCCTGCCTCAGCCTTCCAAGTAGCTGGAATTACAGGCATGCGCCACCACGCCTGGCTAATTTTTTGTATTTTTAGTAGAGATAGGTTTCGCCATGTTGGTTAGACTGGTCTTGAACTCCTGACTTCAGGAGATCCACCTGCTTTGGCCTCCCAAAATGCTGGGATTACAGGCATGAGCCACTGCACCTGGCCAATCCCTAAGTTTTCTTGCATAATTGAGAGCATATATATTTCTATGTATTTTACCATTTTGGTTGCTAGATAAATGGGATATTGACTATTTTATATTAATTTTATCTCCAGCAACTCTCGTGAATTATATAGTTGCTTATAATAGTTGTTCAGTTGATTCTCTTCAGTTTATCAATCTGCTTGGTGTGGTAGGCAGAATAATCGTCCCCTATAGGTGTCCATATCTTTATCTCTGGAACCTGTGATTATGTTGCTACTTTATATGGCAAAAGGGATTTTTTCAGATGTTATTAAAGTATGAATCTTGAGATAGGGAGATTGTCCAGTTTTGCTTGGGTAAGCCTAATGTAATCACAAGAGTTCTTAAGAGATGGAAGAGAGAGGCAGAAGAACCAGAGAAGAGGCAATGATGGAAGCAAAGATTGGAATGATGTGGTGCCATCAGCCAAGAAGTTTAGGCAGCCTCTCTAAAGTGGAAAAGGCTAGGAAATAGATTCTCCTCTAGAGCCTCCAAAATACAACCCTGACAACACCTTGATCCTAGCCCAGTGACACTCACTTCAGATTTCTGACCACCAGAATTATAGGATAATAAATTTGTATTGTCATAATCCACTGAATTTGTGGTAGTTATAGGAAACTAATATGTGGTCTTTCAAATACCTCCTCTACCTTATTTTTTTAAATTAGCAATAGATTCCTGTATTTCCTTCCTTCCTTCCTTCCTTCCTTCCTTCCTTCCTTCCTTCCTTCCTTCCTTCCTTCCTTCCCTCCTTCCCTCCCTCCCTCCCTCCCTCCCTCCCTGCCTTCCTTCCTTCCTTCTTTGTTTTTAATAGAGCAGGGCTTCACTATGTTGCCCAGGCTGGTCTCAAATTCCTAAGATCAAGTGATCCTCTAGATTTAGCCTCCCAAAGTGCTAGGATTACTGGCGTGAACCACCATGCCTAGCCTTTTTTTCCTAATATATGAAACAGATGACTGGGTGTGGTGGCTCACGCCTGTAATCCCAGCACTTTGGGAGGCCAAGGCAGGCAGATCACCTGAGGTCAGGAGTTTGAGACCAGCCTGGCCAACATGGTGAAACCCCATCTCTACTAAAAATACAAAAATTAGCTGGGTGTGGTGGTGCCTGCCTGTAGTCCCAGCTACTCGAGAGGGTGAGGCGGGAGAATATAGCTTGAACTAGGGAGGCAGAGGTTGCAGTGAGCTGAGATCATGCCACTGCACTCCATCCTGGGTGACAGAGTGAGACTTCATCTCAAAAAAGGAAAAACAAAATAGAAAAAGATAATATAAAATCAATTCATATAGATTTGCCTCATTTATTTGCAGCTGCAGAATATTCTGTTTATGTATTTTTCCTACCTTTAAAAATTGTATTGCGTTCCTTGTTTTGTTGTTTTTTTTCTTTTTTTTGAGATGGAGTCTCACTCTTCCCCCAGGCTGGAGTGCAGTGGTTAGATCTCAGCTCACTGCAACCTCTGCCTCCCAGGTTCAAGCGATCCTCCTGCATCAGCCTCCCGAGTAGCTGGGATTACAAGGACGCACCACCACACCGGGCTATTTTTTGTATTTTTGGTAGAGATGGGGTTTCGCCATGTTGGCCAGGCTGGTCTCAAACTCTTGACCTCAGGTGATCTGCCCACCTCGGCCTCCCAAAGTGCTGGGATTACAGGCATGAGCCACCATACCCGGCTAGTATCGTGTGCTTTGAATGACAGCAAAGAATAAAAAAATTGTATTGTGGTTTTTTTCTTGTTGAATTATGAATTGTTTGTACAGCAAAGAAATAAGCACTATATCTGTAGTTGTCGCAAATGTTTACACCAATCTGTAGATCTTAACATTCTGTTATTACTATTTTTTATTATTGACTTTTTTTCATTTATTAAATTTATCAATATCTTATGTGTACATCTGTGTGGATTCTGGAGTTATGTCTAGCCTAGAAAGGCTTTCTTCCTGAGATTATTAAAAAATTCTTCTCCTTTTTCCTAGCATTTTCATGAGTTTGATTTTTTTTTGAGATGGAGTATTACTCTGTTGCCCATGCTGGAGTGCAATAGCGCAATCTCGGCTGACTGCAATCTCTAACTCTTGTGTTCAAGCGATTCTCCCACCTCAGCCTCCGGAGTAGCTGGGATTACAGGTGCATGCCACCATGCCTGGCTAATTTTTTTGGTATTTTTTAGTAGAGACGGCCTTTCACCATGTTGGCCAGGCTGGTTTCAAACTCCTGAACTCAGGTGATCCACCTGCTTTGGCCTCCCAAAATGCTAGGATTACAGGCATGAGCCACTGTGCCCGGCCATGAGTTCGATTTTTATTCATAAGAATTGATTTGGTTCCCTACCTGAATTTCTTATGCCAGATTAAAATCCAAATGGTCCAAAGATTTATTAATAAAATTCATAAATGCAAAAGTCTTGGTTCTCTACCTGAATTTCTCTACACCAAATTAAATTCCAAATGGTTATTCATAAATCTTTGAATGACTGGGGTTTTTTTTTGTTGTTGTTGTTTTGTTTTGTTTGAGACAGAGTCTCACTCTGTCCCCCAGGCTGGAGTGCAGTGGGGCAATCTCAGCTTACTGAAACCTCTGTTTCCCAGGTTCAAGTGATTCTCCTGCCTCAGCCTTCAGAGTAGCTAGGATTACAGGCATGTGCCACCACACCTGGCTAATTTTTGTATTTTTAGTAGATAGGGGTTTCGCCATATTGGCCAGGCTGGTTTTGTACTCCTGATCTCAGGTGATCTCCCAAAGTGATGGGATTACAGGTGTGAGCCACCACACCCGGTCTGTCTTTGAACCATTTGGAATTTAATTTGGTGTAAGAAATTGAAGTAGGAAACCAAGACTTTTCAGAGAGCTCTCCAGTTGTCCCAGCATCATTTACTGAATACTCTATTATTCTTGCATTTTTCTTTTTAAATATTTTACATTTATATTTATAAGGATGGGGTCTTGCTATCTTGCCAAAGCTGGTTTTGAACACCTTGTCTCAAGTAATCCTCCTGCCTCGGCGTCCCAAAGTGCTGGAATTACAGGTTTGAGCAAGTGTGCCCAGCTGGATGATTTGATCCTACATGAGTTAGAACTGGGTTCAAATTCTAGATTCACTGCTTACTACTGGTCTTGTGCAAGATGTGATTTAATTTCCTCATCCATAGGACTAGGCCAATAACCATCTGCCTCATAGCGTGGTGAGAAGTGAATGAGATGTACAGTCTTGCAAGAAAACTGGCAGAAAATTACATACAGGACAGAAAATAAATATTGGTTCCCCTCATTTCCTGAAGATTCTGTGGTCTCCTTTAGGCATTGGCTTAGATGCTCATATGCGTCCATGATTATGCAAGCTCTTTATGAGCACTGGCAGGAAAGGCAGCCAAGGCTGGCCCTAGGGTATCACAGGGAACAAAGTGCTGCTTTCAGTCCTATCCAGAGTAACCACATGGGTCTCCTGTGAGGAACTGGCCTTTTGAGCCATGTTGTGTGGCCCGGTAAGGGTTGTTGATTATCCAGAGATGATTTATGGAAATTACTAGCATGATGGTCCTGTGACAGTGACTCTGATAGATGATGCAAGTCCCTGGAGGTTGCCAGAAGGAGGAAGGACGCAGGGGAGAAGTGGGAGGATTCGTTCTTAGAAACAGCGTTGTGGGCCGGGCGCAGTGGCTCATCCCTGTAATCCCAGCACTTTGGGAGGCCATGGCGGGCGGATCAGGAAGTCAGGAGTTCGAGACCAGCCTGGCCAATATGGTGAAACCCCGTCTCTACTGAAAATACAAAAAATTAGCTGGGCGTGGTGGCGGGCGCCTGTAGTCCCAGCTACTCGGGAGGCCGAGGCAGGAGAATCGCTCAAACCCGGGAGGCGGAGCTTGTAGTGAGCCGAGATCACGCCACTGCACTCCAGCCTGGGTGACAGAGCGAGACTTGGTCTCAAAAAAAAAAAAAAAAAAAAATTAGCCAGTCATGGTGGTGTGTGCCTGTAGTCCCAGGTACTTGGGAGGCTGAGGCAGGAGAATTGCTTGAACCCGGGAGGAGGAGGTTGCAGTGAGCAGAGGTAGCGCCACTGACTCCAGCCTGGGCAACACAGTAATACTCCGTCTCAAAAAAAAAAAATAACAATAATAAAAAAAGAAAAAAGAAATGCCATTGTGGGTCGATCTTGATTTCTTTACACATACACACCTGCTCTAATTTTAGATGCGTCATTTGGCTATGCGGTCATTGAGTTTACAGCTAAAGGCTGTACTTTAATTATTCATAGTACCTCCTACAGGACTGAATTTGTGATTCTGTGTTATCAACTGAAGCACACAGTTCAAATGAGCATTGGAACTATTGTCTGCTTAGTAATCAGAGAGCTTTTGTCTTTATGCTGTGATTCCAGAATTTGTCCCCTACTTGATTCCTGATACCTTGATCTTTTAAAAAATACTCCTCAAGAAGGCTTGGGCCGTGCACGGTGGGTCACGCCTGTAATCCCAGCACTTTGGGAGGCCGAGGCGGGTGGATCACGAGGTCAGGATATCGAGACCATCCTGGCTAACACGGTGAAACCCTGTCTCTACTAAAAAAAAAAAAAATACAAAAAATTAGGCGGGCGTGGTGGTGTGCGCCTGTAGTCCCAGCTACTCGGGAGGCTGAGGCAGGAGAATGGCGTGAACCCGGGAGGCGGAGCTTGCAGTGAGCCGAGACCGCGCCACTGCACTCCAGCTTGGGCACAGAGCGAGACGCTGTCTCAAAAAAAAAAAAAAAAAAAAAAGAAAAGAAAAAAGAAGGCTTGAGATTTTCATGTCATAGTTAGGGATAATTAAAATGCAAATACAACTAGGGAGTTTATACACTGACATATTTAGAATATCCCTTCCCCACTAGAATGTAAACTTCTTAGGGGAGGAACTTGATTTTGTACCCTATTATGTCCCCAGTGTATACTTACACAAGTGGTGTACAGTTCGTGCTTAATAAATATTTGTTGAATGAACGAGCAAATGAGAGTCTATATTAATGTGCCAACTATTGCAGTAGTCAGCATTTCGTCTACACTTTTTTTTAATGCCTTTACACATTTTAGGCTTTATACATGCTGCGTCCTCTTTCTGCAACGCCTTTTCTCCGTCTTTTTACTCCTCCATCGCCTCTTCTAAACCTGGAGAAGGTATAATAATCCTTTAAAACTCCCCTTGTTTTGGTAAAACACTCCTTGATCCTTATCTTCCTCCTCAAATCAATCCTTTTTTAAAAAATAAAAATCAGCTGGGCTCCTGTAGCCTTTTTTTTGAGACGGAATTTTGCTCTTGTTGCCCAGGCTGGCGTGCAATGGTGTGCTCTCGGTTCACTGCAACCTCCGCCTCCCGGGTTCAAGTGAATCTACTGCCTCAGCCTCCCAAGTAGCTGGAATTACAGGCGCCCACTACCACACCTAGCTAATTTTTGTATTTTTAGTAGAGACGGGGTTTCACCATGTTGGCCAGGCCGGTCTTGAACTCCTGACCTCAGGTAATCTACCTGCCTCAGTCTCCCAAAGTGTTGGGATTACAGGCGTGAGCCACTGTGTCTGGCCTCCTGTAGCCTTTTGTGTATAATCCTGTTATAAAAGGAATCATTTTGTCCTGTAATGATTTGTTTACATGTCAGCCTCTGCCATTAGAAGTGAGTTCTTTGTTGGCTGGGCGCAGTGGCCGAGGCAGGTGGATTATGAGACCAGGAGTTCAAAACCAGCCTCGCCAAGATGGTGAAACCCTGTCTCTACTAAAAATACCAAAAATTAGCCGGGCGTGGTGGCGCATGCCTGTAATCCCAACTACTTGGGAGACTGAGGCAGGAGAACTGCTTGAACCCAGGAGGTGGAGGTTGCAGTGAGCTGAGACTGTGCCATTGCACTCCAGCCTGGGCAACATGGTGAAACTCTGTCTCAAAAAAAAAAACCAAAAACAAACAAGAAATGAGTTCTTTGAGGTTGTGATATTGCGTATTTCTTTTGTATCCTTACTCTTAGTGTGGTGACTGGTTTATGGCAGATGTTTAAGAAACATCACTGACAACTGACTGAATCTTGCAAGTGGTCCTTCACCCTGCAGGGTTCCAGAAAGGTCTCAGACAGCTCCCTGTTAAGGAGTGCATTACAAGATCATTTTCTTTAAAAGCACTATTTTGGATAGGAAATCTTCTTGCCTACTAAGATTTTCTTTTGCTAAATCTCTTTATTCTGTATTCAAATGGAATTATTCTTGTGGAAACACAGAGTACAGCCCATAAATAAGGGATTTAGAAATACTTGGTCAAATTTCAAGGTGGGATTGATTACCTTGGTTTTCCACTCAGTGGATGCTTTCTGGTTACTTTGATGCCATAGAAACCTCAAAAATAGTAACATTTGGGAAAGGCTGGAATACTTATCCTGAGGAAAAATAAATGGTTTGACTATTGGGAACCAAACTCCTGTTGGTGTAGGACAGGGGAATTATGTTGTATAACGTAGTATCTCATGTCTCCAGCTATAAGAGGATTGTGGCCTGCTCAGGTTGCTATGGTTGTGACTATGACAACTCTGGAAAACATGAGAGAGATGCCAAGAAGAGGGCGTGGTAATGGCCATGGGCACAAGAGAACAAATGTCCAAGAGTAGGGACTGCATAGGGTCCTTGGATTCCAGTGGTTGTCCTTGGATTCCAGTGGCAGGGAGTCAAAACCCTATTCAAAGATCTGACTTCTACATTCTATTATTTACATAGAAGCAAACCCTGAACTGCTAATAATTGATTCCTTTCATTCATCCATTCTGCTTTTTGTTATTTTGAGGAAGGAAATGAAGTAGAGGGAAGCAGCATAAGTACCTAGGGTACTGCGGCTCTTGAGAACAGGCACTATTTAATTAAGCCAACTGTGAATTTGTGTGGGTGAAAGTAACAGCTGCTGATACTTAGGATATTTTTAAGTTGCACCCAGTTGGGATACTCTCTATGTCTATATATGGTCCTTCATGCTAAAGGACCTCGTGGAGATGGGTGGGCTAAAAACACAGACTCTTTGAAACTACATCGTCATCTTTTCATCTCTGTCAGCACATCAGCAGCCTGCTCTCTGGGAAACTTCAGCAAGGTTAAATGTTAAACCATTCATATGACCTACTCAGCAATAACTCCTCCATCCCCCTACATTGTTGCTAGGCTTTTCTGAGATTCAAGGAGAGACTTATTTGTTTAGTTCCAATATACTTTCAAGCTGCCTAGTTACCATGTCTTGTGCACAACGTGCACTCCAGGCAAACAAACTTTTTCAGAGCACAGCAGATTGGAGCAACAAACAAGCCTAGCAAATTGAGCCCCCTGAGCCCATGTGCTATCTGAAGCAAACCAAAACACAGCTGGCGGAGTTAATTTTAGACTTTCCAACCTTGGTAATGTCCTATCAATTTGGGATAAGCTGTTTTGAATAGGCTTGAAAAGGACCTTCCCTCCTTCTCCCCATGGCAGCTTACTGCTATGTGGTTTGAATTTAGTGGGAAAAACAGTTAATTGCGGGCAATGGTAAACTTGATGTACCAAGAAATTCAATTCAGCATTTATTGAGCAAGTACAAGGCCCATGCAAGAAACTTTTTATTTTGAGACAGGTTCTCACCCTGTCATCCAGGCTGTAGTGCAGTGACTGGATCGCGGCTCACGGCCACCTGGAACTTCTGAACTCAGGCACTCCTTCTGCCTTGGCTTCTCAAGTAGCTGGGACTACAGGTGCATGCCCAGCAATTTTTTGTTCTTGTGGAGATAGGGTTGCCCTATGTCGCCCAGGCTGTTTATAAGATCCTCCTGCCTTGGCCTCCTAAAATGCTGGGATGCGTGAGCCACTGTACCTGGCCAGTGAATCTTTCATAATTTTTGTCCTATGGACTAAGATCCTCAAAATTATACACAAAGTAGTACTTTCTAAAAAGTTTTGAAAGACTGGCTTTTTGAAAACAAAAATCAATTTTTATGTTGTGGTGCTTCCAAACACCAAAAGGGAGTTGGCATGATGATTAGGAAAGTTGTTTTATCAAATTATGCTGTTTATAAATGTAACCAGAATTTAAATACAATACAAGGAGTATATACATGCTACTCACTTCTGAATAGACAAGATCCAGTTCTCTGACCACCAAAATAGGTAAGATCCCTTTAATATATACTCATATACAGGCCAGGTGCAGTGGCTAACACCTGTAATCCCAACACTTTGGGAGGCTGAGGCAGGCAGATCACTTGAGGTCAGGAGTTCAAGACCAGCCTGGGCAACATGGTGAAACTCCGTCTCTACTAAAAAATACAAAAATTAACCAGGTGTGGTCATGCATACCTGTAATCCCAGCTACTCGGGAGGCTGAGGCAGGAGAATCACTTGAACCTGGAGGTGGAGGTTGCAGTGAGCCGAGATCGTGCCACTGCACTCCAGCCTGGGTGACAGAGTGAGTGAGACTCTGCTTGAAAAAATAAAAAAGACTTCATATACAACAAGGCCCTTTCTTTCATGACATTTACACATTTTCTAACTTTGCTTTTATTTGATTACTTGTATTTCCCAATGACCTATAGGATTCAGATGGTAAACACTAGGGCCTTTTTTTTTTTTTTTTAACTCTCAGAGGCCCATAGTAGACACTCAATGAATTCTTGTTGAGTAGATAAATGATTATAACCCAAAATCTAGCCATCCTATTGCATAAACCTCATATTCAAAAGAGTAACGAGCTTGAAGGGGAGGGTACTGGGTTAGGTTTGTGGTCAATAAAACATTCCTTCTTCCATTTTAAACATTAAATAATAAGCTCTGTGTTTGTTTTTTTGTTGTTGTTTTTGTTTGTTTGTTTGAGACGGAGTTTCACTCTTGTTGCCCGGGCTGGAGTGCAATGACACAATCTTGGCTCACCACAACCTCTGCCTCCTGGGTTCAAGCGATTCTCCTGCCTCAGCGTCCTGAGTAGCTGGGATTACAGGCATGCACCACCACACCTGGCTGATTTTTTTGTATTTTTAGTAGAGACGGCGTTTCTCCATGTTGGTCAGGCTGGTCTTGAACTCCCGACCTCAGGTGATCCGCCCGCCTTGGCCTCCCAAAGTGCTGGGATTACAGGTGTGAGCCACTGCGCCCGGCAGGCTCTGTGTTTTGATGCTTTGTGGGTTTTAGCAATAAATAAATGCACTGAAAGACATCAAGCTTCATCAGTCTTTCATGTCTCCATTCCTTTCTTTTTTTGTTTTGTTTTTTTTTTTTTGGAGCCTGAGTCTCGCTCTGTCGCCCAGGCTGGAGTGCAGTGGCGCAATCTTGGCTCACTTCTTCCTCCGTCTCCCAGGATCAAGTGATTCTCCCGAATCAGCCTCCCGAGTAGCTGGGATTACAGGCACCCACCACCACGCAGGGCTAATTTTTGTATTTTCAGCAGATATGGGGTTTTGCCATGTTGGCTAGGCTGGTCTCAAACTCCTGACCTCAGGTGATCTGCCTGCCTCAGCCTCCCAAAGTGCTGGGATTACAGGCATGAGCCACTGTGCCTGGGCCCTCCATTCTTTTTTTCTTTTCTTTCTTTTTTTTTTTTTTTTGAGACAGGGTCTTACTCTGTCACCCAGGCTGGAGTGCATTGGCGTGACCTTGGCTCACTGCAACCTCTGCCTCCCGGGTTCAAGAGATTCTTGTGCCTCAAATTCCTGAATAGTTGGGATTACAGGGCGTGCCACCACGCCTGGCTACTTTTGTACTTTTAGTAGAGATGGGGTTTTACCATGTTGGCCAGGCTGGTCTCCAACTCCTGACCTCAAGAGATCCGCCCGCCTCTGCCTCCTAAAGTGCTGGGATTACAAGTGTGTGCCATTCTATTCTATTATTCAAATTAATCTGTCCTTGAGAAGCACTTAAAATTGTACATTGGCTAGTCTTTAATGAAGCAAGAAATAGAATTAAAATCTAAGGAGCACTGATAAGGGTCAGGTTGAATTGTTAGCTTTGTTAAGTGTGATTGTGTAGCATGCCAAAATACACTTAGAATATATTTATTCTTTTTTTTTTATTTTTTCATAGAGATGGGGGGTTTTACTATGTTGACTAGGCTGATCTCAAACTCCTGCTTTCAAGTAATCCTCCGATCTCGGCCTCCCAAAGTGCTGGGATTATAGGTGTGAGCCATGGCATCAGGCCTCAAATGAATATATATACATATACATACACACACACACACATTTCCCTCTTTTTTTTTAATTTTACTTTAAGTTCTGGGATACATGTGCAGAAAGTGCAGGTTTGTTACACAGGTATACATGTGCCATGGTGGTTTGCTGTACCTATCAACCCCCATGGTGGTTTGCTGCACCTATCAACCTGTCATCTAAGTTTTAAGCCCCACATGCATTAGATGTTTGTCCTAATGCTTTCCTTCCCCTTGCCCCCCACCCCCCGACAGGCCCTGATGTGTGATGTTCCCCTCCCTGCGTCCATGTGTTCTCATTGTTCAACTCCCACTTGTGAGTGAGAACATGTGGTGTTTGCTTTCTGTTCCTGTGTTAGTTTGCTAAGAATTATGGTTTCCAGCTTCATCCATGTCCCTGCAAAGGACATGAACTAATTCTTTTTTATGGTTGCATAGTATTCCATGGTGTATATGTGCCACATTTTCTTTATCCAGTCTCTCGTTGATGGGCATTTGGGTTGGTTCCAAGTCTTCGCTACGGTAAATAGTGCTGCAATAAACAAACATGTGCATGTGTCTTTATTCAAATGAATATTTAAAGAGCATATGCCCACTCATGTTCTGTTCTATTCTGTACATGTTACAGTATAATTTCAATTCTTTGAAAAGTTGGATAGAACAAAAATTTTAATAATCTTGCTTCATAAACAAAAGGTTATTAGATTTTGGTCAGAAGAGATGATAATTATAAATATCTATTTGAATATAAACTCTCTTTGATTCTGAAATTCCCAATGTTTTTGATATGCTGAATAATTTTATATGACAGACATCATTTGATTTAAAGTCTAACCTGGAATCATATTGTATATTATTAACCTGACACCTCCCTCACATTTAGGACCAGTATATTTACGTTTTATTGGATGTTAATTCCAGGCAACTCTCCTAGTGGTATGATAAAGAAATACTCAGAAGGTATTTTTGCAGATTCTTTCCTCTGCCAGTTTTCCCTTATTCAGTGTCACAGGATACATCTAAATTATGTCAGACCAAAACTAAGGCTACCTAAGCCAAATCAGGGAGCAGTTTGGAAATGTGTGCCAGTCATTTGAAGGATGCCCCTGGCAGGAGAGAACTTTAGAACTGGAAGATATTTTAGAGATCATGTAATGATAGAAGGCTCCCATTTTAAATGGGCTAAAACTGAGGCTATGACAGGTCAACTCACTCTTTCCAAAGATAATCAGTAATCTGGTAATGCAAGTCTTACTTTCAGAAGACCCTTACAAGAATCATACAGGGCTGGGCGTGGTGGCTCACGCCTGTAATTCCAGCATATTGGGAGGCCAAGGCAGGCAGATCACGAGGTCAGGAGTTTGAGACCAGCCTGGCCAACATAGTAAAACCCCGTCTCTACTAAAAATTCAAAAATTAGCCAGGTGTGGTGGCACAGGCCTGTAATCCCAGCTACTTAGGAGGCTGAGGCAGAATTGTTTGAACCCAGGAGGCAGAAGTTGCAGTGAGCCTAGTCCAGAAGTTGCACCACTGGACTCCAGCCTGGGTGACAGAGTGAGACTCCGTCTCAAAAAAAAAAAAAAAAAAAAGAATTATACAGTAAGTCAGTACCATATCAATATTTGGAGCACAGGGTTTTATACCATAAATCTATTATTTTCATTCAGATAAATCCTCCTCTTTCTTCTTTTTGGGGAATCTTTTAAAAAATTTTTAATTTAATTTGAAGTTCCAGGATACATGTGCAGGACGTGCAGGTTTGTTACATAGGTAAACGTGTGTGCCATGGTGGTGTGCTGAACCTATCAACTTATCACCTAGGTATTAAGCTCTGCATGCATTAGCTATTTATCCTGATCTGGTAATCTTTTGAGTCTGTAAGTTTTCTCATTCCAGTAACCTCTGCTGTTCCTGAGATAGTGCAAGATTCTAGTATTTTCTTCTATTAAAAAATTTTTTTTTTGAGACGGAGTCTAACTCTGTCACCCAGGCTGGAGTGTAGTGGCATGATCTTGGCTCACTGCAACCTCTGCTTCCTGGGTTGGAGCAATTCTCCTGCCTCAGCCTCCCGAGTAGCTGGGATTACAAGTGTGTGCCACCATGCCCGGCTAATTTTTGTATTTTTAGTAGAGACGGGGTTTGGCCATGGTCTTGAACTTTGGCTGGTCTTGAACTCCTGACCTCAGGTGATCCACCCACCTCGGCCTCCCAGAGTGCTGGGATTACAGGCATGAGCCACTGCGCCCGGCCTAAAACGTTTTTTTTTTTTTTTTTTTTTTTTTTTTTTTTTTTTTTTACCACTTTACCAACGTGCCAAATAATAGTGCATATATGCAGTATAATACATTTCATATCTGCACCTACTTCAAAGTGTATTCTGCCCTTTGGGATAAGCCAAAGGTGAGCTAATATCTGCACATGATTTGTTTTGCTCAGATTCTCTTTGAAAACTTGTAGATTTGATGGGTGTTGTGAGTAAAGAAGACGGACATCTCTTCGATACCCGTATTTCCCTCCTAAATTGGTAATGCTGTGGTGACATATTCAAGGTATGTGAAGGATTCTTAAACAGAATATAAAGGCTTGCCCTGGGCCCCATAACCCTGTGAGAATAAAAGTCCCTTTGTAAGTGGGTCTGAATAGCTTCTAGCTTCTAGGATGTTCTGTGCATTAGAATGCTTACAAGCTTTGGCCCCCTAAGTGGTTACACCGATGACCACCCTATCATGCTGGGTTCCGTGGTGAACTGAGAGATGCCATTACCTTTCACCGCCCTTGGCCGGACACTCACGGTGGGCCTAACTCCGGTGGTAATTCCATCCCTCACTGCGGGACCTTGACATCCCCGAGCTGAAGCCCACTTCCTCCCTGACCTCTGGAGCCCAGCTGAGCGGCTCCGAGAGCTCTGCCATGACTCCTAACCGGGTGGACAGGGGGGCCGGGCAGCCGCGGCGCACACGCTGGGCGTCGTCCCTAGCAGCAGAGGAGACCAGAAGGTGAGAGTCCCCATGCCGCAGCCGGAGGGCCGGGGTGGGCTTGCACCGCTATCGCGAGAGCTCGTGAGGTGGGGGCGGCGGGGAGCTGGGGAGGGGCTCGCGGAGAGCCTGCCCCGCCTCCCTTTCCTTCCCCTCCCCTGGAGTGATTCAAGACGAGCGCTACCCACTTCCGCCCCCTCCCCCTGCCATTGGAACTAGCTGAGCCGAACTAGTTGCGGCCACCGAGCAGCCGGCTCTCGGCACCTCCTCCTCCGCCTCCCTGTCTCCTGTTCCATTCGCCTTTCCTCTTCTTTCCTGGCCCACGCCGCTCCGAGGCCTCGCGACCGCCGAGCCTGCAGCCTGCCCCGCGGCCAACATGAGCTTCTTGTTGTGAGTAGCCAGGCCCCGCACGCGCCGGCTTTGTTCGGGTGGACCTGGGCCCCCGCCCGCCGCCCGCCGCCCGTCGCCCGCCCTCGTCCCGACCCTCCTGGCCCAGCGCTCCCGGGGCCCGGCGTCACCACCAAGCGGGGCCCCGGGACTGCGCGGAGCGCTCGGACTACCTAACCGCCGCCTCCCCATAGGGCTTCGAGTACTCGTGGGCTCCTGCAGCCCTGAGGAGGTTCTTCCCCCCCGGCACACCCCGGGGCCAGCGCCTGGATTCCTTCATCACCCCCGTCTCTGCCTTCGCTCGCATTCCCGGGCTTGTTTGTGCGCTTCTCGTGGGTATCTCCCACTCGCCTGCACAATCCGTATCCAAGCGGTGCTCGGTTGAATGGCTCCGTCGCGGCTGCCCATTGCTCTTTTCTGGGTCCCAAGCACAGAAGATAAGACTGTCGTACTTTCCCCTGTCATCCCAGGACCCTTTTAACTTCCTCTCTCGTCTTAGGGCTGGGAAGTTGGGATGACAAGTTCTGTAGATGTAACACTGAAACAAGGCTACTTGCGGGTCGGGATCCCTTGGACACAGACGGGGGTCCCTGAGAAAGGGGTCTGGAGCCGCCCCCTTGCTTCCTAGAGGCGCCCTTCCTCCCAGAGGACTTCCCTGAAGAGGATGAGTTTTATCTTTTTAGACAACCAGCAAATAGGTTTTGGATAGTGTGCCCTGCCTAGGTTGATTAGGTCCACTGGGGAGTTGTTTTGAAAATCATTTGTAAATGCCAACTTTGGCGTCATGTTTAGTGCTGGTCATTATTTCACTTACTTATCGTTTGTTCCAGACGAGTGGAGGGGAACGTGGAGGGGGAAGGGCAGAAGGATGGGATGGCCAGATGTGGATATGGAGGCAGTAGATAAGCCTCAGGTCCTCTGAAAACAGGGGTTACAGCCTGAGGAATAACTCCTTTGAAGGCTTCGTTGTGATGCACTCATTCCATGTTTAGTCTGTGTTTAGAAAACTAATAAAAAACTTAGAAGTTGAAACTCACCCATATACTGTTTTACTGTTGTGGAGAAATTAGCATTTAAAGGATATTTTCTTAAGATTTCTCTTCTTTCCTTGCCTAATAATTTTTAGTCATTACATTGACGTCTGAATACTGAGAATTTAATTCACTCTTATTTTCACATGCTCACATCTAGAATTTTTTTTTTTAGGGTGTTTAAGCAAAACTGAACAAGGCTGACCTAGGGGCAGACTTGATATTTCCAATATGCATAGGGGACCTGGCTTGTGTCAACTTGCCTAAAACCTTTAAACGGAAAGGGATTTCTTAGGCTCCTCCTAGAAGTTGATTCTGAGTTTGTCGGATTGGCATAGGGCTAGATGACAGGACTGGGTGATTTTATAAAAAAGTCCTTGTTTCTTATTTTAGTTCTTTTTTTTTTTTTTTTTTTTTTTTGAGACGGAGTCTCCGCTCTGTCACCAGGCTGGAGTGTGTAGTGGCGTGATCTCGGCTCACTGCAACCTCTGCCTCCCGGGTTCAAGCGATTCTCCTGCCTCAGCCTCCTGAGTAGCTGGGACTACAGGCCCGCGCCACCACGCCTGGCTAATTTTTGTATTTTTAATAGAGATGGGGGTTTCACCATGTTGGCCAGGCTGGTCTCGAACTCCTGATTTCAAGTGATCTGCCTGCCTTGATCTCCCAAAGTGCTGGGATTACAGACGTGAGCCCACCGTGCCTGGGCAGTTTCTTGTTTTAGTTCTAATCACCATATTCAGGTATCTCAACTTGAAGCTTCTCATCTTGAGCTTAATTTTACATTGCTAATGTTTGATTGTTTTCAAGAATTTAGAAGCTGTATTCAAAATAGCACTGTAGATGATATCCATGACTACTGCTGATGGGCTTGTGTCTAGTAAGCTAAATTGGTTAAAGCAAGGCCAGTCGCGGTGGCTCATGCCTGTAATCCCAGCACTTTGGGAGGCCAAGACAGGCAGATCACCAGGTCAGGAGTTCGAGATCAGCCTGGCCAATATGGTGAAACCCCGTCTCTACTAAAAATACAAAAATTAGCTGGGCAAGGTGGCACGCACCTGTAGTCCCAGCTACTTGGGAGGCTGAGACGGGAGTATCACTTGAACCCGGGAGGTAGAGGTTGAAGTGAGACGAGATCGCGCCACTGCACTCCAGCCTGGGTGGCAGAGTGAGACTCTGTCTCAAAAAAAAAAAAAAAAAAGGTTAAAGCAGGGAAGAGCCATATTTGGCTGAAACTAGGGGATGGAGAAGTTTCTGATGCTATTTTTTGAATACAAATACAGTAGAATCCTATTTTTACATGGCTCAGTATTTAATAGATTCAGATTTGTGGTGGATTAGTTTGTTTCTCCTGAAGGTTAGTAACTACAAAAGAAATCTTGCTGTAACTAATGTATATAGAACTTTAGAGCATTTGCACTATTTGGGGCACAATTTTTCAGTTAGGTTATATCTATCTAGCAGTTGATATATTCTCAACATATTTAGCCCATGTGCTTGACAATCAGAAAAGTTAATTCAACATTTTCAGTTTTGGTCTTTGTCTACCGTCAATTAAAAATCCAAAGTGAACACCACATGGAAATGATTATTATTGGAAGTGAAAGAACAAAGCTTTGGTTATTTCTTCTATTTGTTATTTGGTATAACTGTCTGAATACTGTTTCTTTTTTTTTTTTTGGAGACAGGATCTCACTCTGTCGACCAGGATGGAGTGCAGTGGCATGACCACAGCTAACTGTAGCTTTGACTTCCCAGGCTCAGGTGATCCTTTCATCTCAAACCCCCTCCCCGCTACAAGTAGCTGGTACTACAGGTATGCTCCACTATGCCTAGCTAATTTTTTTTTTTTCGGTAGAGTCAGGGTTTTGCCATGTTGCCCAGGCTGGTCTCCTGGGCTCAAACAATCCACTCATCTTTGCCTTCCAAGATGCTGAGGTTACAGGTGTGAGCCATTACACCTGGCTATCTGAATACTATTTCTGTACCAACAGATGAGCAGAGAAGGAAAGCGTTACAGCTTAGGAGTTAAATACAAATATTTTCCTCCCGTTCTTGGAAGCTTACTGGGAAGCCTACGATCAGTGGATGGAGCAGAGGAAATAAGGGCAATGCAAGATGGGGCTGCAAAGGTGGTGACTCATGACTCTTGAGGGCTCTAAGATAGAAGGAAAGAACTACTACTGATTTTTAAAAGATGCACTGTGGGCCGGGCACAGTGGCTCCTGCTTGTAATTCCAACACTTTGGGAGGCTGAGGTGAGTGGATCACTTGACCCCAGAGTTCCACACCAACCTGGACAACATGGCGAAACTCTCTTTCTACCCCTAAAAATACAAAAATTAGCCAGGTGTGGTGGTGTGAGCCTGTAGTCCCAGCTACTCTGGGGGCTGAGGTGGAAGGGTCATCTGAGCCTGAGGAAATTAAATACTTCAAGGCTGTGGTGAGATGTAATCATGCCACTGCACTCTAGCCTGGCTGATAGAGAGTGAGACTCTGTCTTAAAAAAAAAAGGCCGGTCGCGGGGCATAATGGCTCAGGCCTGTAATCCCAGCACTTTGGGAGGCCGAGGTGGGTGGATCACTTGAAGTCAGGAGTTTGAGACCAGCCTGATCAAGAAATGAAACCCCATGTCTACTAAAAATAAAAAAAATTAGCCGGGCGTGGTGGCGGATGCCTATAATCCCAGTTACATGGGAGACTGAGTAGGAGAATCACTTGAATCCGGGAGACAGAGGTTGCAGTGGGCCAAGATTGTGCCACTGCACTCCAGCCTGGACGACAGAGTGAGACCGTCTCAAAAAAAGAAAAAAAATCACTGTGCCTGGCACTGATGTGGATGTTGGGCACCATTTGTGACAAGAGAGAAAAAAATCCCTGCATTGGTGGGGCTTATGTTCTGGTAAGTGTCCGTAAATACTGAACATCAATAAATCATGTAGTATGGCGGAAGGTTGTAAGTGCCATGGAACAAAGGAGAGCAGGGTATAGAGATTTTTGGATAGGGAGTTGAGACAGATTAGGATAATCCCCAGAGTGGGTTCCCAGATCATCTGCAGGAATGATACCTTTGTGTAGCTTTTGTATAAATGCTCAGGATAAATTTGCACTGCATATGTGGGTTTGGCTGGGACAGAGCTTTGGTTGTGCCGCAGTTTGGCCTCTGTGTATCTTCAGATTAAGCTAAACTCTCATGGTAGATACGGAAACTTCACAGGGACCTCATTTAATTTTGTGGACTCAAATCTTTTAAACACATCCTTAGCACCTGCTGTGTGCCAGGCGTAGAGGAAGATAAGAGATTCCAGAGATGGTGGATGGTATATCGTCATCTATGATAGATGCAATACAATCATGGGGGCCCAAAGTATGTGTAGCAATTTGTTCTACTTAGGCTTTAGGAAAGTTTCATGAAAGAAGTGGGTGATAATTAATGGAAGGTGAACAAGAGCTCTCTAAGAAGACAAGGGGAAATGGGAGAGTACAGTCAGAGGAAACATCTTTGAGTCAAGAAATTGCCTGTGAATTGTTCACTTCCACGTTTGTGCAAGAGGCTGTAGAATTTTGGAGCTAGCAGGGGTCTATTAGTAACATGGCCTACTTACTTCTTTTTGCTAAAGGGGCAAAATCACCAACTTGAGGTTGGTGGCCCAATTATTGGCCTGGGGACAGTTGGAACTCAGGTCTCCTGACGTAGGTGTTTTTCCTTCCTGACATTTTGTGCATATAAAAGGCAGGGAAATTGAGGATAAAAGTGAGTTCTAAGTAATCATTCAAAAAGTATATTTCATGTTCTCTTAAGTTTCTAGCATTTTTAAATTATGGGTCTCTTTTGACTAATGGAATTCTGAAAAAAAAAAATTTGACTTGGAAAAGACCAAAGTGTAATTTCCTAATGTAAGGCTACTTATTTGGAACGGAGTTAAAACAAGTACATTTAATTTAACTTTTTCTTGTTAAGAGACAGGGTCACCGAGGACGGTGGTGGCTCATGCCTATAACCCCAGCACTTTGGGAGACTGAGGGGGTGGAACCTTGAGCCCAGGAGTTTGAGAACAGCCTGGGTAACATGGCAGAACCCCCATCTCTACCAAAAAACATTAGCCAGGTGTGGTGGCGCTCAGCTGCTTAGGAGGCTGAAGTGGGTGGATTGCTTGAACCCAGGAGGCAGAAATTGCAGTGAGCCAAGATTGCACCACTGCACTCCAGCCTGGGTGACAGAGTGAGACTCTGTCTTAAAAAATAATTTAAAAAGAGACTGGGTGTTACTGTGTTGCCCGGGCTGTCCTCAAACTTCTAGGCTCAAGCAGTCCTCCCACCTCAACCTCCAGAGTAGCTGGGATTATAGGTGCATGCTACCACGCCTGGCTACAGTTAACTTATAAATGAAAGTCTGTAGGAAAGGTGGTTTGGGAATGTGAATGACTAAACCATGTCTATTTCTTCGTTCTTTCTTTTTTTTTTTTTTGAGATGGAGTCTCGCTTTTTCGCCCAGGCTGGAGTCCAGTGGCGCGATCTCGGCTCACTGCAACCTCCACCTCCCGGGTTCACGCCATTCTCCTGCCTCAGCCTCTCGAGTAGCTGGGACTACAGGCACCCACCACCATGCCCGGCTACTTTTTTTTTGTATTTTTAGTAGAGACAGGGTTTCACCGTGTTAGTCAGGATGGTTTCAATCTCCTGACCTCGTGATCCGCCTGCCTCGGCCTCCCAAAGTGCTGGGATTACAGGCATGAGCCACTGTGCCCGGCCCTCTTTTTTTTTTTTTTTTAAATGTCAACAATGAAAGCTGAACTAGGTGTATTTCTGTATAGGAAGAAACAGATGGATTGGGAAAAGAAGGAAGAAAGGAAGGAAATACTTACTGAGCACTGTGCTACATACCTTCCATTTGTCATTCTTAAGATTAGCAATTTAGGCCGGGCACGGTGGCTCATGCCTGTAATCCCAGTAGTTTGGGAGGCTGAGGCGGGTGGATCACGAGGTCAGGAGTTTGAGACCAGCCTGGCCAACATGGTGAAACCCTGTCTTTACTAAAAATACAAAAAAATTAGTCAGACATGGTGGCATGTGCCTGTAGTCCCAGCTACTCGGGAGGCTGAGGCAGTGGAATTGCTTGAACCCGTGAGGTGGAGGTTGCAGTGAGCCGAGATCATGCCGCTGCACTCCAGCTTGGGCAACACAGTGAGACTTCGTCTTAAAAAAAAAAAAGATTAGCAATTTAGCAGCACTTTGGGAGGCTGAGGCGGGTGGATCATGAGGTCAGGAGTTCAAGACCAGCCTGGGCAACATGGTGAAACCCCGTCTCTACTAAAAATAGAAAAAAGTAGCTGGGCGTAGTGGCGGGCGCCTGTAATCCCAGCTACTCGGGAGGCTGAGGCAGGAAAATTGTTTGAACCTGGGAGGCGGAGGTTGCAGTGAGCCGAGATTGTGCCATTGCACTCTAGTCTGGGCGACAGAGTGAGACTCCATCTCAAAAAAAAAAAAAAAAATTAGCAATTTAGGAAAAGAGACTCATGATAGTGCAATGTTTGTGTCTGTCTCTGTTTCTCTCTAGACTCTTGATGGTGCTATGTTTATATGTGTCTGTCTCTTTCTCTCTAGACTCATGATAGTGCTATGTTTATATGTGTCTATCTCTGTCTCCCTCTGTCTCTCTGTCCCTCACTTCCCCCCAAGCCCCCAAAGCCAGCATTTTGTTTTCAGGCAAATGATTTAACTGATTTTAATGCTTCAGCAGCCTCACCTTTAAAAAAAGTTAATAATTTATAAGAATAATCAAATAGGCCAGGTGTGGTAGCTCATGCCTGTAATCCCAGCACGTTGGGAGGCTGAGGCAGAAGGATGGCTTGAGCCAATTTGAGTTATAGTGAGCTATGCTTGTGCCAGTACACTCTAGCCTGGGCAACTGAGCAAGACCCTGCCTCTAAAAAGAAAACATTAAAAAAAAATAACAATAATAGTTCAATGAGTGTTTACTATGTGCCAGGGACAAAGTGTTTTAAATAGTTCAGTAATTAGCAGGAATCCTATTTTATACATAAGGAAACTAGCACAGAGAGGTTACATAATTTTATCAAAATCATGTGGCCAGTAAATAGTGTAGCTGGAATTTGAGTCCTGGAAGTCTAGGTCCAGAGATCCTGTCTTATACTTCTTTTTTTTTTTTGAGACGGAGTCTTGCTCTGCCACCCAGGCTGGAGTGCAGTGGCTCAATCTTGGTTCACTGCAACTTCCACCTCATGGGTTCAAGCAGTTCTCCCTGCCTCAGCCTCCTGAGTAGCTGGGATTACAGGTGCCCTTCACCATTACAGGTGTCCTCCACCATGCCTGGCTAATTTTTATATATTTAGTAGAGATGGGATTTTCACCATGTTGGCCAGGCTGGTCTCAAACTCCTGACCTCAGGTGCTCCTCCCACCTCGGCCTCCCAAAGTGCTGGGATTACAGGTATGAGCCACCACGCCCGGCCTTTTTTTTTTGGAGACAAAGTCTCACTCTGTCACGCAGACTGCAGTGTAGTGGCGCTATCTTGGCTCACTGCAAACTCTGCCTCCCAGGTTCAAGTGACTGTCCTGCCTCCGCCTGCTGAGTAGCTGGGACTACAGGCGTGTGCCACCATGCCCAGCTAATTTTTGTGTTTTTAGTAGAGATGGGGTTTTGCCGTGTTGGCCAGGCTGGTCTCGAACTCCTGGCCTCAAGCAATCTGCCTGCCTCGGCCTCCCAAAGCGCTGGGATTATAGGTGCTAGCCATTGCGCCCAGCTGATCCTGCCTTATACTATCATCTATAATTAACAAAATTATATCTATATATAGATATATATACACATACACATGCGTGTATATACATATATACACACATATGTATGTATATATGTGTGTATGTATATCTATATATATATTTTTTTCTTAAAGGTGATATTCAAGTGGGCCTTGTTATTAAGGGAAGTCTTATGTTACCAGGCATTATTGTCTCATGATGCTGGGACTCTCTTCTAAGATTCACCAAGAATACACTAGTAGAAGACGAAATAGTAACTTTTAAATTCATATAATATTTAAATATTTTTAACCTTTATCTTTAGTGTAAAAATAATATACATGTTGGAGAAATCACAAAATCATGTTAGGAAAAGGAAGAAAATAAAAATCACTCATAATCACACCTTCAGAGACAACTGTTGTTTGTATTTAGGGATAAAGTTCTGAATCTTTTTTTTTTTGTTTTTTGAGACAGAGCTTTGCTCTGTCACCCAGGTTGGAGTGCAGTGGCATGATCTCAGCTCACTGCAACCTCCGCCTCCTGGATTCAGCGTTTATCCTGCCTCAGCCTCCAGAATAGCTGGGACTACAGGTGCCCGCCACCACGCCTGGCTAATTTTTGTACTTTTAGTATGGATGGGGTTTCACCATATTGGCCAGGCTGTTCTGGAACTCCTGACCTTGTGATCCGCCCGCCTTGGCCTCCCAAAGTGCTGGGATTACAGGCGTGAGCCACCGCGCCCTGCTAACTTCTTCTGAATCTTTTTTATTGCATTTTTGTTTGTATGTATTTAAAAATATACAAATGGATTTCCACCGTGCGTAGACCAGGTTTTTTACTTGTAAATTTTTTTTTGCCAGAGAATAGATTTCTGCAACATCATTTTGAATGGCTGATGACCAAGTATTATCTTACAGTTTTTTATCTGACAACAAAAAAGGATATCAGATATTATATCCTTATAATATATTCTCCACTGTAAGGTTATTTTATTTTTTTCTTTTTGTTATTAAATATATAGAATTTAATATAACATTAAAAAGGATAACATCTTACATATATGTCATATATTATATCCTTATATATAATATATGTTATCCTTTTTAATATGTTGTATTTTTGAGGGAATGTGGGGAGTGGAAGTAAATATGGTCATCTTTTCAGAAAGAACTGTAGTTTTGGGAATTGCAGGACTGACTGGCTTTAGTTTACTTTTATCATGTTTAGAGATAGCTTTTTTTTCCTTTACATACTAGAGTGCAAAATAATTGCCATTTGGTTACTTTTACCATTATTGATTTCTTTCTCTAAGTGTAGTTGCAGTTTTTGTACTTTCGGAGTTTCTGATATATGAAAGCACGTGTCTAATACATGTAGCACTTCCCTAAACTGTGTATTTGATTAGGAGATATTGAGGCAAAATAGCTACATGTTACTTGAAAAATATGAAACAGTTCTACCTGTTAGGAATGTCAAACTGAGTCCTGTAGAGAACTTTAACTCTCCTTTTCTTCCTACGTTTCCATTTTTGTTTTATATTAACCAACTTAAGGCCATCTTTTTTTTTTTTTTTTTGAGACAGGGTCTCATTCTGTCTCCCAGGCTGGAGTGCAAAGGCACTATCTTGACTCACTGCAACCTCTGCCTCCTGGGTTCAAGTGATTCTCCAGCCTCAACCTCCCGAGTAGCTGGGACTACAGTCGCCTACCACCATGCTGAGCTAAGTTTTGTATTTTTAGTAGAGACAGGGTTTCACCATGTAGGCCAGGCTGGTCTTGAACTCCTGGTCTCAAGTGATCTACCTACCTCAGCCTCCCAAAGTGCTGGGATTACAGGCGTGAGCCACCGTGCCCAGCCTTAGGTCCATCTTTTACAACACATTTAATTAAGTATAAGTGTAGCTGTGAAGTAACATTCTTTTACAGAAGTGATTTTTAAATTAAATTTTTTTTTTTTTTGAGATGGAGTCTCACTCTGTCTCCCAGGCTGGAGTGCAGTGGTGCGATCTCTGCTCACTGCATTCTCTGCCTCCTGGGTTCAAGTAATTCACCTGCTTCAGCCTCCCAAGTAGCTGGGATTACAGGTGCCCGCCACCACACCCAGCTAATTTTTATATTCTTAGTAGAGATGGGGTTTCACCATGTTGACCAGGCTGGTCTCAACTTTGTCTTCAGGTGATCCACCGGCCTCAGCCTCCTAAAGTGCTGAGATTACAGGTGTGAGCCACCACGCCCGGCCTTAAATTTAATTTTGAAACATTTTTCAACTTCCAGGAAAGTTGCAAAGAACAGTGCAAAGAACTTCCACATATTCCTTATCCAGAAACCCCATTGAGTTTCATCTGTTGCTTTAACAATGTAATCTTCGACAAAAGGATCCAGTCATGAATCATGTATTGCATCCACTTATGTCTGTAGTGTTTTTCTTTTTTCTTTTCTTCTCACAGAGTCTTGCTCTGTTGCCGAGGCTGCAGTGCAGTGGCCCGATCTCGACTCACTGCAGCCTCGACTTCCTAGGCTCAAGGGATCCTCCCATCTCAGCCTCCTGAGTAGCTGGGACTACAAGCATGTTCTACCACACCCGGCTAATCATTTTTTTGTGGAGATAGGGTTTCACCGTATTGCCCAGGCAGGTCTTGAACTTCTGGGCTCAAGCAATTTGCCCGGCCTTGGCCTCCCAAAGTGCCGGCATTACAGGTGTGAGCCACCGGGCCCAGCCTGTGTTTTTCAAACTGAAATAGTTTGTCAGTCTTTCCTTGACTTTTATGACCTTTACATTTTTGAGGATTACAGGCCATTTTGTAGAACATTCCTCGCTTTGGGTTTCTCTGATGTTTCCTTGTGCATTTGAGTTACGCATTTGAGGCAGGAATATCACAGAAGCCATGTATGTTTTTCTTTTCTTATGTACGTTTGTATGGGTATGTATGTATGTATGTATGTATGTATGTATGTATGTATGTATCTATGTATTTTTTGGGATAGTCTCACTCTGTTGCCCAGGCTGGAATGCTGTGGTGTGACTGTGGCTCACTGTAACCTCTACCTCCCAGGCTCAAGCAATCCTCCAACCTCAGCCTCCCAAGTAGCAGGGACCACAGGCATGTGTCGCCACACCCCGCTAATTTTTAAATTTTTTGTAGAGACAGCCCACATTGCCAGGGCTGGTCTGAAAATCCTGGGCTCGAGCAATCCTCCTGCCTTGGCCTCCCGAAGTGCTGGGATTCTAGGTGTGCGCCACCGTGCCCAGGTGATGTGCATTTTTCTTACTGCATCTTATCAGATGCATATAGTGTCTATTTGTCCATTATTGGTGGTGTTAACTTTGATCCTTTGATTAATGTGTTTGCCAGGATTCTCCACTGTAAGGTTATTATTATTTTTTGTTATTAATATTTTATAGGGAGATATTTTGGTAGTATGTAGCTCTCCCATTCCTCATTCTGTTTTCACCCACTAGTTTTAGTGTTCGTTGATATTTCTTGTCTAAATTGTTACTATGATGATTGCCAAAGTGCTAATTCTGTCATTGCTTCTAAATTTATTAGTTGGCAATTTTACTGTAAGGAGGAATTTACTCTTTTTTTTTTTAATACCAATGTGTGCTGTGATCTGCATGTTTGTATCCCTGTAAAATTCATATGTTGAAAGTGATCACCAAGGTGATGGTATTAGAAGATAGAGCCTTTGGGTGGTGAAGAGATCTTGAGGGTAGAGCCCTCAATAATGGTATTAGTGCCCTGATAAAGATGCCTGAGGGAACATGTTAGCCTCTTTGCCCTTCTACCATGTGAGGACACATAGGAGGCGCCATTTACGAGGGCTTCACCAGACATCAAATCTGCTGGTGACTTGATCTTGAACTATACAGGCTCTTTAACTGTGAGCAATAAATTTCTGTTGTTTATAAATTATGCAGTCTGAGGTACTTTGTTGTAACAGCCTAAAGTGACTAAGGCAGTGTGGATATAAGGATTCCCATGTTCTTCAGTGAGTTGGCTTCTGTGTCTCTTTGACTTGTTCCCATCCTCATTTGAACACTTCCTTACTTCCTGGCACAACAAAATATTTTTTTATCTTACACTTTTTCTGCCCCAGTCCAGGAGATAGACATTTATCTGAGGACGTTGGTTCTGCTCAGTGGAGAACAGTATTTAGAAACCAAAATCTAGGTGTAGGTATGCTGATTACAGATGTGTTGCTGCTCCCAGGCACTCTCATTGGACAGTACTAAAAAATACATTCATTTATATCCATATATTTTTAGCTATATCTATCTGTGTATATTAAACGAGTTCACATCACTACCTTCAGTTGCAAGTCAGTGGCACAGGGTTCATTCTAGCCTTCTCCTTTCCTATGTTTTTCTTTGTTGTTGGTAAGAAACCTGACTTTTGTCATTCTCAGGTAGTTGTTTGCTCTGTCCCTGTACTACAGCTGTTCTCTTGACCCTGTCTGGCCACCCTCTCTGGCCTGGGCCCAAGCTGTTGTACAGTCGCGGTTACTGCCCCACCTCCTCTCCTTGGGGCTGTGTGGGCCCCTCCTGTAGCATATAAAGGATGAAAGCAGTCTGAGATTCAGCTGTGTGTGGTACATGTGTGACAGTAATGTGTTTTTTTCCTATGAATCCTATGTTTAGGATCAATACTTCAGAAATGTTGGGAGGATTAGAGATACTGAATGTAGAAGACTTAGCTCAATCGATTGGACTTATGTGCGACAGTGATACTTCGGTTATTATCATTATCTTAACAATGATGATTGCTAGCAGCTGTTATTTTTTATAAACCACTTAGGATTATTTAAATTGTAGCCAATTTCTATCGGTTTGTTATGGTATGTGTTAGTGCTATTTTGATATTCTGTGGTTAGAACTTGAAAGCAGGAGTTGAAGGTAAACAAGCATTATTTGGGTAATAGTGTCATCGGTGGAGGGTGTCCAGGTTCTTGACATCTTGAACAAAGAATTGGACAAAATGCACAGACAAAACAAGGAAGGAATGACGGGATTTATTGAAAATGAAAGTACACTCCACAGTGTGGGAGCAGGCCCGAGCATAGGGGCTCAAGAGCCCCGTTACAGAATTTTGAGGAGTTTAAATACCTTCTAGAGGATTCCATTAGTTACTTCGAGTATGCCCTATGTAAGGGAGGTTAAATACTTTCTAGAGGATTCCATTAGTTACTTCAGGTACGCCCTATATAAATGGAGAGAATGAAGTAAAGTTATAGTCATTTACTTGGCCTCTGCCCCATGGAGAGGATATTTCCTGTCATAGCTGAAGTGTGAGTTGGCCTTATGTTCCGTGCCTTCAGGCCCTATTTTCCTACCTCATCTGCCCCTGAGAGATGTGACCCTGAGAAATCTTTATGGGCGGCAGAGGGGGACCGTTGGTCTTTTTTTTTTTTCTGTAGCTTGTTTCATGCTGGCTTGAGGCATAGTCCCTACCTATTGGGGATCGTGGAACTGTCTCCCTGCTCTGTCTAGTGGAAGCAGGGTAGCTCCTTGATGGCCAGGGGTGGTGTCTTCACCTGGAACTGGCTGGAACCTTTGTTGCCTGATCATCTTAAGTTTGATGGTCTCTAGGCGAGAGGAAATGAATTGGATTAAAATATTTAATGGGGGCTTCAGAGGGTGGGTACCTATGCTGTCAGGAATGTTTGTTACAGAGTTTGCAGGCGATAAAACAAAACCTGGTCTATTCTAGGATCTACATGTTTCCTTAAAGCCTTAGCATGAACGACTCCATTTTAGTTTGGTTTGGTCTCTTGGGGCCTAGTGCATGAGATTAGTCCAAAACGATGGCCTCCCAGAATTTTGTTTAAAAAATTCCCCCTTTTTGGTCAGGTTCTCACTTAGGTGAGAGTGTGACCAAAATTTAGGGCCTTAGTATCACTCTCAGTTACCATTATTTTGGGTTTCTGGTCTCAGCACGTCATTCATAGGTTACGGTGTCCTCATGGTCACACATTTCTTTCAGCTCTTGTCATTTCAGTTGAAGAGAGACCATATGACATTCTAGAGATGGCTGCATGCAAGCATTTAAAACCTTTGAGAGAATACAGTGCACGAGAGAGACTATTATTATGACTATTTGGGAGGGTAATACCAAGAGTTGCTTACCCAAGGTCCCCGTAAAACAAACCTCCTAAATTCAAATAGAACAAAGAATGAGCTAAAGATTTTACTCACTTGCCTAGGCAATTTCTTTGTTAATCCCCTGCCACTGAATATCTTTTTTTTTTTGAGACAGAGTCTTGCTATCTTGCCCAGGCTAGAGTGCAATGGCATGATCTTAGCTCACTGCAACCTCTGCCTCCCGGGTTCAAGCAATTCTCCTCCCTCAGCCTCCCAAGTAGCTGGGATTACAGGCATGTGCCACCATGCCCAGTTAAGTTTTTGTATTTTTAGTAGAGACGGGGTTTCACCATGTTGGCTAGCCTCGTCTCGAACTCCTGACCTGAGGTAATCCACCCACCTCGACCTCTCAAACTGCTGGGATTACAGGCATGAGCCACTGCGCCTGGCCTACCACTGAATTTCTATAATCTTCATTGGATGTATTTCTCTATAGGCCACAAGTAGCAGCAGCTGTTCACATACTTCTCTGTTCAGCCAATTCCATTATAACTTTCACAGGAGAATTTAAAGTCTGTTGTGTAACAGTAGCTTTTACAGTAGAATTTGCTATAGAGTGTATTATGAGGGATACATTTCTAACACTACTTCTTTTACTTTTAACCTTGGAAAAAGGACCTAACAAATGATGCCCTTTTAGAACAGTGAAGGCCTCCTGGCAGTGTTCTCTTTAACCCATGATATGGGTTAAGAGTAGTGAACCAGTGTTTTGTTTTTGACTGATTATGAGGCAACGTATGTACCATTAAGGTTTCTTACCTACATTGGGTCTTCATCTTTTATCTATGGAAGTATAAGGCTGGCTGCAAACTCCTTCAAAAATAAAAGTACACCCCATTAGTGCACATAACAGACTCCTTTTCCATTATAAGCAAGAAAAACATTCAAAGATAAGAGTTTCATGATAGTAGAAGTTTTAATCTCTGAACTTGGGGAAAAACTGTTCACATCAAGGACGTCATCTTTTTCTTGGGAGAAATTTCCTTGGTTAGCTTTACCTCAAGGATTCAAATGGGTGCACAGTTCCAAAAGTATGGAGAGAGCCCTCTCAGTTGTGAGATTATGAACCCAAAGTTCAAGGTCCCGAAGTTTTGTTGTAGTGTGGATGGGAAGGACAGTCTTTCTCTGACGTTCTCAGAAGATCCAAACCATAAAAAACTGTCTTTACCTGGTAAAAATACACTGTAGTATAATAATCTACTGTTTTAGCATCAGCCCTCTTGCATGGGAAAGCTTTTATACAACCAGAAAACATGCATTGAAAATAACAATTTAATAAAATCCCTTTATAAAATGTTTAAATGGCCCATCAGGTCACCAAATGTATGTGAAGCTTTAATTATTTTCCCAGGAATGTGGGATCAAGCATTGATGATAAACTATCTTAAACAGTTTCAGTATCAGTTGGTTTAAAATGAAAATTGGACAAAGTATTTTCTTGATATTTAATTTTTTTTGGTTTTACTTGGGTTAGTAGCTTTATACAAGGAAATTTGGTTATTTCTATGGTTTACAATAACTTAATAACCAAACTTAGACATTGGGATTTTAGAAATCCCATACAATTTTGGAACATACATTATCCACAAAAATATATCCTAAAGAAGATTGAACATAATTTTGGCAATCCCATGTACCTAAACATGTCAGATAATCCTGTTTACCTTTTTTCTAGATGTTTTCAGGGGCCCTCTGATCCATCCACAAAGCCAGGCATTAGAAAAGACAATTTTGGGATGGCTGGGTCAAATGGTATTTCTAGTTCTAGATCCCTGAGGAATCGCCACACTGACTTCCACAATGGTTGAACTAGTTTACAGTCCCACCAACAGTGTAAAAGTGTTCCTATTTCTCCACATCCTCTCCAGCACCTGTTGTTTCCTGACTTTTTAATGATTGCCATTCTAACTGGTGTGAGATGGTATCTCATTGTGGTTTTGATTTGCATTTCTCTGATGGCCAGTGATGGTGAGCATTTTTTCATGTGTTTTTTGGCTGCATAAATGTCTTCTTTTGAGAAGTGCCTGTTCATGTCCTTTGCCCACTTTTTGATGGGGTTGTTTGTTTTTTTCTTGTAAATTTGTTTGAGTTCATTGTAGATTCTGGATATTAGCCCTTTGTCAGATGAGTAGGTTGCGAAAATTTTCTCCCATTTTGTAGGTTGCCTGTTCACTCTGATGGTAGTTTTCTTTTGCTGTGCAGAAGCTCTTTAGTTTAATTAGATCCCATTTGTCAATTTTGTCTTTTGTTGCCATTGCTTTTGGTGTTTTAGACATGAAGTCCTTGCCCATGCCTGTGTCCTGAATGGTAATGCCTAGGTTTTCTTCTAGGGTTTTTATACCCAAAGGACTATAAATCATGCTGCTATAAAGACACATGCACACGTATGTTTATTGCGGCACTATTCACAATAGCAAAGACTTGGAACCAACCCAAATGTCCAACGATAGACTGGATTAAGAAAATGTGGCACATATACACCATGGAATACTATGCAGCCATAAAAAATGATGAGTTCATGTCCTTTGTAGGGACATGGATGAAATTGGAAATCATCATTCTCAGTAAACTATCGCAAGAACAAAAAACCAAACACTGCATATTCTCACTCATAGGTGGGAATTGAACAATGAGAACACATGGACACAGGAAGGGGAACATCACACTCTGGGGACTGTTGTGGGGTGGGGGGAGCGGGGAGGGATAGCATTAGGAGATATACCTAATGCTAGATGACGAGTTAGTGGGTGCAGTGCACCAGCATGGCACATGTATACATAAGTAACAAACCTGCATATTGTGCACATGTACCCTAAAACTTAAAGTGTAATAATAATTAAAAAAAAAAAAAGACAATTTTGAAACTGAAGTTTGATTTTGGAATTCCAGATTCCCGTAAATTATTTATTTTGCCAGAATGATGACTCAGAAATTTTAAAGAAGTAAAAACCTTTTATAACCTTTTACCAAAAAAACCTCACATTCTACTGTTCTTACACACATTGTATGTAAGACTGTTTCTTTTTTTGTTGTTGTTTTGAGATGGAGTCTTGCTCTGTTGCCCAGGCTGGAGTGCAGTGGCGCTATCTCGGCTCACTGCAACCTCTGCCTCCCGGGTTCAAGTGACTCTCCTCCCTCAGGCTCCCAGGTAGCCAGGACTACAGGCGCGCACCACCATGCCAGGCTAATTTTTGTAGTTTTAGTAGAGACAGGGTTTCCCCATGTTGGCCAGGCTGGTCTGGAACTCCTGACCTCAGGTGATCAGCCCGCCTCGGCCTCCCACAGTGTTGGGATTACAGGCGTGAGCCACCACACCCAGCTGTAAAACTGTTTCTAGTAGTCTTAATTGCATGTTATAATGGCAACTCTTAGAAATTTTAATTTTGATGTAAAACCTGGTGAGTTATGTTCAATAAGGTTTGATGTATAGTCATGACTCCACATGTCCCCAGGCCTTACCTAGCTGGAAAGCAGGCAAGTTAAACAATTTTCAAAAGCCAAAGAAACAGCTTATGACCCTAAAGCAAATATTTGAACATAATTTAATTACATATTATGTTATACATAATTATACATAACATAATATGTAACCACATATTTACATTTTGAAGACATATTTTACCAATTATCTTTAAAACTATCCTTATTTCCCAGAAATTACTCAAGTCACATGAACTAGATAAAAGACATTACACTTTTCACTTTTCTGACAAAATATTTGATTTAAGCTCCTCTTCCTCTTCCTCCTCCTCCTCTTCCTCTTCCTCTCCTCCTCCTTCTCATTCTCCTTCTCCTTCTCCTTCAACAGTCTCACTCTCCGCTCACTGCACCTCTGCCTCCTGGGTTCATGTGATCTCCTGCCTCAGCCTCCCAAGTAACTGGGATTACAGGCGTGCCCCGCCATGCCTGGCTAATTTTTGTATTTTTAGTAGAGATGGGGTTTTACCATGTTGGCCAGGCTGGTCTCGTACTCCTGACCTCAGGTGATCTGCCTGCCTCGGCCTCCTAAAGTGCTAGGATTACAGGCATGAGCCACTGAACCTGGCTTCTTATTATTACAGCAATTAATTTAAAACTTTATGGAGGAGATAAACAGTGACTTTTACTTTATATTTAACTAGTTTGCACAGAGAAAGAAGCCAGATATAGACTGGTAAGAAATTCTTACCCTTTTGCCAGCATGCCAGTTTTCTGGGTTCTCTCTCTCTGAGTGATCCTAGTGACCCTGCTTGACTGTATGCAGACAAACACATTGCCATGAATTAAGAATACTCACAAATAGTTTACAGATTTTTGGGGGAAATTAGGCAGAGAAAGAGAAGTATGATTCAAATTCTATTTACAAGAATATACTCAACACAGTTAAAGTATCAGGAGGCCTAAAATCCAAAAAGTTAGCTTAAGGATGAAAAGCTGGTGTGCTCCATTAATCTCTACTGATAAAGGTAGTTTAGGAATTCCAGATAAATGGAACAAATGATGACTTGCTAGAAATGCATCAGAAACAAAATAACCATTCGCGGAACCAAGTAAAAGCCTTCCACTAGGAACTAAAAAATATCATGGTTTTTTATATATATGCATACACAAGCAAAGCCAGAGGAGAATAAACAGCAAATGAATGAAAACTAGAAGCAAAAACAAACAGGAAACCAACCCTAAATTTTCCTATTTAATTTACCCTGGAGGCTACAGTGTTACCTAGGGCCCCAGAAAACTCACATAATGAATATTTTATTCCTGATACACAATTTAATATCCTTTAGTTTACCAGTACTATTATACATTCTATGCAGTCAAGAAATCCACTTTAGGCACATGACCAGTAAGTACTCCAGTGCCAGCACTATCTATGCAAAACAGTAAACATAATGTGAAGCAATGCAGGCATGTGTGTGAAATTTGGCTCCACAGTAAATCCAGCTTCATGCTTAACTATATTAAAAAAAGAATTGCCAAACTGCTGATGGATTTCTTTCTTTCTTTTCTTCTCTCTTCTCTTCTCTCCCCTCCCCTCCCCTCCCCTCCCCTCCCCTTCCCTTTTCCTGAGATGGAGTATTGCTCTGTCACCCAGGCTGGAGTGCAGTGGTGCGATCTCAGCTCACTGCAAGCTGAGTGAGCTTGCAGTTCAAGCAATTCTCTTGCCTCAGGCTCCCCAGTAGCTGGGATTACAGGCATGTGCCGCTATGCCCAGCTAATTTTTGTATTTTTAGTAGAGATGGGGTTTCACCGTGTTGGCCAGGTTGATCTCGAACTCCTGACCTCATGATTCACCCACCTTGGCCTCCCAAAGTGCTGGGATTACAGGCGTGAGCCACCGTGCCTGGCCCGCATTTCTTTACAATACTTCTTATTTTACTTTAATCAAGGCTAGGAGCTTTGAATATGAAAGTGTTAATTAGCCTTATGTCTTCAATTCTCTATCGGGTTTTAAAGAATATTTTATTATTTAAACTTTTCCCACATCTTTCTCCCCTACTTAATGACTCCTTACTACATTGTTTCATAAATAACCTTTTAAATCTGTAATTTGAACTGACTTTTAGATAACTTCTGAATTAGACAAAATTATTCTTTCTTCCACTAATAACATAATCCTTTCTGGCACATTTTGTATACAGAATTACGTGTTAACTAAAATTCTTATCCTTAGTAACCTAAAACTTTAGTGAAACCCTAAAAAGCAAGAAATCCTGAACTATCAGATATGGGCATTTATAGATAAGAACAATTCCACAATTTTAGAAACATATTTCCCCATATCACAACCATTTCTTAGTTGAAGATGACCCAGATATTAAATGAGCATCGAAAATAACTTTAAGATTTTAATTTACACAAAAAGTTTACCTAAAACATTTATCCCATTTGCTGTACTTAATTTTTACTTTTAACAAGGGAGACACGAGACATCAACCAACACATGTAAAATAAACATTGGTTCGTTCCAGAAAGGCAGGACAATTCGAGGTGGGGAGGGGGCTTGGGGGCTTTCAGATCATAGGTAGGTGGGAGACAAACGGTTACATTCTTTTGAGTTTCTGATTAGTCCTTCCAAAGGAAGCAATCAGATGTGCATTTATCTCAGTGAGACTTTGAATAGAATGAGAGGCAGGCCCGAATTAACACTGACATTTAAAAATACCTAGCAAAGACAAACATAAAATTCAGACAAAATGTATGCTGACAATTCTGAAGGCATTTCTATTTTTATTCCACCTATAATTTTGAAGCTAATTTGTTTAGTAGAGTTATACTTCTAAGTCACGTGAACTTGAAAATTGCTTAGACTTAATTTATGAGCACTCTTACTTATAAGCCAATTTTGGTAGACACAACATGTAACAATAAGTGTACATACGAATAAATACATCTAGACATCTATACACACACACAAACGAAGATCCAATTGCTTGGAACCTTAGCCATGAGGTAGCAATACAAGCTTGCCAGTTTTACTTTGCCCCAATAGATAATCCAATGAAGGCTGTGAACCAAAATTTTGGGTAAAGCAGTCTCCATGGCAGTTTGATTATTAAAGGCCAAACCTCCCCAGACTCTGAAGAGCACTGGGGCCAAACAGTACCAAAGGAGAACGTCACATTAATCAGGCCCCCTGCTTAGAACCGCAGCACAAAAGCCTGGATACATGCAACGCCATCCCATTTTCCCATTAAACAGTAAGCTCCAGATTCCAAACAATTTTGGGGCCAAGCAGCGTTACAACTGCGGGAGAATTCTGAGGAGGGCTCAGAACTTCTAGACCTCAGAACCTCTGCAAGAGCATCCTCTTTGGGGAGGCTGAGGTCCACAGGATCCCCCAGAGCATCCTCCTATGGGGTCCAGTCTTAGTGTGTCACATGTCTCTGATGTCTCTGACCTTAGGTGGGCACCGGTGCCACATGCGTAGAGACGAAGTTTTGCCATGTTTCCCAGGCTGGTCTCCAACTCCTGGGCTCAAGCGAACTGCCCGCCTCAGACTCCCAAAGTGCTGGGATTATAGGCATGAGCTACCTTGCCTAGTCAAATTTTCTTTTATTGCTACCCTTGTATCTGTCTGCCTAAGTCTTTTTGTTGTTCTCAAATTGAAATTTGATGATAATAGTTTAGTAGTTATAGTATTATAGTATTGGGCATTAGGAGGAATATTTTTTATGTAAATCTTCTTTTGTAGAAATAGGTAACAGTAGGGCCGGGTGCGGTGGCTCAAGCCTGTAATCCCAGCACTCTTGGAGGCCAAGGCGGGCGGATCACAAGATCAGGAGAAAGAGACCATCCTGGCTAACTCGATGAAACCCCCTCTCTACTAAAAATACAAAAAAATGAGCTGGGCCTGGTCGTGGGCGCCTGTAGTCCCACCTACTCAGGCTGAGGCAGGAGAATGGCATGAACCTGGGAGACAGAGCTTGCAGTGAGCCGAGATCGCACCACTGCACTCCAGCCTGGGCAACAGAGTGAGACTCAAAAAAAAAAAAAAAAATTAGACTCAAAAAAAAAAAAAGAAATAGGTAACAGTATAACTTAGTGGAAATGTATAACTCTGTAAATAAAGAGTAATTTAGTAGAAACAATGGGGGAAAGGTATTTTAAGGCAACTTTTTCTGGTGTTTGGGATCATGTTTCAAACAGATGAGCAACAGCATAACCCTCCTGCTGTTTAGAGAATCCATTTGTTTGCTGGAGCTCTGTAGTGTTAGATTTAACTACTGAAATAGCTCTTTGTTTAAAAACTCCCTGTGGTTATAGTTTTTGCTCACATATGCCTGGTTGCATTCTCACTAACCCTTCTCCATACCTGCCAAATATTCAGCTGTCTTATTTTCAACTCTTAGGAATTGTACTTTTGAGTCAGTGAACAGCAGACCAATTCACAGCAATATTTTGAGGTCTGCTGCAGTGACTTTGACTCTTCAGCCCTTTAAGTCCCAAAGTGGCTTAGACTCTTTAGCCCTTTAATCTTCATCAGTGTTTCATTTGGAAAATAGCAAGCCATCAAGAACCAACTATTTTTTTTTTAAATTATACTTTAAGTTCTAGGGTACACGAGCACAACGTGCAGTTTTGATACATAGGTATACATGTGCCGTGTTGGTTTGCTGCATCCATCAATTCATCATTTACATTAGGTATTTCTCCTAATGCTATCCCTCCCGAAGTCCCCCACCCACCAGCAGGCCACAGTGTGTGATATTCCCCGCCCTGTGTCCAGTTGATCTCATTGTTCATTTCCCATCTATGCATCTATGAGTGAGGACATGTGGTGTTTGGTTTTCTGTCCTTGTGATAGTTTGCTGAGAATGATGTCTTCCAGCTTCATCCATGTACCTGCAAAGGACATGAACTCATCCTCTTTTATGGCTGCATAGTATTCCATGGTGTATATGTGCCACAATTTCTTAATCCAGTCTATCATTGATGGACATTTGGGTTGAAGAACCAACATTTTTTAAAAATTATATTTCTAATTATAGTTAGAACCAAACTATACAAAAAAACTACAATTTTAAACAGCTAGACATTTGGGAACCAAAATTTGCTTTAGTTGAGCTCTATTGATTTTATTTTATTTTTATTTTATTTTTTTGAGATGGAGTCTTGCTCTGTAACTCAGGCCAGAGTGCAATGGCGCAATCTGGGCTCACTGCAACCTCCACCTCCTGGGTTCAAGTGATTCTCCTGCCTCAGCCTCCTGAGTAGCAGAGACTTACAGGTGTGTGCCCGGCTAATTTTTGTATTTTTAGTAGAGACGGGGTTTCACCATATTGGCCAGGCTGGTCTTGAACGCCTGACCTCTGGTGATCTGCCCTCCTCAGGCTCCCACAGTGCTGGGATTACGGGCATGAGCCACCATGCCTGGTGAGCTTTATTGATTTTAGCTTTCTTTCAAGTGGGAATGTATTTGTAAGGTGTTGTCTAGGGATAACTATACTTGTTAGTGATGTCTTTGCCTTTTTTGATATCACTTAACATTAAGGAAGAAAAATACCACTGTCATTTTATGTAGCAGAAGAAAAACTGCTCTTGGTCCTCTGGTGACAGAAAGTACTCTCAGGATTGAGAGGATCAGTGTCTCTACATAACCATAATCCTTGAGAAGTTTGCTGTAGACTCTCAAAGTGTGGATCTTTGGCACCACCTAGGAGTATGTTTGAAATGCAGGATTTCGGGTCCTAATCATTGGATTATAATGCATTTTAATAAGATCCCTAGGTGATTTGAAAGCACCTTCCAAAGTGGATGCCTGTATATTTAATTTAAATGGTTTGAGATAAGGTGAATAAGAAAAATCCTTGGATTCAATATAACACCAGTTCTGTCTTTGAGAGATTCCCAATAAGGGAGCCTCAATGTAGATCCCCGTACTGTCCTTTCACACTTGCAATTATTTTCTTGTTTAATGTGTTTTTTTCTCCTTCTGGATTCTAAGTTTTCTCCTCCTGGACTGAGGGTTTGTTCATCATTTTATTTCCCAGCACATTAGGACATTGCTTAGCAAATATGTTTTCAATAATTTTCTTATTTGTGTGAGTGACAGGATCTCACTCTGTCACCGAAGCTGGAATGCAGTGGTATCTTCTCAGCTCACTGCAACCTCAACCTCCTGGGCTCGTGATTCTTCCACCTCAGCTTCCTGAGTAGCCGGGACTTTAGGTGTGTGCCACCATGCCTGGATAATTTTTGTATCTTTTGTAGAGACAGGGTTTTGCCATGTTGTCCAGGTGGTCTTGAACTCCTGGGCTCAAGCAGTCCGTCCACCTTGGCCTCCCAAGTGCTGGGATTACAGCCATTTTTTTTTTTTTTTTAATTAACTGAAGATTGTCATGGGAGAGAACAGTGGCCTATGAGTGAGGAAATCCGAGATTCAGAGTCTTTGGTCTGTCACTAGCTATGTGACCTTGGGCAGATGACTTAATTTCTTAGTTTCTATTTCCTCTGCCTACTGGAGGGTAACGAATGCTTCTTCCATTGGGTTAATGTGAGACTTGAATGACAGAATGTATATGAAAGCTTTTCATAAACCAGAGTCCTGTATAAACACTGTCATTATCTCCACTCATGAAATTCCCAAGCCCAGTGTATAAACTGTTTGTGCATTCCAGTTTTTTGTTTAGCTGTCTTACAAATGTATGGCATTATTGCATAATAAAATGAACATTTATTGAACACCTCCTGTGTGTAAAAGCGAAGTGTTAGGTGCTTGCTGGTGGTGGGAGGAGAAAGGAAGGGGTTTAGAAATAAACAAGATGTGCCGGGCGCAGTGGCTCACGCCTGTAATCCCAGCATTTTGGGAGGTGGATCATGAGGTCAGGAGATCGAGACCATCCTGGCTAACACGGTGAAACCCCGTCTCTACTAAAAATACAAAAAAATTAGCCGGGCGTGGTGGTGGGCGCCTGTAGTCCCATCTACTTGGGAGGCTGAGGCAGGAGAATGGCGCAAACTCAGGAGGTGGAGCTTACAGTGAGCCGAGATTGTGACACTGCACTCCGGCCTGGGCAACAGAGCAAGACTCCGTCTCAAAAAAGAAAAAAAAAAAAAGAAATAAGATGCGGTCTCTGTCCTCAAGAATCTTAGCACTGGAGACCAGCGTGTTACATAGATGTGCTCCTTAATGGTTGTTTTAAACTCTCAGTTCCAAGTCCACTGGCTAATGATGGTTAAAGACCCTTGCACTGCAAGATATTGCATTGAGTATACAAACTTTCTTGGGTGTATGTGTGAAATAATTGCAGTCTGTGTTCATCAAAAATTAGGAATATAAAGAAAAAAATTGCTGTCAGCCAGGCGCAGTGGCTCATGCCTGTAATCCCAGCACTTTGGGAGGCTAAGGTGGGCAGATCATCTGAGATCAGGAGTTCGAGACCAGCCTGGCCAACATGATGAAACCCCCGTCTCTACTAAAAATACAATAATTAGCCAGGCATGGTGGCACTCGCCTGTAATCCCAGCTACTTGGGAGGCTGAGGCAGGAGAATCGCTTGAACCTGGGAGGCGGAGGTTGCAGTGAGCTGAGATCATGCCACTGTACCCCAGCCTGGGCAACAGAGTGAGAATCTGTCTCAAAAAAAAAAAAATTGCCGTCAATACCACAGTTATAAATATGTGTAGTGCATTCACCTATTCAAAACAGCAAGAATTTTGCCGAATTGAGCTTCCGGTTTTTAGTCAGATGCTGTTTTTATTGTGTGGATGCGGGGGCCTCCCCTGCTTGTTCTTGGCATTGCTGCCACTGCTGTTCCACTTTAGCATCTTGGTTTTTAACATGGAGGGGAAGTGGTAGGAATCCTTCGGTGCACTCGCTTCCTGTAGTTCACTTGGGCATTTCAGGTAGATATTGGAATGGGCTGGAAGTGGTCTGCAAAACTCCAAGGCATAGAAGGCCTCCCTGAGATGTTTGCTTACCACTCCAGCCTCATCCGTGCCTTCCTGCTCTAACATCCCTCCCCCACAGTGTTCAGTGATTTTATTTGCATTTCTCTCAACCTGCTTTGCTCCATCTTTCTGCCTTTGTAAATGCCGTTCCTGTTATTCTGGCTGTTATTCTTCTCCTCCCCACCCCCATTTCTTTAGCTCAGGAGCCAACTTTTTCCCTGGCCTGTGCCCCCTTCCCAGTTTGTTAGATACCATTTCAGTGCCCTTTATAGTCCTTATCATAGTCCTTTCCAAAAAGACATTGTACTCCACCCACTGTCATGTGTATGATCTCTTTGAAGATGGGGCATTTTCAAAAAATGTTTGTTTTAAATCTCTACCACCTAGCATAGTGCCTCTTAGTAACAATTTTTTTTCCTGACTAATCAATGACATTTTCAAGAATTTTGTTTTTTTTTTTTTTGAGATGGAGTCTTGCTGTGTCACCTAGGCTGGAATGCAGTAGTGTGATCTCGGCCCACTGCACCCTCTGCCTCCCGGGTTCAAGCGATTCTCCTGCTTCAGCCTCTTGAGTAGCTGGGATTACAGGCGCGTGCCACCATGCCCGGCTAATTTTTTGTATTTTTAGTAGAGATGGAGTTTCACCATGTTGTTCAGGCTGGTCTCGAACTCTTGACCTCGTGATCCACCGCCTCAGCCTCCCAAAGTGCTGGAATTACAGGTATGAGCCACCACACGTGGCCTGACATTTTCAAGAATTTCATCACGGGTGGTGAGAGTATGAGTGATTCTCCTCAGTCTGTTGTATGTTTTTCCATTGTAAAGATTTTAGGGAAAATATTAAAAGGTGGCTACTGTGCACAGAAGAGTTTAGAATACCTATTTATTGGATTTTTATAATAAAAAAACTTTTTTTTAATAGACACGGGGTCTTGCTATGTTACCTAGGCTTGTCTTGAACTCCTAGGTTCAAGTGATCCTCCCACCTTGGCCTCCCAAAATGCCGATATTACTGGCGTGAGCCCCTGCACTCAGCCTTATTTATTGTATCTTTATCACATAGTTTTGTAGAGACCTTCTTTACAGGATTGTCATATACCAGGCACAAGTTTCCTATTTTCCAATGTGCCCTGTAAATTGTGTTCCCTCTACCAGGGAATGAGAGTGCTCATTTCCCTGCATTCCCACTATCATTGCATCATTAAGAAAAAGAGTCATGAAAGCTTCTTGGACTTTTAAAATTAATGCCAAATAAACAAGATAATAGTAAAGGTACTTCCAAATAATTTCTGTCCCCTGTATTTCTTTTCTTCTTTTTCTTTTCTTTCTTTCTTTTTTTTTTTTTTTTTTGAGACAATCTTGCTGTCACCCAGGCTGGAGTGCAGTGGCGTGATCTTGGCCCACTGCAAGCTCCACCTCCCAGGTTCAAGTGTTTCTCCTGCATTAGCCTCCCAAGTAACTGGGATTACAAGTGTGTGCCACCACGCCCGGCTAATTTTTGTGTTCTTAGTAGACAAGGGATTTTCCCATGTTGGCCAGGCTGATCTCCAACTCCTGACCTCAAGTGATCTGCCCACCTTGGCCTCCCGAAGGATTACAGGTGTGAGCCACTGCATCTGGCCAATTTAATTTTATTATTTTATTTTTGGAGATAAGGTCTTGCTCTGTGGCTGAGTCTGTAGCACAGTGGCCCAACAACTGCTTATTGTGGCCTCCACCTCCTGGGCTCAGATGATCCTCTTACCTCAGCCTCCTGAGTAGCTGGGACCACAGGTACACGTCACCACACCAAGCTAATTTTTTTTTTTTTTTTGAGATGGAGTCTCACTCTGTCGCCCAGGCTGGAGTGCAGTGGCGCGATCTTGGCTCACTGCAAGCTCCGCCTCCTGGGTTTACGCCATTCTCCTGCCTCAGCCTCCCGAGTAGCTGGGACTACAGGCACCCGCCACTGCGCCCAGCTAATTTTTTGTATTTTTAGTAGAGACGGGGTTTCGCCGTGGTCTCGATCTCCTGACCTTGTGATCCGCCCGCCTCGGCCTCCCTTAATACAGCCACTGCGCCCAGCCTTAATTTTTAAAATTTTTTGTAGAGACAGCGTCTCCCTATGTTGCCCAGGGTGGTCTTGAAGTCCTGGGCTTGAGCAATTCACCCGTCTCAGCCTCCCAAAGTGTTGGAATTACAGGCATGAGCCACCGTGCCTGGCCAGAATGAAGTTTTAAAATTTAAAATTTAGATTTAAAATGAAGTTTTAACAATTTACTAGAAAAATAATGCTTTTTTCGAAATTAGCATATAGTATAGTCTATAAGGGTGGATTTCACAAACTGAGATATTTAACTCAGTGTATATCTTGTTTCTTAGTTTTTTTTTGATATTTTACTACAGGCAATAAACTGATAATTTAGTGTACATAAACATGTTTGGGAGGCAGATGGCATATGTGGAGCTCTAAAAATAACTAAATTCTGGGGGTAGATTTAAAGTTACTTTTCACTTACTTCTCTTAATTCTTTTATTGCTTTTCTCATGGAGTCTGTTAGAAAGCTATGCCAGGGTTTTTAGTTTCTGATTATTTCAGGATGAAGAGTTTTTTTCTTTTAGTAACTCTTTCCCCAAAGTATGAGTAAACAGTCGTGTCCAATTGCTAGTGCATGTGAAGAATATGCTTTTATGGCATGCTTGTTATTTTTGAGTATTTACAAGTTGAACTATTAAGAGTAATTTATATGTTACAACAACTCAGAACACTCTACCTTTTTTTATTAGTAAAATCAGTAAATACTGTGCATGATTGTATGTGTGAAACCCTGGTAGCTTAATGAATTTTTTCTTTTTTTAAATGTCAGGTCTGACAACTGTGCTTGCATTTCACTTATTTCAAAAAGAGGAAGAGGGAGGATTTTTGCATTTAGTTTTGTGCATTTTTTTCTTTTTTTCCCTCTGATGGTTTTCACTTATTTCTGTTATCCTCTCTTAGTTTAAATGGTCAGAGTCGAAACCCATTCTAGGTATTGGGGAGCATTGCAACGTCTCAAATAATGTGAAATGTCACTTTTGCAGTTGACTGTATTAGCACTAAAGGGACTTCTTTAAACATTTTTAATTGTACCTTTCCTTTTTTTTTTTTTTTTTTTTTAACACAGCTGTTTCTCTGCCTTGTGTCCCAGGTTTGATTGCATCTGTATATTACTTTCACAGTGGGCCTTTCCTGACATCACACTGATAACCACTAGCTGCTTTTGTTAGACTTTGTTTAGAGAAATCATGGTTGTCCTGTGCTTGGGTACCATAAGCTCATGCTTAAAGCATTGGTGATCTGAAAGATCTGTTAGCTTCCCAGACAGAAAGGGGAGAATGAAATTAGCTTTAATGAAATAAATGTTTTGGCTCAGTTGTATAGAATAATTCAAGTCTTCTTATGATTTGCAGTTACATTCTGAAAGAATATGTCTAGAACTGTGTATGCCCCTGTAAATCAGGCTCAAAGAGGTAGGACTTAGACTTTAGGTGGTGGTAGTTACAAAACTTATAATTTGGGCAAAATCATCGTACTTTTGTGTCTCTTTTTCTTATTCATAAAATAACAGTTTTTATTTGACAACATGCAGGCTTTCTTCCTAAACATGTTAGAGAAGATTTATGATTGGCTTGTGGAACTGGTCAGAATGAGATCAGACCTCTGAATAAATAGATTACCTTTAGTGATTTTTTAGGGTTGGAAAAATTTCTAGTCCAGCCTCTTTGTTTTTAGATGAAATATTTGCTTTGGGTTTTATGATTTTCTGAGGTCACACTTTGTCAACTGTATAAATACATTCTGGTGAGACTAATTTTGATTACCAAGAATTCCAAGTGTCTTATTTTAGTTGAATTTTATGACATTAAGACAATTTTCCACCTTTCAGAGACAGGATGTCACTCTGAGGCTGGAGTGCAGTGGGGCGATGGTAGTTCACTGCAGCCTCGAACTCGTGGGCTCAAGCAATCCTCCCATCTCAGTCTCCTAAGTAGCTGGGAGTACAGGCACATGCACCATGCCTGGCTAAGTTTTGTTGTTGTTGTTCAGACGTGGTCTTACTGTGTGGCCCAGGTTAGTCTCGAAGTCCTGGGCTCAAGCAATCCTCCCACTTCGGCCTTCCAAACTAGTGGGATTGTAGGCATGAGGCACTGCACCTGGCTGGTTTTCTGCTCTTTTCGCAGTTTCTTGTTAAAAATGTACAATATGTAGATATAACTCAAGCCTGTATCTGTGGAGCAGGCCTCTAGTAGCTACCAAGGATAAAGAGATGGTACAGATCTATTTAGCTGGTATTAATTATTGAATATCGATTGTATGCCAAGTGGTGCTCTATATTTCTATATATATAATTTAATTTTCAGATTATAAGAGAAATCATATCATCCATCATGTAGATTATATGATTTGCAATCAAAATGATTGCAGTCAAGCAATTAAATAGCTTACCTGGAATCACGTAACTAGTACTAGACAGATCAGCATTTCCAGTCTAGGTGATCCAACAGCAAAAATCAAGGAATTTTTTTCTTTTTCTTTCTTTTTTTTAACCACATGAAGTAGGTAATGCCTGAGTTAAATAATAATAGTAAATGGGTTTTATTGATCTTTGTGCCAGGCATTGCACTAGTATTTTATTTTCTGATTTCTAATCCTTGGGAAAACTCTTGCAGCATGCTGGTCTCTCCATTTTGTAGATGAGGCAAATAAGGTTCTAGAGAGGCTGGGAAGTAAATCAACTCTCTCACTAAATTGTGGAGTTGCAGTGTGATTCCAGAGCCATAGGACTCCATCAGTCTGTGTTTTTCCACTGCCCCATGCTGCTTGTTGGTTTTGTAAATTACAACGTGGTACATGTTTCTGGCTTTTGTTTTCCTTAGGGGCCATTGGTATATCACATTGATTGAATGTAGCAGTGTTTCTAATGTGGATGTTTTTGAAACAATTTTGGTAATAGCACTAAGGATGATAGCAGTAGCAGCTACCAGCTAGCTAATTAGGATGCCATTAGAATGAAAAGTCTCCATTTGTATAGATGGTTTTGACTTATCTATAGTATACTGTAAGAACGCTGGGTCATATATCTATATTATTGTATTAGTCTGTTCTCATACTGCTGTGAACAAATACCAGAGACTGGGTAATTTATAAAGAAAAGAGGTTCAACTGACTCCCAATTCCACAGGCTGTGTAGGAGGCATGGCTGGGGAGGCCTCAGGAAACTTAACAATCATGGCAGAAGGGGGAAAGGGAAGCAAGCACTTCTTCACATGGTGACAGGAGAGAGAGAGAACAAAGGGGCAAGTGTTAAGCACTTTTAAACCACCAGATCTCAGGAGAACAAAATCACTGTCACAAGAACAGCAAGCGGGAAGTCCATCCCCATGATCCAATTACCTCCCACCACGCCCCTCCTCCAACACTAAGACATGAGATTTGGGTAGGGACACAAAACCAAACCATATCAATTATATAGTATATTTAGGTTTTAAAAACAGAGCAGTTTACTAACATTTCTATACATAATCCATTTTATTACCATGTTTTGATTAAGCATTCAAACTAGTTTTAATTAGGCTTTCAAACTTAAAAAACTTTATTTTTGTCAGTGTTCTTCATGTACGTAGTTTAATTTAGAGTCAAATAGTTCTATAGGGCTTGTAATAAAAATAACTCTTTTTTTTTTTTTTTTTTTTTTTTTTTGAGACAGAGTCTTGCTCTGTCAACCAGGCTGGAGTGCAATGGTGTGATCTCGGCTCACTGCAACCTCCGCCTCCCGGGTTCAAGCGATTCTCCTGCCTCAGCTTCCCGAGTAGCTGGGATTACAGGCTCCCGCTACCACGCCTGGCTAATTTTTGTATTTTTAGTAGAGATGGGGTTTCACCATGTTGGCCAGGCTGGTCTCAAACTCGTGACCTTATGATCCGTCCACCTTGGCCTCCCAAAGTGCTGGGATTACAGGTGTGAGCCACTGTGCCTGGCCAATTATTGAATCCTTATTGTGGAGGAAAAGGTTTCACCCCTCTCTTACCACATAGGGCTGGGTGCAGTGGCTCACGCCTGTAATCCCAACACTTTCTGAGGCCGAGGCAGGTGGAGCACTTGAGGCCAGGAGTTCAAGACCAGCCTGGTCAACATGGCAAAGATCTTGTCTCTACAAAGAAGAAAAAAAGTTTTGCAAATACCACATACATACTTCTCATTCTGCAACTTATTTTATTTATTTATTTATTTTTGAGGTGAAGTCTCGCTCTGTTGCCCAGGCTGGAGTGCAGTGGCACGATCTCTGCTCACTACAACCTCTGCATCCTGGGTTCAAGTGATTCTCCTGCCTCAGCCTACCGAGTAGCCAGGATTACAGGCATGTACCACATGTGCCTGGCTAATTTTTGTATTTTTAGTAGAGATGGGGTTTCACCATGTTGGCCAGGTTGGTCTCGAACTCCTGGCCTCAAGTGATTCACCTGCCTCAGCCTCCCAAAGTGCTGGAATTACAGGCATGAGCCACTGTGCCCGGCCCCATTCTGCCAACTTTTCAATATATATTATGTAAACACTGTGGACAGTTGAGCCAAGTACTGGAATATAATTTTTTTTTTCTTTTGAGACCGAGTCTTGCTCTGTCACTCCAGGCTGGAGTGCAGTGGTGCGATCTTGGCTCACTGCAACCTCTGCCTTCCAGATTCAAGTGATTCTTCTGCCTCAGCCTCCCGAGTAGCTGGGATTACAGGCGACTGCCACCATGCTTGGCTAATTTTTTTGTATTTTTAATAGAGACAGGGTTTCACCATGTTGGCCAGGCTGGTCTCGAACTCCTAACCTCAAGTGATTTGCCTGTCTCAGCATGCCAAAGTGTTGGGATTACAGGTGTGAGCCACCCCACCCAGCCTGGAATATAATTTTATTTTTCCTCTTATGCATAACTTGATGCTGTCTCCGTAATTGTTTTGTTTAATTTCATATGTATTCATTAGTCTTTTATCCTCAAATACTCCCCCAGTTAACCTTCACACATATTTAAATTCTTTTCTTATAATTAAAAAAATTATTTTTAATTTTTAAGATTAATTATTATTATTATATGTATATTTTTAGAGACAGGGTCTCTCTCTGTTGCCGAGGCTAGAATATGGCAGATCATAGCTGTAGCCTCCCACTTCTGGGCTCAAATGATCCTTCTGCCTAGCTGGGACTACAGGTGCAGTGCATGCCAGTATGCCCGACTAATGTTTTAAATTTTTTTGTAGAGATGAGGGCTTGCTATGTTGCCCAGATATAAGGAGTTTAAAATTGTATTAGTCTTGTTCAGCCTTCAGAAGAAATGCTAGGCCTCTGACCAACAAATGACCCTATGTGGGCTACAGCCTACATGGAGATTAAACACCCACCAGTCCTGAAAAACTTCAGATAAGAAAGGGAGTATACCGTGGAACTTCTCAAACCTAGGGAATCTGGGCAATTCTCTAGGTTTCATACCATCCGAAGACACACAAAGTAAAAAATTAAGCATTATGAATTAAACCTTTAGAGCTGCATATTTGCACGTAGCTGATAATTTCAGTTAGCGGCTTGGCAACATAAACTGGGACCCTCTGATTGCTCTCTGAAGTCTCGCCTGTGGAGTAAGCACACATTGCCTGGAACTCATTTCAGTTGGAACTCCAGATGGCTGTTCTAGGACTTCCCGACACTGCTTAATCTGAATGTAGGTATTTTCCTCAACTTGGTGAATGTGTGTGTGTGTATTTTCCTTTTCTCTCACTTTAGTCTTTGCTAAGTTAACCATTATACTCTTTTTTTTTTTCTTTTGAGACAGGGTCTTACTCTGTCACCCAAGCTGGAGTGCAGTGGCTCACTGCAATTTCTGCCTCCTTGCACTGCTCACTGCAACTTCTGCCTCCTGAGCTTAGGCGATTCTCCCACCTCAAGCCTCTGGAGTAGCTGGGACTACAGGTGTGTACCACCATGCCTGGTACACTAATTTTTTTTTTTTTTTTTTTTTTGAGACGGAGTCTCGCTCTGTTGCCCAGGCTGGAGTGCAGTGGCGGGATCTCGGCTCACTGCAAGCTCCGCCTCCCGGGTTCACGCCATTCTCCTGCCTCAGCCTCCCAAGTAGCTGGGACTACAGGCGCCCACCACTACGCCCGGCTAATTTTTTGTATTTTTAGTAGAGACGGGGTTTCACCGTTTTAGCTGGGATGGTCTCGATCTCCTGACCTCGTGATCCGCCCGCCTCGGCCTCCCAAAGTGCTGGGATTACAGGTGTGAGCCACCGCGCCCGGCCGGTACACTAATTTTTGTATTTTTAGTAGAGACAGAATTTTGCCATGTTGGCCAGGCTGTATTCGAACTCCTGAGCTCAAGCAGTCCGCCCACCTCAGCCTCCCAAAGTGCTGGGATTGCTGGAATTACAGGCATGAGCCACCAGTATACTCTTTTGCTATGCTAATCATTAAACTTTTCTTTGAACTGCATTTAAGTGTAATATTGTGGTTTCTTTTGCTTGCAAATCCTCAAACCCAAACTGAAAGTAAAACTTTCAGCAAAACACTAGGCTGGTCTTGAACTCCTGGCCTCAAGCTGTCCTTCCTTGGTCTCTGAAAGCACTGGCATCACAGGCATGAGGCACCGTGCCTGGCTCATTCGATCTTTTTGAACAAACCTATGTTGGAGTTTTTTGACCTGCTCCAGTCTGTATTGTTGGTATTATATAGTCCTGCACCATAGCTGTCATATTTGGAATATCTTTTAGCCTTCATCCATGGGATTCCCCTTACATAGTTCTTGGGTTGGATTTCCTGTTTCTTTGATCTCATGTCTTGGTTTACTTTTGTATTTTGGTGAGGCAGACCTTCTAAAACTCTAGAAGCAGTAAGAGGAATGTAAGTATTTTAAGACCTTATATATCTGAACATACCCTCATACTTGATTGGCATTATGTCAGAGGAGTATAGAGTTCTAGGGTAGAAATAATTTTCCTACAGAATTTTGTTTTAATTTGTCTGGGATCGAAGTTCCATTTGCTATTCAGAAGTCTAAATGGGTTTCTTTTTTTTTTTAATTTTTTTGAGACGGAGTCTTGCTCTGTTGCCCAGGCTGGAGGGCAGTGGTGAGATCTCAGCTCACTGCAACCTCTGCCTCCCAGGTTCAAGCTATTCTCCTGCCTCAGCCTCCCGAGTAGCTGGGGATTACAGGCGCCCACCACCACGCCTCTCTAATTTTTGTATTTTTAGTAGAGACGGGGTTTTGCCATATTGGCTAGGCAGATCTCAAACTCCTGTCTTCAGATGATCCTCCTGCCTCAACTTCCCAAAGTGCTGGGATTACAGGCGTGAGCCACCTTGCCCGTTCTCTAATACTTTTTTATTGGTTTTTTGATTTCTGATCTTTTATATGGGACTTCTTTTTTTTTTCTGAATTATTTTAAGGTCTTATCTTTGTAACTTTTCCTAAATTCATAATGGCATCCTCTGGCGTGGATCTATTTTCATGCACTGTTGTGGGTTCTCTTTTAGTCTAAAAGAGCATTTTCAATTCTAGGAAAATATCCTGATTTATTGATAAAACACTTTATCTTTCTGAATTTTCTATATCTTGGATATTAGGCTTCTTGACTGGTCCTTAATTTTTTTTTTCTCGTTTCCCATCTGTTTTTTTTTCTTTGAGATGGAGTCTCACTTTGTCACCCAGGCCGGAATGCAGTGGTGTGATCTCGGCTCACTGCAATCTCTGCCTCCCAAGTTCAAGTGATTCTCATGTCTCAGTCTCCCAAGTAGCTGGGACTACAGGCACGAGCCACCACACCCAGCTAATTTTTTATATTTTTAGTAAGGGGAAATTTTTAGTAAGGGGTCTTCCCATGTTGGCCAGGCTGGTCTTGAACTCCTGACCTCAGGCCGTCTGCCTGGCTTGGCCTCCCAAGGTGCTGAGATTACAGGCGTGAGCCACCGTGCCCGGCCCATCTCTTTGTTTTTGTACTTTATGTTTTAGGAGATTACGTCAGTTTTATTTTCTATTCCTTGTATTTTTAATTTCTGCAATCATTTTTTAAAAAATTTCTAGAGTCCTATTTAATTTCTTCTTTTTTTAATGTGGTGTTCTGTTCTCAGTTCATGAAGCATTCTTTTTTTCCTATCGCTAAAGATTTTTATTGATAGTTTTTGGGCTTTTTTGAACATTTAGTTTGTCCTCCAAGTTACTTTTTTCGATTTTGGTGTCGTCTCTCATGTTAGAAGCTTCCTTCCAGTGTCTGGTAACTCTTTTGCTTTCTGCTTTTATTTATAAGTAGGGCAATTAAAAAGCTAATTGGATTTCTGTGTGCATGAGTGTGGAGGGTTTATCAACTGTGGGCTTTGCTGAAGGATGATATAGCTAGGTTATTTCCTTGAAGAACTCCTGGTATGATTATCTTTTCAGGTCCTTATACATGGTGTGGTCAGATTTGCCGCCCCCGCCCCCCCCCCCCCCCAAAAAAAAAAAAAAAGAGCTTTTCAGTCTTTGTTTGGAGGTTATTATCTCTGGTTGCAAGGTTTCTGGTTAGGGGAATAGGCTAGGGGTCTCGACATGATTATTCAGATTCACTTTATCTCCATGTGTTAAGTATGGTAAACTTGCCTGCAACTATACCTGTGTCTCTTAAGCCAGAGACCTTCTGTTTTGCCCTCTCCATAGAATAAACCTTTAGCTTTCAGTTTTTCCTCAGGGTTGGGGTGGTACAGAAGCCCACTGTGTAGATTGTTTAGGGGTTCTGGAGGTATAACTGCTTTTTAAACAGAGTGGTAAAAATCCTGTTGTATTTTTACTTGCACCTCCAGAGTATTCTACATCTAGAGGCGTCACTAATTCCTAAATCCCTAAATCTTTTGTGGGATCTATGATGTAAATTGGATTGGTTTTAATTTTAGGATTGGGTTTTTTTTTTTTTTTTGGAGATGGAGTTTTGCTCTTGTTGCCCAGGCTGGAGTGCAATGGCATAGTCTTGGCTCACCACAGCCTCTACCTCCCGGGTGCAAGCGATCCTCCTGCCTTAGCCTCCCAGGTAGCTGGGATTACAGGCACCTGCCAGCACCTCGACCTCCCAAAGTGCTGGGATAATAGGCATGAGCCACTGAGCCTGGCCCCTTGCAGTTCAAATTTGGATTCATCTGTTTTCTTGCAAAAATGAGAGCTGCTGAACAGTCAAAGTTGGAAAAAGGAAATATCAAATTTGTTGAAAAAAGATTTTAAGAATATCTACTAATACACTGCAGTGATTCAACACAATAACACAATTTCCTTTCACTTAGACACAACACAATTGCAAATGCTTAACAGAACAATAAAATGGTTTAGTACTTACAAGAAAACTATTGAAGATGTTGGGCTGAAAACATACACTAGCCTCCACTTCCTACTCAAAGTCACAATAAAGTGAAGTTTTTTAAATCATAATCTCATAGAAATAAAAAGAATGAAAGAGAAAACAACTAAATTTTGGAAATTATAAAGTAGATGAATAACTGATTTAATGTCCCTAAGAAAACCCAATCCTAGTCTGGGTGCAGTAGTTCACACCTGTAATCTCACACCCGTAATCACAGGCCAAGGTGGGCGGATCACCTGAGGTCAGGAGTTCAAGACCAGCCTGGCCAACGTGGCAAAACCCCATCTCTACTAAAAATACAAAATTATCCAGGCATGGTGGCGCACACCTGCAATCCCAGCTACTCAAGAGGCTGAGGCTGGGAGGATCTCTTGAATGTGGTGAAACGGGAAAGGTTCCCTTGTCCCCCTTAAAGGGTGTGCGGTCGGGGGTGTGGCTCGCTTCTTTGGTGTCCTGCTGCTCAAACCTCTACAGGGAGTGTGCAGTGCTGAAGCCCCAGTGGGCGTGTGTTACCCGGTGCTCTTTTAGTTTACCCATCAGCTCATTGAGACCTCTTGCCTAACAAGGACAGAGAGTTTTTTGTATCCCGGAGTTCTTGCCTTGGTGTACAGAAGAATTGGATCACAGGTGGACTTGGAGAAAGAATGCAAGGTTTTATTGAGCGGAAGTAGCTCTCAGAAGATGGAGGAGCCAGGGGGAGATGATTTTCCCCTGGAGTCTGGCCACTGTGTGGCCCAGTGTCTCCTCCGACTGCCCTAGCCCGTCTCTGCATCTTTCCGTTGGTTTATGGCCTGCCCAGTGCCAGCATCTGTTGGTTTGCTGTCCTGCCGGTGTGCTCCACTCGATGTCCTCTTGACCTCCAGCCGCTTTTGTCTTCTTCCGCTGATGTGTTCCTCTCCACGTCCAGCCGCTTGTGTCTCTCCTGTTAGGGTCTCGGGGGTTTTTATAGGCACAGGATGGGGCCATGGTGGGCCAGGGTGGTCTTGAGAAATGCAGCATTTGGGCATAAAGGCAGGAGTGCCTGTCCTCACCTAGGTCCATGGGCACAGGCCCAGCCCTCTCCAGAGACCCACCTTCCTCTGTCTACCCAGCACTTTTCTGCCTCCCTTCTATACCACTAGGAGGTGGAGGTTGCAGTGAGCTAAGATCGCACCACTGCACTCTAGCCTGGGTGAGAGCAGAGCGAGACCCCATGTCAGAAAACAACACAAACCACCAAATTTGAACTGCAAGGAATATCTGTTATGTGTTTTCCTAGCTTCCCACAGTGCTTAACATGGTGGTGACTTGCCCGTATTAGGTATCCTAGAGGATTAAAGATGAATCTCTGTCCATGTATCAACATTGTTATCAGTTAAATGTCTCTAAAATCTGATTCCGAATGGATGAACAATTTTCCTTTCGTTTTTGTTTTCAGGTTAATAATAAAAATAATATTAGGGCATTAATTTTTTTTTTTTTTTTTGAGACAGAGTTTCGCTCTGGTTGCCCAGACTGGAGTGCAATGGCGCAATCTCAGCTCACAGCAACCTCCACCTCCCAGGTTCAAGCAATTCTCCTGCCTCAGCCTCCCGAGTAGCTGGGATTACAGGCATGCACCACCACGCCCGGCTAATTTTGTATTTTTAGTAGAGACAGGGTTTCTCCATGTTGAGGCTGGTATCGAACTCCTGACCTCAGGTGATCCGCCCGCCTCGGCCTCTCAAAGTGCTGGGATTACAGGCGTGAGCCACCACGCCCGGCCCGGCATTAAATATTAATTGGTCTTTTAATGTATCTCAGCTTTGAATTTAGGATTTGATTAACCAAATTTAACTGTAGTATTTTGTCTTACTATGACTGCAGAAGTAGACAACTCTTGCCACATGTACATTGTCTGATTTTCTCTTTATTTGTATCTGGCTATCATATCTCTCTTGGCTACTTTGGCTCTTTTTTTTTTTTTTTCTTTTCTATGCCATACACACACAGTAGTAGTGGCTGTTTCTTAACAGGTTGATTTGAATTTCCAGGTGCCCCTTTAGACATGAAATATGTTCTCAGTACTATACTCTAATTTCTGCTTACTTCTTTGTCACTTTTATCTGCTGCAACTTAAGAAATTTGTTTTATTTTATTTATTTATTTTTTTGAGACGGAGTCTCGCTCTGTTGCCCAGGCTGGAGTGCAATGTGGTGATCTCGGCTCACTGAAAGCTCCGCCTCCTGGGTTCACGCCATTCTCCTGCCTCAGCCTCCCAAGTAGCTGGGACTATAGGTGCCCGTTACCACGCCCGCCTAATTTTTTGTATTTTTGGTAGAGACGGGGTTTCACTGTGTTGGCCAGGATGGTCTCGATCTCCTGACCTTGTGATCCGCCCGTCTCGGCCTCCCAAAGTGCTGGGATTACAGGTGTGAGCTACCGTGCCCAGTCAAGAAATTTCTTCCTTCTTTCCCTTACTCTGTTCCATCCTTCCTTGTGACATTTCTCTTTGGTATCTTTCTTTTCAGAGAAACTTTGGTATCTTTCTTTTCAGAGAAAATTAACATTCGAACATTCAAATGCTAATTTAATCTTTTAAAGTAAAGCTAATTACTGAGATCACATGCTTGGTATTTTTAATTTTATCATTATGGTAAAACTGGACCGAGATACTTCAATATCTGTCAGAAGAACAGATGATTTGATGGTAACCCTGTATAAGAATTTTGTTTCTAAATTTCTTAAACCTCTTGATTAGAATGTTTTAATAGTTGTGAAAGGCTTTAGTAAGTTTTATAATTTAATATTATTATCAATCTTAGCTAATATTTCAGATTATTCAGATTATGCATCAGAAGTATGCTTTGGCAACTCTCATTTAAATCCTCAATGTCTTTGACCTTAATTACACATTGGTTAAAATTGACCTCCAAACCAGGAATGATTCTTATTTTATTAAAAACGAAAAATCCTAAGAAGCAAACACTCAAATCAGCTGCATTTGAAGTTAGATTTATAGGAGAAAATAGTTTATAACTTTTGTGTACATATTACCAATATCTTCTAGTGGTAATATTAAAGTGGTCTATTAAAGTGGAATTGCCATTTAATATTCTAGTGGTCTATTAAATATTTAATATTTAATATTTAATATTCTAGTGGTCTATTAAAGTGGAATTGCCATTTAATAAGTAAAGTTATTTCCTAGTACACTTTATCAGTTTTTATAGGCATTAGCATGGATTTCTTTATTTTTTTAAGAATGAATTTAATGCATTGAATTTCTCATAAATGCCATGGTTTTGAACTTTAACATAAATTATTTTATAAATATGATTAAAGCTTTCTGCTAGTCACTGTTTAATAGAAAAAGAATAAACCTAAACTGTAGTTTTTAATTGAAATAAAACTTGTACCTATCCTGAATGTATGTGTGTTTTATCTAAAAGATATGTCTATAGGATTAGAAATTAAATGTGAAGCTCATAGACATTTAAAGAGAAACTGATGTTTTTATGATAACCTCAGGGAAAAGATACAGACTAGGGCAGGATTTCTGTATCTGGGTTTATGAACAGGTTTTAGCCCCTCCCTGAATTCCTGTATGCAAAATATTGTGTTTTTTGTCTGTAGAGAGAAGGTTCATATTGTCGGATTATGAAAGACTCAAAATAAAGAACTGGAGGCAAAGAAGTAAGCAAAGAAAAAATTATTATATGAATGTTTAAGAGCATTGTGGCAGTATTTCCCTTTAATGTAGCTCAGAAATATATCTCAGTGGGTTCGGGGAGTTCATTGCTAAGTTATTTTTATTTTATCGAGATATGATTTACAAAACATGAAGTGCTCAGAACTTAAGTGTATAGTTAAAAGAGTGTATGCTTTTTGTAAACCACACTGCTTTTAAAACCTGAAACATTTCTGTCACCCTAGAAAGTACTTTACCTTTTAAAAATAAAACCATAGGGTCATTTCTGATGGTTTTTTTGACATAATATTGTATAAGCATACATTCTCATTTCACATAGTTCTAGAGATTCCATTAGCTAAATGGGGTGGTTCAGCTTTTATGGAAGAGGAACAAGTAGTTTACTAGTTCTGCTTTTTGCACTTGGTGCTAGTTTTGCCCATTGAACAGCACAGCTGTTATAACTGTGATGATCTTTGAGGTGAGCAAAGAACTGGGATGACATCCAGTATCTCAACACCTGGATCTTTAGCAAGATTAGCTCACATCATTTCTTATAGTTAATCATGTTTTCCACTTACCCCACAATGATGAATAATCATCTGACATAAAATAGTGAAAGAGCTTTGATAAACTTTTCTAAAGACAGTAGTTCAAGGTATAGTAACTTTTTAAAAAAAATCAACAATCATTGATCATTTACTGCATTAGAAGGTAGCTTCTGAAAAAATACCCAAGTGAATAAGACATATGGGACCTGCTTCTAAATTGTCCATGGTAATAGAAGAGACAGGAGTTAACGCACACTTCTCATAGCTTGGTAAATATAGTAGTAGAAGACTATACGTGTACCTAAATGGGTTTATATATTGGTAAATTAGAGAATCAGTTATATCAAGCTATAACTTCTGATTTTCCTTCTGTAAGTAGCATTAATAAGCCTTCAAGTGGGTAGAGATCTAGATTTTTGGAGAAAATCTTTTTCAATCAAAATAAAAAAAAACAAAACATTTCCCTTTTTGAGAAAATGAAAAAATATATAAATACAAAATTTGATGTCAAAATGAATATTTAGAATGAAAAAACACAGATCACAATTTTAATAACACAAGGTTAGTTAACATCACAAACTATAGAAAAATAACATTTTTATGGCAACTGCTAGATATCTGTAATACTTTTTTTTTTTGAGACGGAGTCTTGCTCTGTCACCTAGTTGCAATCTTGGCTCATTTCAACCTCCACCTTTCAGGTTCAAGTGATTCTCCTGCCCTAGCCTCCTGAGTAGCTAGGATTATAGGCACATGCCACCATGCCCGGCTAATTTTTGTATTTTTAGTGAAGACTGGGTTTCACCATGCTGGCCAGGCTGGTCTCAAACTCCTGACCTCAGGTGATCCTCGCGCCTTGGCCTCCCAAAGTGCTGGGTTTATAGGCGTGAGCCGCTGCACCCGGCCTCTAATACTTTTTTATTTAGATTTTTTTGACTGTATACTTTTTGACCACTTCTTCATATGTCAACAGTGTACTTTTTTCTCTACCATGACTGATCAAATTGTGTTTATTATTGATAGTTTAGAAAAGTTTGAGATTGACAACTCGTTTTATTGGTAGTGTCTGTAATATTTTAAGATTGTTGTCAAATTTGGGGCAGCTCCTTCTGTTAGGCTGTTCTTGCATTGCTATAAGGAAATACCTGAGACTGGGTAATTTATAAGAAAAGAGGTTTAATTGGCTCAGGTTCTGCAGGCTGTACAGGAAGCATCGTGGCATCAGCTTCTGGGGAGGCCTCAGGAAGCTTACAATCATGGCAGAAGGCAAAAGGGAGAGCAGGTACGTCACATGGCAAAAGTAGGAGCAAGACAGTATGAGACAGAGGAAGTAGAGAGGAGAGAGAGAAAGGGGGAGAGTAGGGGATGAGATGCCACAGACTTTTAAATGACCAGATCTCGAGAACTCATTCACTATCACATAGACATCACCAAGCCATGAAGGACCCACCCCCATGATCCAAACACCTACCAGCATTGGGGATTACAATTCAACATGAGATTTGGGTGGGGACAAATATCCAAACTGTCTCACCCTTGGTTTTATATGAATTGCAGTGTTTTTACATACTTCTGTGCCAATACCATATGGAGCTCATATCTAGATGTCCCTGGTCCTCTGCCTTAGTGTTAATGATACCAGATAAGGCAGTGCATTGGGTGGTAGGAATATTCCTGGATGTCATTCTTGTACCCAGACTAGCAATTATCTAGTCATACATAGATGTGATTGCACACTACATATATCCTATGAAACCTAAGTATATATAAATACCCAACTCAGCTTCCCCTTAGTTCAGTGCCCAGAATATCAGATTACCGAAGGAGGAAGTATGATGGAGAGGGAGTCAGAAACAGAAGTTAGAAGTCAGAACAGAAGTCTTTAACCAATTGTAGTTGGATTGCTTTCGTGATTTTTGTTAGGGCCCTTTCCAAGGCCCTGAATTTTAAACTGTCATGGTAAATTCTATAGCCTCGTACTGTAATTTTGTGCTTGGATTTTGTTTGTTCAGTTGTGCTACTGAAATGTTAGTTAAAATACAAGATGCATATTATTCTGCATGCATACTCTGTACTATGCTACTTGAACCTATCATGATTAGGCCTATTTGTATAAGCTGAAGATATAAATTTTGACAAATGTCTAAAGTATTTGCTGTACTTTCAAATTTTTGTCTTGGAATTCTTTGTCAGTTAGCTCAACAAATACTGAAGCTCTATTCTGACCTAGGCCTTGTGATAGGTTCTGGAGATGCAGTGATGCCTTAGAAACATTTCTTATTTTTGAGAAACTCATGGTGCTGTGTAAAATAAACAATGATAGTATCCTGTCTGAACACAGAGAAGGCATCCTTAACCCGTCTTAGGATATCAGGGAAGCTTCCTGAGGAAAATTACCCCTGCACTGATTATCTAGGGATGACTAGACATTATTTGGTGAATAAAGAAAGTGCAGTTAAAATTGTATGAGATAAGGAGAAGTAGGCGCTACCTGATTTTAACTTTTTGTGGTGCTTTTTTTTTTTCCTATCGGGCTGGCTTCTGTATTATAAGAGTTTAATTTCAAAGCATTAAGACTACACAACTTCTGTGTCACTGATTGCATTGAATGTCTTTTGCAGGCAAATGCTTTGGCTAAGCTGGTTTTTGTTTGTTCTTTTTTTTTTTTTTTTTTTTTTGGCCAAAGTTTAAGTAGGGCAGGACTATAAAGGGGCCTAATATTGAAAATGAAATTTTGGTGTTAGGACTAGGAAATATTCCTCAATGTTACTTCTCTTGCACAGTTGGAATCCTTTAGATTTGTCATAGTGAATCAAATAAAGATGACAGATTGATCCTTTTCTTTAATATTGGTAACAATGGCTCCTCGCAATAAGAATAAGATTTTTCTTCAACATCATTATTTGAGATAATAAACATTTATTACGCATTCCGTTATGTTTCAGCTTCTGTGTTAGGTATTGGGAATGCAAAGGTATCTAAGAGAAGACTCATATCCCTCGTAACCCACGATCTAGTGAAAGAGAGGGAGAGGGAAAAAGAAATATAAACAAATAAGCAGGAGGAGGTCATATTTTAAGCTGACCCTTCATGGGTTAGTATGGCAAGGGGATAAAGTCAGAAAGGGTATTTTATTTATACGCATGTAAGTGCATGTAAATATGCATATATATAGTCATTTGTTATTGAACATTTGAAAAATGCTAGTTCCTATTGTAAACCAAAAACTGACTGAGGCAGATCTCAATCAATTAGTGGTTTATTTTGCCAAGGTTGAGGATATGCTTGGGAAAAAGAAACACAAGTCACAGTAGGATCTGTGACCTGTGCTTTTTCCAAAGAGGGTTTTGGGAACTTCAATATTTAAAGGGGAAAGATGAAACAGAAGGGGAAGGAAAAAAAAGGAGGGAGGGTAGGCAGTGAGGCAAGTGGTTACATTCTTGTGAGGCTCTGATTAGCCAGCCAACTTTCTCTTAAGCCTAGTGAGTTTGGGGTTCCAAGATTATATTTTTCTTTCACATTATATTGAGCGTTTGCTCTGTGATTGCTGCCTCAAAACTAGGGTGCTTCAAATGTAATTTACTCATCTATCATAACAGTCCTTCAAAACTGGTGATGTCGTTTGCAGTTTTTTCATTTTAAACTTAGGGAAGTTCTTAGCCAGTAAGTTAGAAAGACAGGATCTGAAACTGGCCGTGAAATATCAGACAAATTACACAATTTCCCTAAGCTTAAAACTAAAAAATTGGGGATGATATCACCAGTTTTGCAGGAGTCCCTGACAAGTGAGTCGTAGACTCTGAAAAGGCAGGATCAAGACACTGGGTCTTCTTATTGTTGATTTTTGTTTTTCTTTTTAGAATCAGGGTCTCACTCTGTCACTCAGGTTGGAGTGCAGTTGCATGATCACAGCCTACTACAGCCTTGAACTCCTGGGCTCAGGTGATTCTCCCACCTCAGCCTCCTGAGTAGCTAGGACTACAGACATCACATCCCTGGCTAGTTGGCTAGGTTTTTTTCCCCCCCGCCAGAGATGGAGTCTTACTATGTTGCTCAGGCTCTTATTGTTGAATTTTAACAGCTCTTTGTATATTTTGGATATAAGTCCTTAACTATGTATGTGATCGGCAAAGATTTGCTGCTAGTCGGTGGCTTGATATTTGACCTTCTTTACAGTGTCTTTCATAGAGCAGAATTTTATTTATTTATTTATTTTGAAGCAGGGTCTCACTCTGTTGCCCAGGCTGGAGTGCAGTGGCACAATCTTGGCTCACTGCAGCCTCAACACCCCTAGGCTCCTGCCTCAGCCTCCTGAGTAGCTGGGGCAGCAGGTGTGTGCCACCACACCCAGATAATTTTTTGTAGAGATAGGGTTTCAACATATTGCCCAGGCTGGTCTTGAACTTCTGAGATGAAGTGATCTGCCTACCTTGGCCTCCCAGAATGCTGGGATTACTGCCGTGCACCACTGTACCCAGCCACAGAGAAGAATTTTAAACTTTAATGAAGTCTAATTTATCAGTATTTTCTTTCATAAGATGCTTTTTTATATCTAGAAACTCATCACCAAATTCAAGGTCACATAGATTTTCTTCTATGTTTTCTTCTAGAAGTTTTATAGTATTGTGTTGTAGTTTTAGGTCTATCATCTAATTCATGTTAAGTTTTGTGAAAGGTGCAAGATCTGTGTCTAGATTTATGTTTTTGCCTCTGGATGTCCCAGTGTCCCAAGTAGTAGAGAACTACCACTTGTTGAAAAGATCATCCTTTCCCCATTGAATTGCCTTTCCTCTTTTGTCAGTATCAGTTGACTCTATTTGTATGGTCCACTGTTCACTTTTATAATGACAATTATATTTTTCTTTGTGCCTTAAAAAATGCTTAATTGAGACGTAGTCACATACCTTACAAATCGCCCGTTTAGAGTGCACTGTTTAATACAGTTTTTTAGTAACCATCTCCACAGTCAATTATATTAAAAAGTCAACTTTTTAATCTTACCAGAATTCTTTAATTTTTCAGTTCCCCTCACTGTGGTTAATATCTCTCGACTTGACACCACTTGCTTAAGGAGAACTTCAGCTTCTCCATCCTTCCCTAATTGTTTCTTTTCATAATTGCCTGTTTTTTGAATATAATAGTGTCTCTGTTATTTCTAAAGATACTGATTATATTTAGTATGTTCTTCTTGGTTTTTGTTAGCATTAGATATATTGTTGAGTAGTTCTTTCATGGTGTTGGTTTTCCTGGAATATTTAGTGATTTGGGATTGTCTGCTCAACTTGAGTGTTTGAGGATATTGGTTTGCTTCTTGGTGAATATACTGATTATGGGAGCATACCTCTGGTGACAGGAAGGAGTAGGAACTGCTGCCTAATGTATAGAGGTATGCCAGTAAGTTCTCTTTTGACTGCCAAGTTCCCCTGCCTGCTGGGGTGGTGGTTAAAATCCCTCCCTCCACCATGCTCTGAGCTTCAGCTTAGGCTGTGCTTGCCTACTTCTCAGAAAAAGGCCACTCAGAAGGGTATTGGGATTCACTTGTGCAAAGATCCTGGGTCAAGTTCGCCTATAATCTTCTGGAGATCCCCTCAGGGTCCTCTCCCGTAGTCTAGATTCTGAGTTTGGAGCACAGCAGAATCACTCTTACCTTCATAGAGACCTCTACTGGGCATATCTATGCTAGGTTTTCTCAGACTTCTCAGTCACTATGTCTCATTAACTTTTTAATCTTATAAGAATTCCTCGATTTCTGAACTGCGGATAGCAGATAGTGTTCTTTCTTTTTTTCCAGCCGAGTTAAGGATTTCTTACTCACTTAATGGTAACAATAGTAGCAATACCACCTGCCACTAATAATAGTGATTTAAAAGGGATTATAGGCAGAAATGTAAGTAGATATGTCTGTTCAGACTGCTGTCTGTCTTGAAACAAGGTTATCTTTTCAATACTCATAGCTTTTAGCCTTTAGCTTTTAGTCTTATTATTTCTAGAACACATTCTATTTTGACAGCTTCTAACATTTTTTGCAGATGCATGTCTGCCTTTCTGAAAGCGTGGATGAAAGCCAAATGGCAACATTTGGGGGAAATTGGTGTAGGGTGGAATTTTACTTTTTCTTACTGGCAGAGTATGTGCTAAGTATTCATATAAATTAGAGATGGTATAGGAGGGGAATTAGGTGGTTTGAAGATTAAGATGTATCTATTCCCAGCACTTTGGGTGGTGGGGATGGGGGGATCACTTGAGCCCAGGAGTTTGAGACTAGCCAGGGCAACAAAGTGAGACTTCCTCTCTATAAAAAAATACAACAACAAAATAATTAGCTGGACATGGTGGCGTGAACCTGTGGTCCCAACTACTTGGGAGGCCGAGGTGGAAGGCTAAGGTAGAAAGATCGTTTGAGCTCAGGAAGTTGAGGCTGCAGTGAGCTGTGTTTGTGTCACTGCACTCCAGCCTAGGGGACAGAGTGAACCCTGTCTTCAAAAAAATACATAAATAAAATTACAAAGGGGTGGAGACAAGGGTAAGGAAAAAAGAATGTTTTAAAAATAAGAAAAAAAAGGTGCCTATTAATAACTCTCTTGGTATAAATTAGCCTTGTGTTGTTCGTGAATGACTTGATTAAAATGTGGTGAAAAAGGGAGAAAATTATTAGAAATAATTGGGTAGAAGCTAAAGGTAAAGCATTGAGTAATGTTGGGTAGTGGGTAAAAGTATGGGCTTTAGGCCGAGTGCTGTGGCTCACGCCTGTAATCCCAGCACTTTGGGAGGCTGAGATGGGCAGATCTCCTGAGGTCAGGAGTTCGAGACCAGCCTGGCCAACATGGTGAAACCCCGTCTCTACTAAAAATACAAAAATTAGCTGGGCGTGGTGGTGGGTGCCTGTAGTCCCAGCTACTCAGGAGGCTGAGGCAGGAGAATCGCTTGAACCCAGGAGGCGGATGAGCCAAGATCGGGTCACAGCCCTCTAGCCTGGGTGACAGAGCAAGTCTCTGTATCAAAAAAAAAAAAAAAAAAAAAAGAATGGTCTTTAGAGATTTAAATCCTGGATTTAAATTTTGGCTCCTTAATTTACCACTTTTATAATCTTGAGCAGAGTATGTAAGTACTTTAAATCCTTAGATTTGTCATCCATAAAATAAAGAAAAATAATAGCTTGTATATCAGAGTTACTAGGATTAAATGAGATATATTGCATGTAAAATAGTTGCGAGTACAAAGCTTGCGGTAAATGTTAGTTAATATTAATCATCATTATTATCCTGATGTAGGAGTTCTCAGCCTGAAGTTGACTGGAACTTTCAGTTAACAAGTATTTATCGAATACCTGATCTGTAGTGTTGGACTTAGACCTATGGAAGGAGCTACTGATGTGAATGAAAGGTTAGTACCTAGAGGCGGAGCAGAGAGAACTAATAGTAGTGAAGTTCTTAACATAAGTTTCAGTAGTAAGGTAGGTATTATTATCTCCATTTTGTAGACGAGGAAGCTGAGACTCAGTAACAGTAACTTCTTCGAGACCCTGGTTCTGTCATTTAGCTAGCTGTGGTTAGACTAATAACTCACTTAACCTTGAAGAGATGGAGCTGTTGGCACAAATACATGATTTGTAACACAAATCATTTATTTTACAATCATTTGTGTGACAAATAATTTGCTTTTAATTTTGAATAAATTTACATATTCTTCAGTGTCAATATATAGGTATCTGGTACAGAAAAAAAATAGGGGTAATACAACAAAAACAAAAACTGTTAGGAACTGGGCCTCACAGCAGGAGGTGAGCAGCCAGCAAGCAAGCATTTCCACCTGAGCTCTGCACCCCGCCAACCCCTGTGGAAAAGTTGTCTTCCGTGAAACTGGTCCCTAGTGCCAAAAAGGTTGGGAGCCACTGTTTTAGAGTCTCAAAGAGAAAATAAATGATACTGAAATTTGCAAAAGATAAATCAAATTGGAAGACTAAGAGATATGTATTCAGAGCTATCTCTAGGACTGAGTTGTTTACTAGACAAATCACCCTGTCCTGCTCTAAAAATTGATTTGCCTTCAAATATGAGTAAGAATGGGAAAACAAATGTGAATATCGTGGATGTTTATTTGGAAAGCAGTAGAGTAATGCAATGAATTATTAATGTGATACCTCTAATATGTAATACATCATTCACATTCTAGTCAGCATTCCATAGTGGCTGAGCATGGTGGCTCAAGCCTGTATTCCCAGCACTTTGGGAGGCCAAGATGAGGGGATTGCTTGAGCCTAGCAGTTCGAGACCAGCTTGGACAACAAAGTGAGACCTCATCTCTAATAAAAATACAAAAAATTAGCTGGGTGTGGTGGCGTAGTCACAGCTACTCAGGAGGCTGAGGTGGGAGGATCACTTGAGCCATTGATCATGCCCCTGCATTCCTGCCTGGGCAATAGAGCAAGACCTTGTCTCAAACAAACAAAAAAACAAAGCACAACATTCTCCATAGTTATGATGCTGTGTTGGAAGCTGTACAAGAGAAATTAGCAATCTAATACCTGTCCTTTAAGACTTTCGTACGTTGTGGCTGCTCCCATATGTTGTTAATGGGATTGTAAAAGGGTACAATTTATTTGGGGAAAAAATAGGCACTATATAAAATTTAAAAATGTAACTGCTCTTTAAAACAACAGTTCTAGGAATTTAACCTTCATACATGCGTACACACAAGGATGCTTACTGCAGTGTTGTTTGTGGTAGCAGATGACTGGAGGAAACAATCTAAATGTTTTAAATAAAGGACTGATCAAACTATATTATAATATAATATATATAAGGAAATACTATTTCAGTCTTTAGAAAGAATAAAGTAGATTTACTTGTATCTTAAATATAACAGTCTTCTGGATATGTTAAGTGAAAAACATTATTAAGTACACTATGCTACTGTGTAAAAGCAAATAAAAACAGGCACAAAACTTTCTAATGCCTGTAATCCCAGCACTTTGGGAGGCCGAGGTGGGCGGATCACGAGGTCAGGAGATCGAGACCATCCTGGCTAAAATGGTGAAACCCCGTCTCTACCAAAAATACAAAAAATTAGGTGACCGTGGTGGCGGGTGCCTGTAGACCCAGCTACTTGGGAGGCTGAGGCAGGAGAATGGTGTGAACCCAGGAGGCGGAGCTTGCAGTGAGCCAAGATTGTGCCACTGCGCTCCAGCCTGGGCGACAGAGCGAGACGCCGTCTCAAAAAAAAAAAAAAAAACAAAACAAAAACAAAAAAAAAACTTTCTAATGCTTATACCAGATACTAGAAACTGTAATTTCTTCTGAGGTAGGTGGGGTAAGAGGGCAGCATACTTTATGTTTTTGAAAATTTTTGTGAAGATTTGTATTTGTATGTCTTAAAATATGTGAGATGTATGCATTTGGGCATACAGTGTTGCTACAAGAGCTTGTACTCACTGATGAGGACTTCTGTGTACATGCTTGGGTATTTATGCTTTTGAATTTGAAGACTCTGTCATTTTGTCATTTGGTCTTTTTTTTTTTTTTTTTTTTTTTTTGAGTTGGAGTCTCGCCCTGTCGCCCAGCCTGGAGTGAAGTGGTGCAATTTTGGCTCACTGCAACCTCCGCCTCCTGGGATCAAGCGATTCTCCTGCCTCAGCCGAGTAGCTGGGATTACAGGCGTCTGCCACCATGTCCGGCTAATTTTTGTGTTTTTAGCAGAGATAGGGTTTCACCATGTTGGCCAGGCTGTTCTTGAACTCCTGACCTTAAGTGATCTGCCCGCCTCATCCTCCCAAAGTGCTGGGATTACAGGCATGAGCCACCTTGCCTGGCCTGTCAGTTGGTCTTTTGACCTGCGAATGAGGAGCATTATTGACCACCACCATTCCCCGGTTGGGTGGATTCTGGTAGGAGAAGATTCAGGTAGCAGCTGAAGGAGAAAACCTAACAAAGATTTTAAAAAGAGTATTTTTTAAAAGTATTACGTGGTTAGAGTATTCTGCAGGAATAAAGCAGACGGGTTAGATAGAAGGAAAATTAGATGCAGGACTTGAAAGCAGAAATGTATGTGGAAATGAGGAACGGAGAAGAGAGTCAAGAGGCTGCAGGGAACTAAAAACATTTACAAACATCTAATCTCTAAATGATACACTTTTGTAAAAAGTCATTTTCCGGACTCTCAAAAAACAAAATAAAAAAATTGGAAGCCTAGATGATAATTTGTGGTTTCTTAAGTAGCATAAGAAGAAAATTGCAGGCTGGGCATGATGGCTCATGCCTGTCATTCCCAGCACTTTGGGAGGCTAAAGCGGGCGGATCACTTGAGTTCAGGAGTTCGAGACTAGCCTGAACAACATGGTGAAACCCTGTCTCTACTGAAGATACAAAAATTATCTGGGCATAGTGGCACATGTCTATAATCCCAGCTACTTGGGAGGCTGAGGCAGGAGAATCACTTGAACTTGGGAGGCGGAGGTTTCAATGAGCCAAGATTATGCCACTGCACTCCAGCCTGGGTGACAGAGCAAGACTCTGTCTTAAAAAAGAAAATAAAAGAAGAAAGTTGCAAAATGGGGAGTAGAACCTTGTTTTCCTGATTTCCAGTCTAACCCTAAGATTATTCCAAGATGGCCTGAACCTTTCAGCGTAGCACCCCCCCAAAAAAAGAAACCCAGAAATTAAAAAAATTTTCTTTTAAACTTGATGTGTGACAGTTATTTCTTTCTGAACTAATTATCTTTTCCCCCATTCAGTCTTGAGGGATAGAATAGGATTTGGGGTTTTAGCATTGCACTACCATTTCTTTCTATGAGTCATTGTGGTTCAAGAAAAGAAAGGATAATGAAAATACTAAATGTTGCATATATCCTCTCATTTTGCCACTGTCCTGTGATACAGGTAGTGTTCATGTTTTGCTATTTTTATTAGGCTTTCACTGCTAAAGAAAAAATAGGCTCTGGAAAGCTAAGTAATTTGCCTGAGATAGTAGCTGATGTGTGTCAAAGTTGGCCTTCACAAAATTGAATTCAGATTTTATTTTTTCTTTTCTTTTCTTTTTCTTTTTCTTTTGAGACGGAGTCTTGCTGTGTCACCCAGGCTGGAGTGCAGTGGCGCAATCTCGGCTAACTGCAACCTCCGCCTCCTGGGTTCAAGCAATTCTCCTGCCTCAGCTTCCTGAGTAGCTGGGATTACAGGCCTGCGCCACCATGCCCAGCTAATTATTACGTTTTTAGTACAGATAGGGTTTCACCATGTTGGGCAGGCTGGTCTCCATCTCCTGACCTCATGATCTGCCCACCTCAACCTCCCAAAGTGCTGGGATTACCGGCATGAGCCACTGTGCCTGGCCGATTTTCTTTTTTTGGAGACGGAGTCTCGCTCTGTCACCCAGGCTGGAGTGCAGTGGTGCGATCTGGGCATGGTGGCATATGTCTATAATCCCAGCTACTTGGGAGGCTGCAACCTCCGCCTCCCAGGTTCAAGCAATTCTCCTGCCTCAGCCTCCCAAGTAGCTGGGATTACAGGTGCACGCCATGACACCCAGCTAATTTTTGTATTTTTAGTAGAGACGGGGTTTCACCATGTTGGCCAGGCTGGTCTCAAACTCCTGACCTCAAGTGGTCTGCCCGCCTCGGCCTCCCAAAGTGCTGGGACTACAGGCATGAGCCACTGTGCCCGGCCTAGATTTTATTTTTTCTACCAAAGTATAAAGTTCTGGGAGGAGAATTGATCAAGAAAACATTGGAAGCCTAAAACGTCGGGGCAGAGTGGTTTGATTAGTAGATGACTCTGGGGGAGGTGAGGCTCGGACTTACCTGAGTGCAGACACAGCTGAGGTCCTTGTAGTTCTCATGTACTCTTGCCAGCCATTTTCAGAGCTGCTTGTCACATCTTCAGTTGCTGCAGCCATCTCAGCCGTGTGCTAATTAAAGGAAATATACTTAACACTTTGTCTGAAGATTTGCACCACATTAGTTATAGGAGACCTCTTTTCCTAATTAATCACACATAAATTAGTAAAATGTCTTTTTTGTAAAATATGTTTGTGAAGTATGTGTCCTTTTTTTTTTTTTTTTTTTTTTGGGAGACGATGTCTTGCTTTGTCATCCAGGCTGGAGTGCAATGGCGTGATCTCGGCTCACTGCAACCCCCGCCTCCTGGGTTCAAGCGATTCTCCTGCCTCAGCCTCCAGAGTAGCTGGGATTATAGGTGCGCACCACCATGCCCAGCTAATTTTTGTATTTTTAGTAGAGACAGGGTTTCACCATGTTGGCCAGACTGTTCTTGAACTCCCAACCTCAGGTGATCCACCTGCCTCAGCCTCCCAAAGTTCTGGGATTACAGGTGGGAGCCACTGCGCCCAGTGAAGTATGTGTCTTATGCAAAATTTTGATAAAGGGTTAGAAAGAGGAAAATGAAGTAAGTTTCAAGCTTGGTAGGCATATGTCTATTTATATTATTACCATTTATATTTATATAAATAAATTTTTAAATTTCATTTTATTTTTATTTTTTGGAGGCAGAGCCTCACTGTGTTGCCTAGGCTAGTCTCAAACTGCTGCCCTCTAGCAATGCTTCTGCCTCAGCTTTCCCAGTAGTTGGGACTACAGGCGTGTACTGCCATACCTAACATTTATATTTTTATAATTATATTTTAGAGATGCTGGGAGCAAATTTGGTGTTTATTACATTGTCTCATTAAACTGAAGAATTTCTGCACTCTAGTGTGGGCCTAGAGCTTGACTATATCTAATATTTGACCTTTGGATTTACACTTTTGCACTGGAAAGTCGCTGAGTTGTTCTAAGCAGAGATGTATCATAATCTAATGAGTGTTTTTATTTTTAAATTTTTTTCTTTTAGCTCCTGATTCTCTGGTTGAAAAAAAATTTTAAATATATTTTTTAGAGAGGGAGCCCCACTGTGTTGCCCAGATTTGTCTTGAACTCCTAGGTTCAGGCGATCCTCCCACCTCGGCCTCCCAAAGTGCTGGTATTACAGGGAAGAGCCACTGTGCTGGGTCAATTTTTTATTTTTATTTTTCTGGACAGGGTTTTGCTCTATCACCCAGGCTGGAAAGCAGTGGCGTGATCTTGGTTCACTGTAGCCTTGACTTCCTGGGCTCAAGTGATCTTCCCATCTCAGCCTCCTGAGTAGCTGGGGTTACAAGCATGCACCACCACACTTGGTTAAGTTTTGTATTTTTTGTAGAGACAGTTTCACCATGTTGCCCAGATTGGCCTGGGCTCAAGCAATCTGCCCGCCTCGACCTCCCAAAGTGCTGGGATTATAGGTGTGGGCCACTGTGCTCAGCCCTGTGATGAGTGTTTTTAAAGTGATCCTTTTGCTGTTGAGTAGAGATAGGAGAGGGTGTGTGTTATGAGGAACATCGGTTTAATTCTAATTAAACACCTATGGAGAGACCTACATTTAAATGAGAATGCTAGTACTTTAGAATGAAAAATACCTGTTACTTGAATTGTATATTCAGGTTGACTGATAGATTCTTACTTTATTTCAAGATCCTCAGTACTTTTTGACAGCTCCTCAGATGATTATAGTAATGCAGCCAGGGGTTGAGAACTACTGGTTTATCTTAGGGAAAGAGGGAGGGATTGGGGTTGGGGGTGTAAAGTTGAGAGGAGGTAGAGTGAAAAGCTTTGGAGAGTTTGGAAAGTGTAACCATTGTTTATGTGTTTTTTTTTTTTTTTTGGAATTCCACTTCCGTATTCATATGTTCAAATGCCTAGATGTTTTTGATGATGTGAATTTAATAACATTAAAGTTTTCCCACTTCTCGAGCTGAGATCGTGCCTCTGCACTCCAGCCTGGGTGACAGAGCGAGACTATGTCTCAAAAAAAAAAAAAAAAAAACAGAAAAAAAAAAGTTCCCACTTCTCCAGCCTCTTTTTTTCCAGTCTGTTCCTTTTCATGAGAAGTGAAGGAGAATAATGGACAGGGGTGACCCCTAATTTGATAAAAATTTGCTAGTATTAACAGAAGATTTAAAAATCGCTCGCTCTCTCTCTCTTTTTTTTTTTTTTTAAAGAGGCAGGCCTCATTCTGTTGCCCAGGCTGGAGTAGAGTGGCATGATCATTGCTCACTGCAGTCTTGAACTCTTTGGGCTTAAGCTATCCTTTGGCTTCAGCCTCCTTAGTCCCTAGCTGGGACTACGGGCTGCACCATCACACCTGGCTTAATTTTTAAACATTTTTTTAGAGATGGAGGGAGTCTCATGCATTGCCCAGGCTGGTCTCGAACTCCTGGCCTGATGCAATCCTCCTGCCTCTGGCCTCCCAAGTAGCTGGGATTACCAGTGTAAGTCACCACACTCAGCTCCCTGCCTTATTTTTTTTTTTTTTTTTTCAAGAGATGGGGGTCTTGCTATGTTGCCCAAGGGGGAGTGCTGTGTCTATTCACAGGTGTGATCATAGTGCACTACAACCTCAAGGGATCCTTCCACCTCAGCCTCTTGAGTAGCTGGAACTAGAGGTGCCCAGCTCTCTTAAAAACTATTAAAACCACCTTGAAGCCTAGTTTCAGTTGATCCATTAAAAAATATTTATGTGTATATATACACATACACATAGGCTGTGTGTGTTTGTGTCTGTGTCTCTGTGTGTGCTTAAGCATTCAGAAATTGGAGCAAACCAGCCACACGAATGTCTAGCTACTTAACTGCTTAACCAGAATTCTGGACTAAAATTGATTACTGATACTTCCTATAATTGGGTAGAAAAACATGTAGCTTTTCTTTTCTTTCTTTTTTTTTTTTTTGAGACGGAATCTCACTCTGCCGCCCAGGCTAGAGTGCAGTGGCACAATCTTGGGTCACCACAACCTCTGCCTCCCGAGTTCAAGCGATTCTCCTGCCTCAGCCTCCTGAGTGGCTGGGATTACAAGGACCCGCCACCATGCCTGGCTAATTTTTTTGCATTTTTAGTAGAGATGGGGTTTCGCCATGTTGACCAGGCTGGTCTCCAACTCCTGACCCTTGGGTAATCCGCCTACCTCTGCCTCAAAGTGCTGGGATTACAGGTGTGAGCCACTGTGCCTGGCTGAACATGTAGCTTTTTTTTCTTGTTCCAGGATTTTTATGTTTTATTGATATCAAATTGTATCTCTATATTTCTTTTAAGAAGGAAACAAATTTATTTTATTAGAATGAGAGACTTAGAATAGGAGTGAAAGGAATACAATAACTAAAACATCATGGAAGTACTTTTTTGTTTTTTCATTAATTTATTGAGAAGAGGTGTTAGTTACAGCTTAAAAATTTTTCTTTTTGTGAGTTAACTAGACACAGCAGAGAAAGTTTGTAGGAGTTTTGGATGGAGAGCACAGTAGTTACAGCAATTCTATTGCTGGGATTTAAGCCAATACAGTTTAGGTCTAATGCTTGGTGAATGACTCTATTGAATGTCATGCCTTAAATATTAAACCCTTTTTTTTTCTTTTCTATTCATAGTGGTAGTCGCTCTTCTAAAACTTTTAAACCAAAGAAGAACATTCCAGAGGGTTCTCACCAGTATGAGCTCTTAAAACACGCAGAAGCCACACTTGGCAGTGGCAACCTTCGGATGGCTGTCATGCTTCCTGAAGGGGAAGATCTCAATGAATGGGTTGCAGTTAACAGTAAGTAGCCTTTTTATTTCTCAGTAGCCTGTGAATTAGGGTAATAGCCTCATTGTTGGTGAGTGTTGGTGCTGTCCATTCTAGGATTTAGTTAGTAAGCTAATATCATAAAAGAGTGATATCTCAATCTAACTTTAACCTTCATGTTACTTTATTTACTTTATTATTATTACTTTTTGAGACAGGGTCTCACTCAGTCACCCAGGCTGGAAGGCTGGAGTACAGTGGCTCAGTTATGGCTGACTGCAGCCTTGAACTCCTGGGCTCAAGCAGTCCTCCCACCCTCAGCCTCTAGCGTAGCTGGGACTGTAGGCACATACCACCCTGCCTGGCTCATTTACAAACATGTTTTAGTAGAGATGGAGTTCTCACTATGTTGTCCAGGATTGTCTTGAACTCCTGACCTCAAGTGATCCTTCTATCTCAGCCTTTCACGGTGCTAGGATTACAGGCACTAGTCACCACATCCAGTCCTTGTTATTTTATTTCTGAATATGGAATTTTATGAAATCTTGTTTCCTATTTTAATACAAAGCATAGATTTACTATCTTCATTATAATAATTTTTCATGTGTCAAACACTGTATAGACATACCACTCTCCTTTCTACGTGGATGATTTTATTTTATCTTTATAACCTTATGATGTAGGTATGATTATTATTTCGGTTTAATAGATTAAGTTGAGACAATTAGTAACTTGCCTAGGTCATATAGCTATTAAATGGAAGAACCTGGGATCAAATATACAGCTATAGAATTTCAGAGTCTATAGAGTCAACCACTATACTAAATTGCCTTTCTCAGTGGCATACTCAGTTATTTGTCTAATTGTGCTTTTTTTATTTTTATTTTTATTTTGAGATCGACTCTTGCTCTGTCGCCCAGGCTGGAGTACCAGTGACATGATCTCGGCTCACTCCAACCTCTGCCTCCTGGGTTCAAGCGATTCTTCTGCCTCAGCCTCCTGAGTAGCTGGGATTATAGGCACGCACCACCATGTCCGGCTAATTTTTGTATTTTTAGTAGAGATGGGATTTCACCATGTTGGTCAGGCTGGTCTCGAACTCCTGACCTTGTGATCCACCCACTTCAGCTTCCCAAAGGGCTGGGATTACAGGTGTGAGCTACCACGCCCGGCCAGTTGTGCTTATTTTTTAAAAAAAGATATCAAGTAGTCATCTTATGAAATTAGTAAAATATATTTATGAGATGTTCTTAACTCCTACAGAGAATAACGTATGAATAGTAATTATATTCTTGGGAATTAAGCCAGAGAAAGTTGAGGAATAAAAGCTTCAGCGTTTTTCAACATTAGTGAAAAAAATAGTAATAATAGAATTTTATAATTAAAGGAAATTTATTTGAATTTAGTAAAAATAAAATGAAATTTCATTGAAAGCATACACAAAATGTCTAGGCTTTAAGGAAATGCAAAACAGTATTTTTCTTATATTTAATGGCCTCTTATTATAATTTGAACTATGTCATGGGATTTATAAATTGAGCTGCCCCCCTCTAATACCTTTTAGGAACCAGGGGATTTTATTGTGATGTCTTAAAACTTACCATGACAGCATTTACACAAGAGCCATGTTATTATTATGTGATTATCCTCCTGGACCAAGAGAGTCTAGTTATTTGAAATAAAGTGATTTGTTTGCTTTATTGATGAGGCCTGCCGTATTTCTAAGATGTTTCTGTGTCATCTCCAAGACAATATTCAGAATGAATCTCCAATATATGTGTACGTTCTTTTTGTACTAATTTGTGCCTTTTTGTAAAATTTGAGAGTTCATTTACTCATGTTTAAAATGTAAGGAAGGCTGTATAGAGCTTCTATATTACAGTAGAGTCTGACTTTTAAATATAAAAGCAAATAATTTTCTGTCTGTATTCTGTCTCTTTCTCAGTTGCCACAACTGAGTGTCTGTACCTCTCTTATCTGCTAGGGATACATTCCAAGATGACCAGTGGATTCCTGAAACCGGTGATAGTACTGAACCTTCTGTACACTGTGTTTTTTCCTATACACTACGTACCTATGATAAAGCTTAATTCATAAAGCTTAATTTAAAATTTATTAAAGATTAATTTAAAATTAAGCACAGCAAGGGATTAACAACTGTTAATAAAATAGAACAATTACAGTTATACTGTAGTAAAAGTTATGTGAATATAGTCTCTCTCTTTCAAAATAATCTTATTGTGCTTTACTTAACCCTTTTTGTAATCCTTCACTCTGATAACCAAGGTGGCTACTATAGGTGATTAATGAGCAGGTATACAGCTAGACAGAGGGATGATTCACATCCCAAGCGGACGGAGTGAGATGGTGTGAGATGCTGTAAAATTTCATCACGTTACTCAGAATGGCACACAATTTAAAACTTATATATTGTTTATTTCTGAAATTTTCCATTTAATATTTTCAGCCCATGGTTCATCACAGATAACTGAAACCATGGATAGTGAAACCACAGATAAAGGAGGACTACTGTACTACTGAAACGCCTAGAACTTTGAGAACTCTTAAAATTTCACAGTAGTTCTATGATTTTACTACAGCTGGACAAAGATTGCTTTGGACTGAAGCATTAGAACATCTGCTTAGGGCATACTCTGCTTTGAAAATACAACATTTAACTGAAGTGTTGGATTTAAAATTTTCCTTATTTATAGCAATCTTCCCAAATGACACTTGATGAAGTAGGTGAATAGGGTTGGAGTCAGGACAGATACTTCCAGTCACTGGCAGTGATTCAGTAAACATTTCAGGTTCATAGAGGAGTAAAGGGAATTATTGATAAGATCTATATCCAAATAATAGGTGAAAGTGTAATTACTTAGCTAATACAGGAGAAAAATAGAATAATAAAAAATAATCCTGAAGAATATAAGGAGAGACTAGGTGCATTGGCTCACGCTATAATCCCAGCATTTTGGGAGGCTGAGGTGGGAGGATTGTTTGAGGCCAGGAGTTTGTGACTAGCCTGGGCAAAATCTGTATCTACAAAAATATAAAATAAAATAAATTAGCTGGGAGTGGTGGTTCACACCTGTAGTCCTAGCTACTCCAGAGGCTGAGGTGGGAGGATGGCTCGAGCCCAGGAGTTCGAGGTTAGCCTGGGCAGCATAGGGAGACCTCTTCTCTAAACAAATAAAATAAAAATTTACCTACCAAGGACTCTTGCATTCATCACTGTAGTTGAGATCTCTCCCCAGGCTTCACGAATTAGTCAAAACTCTACCTGATAACACTATTTTGATGTCTAAATTGATCTCAAAGTGAATATGTTCAAAATGGAACACAGAAAAATCTATTTGAATTTATGAAAGAGACCAGTGGTCCATATAAATAGGCAGCTGATCTTGACAAAGAAGAAAAGGCAATTCAGTGGAGAAAGTATTATTTTTTCAACAAATAGTGGTGAAACACTGGGACATCCAGATGCAGAAATATAAATCTAGACACAGATTTACACCTTTCAGAAAAATTAGCATGAATTGAATGATAGACCTAAAAATACAACACAATACTATAAAACTTCTAGGAAAAAAAAAACAGGAGAAAAATCTGTGCAACCTTGGATTTGGTGATGAGTTTCTACATACAAAACCAAAAGTGTGCTTTTAAAAGAAAAAATTAATAAATTAGACCTCATGAAAATTTAAGAGGCCGGGCACGGTGGCTCACGTCTGTAATCCCAGCATTTTGGGAGGCCACGGTGGGTGGATCACTTGAGCTCAGGAGTTCAAGACCATCCTGGCCAACATGATGAAACCCCATCTCTACTAAAAATACAAATAAAAAATTAGCCAGGCATGGTGGTGTATCCCTGTAGTCCCAGCTACTTGGCAGGCTGAGGCATGAGAATTGCTGGAGCCTGGGAAGTGGAAGTTGCAGTGAGACAAGATCGTGGCACTGCATTCCAGCCTGGGTGACAGAGCGAGACTCTGTCTCCAACAAAAAAAGAGAAAGAAAATTTAAAATTCTGCTCTGTGAAAGACATTGTAAAGAAAATAAAAAATGAAGCCACTGGCTAGCAGAAAATCTTTGCAGACCACATATATGGTAAAGGACCTGTATCCAAAATATACATAGAGCTCTTAAATTCAGCAATAAGGGCTATCTAGGCAACATAGCAAGACCCTGTCTCTAAGAAAAGAATAAGTTAGCCGGAGATGTACGTACATGTAGCCATAGCTACTTGGGAGGCTGAGGTGGGAGGAATACTTGAGCCCAGGAGTTCAAGGCTGCAGTGTACCATGATCCTACCACTGCAATCCAGCCTGAGCGACAGAGTGAGACCCTGTCTCTAAAAAAATGAAATAAAATAGAATTAATAAAAACGTAAGGAGAGAAGAAGAATCATACAATGAGTAGGATAAATAGATAGCAAATAGTAGGATATTAATAGTAAGTTGAAATCCAAATATTATCAATAGTAATTGTATTAAATGTAAAGGACAAAATGGTCCAACACAAAAGTTGATTGTCCGGGCATGGTGGCTCATGCCTGTAATCTTTGCACTTTGGGAGGCCATGGTGGGAGGATCGCTTGAGCCCAGGAGTTTGAGACCATCGTGGACAACATGGCAAATCTCCATCTCTACCAAAAATAAAAAAGTTAGCCAGGCATGGTGACACACACCTGTGGTCCCAGCTACTTGAGAGGCTGAGGTGGGAAGATCGCTTGAGCCCAGAAGGTGGATGCTGCAGTGAGTTGTGATTGCACCACTGCTCTCTAGCCTGGGTGACAGAGTGAGACTCCATCACAAAAGAAGAAAAAAACAAAACAAAAAAAACCCCAAACAAACACACCAATGTGTCAAGATGATTACAAAGCAAAACAAATCTGAATGCTGCAAGACATACTTTAAATATACAGATATAGAATGGTTGAAACTAAAGTTAAACACTAATCCAAAGAATCCCGATAGTCGTGTTATGTCAGATAAAGTAGACTTTTAAGGCAAAAAGCAATAAAAAAGGATATTTTAAAATGATAACTGGTTCAATTCCCAAATAGTATATAAAATTCTGAATGCATGTTTCTAATAACATCTCAAAAGTTTATTAATATTAGTCGACTGAACTAAAAGGAGAAGTAGACAAATCCATGGTCATAATGGGAGATTTTAACATTCCTCTTTCAGTAACAGATAGAAAGTGCAGAAGAAAAAATTGGTAAGGAATTAGAAAAATTTGAGCAACATGATTAACAGACTTGACCTAGGAGCACATGACCTAAGCACCTAAGAGTATATATATGTACATTTTCAAAAATGGAAACCAATACATTCTCTGACCATGGTGGAATCTGGCTAGAAAGCAGTAATAAACAGAAATCTGTATATGTTTGGAAAAAGTAAATCTCAATGGAAATCAGAAAATATTTTGAACTGAAATTTGGTGATGAAAATACTATATATGGAAACTTGTGGGATATATTATAGCTAAAGCTGTGTTAGAGGAAATTTAGAGCCTTACATAAATACATATATTATAAAAGGAAAAATATTAAAAGTTAATGAACTAAGCATCCATCTCCAGAGGTTGGAAAAACAACAGCAAATTAAATGCAAAGAAAGTTAAAAGAGGTGAGGCCGGGTGCGGTGGTTCATGCCTGTAATCCCAGCACTTTGGGAGGCCAAGGTGGGTGGATCACCTGAGGTCAGAAGTTCGGGACCAGCCTGGCCAACATGGCGAAACCCCATCTCTACTAAAAATACAAAAATTAGCTGGGCGTGGTTGGGGCATGCCTGTATCCCAGCTACGTGGGAGGCTGAGGCAGGAAAATTGCTTGAACCCAGGAAGCAGAGCTTGTAGTGAGCTGAGATTGCACCATTGCACTCCAGCCTAGGCAACAAGAGTGAAACTCCGTCTCAAAAAAAAAAAAAAAGTTAAAAGAGGTTATCAGTAAAGAACAGAAGTTAATAAAATAGAAAAGAAACATACAATAAAGGGAATTGGGCTCGGCGTGGTAGCTCACACCTATAATCCCAACACTTTGGGAGGCCGAGGTAGGTGGATACTTGAGGTCAGGAGTTCAAGACCAGCCTGGCCAACATGGTGGAACCCCGTCTGTATTAAAAATACAAAAATTAGCCTTGTGTGGTGGCAGGTGCTTGTAATCCTACCTGCTTGGGAGGCTGAAGCAGGAGAATCACTTGAACCTGGGAGGCAGAGGTTGCCGTGAGCCAAGATTGCAGCACTGCACTCCAGCCTGGATGACAGAGCAAGACTTCATCTCAAAAAAAAAAAAAAAAAAAAAAAAGTGGTTCTTTGCAAAGTTTAAAAATTTATAACTCCTGGTAAGATTGATCAAGAAAAAAATATTTTAATATTTTAAAAATAATATTAATTTAAAATATTAATTATTTAATAATATTAGAAAGCACAAATAACCAATATCAGGGATAAAAAAGTAAATACATACCAGATCTTACATAGCATTAAAAGTTGTAAGAGAGGCCGGGCGCGGTGGCTCACGCCTGTAATCCCAGCACTTTCGGAGGCTGAGGCGGGTGGATCACGAGGTCAGGAGATCGAGAGCATCCTGGCTAACACGGCGGAACCCTGTCTCCACTAAAAATACAAAAAATTCTCTGGGCGTGGTGGCGGGCGCCTGCAGTCCCAGCTACTTGGGAGGCTGAGGCAGGAGAATGGCGTGAGCCCGGGAGGCAGAGTTTGCAGCGAGCCGAGATCACGCCACTGCACTCCAGCCTGGGCGACAGAGCGAGACTCCGTCTCAAAAAAAAAAAAAAAAAAAAAAAAAAAAGTTGTAAGAGAATGTTGTGAAGAAGTTATAAATTTATCCCAATAAATTTGAAAATTTAATTGAAATAACCTAATTCTTATAAAAATTCAACTTATCAAAGTTAACACTAGAATAAAAAATCTGAATAATCTTATAACTTAAAAAAAACTGTAATCTATTTAAAAACCTTGCCACAGTAGTATTTCCATGAAACAAGGAAGAAATAACGCCAGCCTTTGGCTCTTACAAAGAATGGAAAAAATATTAGTTTTATGAGTTCTACATGAACATTAGAAGAAAGGGAACTAGGTCATCTAACTTTTGAAATGAACATAGATGTAAAAATTCTAATAAAAGTATTAGTGAATTGAATCTAGTAACATTTTAAAAGTGTATATAATACATTATGACTAAGTTGAGTTTATTCCAGAAATACAAAGGTTAGTTTAGCATCTGAGGGGCCTCAGGTTGTGGCTCACACCTGTAATCCCAGTGCTTTGGGAGGCCAAGGTGGAAGGATTGCTTGAGGCCAGGGGGTTCAGATCAGCCTAGGCAATATAGTGAGTCCCACTTTTTTTTTTTTTTTTTGAGGCGGAGTTTTGCTCTTGTTGCCCAGGCTGGAGTGCAATGGCATGATCTCAGCTCACCACAACCTTTGCCTCCCAGGTTCAAGCGGTTCTCTTGCCTCAGCCTCCCGAGTAGCTGGGATTACAGGCATGCGCCACTGTGCCCGGCTAATTTTGTATTTTTAGTAGAGACGGGGTTTCTCCATGTTGGTCAGGCTGGTCTCGAACTCCTGACCTCAGGTGATCCACCTGCGTCAGCCTCCCAAAGTGCTGGGATTACAGGCATGAGCCACTGTGCCTGGCCGAGTCCCACTATTTATAAAAAATTTAAAAAGTTAACCAGGTGTGGTGTTGCATGCCTATAGTCCTAATTACTCAAGGAGATTGAGGTGGGAGGATTGTTTGAACCCAGGAGTTGGAGGCTGCAGTGAGCTCTGACTGCATCCCAAGCCTGGGCAATAGAGTGAGATCCTACTTCAAAAAAAAAAATAAATTAGAAAAAAAATATAAATTGGTCATTGTAATTCACTGCATTAGCCAAAATCAAGGAGAAAAAAAATCGTATCACAACAATACATGCAGAAAAACCATTTGCTAAAATTCAAAATCCATAATAAAAGGGTTATCAAGTAATAGATGAGAACTTTCTTCTGATAAAGCATACCTATTTGCAGAATAGCTATAACATTATAATAGTAAATGTTGAAATTTTTTCTTAATTTAGGAAAGAGTCAAGGATATCCACCACCAATATGTTACTGGAGTCTTTTTTTTTTTTTTTTGAGACGGAGTCTCGCTCTGTCACCCAGGCTGGAGTGCAGTGGCGTGATCTCAGCTCACTGCAACCTCCGCCTCCTGGGTTCAAGCAGTTCCCCTGTCTCAGCCCCCTGAGTAGCTGGGACTACGGGCGCATGCTGCCATGTCCGGCTAATTTTTGGTATTTCAGTAGACATAGGGTTTCACCATATTGTTCAGGCTGGTCTCCAACTTCTGACCTCAGATGGTCCACCCACCTCAGCCTCCCAAAGTACTGGGATTACAGGCGTGAGCCACCGCACCCAGCCAATTACTGAAGTCTTAACCAATTCAGTAAGGCAAGAAAAAGAATAAAAAATATACTGACTGGAAAGGAAGAAAGAATTATTCTTTTCATTTATAGCCAATAAAAAATATGTTGATTGTTCTGAAAATCCCTTTTTGGAAAAGAAAATATGTTGAAAATCTAAAAGACCATAATTATTATTACTAATAGATGAGTTTAATGAGGTTGTCAGCTCTTGGGTTAATATAAAATTATGAATATCTCATCACCAGGAAATAGAGGCCAAAAAAAGAAAAATGAACAACAAAAAAAAGGAAAAAAAATATTAGCATCAAAAATATCAACCTAGGAACAAATCTAATGAAACCTGGAAACTATTCCTTTATGATTAGTCCATTTTGTTCTCTTTTTTTAAAATTAAATTTTTATTTTTTTGAGGAGGTTTTGCCCTGTCATCCAGGTTGGAGTGCAGTGGCATGATATCATGGCTCACTGCAGCTTTGAACTTTCCTGGCTCAAGCGATCCTCCCACCTCAGCCTCCTAGAGTGTTCCAGAGTGCTGGGATTACAGGCATGACCACCATGCCCAGCTAATTTATTTATTATTTAATTTTTTGTAGTGATGGGATTTTACTGTGTTGCCCAAGGTGGTCCCAAACTCTGGGGCTCAAGTGATCCTCCCCAGGCCTTGGTATCCCCAAGTGCTGGGGTTACAGGCGTGAGCCATCTTGCCCGGCCTATGCTCTTTTTAAGAAATTTATACATGTCAAAAGTCACAAATATATTTTTCTATGTTCTTTTAAACTTAATTGTCTTGCCTTTCACATTTAGAGGTACAGTCTACTTTGAATTGCTTTTTGGGTATGACATGAGTGAAGAGTCAAATTTTATTTGATTTCATTTTACTTTATTTTTTTGAGACGGAGTTTTGCTCTTGTTGCCTAGGCTGGAGTGTGATGGCACGATCTCGGGTCACTGCAACCTCCGCCTCCCAGGTTCAAGCAATTCTCCTGCCCCAGCCTCCTGAGTAGCTGGGATTACAGGCATGCGCCACCACACCCGGCTAATTTTGTATTTTTAGTAGAGACAAGGTTTCTCTATGTTGATCATGGCTAGTCTTGAACTCCTGACCTCAGGTGATCACCTGCCTCAGTCTCCCAAAGTGCTGAGATTACAGGCGTGAGCCACCGCGCCCAGCCTCATTTTACTTTATTCTTTTTTGAGACAAGGTCTCGTTCTTTGGCTCAGGCTGGAGTGCAGTGGTGAAATCATAGCTCATTATAGCCTCGAACTCCTGGGGTCAAGCAGTTCTCCTGTCTCAGCCTTCTGAATGGTGTGGCTTGGACTGCAGGAGAGCACCACCATACTTGGCTAATTTTTAAAATATTTTTTGCAGAGATGGGGTCTTGCTATGTTCCCCAGGCTGGTCTTGAACTCCTGGCCTCAAGCCATTCTCTTGCCTCAGCCTCCCAAAATGCTGGGATTACAGGTGTGAGCCAACTGTGCCTGGCCAGGTTTTATTTTTTCCCATAGCAATAACCAGTTGATTCAGAAATATTTATGAAAAGATTGTCCTTTGCTTATTCTGCAGTGATGGCTATGTCATAAATCAAATGTTTCATCTGTGTTTGCATCTGTTTCTGTAACTGCCTAGGTCTCTCTTCTGTTCCATTGGTGTACTAAAATCATACTGTTTTATTCGTTGTGCTTTATAAATCTTAATACTTACCTTAGTTTTTGTTTTGAGACATATTCCGTCACGCAGGCTGAAGTGCAGTAATGTGATCATGGCTCACTGCAGCCTGACTTCCTCGGCTCAAGGAATCCTCCCACCTCACCCTCCTGTGTAGCTGGAACCACAGGCATGCACCACCATGCCCAGCTAATTTTATTTTTATTGGCAGAGACGAGGTCTCAGTGTATTTCCCAGGTTGGTCTTGAATTCCTGGGCTCAAGCGATTCTCCAGCCTTGGCCTGTGAATGTGTTGGGATTACAGGTGTGATGCATCGTGCCCAGCCTGGTTCTTTAAGAATGTGTTGGATTCTTGCCTTGTTGCATTTTCAGATAAATCTTAGCCTTTTTAGGGCCTATGGAATGGCATCTCACTATCATTTCAATTTGTAGTTCCATGATTACCAACATCTCTTCATAGGACATTTGACCACCTGGAAATTTCTTTTGTGAAGTGACAGTTTAAAATTGTCTCACATTTTTCAGCTGTGTTGTCTTTTTCTTATTGATCTATATGAGTTCTTTATCTATTCTAGATATAAGATTTCTGTTGTTTGTATGCGTTGCAAATAATCTCTTCATCTCTATGCTTGCCTTTTTGCTCTCAAGGGAGTCGTTTGATGAACACAAGCTCCTCATTTCAATGTATTGATACTTCTGTGTATGGTTTTCACCTGTTCTTTGTAGGGGAACGAACGCCAATAAGCCTATTCTGTTCAAGTACAATTAAAATTTCATTTTAAATTTAGCCATTCTGTTTTACTTACAACTGATACTTGCTTTACAGCTGTGGATTTCTTCAATCAGATCAACATGCTTTATGGAACTATCACAGACTTCTGTACAGAAGAGAGTTGTCCAGTGATGTCAGCTGGCCCAAAGTAAGACATAGTTAATGATCAGTTTCTTATTTTTACATTATTTTACGGTTCTTAAAGAAAAACGAAGTTTCTGACCATATGATTTTTCTACTTATCGTCTCTTTCTGAGGTTTGCCAGTGACTATTAATCTAGATTCCTTAGCTTGGGGTTTGTGACTGTCCATCTTGCCTTTCCTCTGTTTGCTTATGTGTCTTCTCTAGTCTGTCCTAACTGGATTACTGGAAATACCTTGCTGTTCCCTCCATTACGTACTTCTCTGGAAGCTTGCTTATTCTCTTCTTCTCTTGGACATTTTTCTTCTCTCCCATTTCACTCCTGTCATTTTCTGTCAATATTTCAAAAAATCTTACTGATCTTCAATTCTATTATCAAATATTTCTCTGTCAAAGCCTTCTGATTTCATCAGACTAACTTTTTTTACCTTTGTAATGAAATTTGTTTGTTATATTTCTTACACTATTCATATATGTTTTATTTAACCTGTTGGATTTGTTCTTTTAATTCCCTTTTGGTGCAAGGACAGAGCTTGCCACCTTGTTTTAACACCCAAAAAATGTGGGTTGAATCAGTACATTTTGGAAACTGGCTTTTATTATTACTTCTACTAATAATAGCAATGACAGTTACCATTTATTTAGTGGTACCTAAATGTAAGGCCTTTCATACATGTTTTTTACATCATATGTCAACATTCATTATAAGAATATTGCTCTATGCATTGCCGTAGACTCAAAGAATTTAGTCAAATGATCAAAGAGCCCGTAACAGAAGTATAATATTGTAGCTCAGGAAAAATATGGAGATACCATATGAAGAGGTAAAAGAAGTTGGCAGTTCTCAGTAAAGAGAAAGGAAGACTGCACTAGGAAAGACACAAAGCTGTGTTTGAACCTTCACTTCTTTCTAGCCCATGGAGATGAGTATAGCTGCAGAGCTATTCAAAATCTAGCGTCTGTCAATTCCCTTCCTCCATTTACACCTCTTCCTGCAGAAGTATGTTTGTGGTTTTTACCCGTCACGGGACTGTTTACTTTGGAGAAACGTCTTCTGTGGACTTTGTATGGGGTTTGTAGTTGCAGGTGCATCTTTTGTTCTCTCCTCACCCTGTTTGAACTTATATGAACTGTCACACTCCCCACCTCGCCTTTTTGAAAAGTCTAGTCAAGATAGTCCCTTTAAAAAATAATGTGGTTTAGGCTGGGCATGGTGGCTCACGCCTATAATCCCAGCACTTTGGGAGGCTGAGACTGGCAGATCATCACCTGAGATCGGGAGGTTGAGAGCAGCCTGGGCAACATAGTGAATCTCGTCTCTATTAATAATAGAAAAATTAGCTGGGCGTGGTGGTGTGCATCTGTAATCCCAGCCACTCAGGCAGGAGAATCACTTAAACCTGGGAGGTGGGGGTGAGGTTGCAGTGAGCTGAGATCGTGCCAGTGTGTGTACTCCAGCCTGAATGATAGAGTGAGACTCTGTCTCAAAAAAAAAAAAAAAAAAGTAATTTAAAGACATAGGTGTCTCCTAGTTTTATCATCAAAGCTAGAGTGTGAATTTCTGTTACTTGTTATTTCGGGAAGATTTATTAGAGGAACGGGGGCATTTAGAAATGAAATCAGTCCCCCTTTAGTATTAATTCTTGCCAGTATTACTGGTGTTCACTTTGGTTAAGCTTCACTTGTGAAAATAGATGTCTTTAATTTTTCTATTCTGTGGTTAGTTATGCCTTGAGAAATTAAATAGCACTGCCTTCTAAGAAAGCCAGTTCTTCTGGCTTGAGAGCTGTTTGTCTCTGCTCCTGTATGCATGCATGTGTGCGTACATAGTGTTAAAGCTGTGTGGTCTCCTGCCTGCGTGTCTGCTTCCCTCTCTTTCTCTTCTTTCTTCCTTCTTTCCCTTCCTTTCTCCCTCCTTCTTTCTTCTTTCTCTACGTCTCTTTTCTTCTTCCTTCTCTTCTTGTCTTTCCTCCCTCTCTTCCTTTCTCCCTTTTTTTTTTTGGGGAGAATCGTGACATTTCCCAGTCATTAGTGCTAAGAAGATGTAGTTGTTGTCATAGTTCTTCATTTTTACCAGCAGATGCAGGATTGTGCCTAGGAGAGGCATTTGTTAATACTTAATAAATGCTAAGCCCCTTGCAAAGTGGTATTGAATGATGGCTCGTAGAACTTTGTTCTCAGATACTGTTTTTTTATTTTTATTTTATTTTTTTGAGACAGAATCTTGCTCTGTTGCCCAGGCTAGAGTGCAGTGGTGCGATCTTGGCTTACTGCAACCTCTGCATCCTAGGTTCAAGAGATCTTCCCTGCCTCAACCTCTTGAGTAGCTGGGATTACAGGTGCATGCCACCATACCCGGCTATTTTTGTATTTTTAGTATAGACGGGGTTTCATCATGTTGGCCAGACTGGTCTCAAACTCCTGACCTCAAGTGATCTGCCCTCCTTGGCCTCCCAAAGTGCTGGGATTATAGGGGTGAGCCACTGCACCTGGCCCTCAGTTACTGATTTTTATTATTATTAAAAAAGAAATTGTGAATTGGAGTTTGCAGTTTACAAGTTCATGCTGTGATGACAGAAATACATTTCAAAGAGAATAGTCTGTCAAAGGTAGAATGAGAAAGGCATCGCGGCAAAATAGAGCTACAGAATGAAGGAAGTCATTCTAAGTATAAACACGATGAAAGAAAAGAGATTAGGGAGTCTTAGTTGTAAACTCTAAAGGTCTAAGCAATACACAATTATTTTATTTTATTTTATTTTATTTTATTTTTGAGACGGAGTCTCGCTCTTTCACCCAGGCCGGAGTGCAGTGGCGCGATCTCGGCTCACTGCAAGCTCCGCCTCCTGGGTTCACACCATTCTCCTGCCTCAGCCCCCCGAGTAGCTGGGACTACAGGTGCCTGCCACCACACCCGGCTAATTTTTTGTATTTTTAGTAGAGACGGGGTTTCACTGTGTTAGCCAGGATTGTCTTGATCTCCTGACCTCATGATCCGCCCGCCTCGGCCTCCCAAAGTGCTGGCATTACAGGCGTGAGCCACCACGCCCGGCCTAATTATTTTATTTTTCAAAAAGCCTTAGGATATTGAAAGTTAATATTTTTAAAAAATACTTCAGGATATTGAAAATTATTCTTTGGTTTACCTTGTCTGTTTCTGATTTTTACATTTAAATATGAATGTGACACATCTGAAAATGATTGACAAGATGAAAACTTGATTGTGAGGGAAGGTTAAAAATGTTAAGATTTCTTAACATAAGGTAGTAAACATGGTTGTGCCCGTCTCTTAAGAATAATGATGGGCTGGGGATGGTGGCTCACACCTGTAATCTCGGCACTTTGGGAGGCCAAGATGGGAGGATTGCTTGCGCCCAGGAGTTCAAGGGTGCGGTGAGCTATGCTCGTGCCACTGTACTTCAGCCAAAGCTACAGAGCAAGACCCTGTCTCAAAAAAAAAAAAAAAAAAAAAAAACATAATGATGGCTAAAATCTTACCATTCACGGTCTCTAGCTCCTAAGAGGAGCAAACAAGGAGATACAATAGGCTTAAATTGCACTAAGAACTTTAGTGTTTTATTAGAATCTTTTGATTGTGAAAGTGATTTTGACTGTGAAAGTGATCAAACAGTAAAAACAGAATATCAAGAGGTGTTGGAAAGTAAGTGACTAAACAGTAAAAACAGGATATCAAGAGGTGTTGGAAAGTATCATACTTGGAGACCTTCAAAGTGGACTTCATCCTTATTGCCCCACTTTTGGCAGTAAGGTTGTCTACAGAATGTTTAATTCAGGTATAGCTTGTTTAGTATTATTGTTCAGGTATAAGTAGTTCTGATTAAATAGAAAGCATCCTCATTTATCCTATCCGAAGATAATTTTTATTGTTTAAAATACCCTATAGTATTTTTCTGTTATATATTGTCATCTCCTTTCCCAGGCTCACTGACCTGTCATTTAGCCCAAACTCTGGGGACAAGGGTAGAATTGAATCAAAGGGAGAAGTTAAGCAGCAGGAGTAACCTTTTGGAAACTAAAATACTAAATGCTAGTTCAGTTTAGAGATTTTTCCACTTTGGAGTTTCACCTGTATGCATCTTCCTTATCTCAAAATTCAGGGTATGTGTGTGTGTGTAACTCTTTTAGGGTTTTTTTTTTGAGACGGAGTCTCACTCTGTTGCTCAGGCTGGAATGGGCACCATCTTGGCTCACTGCAACCTCCTCCTCCCTGGTTCAAGCGATTTCTGGCTAATTTTTGTATTTTTAGTAGAGATGGGGTTTCACCATGTTGGCCAGGCTGGTCTCGAACTCCTGACCTCAAGTGATCCACGTGCCTCGGCCTCCTGAAGTGCTAGGATTACAGGTGTGAGCCACCGTGCCCGGCCTCTTTTAGGGTTCTTACACTGTTTTTACATCTTCACTCTTGAGTCTGCGTTTTCTACTAGCCTGTTTTCCTTGAGAGTAGGGAAAGTGTCTTTCATTTTAGTGTTTCTTGTTCTTAGTATCTTTTACATGGAAGGTGCATATTAGATGTTTATTGAATCAAAGGATGGTGGTGTTCTGCTAATACCAAAAGCCTTTATTTGGGTTGCAAATTTTCTTTGGACCTTCTTTAAAGACATGTCTAGATCTTCAGTTAAATGTACTCAAATATGAAATCATTCTCATCTTCATTAATCTTATTTTGGTGCTTCTGTGTCATTCTCTATCCTTAACCGAAAATTTAAAGCCCCAAGTTAAAAAGAATTGTACTGTGTAAGGAGAAGTGGTTTTTAAGGAAGAAAAACAACCATAAAGTCCAAAAGTAGTCATCATAGAACTAGGAAGTAAGCTAGTTTTTCTACTACAATAATGTCTGATTCTAAAATATAAATGCTATTTATGGTGGCTATGTAAAAAAATGGACATGTGAGGAGAGCATAGAAACAAAACATGAGTTTGTTGGGATCTACTTAGTTTGGATTGTGATAAACGCAAAGTAGTCCACTGGGTATTTAAAAATGTATCTTTATTTGGAGGAGCAGAGTGTTGAAAACATGTCTGTGTGTACATTAGTAATATAGATACATAAAATATATACACTGTGTATAGGTATATACTAATCTTCTGTGTGCTTTTTATCTCTCCAATGCAGATATGAGTATCATTGGGCAGATGGAACGAACATAAAGAAACCTATTAAGTGCTCTGCACCAAAGTATATTGATTACTTGATGACTTGGGTTCAGGACCAGTTGGATGATGAGACGTTATTTCCATCAAAAATTGGTATAATTAATTTTTGTAAGGGGGATCCATCATGATTTATCTTTTATATGTTTATAGAATTTTCCTCCCTCTTTCCACTATATCTAGTTGGAGAGTTCTTTATGGCTGTGTTGATATATGTATATGTTACGCAGTTCCCAAGAAGAGGCACAAAAGTTTGTTAACCCAGTGGTAAAATAAGCAAGTGATCCTGTGTGAATTGAGCTTTTCCCCTTTAACTTAGTGCTTTTAAATGCTTAATTAGCTGAAAGTATAGGTTTATTAGAAAATAAATGATCTCCCTCTCTTAAGGTAATTATTTTTGATGATATTCTAGATTAAAGTATCACTGAGTTTATTTTCAGACAATGATAGCATTTTTTAACACTTTAAAAAAATTATGATCATCATTGAGAATAAACTTACTTCCCTGAAGTAAGGGAAAGGCTTAAGAAGCCCTTTCAGTAGAAAGTTCTAGATGGAGGGTTATTCCTATTCTAGGAACCATGGTAAATTACCATACATAACATATATTTTTAATCTTATGCACTTACAGGTGTTCTATGTTTTTCATACCAAATTTATCATGAACATTAAGGTAAACCCTCTATTTTATTTTATTTATTTTAATCTAAATTTTTCATTTTTTGGGAGACAAGAGTATCTCTGTATTGCCCAGGCTGGAGTGCAGTGGCGTGATCTTGGCTCACTGCAGCCTCCACCTCCCGGGTTCAAGTGATTCTCTTGCCTCAGCATCCTAAGTAACTGGGACTACAGACGCGTGCCACCACGCCCAGCTAATTTTTTTGCATTTTTAGTAGAGACAGGGTTTCACCATGTTGGCCAGGCTGGTCTCGAACTCCTGACCTCAAGTGATCTACCCACCTCGGCCTCCCAAAGTACTGGGAACCCTCTCTATAATTTTAAATGATGAGATCAGTATATCTAGGATAGTAACAAAATCTGGCCCAAAAAACAGAATGGATATTGAGTAGATTGCTAATAACATCTGCCACAGTTGTATCTACTTATTTAGGGAAGTTCATATGGCTTCTATCCAGTGTTATTTAGTAATATATTTGTGATCAAAAGGGAGTTTGAATTTATGACCCACAATATGAATCTTACAGATTCAGATATTAAGCTATGTGAGAAGAAAACAAGATTTGAGGGGTTGCTGTATCATCGGCTGAGTGACTTTGCTTTTTTGTATTTACTTTTAAGGGCAGACTTATCAAGTAGAAATTGTTTACGTTTAGATAGTCATGTTTTTGCCTTCTCAAACTTCTGACAACTGATTGTCTCAAAAAGCTAAGAATCTGCTCCTGTAATGTTAGAACTTTTTGACATTTTACGATTTTTTTTGAAAAAAAAATGTGACAACAATATAAATAGTTGTTGTTATGGAGTACTTTAAACATATTTATTGAATGCATTAACCACTTGGAACTTTTTTAATAAAAGAGCAATTTTTCAAGACTGAATTACATATATATATATATATATATATCTCTCTCTCTCAATCATAAGGGTTGGATGAGTGTCCCCACCTTATCTCTTCTCTCTCATAATACAGTTGTAAAATTTTTATTTTGATCCAATTTCAAACATTTAGAAAATTTACAAGACTTATACAAGGAAATGTAAAAAGAATCATACAAACCCTTCATCCAGATTCTTAGTCGTTAACATCTTCCTCCTTCCCTCTCCCTCTCCCGAGCCTCTTTCACACATACACATACATTCATTCATTCCTTTTCCTAAACTGTTTGAGAGTAAGTTGCGTATATGATGCCTTTAAAAACTTTAATATGTATTTCCTTAAAAAAATCAGTACAGATATCAAACTTAGGAAATTTATACTGATGCTATACTATATAGATCTCATTTGGGCTTTTCAGGTTTTCTTAATAATGTACTTTATAAGCAAAGGAAATCTTTTATATTTGTTTTATTTGTTGTCTCTTTAGCCTCCTTTGATCTGGAAATGTGCACTTTAGTCATTTTTGGTTTTTCATGACATCGATATTGTTGAGGAGTGCATATTATTTTATAGATTGTCTTTTCACTTTGGTTTATCTTATGTGTCTTTGTGAACTATAATAATTTTAAATGAGCAATAGCAATATGATGGCAATATGATGACATTGAACCCAGTAGTACCAATATTGGCTGTTTTACCAATCTGCATCATTTAGTAAGTTTAACAAAGGATATGGGATTTTATACATTTTTTAAAATAAATTTTATTGTATATATTTAAGGTATACAATATGATGTTATGAGATTATACATAATAAAATGGTTATTATAGTGGAACAGATTAACATATCCATCATCTTACATAGTTACCCTTTTTCCCCCTTGTGGTAAGAGCAGCTGTAATCTCATTTAGCAAAAATCCTGAATACAGTATACTATTCTTCTTTTAAATTTTTTTTTTTGAGACAGGGTCTCACTCTGTTGCCAAGGCTGGAGTTCAGTGGCACAGTCACATCTCACTGCAGCCTCATCTTCTGGGCTCAAGCAATCCTATCGCTTCAGCCTCCTAAGTAACTGGGGCCGCAGGTATACACCACCATACCTAGCTAATTTCTAGTTTTTTGTAGAGGCAAGGAGCCACTATGTTGCCCAGGCTGGTCTTGAACTCCTGGCTCAAGTGATACTCCCACCTTGTCCTCCCAAGCATTGGGATAATAGGTGTGAGTCACTGCCCAGCTTCAGTACACTAAGTACACTATTTGTAACTATGGTCCTCATGTTGTACATTAGATCTTTAGTCTTGTTCATTTTACGTATCTGCTACTTTCTGTCCTTTCACTTAGCTCCACCACTCCCCCTGGTAGTCACTGTTTTATTCTCTATCTCTGTATATTTGACTTAAAAAAATTCCACATATAAGTGAGGTTATACAATATTTTTCTTTTTGTGTCTGGCTTGTTTCACTTAGCATAACATCCTCCAGGTCCATCTATGTTGTGGCAAATTGCAAGATCTCTTTTTGTAGCTGAATAATATTTCATTGTGTATATATAGCACAGTTTTAAAAATCCATTCATCTGTTGATGGACACCTGGGTTGTTTCCATATCTTGGCTATTGTGGACAATGCTGTAGTGAACATAGGAGTGCAGATGCCTTTACGACTGGGTTATTTCATTTCCTTTGGGTATATGCCTAGAAGACGGATTGCTGGGTCATATGGTATTCTATTTTTAATTCTTTAGGAACCTCCATGCTGTTTTCCATAGTGGCCATACCAATCTGTGTTCCCACCAACAGTATATAAGAGTTCCCTCTTCTCCACAGGGATTTTCTATTTTTCTGCTTTTGTATTTCAGTGCTGTAAAAGTGCTGTAATTTACAAATCGATGGAATAGAGAATGCAGCTAATTTCAGGACAAATGTAGACCTGGAGTAGTAATGAAGTAATTCCCATAGAAAAAAGTACAATATAAACTGCAAGCATTTTAAACAAAACTGAAGGTGGTTAATGCATTATTTCTGTTCAGCACATATTTGTATTGAGACTTAAGAAATCCGATGATCTGAGTGTGAGTTTAAGCTCCACTACCATCTTGGGTGTGTGTGTGTGTGTTTCATTTTAGAAATGTGGTGGTAGTATGTTAGAGACATAACAGGCTGTAATGAAGACTAATTCTTATACCATAAAAACTTTGAAGTTTATTTTCATTCATGACATGTTGAGAACTTCTGAAAAGGTATAATGGGTATATGTATAAATTCATAAATGCTACTTCTTTTCAGCCTTGTCTTGGTAATTTATGTTGACCTTTGCCGACAAACTCATTGTCTTGTTGTCATCTCTTGTTACTAGAGGGAGTTGTTTATCTCTTTTCTAGGTGTCCCGTTCCCAAAGAATTTCATGTCTGTGGCAAAAACTATACTCAAACGCCTCTTTAGGGTTTATGCTCACATTTATCATCAGCATTTTGACCCTGTGATCCAGCTTCAGGAGGAAGCACATCTAAATACATCTTTCAAGCACTTTATTTTTTTTGTCCAGGTAAGTTGGATTAGGAGGCCTTTGGTGCTCAGGGTAAGCATTTATCTTCATAGTTCTAAGGTAAATACTGTATTCACACTGTCAGGATGGAATTTGCCATATCTCTGTAGTCTGCATCCTCTTCTACAGTTTTCCATGATGATAAGGACTGACTTTTTGTTTCTAAATTTTATTAGTTTCCAAGTTGATGGTATGCAAGTCTAAAATGGATTTGAAAAGTTGTGCCTTGGATTTGCTTCAGTTAACAGGCCATATGGAGGGACTGGATAATGAATCTGACTAGTTTGGCAGATCTGTGGATGAACTGGTTCTCCTGGGCATTTTAGTACTTCTCCTACTGCAGTCTGCCCTGGATCTTTATTAGCGGACTCTGGTGCAGGAATGGGTTTTGAATATCACATCTGTTTTTTGTCCTTTTGTTTTTTTTAAAACCACATTCTAAATAAGTTTTAAGTTAAGGACTATCCATCATGTCTGAGGGAAAAATATGTCACAAAGAATGTTTCTGTGCCAGAGGGCCATTAGTCTTTGGTCTGACTTCCTAGTTAACTTCCTCTTTTTTTAGTCTTCAAATAACTGGCCTTAGAAATGCAGACTAAGAGCAGTGACAGTATTCTCACCATGCTCTAATAATAAGAGAAATAACAGGCAAAAATGAAAAAGAGGTGGAAATAAAAGAGCTGACCAGTTTTTTATTGTTGCTATTATTGTTGTTGGAGGTTGAGAAGGGGAGATGGTCATCAGGAGAATAAACAATTAAACATCTTGAATTCGTGTTGTTTTTGTATATCTACAGGCATATATTTATAAATGCCTTTGCCACTTCCCCTGTTCTCTTAAGAAATTTGTATCCATCTTCCCCCTGTACACACTCCTCACACTGAAGGCACACATTTTACCTATATAAACATACTTTAGGAGATTGTAACTTGCCAAAACTGTTGCTCTCAACAGTTACTTTACTGTGGTATCCCATGTCCAGAACTCAGGAACAAAGAAAATGTTGTCCTAAAGTTTGCATCTGTGTTTGGTTTAGGCAGAACATGATTGCTAAAGTTCAGGTTGTGGTGGTTTAAGAGAGTATATTCTCCCTCCAGAAGGGTTAATTTTACTGGACTCAGTGATCTTACACTGTGTTTCCCAACTCCTAGCAAATAGCAAGGGATTGATACATAGCATTTACCACATCTGATTCTGTTTGTATCTCAGGACACTGTGAGCTTCTTAAAGGTAGGTCCATTATACAGTATCACTGTTTGATTAAGTAAGGGGGGCACCTGCCTTGGGCCCCACAATTTAGAGATACCTGCTCTGGTCCTTCTGCTGCCTGCACCCCTCCCCACAGAGTGAGGAATCCATAGGGCTAAGAATATGCCTACCTAGATCCCTTCTGTTGCTTGCTTGGGTACCTGAAACCCAGAATTCTCTGTCCACATGGTCCAAAATGTATTTCCAGGGTCTCCATGCATCTTTTTCTGGGCTCCATTCTTTTGAGGGCGGGTCCCGTCTCTGATATGTATACCTCTAGGCCTGAGAGTTTGCTGATGGCAGCTGTTTCTGAGGGCATGTGGACATTACCCAAAGTGTCCACACTCGTATGTGAGACCTCTTGAGGTGCAGGGTGGATGGGGTTGGAAAAGCAGGGAGGTTTTCTGAGGGCTAGGCACCTGGGGCTGGCTTTCCTCATGTCACTACTTTCCAGTGCAGAATCCTGAGGAGTCTGGAGAATTCTAAGTTTGAATCTGTTCTCCTGGTCGCTGTGAAAGTATATTTGTTAAGGTAGGAGGATAGAGCATGTTTTACTTAACAACATTCTAGCTTAATATAAAATTTAGTAATTTAGTCATATGATATATACCCATTTGTGTTTTTGGCCCAGACTCTACAAATCTTGGGCTTGGTCCTGTTATTAAATATCCTCTAATGCTTCTCTCCAGTATTTAACTGTAGTGCTTGGCATATGATAGATGCTAATAAATGAATTAAATTGAAACTAAGAATGCCTTACCATGGCAGAAGATCAGAAGTGTAGACAAGCCTCTATTTACTAGCCTTATAGTTTATAGTTCAGGGGAAATCTATTCAGAAGTGAACTTCAGAATGACGGGTGGAATTTCTAAAGGAGCACAAATTAAATTCAGGCTTTCTCATTTGTTCTTCACAGGACTTTAATTTATCATTTGTGGATTCAGCCATATTCGTGTTATTTTCCTACCATATCTTTTGATAGCTTGCAGATACGTTAGTTTGTAACCAGGTTTTGGCTTTTCATATAATGCTGAATTTGCCTGAGATGCTAGTGTTTTGTGTGTGTGTCTATGTCTACTTGGTTAACTGTATTTAAATGGTGTCCAGATCATTCCTTTCAACAGGAAGCAGCAACTTCCATTTATTGTTACTTTGTGTCAGGCATTACATGAAGTAGTTAACATCCAGTATCACATTTAGTCCCCACAATAATTTTATGAGATAGGGGGATTTATCCTAATGTCACAGATGTAAAAGCATAACATCAGGAGTGCTTAAGTGATTTACCCAAGACACAGACCTAGTGAACAAGAAAAAAATAATCTACTTTTATGTACTTCAAAAGCTAATTTCCAACAAATGTTCATGGTAATTTACTTTGGAATAAGATGCAAATAATGTTTTTGCTATTTATTCTGCCTTTCTTTATATCATGCATAGGAATTCAACCTTATTGATAGAAGAGAACTTGCACCACTCCAAGAACTGATTGAAAAACTCACCTCAAAAGACAGATAAAAGGATGCAGAGCTGTGCAAATTGTTCCTCAAATGAAGCAGTGTGGAGTGTATTGGGGATTTTGTTATATTTTGTTTTTATCTGGATTGTTTTTGTCCTAGGTTTGGGGGCGGGGGCTTGTTTGGGTTCCTTTTTCTTTATTCTGATTATGTGAAACCATATTCTATTGCTAGGGGAAGCCAAGAACCATTCTCTATACACTTGATAAGGGTAAATTTATCTTAGTGTTTTTAAACTTGGTTTTGGTTACTTGAGGAGTTTTTTAATAATATTGTGTGCTGCAAGAAAGTGCTTGTTGATTGAACTGCCGATGGATTGGTTTCTGTGTGGTATAAATTGTGGCCCATTTATGAAGTCCCCAAAAGAGTTATGTTTTTAAGTGCCTTGGCAGGCTCACTTCTGAGGTGCAAAACATAGATATAGAACTGAACAGGGCTTGAAACAATATTAGGATTACTACCCAGGGCACTTACTGGTGCATGTTGTAACATATCTATGATAAAAGCCATAGTTTACCTAAAATGGTGATTTCCAGCCTTTACTGCTTTGAAGAAACAGAATTTGTAAAGGTATGCATGTAGAACATAAAAAATATTTCTTAATTATTTTTTATATTGATGGTAATATATTACGTTCAACAATGCTTAAAGCTCTACAAGCAGGTCTTTTCCCACCTCTTGATATCTGTGATACTGAAACTTGAGGATGTTGAAATGTATTACATTTTGGCTTCTTTCTACATGTTAACTGCACTGTAGATGTAAAAATTCAGGTTATATATAGGATTGCCATCTTCAGAGGTGATGCTGAACTGTGAGGTTTCCTAGTAATTGCCAAATGAGCCGTAAGTCTGCAGAATTCCCTTCTACTTTGAAGAGAAGGGGATAGGAATGTATATTTGGCTGGGGGCATGGAGATGTTCGTATGTATGAGGAGTTAGGGATGGGGAGTCAAGTTCTAGAAAGTTTTGTCTGAAAACCTTTGAATAGAATGGCATGAAGATTTTAATCAATTACTTATAAACAAAGTCTTAGAGACTTCCTTTTAGGAATCAACTTCCATGAGAAGTTAAAAATAAATTATTAATTTTAGGTACAGACATTAAACATGGAATTTAAGGACTGTTGGGGGAAATTGATCACTTCTTAGCATTTCCATTCAGTGAATGGAGCTGATGTTTGCCTGTCATTTTAAGATGATACCATACCTTCTTTGGTTATTATAGGTCCAGTTTGAAGCATTCTGACTTCTGGTTTTTCCACCCTGAAAGGAAATGTTTTTCTTTGCAGCAGTATTAGATAATGAAAAATGCTAATTCAGTAGTTATTAACTTCTAAATTTTATTCGCCATGACTTTCTAGTGAATTATTACCATAAATAACAATTTCAGAAACTTAGTTTTTAGAATAAATATTAATTTTTCCACTTCAGTTTTATTCTAGAAAATACCCTTTTTAGAAATCCAGTTTTAGTTTTGTCATTTTCGATAAATCTTTCTTCAGTTAGAAATATATATCCTTCCTTCAGTTGAAACATATACCTTTTTCACATCTAGGAAGAAATGCTTGCTCTGAAATAGTATAGATTAAAAACACTCAGTAGAAAAGAATCTAAAATTAAATGAATTTGTTTTGCCATTAAAGTAGAGCAGTGATACAATTTAATGCCATTACAATTATGTTGACTAGAAACTGCCTTTTTCTCCACTTCATTTCTAGCAATTATTTACCAAGTACCAACAGTAGAAGTAACAGGAAAGCCTGGCAGAGTTAAATATCTTGGACATTTATTGGTAAAGCTTATTTATAAACTGCAGTCAGAGCTAGTTAATTTCCTTAAATCTTTTTGTATTCAGATAGATAATATGAATCATTATGGGTTGATTCAGAAATAAAATTTGTGAGGTGATTTTGAATCTTGTCCATATAGGAAAATGAAGCACAGAATTACTCAGTCTTCCATATTGTATTTGACTTCATATCAATCTAGTAAAAAAGGAGTTGCAATAGCCAAGTATAGAGAGAATAGTGAAAAATTAATCTTGCCCTTTCAAGCCTTATACAGTAGTACACTGTACTTGTTTTTAGTAGTAAGACCTACTTTCCCACTATATGTAGATAGTTTGTTTTCACTGTGCCAGAATCTCAGGTGCCTGCTTAGAGTATTTCTTTAATCACAGTCACTGGGAAGTAAGGAGATGTATATATGTGTATATATGGTAACAAAGCATAGCAGTTCTCTAGGGGAGAGGCCTGGCATTGCACATGGTGTTACATGGCTACAAGTAAGGAAAAAATCAGAAAGTGAAAGAACTGATGTAATAAAAGGTTGATTTGGTTGGTTCCCATGAAAGTTAGTAAGATGCCCTTTTAAATATAAGGATCAGTGCTTTGTTCTGCAGCAGAGTTTGCTGATAAATGTCTGTTGGATTCTTTTTGGATTTCTTTAATTAATTTGTAAGTAACCAAGATAATTATTTTCCCCCTTGCTCTCTATATTAATACGTAGCTATAAAGCAACAGTTGGTTTTCTTATCCTTTGATAAAAGCATCCCATAAAATATAAAGTAGTAAGTTAACATAGTATTATTGTCACACACAATGCTTTTTTTGGTTAAATGTTGATACGAAGCAATGTTTTGGAATTACTTTAATTGATGGAGTAGTGGTGGTAGAGAGAAATTAATAACAAAAAGAGTGAAAATATTTTAATTAGCAGTAGATGGTGCTACTGGCTTTCATTTGCTGACTTGATTATTCCCTTTCTCTTAAAAACCATGGCATTAGACTGCACTAAATTAACAAGCATGTTAGTTGCTGGTAGAGGTTTTGGAGGTTAATTTACCTTAAATTGGAAGACTTTTAATTGCAGTCTCTTTCTACCTTCCCTCTGTTAGTCATTTGTAAATTCTAAATGGTCACCATAAAATGTATTAGGTAGGAGAAGATACGTTTTATGTATAATATATCTCAGACTGAGTTACTGCCTGTCTTATCAGGATGGATAAAACACTACAGTCTCTTATCAGGAAATAGAGATGATGTGGATATTTATATATTACATATATAACCACCAGACTCCATTTTATATATTAGCATTTTCCTTGCTTATGGGAAAATAGCAAAACAACATTTCATTTATACTTTTGTTTACCCCTCTCTGAGACAGGTTTTGATAACCACTGAAATGGTAGAATATGTGAGATACAAATATTGAGTTGTAGAACTTTCTTTTTAAGGTGAATAAGTCATGCCTTAACATCCAAATAAGAGTTCATCTTCAGAGTGGTTCTTTTGGGAGCACTGTTTATTCCAGCTATACTGCAAAAGTATAATGTTTTTGGAACTGTTCTAGAGCATACCATGAAAAGCAGTTTGTTATTATGCAGGAAAATCAGTTTCATCATTTTAGTTACACTAAACACTTTTGGCAGCTTAATATGACCTTTTTAAATTTTTTTTATTTTTTTTATTTTTATTTCTTTAAGATGGAGTCTTGCTCTGTTGCCCGGGCTGGAGTACAATGGCATGATCTCAGCTCACTGCAACCTCCACCTCCTGGGTTCAAGCATTTCTCCTGCCTCAGCCTCCCAAGTAGCTGGGATTACAGGCAGCACCACACCTGGCTAATTTTCATATTTTTAGTAGAGATGGGGTTTCAACATATTGGCCAGGCTGGTCTCAAACTCCTGACCTCAAGTGATCCGCCCTCCCCAGCCTCCCAAAGTGCTGGGATTACAGGTGTGAGCCACCACAGCCAGCCAGTATGACCTATCTTAATCATCAGCTCAACTGTAATTTAAATTTGGCTGTTCTCTGGAGCTAAACCATTAGGGAAGTTCAAAGGAATGTGCCATGATTTCCGAATTTGCACAAGAGAATGTTTTAAGCATTGGTAGCATAATTGAATAAAAGAATAGTTTCCTGATGTCACTATTTTGAAGTGGAAATTATCACTTGGATGTGGAGGTTTTACTTTTTAAAAACATTCAGCTTAATTACCTTACCTTAATTACCTTAGTTAGATATACTAATGGAAAAAAACCAAGTCCTTTCTCTAGAACTTGTTTTCTATTTTTGTTCCTTTTCATGAAAACTTCTCAATTTAATTTTAACTACTGTAGGATAGTATTGATTGAATGGATACTATGGAAAAGTGGATCCAATATTTAAGATAGAAGTAGTTTAAGGAGACAACAGCCTTTACTGCCATTTTTTTTTAAATGTTTTCACTCAGATGAACAATTTGACTTTAATAAAAGACTGGAGATTTTTGTACAAAGAAATAGGAATAAGTTTCATATACTAATTATGCTGAGTTTTAAGCCTACATATCACAAAATATTTAGAATTGTATAACCTTTTCATATATTTATAACTTTTAATGTCTTTTTAAAAGATGTGGGACCAAAAATATATTTATAATTTGGAAATGTGACTGCATACCAATAAGAAAACTTACCTTATTTTGAAATTTATCTGGGATATTAAAGAATCTACCAATTCTTAAAAACACAGATTTATACTTTAAGCTTATTTTAAAATTAAAGAATATATACCAATTCTTAGAAACACTTTAAGGACTACTCTTAAATAACTTAAATATCAGAGTTTTGTTGTAATATTAAAATTTACCGTGGAAATCACTGTTGTTCAGCTATCACCTTAATTGTGTATGATATGATAAATGTTTAGCAGTAAAGCTATCTTAAGATTTAATGGAAAAGTTTAATTTGAAGATGTAACAAAAATTCTGACCACAGTTGATTCTGAATTTTTAAGGCTTTCCTAATAGGCTGATCACAGAGAATAATCCATTTTGAAGGTATAAAACTGCACTGTATGTCTGTCACTTGTAGCTGAACTGATTCACATTTTGACAAAAGAGAGAAAATACAAAAATGAGTTTTGCAAATGTAATAACTTTTTCTGCATATAGAACTAAATAATTGAAAAATATGGGCTATAGTTCTCAAAGGTAGATAGTAAAATCACTGGCTTTTTCCAGCTGTATGTTTTTCCACTGTGCGTGTACACACACACTGGAAAATAATTAGGCTGATTTTGCAGGTCTTCATTGTTAGAGATTCTGAAGTATTTACTGTCAATTCATAGGTTTCAGTTTATTTAGGAAATTAGTGTTTGACAGCTTTTTTTAAATTATTTCACTGAAGCTGAGATTATTAGTGATACAAAGTTAAAATTTCAATATTTAATTTCTCTATATATTATTAATATTAAATTGTTTTTTACTTATAAATTCATGTTCTCATCTGATTTAATATTAAATTTGTATAGGTGGGCGTTTCTTACCATTTTGCACAAGTTTTTGTTTTTCTGAAATACTTAATTGTGCAGGTTGTAAAAAAGATTAGTGCATTTTCATTTTAAGGATGCTTTGCTCCTTAAATTGTTCGACAGAAATGACTTTTTAGGGAAAGTAGTTTTTTTGGAGCTACTAACTTGTATTTATTATTGTACATGCATAACCAGGGTGGTGAGGGCACTAATCTTGTAGGAAACACTTACTTGATGTTTTATTTGAACTTTTCCTATAGGTTTAACTTTTACTGCATAGAATTAACACTAGGAACAGTGTCATGAAATCTGGGTTGAAGGAGAATACAGTATATATGAGAACACTTAAAGTTCAAATAGAAATCATTTCTGAAGACAAAAGCAGAGGAATATTGTCAGTGCCAAGTAATGGAAGAATAAGGGCGGCATTTACACTGTGCAAGTATTGAGAAGAGTGCATAAAGACAGGGAACTACTCTCATGGAGACAGTTTCTCTCTTATAATCAAGTAACTAGAAGGGGAAAAATCATCTAAGTTATGAAATCCAACATAGGCGCTATATTACAAACTGTGCCGGATTATGCAAATTGTAGTTGTTACTGATCAAAGTTTAATTGCTTCATTTTTGTTTAAAAAGGGATACTGATGTCAGAAAATCTGTAATATGTTTTATTCAAAAGATGTAAATAATGTATACAGACTTGTATGTGATGGGATGGGAAATATTTAAATTCTAGGTGTTTTTTTTTTTTTAAAGAAGAAACTCAATGTTTATAAGAAAAAAATGAATAAATAGTTACGTTTGGCCATGAATCCTGACTTTGCATTACTGTTTATTTTTGCTATAGGCATTCCCACACTAAACACATTCCAAGGGAAATATTGATGGCATATGGAATATGTTGAACATTTAAAATTTGTTAGGCACTATTTTCTGTAATGTTCACAACAACCAGTGTCTTAACATCTTAGAAAACTAAAGCTCAGAAATTGTACAAGTCACTGATTTGGATTACGGTTTTAAAACCCTACTGTGTCTGAACTTGAAACCAGTGTTTCTGTTTTACTTTTTTCACTTTTTTCTTTATTCTGCAGTATGCAGGTGTATGTTTTCTATAATATATACTATTACAGTGAGAACAGTTAGCACAGTAATAATCATTTGTTGACCTCTTCACCAAGCTATTATTTAATATTTTGTCTTCATTACAGATCATTAAGGAATATTAATAATATTGGAGAATCATTTACCAAGTTCCAAAAGGAAATGTGTATTTTATTTTATTTTATTTATGAGACGGAGTCTTGCTCTGTTGCCCAGGCTGGAGTGCAATGGCACGACCTCAGCTCACTGCAACTTCCACCTCCTGGGTTCAAGTGATTCTCCTGCCTCAGCCTCCCAAGTAGCTGGGATTACAGGCATATGCCACTATGTCCGGCTAATTTTTTGTATTTTTAGTAGAGACAGGGTTTCACCATGTTGGCCAGGCTGGTCTCAAAACTCCTGACCTAAGGTGACCCATGAGCTTTGGCTTCCCAAAGTGCTGGGATTATAGGCGTGAGCCATCGCGCCTGGCCAAAACGTGTATTTTAGAAGTCTTCTCAGAGTATCAGAAGTATTTATGTTAGAGGCATTTGTGTTTGAATCTTCAGGTTAAGAATATTTAATGGTAGTAGCCACAGTTGCTCAAAGTCACTAATGGTATTTGGGAGAAAGACTAGTTGAAATGCTAGCCAATGCTGTTGTGGACTGTGTCTGCATGCTTTAAAAACGCCCTGTGGGCCGGGCGCGGTGGCTCACGCCTGTAATCCCAGCACTTAGGGAGGCCGAGGTGGGCGGATCACGAGCTCAGGAGTTGAGACCTGCCTGGCCAATGTGGGGAAACCCCATCTCTACTAAAAAATACATTAAAAAATTAGCCGGGCACGGTGGCGCTTGCCTGTTGTCCCAGTTACTCGGGAGGCTGAGGCAGGAGAATTGCTTGAATCCGAGAGGCGGACTGTGCCACTGCACTCCAGCCTGGGCGACAGAGCAAGACTCCGTCTCAAAAAATAAAAAAATAAAAACACTCTGTTATTCATTTATTGTGTGTAAAGAAATATATATTGTAAAATTACCTACATTTTGATAATTAGGTTCATTTACCTCTGTTGTACTAAATGTATTATAAGTTGTTAATCCCTTATATAACATCTGCAATGAGCATTTTGCAACACAAAGATTCTAATTAATTATTCCTCTAAGGTTTAAACAACCATGTTTAGTAGAAGTTTTACTAAGAAATTGTACATGCTCCTGTTACAGCATGATGAATACAGTGTCACATTTTCTTGATGACCTCAGTCCACTTCACAAGCATGTAGTAAAACAGCTTTCTTTGCTAAGCTGTATACATCTGATGGCTCCTATGCTCTTCTAGTATGTTATTTTGCTTTCAGATTTCAGATTTGCAGGAAGCACACTGACTCCCACTCTTGCATTTATGATGGCTTCTGTACCCCGTTTTCTAGGCACTAATGAAGATTACAAGGGGAAATTTATAACCAAGCTTATTAAGTTGATAAATATCATTTTACAGAAGTAGTTGAGTTTGTGTAGACAAACTCATGGGCTGTGTAACCACTACTTAATGTTCAGGGTCTCTTATTTTTTCTGCTTTTTATTATTTTCTGGGTTGATTTAGTTTTCCTAATAAACCTGTATGTTGTCAGTCAGAACGCTGTCTCATTCTTTAGTTACACTAGAATTCCCACAGGAGAAAATTCCCAAATTGAAGGAGTAGTAAAATTTCTGGTAAGAAAGGATTAGGTGGCAGCACGATCATGACTGGCTGGGTGCGCTGTATCCTGTCTCTTATCTGCAGTTTCAAAACCTGAAAAGCTCAGAAAACCAAAATTTTTTTGTTTGTTTTTTTGAGACGGGGTCTCACTCTCATCCAGGCTGGAGTGCAGTGGCATGATCTTGGCTTAATGCAACTTCCGCCTCCCGGGTGCAAGCGATTCTCCAGCTTCAGCCTCCCGAGTAGCTGGGACCACAGGCACACACCACCACGCCCGGCTAGTTTTTGTATCTTTAGTAGAGACAGGGTTTCGCCATGTTGGCCAGGTTGGTCTCGAACTCCTGAACTCAGGTAATCTGTCCATCTCGGCCTCCCACAGTGTTGGGATTACAGGCGTGAGCCACCGTGCTTGGCCCCAAAGGTATTTTTTTTGAATTCAGTGCAAACTTATTCTGACCAGATGTTAATAGTCTTTATCCCACTTCATGTTAACACTCTTTGTTTCACTGCAAAATATTAGTGCATTTGATTTAACACCTCTGCAGGGGGAGTGGGGGTGCTTACTTAATAATTAATATACAGTATATGCACTGTATCGTTTCTAAAGTTTCGATTCCAAATTTTATTATTGAGACGGGGTCTTGCTGCTGTGTCACTCAGGCTGGCATGCAGTGGCGCGATCATAGCTTACTAAAGCTAAAACTTTGCAGGCCCAAACCATCCTCCCACCTCAGCCTCCTGAGTAGCTGGGACCACAGGTGTGTGCCACCACAACCAGCTAATTTTTGTATTTTTTCTATTAGTTTCGCCATGTTTCCCTGGTTGGTCTCGAATTCCTGAGCTCAAGCATTCCAGAGTACCTCCCAAAGTGCTGGGATTATAGGCAAGAGCCACTGCGTCCAGCCAGTTCCAAAGTTTAGAATTTCTTTTCTAAAAATCTTTTCTAAAAGTTTTAAATTCTGAAACATCTGGCTGCCAGGGTTTTAGATAAGAGATTGTGGACCAAAAATCAAGATGTTTTGAAAAGTGCTTTTCTCTGTTCTCTCCTTGTGTTACCCCCAGGTCATGTAGGAAAATGGGAAATTATGCTGGACTTAATGCCAAAAAAGCTAGATTCTTTGCTTCCCCCATTTACTTTGTTGTTGTTAGTTGAGACAGGATCTCACTGGAGTACAGTGGCATGATCTTGGCTCACTGCAGCCTTGACTCCCTGGCTTCGGTAATTCTCCCACCTCAGCCTCCCAAATAGTTGGGACTACAGGCGCCTGGCTAATTTTTCTATTTTTTGTAGAGACAAGAGTTTTGCCATGTTGCCCAGGCTAGTCTCAAACTCCTGGGCTCAAGCGATTCACCTGCCTCGGCCTCCCACATTTGTATTTTTCAAAGTATACTCTTAAGCTCAGATGAATTCAAGTTTTTGCAGCCAGAAACTGGTAGAACTGGTGTTTGAAATCTTTCATTTTCCAGTGCTTAAACTCTTCATCATTGTAAGATACTTCTTGTGTGGGTCTTTTTTGTGGAAACCACACTTGGAGATTTCTACTCCTTAACCCCAAGCCTCTTTATGACATCCATCCAGGACCAGCTCTGCTTTCCTGTTGAAGGTCTCAAGAGACTTGCCTTCCTCCTCTCGGTAGCTGCCAGTACTCTTACCATTTCATGAGTTTTCCCCCAAGCTTGGCTGTGAAATGTGATACCTATTAGCTTCCGCAGCACCTTTCTCCCAACTTCCTTGCTATACCTGATGACAACTCTTCAGGCCTCTTATATTCCTAGGATCTTGCTATTAATCACTATAGGGATAAGTAAAAGTAATATATACAAAATAATTGCATAACAGAATAATATAGGGCAGTTACATAGAATGATTCTTGCTGTTTAATCCTGGAAAATGTGATCCCCGAGGATTCACATTTTAATTTCTGCTCTTTATTTCTGAGGATGGAGTCACCGTTTTCCCCTTCTGGCTACACATTTAGATGCATTTCAGGTCTGATGATAGTTGCAATGTAAAAAAGAATAGCAAGGCCTTTGGTTTCTGTAGACAATTTGGACCAGATAACTTCCAGACTGGGTAATATCCGGTTTATTAGTGTTACTGGATGGGAAGTCTTGACTGAGTTGTCTGGGTTTTTGGCGTGTTGAACAAAGAATTGAACAAAACGTAGAAACAAAGCAACAAAAGAAGCAACGAAAGACAAAACAACAAAAGAACGAAGTAACAAAAGCACAAATTTATTGAAGCGAACCAAGTGCTTCAAGAGTCCCAATTGCAGTGTTCTTAAGGGTTACTAGGCTAAAAGAATTTGGTAAATCCCTAGGTGCCCTTTACAGTCGTCCAATTGGTTGCACCCTATGAAGGATTGGCCTGCGACCAATCAGAGGCTGAAATGGAGATGGCCGAGGACAATCAGAGGCGATGTGGAAACTTCTGTCTTGTAATCACAGGAGTGAAGGTGTGGCCTGTATGCTGCCTAGTCTTGCCTAGAAATTGCTGCACCTGCTGTTCTTTTGCTTATGCCTTAACCCTTGGTTACCCTAATTCCCTATTCTCTTGCCTCATTAGGTCTTTACCCTGACTAAAAATGCACTCATCTAGCTGGGACAAATCCTACACTGCATTTGTCCCATCTAGATGAGTATTCTAGCAGAGTACATGGCACATGAGTAGGCATTCAAAAATTCAACATACAGTACATTTTGTTACCTATGTGCCAGGTGTCGGGCAGGCTGAGTTAACAGCTGAACAGAAACCTACCTACCCAACGTGCTAACTTCTATACAGCATGGTCGTGCATCCAAATCAAATGGAAAGCGGTATGGGAGATCTGGAAAGGCCTCCTGTGGGTGGCATCTGACTACCTAAATTCCCATCCCAGTTTCACTTACTGACTTTGACACTTGGAACAAGCAGCCTCTCAGTGCCTGTTTTCCCACTGGCAGGTAAATGGGCTAATGACGGTATTTCTGGCACTAGACTTCGTTAATTAATGAAAAGCACATAGAAGAAAACAGCCTGGCTCTCTAAGTGGGCAGTGCGATTCCCAAGGACGGCACTTCGCCTGATAGTCTTCCTCTAGGCTGAGAAGCCAGAGTAAATCCATTTGATTTTCCTACCACACAGTGCCTTCTCCCCAGATGAGTTCAAAGCTTTAAGTCTATCCAGTTCTGTCCAGACGCGTCTGTTCATCTCCAACAGGCCCACTAGAGAGGCGGGTTTTCCAAAGCCTGGCACGGCCCACTGCAGGTGACGCCCTCTGCCCTCCAGCGCCCTCAGGCCTCTGGGGTCCACCCTTCCTCCCCACCCGACTCCGGAACCTCTTCCCGCGCCCTGCCCGGGCGCCTGGCTGCTTGGGGTAGAGGCCTTCCGCCACACGCGCGGCCCCGCCCCGGCCTTCACGTGACCTGGCGTGCGGAGCGCGCACGCGGGAACCCGCGCTGGAGGCGGGCGAGGGCCGAGGGGCAGCTAGGGAGCGCGGCTTGAGGAGGGCGGGGCCGCCCCGCAGGCCCGCCAGTGTCCTCAGCTGCCTCCGCGCGCCAAAGTCAAACCCCGACACCCGCCGGCGGGCCGGTGAGCTCACTAGCTGACCCGGCAGGTCAGGATCTGGCTTAGCGGCGCCGCGAGCTCCAGTGCGCGCACCCGTGGCCGCCTCCCAGCCCTCTTTGCCGGACGAGCTCTGGGCCGCCACAAGACTAAGGAATGGCCACCCCGCCCAAGAGAAGCTGCCCGTCTTTCTCAGCCAGCTCTGAGGGGACCCGCATCAAGAAAATCTCCATCGAAGGGAACATCGGTAAGGAGCCTCCGGAAATGTGGGACGCAAGGCTGGGGTGTCGCGGCAGTGGCTGAAGCTTCCCTTCGCCGCATCTCTCTGCAGCAACTCGGTGAGGGCTTTCCCTCCAGCCTGGCGGTGTGGACGCGGCCTCGGCTTCCTTTCCCACCCAGAGCATCCTTCCCTTACCTCCCGCTCCACGGGGTGACTGCGGTCCCCGGGGTCAGACTGGGCGCCAGGCCTGCGGTCTCTGTGAGGCGCGCTTTGAACCTCTGCTCCCTCTTTGTTGGGAACTCGCAAAGGGAAGCGGGGGAAGGGTATTAGATTTCTTGAGGTGTAACTTACATTAAATTCACCCTTTTTAGGTGTACTCTTCTATGAGGTTTGACAAACATTATGCCTTTTGCTATCACCATGATCGAGATACAGAACATTTTCATCACCTTAGAAAGTTCCTACCTGCTCCTTTGTATTCAGCCCCCTCCACCCTTCCTATTCCCTGGCACCCACTGATTTGATTTCTATCCCTGCAAGTGTTGCCTTTTCCAGAATGCCATATAAATGGAATCATAGGCTATATCGCCTTTTGTGTCTGGCGTCTTTCATTTAGCATAATGCTTTTGAAATTCATTCATGTTACTTGTGTCTGTAGTTTGTTTCTTTTTATTGCTGAGTAGTATTCCATTGCATGGATGTACCATCGTTTATCCATTTTCTAGTTGTGGACCTCAGGGTTGTTTACAGTTTTTTAGCTATATTATTAGCGAAGCATTGTTTTAGCTATATTATTAACGAAACTCGAAACATTCGAGTACAAGCAAAGAGGTCTTTAATGATCTTAATAGCATGGAGTTCCTCACCCCTTACTCCACATCCAAGTAAACATTGGATTATGATTCAAAGACCACTAACGTTTCTGTTAACTCAGATGGGGGGCAGACTAGGCCATGCCTGTCACTTTGCAAGATACACACCAACGTCCGATTCTTCTGTATCTCCAACCACAGGAAACCTACCCCTGAAACTTCCTGTTTTGATAGATTTAAAAAAAAATTTTTTTAGCTCCAGGTTGGGTGCTGGTCATTCATGCATACAGCAAATTTTTTAAAATTCTTACCACATTCAAAGCACTGTACCTTCTTGAAAAAGGCCAGGCAAGCAGATGCTTTAAGCATTCAAATGAATAGAAAAACTGCATTCTCAAAGAGGACTTCTTATTTCATTGCTCCAGAATTAAAGCACCAGTAGAAAGACCATATGATATAATTAGCAATGTAAGTTATTTGAGGGTGCATGTTTACTAGTATGGAATCTCTGACAGCTGCTTACTGAATAAAGAAGACCATATATAAAGACAGGAGAAAGTGGCTGAACAAAGCCATCTGAAAAGTAAATTTGAGGCAGGGCATGGAGGCTCATACTTGTAATCCCAGGATTTGGGGAGGCTTAGGCAAGAGGATCACTTGAGTCCAGGAGTTCCAGATCAGCCTGGGCAACATAGTGAGAACTCATCTCCACAAAAAAATTAAAAAATTAGTTGCATGTGTTGGTGTGCCTCCAGCTACTCAGGAGGCTGAGGCAGGAGGATTGCTTGAGCCCAAAGATCAAGGCCACAGTGAGCCATGATCACACTACTGCACTCTAGCCTGGGTGACAGAGCAAGACTCTGTTAAAAACACAGAAACAAAACAGTAAAGTTGAATGAATAACCCCTCGGATCAATACCACAATACATTCATCCCCTTTCCCTCTCTCCAATCCAGTTAGGTAGCATCATATTTAGAAATATTTCCTCAAAGCATCTTTAATCTTTTCAGCAGCTGAAATAATTTCCTAATATATCATCCCATCTCCAGTTTCTCTTAACTACTTCTGCAACGGTCTTTTTGTATGCAAATGTCATGTGTTATCCCCTGCTTAAAATTCTTCACTGATTTTGCCTTTACCTACACTGAAAGTAGTTGTGAACTGATAGCCTGCAATTGCACAATATTGGCCTGCACAGGTTGAAAAAAAATTTTACTGGCCAGTGGCTCAAGCTTGTAATCCCAGTGCTTTGGGAGGCTGAGGCAGGAGGATTGCTTGAGGCCAGGAGTTTGAGACTAGCATGGCAACATAGTGAGAACTAGTCTCTAAGAAAAATAAAAATAAAATTAGGCCAGGCACAGTGGATCACGCCTGTAGCTCCAACTACTCAGGCGGCTGATGCTGATGTGGGAGGATCACTTGAATGTGGGAGGCAGAAGTTGCAGTGAGCTGAGATGGCACCACTGCACCCCAGCCTGGGTGACAGAGTCTCAAAAAAAAAAAAAAAGCCAGTTGTGTTAGCATGCACGTTTAGTCCTAGCTACTCAGGAGGCTGAGGTGGAGATCTTTGAGACCTATAGTTTGAGGCTGCCGTGAGCTGTGGTTGTGCCACTGCCCTACAGCCTGGGCTACAGAGTGAGACCCTGTGTCTAAAGAAAAAAAAATTAAATTTGTTGCTAACTCGAAAACGTTTTGAGATTTCCCATAAACAATTAGATTCTTGGCTTCTTTTGAAAAATCTGAAGATCTGTTAACACCGGGCCTGCATTTCTGTATGACAACAATTGGTGTTTAGATGGAGCATGTTCCTTGCCATTTTTCGTCTCCCTGACACTGAGACTTTGTTAGTTACTGTTCATTATTGGTCTTGCACTTTTGTTCATGTCTCCTTCACCTTATTTGCCAGATCCAAATAAGCTGTAAATGCACAAATTGTTAAGCTGTGCGTAAACTATTTTGCAATTCCTCTATTTTTCCTAGAATTTGAACTTTACTTGGTCGTTTTAGTTTTATATTTATATAACCCATCTTCTTATGTTCTGTGTTACTCAAATGTTCCCTTATGTTAGATTGATGGAGGACTTACCTGCTTCTCATCTTAATAGTCTGTTCAGAATGACTTTCAGCATTATAATGCCTGCTTGGCATTAGGAATTCTGTTAGTTTCCATGACTTTTTAAAGTATTAACATCAGTGTCTTTGGTTCTTGTTCTCCTTTGCCTTCATAGAAAATTAATTTATTAATTAGCTTATTTTCTAGCTCCCACTTTGCCCCAATAAGTTAAGGAACTAGATGTGTTAGTGTGATTGGGAACTCTAGCTGTTATTACTCTGCTTGAACTAAATGTAACTGTTATTACTCTTAGACTTTTTAAGTATGACCATATGAATTTTTCTGCTTGTAAGCAGTGTCAGAAGAAAGTTGAATGCTGTAGCCTTAAGTGCTTTCAGACTCTGGTGGATGCCTAATTTTTTTATTTGTTCCTTGGGTGCTATTTCTGAACATCATGTTCTCCTTTCCCTCTTCCATCTAGCTCAGTGAATGTGGGGTGTTCTTTCTATATGCTTTCACTTCCACTTAACATTCTTCTAAATGCTGTACAGTCCCTAAGCTTACACTCTCCATACTAAATTTTGGTGGCCAGTGTTTTTACCATGATTAAATCTCACTGTTATCCAGTTTATCGTTAAAAGTTTTTCTCCTCTCCTCTGGATACAGTTTACTTTGTGTTTTTCTTCTAAACTGTCTACCTGTGTCACCTTCTTTACTGCCTCGCTCCTGTTTTTTCTCTGTGTGTAATTCTTTAAAGTTCTTCCAGGTTTTTCTTCTTTTCTATTGCCCTGTCTAATGTCCTAGATTTAAATATAGTTCTGCAAGTCAAAGGTAAGTTCTTTCTACTCCCCATGGATCTAATTTATAAGGAAGAGGAAGCTTTGCTTGTAAGTATATTGAAGTTATTTATATGTTCATCTGTGTGTGTGTGCACGCACACACAGGGAAAGAGAGAGAACATTATGCTAACCAGAGATGTCTAATACAACCACATTTGGTGACTTCAGATATAAAGGGTGTGGTGGCCATTAGGAGTATTACTTCTAGGTCAAGACTGTCCCTACTATTAAATATAATATATTGTTAAACTAAACGTAATAAAAAACAAATGTGCTTAATGAAATTGGGCAGGGAGCCTTTTCATTTTCTTCTAAAGAAATATGAAGAGAAAGTTTAGAAAGTTGAATGTTTTGGGCTTTTTATGTTGCTTGCTATTGTAAATCTTGCAAAAGCTAATGACTACTTGACATCTTTTTTTCCTGACAACTTTTCTTCCTCAATTTTATCTTTCCTCACAACAGCTGCAGGGAAGTCAACATTTGTGAATATCCTTAAACAATTGTGTGAAGATTGGGAAGTGGTTCCTGAACCTGTTGCCAGATGGTGCAATGTTCAAAGTACTCAAGATGAATTTGAGGTATGAAAATAAAATTTAAGTAGATAAAAGCCTCTTGGTTTAGAGGAGCAGTAGTACTTAATCTCTTTTTCTTTTTCTTTTTCAATAAAACTTTCAAATCTCGCTTTAGGTATATATCTTCATCTAGGTGGTGGTTACATGGATATATATACAGTTGGCTCTCCATATCAATGGGTTTCAGATTGATATGGATTCAACCAATCATGAATAGAAAATATTCAGAAAGAAATAATACAAAAAAATACAAATAATAAAGGATTACTGTTCATATAGCATTTACATTGTATTAAGTATTATAAGTAATCTAGAGATGATTTATACTATTTGGGAGGATATATGCAGATACTACACCATTTTACATAAAGGACTTGAGTATATGTGGATGTTGGTATCTGTGTGGAACCTGGAATCAATTCTTGAGGTTACTGAGGGGTGACTATATGTTTAAACATGCATTGAGGCCGGGGTTGGTGGCTCACGCTTGTAATCCCAGCACTTTGGGAGGCTGAGGCGGGCGGATCACTTGAGGTGAGGAGTTCAAGACCAGCCTCGTTAACATGGTGAAATGCCGTCTCTACTAAAAATACAAAACTTAGCTGAACGTGGTGGTGGGCACCTGAATTCCACCTGCTTGTAAAGCCGAGGTAGGAGAATTTCTTGAACCCAGGCAGCGGAGGTTGCAGTGAGCTGAGATGGCGCCACTGTGCTCCAGCCTGGGTGACAGAATGAGACACTGTCTCAACAAAAAAAAAAAAAGGAAAGTAAAATTTATCAAACTATGCATTCAAGATTTATGCACTTTAAGTAAAGTATAAAAGTTTTCTTTTTCATAAAAATTTCTTTTTTTGTTGTTATCCTTTAAGTTCTGGGATACATGTGCAGAACGTGCAGGTTTGTTATGTAGATATACACATGCCATGGTGGTTTGCTGCACCCGTCAACCCGTCATCTACATTAGGTATTTCTCCTAATGCTAACCCTTCCCTTGCCTCCTACCCCACCGACAGGCCCTGGTGTGTGATGTTCCCCTCCCTGTGCCCATGTGTTCTCATTGTTCAACTCCCACTTACAAGTTAGAACATGCGGTGTTTGGTTTCCTGTTCCTGTGTTAGCTTGCTGAGATTGATGGTTTCCAGCTTCATCCATGTCCCTGCAAAGGTTATGAACTCATTCTTTTATTATGGCTGCATAGTATTCTTTGGTGTATATGTGCCACATTTTGTTTATCCAGTCTATCATTGATGGGCATTTGGGTTGGTTCCAAGTCTTTGCTATTGTGAATAGCGCTGGAGTAAACATACATATGCATGTGTCTTTATGGTAGAATAATTTATAATCCTTTGGGTATATACCCAGTAATGGGATGGCTGGGTCAAATGGTATTTCTGGTTCTAGATCCTTGAGGAATCGCCACACTATCTTCCACAGTGGTTGAACTAATTTACACTCCCACTAACAGTGTAAAAGCATTCCTATTTCTCCACATCCTCTCCAGCATCTGTTGTTTCCTGACTTTTTAATGATCACCATTCTAACTGGTGTGAGATGGTATCTCATTGTGGGTTTGGTTTGCATTTCTCTAATGACTGGTGATGATGAGCTTTTTTTCATGTTTGTTGGCTGCATAAATGTCTTCTTTTGAAAAGTGTCTGTTCATATCATTTGCCCACTTTCTGATTGGGTTGTTTGTTTTTTTTTCTTGTAAATTTGTTTAAGTTCCTTGTAGATTTTGGATATTAGCCCTTTGTCTGATGGGTAGATTGCAAAAATTTTCTCCCATTTTGTAGGTTGCCTGTTTACTTGGATGATAGTTTCTTTTACTGTGCAGAAGCTCCTTAGTTTAATTAGATCCCATTTGTCAGTTTTGGCTTTTGTTAACACTGCTTTTGGTGTTTTAGTCATGAAGTCTTTGCTCATGCCTATGTCCTGAATGGTATTGCCTATGTTTTCTTCAGAGTTTTTATGATTTTAGGTCTTATGTTTAAATCTTTAATCCATCTTGAATTAATTTTTGTATAAGGTGTAAGGAAGGGGTCCAGTTTCCGTTTTCTGCATATGGCTAGCCAGTTTTCCCAGCACCATTTATTAAATAGGGAATCCTTTCCCCATTGCTTGTTTTTGTCAGGTTTGTCAAAGATCAGATGGTTGTAGACGTGTGGTATTATTTCTGAGGGCTCTGTTCTGTTCCATTGGTCTATAGCTCTGTTTTGGTACAATACCATGCCGTTTTGGTTACTGTAGCCTTGTAGTATAGTTTGAAGTCAGGTAGCATGAGGCCTCAAGCCTTGTTCTTTTTGCTTAGGATTGTCTTGGCTATACGGGCTCTTTTTTGGTTCCATATGAAATTTAAGGTAGTTTTTTCTAATTCTGTGAAGAAAGTCAATGGTAGCTTGATGGGAATAGCATTGAATCTGTAAATTACTTTGGGCAGTATGGCCATTTTCACAATATTGATTTTTCCTATCTATGAGCATGGAATGTTTTACCATTTGTTTGTGTCCTCTCTTCTTTCCTTGAGCAGTGGTTTGTAGTTCTCCTTGAAGAGGTCCTTCACATCCGTTGTAAGTTGTATTCCTAGGTATTTTATTCTCTTTGTAGCAATTGTGAATGGGAATTCACTCATGATTTGGTTCTCTGTCTGTTAGTGGTGTATAGGAATGCTTGTGATTTTTGCCCATTGATTTTGTATCCTGAGACTTTACTGAAGTTGCTTGTCACCATAAGGGATTATGGGCTGAGATGATGGGGTTTTCTAAATATACAGTCATCATCTGCAAACAGAGATAATTTGACTTCCCCTCTTCCTATCTGAATCCCCTTTATTTCTTTCTCTTGCCTGATTGCCCTGGCCAGACCTTCCAATACTATGTTGAATAGGAGAGGTGAGAGAGGGCATCCTTATCCTGTGCCGATTTTTGAAGGGAATGGTATCGGCTGTGGGTTTGTCATAAATAGCTCTTATTTTGAGATACATTTCATCAATACCTAGTTTATTGAGAGTTTTTAGCATGAAGGGATGTTGAATTTTATTGAAGGCCTTTTTTGCATCTATTGAGATAATCATGCGGTTTTTGTCATTGGTTCTGTTTATGTGATAGATTATGTTTTATTGATTTGAGTATGTTGAACCAGCCCTGCATCCCAGGGATGAAGCCGACTTGATCGTGGTAGATGAGCTTTTTAATGTGCTACTGGATTCGGTTTGCCAGTATTTTATTGAGGATTTTCGCATCGATGTTCATCAGGGATATTGGCCTGACATTTTCTTTTTTTTGTTGTGTCTCTGCCAGGTTTTTGTATTAGGGTGATGCTGGCCTCAAAAAATGAGTTAGGGAGGAGTCCCTCTTTTTCTATTGTTTGGAAGTTTCAGAAGGAATAGTACCAGTTCCTCTTTCTACCTGTGGTAGAATTCAGCTGTGAATCCATCTGGTCCTGGGCTTTTTTTTGGTTGGTAGGATATTATTGCCTCAATTTCAGAACTTTTTATTGGTCTGTTCATTAAACCAGAGTTCTTCCTGGTTTAATCTTGGGAGGGCGTATGTGTCCAGGAGTTTATCCATTTCTTCCAGATTTTCTAGTTTATTTGCGTGGAGGTGTTTATAGTGTTCTCTGATGGTAGTTTGTATTTCTGTGGGATCAGTGGTGATCCTTTATTGTGTCTATTTGATTCTTCCCGCTTTTCTTCTTTATTATTCTGGCTAGTGGTCTATCTATTTTGTTAATCTTTTCGAAGAACCAGCTTCTGGATTCATTGATTTTTTGAAGAGTTTTTCGTGTCTCTATCTCCTTCAGTTCTGCTCTGATCTTAGTTATTTCTTGTGTTCTGCTAGCTTTTGAATTTGTTTGCTCTTGCTTCTCTAGTTCTTTTAATTGTGATGTTAGGGTGTCGATTTTAGATCTTTCCTGCTTTCTCATGTGGGCACTTAGTGCTATAAATTTCCCTCTAAACACTACTTTAGCTGTGTCCCAGAGATTGTGGTACGTTATGTCTTTGTTCTCATTGGTTGCAAAGAACTTATTTATTTCTGCCCTAATTTCGTTATTTACCCGGTAGTCATTCAGGAGTTGTTCAGTTTCCATGTAGTTGTGCAGTTTTGAGTGAGTTTCTTAATCCTGAGTTCTAATTTGATTGCACTGTGGTCTGACAGACTGTTATGATTTCCATTCTTTTGCATTTGCTGAGGAATGTTTTACTTCCAATTATGTGGTCAATTTTAGAGTAAGTGCACTGTGGTACTGAGAATAATGTATATTCTGTTGATTTGGGGTGGAGAGTTCTCTAGATGTCTTTCAGGTCTGCTTGGTCCAGAGCTGAGTTCAAGTCCTGAATATCCTTGTTAATTTTCTGTCTTGTTGATCTAATATTGACAGTGGGGTGTTAAAGTCTCCCACTGTTATTATGTGGGAGTCTAGGTCTCTTTGTGGGTTTCTAAGAACTTGCATTTTGAATCTGGGTGCTCCTGTATTGGGTGCATATCTATTTAGGATAGTTAGCTCTTGTTGTTGCATTGAACCCTTTACCATTATGTAATGCCCTTTGTCTTTTTTTCATGCTTATTGATTTAAAGTCTGTTTTATCTGAGACTAGGATTGCAACCCCTGCCTTTTTTTTGCTTTCCATTTGCTTGGTAAATCTTCCTCCATCCCTTTATTTTGAGCCTTTGTGTGTCTTTGCATGTGAGATGCGACTCCTGAATACCGCACACTGATGGGTCTTAACTCTGTCTAATTTGCCACTCTGTGTCTTTCAACTGGGGCATTTAGCCCATTTACATTTAAGGTTAATATTGTTATGTGTGAATTTGATCCTGTTATTATGATGCTAGCTGGTTATTTTGCCTGTTAGTTGATGCAGTTTCTTCATAGTGTCGATGGTCTTTACATTTTGGTATGTTTTTGCAGTGGCTGGTACCGGTTTTTCCTTTCCATATTTAATGCTTCCTTCAGGAGCTCTTGTAAGGCAGGCCTTGTGGTGATAAAATCCCTCTACATTTGCCTGTCTGTAAAGGATTTTATTTCTCCTTCACTTATGAAGCTTAGTTTGACTGGTTATGAAATTCTGGGTTGAAAATTCTTTTCTTTAAGAATGTTGAATGTTAGTCCCCACTCTCTTCTGGCTTGTAGGGTTTCTGCCGAGAGATCTGCTGTTAGTCTGATGGGCTTCCCTTTGTGGGTAACCCGACCTTTCTCTCTGGCTGCGCTTAACATTTTTTCCCTCATTTTAACCTTGGTGAATCTGACGATTATGTGTCTTGGCGTTGCTCTTCTCAAGGGCATCTTTGTGATGTTTTCTGTATTTCCTGGATTTGAATGTTGGCCTGTCTTGCTAGGTTGGGGAAGTTCTCCTGGATAATAATCCTGAAATGTGTTTTCCAACTTGGTTCCATTCGTCAGTTTCAGGTATACCAGTCAAACGTAGGTTTGGTCTTTTCACATAGTCCCATATTTCTTGGGAGGCTTTGTTTGTTCCTTTTCATTCTGTTTTCTCTAATCTTATCTTCACGCTTTATTTTTATTAAGTTTTTCTTCAATCTCTGATATCCTTTCTTCCACTTAATCGATTCGGCTATTGATACTTGTGTATGCTTCACCAAGTTCTCATGCTGTGTTTTTCAGCTCCATCAGGTCATTTATGTTCTTCTGTAAACTGGTTATTCTAGTTAGCAGTTCCTGTAACCGTTTATCAAGGTTCTTAGTTCCTTGCATTGGGTTAGAACGTGCTGCTTTAGCTCAGTGGAGTTTGTTATTAACCCACCTTCTGAGGCCTACTTCTGTCAATTCGTCACACTTATTCTCCATCCAGCTTTGTTCTCTTGCTGGCGAGGAGTTGTGGTCCTTTGGAGGAGAAAAGACATTCTGGTTTTTGGAATTTTTAGCTTTTTTGCACTGGCTTTTCTTCATCTTTGTGGATTTATCTACCTTTGGTCTTTGATGTTGGTGAACTTCAGATGGGGTTTTTGCGTGGTTGTCCTTTTTGTTGATGTTGATGCTATTGCTTTTTGTTTGTTAGTTTCCTTCTAACAGTCAGGCCCCTCTGCTGCAAGTCTGCTGGAGTTTGCTGGAGGTCCACTGCAGATCCTGTTTGCCTGGGTATCACCAGCGGAGGCTGCAGAACAGCAAAGATTGCTGCCTGCTCCTTCCTCAGGAAGCTTTGTCCCAGAGGGGCACCTGCCAGAGGCTAGCCAGAGCTCTCTTATATGAGGTGTCTGCCGACCCCTGCTGGGAGCTGTGTCCTAGTCAGGAGGCATGGGGGTCATGGACCCACTTGAGGATGCTGCCTGTCCTTTAGCAGAGCTTGAGCGCTGCGCTGGGAGTTCCACTGCTCTCTTCAGAGCCAGCAGGCAGGATTGTTTAAGTCTGCTGAGGCTGCACTCACAGCCACGCCTTCCCCCAGATGCTCTGTCCCAGGGAGATGGGAGTTTGATCTGTAAGTCCCTGACGGGGGCTGCTGCCTTTCTTTCAGAGATGCCCTGCCCAGAGAGGAGGAATCTAGAGAGGCAGTCTAGCTTCAGGGGTTTGCCAAGCTGTGGTGGGCTCTGCCCAGCTTGAACTTCCAGGTGGTTTTGTTTACACTGTGAGGGGAAAACCACCTACTGAAGTCTCAGTAATGGCGGGCACCCCTCCCCCCACCAAGCTTCAGTGTCTCAGGTTGACTTCAGACTGCTGTGCTGGCAGTGAGAATTTCAAGCCAGTGGATCTTAGCTTGCTGGGCTCCGTGGGGGTGGGATCTGCTGAGCAAGACCACTTGGCTCCCTGGCTTCAGCCCCCTTGGCTCCCTGGCTTCAGCCCCCTTTCTAGGGGAGTGAACGGTTCTGTCTCGCTGGCATTCCAGGCACCACTGGGGTATGAAAAAAAACTCCTGCAGCTAACTCCGTGTCTGCCCAAATGGCTGTCCAGTTTTGTGCTTGAAACCCAGGGCCCTTGTGTAGGCACCCGAGGGAATCTCCTGGTCTGCGGGTTGTGAAGACTGTGGGAAAAAGCCTAGTATCTGGGCTGGATAGCACCATCCCTCAAGGCTTCCCTTGGCTAGGGGAGGGAGTTCCCCCACCCCTTTCACCTTCCAGGTGAGGCGATGCCCCACCCTGCTTCTGCTTGGCCTCTGTGGGCTGCACCCACTGTATAACCAGTCCCAATGAGATGAATTGGGTACTTCAGTCGGAAATGCAGAAATCACCCGTCTTCTGCATTGGTCTCACTGGGAGCTGCAGACCAGAGCTGTTCCTATTTGGCCATCTTGCCTGGGAATCTAAAAGTTTTTAAAAAGTTAAATAATAAAAGTTTTAAAAAATCTAACAGCAAATTAAATTCCTTCATTGTCTTTTCTAATTTTTTTTTTTTTTTGAGATGGAGTTTCGCTTTTGTTGCCCAGGCTGGAGTGCAATGGCTCGATCTTGGCTCACCACAACCTCCGCCTCCCGGGTTCAAGCGATTCTCCTGCCTCAGCCTCCCAAGTAGCTGGGATTACAAGCATGGGCCACCATGCCTGGCTAATTTTTTTTACTAGAGATGGGGTTTCTCCATGTTGGTCAGGCTGGGCCCAAACTCCTGACCTCAGGTGATCCGCCTGCCTCAGCCTCCCAAAATGTTTGGATTACAGGCCTGAGCCACTATGCCCAACCCTTCAGTGTCTTTTCACATTTTGTTTAAAAACAAGCAAATAAGGCCGGGTGCGGTGGCTCACACCTGTAATCCCAGCCCTTTGGGAGGCCGAGGCAGGTGGATCGCCTGAGGTCAGGAGTTCGAGACCAGCCTGGCCAACATGGTGAAACCCTGTCTCCACTAAACATACAAAAATTAGCTGGGCGTGGTGGTGGGCGCCTGTAATCCCAGCTACTCAGGAGGCTGAGGCGGGAGAATTGCTTGAACCCGGGAGGTGGAGGTTGCAGTGAGCCGAGATCGCGCCATTGCACTCCATCTCAAAAAAAAAAAAAACAGAAAAAACAAAAACACCAAAAAAAAAAAAAAAAAAGCAAATAAGAAAAAGAAAAACTACTATTCAGTAACTGAATTTTACCTTTCAAGCCTTTTGTCATTTACTCTCATTTCTTTTTACTTTCATTCTTGCCAGACTTTCACTCTGGGCAGAAGTTGTAATTTTGCAGCATTTTACCGTTCTGCACTGCAAATGAGGAAGAAAGAGAATGACAGAGTTCAGTGTCATTTTTTTAAATACCAAAATGTATGGTTGTATGTGTGAGAGAGACGTTGCTAAGATTTTCGTTTCTGGAGAAATGAGAATTGAAATTGAAAGCAAGGCCAGGTGTGGTGGTTTATGCATGTAATCCTGGAATTTTTTTTTTTTTAAGTGACAGCAAGTTTATTAGGAAAGTAAAGCAATAAAGAATGGCTACTCCATAGGCAGAGCAGCCAATCCCAGCACTTCGGGAGGCTGAGGCCAGAGGATCGCTTGAGCCCAGGAGTTCAAGACCAGCCTGGGCAACATAGGGTGACCCCGTCTCTACAAAAAATTTAAAAATTAGCTAGGTGTGGTAGCCTGCACTTGGGGTTACAGCTACTTGGAAGGCTGAGGTTGGAGGACTGCTTGAGCCCAAGAAATTGAGACTGTAGTGAGCCATGCTCATGCCACTGTACTCTAGCCTGAGTGACAGCAAGACCCTGTCTAAAAGAAAAAAAGAAATTGAAAGCAGTAAGGCAGAAACCTTAAAAATGGAAATGTATGCTAACAACTTACTTTGATCTGAGGAGTACAGAAAATTGAAAAAAAAGTATCTAAAAAAATTTAGCTGTTGGTATAAGGAATTCTGGGAATAATAATTGAATATTTAAAATGTAAATCACATATGCAAAGAGGAATCACTAGCAAGATATTCCATGGACTTTGAGAATATATGGTTTTGAATAACCAAAAATACTTTTTCATACACCTTCTATTTGCCAGGCATAGCTAACTTTAGACCTAGGGCCTAATTCAGTACACCCCAATCCTTAGGATATCCAGGACTAAATCTTAAAGGGGCTTTCTTCCCATATAGACCTCATTATCTTAAGAAATTGATGTTTTATATCTGATTTTTGGGGAAAGGCAAGGTTAGTCTACAGTAGAATTTTAAAGTGGGTAAATTTGTTTATTTGATTCTTTTTAAAAACATTTTTGACATGATATATCTGTAGAAAAGTAGGTAAAAGCTAATGTACAGTTTGAAGAACAGTTTTAAAGTTGACATCTTTATAACCATTATCCAGGTCAAGAAATACGACATCATCATTCCAGAAATCCCTGTTCGCCTTCTCCAATCACTATATCTTCTTTCCTACGTTACTACTCCGCTAGGGGTAATTACTCCCATTCTTTTGTGATAATAATTTTCCTGCTTCCTAAAAATTGTTTGAGCATACATGAACATACCTCTAAGTATAATTTAGTTTTGTCTATTTTTGAATGTTATATAAGTGGAATTACATTGTTTGCCTTTTTTCCTCTCGCTTCTTTTACTTAATACATTTATGAAATTTGTCCATATTATATGCAGCTGTAGCTTATTTTCAGCTATATAGTATTGAATTTTGTTTTTTAAAAATATTCTTTTTTTTGAGACAGGATTTCACTCTGTTGCCCAGGTAAAGTGCAGTGGCGCAGCCATGGTTCACTGCAGCCTCAACCTCCCTTGGCTCAGGTGATCCTCTCTCCTCAGCCTCCTGAGTATCTAGGACCATAGGCCACCACGCCTGTGTGCCACCAGGCTTGGCTAATTTTTGTATTTTTTATAGAGACGGGGTTTTGCCATGTTACCCAGGCTGGTTTCAAACTCCTGGGCTCAAGCGATCTGCCCATCTCAGCCTCCCAGAGTGTTGGGATTACAGGCTTGAGCCACTATGTGGGGCCTATAGTATTTAATTTTATTCGTCTATCACTGTTTGTCCATTTTATACCTTTAATTGATTTTTGAGTGATTTCCAATTTAGTTGCTTATGTAAACAGCATTGCTGTGAACATAAATTCACCCGCATACATGCAAAAGTTTCTGTAGGAATAAGAAGTAAAATTACTGGGAATGCTTATGATGCCTGTTTTCCAAACTGGCTTTCCAATTTTCTCTCCCCCCAGTGTAATCAAGCTCTCATTAATCTATGTCTTTGCCAGCATTTAGTAGTGTCTGGCTTTCTCATTTTTGTCATTCTGCTGAGTGTTTACTATTTTTTTGTTTAATTTGTATTTCCCCGCTGGCTAATGAGGCTGTGTTCCTTTTCATATGTTTATTAGTCATTTTGATTTTTGCAAAGTGCCCACTTGGGTCCTTTTGCCCATTTTCCTCTGAGCCATCTGTCTTCTCTCACTGCATTTTTAATGTAGCTTTTCGCTGAAGTACCTACTCAAGTTTGCTTAGCTTTTGAAGGAGAGACTGGAGTTCTAAAAGCAACTCTTTTTCCTTTTATTTCTGGGGTCAGCTGTCAGTGCAGTTATCCTCAGGTAGTAGACAGAAACTAACCAGATTAAACCAATGTTGGAAAATAGAGGGTATTCTTAAACAGGGTATTGGACTAGGTGACCTCCATTTAAGGTCCGTTGACATATTTGTCATTTGACTCTCAGCATGCCTCACATTAACCAAGGGCACAGAAACTGACATATAAAACCAAAATGCCAAAAATTTTAATTTGCAGAAAGAAATGTAATCATTAAGGTAATTGAATTTAGATCAGTTTATTCTTTATTTGGTTCGTAATTCTCAACCAGTGGAAGGAAGTCATAAGAATGTCTGAGAGCTAAACAGTTTGAACACATGGAGATAGAGTGTGGAAAAATAGATAACAATAACTGGGAAGGGTAGGAGGAGGGGAAGATGAAGAGGAGTGAGTTAAAGTGTACAGATATACAGGAAGCTTGAAGAAATAATTCAGTGTTTTATAGCAAGGTAGAATGGAAAAATACATTGTACTCAGGTGATGGACACCCTGAATGATTCGATTACTGCATATTATATACATGTACAAAATTTCTCATGTATTCCATAATTTGTACACACAAGAAAGAATCTCAAGGATTCGGGTGCTTTTTAAAATAACAATCCCTTGGAGGTTCAAATATGTGGGATGCCTCATAGTTAAAAGTCATCACCCTAGTGAATCACTGTTAACTGTTGGGAGTATACTGAACTCTTTAGTTAGGTTGCAGAGAAGTTGAAAAACATTGCTTTCGTATATAAGACAAGACAATTTATAATAAGGTTGTCTGTTGAGCTTGGAATCAGAGCCCAGAGGGATTAGTTAAATCATGTTAATCAGACTGTGTCATCAGACTGTGATGCATTAATACATTTGTCTTCATTTTAAGACTTAATGGCTTTCTGAATCTGATATCCATGTTTATGGGATGGGACATTTTCTTTCCATATACTTGATTCAGAATGCCAAACTGGCCATTCTTTATAACTAGCATGCAGGTGATCCTATTATTATTAACATATTCTTTTATCAGGCCGTTTATTGTAATCTGGTCATGTCTTCATGATGTTACAATTTGATTACCTTTGTTAGAGTTTGGTGCACATTCTTGGAAGGTAGCTTCAGCTTTTTTGTGTGTATTGGGGACTGCTCCGTTGTTAATTCTCTGTACTTCTGTACAGAGGGGGTAGTATTTTTGAGATATAGTTGTGGAATATGAGGATGGTTGGGTGGGTGGCTTCCCTGTATCTTTGGATATTTTCTTCCACTAAACTCAAGAAGTGAGATTTTATTTCTTCATCCAGTAGTCCTTCTTCCCCAGACTCATCCTTGATCTATTCCTTGAGGTTATAGTATGAATCACCCACTATTCAAATGTCAATTTTTCTTAGAATGCTGTTAGTGATGAGAAGTGACTGTTTTCAGACCTAACCTTGGCAAGGTCAGTCCTACTTTGATGTTCTTGTTTCATCACACTTCTTGGCATTTGTAGATTTGGAAGAATTGGGCCTTTGGTACCTCTGATCTCTTCGTTTAGCAACTTACTGTGCACCCATATGCTTAGCTTTTGCTGTTTTAGCTTTTTTTTTTTTTTTTTAACCTGCCACCTAGTGGCCGAAATGTTGCTATACTATTGATAAGGTACTCCTAATTTTGGCAAAATAGTAAGAGGCAAAGCACCAAAGATTATGTTCTCTCCCTTCTCCAAATCTCTCTTGGTGAGAATGATCTTTAAAACATACCACTCAGATTATTAGCAATCTTGGTATGGAACGTTTTTAAAAATAATAATAATGTACTTTATGTGGTGATTTATGTTATTATTTAGGCCCAAAGTTTTGATTTAATTGTTTCCTTTTAGCTTATTTTTGAGATATGCAGTCTGTTAGGAAGCTGTCTCTGTCTTGTTTTTTCATTGAGCTGAATTCTTTTGGAGGATCACTATTATTGTGAAGTACTATTTTACTTTTAATTAAAAAAATTAAGATATTTTTATTTTTAATTTACAGATAAAAATTATATTTAATTTTATATTATATTTATATATAAATCATATGTAATGTAAATTATATACATAAGTTATATATAATATAAAAATTATATACATAATATAAATTATATATAATATAAAAATTATATTTATGGTATGCAACATGATGTTTTAAAATATGTCTACATTGTGGAATGGTTAAACCAAGCTAATTAACATACGCATTACCCGTACTATTTTACTTTTATCCAATACTTCTTACCACTAATAAGCCACTGAAAAACTAGTAATTGTGATAAAGAAGGTGTAAACCATACTTATTTATGACAGAACAGCATATTTTTTACTTTTAATAAGTCATTCTTTTTTTTTTTTTTTGAGACGGAGTCTCGTTCTGTCGCTCAGGCTGAAGTGCAGTGGTGTGATGTTGGCTCACTGCAACCTCTGCCTCCCAGGTTCAAGCGATTTTCCTGCCTTAGCCTTCCAAGTAGCTGGAGCTGGGATTACAGGCATGTGCCACCACGCCTGGCTAATTTTTGTAATTTTAGTAGAGATGGGGTTTCACCATGTTGGCCAGGCTGGTCTTGAACTCCTGACCTCAAGTGATCCACCCATCTCAGCCTCCCAAAGGGCTGGGATTACAGGTGTGAGGTCTCTTTTTTTTTTTTTTTTTTTTTTTTAAGACGGAGTCTTGCTCTGTCCCTTAGTAAGTCATTCTTGAAAATTAGTTAAGAATGCTTGATAAAGCACTTCCACTTGTACCTTTTGAATAGATGTGATAACTTTTGTTGGCTTGTATTTTTTTGAGTCTTGCTTTATTGCCCAGGCTGGAGTGCAATGGTGAACCTCAGCCCACTGCAGCCTCCGCCTCCTGGGCTCAAGTGATCCTCCCACCTCAGCCTCCTCAGTAGCTGGGACTACAGGCCCACACCAACATGCCCGGCTAATTTTTGTATTTTTTATAGCGATAGGATTTTGCCAATGTTGTCTGGATTTGTCTCAAACTCCTGGGATCAAGCAATCCGCCTGCCTCGGCCTCCCAAAGTGCTAGAATTAGGCATATGAGTCACCATGCCTGGCCTGTTGGCTATTTTATAATTATCTTGTTTGGTAGACTCTGATCTTTTACAGTTGAACTTAATTCAACTCTTTTGCAATGTTTACAAAGATTAGACCTAGAATTAAAAGATAAATGATTTTATAGCTGACCTTGATATTTCTATTTTTCACTTACCTTGACAATAATCTGTACTTCCTATAACAATGAAGTATTCTTTCATAAAGTGAAAATGGACATATATTATAGAGAACAGAATAAATGTTATTCATAATCCTACCACTCTGTATGTATCTTTTACATAGTTGAATTAATAATGTAATATATTAAATTTTGGTGGAGGTGATATGTAATTTAAAAAATATTATAAAGTAATACCTGTTTACTGTTTGAAGTTAAGGAAATATTAGAAATTATCAAAAGAGGGGACTAAAACTTACCTATAACCTTATTATCCAGAGATAACCATAGATCTTACTTGAAAGAACAGTATACAGTTTTGTATTTTGTTTCTTCCCCACCCCCCACAATATTTATATGTCAAGAGTCTGAGATCCAACTGCAAGGCGGCAGTGAGGCTGGGGGAGGGGCGCCCACCATTGCTGAGGCTTGGGTAGGTAAACAAAGTGGGCTGGAAGCTGGAACTGGGTGGAGCCCACCGCTGCTCAAGGAGGCCTGCCTGCCTCTGTAGACTCCACCTCTGGGGGCAGGGCATAGCTGAACAAAAGGCAGTAGAAACCTCTACGGACTTAAATGTCCCTGTCTGACAGCTTTGAAGAGAGTAGTGGTTCTCTCAGCACGGAGTTTGAGATCTGAGAACGGACAGACTGCCTCTGCAAGTGGGTCCCTGACCCCCGAATAGCCTAACTGAGAGGCACCCCCCAGTAGGGGGAGACTGACACCTCATACGGCTGGGTACCCCTCTGAGACGAAGCTTCCAGAGGAACGATCAGGCAGCAACAATTGCTGTTCAGCAGTATTCGCTGTTCTGCAGCCTCCGCTGCTGATACCCAGGCAAACAGGGTCTGGAGTGGACCTCCAGCAAACTCCAACAGACCAGCAGCTGAGGGTCCTGGCTGTTAGAAGGAAAACTAACAAACAGAAAGGACATCCACACCAAAACCCCATCTGTACGTCACCATCATCAAAGACCAAAGGTAGATAAAACCACAAAGATAGGGAAAAACAGAGCAGAAAAGCTGAAAATTCTAAAAATCAGAGCGCCTCTCACCTCCAAAGGAACACAGCTCCTCGCCAGCAACGGAACAAAGCTGGACGGAGAATGACTTTGACGAATTGAGAGAAGAAGGCTTCAGATAATCAAACTTCTCCGAGCTAAAGGAGGAAGTTCGAACCCATGGCAAAGAAGCTAAAAACCTTGAAAAAAGACGAATGGCTAACTAGAATAACCAGTGTAGAGAAGTCCTTAAGTGACCTGATGGAGCTGAAAACCATGGCACGAGAACTACATGACGAATGCACAAGCTTCAGTAGCCGATTCAATCAACTGGAAGAAAGGGTATCAGTGATTGAAGATCAAATGAATGAAATGAAGTGAGAAGAGAAGTTTAGAGAAAAAAGAGTAAAAAGAAATGAACAAAACCTCCAAGAAATATGGGACTATGTGAAAAGACCAAATCTGCGTCTGATTGGTGTACCTGAAAGTGATGGGGAGAATGGAACCAAGTTGGAAAACACACTTCAGGATATTATCCAGGAGAACTTCCCCAATCTAGCAAGGCAGGCCAACATTCAAATTCAGGAAATACAGAGAACACCACAAAGATACTCCTCGAGAAGAGCAACTCCAAGACACATAATTGTCAGATTCACCAAAGTTGAAATGAAGGGAAAAATGTTAATGGCAGCCAGAGAGAAAGGTCGGGTTACCCACAAAGGGAAGCCCATCAGACTAACAGTGGATCTCGCGGCAGAAACGCTACAAGCCAGGAGAGAGTGGGGGCCAATATTCAACATTCTTAAAGAAACGAATTTGCAACCCAGAATATCATATCCAGCCAAACTAAACTTCATAAGTGAAGGAGAAATAAAATCCTTTACAGACAAGCAAATGCTGAGAGATTTTATCACCACCAGGCCTGCCCTACAAGAGCTCCGGAAGGAAGCACTAAACATAGAAAGGAACAAGCGGTACCAGCCACTGCAAAAACATGCCAAATTGTAAAGACCATCGAGGCTAGGAGGAAACTGCATCAACTAATGAGCAAAATAACCAGCTAACATCATAATGACAGGATCAAATTCACACATAACAATATTAACCTTAAATGTAAATGGGCTAAATACTCCAATTGAAAGACACAGACTGGAAAATTGGATAATTGGATAAAGACTCAAGACCCATCAGTGTGCTGTATTCAGGAGACCCATCTCATGTGCAGAGACATACATAGGCTCAAAATAAAGGGATGTATGAAGATCTACCAAGCAAATGGAAAACAAAAAAAAGGCAGGTGTTGTAATCCTAGTCTCTGATAAAACAGTCTTTAAACCAACAAAGATCAAAAGAGACAAAGAAGGCCATTACATAATGGTAAAGGGATCAATACAACAACAAGAGCTAACTATCCTAAATATATATGCACCCAATACAGGAGCACCCAGATTCATAAAGCAAGTCCTTAGAGACCTACAAAGAGACTTAGACTCCCACACAATAATAATGGGAGACTTTAACACCCCACTGTCGACATTAGACAGATGAACGAGACAGAAAGTTAACAAGGATATCCAGGAATTGAGCTCAGCTCTGTACCAAGCGGACCTAAAAGACATCTACAGAACTCTCCACCCCAAATCAACAGAATATACATTCTTCTCAGCACCACATCGCACTTATTCCAAAATTGACCACATAGTTGGAAGTAAAGCACTCTTCAGAAAATGTAAAAGAACAGAAATTATAAAAAACTGTCTCTCAGACCACAGTGCAATCGAACCTAGAACTCAGGATTAAGAAACTTACTCAAAACCGCTCAACTACATGGAAGCTGAATAACCTGCTCCTGAATGACTACTGGGTACATAACGAAATGAAGGCAGAAATAAAGATGTTCTTTGAAACCAATGAGAACAAAGACACAACATACCAGAATCTCTGGGACACATTTAAAGCAGTGTGTAGAGGGAAATTTATAGCACTAAATGCCCACAAGATAAAGCAGGAGAGATCTAAAATTGACACCCTAACATCACAATTAAAAGAACTAGAGAAGCAAGAGTAAACACATTCCAAAGCTAGCAGAAGGCAAGAAATAACTAAGATCAGAGCAGAACGGAAGGAAATAGAGACACAAAAAACCCTTCAAAAAATCAATGAATCCAGGAGCTGGTTTTTTGAAAAGATCAACAAAATTGATAGACCGCTAGCAAGACTAATAAAGAAGAAAACAGAGAAGAATCAAATAGACTCAATAAAAAATGACAAAGGGAGTATCACCACTGATCCCACAGAAATACAAACTACCATCACAGAATACTATAAACACCTCTACAAACACCTCTACGCAAATAAACTAGAAAATCTAGAAGAAATGGATAAATTCCTGGACACATACACTGTCACAAGACTAAACCAGGAAGAAGTTGAATCCCTGATTAAACCCATAACAAGCTCTGGAATTGAGGCAATAGTTAAGAGCCTGCCATCCAAAAAAAGTCCAGGACCAGATGGATTCACAGCCGAATTCTACCAGCAGTACAAGGAGGAGCTGGTACCATTCCTTCTGAAACTATTCCAATCAATAGAAAAAGAGGGAATCCTCCCTAACTCATTTTATGAGGCCAGTATCATTCTGATACCAAAGCCTGGCAGAGACACAACAAAAAAAGAGAATTTTAGACCAATATCCCTGATGAACATCGATGCAAAAATCCTCAGTAGAATACTGGCAAACTGAATCCAGCAGCACATCAAAAAGCTTATCCACCATGATCAATTGTGCTTCATCCCTGGGATGCAAGGCTGGTTCAGCATACGCAAATCAATAAACATAATCCAGCATATAAACAGAACCAAAGACAAAAACCACATGATTATCTCAATAGATGCAGAAAAGGCCTTTGACAAAACTCAACAACCCTTATGCTAAAAACTCTCAATAAATTAGGTATTGGTGGGATGTATCTCAAAATAATAGGAGCTATTTATGACAAACCCACAGCCAATATCACACTGAATGGGCAAAAACTGGAAACATTCCCTTTGAAAACTGGCACAAGACACGGATGCCCTCTCTCACCACTCCTATTCAACATAGTGTTGGAAGTTCTGGCCAGGGTAATCAGGTAGTAGAAGGAAATAAAGGGTATTCAATTAGGAAAAGAGGAAGTCAAATTGTCCCTGTTTGCAGATGACATGATTGTATATTTAGAAAACCCCATCGTCTCAGCCCAAAATCTCCTTAAGCTGATAAGCAACTTCAGCAAAGTTTCAGGATACAAAGTCAATGTGCAAAAATCACAAGCATTCTTATACACCAATAACAGACAAACAGAGAGCCAAATCATGAGTGAACTCCCATTCACAGTTGCTTCAAAGAGAATAAAATACCTAGGAATCCAACTTACAAGGGATGTGAAGGACCTCTTCAAGGAGAACTACAAACCACTGCTCAATGAAACAAAAGAGGACACAAACAAATGGAAGAACATTTCATGCTCGTGGATAGGAAGAATCAATATCGTGAAAATGGCCATACTGCCCAAGGTAATTTATAGATTCAATGCCATCCCCATCAAGCTACCAATGACTTTCTTCACAGAATTGGAAAAAACTACTTTAAAGTTCATAAGGAACCAAAAAAGAGCCCGCATTGCCAGGTAAATCCTAAGCCAAAAGAACAAAGCTGGAGGCATCACGCTACCTGACTTCAAACTATACTACAAGGCTACAGTAACCAAAACAGCATGGTACTGGTACCAAAACAGAGATATAGACCAATGGAACAGACCAGAGCCCTCAGAAATAATACCACACATCTACAACCATCTGATCTTTGACAAACCTGAGAAAAACAAGAAATGGGGAAAGGATTCCCTATTTAATAAACGGTGCTGGAAAAATGGCTAGCCATATGTAGAAAGCTGAAACTGGATCCCTTCCTTACACCTTATACAAAAATTAATTCAAGATGGATTAAAGACTTAAATGTTAGACCTAAAACCATAAAAACCCTAGAAGAAAACCTAGGCAATACTATTTGGGACATAGGCATGGGCAAGGACTTCATGTCTAAAACACCAAAAGCAATGGCAACAAAAGCCAACATTGACAAATGGGATCTAATTAAACTCAAGAGCTTCTGCACAGCAAAAGAAACTACCATCAGAGTGAACAGGCAACCTACAGAATGGGAGAAAATTTTTGCAATCTACTCATCTGACAAAGGGCTAATATCTAGAATCTACAATGAACTCAAACAAATTTACAAGAAAAAAACAACCCCATCAAAAAGTGGGCAAAGGATATGAACAGACACTTTTCAAAAGAAGACATTTATGCAGCCAACAGACACATGAAAAAATGCTCATCATCACTGGCCATCAGAGAAATGCAAATCAAAACCACAATGAGATACCCTCTCACACCAGTTAGAATGGTGATCATTAAAAAGTCAGGAGACAACAGGTGCTGCAGAGGATGTGGAGAAATGGGAACACTTTTCCACTGTTGGTGGGACTGTAAACTAGTTCAACCATGTGTAAGACAGTGTGGTGATTCCTCAAGGATCTAGAACTAGAAATACCATTTGACCCAGCCATCCCATTAGTGGGTATATACCCAAAGGATTATAAATCATGCTGCTATACAGACACATGCACACATATGTTTATTGCGGCACTGTTCACAATAGCAAAGACTTGGAACCAACCCAGATGTCCATCAGTAATAGACTGGATTAAGAAAATGTGGCACATATACACCATGGAATACTATGCAGCCATAAAAAAGGATGAGTTAATGTCCTTTGTAGGGACATAGATGAAGCTGGAAACCATCATTCTCAGCAAACTGTCGCAGGGAAAAAAAACAAAACACTGCATGTTCTCACTCATAGGTGGGAATTGAACAATGAGAACTCTTGGACACAGGAATGTGAACATCACACACTGGGGCCTGTTGTGGGGTGGGGGGAGGGGGGAGGGATAGCATTAGGAGAAATACCTAATGTAAATGGCGAGTTAATGGGTGCAGTACACCAACATGGCACATGTATACATATGTAACAAACCTGCACGTTGTGCACATGTACCCAAGAACTTAAAGTATAAAAAAAAAATTTATATATCAGGGCAATTAAAATCGTTGTTAAAAATTTACTGTAAATGATTTTTAACAGCAGCCTAATTTATTGTATGCATGTACTATTATTTACTTAATATAAATGCCTAATAATAGTGGAATGATAACCTATTCGCTTAGCCTTGTGATAAATACCTTTGTGGTTAAATTTGTATTCTAGATTATTTCTTTTTTTTTTTTTTTTTTGAGACGGAGTCTCGCTCTGTCTCCCAGGCTGGAGTGCAGTGGCGCCATCTCAACTTGCTGCAAGCTCCGCCTCCCAGGTTCACATCATTCTTGTGCCTCAGCCTCCCGAGTAGCTGAGACTACAGGCGCCTGCCACCATGCCCCGCTATTTTTTTTGGTATTTTTAGTAGAGACAGGGTTTCACCGTGTTAGCCAGGATGGTCTCGATCTCCTGACCTTGTGATCCACCCGCCTTGGCCTCCCAAAGTGCTAGGATCACAGGCGTGAGCCACTGCGCCCGGCCTAGATTATTTCTTTAAAGTAAATTTTCAACAGTGGAATTAATTGGGCCAAAAGGTACAGGTTTTTTTTTTCCCACAAATGTAGCTAAACTGCTTTCTATCTAACCATGTTCTACCAATTTGTATTTAATGTAGTTTCACTCTGACACATTCATATTTTTTATCTGGATAGTTTGCAGAGGGGAGAACTTGATAAAATTAACATTCAGTTTGGTAAAGATGATGCACAGTATTTTTTAGATTTTTTTTTTTTTTTTTTTTTTGAGACAAGAGTCTTGCTCTGTTACCCAGGCTGGAGTGCAGTGGCACAATCTTGGCTCACTGCAGCCTCCACCTCCCAGGCATAAGCAATTCTCCCACCTCAACCTCCGGAGTAGCTGGGATTACAGGTGCACGCCACCATACCTGGCTAATTTTTGTATTTTTTGTAGAGACAGGGTTTCGCCATGTTGCCCAGGCTGGTCTGGAACTCCTGAGCTTAAGTGATCCGCCTGCCTCGGACTCCCAAAGTGCTGGGATTACAGGCCTGAGCTGCCTCACCTGGCTGGATAAATTTTTAATATTCTTAACATTTATAATTGCATACAAAAAACCCTAGCAATTTGTCTCAAATTTCATGCATAGGATCAAAAGAAAATGTTTTATATGACTCATAAGTTATCCTGAGGAACCAGATAATGATACCCTGGCTTACTGTTAATTTTCTAATTTGTTACACTATTAAACTAAGAGACAATAACATCTTCATAGCTGAAAATTCTATTTCAGATTTTTGATTCAGTTTGAATTTACATATTTGTATTTTTAGAACTAGTTTATTATTTTTTTGTTAGGTGATGAATCAAGATTGGTTCTCTAAGTTATTTTAATATAGTAAACTTTGAAATTGCTTTGGGCAAGAGAGATTATATTTATTGAGAAATTAAAATAAAAGGAGGTATGTGGTCTTTTTTAGTTAATTTTTTTGTTGTGGCAAAAATATAAAATTTATCATCTGAACCATTTTTAAGTATACAGCTCAGTAGTATTATAAGCATATTTAGGTCATTATGAACAGATCTCCAGAACTTTAGCCTCCTGAAAAGATCCAGAGACCCCTGGAGCTTCTCCTACTATACTTTGAAGAACCTCTATCTTAGAGAATATATTACTTCATCTGGAAAAGACAGACTCACAGAGAACTCTAGAAATATAGTCTTTTAAAACATATCATCTAAAAGATTAATAATTCTTTTTATCATCTTATCCGGTCTGTGTTCATATTTCCCCATTGTCTAATAATGTTTTCGTAATTTTTTGAAATTAGGAGCCAAACCAGGTTCACACACGTTACATTTGGTGGTTGATATACCTTTTATTTTTTTTTAAATTTATTTTTCTGAGATGAAGTCTTGCTCTGTCACCCAGGCTGAAGTACAGTGCATGATCTCAGCTCACGGCAACTTCTGCCTCCCCAGTTCAAGTGATTCTCCTGTCTCAGCCTCCCGAGTAGCTAGGATTACAGGCGCGTGCCACCACGCCTGGCTAATTTTTTATATTTTTGGTAGAGACAGGGTTTCACCATGTTGGCCAAGCTGGTCTTGAACTCCTGATCTCAGGTGATCTGCCTGCCTCGGCCTCCCAAAGTGTTGGGATTACAGGCGTGAACCACTGGGCCTGCCCTTGATATGCCTTTTAAATTTTAATCTATTGATTGTCTCTTTGTTTATAATTTATTTGTTGAAGAAACAGGGTCATTTGTTCTACATAATTTTCCTCATTCTGGTTTTGGCTGAGTGTATCTCTGGTAAAATTTAACATGTTTTTCAGTTCTCTGTATTTCCAGTAAATTTATAGGTAGAGACAGGCTTGATTAGATTTACTTTCAATTCTTTTTTGGCAAGATTCCTAGTTGGTGATGTGTATTTCTTTACATCAAGAAGATGTGTTTTGTGATGTTAAAATCAAACAGTTTAGCTGTTGTCAGATTGATTCATCCGTTGTAAAATTCCCAATTAACTTTTCTCTAATGATAGCATCTATTGCTAATTGTTGCCTCATTGCAGTATATTAGTAGGTGTTGTAAAAGGTGATATTCCTTCTCCAGCCTTCTGAATTTATTGGCTGGGATTCTTCAGGAAAGAAGACCTCTTCCTCATATACCACTTTATTACCCTGAAAGTATTTATACAGGAAAGGCCAAAATAAAATGGGACTTTTTTTTTCTTTTTACCTACATATTCCCAGAATAATTAATTTGTGCCTTAGGAGCCTCAAAACATGACTAGAGTTTTGTTTGTTTGTTTAGAATTATAAACTCATGGATTTTTGCCTCCCATTCATTTTCGATGTTCAAATTATTCTTTCTTTGACCAGTGGCAGCTTATTTATGTTGGCTCCTTTGTCCTTGGCACAATCCCAGTGGTCTGTAGTAGTTTCCTAAAATATACAAGATGAAGCTCATCTTGTATATTTTCTTCCCCAGATTTAGAATCAGAATTCTAATTCCTTTCAGTGGGAAATGGTATTTAGAGATTATAATCTGGGTGATATTTTTGTATATTCCTACAATGTTGTCATTGTTTATAGGCCTTTTGATGGACAGAACTAGGAAAACTTTATAGAAAGAGAAAAATAATTCATGTGTTCCAGATGCTATTTCTTTTTTTTTTTTTTTTTTTTGAGACGGAGTCTCGCTCTGTCGCCCAGGCTGGACTGCGGACTGCAGTGGCGCAATCTCGGCTCACTGCAAGCTCCGCTTCCCGGGTTCACGCCATTCTCCTGCCTCAGCCTCCCCAGTAGCTGGGACTACAGGCGCCCGCCACCGCGCCCGGCTAATTTTTTGTATTTTTAGTAGAGACGGGGTTTCACCTTGTTAGCCAGGATGGTCTCGATCTCCTGACCTCATGATCCACCCGCCTCGGCCTCCCAAAGTGCTGGGATTACAGGCGTGAGCCACCGCGCCCGGCCTGCTATTTCTAACTCAGATAAAAGATGATAAGAGTTTTTACTTCATTTTAAAATTTACATTTGTATTTTTCCTCAACATGTAAAATGTGGTTCTAACAATAAGATTATTGAATTGCAAAATCTGGGGCAGGAACTATTGTATTATATTAGAAGATTGGAGGGTTACAAATACAAATGCCTAAAGGGGCCAGACAGCCAAATGAATATATCAGGCCTGTTATGAAAATCATCCGGGAATGGTGGGGATTAATAAGCCAGAGAGCATATATCCCATCTAAAGGAGGCATCTGTGACTTGATTCTAGCTGATTTTTGCCAAGAGGGAATATGGGCATGGTACTGCTTGGTTTTTTCATTTTTAAAAAGAAGACGTAATCCCTGCACTTTGGGAGGCCAAGGCAGGCAGATCATGAGGTCAGGAGATGGAGACCATCCTGGCTAACACGGTGAAACCCCGTCTCTACTAAAAATGTAAAAAATTAGTTGGGCATGGTGGCACGCGCCTGTAGTCCCAGCTACTTGGGAGGCTGAGGCGGGAGAATTGCTTGAACCTGGTAGGTGGAGGTTGCAGTGAGCTGAAATCGTGCCACTGCACTCCAGCTGGGGCAACAGAGCAAGACTCCATCTCAAAAAAGAAAAAAAAGAAGATGTAAATCCAAATATTTTATGTGAAATTATTTAGCTTTTAAATATTGACAATACTATTGACAAACTAAGTCAAAGTTTTAAAAAGGACTTTTGGACCAAACAATGATTTCTTCCATAGGTTATTAGTTTGTAACCTCTTGTGAGAAAGATCTAAGGATTTTCCAGACCTCAGACAATCTGAAAAATATATTGGGAAAGAGTATGAGAAAGGGAACTTAATCATCTTGGTTTTGCTGATCATGATTACATTTATTTATCTGACTTTTATTTTTTAGCCTTAAAAATTAAAATAGCCCTATTGACCATTAATTTTGCTTTTTATTTCTTTTTGCACATTCAAAATAGGAACTTACAATGTCTCAGAAAAATGGTGGGAATGTTCTTCAGATGATGTATGAGAAACCTGAACGATGGTCTTTTACCTTCCAAACATATGCCTGTCTCAGTCGAATAAGAGCTCAGCTTGCCTCTCTGAATGGCAAGCTCAAAGATGCAGAGAAACCTGTATTATTTTTTGAACGATCTGTGTATAGTGACAGGTATGTATAAATGGCTTGTACGTGGCCATTTGAAGTTTTTATCTTAGAACTGGACTTTTTTTTTTTTTTTAATGTTTCCTGGGAATTAGTAATAATGAATGGCTGAGCTGGGGATTTAAGATGGAAAATGACATTTAAATCCCTCAGCAGTCTGGTACTAATGGCATTAGGGAAGTTATTGCATTTATAATCCTCAGCTTCCATAGAAACTGTTGGGAATATGGTGGTGCCCATTTCATTTAAATTTGCAGAGAAGTTGTTTTTCCCTCTAACCCTTTTAAAATTCTCATCTGCTCTGGTTAAATCTGGATCTATATCCTAGACTCTTACCTGGATCAAGAAGATAAAAGTCTCTAAGGGGCCTTAGAATTGCCCTACTTATGCTAGGATTCTTTTGACCTCCAAAGTTAGCTCAGAACAGAGGTTCTCAAACATTTGATCTCAGGGCCCTTTTCAATTCTTAATAACTATCGAGGTGTCCAAAGAGCATGTCCTATTGATACTTAACATTACTAGAAATTAAGATGCACAAAAATGATTTAAAATTAGCAATAATAAATTCATTACATATTAATATAAATACATTTGACAAAAAGTTATATTTTCTAAAATAAAAAGTAGCTAGAAGAATATCATTGCTTTACATTTTTGCAGATATCTTTAATGCCTCACTTATTAAAAGACAGCTGGATTTTTATTTATGCTTCTGTATTTAATCTGTTATGGTATGTTTGTTTGTTTGAAGTATATTGGTATATGAAGTAATCTGGCCTCTCACAGAACCCCTTAGAAGATCTTGGGGACTTAATGGGGTCCTCACTCCGTATTTTGAGAACCATTGGCCAAAAACATGATGGAAAGACTCTTGTCTTTTTCTGCTTTCCACGGCACTATGTGCCACTGGATTTAGGAGAATGTTTCATGTTCCTGTTCTCTTTTTTATTTCTTTGTTGTTTTTTTTTGAAATGATACATGTGTTGATGAAGACTCTCTTTTAGGTATATTTTTGCATCTAATTTGTATGAATCTGAATGCATGAATGAGACAGAGTGGACAATTTATCAAGACTGGCATGACTGGATGAATAACCAATTTGGCCAAAGCCTTGAATTGGATGGAATCATTTATCTTCAAGCCACTCCAGAGGTAAAACCCAATAAAAATGTGTTTCACTGAAAATTTAAAGAAATATTTAGAACTCTTTTCAGTGGTATATAATGAGGGCAATTTAGTTTAACTCCAGCCTCCCAACCTCCCACTCCCCACCTCTAAATTAGAAACTTGTAACTGTGTAGATAGAAGCATTCTTTTTTCTCAGCAAACTGGAATCCCAGACTGGGCAAGTTGCTGTTTTAGGCTCTTTGTGCTTCCTCAATTCTTTTTTATTTTACTCATTATTTCTTTCTAACATTTGCAGACTCTTCTCATTCATCACAGTTAAAGTAATGAATGTGGTCAAGCAACTCCTAGAATATAGGCTTCATGAGGTGGGACCTTGGGCATTTTGATTACTATTGAATTTCCATTGCCTAGAACACCCAGTGCTGGGCACTGTTGGAGCATATAGTAGGAGCTCAGTAAATATTTACTGAATGAATGGCAATGTTGATGGAGGTCCATATCAAGAAATATTTTATTATGGTTGTTTGTGCCTTGGAATGAGTGGATAATGGCAGCTATCGTTGGGAAAAGACTTAGAGGACCCTTGCCATTTTCCATTAAGGGAGCTCACTTGAAAAGGTGCTTTTTGTGATAGGTTGTAACATAGCTATTCTAGTTACATATGATGTTATATAATGAATACAGGATGACCAAATAGATGCCTTTCATAAAACTAACCTAAATATTAAGATCTTACATTTAATCAGAAGCTTTCTGGTTTTGGTGCGTGCATTTCTATTGTTTCTGTTTTTTAATTCTCATTTTTTCCTTAAGTCACAGGGTAGGCACTGATGAATGTAAATGTTATGACTTCTGGCCTAAAATTAGAATACTGTGTTGCTGTCGAAGCTGGGTTTTCAAAGAAATTAGGTTTCCTATTCCAACGGATGATTTTGTTCTTCATTAAGTAAAGATTTTGTTCTTCATTAAGCAAGGATTTAGCAATTTTTTAGCAATTTCAAAAGTGAATTTTGAAATTCACTTTTATTTTTGAATTTTTTTGTTTTTAATTACAAAAATAGTAAATAAAAATGTGAAAAAGAACATAAGGAATATGAATAATTTCATTTTGCTTGAAACATTTATAGTCACTATTAAGCTAGAATTTAGCAAATATAATAATTTTGAAATTCACTTTTATTTTTGAAAAGGTTTCTTAAAGTTATGAAAATAGTACAAACACCAAAAACATAAATAATACTAATAATTTCATTTTGATACTGATAATTTCATCAGTATTGTTTCTGATATCTTTGGATGAAAGGATTGTTTAATTATTGAAAAGAGAATTTAGAGTAGAGTTTGAAACACAGTTTGTATGCTGCCATGGTCTTATGCATGTCATTTAGGTTGGAGGCTTTTATTTCTTGGAATGCATGAAGAGTTTCTCATGGTATATGAGCCCCCACAAATTATACGAAATTTTTTATGTATGTGTGCTTTTGGGGGACCGTTATCTAGAGCTGCACTGTCCAATGTGGCTATTTAAATTTAGGGTTATTAAAATTAAATAAAATTTAGATATTTAGTTCCTTGGTCACCACACTAGCCATATTTCAAGTGCTTAAAAACCACAGGTGGCTGGTGGCTACCTTATTTGATAATGCAGATATAGGACAGGCATAAAACATTCCAAAGTTGTTTTGGTTGTGCTGATATAGAGTTTTCATCACATTAAGAACCACTGTCTTTAGTGGTTTTATGTGAACTGAACATAGATATTTTGTAATCAAGGTTGGTTAACAGCAAAGTAAGATTATGTTTATAGATTGGCATACCTTTTAGCTGTTGTCTCTGAACATTTTAAGTAGATGTTTAATTTTTTTCTCCTTTTTATCAAACTTAGTATATTTCATGTGTGGATGGATACCAAAAATTTATAGGCTTATTTTTGAAAGTACTGCTTGGCTTAGAGCCACCAAGTGGCTGAAAAGCTCATGGAGGGAAAAATGAATTATTTCAGCTTTTAAGAAGTAATAAGTAGAGATTTTGGCTAGCGTGAGTAGAGAGACACAGAAAAGAAAATTTTGATGGCAGCAGACAAGAATAATTGTTCCCTGCCTTTTTCTTCCATCTCTTATTACTTGCTTTTAGACATGCTTACATAGAATATATTTACGGGGAAGAAATGAAGAGCAAGGCATTCCTCTTGAATATTTAGAGAAGCTTCATTATAAACATGAAAGCTGGCTCCTGCATAGGACACTGAAGTAAGACTTATTTTTATTTACTATTCATTTTAAATACCTTTGTTACCTTTGTTAAATTTTAATCTAAAATTTGGAAGATATGACTAGCAATATGTAAAATTTCCAGTCGTTTTGCTTATTGGTATCTTCCAGAACTAGGTATAGATTTTCATTCTCTTGATTGCAATGAGATCCTATTTACTTAAAGTTTTTATAACTAGTATCCCTTGGTGGTATTGATAGCGTAATATGTGAAATTTCACTTTAAGTGATAAAGTAGGAATATATCTGAACATTATTTAGGTACTCTTTCAGAAAGAATTTTGACTTGGGAGATTGTATAGCGTGGTTGTTGAGAGGATAGACTTTGTTATTAGTCAGATCTTGGCTCAAGTCCAGTCTTACTGGTGTGTGACCTTGGATAGCCTCTGAGCTTCAGAATGACAATTCTGAGCTTTAGTTTTCTCATCTTTAAAAATGCAGAAATTCCTACTTTATTGACTGCTATTTGTTTTTGAAGAGAATCATATGTTACAGTACCCAGCTGTATATATTTTGTACCTAAGTTTTTGGGCTCCATATGGTAAATCTAGATGAGAAAGAAGGGGCTGCCAGATGAAGTACTGCAAAGTAACTTTAGTGTAAATGATTGACAACATTTTGATTTTCCAAGGACATACGAATGAATTTTTAATGTTTCTCTCTTTTTTTTGTTGAATTTCTGATTATTTTATTAATCTCTCTTTTTAAACAGAACCAACTTCGATTATCTTCAAGAGGTGCCTATCTTAACACTGGATGTTAATGAAGACTTTAAAGACAAATATGAAAGTCTGGTTGAAAAGGTAGATTTAGACAGACTACAAACAAATATTTGTTTTTTCTAAAAAAGTGTACTGAGTGGTGAGAAAACAATTTTCTAACAGAAAAGCTTCCATAAAGTTACATTAAGAAACAGTTAAGAGCTTTAGAAGATTTTGGACTGTTTAAGATTCCAGTCCTGACTAAATTCTAGCTTTGTGGCCTGAGCTAAAATAAAGATCCTTCGGAATCTCAGAATCTGACAGATCTTAGAAAAAAATTAAATAAATAAAAATAAAATAAGGATTTTTTTTTATCCTTTAGTGCCTCTATCTGTAGGATAGGTAAAATTATAATAACAAAAATTCTTTCTCACCCCCTTTTTCTCTGCTTTGTCCCCATTTCTTCCTCTCTTCCCTACACCACCAATCTTTAGATACTTTAATAATAAACTGCTTGTGAAATTAAATTTATCTTTTTCAACTAAATTCAATATGGAGGATATTTAAAGTTACAGGATATGGATCTCATCTATTTTTATGTTGGCCAAAGTCTTGAGATTAAGGGATTTTAGTTTTGAGTTTCATTTGGGATCATGTCAAGGATTAATTGACATTACTTAATCATTGAGTCATTGTCTTAATCACAGTTCATTTATTGCCCAAATCACTGGGAGTTGACTATATTCTGTTAAGTGAGTGGTGCCCATATTGATAAAGGGAATGGGTGAGAATTTATTGATGAATATTTGAGAGAGAATAGTAAGGGAATTGGTATAACAAATATCCCTATACCCATGTTGATAACTGAGTGATTAAGCTATAAAGAAGAAAGCACAATTTGGTTTAGTTTTGAGAAAAATTTGATTTTTCCTTTCTTTTGTGGCATAATGTCTGCTGTTTAATAGAGACTTGACATTCATAAGGGATATATCAAGGATTTTGAAAATCTTGACATTTTATGTAACTACTGTAGCGTATACATGTAGTTGTTTTTCCCATGGTATGAACTAAAGCTTATCTGGAAAATTCCAATGACCTCTTCATACTACTAATGATGTTAAAAATATAGGATAAATTCACTTACAATACTATTAAATGAAAAGTCAGCATTAAGTATTAACAGCCAACCATCAATTTAACTGACTTTGTAAATCACTTTTTAATTTTATCTAACACTTCTTTGTTTTGACTAAGAATCATTTCACATTATTATATTTACTTTTATTAATAATGCTAGCAGTTGACTTTCTTATTAAGGTATTTTTACAAGGCAATAATTTTTGTTTCTTGAGAATTATTGAGTAGCCTAGAATATGTAGAGAACAAGCATATTCTTACATTATGGTCAGTAGGCTAGGTTCATTGACTCCTTACATGATTTTCTGCACACACTGACATTGCAAAGTATGTGATTCACATATGTGCTTCAGAAACATGACAAATCTACTACATGTTTGATTTTCAAAGTTGCTTGAACTATTGTGCTTATTAATGTTATCAGTGTTAAAGCTGCATATGTCAGTGGTCTATGATATTTAAATGAAGAGATTATAAAATTGGTGTTACAGCTATTTTAGAACTATATCTATCTTAGATTGATAGATGCAGTGGCTCACACCTGTAATCCCAGCACTTTGGGAGGCTGAGGTGGGAAGACTGCTTGAGCCCAGGAGTTCCTGACCAGCTTGGGCAACATAGTGAGACCTCATCTCTATAAAAAACAAACAAAAACTAGCCAGACATGATGGTGTGCACCTAGCCAGGAGTTCAAGGCTGCAGTGAGCTTTGATTGCACCACTGTACTCAGCCTGGGTGACAGAGCAATAAATAACTCCTAAAATGACCTTTTAGGTCATTCATCTTTTACTACTGAAGTATTTAACAATATTTCTTTTTTTTCTCGAGACAGTCTTGCTCCGTCGCCCAGGCTGGAGTGCAATGGCACAATCTTGGCTCACTGCCATCTCCACCTCCCAGGTTCAACCAGTTCTGCCTCAGCCTCCTAAGTAGGTGGGATTACAAGTGCACGCCTCCATGCCTAGCTAATTTTTTTTTTTTTTTGAGACGGAGTTTTGCTCTTGTTGCCCAGGCTGGAGTGCGATGGCGCGATCTCAGCTCACCACAACCTCTGCCTCCCAGGTTCAAGCGATTCTTCTGCCTTGGCCTCCCTAGTAGCTGGGATTACAGGCATGTGCCACTATGCCCGGCTAATTTTGTATTTTTAGTAGAGAAGGGGTTTCTCCATGTTGGTCAGGCAGGTCTCGAACTCCTGACCGCAGGTGATCTGCCCGCCTCGGCCTCCCAAAGTGCTGGGATTATAGGCATGAGCCACTGCGCCTGGCCTATTTTTGTGTTTTTAGTAGAGATGGGGGGTTTCACCATGTTGGCCAGGCTGGTCTGAAACTCCTGACCTTAAGTGATCCACCCATCTCGGCCTCCCAAAATGCTAGAATTACAGGCATGAGCCGCTGCGCCCGGCCTTAACAATATTTCTTTGGAAAGTAAATGCAATGGCATTGTGGTAGTTACTTATACAGCTGGGGTCTTCAACTATTATATACTTTTAAATGAAGATGAATATTAGATACCTCAAATTAGTCAAGGAATTATACTGATTTTTTTTTCTTCCTTTCCTCAGGTCAAAGAGTTTTTGAGTACTTTGTGATCTTGCTGAAGACTACAGGCAGCCAAATGGTTCCAGATACTTCAGCTTTGTGTATCTTCGTAACTTCATATTAATATAAGTTTCTTTAGAAAACCCAAGTTTTTAATCGTTTTTGTTTTAAGGAAAAAAGATTTTTAAAATGAATCTTATGCAAAACTTTTTGACCAGTTTCTTTTCTTTTGTTTTTTTTTTAAAAAAGACATTTAAAGACAAAGACATTATTTCTCATAGCAGGAAATGTAGAGGTAGATGGTTCCAGTATCAGCATAGTGACTAAACTACATTATAAAAGATCCAGCTTCCTTCTGTCATTCCCCTCTTTTGTCTTCCTCAGCAGGTTGGCTTTTTTCCCTGGTGCCTCTCACTTCGTTGGTGACCAGTTTCTTAAACTGAAAGCTTTAATGTTACATAGTAAATGGTAGTGTGTCCTGTGTAAATTAGTGTACCTATTAAAAGTTGCAAAGTGGAATTAAAGGAATCCCTAGAATAAGGATTCTGAAGTTTTATTTTAAATTATTATCTTCTTAACAGTTTAGTCCCACCTCTTACTTCCTGCCTCAGTCTGCTTTCTCTACTGTCTGGATTAATTAGGCAGCCTGCTATAAAGTTAAAGTCACACATTTCTATTTTGCAAACACTGTGATTACTCTTTGCTTTGTAGTTTGCTTTGCTTTGTAGGGTTCTGCTTTTAAGTTTTTCTCTTTTTCAGACAAATTACTGATAAAAATGATATTGCTCTATATGTAATATATCCTGAAAGCATTATTTTTTGTTGAATAGGAAATAAAATTAATGAAGACAGAGGCTAGAAAGCATCCATTAATTAATGAGACACACTTAACTACTTATCTCTAAACCATCTATGTGAATATTTGTAAAAATAATGAATGGACTCATCTTAGTTCTGTATATAAATATATTTTCTTTCTAGTTTGTTTAGTTAAGGTGTGCAGTGTTTTTCCTGTGTATTAAACCTTTCCATTTTACGTTTTAGAAAATTTTATGTATTTTAAAATAAGGGGAAGAGTCATTTTCACTTTTAAACTACTATTTTTCTTTCCAAGTCATTTTTGTTTTTGGTTTCTTATTCAAAGATGATAATTTAGTGGATTAACCAGTCCAGACGCACTGATCTTTGCAAAGGAGACTTAATTTCAAATCTGTAATTACCATACATAAACTGTCTCATTATACGTATGCATTTTTTTAGTTTGTTTTTGTTTGGTATAAATTAATTTGTTAATTAAATATTTCTTAAGTATAAACCTTATGAACTACAGTGGAGCTACACTCATTGAAATGTAATTTCAGTTCTAAAAAGATGTAATAATCATTTTAGAATTAAAATTTATTCTACTTTTAAATAAATTATGAATATTAAAGGTGAAAATTGTATAAATTACTTTGATTCCATTTTAAGTGGAGACATATTTCAGTGATTTTTAGTAACCTTTAAAAATGTATAATGACTTTTAAAATTTGTAGAATTGAAAAGACGCTAATAAAAATTTATTATTTATTTGTCATGACTCAAAAGTTGTCTCAGTGTGGTGGTCATAATAGAATTGAGCCTAATGGTGGTCTGGATTATCTCTTGGATCTATTACCTATATCATGTCTTCCATTAGAATTTATTTATTGCTCTTTATAGTTTGCTCTCCTAGAAAGGTAATTAATAATACAAGACTTATTTTTCTCATCCAGAATTTTCTCTTCTGCTATGCCTAAAACTTGAAACTTATACCGAGCCACCTAGAACTTAAGTCTGTCATATGTTAAAGAACAGAGTTGTAAAATGTTTCTAAAATAGAGATATAGATGTTATTGCCTTTGAAAAATGCTAGATACATTGCAACATTAAGTCTGGTAAATAATAGCCTTCTTCATTTGACTAACTTACCTCTTCTTTTAATTTTTTTTTTTTTTTTGTTTTGAGAGAGGGTCTTGTTCTGTTGCCTAGGCCGGAGTACAGTGGCGCAGTTATAGTTTACTGTAGTCTTAAACTCCTGGGCTCAAGCAATACTGCCTCAGCCACTTAAGTAGCTGGGACTACAGGGCTTTCACCACCATGATGGCTAATTTTTTAAAATTATTTTTTGTATAGATGGGGTATTGTTGTCCAGTCTGGTCTCAAACTCCTGGGCTCAAGTGATCATCCTGCCTTGGCCTCCCAAAGCGCTGGGATTACAGGCACGAGCCATTGTGCCCTGCGCTAAAAGCTTTTTTTGAAATAGCTTTAGACTCATAAAAGTTGCAAGAATATTACAGAGTTCCTGTTTACCTGTCACTCAGTTATTTCCCAATGATAACTTTATTTAACAATAATATTTTATCAAAACAATTAAATTTGGTGTACTACTATTAACTAAACTACAGACCTAATTTGGATTTTACCAGTTTTATGTCTTACTTTAATTCATAAACTTTAAAGCATCTTTGGCTGGCTCTTTTTTCGGACTCAGCCCGCCTGCACCCAGATGAAATAGCCTTGTTGCTCACACAAAGCCTGTTTGGTGGTTTCTTCACACGGACGCGAGAGACATTTGGTGCCAAAGACCCGAGTCAGAGGGACTCCTTCGGGAGACCAGTCCCCTGTTCTCACCCTCACTCTGTGAAGAGATGCACCTACCACCTTGGGTCCTCAGACCAACCAGCCCAAGGAACATCTCACCAATTTCAAATCCGGTAAGCGGTCTTTTCACTCTCTTCTCCAGCCTGTCTCGTCAATCTCCCTGTCCTTCCAATTCCAGTTCTTTTTCCTCTCTAGTAGAGACAAAGGAGACACATTTTATCCATGGACCCAAAACTCCGGCGCCGGTCATGGACTCAGGAAGACAGTCTTCCCTTGGTGTTTAATCACTGTGGGGACGCCTGACTGATTATTCACCCACATTTCATTGGTGTCTGATCACTGCAGGGAGCCTGCCTTGGTGATTCACCCACATTCCCTTGGTGGCAAGTCAATTGCGGGGACGTCTGCTTTGGTTGCTCACCCACATTGCAGCCCCGGGCTGCTCGCCCACCCCCTTCCCCGTGTCTCTACCTTTCTCTTTAAACTTACCTCCTTCACTATGGGCAACCTTCCGCCCTCCATTCCCCCTTCTCCCTTAGCCTGTGTTCTCAAGAACTTAAAACCTCTTCAACTCACACCTGACCTAAAACTTAAATGCCTTATTTTCTTCTGCAGTACCACTTGGCTCCAATACAAACTCAACAGTAGTTCCAGGTGGCCGGAGAATGGCACTTTCAATTTGTCTATCCTACAAGATCTAGATAATTTTTGTTGAAAAATGGGCAAATGGTCTGAGGTGCCTGATGTCTAGGCATTCTTTTACACATTTGTCCCTCCCTAGTCTCTGCTCCCAATGCGACTCATCCCAAATCCTTCTTCTTTCTCTCCTGTCTGTTCCTTCAGTCTCCACACCAAGCTCTGAGTCCTTTGAATCCTTTTCTACGGACTCATCTGACCTCTCCCCTTCTACCCAGGCTGCTCCTTGCCAGGCTGTGCCAGGTCCCAATTCTTCCTCAGCCTCTGCTCCCCCACCCTATAATCTTTCTATCACCTCCCCTCCTCACACCCGGTCTGGCTTACAGTTTCCTTCCGCGACTAGCCCTTCCCCACCTGCCCAACAATTTCCTCTTGAAGAGGTGGCTGGAGTTAAAGGCATAGTCAAAGTTAATGCGACTCATCCCAAATCCTTCTTCTTTCTCTCCTGTCTGTTCCTTCAGTCTCCACACCAAGCTCTGAGTCCTTTGAATCCTTTTCTGCGGACTCATCTGACCTCTCCCCTTCTACCCAGGCTGCTCCTTGCCAGGCTGTGCCAGGTCCCAATTCTTCCTCAGCCTCTGCTCCCCCACCCTATAATCTTTCTATCACTTCCCCTCCTCACACCCGGTCTGGCTTACAGTTTCCTTCCGCGACTAGCCCTTCCCCACCTGCCCAACAATTTCCTCTTGAAGAGGTGGCTGGAGTTAAAGGCATAGTCAAAGTTAATGCTCCTTTTTTCTTTATCCGACCTCTCCCAAATCAGTTAGCATTTAGGCTCTTTTTCATCAAATATAAAAACCCAGTGCAGTTCATGGCCCGTTTGGCAACAACCCTTAGATGCTTTACTGTCCTAGACCCCAGAGGAAGGCCGTCTTATTCTCAATATGCATTTTATCACCCAGTCAGCTCTTGACATTAGAAAACTTCAAAAATTGGAATCCGGCCCTCAAACGCCACAACAGGAATTAATCAACCTCACCTTCAAGGTGTACAATAATAGAGAGGAGGTAGCCAGACAGCAACGTGTTTCTGAGTTACAGCTACTTGCCTCTGCTGTAAGACAACCCACAACCATGTCTCCAGCATACAAGAACTTCAGAACATCCAAGCCACAGCTCCCAGGGGCTCCTTCAAAACATCCTTGTGGACCTTGCTTCAAATGCCAAAAGCCTGGCCCCTGGGCCTCAGAATGCCCGGTGCCCAAGATTCCTCCTAAGCCATGTCCTGCCTGTGTGGGCCCCCACTGGAGGTCAGACTATCCGACTCACATCGCTGCCGCTCCTAAAGCCCCTGGAGCCCAAACCCAATGTTCCTTGGCCGACTCCTTCCCAGCTGTCCTCGGCTTAGTGGCTGAAGACTGATGCTGCCCGATCGCCTCGGAAGCCTCCTGGACCATCGCAGATGCTTTGGGTAACTCTTACAGTGGAGGGTAAGTCTGTCCCCATCTTAATCAATACGGAGGCTACCCACTCCACATTACCTTCTTTTCAAGGGCCTGGTTCCCTTGCTTCCATAACTGTTGTGGGTATTGACGTCCAGGCTTCTAAGCCTCTTAAAACTCCCCAACTCTGATGCCAACTTGGACAACATTCTTTTATGCACTCCTTTTTAGTTATCCCCACCTGCCCAGCTCCCTTATTAGATCGAGACATTTTAACTAAATTATCTGCTTCCCTGACTATTCCTGGGCTACAGCCACACCTCATTGCCACCTTTTCCCCCAGTTCAAAGCCTCCTTCGCATCCTCCCTTTGTATCTCCCCACCTTAATCCACAAGTATAGGACACCTCTACTCCCTCCTTGGTGACAGATGATGCACCCCTTACCATCCCATTAAAACCTAATCACCCTTACCCCGCTCAATGCCAATATCCCGTCCCACAGCACACTTTAAAAGGATTAAACCCTGTTATCACTCACCTGTTTCAGCATGGCCTTTTAAAGCCTATAAACTCTCCTTACAATTCCCCCATTTTACCTGTCCAAAAACCGGACAAGTCTTACAGGTTAGTTCAGGATCTGTGCTTTATCAACCAATGGTCTTGCCTATCCACCCTGTGGTGCCAAACCCATATACTCTCCTATCCTCAGTACCTCCCTCCACAACCCATTATTCTATTCTAGATAAACCTAGCTGACCCCATAGATCCTAAATCCTTTCGCCACTCCTTTCCGTTCCTTAAAAACAGCCCTAGAAGCTGCTCCCACAGTAGCTCTCCCTAACTCATCCTAACCCTTTTCATTACACACAGCTGAAGTGCAGGGCTGTGCGGTCAGAGTTCTTACACAAGAGCTGGGACTGCGCCCTGTAGCCTTTCTGTCCAGACAACTTGACCTTACTGTTTTAGCCTAGCCCTCATGTCTGTGTGCAGTGGCTGCCACTGCTTTAATACTTTTAGAGGCCCTCAAAATCACAAGCTATGCTCCACTTACTCTCTCCAGTTCCCATAACTTTCAAAATCTATTTTCCTCCTCACACTTGATGCATATACTTTCTGCCCCCTAGCTCCTTCAGCTATACTCACTCTTTGTTGAGTCTCCCACAATTACCATTTTTCCTGGCCGGGACTTCAATCCAGCCTCCCACATTATTCCTGATACCACACCTGACCTGCATGACTGTATCTCTCTGATACACCTGGCATTCACTCCATTTCCCCATATTTCCTTCTTTCCTGTTCCTCACCCTGATCACACCTGGTTTATTGATGGCAGTTTGATCAGGCCTAATCACCACTCACCAGCAAAGGCAGGCTATGCTATAGTATCTTCCACATCTATCATTGAGGCTACCGCTCTGCCCCCTCCACTACCTCTCAGCAAGCTGAACTCATTGCCTTAACTTGGGACCTCACTCTTACAAAGGGACTAGGCGTCAATATTTATACTGACTGTAAATATGCCTTCCATATCCTGCACCACCATGCTGTTACATGGGCAGAAAGAAATTTCCTCACTATGCAAGTGTCCTCCATCATTAATGCCTCTTTAATAAAAACTCTTCTTAAAGGCACTTTACTTCCAAAGGAAGCTGGGGTCATTCACTGCAAGGGCCATCAAAAGGCATCAGATCCCATCACTCAGGGCAACGCTTATGCTGGTAAGGTAGCTAAAGAAGCAGCTAGCATTCCAACTTCTGTCCCTCATGGCCAGTTTTTCTCCTTTTCATTAGTCACTCCTATTTACTCTCCTACTGAAGTTTCCACCTATCAATCTGTTCCCACACAAGGCAAATGGTTCTTGGACAAAGGAAAATATCTCCTTCCAGCCTCACAGGCCCATTCTATTCTGTCATCATTTCATAACCTCTTCTATGTAGGTTACAAGCCATTATCCCGCCTCTTAAAACCTCTCATTTCCTTTCCATTGTGAATGTCTATCCCCAATCCTCCACTCTTGACTCCCTCTTGGAGTGGATAGATGATCTTTGCTGACAGGACACACCCCAACACTTTCATCCTGATCAAGTCCTGTTCTTTACTTTTATACTCTTATTCTCGTTCCCATTCTTATGCCACCCTCTACCTCTCCCCAGCTATCTCCACCACAGTATCAATCTCACTCACTGTCTCCTAGCCATTTCTAATCCTTCTTTAACAAACAAAGCCAGCAGGCTTTGCATTCCTCTTTCCTCCAAAATCGCCGAGGCCTCAATTTATTCACTGCTGAAAAAGGAGGACTCTGTATATTTTTAAATGAAGAGTGTTGTTTTTACCTAAATCAGTCTGGCCTGGTATATGACAACATAAAAAAACTCAAGGATAGAGCCCAAAAACTCGCCAACCAAGCAAATAATTATGCTGAACCCCTTTGGGCGCTCTCTAATTGGATGTCCTGGGTCCTCCCAATTCTTAGTCCTTTAATACCTGTTTTTCTCCTTCTCTCATTTGGACCATGTGTCTTCCTTTTACTTTCGCAATTCATACAAAACCGCATCTAGGCCATCACTAATCATTCTATACGACAAATGCTCCTTCTAACAACCCCACAACATCACCCCTTACCCAAAAATCTTTCTTCAGTTTAATCTTTCCCACTCTAGGTTCCCACACTGCCCCTGATCCCGCTAGAAGCAGCCCTGAGAAACATCGCCCATTATCTCTCCATACCACCCGTGAAAATTTTCACTGCCCCAACAGTTCACCACTATTTTGTTTTGTTTTTCTTATTAATATATGAAGACAGGAATGTCAGGCCTCTGAGCCCAAGCTAAGCCATCATATCACCTGTGATCTACATGTATACATCCAGTTGGCCTGAAGCAACTGAAGATCCACAAAAGAAGTGAAAATAGCCTTAACTGATGACATTCCACAATTGTGATTTGTTCCTGCCACACCCTGATATAATATATTCTCCCCTGCCCTCAAGAAGGTACTTTGTAATATTCTCCCCCCCACCCCCCTGCCCTTAAGAAGGTACTTTGTAATATTCTCCCCCCCACCCCCCTGCCCTTAAGAAGGTACTTTGTAATATTCTACCCCCCCAGCCTGCCCTTAAGAAGGTACTTTGTACGCCTATCCCAAACCTATAAGAACTAGTGATAATCCCACCACCCTTTGCTGACTCTCTTTTCGGACTCAGCCCGCCTGCACCCAGGTGAAATAAACAGCCTTGTTGCTCACACACACATACACAAAATAAAACATTAAAAAAAAATCTTTATTTCTTAAGAGCAGTTTTAGGTTCCTAGCAAAATTGAGCAGAAAGTAAAGCATCTCATATACTCACTGTTCCTCCTTTGCCCTCCAGAGCCATCCCTACTATCAGCATTTACCTCCATACTTGGTACATTTGTTGCAATTAATGAACCTACATCAACATATTACCCAAAGCCCATGGTTTACATTAGGGTTCATTCTTGGTGTTATACATTCAGTGTGTTTAGACAAACGTATATTTATCTGCCATTGTTTTTACTGCCCTAAAAATCCCCGTTTCTGCCTGTTCATCCCTATCATCCCTGCCAAGTAATCATTTTACTATATTCATAGTTTTGCATTTTCTAGAATGTCATATACTTGGAATCATATAGTATGTAGCCTTTTCATATTGGCTTCATTCACTTTTCACTTAGTAATATGTATTTTTAAGTTTCCTCCATGTCTTTTCATGGCTTTATCACTCATTTATTTTTAGTGCTGAATAATATTCCATCACCTGATGTAAAACAGTTTACCCACTAACCTACTGCAGGATGTTTTGATTGTTCTGAGGTTTTGGCAATTATGAATAAAGCTCCTATAAACATCCATGTGCAGGTTTTTATATGGACTAAGTTTTCAGCTTCTTTGGGTAAATATCAAGGAGAGCAGTTGCAGGATTGCATGGTAAGAATATATTCAATTTTATAAGAAATGGTCAAATGGTATTTGAAAGTGGATATGTGCCATTTTGTATTCCCACCAGCAATGAAAGAGTACCCATTGTTTCACACCCACTTCAGCATTTGGTGTTGTTATTGTTTTGGAGTTTGGTCACTCTTGTAGATCTGTAGTGGTATCTTGTTTTAATTTTGATTCCCTAATGACATGATGTTGAACATCTTTTCACATACTTACTTACCATCTGTGTATCTTCTTTGGTGAGGTTCTGTTTGTGTTTTGGGGCTCATTTTCTTATTGTTGAGTTATGAGTTCTTTGTATGTTTTGGATGACAGTCCTTTTTCATGTCTCTTGGAAGTATTTTTTTCCCAGTCTGTGACTTGTCTTACTCCATTGGCATTGTCTTTCATAGAGCACAAGTGTTTTATTTTAATGAAGTCCAGTTTTATCAGTTATTTCTTTCATGGATAGTGCCTTTGATGTTGTAGCTAAAAAGTCATTGTTTTGCCAAAGGTCATCTAGTTATCTTCTAGGAATTTTATAGTTTTGCATTTTAAATTTAGGTCTATTATTTATTTTGAGTTAATTTTTTATGAAAGGTGTAAGGTCTGTGTCTTGGTTTATGTCTTTGCATGTGGATGTCTACAAAGATGGTTGACCATTCAACAATCTTTGTTGAAAAGATTGTCTTTTCTCCACTGTATTACTTTTGCTCCTTTGTTGAAGATCAGTTGACTATATTTATGTAGGTCTATTTCTGAGCTTTCTACTCTGTTCCATTGGCCTGTTTACCAGTTCTTTTGCCAATACCACACTGTCTTCATTACCGTTGCTTTATAATAAATCTTGAAGTCAGATAGAGTCAGTCCTACAACTTTGTTCTTCTTTAACATTGAGTTGGCCATTCTGAGTCCTCTGCCTTTCCATATAAACCTAATTTTTATTTTTTATTATTTTTTTGAAATGGGTTCTCACCCTGTCTCCCAGGCTGGAGTGCAGTGGTGCCATCACAGCTCACTGAAGCCTTGAATTCATGGGTTCAAGCGATCCACCCACCCCAGCCTCTCGAGTAGCTGGGTCTATAGGCACATGCCACTATGCCCAGATAATTTCAATTTTTTTTTGTAGAGACGGGATCTCGTGATGTTACCCAGGCTGGTCTCAAACTCCTGTGTGCAAGCAATCTTCCCACCTTGGCCTCCCAAAGTGTTGGGATTACAGGCATGAGCCACCACGCCTGGCCCTTTCCATATAAACTTCAGAATCAGTTTGTCAATATCTACAAAATAACTTCATGGGATTGGTTGAGATTGTGTTGAATTTGTAGATCAAGTTATGGAGAACTGAACATCTTGACAATGTTGATTCTTCCTATTTATAAACACAAAACATCTCTCCATTTAGTTGTCATCTTTCATCAAAGTTTCATAGTTTACTTCATATAGATCTTGTAAATGTGTTGTAAGAGTTAAAGCTAAGTATTTCATTTTTAGGAGTGGTAATGTAAATGGTAATGTTTTTATTTCAAAATCTACCTCTTTATTGCTGGTTTATAGGAAAGCAATTGATGTTGGAAATTAACTTTGTATCCTGCCACTTCGCTATTATCACTTATTAGTTTCAGGAGTTTTTTTGTGATTATTTCAGATTTTCTACATAGACTGTCATCTATGAAGGGAGAGAATTGTATATATTTCTTCCTGTCCAATCTGTATACCTTTTATTTCCTTTTCTTGTCTTATTACATTAGCTAGAACTTCCAGTATGATTCTGAAGAGCAGTGGTGAGAGTAGACATCCTTGCCTTCTTTCTAATCTTAGTGGTAGAATTTCGGGTTCTTCACCATTAATATAATGTTAGCTGTAGGCTTTTAGTAGATATTCTTTTCAAGGTGGGGAAATTGCCCCTCTATTCCTAGTTTGCTGAGTTTTTATCATGAATGATTTTTTGATTTTGTTAATGCTTTTTCAGTATCAATGTGATTTTGATTTTTTTCTTTAGCCTGCTATTGTGATGGATTACATTAATTGATTTTTGAATGTTAAGCCAGGCTTGCATACTGATATGATTTGGCTGTGTTTCCACCCAAATCTCATCTTGAATTGTAGTTTCTATAATCCCCACGTGTTGTGGGAGGGGCCGGGTGGAGACAATTGAATCATGGGGGCAGTTTTCCCCATCCTGTCCTCATGATAATGAGTTAGTCCTTGTGAGATCTGATGGTTTTATAAGGGGCTTCCCCTTCACTGGGCACTCATTTTTCTTCTCCCTGCCACCATGTGAAGAAGAACATGTTTGCTTCCCCTTCTGCAGTGATTATAAGTTTCCTGAGGCCTCACTAGTCGTGCTGAACTATAAGTCAATTAAACCTCTTTCTGTTATAAATTACCCATTTTCTGGCAGTTCTTTTTTTTTTTTTTTTTTTTTTTTTAAGATGGAGTTTTGCTCTTGTTGCCCAGGCTGGAGTGCAATGATGCGATCTCAGCTCACTGCAACCTCTGCCTCCCGTGTTCAAGCAATTCTCCTGCCTCAGCCTCCCAAGTAGCTAGGATTACAGGCATGCGCCACCACAGCTGGCTAATTTTTTGTATTTAGTAGAGCTGGGTTTTCACAATGTTAGTCAGGCTGGTCTCAAACTCCTGACCTCAGGTGATCCACCCACCTTGGCGTCCCAAAGTGCTGAGATTACAGGTGTGTGCCACCATGCCCAGCCTGTGGCAGTTCTTTATAGCAGCAAGAGAACAAACTAATGTGCATACCTAGGATAAATTCCACTTGATAATACTGTATAATTCTTTCCATATATTGTTGGATTCAATTTGCTAATATATTACTGAGGATTTTTGCATTTATGTTCATAAAAGCTGTTGGTCTGTAGTTTTCTTGTAATGTCTTTGGTTTTGGTATTGGGATAATGCTGGCTGCATAGAATGGGTCAGGAAATATTCTGCTTGTAGGAATTGGTGTAGTTTCTTCCTTAAATATTTAGCAGAATTAACCAACACAACAATATGGGCCTATTGACTTCTGTTTTGGAAGGTTATTAATTATTGATCCAATTTCTTTAAAAGATACAGACATTCAGATTGCCTATTTCTTCTGTGAGTTTTGGCAGATTGTGCTTTTTAAGGAGTTGATTCTTTCACTTTGTTTATTAAATTTGTGGGCCTAGAGTTGTTTATAATATTCCTTTATTAACTTTTTAATGTCTATGGGAGCTGTAGTTGTGTCCCTTCTTGCTTTTTTTTTTTTTTTTTTGAGATGGAGTCTTGCTCTGTCACCCAGGCTGGAGCACAGTGGTGTGATCTCGGCTCACTGCAACCTCTGCCTCCTGGGTTCAAATGATTCTCCTGTCTCAGCCTCCTGAGGAGCTACGATTACAGGTGCCTGCCACCATGCCTGGCTAATTTTTGTATTTTTAGTAGATGTAGGGTTTTGCCATGTTGGCCAGGCTAGTTTTGAACTGCTGACCTCAAGTGATCCACCTGCCTTGGCCTCCCGAAGTGCTGGGATTACAGATGTGAGCCACCACGCCTGGCCCCTTTTCATTTTTGATGTTAGTAATTTGTGTCTTCTGTTTTTGTTAGTCTGGCTAAGGCTTAGCAATTGTTATTGATCTTTTCAAAGACCTACCTTTTTGTGTGACTGATTTTTCTTTATTGATTTCCTATTTTCTATTTCTGATTTGTGCTCTAATTTTGATTATTCCTTTTCTTATGTTTATTTTGGATTTAATTTGTTCTGTTCTTATTTCCTGTGGTAAAAACAAAGATTATTGATTTTAGATCTTATTTTCTAATATACACATTCAATGCTATAAATTGCAGTCTGAGTACTGCTTTCACTACATCTTATTTTAAAATTTATTTTTATTTACTTCAAAATATTTTAAAATGTCTCTTGAGAGGTTTGTTTGTTTGTTTGTTTTGAGACAGTCTCACTCTGTCGCCCAGGCTGGAGTGCAGTGGCATGATCTTGGCTCACTGCAAACTCTGCCTCCCGGGTTCAACTGATTCTCCTGACTTGGCCTCCCGAGTAGCTGGGATTACAGGTGTGCACCACCATACCCACTAATTTTTTGTATTTTTAGTAGAGACGGGGTTTCATCATGTTGGTCAGGCTGGTTTTGAACTCCTGACTTCAAGCAATCCACCCACCTTGGCCTCCCAAAGTGCTAGGATTACAGGCATGAGCCACTGCGCCCAGCGTCTTGAGAGTTTTTTAACCCCTGTGTTATCTAGAAATGTGTTAATTTTCAAGTAATTGGGACTTTCCAGCCATCTTTCTGTAGTTGATTTCTAGTTTAATTTCCTTGTCTGAGAGCAAATATTGTATGATTTCTATTCTTTTCAATGCGTTAAGGTGTGCTTTATGGTGCAGAATGTAGTCTATCCTGGGGAATGTTTTATATGAGCTTGAGAAGAATGTGTACTGTGCTGCTGTTGGATGAAGTAATCTATAGGTGTTAATTATATCCAGTTGATTGATGGTGTTGTCGAATTCAACTCTGTCCTTACTGAATTTTTTTTTTTTTTTTTTGAGACGGAGTCTCGCTCTGTCGCCCAGGCTGGAGTGCAGTGGCGGGATCTCGGCTCACTGCAAGCTCCGCCTCCCGGGTTCACGCCATTCTCCTGCCTCAGCCTCCCAAGTAGCTGGGACTACAGGCGCGCGCCACTACGCCCGGCTAATTTTTTGTATTTTTAGTAGAGACGGGGTTTCACCGTTTTTTAGCCGGGATGGTCTCGATCTCCTGACCTCGTGATCCGCCCACCTCGGCCTCCCAAAGTGCTGGGATTACAGGCGTGAGCCACCGCGCCCGGCCTCCTTACTGAATTTTTTGCTTGCTGGATCTGTCTGTCTAATACTGATGGAGGGGTATTAAAATCTCCAATGATAATACTGGACACAACATATAGTTGGGTCTTGTTTTTATCCACTCTGACAACCCCTGTCTTTTAATTGGTGTGTTTAGACCATTGATGTTTAAGGTGATTTTTAAGTATATTTGGATTAATATATAACCATATTTGTTATTAAAAAATGGTGCGAAGGCCAGGTGCAGTGGCTCGCACCTGGAATCCCAGCACATTGGGAGCCTGAGGCGGGCAGATCACTTGAGATCAGCGGCTCAAGATCAGCCTGGGCAACATGGTGAAACCCTGTCTTTACTAAAAATACAAAAGTTAGCTGATTGTAGTGGCACATGCCTGTAGTCCCAGATACTCAGGAGGCTGAGGCAGGAGAATTGCTTGAATCCAGGAGGTGGAGGCTGCAGTGAGCCAAGATCACACCACTGCACTCCAGCCTGGCCAAAAGAACAAGACTCAGTCTCAAAAAAAAAAAAAAGGTGCCAAGAAACACAATGTGAAAAGAGTAGTCTTTTAAATAAAGGTGTTGGGAAAAATGGATTTCCACATGCAGGAGAATGAAATTGGACTCATCTTATACTATATACAAAAATCAACCCAAAATGGATTAAAGACTTAAACTTAAGGCCTGAAACTATAAAACTCCAAGAAGAAAACATAGGGAAATCTCCATGACATTGTTCTGAGCAATGATTTTTTGGATTTGACCCCAAAAGCTCAGACAGCAAGAGCAAAGATAGACTCATGTGATTACATCAAACTAAAAAGCTTCAGCACAGCAAAGGAAACAACTGAATGAAGAGACAACCTACATATTGGGAGAAAATAGTTGCAGTTTATACTAATACATCTAATGAGGGAGCGGTTAATATCCAAAATACATGAGAAACTCAAACAATAAAAAGAAAACAATCTGATTAAAACATGGTCAAAGGACCTGAGCAGACATTTCTCCAAAGAAGGCACACAAATGGCCAACAGATATATATGAAAAATTGTTCAGCATCACTTATCATTAGGGAAATGGAAATTATAACCACACTGACATATCATCTCACACCTGTCAGAATGGCTGTTATCAAAAAGATGAAAGACTACATGTGCTGGTGAAGATGTGGAGAAGGGAGAACCTTTGTAAACGGTTGATGGGAATGTAAATTAATACAGCCATTATGTAAAATTATGGGGTTTCCTCAGAATACTAAAAATAGAATTACTACATGATGGGGATTGATCTAAGATGGCCAATTAGAAGCAGCTGTGGTCTGCAGCACTCATGGAGAGGAATGAAGAAGGGTGAGTGAATTCAGCACCTTCAACTGAAATATTCAGGTTCTTGCATTGGGACTGCTAGACAACCCAATACAGAGAAGGAAGAAAAGTGGGGGGTGGGGAAGGTGATGGCCCACCTGGGAGTGGCACAAAGCCAAAGGAATCCCCACCCCCAGCCAAGGGAAGCAGTGAGTTATTGTGCGACTACTCTTAGGAAACCACACTTCTCCCACGAATCTTTGCAGCCTGCATGCATTAGTCCGTTGGCGGCTCACACCTGTAATCCCAGCACTTTGGGAGGCCAAGGCGGGCAGATCACGAGGTCAAGAGATCGAGACCATCCTAGCTAACATGGTGAAACCCCGTCTCTACTAAAAATACAAAAATTAGCTGGGTGTGGTGCCACACGCCTGTAGTCCCAGCTACTTGGGAGGCTGAGGCAGGAGAATCGCTTGAACCCGGGAAGGGGAGGTTGCAGTAAGCCAAGATGAGGCCACTACTCCAGCCTGGCAACAGAGTGAGACTCTGTCTCAAAAAGAAAAAAAAAAAGAAGAAAGAAATACCCCCGAGACTGGGGAATTTATAAAGGAAGGAGATTTAATTGACTCACAGTTCCTCCTGGCTAGGGAGCCCTCAGACAGCTTACCACCATGGTGGAAAGGGAAACAGGCACCTTTTCCACAGGTGACAGGAGGGAGAAGTGAGAGCACAGGTAAAAACTACCACTTTCAAAACCATTAGAGTTCATGAGAATTCACTCACTGTCACAAGAACAGCACGATCTTGTGATTCTACCACCCTCATGATCCAACCACTTTCCTTCAACATGTGGGGATTACAGGTCCCTTCCTCGATATGGGGGGATTATAATTCAAGATGAGATTTGGGCAGGGACACAGAAGCAAATAATATCACTGTGGATAAGGAGATCCCCTCATGAGCCCACGCCACCAGGGCCTTGGGTCTGATACACAGAGCTGTGTGAAGTCTTGGCAGAGCACCTGCTTACATATAGAGACCCAGGAGTTTTACATATTCCGGCCCTGGGATCTCCAGCAAGGCAGGAAATTCATCCGTACATATCCCTGGGAAGGGGAGACTGAATCCAGGGAGCCAAGCAATGTCGTTCTATGGGCCCCACTTCCACAGCACCTCACAAATTAAGACTCACTGGCTTGGAATCCCAGCCAGCCAATGGCAGCGGGTTGAAATCCACCTGAGATGGGTCCAAGTTCCCAGGGGAATGGGTGGCTGCCATCTCTGCGGTTCCATCAACTTAGCTTCTCTAGCCTGCTGACTGTGGAGAATACAGACAGTCTGGGAGGAAGGGTCCCCCATAGTGCAGCACAGCTGCCTTGCCAGATTGTGGCCAGACTGCTTTAAGCAGCACCTGGATCCATTTCTCCTCACTGAGCAGGATCTCCCTGCAGGAGCTTCAACGACTCCAGCTAGGGTTCTATGGACAGAGCTCTGATCTCTCCCTGGGATGGAGCTCCTGTGAGGAGGGGTGGATGTCATCTCTGCGGTTTGGTGGACTCAGCCACTCCAGCCTGTCAGCTTTGGAGATTGCAGGCAGTTTGGATGAGGAAGTGTGCCCCTTAATGCAGCACAACTGCTCTACCAAAAAACAGCCAGACTGCTTCTTTGGGCAGGTCCCTGATCCCATTCCTTCTGACTGGGTGAGACCTCCCAATGGGGGTTTCCAGACATCTCCTATAGGTGCGTGCAGGCTGGCAACAGGTCAGTACCCCCTGGGATAGAGCTTCCAGAGAAAGGATCTGGCTGTCATCTTTGCTGTTTCATGGCCTTTGCTGGTGATACCTCCAGGTACGGGAGAATGAGGCAACTGGGGTATGGAGCGGACCCCCAGCAAACCACAGCAGCCCTATGGTAGAGTGGGCTGACTGTTAAAACAAACAAACAGACACAAAACAACAACAATGACAAAGACCCCACAAAAACCTCATTCACCATGTCAGAAACCTCAAAGATTGAAGGTAGATAAGCCCACAAAGATGAGAAAGAATCAATGCAAACATGCTGAAAACTCAAAAGGCCAGAGTGCCTTTTCTTCTCCAAATGACCACAACACCTCTCCAGCAAGGGCACAGAACTAGGCTGAGACTGAGATGGTTGAATTGACAGAAGTAGGCTTCAGAGGTGTGTAATCATGAATTTCACTGGGCTAAAGGAGCATGCTGTAACCCAAAGCAAAGAAGCTAGGAATCATGATAAAACAATACAGGAGTTGATAGCCAGAATAGCCAGTTTAGAGAGGAACATAGCCAACCCAATGGAGTCGAAAAACACAACACAAGACCTTCACAATGCAATCACAAGTATCAATAGCAGAATAGACCAAGTGGAGGAAAGAATCTTAGAGCTTGAAGACTCTTTCTGAAATAAGACAGAGAAGAATAGAGAAAAAAGAATGAAAAGGAATGAACAAAACCCCCAAGAAATATAGCATTATGTAAAGATACCAAGCCTACAACTAACCGGGGTACTTGAAAGAGATGGGGAGAATGGAACCAAGTTGTAAAACATACTTCAGGATATCATATAGGAGAACTTCCCCAACCTAGCAAGACAAGCCAACATTCAAATTCAGGAAATGCAGAAAACTCCAGTGAGATACTCCATGAGCAGATCAACCCTAAGACACATAATCATCAGATTCTCCAGTGTCAAAAGGAAAGAAAAAATGTTAAGGGCAGTCATAGAGAAAGGCCAGGTCACCTACAAAGGGAAATCCATCAGACTAACAGCATACCTCTCAGCAGAAACCCTACAAGCTGGAAGAGATTGGGTGCCAATACTCAACATTATTGAAGAAAAGCATTTCCAATCCATAATTTCATATCTGGCCAAACTAAGCTTCATAAGTGAAGGAGAAATAAGATCCTTTTCATACAAGCAAATGCTGAGGGAATTTGTCACCACCAGGCCTGCCTAGCAAGAGCTCCTGAAGGAAGCACTAAATATGGAAAGGAAAAACCATTACCAGCCACTACAAAAACACACTGAAGTACACAGACCAGTGACACTATGAAGCAACCACATACACAAGTCTGCAAAATAACCAACTAGCATCATGATAACAGGATCAAATTCATACATAACAACACTAACCTTAAATGTAAGTGGGCTAAATGCCCCAATTAAAAGACACAGAATGGCAAGCGGGGTAAAGAACCAAAACCTACCAGTGTGCTGTCTTCGATATCCATCTCTTGTGCAAAGACACATGTATGCCCAAAATAAAGGGATAGAGGAAAATTTACCAAGCAAACAGAAAACAGAAAAAAGCAGAGGTTGCAATTCTAGTTTCTGACAAAACAGACTTTAAACCAACAAAGATCAAAAAAGACAAGGGCAGTACATAAAGGTAAAAGGTTCAATTCAGCAAGAAGAGCTAACTATACTAAATATATATGCACCCAATACAGGAGCACCCAAATTCGTAAAGCAAGTTCTCAGAGACCTACAAAGAGACAGACTGTCACACAATTGTCTCACACAACACTTTTAACACCCCACTGACAATATTAGAAAGATCATTGAGAAAGAAAATTAACAAAGATATTCAGAACCTGAACTCAGACCTGGATCAAGTGGACCTGATAGATATCTACATAACTCTCCACCTAAATTCAACAGAATATACATCCTTATCACTACATGGCACTTACTCTAAAATTGATCACACAGTCAGAAGTAAAACACTCCTTAGCAAATGCAAAAGAACTGAAATCATAACAGTCTCCCAGACCACAGCACAATTAAATTAGAACTCAAGAAACTCACTCAAAACCACACAACTACATGGAAGTTGAACAACCTGCTCCTGAATGACTCTTGGGTAAATAATGAAATTAAGGCAGAAATCAAGAAGTTATTTGAAACTAATGAGATCAAAGAGACAATGTACCAGAATTTCTGGGGTGCGACTAAAGCAGTGTTAAGAGCGAAATTTATAGCATGAAATGCCCACATGCAAAAGCTAGAAAGATCTTGTTACCATCGTAACATCTCAACTAAAAGAACTAGAGAACCAAGAGCAAACAAACTCCAAAGCTAGCAGAAGACAAGAAATAACCAAGATCAGAGCTGAACTGAAGGAGATAGAGACATGAAAAACCCTTCAAAAATATCAACAAATCCGGGAGGTGTTTTTTTGAAAAAATTAATAAAATAGACTGCTAGCTAGTCTAATAAAGAAGAAAAGAGAGAAGAATCAAATAAACACAATTAGAAATGATAAGGGGGATATCACCACTTACTCCACAGAAATACAGCCAACCATTAGAGAATAGTATAAACATCTCTGTGCACATAAACTAGAAAATCTAGAAGAAATGGATAAATCCCTGGACACATACACCCTCCCAAGACTGAACCAGAAAGGAAGTGAATCCCTCAATATAACAATAACAAGTTCTGAAATTGAGGTAATGATAAATAGCCTACCCACCAAAAGAAGACCAGGACCAGACAGATTCACAGCTGAATTCTACCAGAGGTACAGAGAAGAGCTGGTACCATTTCTAATGGTACTATTCCAAAAAATTGAAAAAGAGGTAGCCCTCCCTAACTCATTCTATGAGGCCAGCATCATCCTGATACCAAAACCTGGGAGAGATGCAACAATAAAAGAAAACTTCAAGATGGATTAAAACCTCAAACTACAAAAACGCTAGTAGAAAATCTAGGCAATACCATTCAGGACATAGGCACGGGCAAAAATTTTATGCAGAAAATACCAAAAGCAATTGCAACAAAAGCAAAAATTGACAAATGGGGTCTGGTTAAACTAAAGAGCTTCTGCACAGCAAAAGAAACTATTATCAGAGTGAACAGTTAACCTACAGAATGGGAGAAAATTTTTGCAATCCATCTGACAAAGGTCTAATATCCAGTCTACAAGGAACATAAAGAAATTTATATGAAAAAACCTCATTAAAAAGTGGGCAAAGGACATGAACAGACACGTATCAAAAGAAGACATACATGAAGCCAACAATCCAAACATGAAAAAAAGCTCAACATCATTGATCATTAGAGAAATGCAAATCAAAACAACAATGAGATACCATCTCACGTCAGTCAGAATGGCTATTATTAAAAAGTAAAAAAATAACAGATGCTGGTGAGGTTGCAGAGAAAAATGAACACTTTTACACTGTTGGTGGGAATGTAAATTAGTTCAACCATTGTGGAAGACAGTGTGGTGATTCCTCATAGACCTTGAAGCAGAAATACCATTTGACCCAGCAATCCCATTACTGGGTATATACCCAAGGGACTATAAATCATTCTGATATAAAGATACATGCACACATATGTTCATCGCAGCGCTATTCACAATAGTAAAGACATGGAATCAACCTAAATACCCATCAATGATAGACTGGTTAAAGAAATATGGTACATGTACACCGTGGAATACTATGCAGCCATAAAAAGGATAATGCCCTTTGCAGGGACAGGGATGGAATTGGATGGACGGAATTGGAAGCCATTATCCTTAGCAAACTAATGCAGGAACAGAAAACCAAACACTGCATGTTCTCACTTATAGGTGGGAGCTGAATGATGAGAATATATGGACACATGGGGTACAACAACACACACTGGAGCCTGTCAGAGAGTGTGGCGGAAGGGAGAGCATAAGGAAGAATAGCTAATGGATACTGGGCTTAATACCTAGGTGATGGGATGATCTGTGCAGCAAACCACTATGGCACTCATTTACCCACGTAACAAACCTGCACATCCTGCACATGTACCCCAGAACTTAAAATAAAAGTTGAAGAAAAAAGAACTTAAATAAAATAAAATATGTAAATATATAATAAAATATAATTTTTTTCTTTATAAAAAAATTAAGAATTACTACATGTTCCAGCAATCCCACTTCTGGGTATATATCGAAAGGATTTGAAGTCAGTATATTGAAGAGATATCTGCACTCCCATGTTCATTGCAGCAGTATTCACACTTGATCTTAGCCAAAAGGCCAAGAAGTAATATTGAGTAAAGAAAACGTGGCATATACACACAATTGAATACTATGTAGCCTTTAAAAAGAAGGAAATTCTGGCTGGGCTGGGTGGCTCATGCCTGTAATCCCAGCACTTTGGGAGGCCGAGGCAGGTGGATCACCTGAGGTCAGGAGTTCGAGACCAGCCTGACCAACATGGAGAAACCCCATCTCTACTAAAAAGATAACAATTAGCCGGGCATGGCGGTACATGCCTGTGATCCCAGCTACTCAGGAGGCTGAGGCACGAGAATCACTTGAATCCAGGAGGCAGAGGTTGCAGTGAGCTGAGATCACGCCACTGCACTCCAGTCTGGGCAACAGTGTAAGACTCCATCTCAAAAAATAAATAAAAATAAAAAATAATAAAAATAAAAAGGAGGAAATTCTGTCATTTGCGACAATATGTTTGGATCTGGAATAACTTAGGCACAGAAGGACAAAGACCACATAATCTCACTTATATGTGGCATCTAAAACAATCAAACTCATAGAAGCAGAGGGTAGAATGGTGATTACCAGAGGCTGAGGAGGTGGGGGATGAGAAGATGTTGGTCAAAGAGTACAAAGTTTCAGTGAGACAACAGGAATAAGTTCTTTGAGATATATTGCATAGCATGGTGACTATAGTTAATAATAATGTATATTTCAAAATTACTGAGTAAATTTCAAATGTTCTCATCACAAAAAATGTGTGATGGATATGTTAATTAGATTAATATGTTAATTAATTTGATCATTTCACATTTGATACATATAACATCACTTTGTAGCCCCCTAAATATATAAAATAATAAAAAATAAATAAAATATTAATTTAGTGGGGAAAAAAATCAGTAATTATAGCCACTTGCCACATGAGGTCATTATACACTTGATTCTTTATTGTGCTCTGGCTATAATCTAAGCATCATTATTTTGATGGTGAGTGGTTGGAAAAAAATAGTAGCTGATGAGAGGTTTCTTGCACTACCAGACTAACAGTATTATTGATTAATAAATATTTCATTGAGTGAGATTTTATGCGTACAGATTCAGGGGGACAAATAAAATGAGCTGTTGGATTAAATACAGGCAATGAAAACTGCAGAACTTTTAGAATTACTTTAATATAAGAAAATCTGCTATACAACTCCCAGCTGCTTCTTTTGGTATTAGATTGAAGAATATCAATTGTTGGGTATTTAAGGGATAGTACTAGGTTAGGTAATTATGCTTAACAGGTTTCCAGGAAATTTAATGTTTTAATTTTCACTCAGACCAAATATTAATGGCTGTCTTCCAAGACTGTTTACCATTTACTTAGTAATAATGTACACAGAGAAGCTTATAGCTATTTTTACTATTCTATGGAACTACCCGGAACTTGGACAGATGATATAGAAAGTGATTCAGTAACAGAGGTAGGTGAAACCTATCGTTCTGAGATTTTCTTTTTTTCAGACACCATCTTGTTCTGTTGCCCAACCTAGAGTGCAGTGGTGCAATCATGGCTCACTGCAGCCTCAACCCTCAGGCTCAGTCAATCCTCCCGCCTCAGCCTCTTGAGTAACTGGGACTACAGGTGCATGCCACCACACCCAGCTATTTTTTTTTTTTTCTGTAGAGATAGGGTTTCACTATGTTGCCCAGGCTGGACTTGAACTCCTGGGCTCACATAATCTGCTGGCTTTGGCCTCCCAAAGTGCTGGAATTACATGTGTGAGCCACTGTGTCAGACCTATATTCTGAAACCTTTTAATGTTCTTTGGTGTCACTTCAAAATGTTGGTAGTAATGCTGCCTTTTTGTAATATTGAATATATTTGTGAGTGTGCATGTGCGCACATTATTTTTTATTGTTTTTACTGTTATTCTCTGTTTATTAAGATTTAGCCAAAGGTAAAGCACCTCTTAAAGTTGCAATTTTGTCACTGCCGTTACTGTCAGTGACAGCGGAATCGCTTTGTGTTGAAAGAGTAAATATGGAAATTGGCTAAAGTTATAAAACAATTTACACTCTGCTTGGCTCACCAACACTATTTTGATATGTTATACAATACTATCAAAGCGAGTATTGGCTTGGGAACCGAATTGTCAATATGGCGTGTTATTTTGCTGTTGGTTGACATGAACTCGTTGCTAGATTGGTATATTGACTTAGTCCATTTTGTGCTGCTTAACCAGAATACCACAGAAGCAGGTAATTTATAAAGAACAGAAATTTATTTCCTCCCTGTTTTAGAAGCTGGGAAGGCTAAGATAAAGGCATTTGCAGGTTTGGTGTCAAGGACTTCCAAGATGGTGCCTTGAACTCCATGTCCTCTAGAAGGGAGAAACTTCCTCACCTGGCAGAAGAGCGGAAGAGAGCAAACCCACTCCCTCCAGCCCTTTTTAGTAAGGCTCTAACCCATGAGGCTCCGCCCTTATTACCTAAACACCTCCTGGTGGGCCCACCTCCCAACACTGTTGCATTGGGGATTAAGTTTCAACATGAGTTTTGAAAGGAACAAAAACATTAAAAAACCATAGCATAAATGAAATAAGCTTGTAGAGTATGGCAAATAACTTTAAGCAAAACGACCTTAAACTGCCAATTGAATATTGTCCTCTTTAGAATAGTTACTTTCAGAGACTGTATGTTTATTCCAAAGACTACCATTATTCAAAACACTCTTGGATCTGAGTTTGGAGTCTGGGTCATATATTCTAAAAATGTGGTTCAGGTTTTTCGTGTGTGTGTTACTGGATATGGTTTTTTAAATGGCCATAAATCATTTAGTGACAAGTATAGTGAATAAGATGGGTAGTCAAACTTGAAAAAAGCAGGTTATTAAAAAAAGATAGCAATAAGGCAGTCAGACCTACTTTCTTGTTCATTTATAAAGTATGTCTGAAGGAAATTCATGGTTTTTTACTAAATCGAATGTTTTTGACTAACAGCAGACCCTAAACTAAGTACTTACACAGTATAAATAACTTCTTTGTATGGTTACTTTGAAGGCAATACTAAGCATAGAAGATTCCAGTATAGTTTAAAAAATTATGTCCTATTATGTTTACATGTGGTATATAGCAACTGTCATTGTTGATAGAATTTATCTTCAAAATTTTTAACTTCTTGGAGGCAGTAATAATTAAGAACACAGGTTCCTAAGCCAGAATGCTGGCTATAAATCCTGGCCCTGCTCCTTACTGTCTAACCTTGGGCAAGTCATTATAACCTTGGGCAAGTAATGTATTCCAATTTTTTTTTGTCTATAAGAGAGTCATAAACAATAGTACCTACCTATAAAATGGTGCCATTTCGATGAGCGGAGCAGTGCTTGATAAATGTTAGCCATTACTATTAGTATCATTATTTTACTCAATGTCTTTGTTGATGAAAATATCTAGATAATTGGTGTTTGTGCAGTTACTAAAAAGAATGAATAAGCTAGAACTATTATAAGATATCCACTGTATTTTTTAAGTGGAAGTAGTTATAATATGACCCCATTTCTTTCTTTATAAAAAGTATGTAGGGCATATGTGCAGAAAGAGATTCACCAAACTGTTTATTGTGGTTACCTCTGGGGAGTGGGATTGGAATGGTGGTTGAGATTCTTGGGAGAATGTCTTTGATATAAATATTAAACATTAGGCAATTCATTTAATGTTAAATTTATTTATTTATTTTTTAATTTTTTATTTATTTTTATTTATTTTTTTATTATTATACTTTAAGTTTTAGGGTACATGTGCACATTGTGCAGGTTAGTTACATATGTATACATGTGCCATGCTGGTGTGCTGCACCCACTAACTCGTCATCTAGCATTAGGTATATCTCCCAGTGCTATCCCTCCCCCCTCCCCCCACCCCACAACAGTCCCCAGAGTGTGATGTTCCCCTTCCTGTGTCCATGTGATCTCATTGTTCAATTCCCACCTATGAGTGAGAATATGCGGTGTTTGGTTTTTTGTTCTTGTGATAGTTTACTGAGAATGATGATTTCCAATTTCATCCATGTCCCTACAAAGGACATGAACTCATCATTTTTTATGGCTGCATAGTATTCCATGGTGTATATGTGCCACATTTTCTTAATCCAGTCTATCATTGTTGGACATTTGGGTTGGTTCCAAGTCTTTGCTATTGTGAATAATGTCGCAATAAACATACGTGTGCATGTGTCTTTATAGCAGCATGATTTATAGTCCTTTGGGTATATACCCAGTAATGGGATGGCTGGGTCAAATGTTATTTCTAGTTCTAGATCACTGAGGAGTCGCCACACTGACTTCCACAACGGTTGAACTAGTTTACAGTCCCACCAACAGTGTAAAGGTGTTCCTATTTCTCCACATCCTCTCCAGCACCTGTTGTTTCCTGACTTTTTAATGATTGCCATTCTAACTGGTGTGAGATGGTATCTCATTGTGGTTTTGATTTGCATTTCTCTGATGGCCAGTGATGGTGAGCATCTTTTCATGTGTTTTTTGGCTGCATAAATGTCTTCTTTTGAGAAGTGTCTGTTCATGTCCTTCGCCCACTTTTTGATGGGGTTGTTTGTTTTTTTCTTGTAAATTTGTTTGAGTTCATTGTAGATTCTGGATATTAACCCTTTGTCAGATGAGTAGGTTGTGAAAATTTTCTCCCATTTTGTAGGTTGCCTGTTCACTCTGATGGTAGTTTCTTTTGCTGTGCAGAAGCTCTTTAGTTTAATTAGATCCCATTTGTCTATTTTGTCTTTTGTTGCCATTGCTTTTGGTGTTTCAGACATGAAGTCCTTGCCCATGCCTATGTCCTGAATGGTAATGCCTAGGTTTTCTTCTAGGGTTTTTATGGTTTTAGGTCTAACGTTTAAGTCTTTAATCCATCTTGAATTGATTTTTGTATAAGGTGTAAGGAAGGGATCCAGTTTCAGCTTTCTACATATGGCTAGCCAGTTTTCCCAGCACCATCTACTAAATAGGGAATCCTTTCCCCATTGCTTGTTTTTCTCAGGTTTGTCAAAGATCAGATAGTTGTAGATATGCGGCGTTATTTCTGAGGGCTCTGTTCTGTTCCATTGATCTATATCTCTGTTTTGGTACCAGTACCATGCTGTTTTGGTTACTGTAGCCTTGTAGAATAGTTTGAAGTCAGGTAGTGTGATGCCCCCAGCTTTGTTCTTTTGGCTTAGGATTGACTTGGCGATGCGGGCTCTTTTTTGGTTCCATATGAACTTTAAAGTAGTTTTTTCCAATTCTGTAAAGAAAGTCATTGGTAGCTTGATGGGGATGGCATTGAATCTGTAAATTACCTTGGGCAGTATGGCCATTTTCACGATATTGATTCTTCCTACCCATGAGCATGGAATGTTCTTCCATTTGTTTGTATCCTCTTTTATTTCCTTGAGCAGCGGTTTGTAGTTCTCCTTGAAGAGGTCCTTCACATCCCTTGTAAGTTGGATTCCTAGGTATTTTATTCTCTTTGAAGCAATTGTGAATGGGAGTTCACTCATGATTTGGCTCTCTGTTTGTCTGTTGTTGGTGTATAAGAATGCTTGTGATTTTTGCACATTGATTTTGTATCCTGAGACTTTGCTGAAGTTGCTTCAGCTTAAGGAGATTTTGGGCTGAGACAATGGGGTTTTCTAGATATACAATCATGTCATCTGCAAACAGGGACAGTTTGACTTCCTCTTTTCCTAATTGAATACCCTTTATTTCCTTCTGCCTAATTGCCCTGGCCAGAACTTCCAACACTATGTTGAATAGTAGTGGTGAGAGACGGCATCCGTGTCTTGTGCCAGTTTTCAAAGGGAATGCTTCCAGTTTTTGTCCATTCAGTATGATATTGGCTGTGGGTTTGTCATAGATAGCTCTTATTATTTTGAAATATGTCCCATCAATAACTAATTTATTGAGAGTTTTTAGCATGAAGGGTTGTTGAATTTTGTCAAAGGCCTTTTCTGCATCTATTGAGATAATCATGTGGTTTTTGTCTTTGGCTCTGTTTATATGCTGGATTACATTTATTGATTTGCATATATTGAACCAGCCTTGCATCCCAGGGATGAAGCCCACTTGATCATGGTAGATAAGCTTTTTGATGTGCTGCTGGATTCAGTTTGCCAGTATTTTATTGAGGATTTTTGCATCAATGTTCATCAAGGATATTGGTCTAAAATTCTCTTTTTTGGTTGTGTCTCTGCCCGGCTTTGGTGTCAGAATGATGCTGGCCTCATAAAATGAGTTAGGGAGGATTCCCTCTTTTTCTATTGATTGGAATAGTTTCAGAAGGAATGGTACCAGTTCCTCCTTGTACCTCTGGTAGAATTCGGCTGTGAATCCATCTGGTCCTGGACTCTTTTTGGTTGGTAAGCTATTGATTATTGCCACAATTTCAGATCCTGTTATTGGTCTATTCAGAGATTCAACTTCTTCCTGGTTTAGTCTTGGGAGAGTGTATGTGTCAAGGAATTTATCCATTTCTTCTAGATTTTCTAGTTTATTTGTGTAGAGGTGTTTGTAGTATTCTCTGATGGTAGTTTGTATTTCTGTGGGATCGGTGGTGATATCCCCTTTATCATTTTTTATTGCATCTATTTGATTCTTCTCTCTTTTCTTCTTTGTTAGTCTTGCTAGCATTCTATCAATTCTGTTGATCCTTTCAAAAAACCAGCTCCTGGATTCATTAATTTTTTGAAGGGTTTTTTGTGTCTCTATTTCCTTCAGTTCTGCTCTGATTTTAGTTATTTCTTGCCTTCTGCTAGCTTTTGAATGTGTTTGCTCTTGCTTTTCTAGTTCTTTTAATTGTGATGTTAGGGTGTCAATTTTATATCTTTCCTGCTTTCTCTTGTGGGCATTTAGTGCTATAAATTTCCCTCTACACACTGCTTTGAATGCGTCCCAGAGATTCTGGTATGTTGTGTCTTTGTTCTCGTTGGTTTCAAAGAACATCTTTATTTCTGCCTTCATTTCGTTATGTACCCAGTAGTCATTCAGGAGCAGGTTGTTCAGTTTCCATGTAGTTGAGCGGTTTTGAGTGAGATTCTTAATCCTGAGTTCTAGTTTGATTGCACTGTGGTCTGAGAGATAGTTTGTTATAATTTCTGTTCTTTTACATTTGCTGAGGAGAGCTTTACTTCCAAGTATGTGATCAATTTTGGAATAGGTGTGGTGTGATGCTGAAAAAAATGTATATTCTGTTGATTTGGGGTGGGGAGTTCTGTAGATGTCTATTAGGTCTGCTTGGTGCAGAGCTGAGTTCAATTGCTGGGTATCCTTGTTGACTTTCTGTCTCGTTGATCCGTCTAATGTTGACAGTGGGGTGTTAAAGTCTCCCATTATTAATGTGTGGGAGTCTAAGTCTCTTTGTAGGTCACTCAGGACTTGCTTTATGAATCTGGGTGCTCCTGTATTGGGTGCATATATATTTAGGATAGTTAGCTCTTCTTGTTGAATTGATCCCTTTACCATTATGTAATGGCCTTCTTTGTCTCTTTTGATCTTTGTTGGTTTAAAGTCTGTTTTATCAGAGACTAGGATTGCAACCCGTGCCTTTTTTTGTTTTCCATTTGCTTGGTAGATCTTCCTCCATCCTTTTATTTTGAGCCTATGTGTGTCTCTGCACGTGAGATGGGTTTCCTGAATACAGCACACTGATGGGTCTTGACTCTTTATCCAATTTGCCAGTCTGTGTCTTTTAATTGGAGCATTTAGTCCATTTACATTTAAAGTTAATATTGTTACGTGTGAATTGGATCCTGTCATTATGATGTTAGCTGGTTATTTTGCTCGTTAGTTGATGCAGTTTCTTCCTAGTCTCGATGGTCGTTACATTTTGGCATGATTTTGCAGCGGCTGGTACCGGTTGTTCCTTTCCATGTTTAGCGCTTCCTTCAGGAGCTCTTTTAGGGCAGGCCTGGTGGTGACAAAATCTCTCAGCATTTGCTTGTCTGTAAAGTATTTTATTTCTCCTTCACTTATGAAGCTTAGTTTGGCTGGATATGAAATTCTGGGTTGAAAATTCTTTCCTTTAAGAATGTTGAATATTGGCCCCCACTCTCTTCTGGCTTGTAGGGTTTCTGCCGAGAGATCCGCTGTTAGTCTGATGGGCTTCCCTTTGAGGGTAACCCGACCTTTCTCTCTGCCTGCCCTTAACATTTTTTCCTTCACTTCAACTTTGGTGAATCTGACAATTATGTGTCTTGGAGTTGCTCATCTCGAGGAGTATCTTTGTGGCGTTCTCTGTATTTCCTGAATCTGAACGTTGGCCTGCCTTGCTAGATTGGGGAAATTCTCCTGGATAATATCCTGCAGGGTGTTTTCCAACTTGGTTCCATTCTCCCCATCACTTTCAGGTACACCAATCAGACGTAGATTTGGTCTTTTCACATAGTCCCATATTTCTTGGAGGTTTTGCTCGTTTCTTTTTATTCTTTTTTCTCTAAACTTTCCTTCTTGCTTCATTTCATTCATCTTCCATTGCTGATACCCTTTCTTCCAGTTGATTGCATTGGCTCCTGAGGCTTCTGCATTCTTCACGTAGTTCTCGAGCCTTGGTTTTTAGCTCCATCAGCTCCTTTAATCACTTCTCTGTATTGGTTATTCTAGTTATACATTCTTCTAAATTTTTTTCAAAATTTTTCAACTTCTTTGCCTTTGGTTTGAATGTCCTCCCGTAGCTCAGAGTAATTTGATCGTCTGAAGCCTTCTTCTCTCAGCTCGTCAAAGTTATTCTCCGTCCAGCTTTGTTCCGTTGCTGGTGAGGAGCTGCGTTCCTTTGGAGGAGGAGAGGCGCTCTGCGTTTTAGAGTTTCCAGTTTTTCTGTTCTGCTTTTTCCCCATCTTTGTGGTTTTATCTACTTTTGGTCTTTGATGATGGTGATGTACAGATGGGTTTTTGGTGTGGATGTCCTTTCTGTTTGTTAGTTTTCCTTCTAACAGACAGGACCCTCAGCTGCAGGTCTGTTGGAGTACCCTGCCGTGTGAGGTGTCAGTGTGCCCCTGCTGGAGGGTGCCTCCCAGTTAGGCTGCTCGGGGGTCAGGGGTCAGGGACCCACTTGAGGAGGCAGTCTGCCCATTCTCAGATCTCCAGCTGCGTGCTGGGAGAACCACTGCTCTCTTCAAAGCTGTCAGAAAGGGACATTTAAGTCTGCAGAGGTTACTGCTGTCTTTTTGTTTGTCTGTGCCCTGCCCCCAGAGGTGGAGCCTACAGAGGCAGGCAGGCGTCCTTGAGCTGTGGTGGGCTCCACCCAGTTGGAGCTTCCAGGCTGCTTTGTTTACCTAAGCAAGCCTGGGCAATGGCGGGCGCCCCTCCCCCAGCCTCGCTGCCGCCTTGCAGTTTGATCTCAGACTGCTGTGCTAGCAATCAGCGAGACTCCATGGGCGTAGGACCCTCCTAGCCAGGTGCGGGATATAATCTTGTGGTGCACCGTTTTTTAAGCCCGTCGGAAAAGCGCAGTATTCGGGTGGGAGTGACCTGATTCTCCAGGTGCCGTCTGTCACCCCTTTCTTTGATTAGTAAAGGGAACTCCCTGACCCCTTGCGCTTCCCGAGTGAGGCAATGCCTCGCCCTGCTTCGGCTCGCGCATGGTGCGCGCACCCACTGACCTGTGCCCACTGTCTGGCGCTCCCTAGTGAGATGAACCCGGTACCTCAGATGGAAATGCAGAAATCACCCGTCTTCTGTGTTGCTCAGGCTGGGAGATGTATACCGGAGCTGTTCCTATTCGGCCATCTTGGCTCCTCCCCCGAGGTTTGCTCGTTAAATTTATTTATTCAGCAAATATTCATTGAGCTCCTACTGCATATCAGGGACTGGTGAAGAAATAGCTAAGTTGCTAGGAATTACTCTTTCCCTTGAGTAAGTTTGAAACTACATAGAGGTAATTAGATTGCTATCCAGATTCTTAGCATTCTACTTTAGTTTTATTTTCTGTACTTTTATTTTTTGAATGGTGTTCAATATAAATATTTTTAGTATCTCCATTAATGTTTAATAAAAGTATAATTTTTCCTTTGTGAATGTAAATGGTCTGGTAATTTTAAAATGTAAACCTGTGTTTATTGTTTTCAGATGATAAAAATAATAAATATTTGTTATGGAAAACTCTCAGGAGAATTTGATGCTTGATACTCAACACCAAGAGACCTTTCTCTTGGGATATAGATGGGATTAATAGGCTATGGTTATTATCTATTGCTTTTAAGCAAGGTATGTAAAGATCTTTGCACCCCTTTCTAGAAGATGGGTTGTGACAAAGAGAACTTTGTATTAGTATTACGATAAATTAAATAGATAGCTATTAATACCTATAAATTATCTTGAAAGTCTGTTTAGAAATTGCCCTTGCTCTTTCTGTTCTTGTAAAAGTTAGAAGCCTATTACTCTTCTTTTATTTGGGTAAAAGAATATGGTTAGTGTCATGAGTCCAATATTTCTGCTCTGGAGAAGTGATCAGAGAAGCAGAATACTCTTTACCTCACCTTTACCCAAACAGTTACTCAGATCTTCCTCCAAGGGCATGGTTGCAGGCTGCCGGCAAAATCCCATCAGCACTTCAGACTCTTCGGACAGTTAAAGAATGCCCTCTTTCGCCTGTAGTCCCAGCTACTCGGGAGGCTGAGGCAGGAGAATGGCGTGAACCCGGGAGGCGGAGCTTGCAGTGAGCCGAGATCGCGCCACTGCACTCCAGCCTGGGCGACAGAGCGAGACTCCGTCTCAAAAAAAAAAAAAAAAAAAGAATGCCGTCTTTGGTGGAGCAGTGCAGGTAACACCTGGGTAATACCTGGGTAACACTTTATTTAATACGGACTAAAAGGAACGTGAATGAAATCCTTTGACTCATCTCCATCTCTTGGTATCCTGCAATTTCTATTTTATTGTAAACAAACTAATCAAGGCAAGGGGAGGCATTCCCAATTTCATGGGGGCTAGAGCAGTATTTAATACAGAAAATTAAACAGTCTGGAAAATTATAAATAAAAAAGTATAGATTAATGGAAAGTATAGTTTACTAGAAATACTGAATTTCATATATCCTCATGTGTGTGCATATACACATATGCATAGACCTGTTTTCTACATTTGTGTGTATTTGTCATCTTTAGAGATATTTTGTCTACATTCAGAAACTGGAATCCTACCTTTGGTATTGGAAATGTAATAATACATAATTTCTTATACTAAGATTTGATTATCAGTAATATTTATTAAAGCCTTTTTCAATGTTATATGAGAGGTACCTGTACCTAACTTAATGGACATAAAGCTAAACATTTTATAAGTTAGAAATTGGGTATATTAATGTTTTCCATTGATTTATAATTTGAGGTGATTTTTTTACTTCCACTTGCTCTCCAGTTGGCAATGACAATAAATGTAAACATGTTTTTTCTTTATAAAAATACAATATGCCAGATTGAAGCTGCAGTTAGCTATGATTATGGCATGTCACTGCACTCCAGCCTGGGTGACAGAGTGAGACACTTTCTCAAAAACACAAAACAATATGCCCATTAAAACAATTCGGAGATTGCAGAAATGTTCAAGTAAGAAAATAGACCTGTGGATCCCATCATGCAGAGATAACACTATCCTAACTGACTATTGTATTCCAGCTTTATGTACTTGCATCTAATTTTTCTTTTTTACCAAGTTGAGATTATGCTGTAGATTCAATTTTGTGCCCTGCTTTTTTCCCTTAAAGTATATTGTGAAAATTCTCTTATGTCTGTTATTTTTTAATGCAATTATGCCCATCATTTCTTGATTCTATAATGTTTGAAAAGTACAAGTAAAGTTTCAGCTATTGGCTGGGCATGGTGGCTCACACCTGTAATCCCAGCACTTTGGGAGGCTGAGGCAGGTGAATTGCTTGAGGTCAGGAGTTCAAGACCAGCATGGCCAAAATGGTGAAAGCCCGTCTCTACTAAAAATACAGAAAAAATTAGCTGGGCATGGTGGCGGGTGCCTGTAGTCCCAGTTTTTACATTTATAAAACACCTCTAATCTAAGAAAATTTATTATAACATTTTCTCCAGAAATTCTATTTGCTCATGCTTGTGTGTGTTAGATGAAGCACTATTTTACAAGCTGTTGTAAGGAGCCAATAATATAAAATCTGTGAAAGGGCTTTGTGAACTATAAAACACAAAATGTTAATAGTTATTATTCAAGGAGCTCCAGGAAAGAAAAATAAAAGGCAAACGCAACTCTCGATTCCAGCAAGTTGTGGTCAGTTTTCTTTTTAGAACAAATGGAAATTGGGTATGAGAATCTTTCTGTAAGAAATGCAAAAATAACTCCTTTGACTTTCACATCTTCCTGCTGAAAAGGCACACATTTTAAAACTGATCATTTCTCTAGTTCTTAGGGCAAGAGGGAATAGAATTCTTTTTGTACTGTTTTAATTTTCAACAAGGCATGTTTATGGTACCTATCCCTTAGAGGGAAGAAAAAGAGCAAGGGAAAAATGGTATATTTGTCCACCACCACCTGCTATTTTTAGGTTGGCTAGGAGGTCCTATTTGGCTGCCTTTGCCCATCTCATTTGGCAACTCTTGAGCGTGCATCATTCAGAAGATATAAGAAGCTTAGAAGGTAGAAAAGTGGATTTCTTTGATTTTTCAGACGACATTGCTGAAAAACATATTACCACAGACAATTTGAAGGACATTGACTGTAAGTAAAACAATAAATATTTTCTTTTAGTGTGGTAGGCATATGCCACACAAACGACATGATGTATTTTCACCTTTCTGCCTTAATTAGGGGTGAGGAAGCGATGAACCTTCTGTCCTGATTTGATTTTCATCCATTGTTAAAAGAAATACTAATCTAGAAAAAGGTGCAAATACAGTGCACACACGCAAGTATATATATGCTCATATATTTTTATAGTATTTTAGAATAAGATCCTTGGAAAAGAAAGAGAAACAATATGAATGCCAAGAGAAGAACACACAGAAGCAATCCTGGAAATGACAGATTTTAAGATTAATGCACTAAGTTAGATGAATTTTAATGGTAAAGAAGTAGAAAGTTAATAGAGAAATGGAATTTTCTATTTACTTGGATAAAAGGACTTAGTGTCATACCCATGGATCATTTTAAACGAGCATACATGTGGGCATTTTACGAATAATACAATTTAACCAATTTTATTGGTAGTTTCTATAAAGTGTTCTGAAACGTTTCTGTTGTCGGGTACAGTAATTTGCCAAAATCTCCATTAAACGTCAGGTTATATGTGTTACGTAGTTTTTCTTTTGCCTCTATTATTTTATTACAATTCTAGCTTCCTTCACTAACTTTTCTTAGCTATTGTTAAATTATCATTCTCTCATAACTAAAGAATTTTATTAAATGAGTCAATAAATGTCAAATTCTCAATAAGAAAAAAGAAAATATTTATTTTCTATTATAATTACAATAATTGTTTGTACCTGGTATTTTTAATATGTGTAAAAATTCTAATAAAGTTATATTAGAAAATTTATTTAAAGCCAGCCCTATTTCAAGCTATATAATTATTTTACATAACTGTATATTTAAGATGAAATTTATTGTTTCATACCTGTTCCAAAGTTGGTATTTTTCTTGTCCAAAAGAGTTTGAGAGACACTTGCATTGTAACTTCGTCTTGTGTGTAGTGGTAATGTAAAACAATTTTGCCACTAGGAAAAGGTATGGATATAGTGCTCTATTTAATTTGTGATTGTGAAATCAGTGATGTATTATATACAGGAGTATCCACCCCAAATGATTTACATTTAAAAATAATTTTTTTACAGGTCTAACCTGCTTATAAAGAAAGGTCAGGGAGCATTTGTAAAGTGCTTTATTGTTTGCAAAGTGCTTTATTGTTTACAAAGGACCTAAAGGTCCTTTGATTATTACACACTGTATGTCTGTATCAAAATATCTCAGGTACCCCATAAATACATACACCTACTATGTACCCAAAACATTAAAAATAAAAAATTAAAAAAAATAGGTTCTACAGGGCTCTTTCAAATCCACATTTCTGTGATTTCTATAATTTTAGAGAGGCAATATGTATGGTATAGTGGGAAGCCAGACCTGGATTTACTGTATCCTGGCCTTGAGCAAGTAATTCAGCTTTTCTGAACCTCAATTCTTCATCAGGGACAATTTTTAGTAACTTGCAGTTCTAGTGAAAAGATGAAATGAGATAATGTAGAAAAGTGCAATGCTCTTAACTGCTTGATGGTAGAGCTATTGTTAATATGTATAATTCCAATTACAGCAATCCTTTTAATATTCCACAGTTGCTGCAGAGCCCATTAGAGTCATGCCTTTGAAGGGGAATATAATAGTACTAATCAATAACTGGTTTTGGTGAATTAGGAAAATGAACAGAGAATTTGTTGAAGATGTTAAAAGTAGAGGAGAGAATTGGATAAAATTGAACCCGTAGTGATAATTTGAAATGAAAACCAAAATAAAAATTAAAAGCAATGCAGATGGAAGGAAGGCCATCGCAGGAGTAAGAAATATGTCAGGACCTAGCTAAGTGGAAGGAAAGAGTGAGAACCACTTGGCTAAATCCTGGGCACACAATTTCAGGACTGGTCACGTATTAGGGCAGCCTCCAGCAATCTCTGTGGTTCATGGACATGGAACATTTCAGCAGTGGAGTGGAATGGCTTTAGCATCTGATAGACCTAGGTTAAAATTTGCGCTGTGCCACTTGCTAGCTATCTAATCGTAGACGAGTTATTTAACATCCTTCTGTCTCTTCTATAAAATGAGGGTGATAATTCTACCTCATGGAGTTGCTTTGAAGATTCAATAAGGTATCCATGCAAGGTGTTAACTTGTTTTTCTGTTTATTGCCTCCTCTTCTGCCAACAAAAATATAAGATTTGCATGAGTAGGGTCTTTATCTCTGTCCCTGTTGTATAAAATATAATAATAAACCTTTGAATATTTTTTGAATGACTGAACGAATGAACTCATCAAAGCTGTCTGTATATAGTAAGGCCATATGCCTCACTGAATGATATGAGGAAAATACTCCCAAGCTACAGTGGCATTTATAAGATTTTTGTCATGAGCCATCCTTGTCTAAGTTTCTATTATATTTATTGTTCAACCATTCAAATAACATTTAACCGTATGGTGTTTTACATCATCCATTTTATTTTATTTTTCTGATTGTACTGTTAAGTTAATGAAGGGTAGGGGGTATTTTGCCCATCGTCATCCAGTCTGATGCTATGCTTGGAGTATCACCAGACTGAAATAAGAATATATGTTGTGAATTATTGGGCCATATAATGAGAAAGTTATACATGATAATGGTGATTGGTGAATGGAATTTATACTTGCTAATGGTATGATTTTGGCTGAAGATGAAAATATATTTTCTTCAATTGCTATTTGTCGATGAAAGGCTGAAAGACGTGATATAAATCGACAGGAAAAGGACAGAAAGATCTATTTGACAATATATATATATTCTAATCCCAGAACAAAGGGTACGTGTTGCTGGATATTTTGAGATTATCTTTGGCTAACATGATCTCTCTTGCTTCTGGGACTTTGCGCATGTGTTTGTCTGGAAAATTGCCCTTACATCCTTCCCTTCACTCGACAATTCCTACTCACCTTTCAGTTATCATTTCAATGTCACTTTCTCTGAGGTACCATCCTAAGTCTGGATGAAGTGTCTCTCCTCTGGGCTCCCATAGGACCATATATACTTTTGCTATTGTATTAGGTTGGTACAAAAGTAACTGTGGTTTTTAATATATCTAAAATTATATTGTAATTGCCTATTTATTTGTTTGTGCCTCCTACTAGATGATCACTCCACAAGGGCAGGAGTTGTATATGCCTTCCATTATACTCTAATACAGTACAATAAATATCTAACACAGCTCAATAAGTATTTCTTGAATCAATGAATGAAAAATGACTATTAATAAATGGAAGAAAAAAGCCCTCAAAATAATAGCTGTCATTTACTGGATGTCTTGTTAAATGACTGGGCTTTTATAGATGTTAATATTTAATCTTTGCAACAGTCCAGATGGGGCAATTGAAGTTCAAAGGACTTAACTTGGTCAAAGTAATAATGCTGAGATTTGAACCAGGATCTCTCTGGATCCAAAGCCTCTGATGTTTCTAATTGGTGATACTGCCTCTTTCATACCTTACATTTGTATACGCTACTACAGGGCACAAAACATCATTATTCCTTATAACAGCTTTGTGAAGCTAGGTATTATTTCCCATTTTATATCTAGTAAGTGGCAAAGCTATGACTTTCAAATTTGATATTCTGGTTCAAGGTGCATTCCCTTTCCGTGATAACACAGCTGTCTCATTCTAAAGGATTTAAAGGTGTAGCCCTTTACAAAAATCCCTGAGATGATAAAAATTTAGAAAATAAGAAGTTTTTGATTCATACATAGCAGAAACAGTTCCAGAGAGGTGTATTTTAGCAGGGCTAGAGTAAATTCCAAATTTTCTTTGTAATTTTTCCTTGAGAAAAGACAAATTAATCAAATTGGGAATAATTGCTGTTAATACTATCAAGTTCTTTCTTCTCTTTGATGTCTGATTATTTCTTGGCCTCATATTACTACCAGCTCAGAATCGATAGAATCCCTACTGAAGAAACTATTGCTGATGGGGCAGCCTGGTGCTCTTGGGTGAATTTCAGGCAGTTCCTTCCTACCAGTGGCACTCCTTGTTGCAGTTTGTTTTTCAGTTACTTTGCTTATCCTATACCCCTCAAATTTTGGCTTGTGCTGGGAGGGAGCTTAGTGGGTTTGCCCTAGAGTTCATTGACTTTGGCCATCCTTGGCCTATGACTTTACTTCGCTCTTTAGCCTCCTGCCAAAAATTACTTCTGTTGAGAGGTAAGGGGGTAGAGATGAGGTAGTGGGGAGTGTTGTATTTTTGACCGAAAGAGGCAGAGGGCCAGAACTAAGGAAAGCAATTCTCTACAACTTCTTCCTGAAAATGGGGAAGTCTCTCACACATGCAGAGAAAAAAAAAATAGTGTGAAAAGCAGTTCAAATGTATTTTCTTAGTACTACCATAGTGTTTGGCAGCTGCTTTGACATATAGGTCACTGAACAGTAGGGCAATGCAAACACAGAATCTCAAAAAGGAAAGAGTTTTTTTTTTTAATTTTCAAAAACATTTTTTAAAGCTTTGAAAGATTATAGTTTCTAAAACCACAATTAACCAAAGTTCTATTATAATCTCTTAAAAATGTTAGATTTAAATGCAAGACTTAGAACCAATTGCAAATTTGAAAATAAATTGCTCTAAAACAAATATTATTCAAACGTATATCTTGATTATTGGCTATTTTGTTCTGCACTGTGCTGTTCTGTAAATGTTTGATGAAGCCATAGTTCATTATTTACTTTTCTTTGATCTCCCTGCCAGCTAAATGTATTTGTGTTTCTGTTTTCCTTGTGACTTTGCATTTGTACTATCTGCCATTGGAATGTTGAATCTACGAGTCTGATTCTTAGTAGGGGAGAAAGAGAGAGCAATTTGGATAACCCAGGCCTAAATAGGTTGTGACTGAATAAAAGGAAATACCAGGATAGTTCTTCTTAAATTGGGGTATAGTTTATATAAAGTCTGTGCCTCTTAAACTTTTTTTTTTTTGAGTTGGGGGTCTCACTTTGCTGCCCAGTCTAGAGTGCGCTGGTATGATCATAGCTCACCGCAGCCTTGACTCCTGGGCTCAAGTGATCCTTCCACTTCAGCCTCCTGAGTAGCTGGGACTACAGGCCTGAGACAACACACCTGGCTAATTTTTAAAAATTTTTGTAGAGATAGGATCTTGCTATGTTGCCTAGTTTGGTCTCAAACTCCTGGCCTCAAGCAATCCTCCTGCCTTCGCTTCCCATAGTGTTGGGATTATGGATGTGAGCCACTGCATATGGCCTTTTTGAACAAACGTTTTTTTTTTTTTTTTTTTGAGATGGAGTTTTGCTCTTGTCGCCCAGGCTGGGGTGCAGTGGCATGATCTCGGCTCACTGCAACCTCTGCCTCTCAGGTTCAAGTGATTCTCCTGCCTCAGCCACCCGAGTAGCTGGGATTACAGGCAAGTGCCACCACATCTAGCTAATTTTTGTATTTTTAGTAGAGACGGGGTTTCACCATGTTAGTCAGGCTGGTCTCGAACTCCTGACCTCAGATGATCTGCCCGCCTTGGCTTCCCAAAGTGTTGGGATTACAGGCGTGAGCCACTGCGCCTGGCCACTGTTTGTTCAACAAACATTTTAAAGTATATATACATCCATCTCACCACCACCCAGATCAAAATACAGACCATTTTTGGTACCGTCAGACTCTCAGGTGTGCTCTCTCTCTTAGGCATTACCTACTCCCAAGGATAACCACTAGTCTGATTTTCATCACCATACATTAGTTTTGTCAGGGCAACCTTTTTTTCTTTTTTTCTTTTTTTTTTTTAGGCAGTGTCTTGCTCTGTCATCCAGGCTAGGGTGGCGGGATCACCGCTCACTGCAACCTGCAACCTCCGCCTCTCAGTGTCAAGTGATCCTCCAACCTTAGCCTCCCAAGTAGCTGAGACTACAGGTATGCGCCACCACACCCAGCTAATTTTTTGCATTTTTTTGTAGAGACGAGGGGATCTCACTACGTTGCCCAGGCTGGCCTCAAATTCCTGGGCTCAAGTGATCTGCCTGCCTTGGCTTCCCAAAGTGTTGGGATTACAGGTGTGTGCCATTACTTAACATGGGACAGCCATTTTTAGCAGTGCTTTTTACATAAAACATCATGAATGGGAGTGACTGATACAAAGTTTGAGGATTAGGAATAAGTTCAGTCTTTTGTCATGACATATATGACAGTTGTGATGTGTTGCTGCATCCCAAAGACAGACATTCCCAACTGGTTCCATTGAGTTACACGTTTGTTAGAGGGCAGCCTTTGGCTGACCCTGCCAGTTGCCTATACAATACATATTCTCTTTTTCTTTCTTACTAAAGAGAATCATTATTTTTTTCAGGGCAGGCACATACATAGATAAAATATTCACCTCTCCAGATTCCCTTACAAATAAAAGTAGTCATGTGACCAATTCTGGCTAATGAGATGAAAGGAAAAAGTCTGGCAGAGTAGTCTTTAAAGAAACTTTACAAGGATTAGACTTTGTACTTTTCTGCCTTTCTATGGAACATGGACATAGAGGCCAAAGGTACATTCTCAATCTTGTATCCCTGAGGACAAAAAAAACCAAAAAACAGAAAAACAAAAACAAGAACAAAACCAAACAGACTTGAAAGACGACAGAGCAGGTAGAAAGAAGGAAATTATTTCCTTGATAACACTCTTGACAGGCTGCACCAGCTTTGGTCCACCTATTTCTGAGTTTCTTGCTACATGAGAAAATTACTTTCTTGTTAAGCTGCTGTTTATAGGATTTTCTGTTATTGGCAGCTATTTGCATTTCTCTCATATATTTTCCAAATTTTGATTGGGACCCTTAGAGATCATGGACACCGAAAAGATGATGTTATTAAAACCAGTTTTCTCAACATCTCCAAGTCACTTTATCCTTATTTTATATACTACCAACCCCAAAAGCACTGGTTGAAAAACATTTAGCTTCTACTCTTTCTCTGGACAGTTATTTACAACTACTTTAAGCCAGAATGATAATTGTTAACCTCCCTAAGTTCCCACACAATGATTTGTTTCTGAACGCTTCTCTTTTTCTAAAAGTACAGCATTTAATTTTCTTAATGAATAAAATTAGTTTTTTTTTAGAGTTGATATTATGCTTTCCAAATGTCTCAATGCAGATGCTGTAAGAATAGAAATGGGAACCAGCTGTTTAAGGATTTCCTGTCTCACAAATAACCCTCATAAGTCTGTCTTTGGATTAGGCTACAGGTCAAAGAATCAGAAGATTTTCTCATTTATTTGTTTTATATGTTTATGTTTGTCTCCCCTTCACTATTGTTTCTTAGAGTCTAGCAAACTGAGTGGCACCTGGAAGATACTTATTTGTTGACTGACTGAATGAATGACTTTACTAGTGTAAAGAGTAACACAGTGGACTCCTGTGTATCAGTCAGTATAGGTTAGGTGATGCTATAGTAACAAACTGCAAAGTCTTAGTGGCTTCATACAACAAAAGTTGATTTCTCAATTACATTATATTCCAATGTTGATCACTTTGGGGGGCTCTGTTTATTACAGTTACTTAGTCACTCAGAATGAAGGAGTCTTTACCTTGTCAGACGAGTCTACAATTGCCAAGGTGGGAAAGGGGATATTGTGACTTTGTACATTGGTTTTTAAAGGCTTCTTGATGAAAGCAATGTACGACACTTTCATATTTTATTGGCCAAAGTCAATGGCCAGTCTCCAGGTAATAGGGAAATGAAATATCACCCTGCTCCCAAATGAAGGAGAACTAGAACATTTAAATAGCTGTAATGATTAAATATGATCAGTACAAAATTAGAGAAACTGATTTGCAAATTCTGTTTCTGGTGACATAGTGGGCTAGAAATCTGGTTTGTTCATTCTATTAAAAAGCAATTAAAAATACTGGTTTGAATGTAAAACAATTCTGAAATGCTTCCACAAGCACAAAAGAAATCGAGGACATTTACATCAGAGAATGAGTGAAGATGAACCTAGAGATGTGACTGCAATGGAAACTGACTTTTAAACCTTGGTGCTAAGTGGAGTGGGAGGCTGGGGCAGCAGTTCTGGTATGGAACCCAAAAATCTGCATTAAAAAATACTATCAGGTTTGTGAATAGCAGCATTCTGTTGCATCCATTTCTCAGTAAGTTTCAGAAATTCAAGAGCTGGAAAAGGTCAACCTTTAAAAATAAGTTGTCTTGGCTGGGTGTGGTGGCTCACGCCTATTATCCCAGCACTTTGGGATGCCAAGGTGGGTGGATCACTTGAGGCAAGGAGTTGGAGACCAGCCTGGCCAACATAGCAAAACCCCATCTCTACTAAAAATACAAAAATTAGCTGACCACAGTGGCACACTCCTGTACTCCCAGCTATTCAGGAGACTGAGGCAGAGAATTGCTTGAACCCAGGAGGTGAAGGTTGCAGTGAGCCGAGATCACACCACTGCTCTCCAGTCTAGGCGACAGAGTGAGACCGTCTTAAAAAAAAAAAAAAGGAAAGAAGAAGAAGAAAAAAGCTGTGTTTTGGTTCTAAAATGATTCAATGGAAAGATCTAAGACCAGAATCTAGATTCCTTGTTTTTATCTAGTAATTTAAGAAATACATTTCCTTGGTTTCCATAGTGTGGGGCTATTGATAAAGATATTTTAACAAACATCTGTTAATTTTAAAGTATTAAAATATTTTTTATTGCTTTGAGTAGGCACAACATACATACAGCACAAAATTCAAATCTATAAATGAATATAATTGAAAATTAGATTATTTTTTCATTCTCTGGTCCTAGTTCCCTTCCCAGAGGCAATCATTGCTACTAGCGTCTTAAGTTATCCTTCCAGAGATGTTTGAGCATGTGTGTTTGTGTGATTCTTTTTAAAAATCTCACAAATGGTAGCATACTAAGTTCCCTATTTCTTCATTTATTTAACTCTACTATCTTGAAGAGCATTCCACATTGATACATATAGATTTGCCTTATTCTTGGAAGGTTGCATATGATTCCATTATACAGATGTATCCCAATTGTTCTAATATTTTGATATTTCAGATAATGCTGCATAAATATCCTTGTGCATATCTTTTTCATATGTGTCAATAGATGTATGAAATAAATTCCTAGAAGTGGAATTTCTGAGTTAAAGGCATGTACACTTGAAAATTTAATTTTAATAGTGCCAAATCACTCTCAACAGAGCTGGCACCAATTTTTACTTCTACCAGCAAAGCACGAATGTTTCTTTTTCTCCTTGTTGCAAAAATATTTCTTTTAATTTTGCCTTTTGCCATGTGAAATTTTAAAATTTGTATGTATTTGAATTGATCAATTTTTAATAGTTACAATCTTTTGTATAATACTTAGGAAGGTCTTCCCTACCCTGAGTCTATTAAAAAATTATTTCCTATTTCTAATGCTTTATGTTATGTTTCTGTTTTTACGTTTAAAACTTTTATGTACTAAAAATTTATTTTGGTATGAAGGATATGACATTAAAATTTTGTATAGATGGCTGTTGTTGTTCCCAAACCATATACTAACTAATCCATCTTTTCCTCCACTGGTGTGCAAAGCCACCTTTAGTCATAGACTAAATTCCTTAGTATAGTTATGTCTATTGTTAGACTTTCTATTCTGTTTCATTCAGCAATTTATCACCCATTCAGTAGTACCACACTATTCTAATTAGTGAAGCTTCAAAATAAAAATAAAAATGATAGGCATAGTCTTCTCTTTTTATTCATTTTTTTATTTTTTAGAGCTTCCCAGCCTTATGGCTTTTTTTTTCCTTTTAATATGCACTTTAGATACAGCTTGCTATTTTTCTAACAAAAATTATGTTGATATTTTTATTGGGATTACATTACAGTTATAGCTTTAAAGAGAGAATTGCTGTCTTCATGATGTTGAATCTTTCTAATCATGAACCTAATATTTTGGTCCTTTTTTTTGTTGTTGCAATTATAAATGGGGGTTTATCTTCCTTTTTATTTTTATTTTTTGAGACAGGTGTCTTGCTCTGTTGCCCAGGCTGGAGTGCAGTGGCGTGATTGCAGCTTGCTCTAACCTCTGCCTCTTGGGCTTAAGCGATCCTCCCACCTCAATCTCCTGAGAAGCTGGGGCTAAAGGTGCATGCCACTATGCCCAGTTAATTTTTGTATTATTATTATTATTATTATTTTGGTAGAGACGGGGTTTCGCCATGAACTCCTGGGCTTGAGGGATCCGCCTGCCTTGGTCTCCCAAAGTTCTGGGATTACAGGTGTGAGCCACAGTGCCCAGCCTTCCTTTGGATTTTTAAACTGGTTGTTGATTGTATTAATACATATGAAGGCAATTAATGTTTGTATATTAACTTTGTAACCAGTCACATTGCTGAATTCTTTTAATTGCAATTTTTTTCCCTTTAAGTTTAACAACTGATAGATCATCTACACATTATGAAGTTTATCTCTTCCTTTGCTATTTTTATACCTAATTTCTTTTATTGACCAGTTTCATTGGCTACTATCTTTTCCAGAGCAATGTTAGATAATAATGGTGAGAGCGGTCATCTTTGAGCTAACACATTTAAATTTTTGTAAAGTAATCAAAAAGGCTATAAAATATGCTTCCTTAAAACCACCCTGGAGAATATGTTTTTAGAAAGGAAATGAAGTCAAAATGCTTTCTGCAAGGGTGCCTCATATGTTTGATTCTTTCAAGTATTCTGTTCAAATGTACCTTTTCAGTGAGACCTTCCCAGACCACCTATTTAAAAGTGCACAACCCCCACCTCTCCACCTATTCTGGTTGATTTTTCTCTGTAGCATTTATCACCACTTCACAAACTATATTTCACATATTTATTTTTATAATGTATGTTTCCCTCCACTGGAATGTAAGCTCTACTAGTGTAAGGAATTTTACCCCCTTTTTGGTACTGCTGTCTCTCCAGCACCTAGAACAGTACCTGCACATAAAAAAAATGCTGTATAAATACTTGATGGATGGAATTTCCTAAGAAAATCCAGAAAAGGCCGGGTGCGGTGGCTTACACCTTTAAAATCCCAGCATTTTGAAAGGCTGAGGCGGGTTGACCACTTGAGCTCAGGAGTTCAAGATCAGCCTGGGCAATATGGCGAAAACCTGTCTCTACAAAAAAATACAAAAATTAATTTGGTGTGATGGTGTGTGCCTGTAGTCCCAGCTACTTGGGAGGCTGAGGTGGAAAGACCACTTGAGCCCGGGAGAGCCAGATGCTGTCTCAAGAAAAAGAAAAAAAAAATCCAGGAAAGGTGCTACTATAAGAGAGATTTGCTTACCTCTAGTTAGATGTCAGTATAGAATAGGGATTAATTACCTGAAAAACTTGATGGAACTTTAAAAAGTTTAGTGACATCATTTATTTCTGTCACTCTGTTTCTCCATAGTGATAAATAATAAATGAGAATCTTCAAATCCCAGTGAGTCTGGGAAGATAAGAATCCAGGTGTTGAGAGCTGTAAAGAGGAGAATAGGCTGAGACTTGAGGCTGCACCAGCAAGAGTTCCCATATAGCTCCCTGACTGGCATCTATTTTAAAGAAAAATTTTTCATCTGTTTTGCAGAAATGACCATTAAAGTATTTTACTAGAAATATAATTCACCAGGAGAAATTGAGTTCCACAAAACAAACTTCATTGTTGTTCAAAACAGATGTTCCTTTCTTTGTACTTAACTCACCATTAAAATTAAACACAGCAAGGTCTTTCAAAAAAGCAGTGAGAAACTTTAAAGGAGTTATGTCTAGGACGTAGCCATGATTATTAAGAAAAAGAAAGGAAGGAAAGGAGGGAGGAGGAAGGAAAGAGGAAAGGAAGAAAGGAGAAAAAGGAGAAGAGAAAGGAAGGAAGAAGGGGAGGAAGGAAGAAGGGAGGGAAAGAGGGAAGGGAGCAAGCAAAAAGAAAAATGAAGGAAGAAAATAAAGGTTATGAGATTTAAACAAAGTAGTTTGTGCAACTGTGTGCAAATTCTGTCGGCAAATTGTCCTGGTGGCCTCAGTGTGGGAAAATGAGTTGCTCAGCAGGGACTGCTAAAAATACAGCAACCAGGAAGACGAAATGACTTCACGCTGGCACATTTGCCTGGCTAGTGCTTGATCGTTGTTTGTTCTGACTTCTACTTCTGGTACAGTGTCAGTGCCTCTCCTTAAACTTTGTTCATTAGAGTAAAAGGATTAGCTTGAACCTGGAGGACATATAACAAGGCTTAATTCAGAAGCCAAAATTGGGGATCTCTAGCTCAGAGACGCTCTTCACATTTGCGCTATTATTAGCACCAGGATTAGGCTGAATTTAGACTAGCATTCTTATTGCACCTGATGGGAAAATAGGAGGTTACTGCATTTAGACTGAAGGAAATCACGAATGTCAGCCTACTATTAACAATGTTTTAGATAAAAATCGCAAGAATCTATGTTAGGATCTTAAAGTGGATTTCAAAGCAGTGTGTTGTTCATCCGGACTAGTCTCTTCCTTCCTTGCTATTGTGATTTCTATTAATGTATTTCTTTCTTACCTTCCATTTCATCCCAGATGGACATAAGGGACTGTCTTTTTCAGTGAGGCAAAGGAAATGCAATCCTATTTTTTGTCTCTCATTTCAATCAGAGAAAAAACAAAAGCCCTTGCCATGCTCTGTAAGGTACTTCGTGATCTCCAGCTTCACTTCTCACCCCCTTCCTTCTTGCTCACTTCACATCAGCCACACTGGCTTCTGCTGTTCCTTGAACATGCCAAACCCACTGTTGTCCCAGGAACTTTGCCCTTGCTGTTCACGCTGCCTGGGGTGTTTCCGCCAGCTCTCTCCATGGCTCACTCCAGCTCTTCCTTCAGGTCTCCGCTCAAATGTCTTGGCTGACTACCCAATCTGAAATAGCAATCACGGCCGGGCGCGGTGGCTCACGCCTGTAATCCCAGCATTTTGGGAGGCCGAGGTGGGCAGATCACAAGGTCAGGAGTTCAACATCTGATCAACATGGTGAAACCCCGTCCCCACTAAAAATACAAAAATTAGCCAGGCATGGTGGTGGGCGCCTGTAGTCCCAGCTACTCGGGAGGCTGAGGCAGGAGAATTGCTTGAACCTGGGAGGAGGTTGCAGTGAGCCAAGATTGCCATTGCACTCCAGCCTGGCGACAGAGCGAGACTCCATCTCTAAATAAATAAATAAATAAATAAATAAATAAATAAATAAATAAATAAATAGCAATCCCGTCAACCTGCCCCTGTTTCCCCTTACCTATCTTACCCTACTTCATGTTTGCTTATTGTTTTTATCACAACCTAACAAATTATATTTTTGTTTATTTATTTATTGTCTTTCTTCCTCAGCTACAGTGTAAACTCCACTGAGGACAAAACGAATTCCTCAGTGCTTAGAATGTGTTCTTAGTCCCGAGAATGTTATCTGGAAAATGAAGCAGATGCTTGAAGAATATTGTTGAATGAATAAAAGAATCTACTTTTGTCTGTAATCCCAGCATTTTGTGAGGCTGAGCTGGGCGGATCAACGGAGGCCAGAAGTTCAAGACCAGCCTGGCCAACATAGTGAAACCCTGTCTCGACTAAAAATACCAAAAAATTAGCTGGCATGGTGGCACATGCCTATAATCCCAGCTACTCAGGAGGCTGAGGCAGGAGAATCACTTAAACCCGGGAGGAGGAGGTTGCAGTGAGCCAAGATTGCATCATTGCACTCCAGCCTGGACAATGAAGCCAGACTCTGTCTTTAAAAAAAAAAAAAGTATCAACTTTAATCCTGGGCACTTTAATGTGAAGGTTTGTTTCTTTGGGTTTTCTGCAATGTGCTTAACTCTTCTGTGGCAGTTGGGAATGTATTTCTCATTTAACATTAAAAGCCATCTATTTTTGCAAAATGTTTTATAAATATGAACTTTAAAAAATAAGGCCAGGCACAGTGGCTGACACCTGTAATCCCAGCACTTTGGAAGGTTGAAGCGGGCAGATTGTTTGAGTGCAGGAGTTTGAGACCAGCTGGGGCAACATGGCAAAACCACATTTTTACAAAAAATACAAAAATTAGCCTGGCATGATGGAGAGGGCTGTAGTCCCAGCTTCTTGGGAGGCTGAGACAGGAGAATTGCCTGAGCCTGGGAGGCAGAGGTTGCAGTGAGTTATGATTGCATCACTGCACTCTAGCATGGGCAAAAGTGAGACCCTGTCTCAAAAAAAAATACATATACATATATATGTGTAAAAACACATATACATATATGTAAAAATACATATACATATACATAATATATAATATATACATAAATATATATATATAAAATAAAATATGTAAGGAGGTTATGTTTGAAGTTGATTAATTAGTGGTCCTGGATTTTTAGAGTATGTACTTTTTTTTTTTTTTGAGACGGAGTCTCGCTCTGTCACCCAGGCTGGAGTGCAGTGGCGAGATCTCAGCTGACTACAACCTCTGCCTCCTGGGTTCAAGTAATTCTCCTGCCTCAGCCTCCCGAGTAGCTGGGATTACAGGTGCCCACCCCCATGCTCGGCTAATTTTTGTATTTTTAGTAGAGACAGGGTTTCACCATGTTGGCCAGGCTGGTCTCGAACCCCTGACCTCAGGGGATCCCTCCCACCTTGGCCTCTCAAGGTGCTGGGATTACAGGCATGAGCCATCTTGCCCAGCCCTGAGTATGTACTTTTAATATTGGTTTCTATCTCGTTCTACCTATCACACTCTGTGTTAGGTAGACAAAGATAAAGACCCAAAGAAGATATTTATTCAATTAATCATTATCCAGGCTAATGGACCAGCTACTTGCTATACCCATTTTGCCTGTGTTTGTTTTTATATTTTCCATGTGTTAGAGACAATCAATATTTTGGCTGAGAAAGTTTGGCTACAGGCTATCTATGATGAAAAAAGTAAATAAGAAATAATGAGCATTGTAGCAGACGGTTTTGTTTTCTATTCTGCTTAATGATGCCTAAGAATTTGAAAGCAAGATTTGCTATGGATCACCCTATTTCTATTTCTCCTCCTACTGCACTCCCCTAGTTCCTTCCAACAAAAATACACTTTTAAGCATTTTCCCATACATTAACAGGCAAAAGAATGTCTATCTAGCAAATATACCTAATGGCTAAATATACATTTTTTAGAAAAATCAATGAAAACATATTTATTTAATCAAGTGTGAGTCTCAGGAAAATATATGTACAGATAGGGTAGGTCTTCTTTTCATCCCATTACTTGCAAAAAATCTTGATAAGATAGGATTCTAGAAACTATTAAAAAATATATTCTGTGTAAAAAAGATAGCAGGAGAAAAGAATTGGATGCAGGAGTACTATGGTCTCATAAAGGGATTCTTGAGGTTAACCAACACATTGTGGGCCCTCAAAATGCATCAAACCATCTTTGAATGTACAATTAGCATTCATTCATTCATTCATTCATTATTTATTTATTTGCCAGACATTAGCCAAATGCCCACTAGATGACAGATTTTTTTTTCCATGTAAGAATCCAAAGTTGAATAACAGAGCCCCACTCTTAAGTAGTACATAGCCTTTTTAGGAAGACACATGTACATCAATTAGTAAGTGTAATGAGTTGCTTAGAAGTCTATGCAAGGTGTAGGGGGAAGTGGTAGAGTTTGTTCTGAGAAGAGAATTATCAATTCAAGCAGGCTGGAGTTTGGGAGGAGCATGGGGCATTAGAATCTTGGAAAGGCTTAAGTAAAATATCTTGCACAGACTAAGTAAGAGTTAGAATGATTTTAAAAAAATTGATTAGTGCAACAAAAGAAAAAATAAACACATTGAGTATCAAATTTTAAGATGTTTGTGCTTCAATCTGGGGGCACACTGAGGCCTTCTTCGCTCAGCTCATACTCATTCTAGCTCCCGTAGAACCCCATCTGAGTGCTAGGAAGGGCTCGGTCGTAAAACGATAAGGAGATATTTTCATGAAAATCTCTGGCACATTAGGAGAATAAAGCATTGCTGCTTTGGGATTTGTATAACAGGTGTTTTTTATTGTTTGTTTGTTTTTTTTTTGAGACAGAGTCTCACTCTGTTGCCCAGGTTGGAGTGCAATGGCATGATCTCTGCTCACTGCAACCTCTGCCTCCTTGATTCAAGCGATTCTCCTGCCTCAGCCTCCCAAGTAGCCAGGATTACAGGCATGCATCACCATGCCTGGTTAATTTTTGTATTTTTAGTAGAGATGGGGTTTCACTATGTTGGTCAGACTAGTCTCAAACTCCTGACCTCAAGTGATCTGCCCACCTCAGCCTCCCAAATTGCTGGGATTACAGGCGTGAACCACCACACCCAGCCTTGTATAACAGTTTAACATTGAGGTCATGAATAGTTATTCCCTGCTTTGGTGAAATTGTGACATGCCTCTGGGTGCTTCTCTGGCCAGGCTGTGATCATCATTACCCATGAGACACCTCCTAGGAAGGAGAGAGGGTGTTTGGGGTCTGGTAATGGCCAGGCATTCCTATCGCAAGCCCGAGGCAGGTGAAACATGGGACACATATACAGCAGTGTGAAGGCATCTGTAGCTGTAGAAGGAACACATCCTTTTGTGCTTTGAATTTTAGGCCTGCTGTTTCATTCAAAATCCTAGTCAGAATGATCTCCAAGTATCATCAAACCTTCAAGTACTATGATGACAGGATTCAAATTTCACCAAAAAGAAGTGCTGTGGGCCTGGTGCAGTAGCTAATGCCTATAATCCCAGCACTTTGGGAGGCTGAGGCAGGAGGATTACTTAAGCTCAGAAGTTTGACAACAGCCTGGGCAACATAGCAAGACCCTATCTCTCTAAAAATACAAAAAATTAGCTGGGCGTGGTGGCACACACCTGTAGTCCCAGCTACTCGGGAGGCTGTGGTGGGAGGATCACTTGAGCCTGGGAGGTCAAGGCTGCAGTGAGCAGTGGCTGTGCCACTGCATTCTAGGCTAGGTGATAGAATGAAACTCTGTCTCAAAAAAAAAAAAAGATGTAAAGAAAATGCTATGATTTGCTGATAGAGGCCAGGCTGCCAGCAAGTCATCATATGTCACTGTCTGGAGACAGACTCCCCTGTGAGTGCGGTTTAAGTGTATGCTGAAAGCAGTACGAAGGTATGAAGTATAAGGACTCTTGGGGCTGTGTCCCCCACAACAGAGAAATGCGGGCAAGCAGTTCTCCTGCCCGTGTGCTGCCAGCAACACCCCTCTCTGGAGGGATTAATATATTGATCAGCCTCTGGAGGGTGGTGACCTCTCCAGTGGAAGAAGTCTGGCTAATCCCTTAGTTTCTCTGACAGCAGGTCTGAAAGGATCCTGTTGCCAGGAATCGAAGGCAGTTGTTACCTTGACAGCAGGAGTGCAGCATGCAAGCATCTCTCCTGGTCCCCATGTGATCTGTCACTGCGACGCTATGTGTTTATACCTGTGCAAGACTCCGGAAGGTAGAGACTACCCACGAGTGTCCCATATGCCCTCTCCTGGAGTCAGGGCTGGGTCTACTGGGGTCAGCGTGCACTCTCTCTTTGCTGTTCTCCTAGATGTCAACTGATGGGACCCCTTAAGCCAGAGGCAGATCTCTCAGGGAAGAAGGCATGATTCCTGATATGGGCAAAGTGCTGGGTAAGTAAGAGTGCCTGCGCTTTCAATAAACCAATTGGCTAAAATTCTTCTCAACATAGGGCACATGTAAAAGGATGAGTGTTTTCCCTTCCAAGTGGCCATAAATGTTGCTGGACAATTTTCAGCATCACATCAGAATGGTCTCAGGTGTTTTCCCCATCCCTGCCTTTCTCACTTTGATTATTTTTGTCTTTCTTCATATATTCAAATACTTTGTAAACTAAGGATTGCTTGTGCTAATGGGCTCGTTAGTGTTCTGGGGTGAGTTGTGAGCACTTTTAGACTTGAGGCTAACTCTGGTGACTGTTACTGCCCAGCTCCTCCTCATTTCACCTGGGTTTGTAAGCCCACTAGTCCCTGCTTTAGGTATGCTGTAACCTCATCTTTTATAGTTTCATTCTGTAGACTAAAATTCTAGCTATTACATAGAGTTCCATTTAAAACAGGCTCAGGTATTCCTGTTTATGATTGTTGGTAAATGAAGATATTCTTATCACAAAATACATAAGTGGAAATATTTAATCAGCTGCAGTTTCTTCCTCCACATATCCCCCTGCTTCCTTCCTTTACTAAAACTCCTCTTGGATTCTGTATCTCAGAGGGAGGCAAAACCATCAGGAAGAAAAATCTAATTCAAACTTGTGTTTTATTTTATTATATATTTTTCCTCTGAAGCACAAAGTGTTTCATAAACATGCCATTTTTTCACAGCAGCAAGTTACTGTGACTTGAACATCTCTGCCTTTCCCACCCTGAGAGTACAAAAGCATTCACATCTTAATGGCTCTGCATCTTAGCTACCCATTATGGTTCTTTGTGGAAGTTCCTTTCCTCTGTATATTTGTGGAAATTCCCCCACAAATTGTTTTTCATTTATTCATGCAGAGCCTGGGCTTAGAGCTCACCACTGAGATTCCCAAACTGGGTTGCCACAGATGCCAAAACTGGAACTCTGCTGTTGCTAATGCAGCCAGCTGCAGATCCCAATGAAAACTGTGATGCTGTCACACTGGTCTCACTGCAGCTGTGCTGGTGCTGGTACTCCACACCCCCACCATGGCTGCTTTGGAGTAGCTCTTATCTCAGGTACCTCAGCCAGTGATGCTTTTGCAAAGTGAGAAAAAGGATGTTTCCTTGCTCTACGTTACAGTGATAACAAAGGGTTCTAGAACAGGGTTGGTTAGCCCTAAAGCACAATGAGTTAGATCCCAGAGTGCTTTATTCTGAATTGAGCTGCACTGGTCTTGCTGCAGCCAGAACTACCATTTGGAACTGATCTAGTTGGAACTCTGATGTTGCATCTGTCTTCGAACCCGGGAATCTAGGACTTTGCTACCACCGGCTCCTTCTCATTTGGGATTCCTGCTAATATCTTGGCCAATTCTGTTTTTGAAAATAAAAATAGAATGTTTGTTTCTTTGCTTTTGGGAGTGGTGGGAAGGCTTGTGCCCCAAAGTTTCAGGTTGTGAGACAGCTGTTAATTCATACACACAGGGCTCAAACATATGGCTGGAATGCCTGGGTCCCCAGTGTCTGTGCTATTAGCTGCTAAATTCACTGCCTTTCAACCCTTAGGTTCTTTTGCTAAATGTACTATCCAAATACCTTGCTCCCTTTGGTAAATTTTCTGTTGTCTCTCTTTATATCTTACTTATTTTGCTTCCTCCACTTAATTAGTTGTATATATGTTAAACCTATTTTGGGTCAAGATTTAATTATTTTCCCAGGAGCGTCTGTAGTATCTAGCAATTCAGTTTATTCCGATAGATTCTGTACTATAGGGATGAAGGGGATGAGTTCTCTTATTCTGCTTAACTTGGATGTATCTGAGTCTCAGCTCCAACCTAGCCGAAGCACTCTGCATTTGCAGCCAGTTATATAGTTCAAGTTTCAAACACGTTATTTGCAAATAACTGTCCCCCCCACCACTATAGAACACTCTATCCTCTCACCATCTTCCTTGTCTTCCTACTCTCAACTTAACCATTACTTTGACGTCTTCCCCCTCCCTTGCCTGCCTGCTAGAACAGCCACCAAATTGCTGCATGTTCTTGGTGTTTATCATTGGTTGGTGCAGGGAACTCTTCCATCAGTGTCTTTCCAATGGTCTTCTCTTTCCTCAGGAGAAGAGTATCTATTTATCTATATAAAACAATCAGAAAATTATGTTGAGAGAAACTATTTCAAACATTGGGGAAACAATAGAGATTAATATAACAATACCATGTAGCCACCACTTACATTTAGTAAATGTTAACATTTTCCCATTTTGCTTCAGATTTTTTGAAATCAATACATTACAGATACAGTGACAGTGTGTGTATGTAACTCCCTGAGTCATCTATTTACTTCTCCCTAGCCCATAACTCCCTAGGTCCTCTAGAAATAATCATTCATTCCTGAAGTAAGGATTTTTTTCTTCCCATAATTTTCTTTTTTTTTTTTTTGTTGGAGACAGAGTCTAGCTCTGTCACCCAGACTGGAGTGCAGTCACAGGATCGCGGCTCACTGTAACCTCCGCCTCCCAGGCTTAAGGAGTTCTTGTGCCTCAGCCTCCCAAGTAGCTGGGATTACAGGCGCATGCCACCATGCCCAGATAATTTTTGTATTTTAGTAGAGACGGGGCTTCACCATGTTGGCCAGGTTGGTCTTCAACTCTTGACCTCAGGTGATCCACCTGCCTCGGCCTCCCAAAGTGCTGGGATTGCAGGCGTGAGCCACCATGCTCAGCCCCCATAAATGTTTTAATACATTTTATATAAGTGCATATGCCCAAATAATTATTTAATATTATTTTATGGGTTTAAAATTTAAATGTATGATAGCATTCAGTGCATCACATTTTCCAACTTGTTTTTTTTTTCATTTAAACTTAAGTTTTTTAGTTTTTTTTCCATGTTCATACATTAGATGTAATTCATTCATTTAAACTACTGTAGAGATTATATTTGAGACTCTACTCATTTCTCAATTGATGGGGCCAATAGCTACTTTAAATTCCCTTTTTTCCTACTCTTCCAACTCTTGCCTTATTACCTCTGAAAAATTTCATTACTCCTTCCTGATTCTGATTATTAAGGTAAAACAGAAGCTGTCTTACCTTATTTGTCTCCAATGTTGAATGAAATAAACTGATACCTGAAGTGACAGACAGGGCAGCTAAAGGACAAGAACAGACTCCAAAGTTATGAGCCCTGAAACGATGACCTGAAGATGCTCTAAGGGTTGATATGAGGTTGGTGGAGATGCTGTGCCTGGGACAGCAAGAGCATGGGGCTCTGGGGTAAGACAATCCATGCTTGAATTCCAGCTTCACTCCGTTCTAGTTGCTTGAATTTTTCTCTAAACATTTTAATCCCCGCCCCCCGCCCCCACCAGTCTCAAAGTCCTAATGGATAGTTTATGGAGTTGTTTTGAGGGTTAAATGAAATAATTCATATAGAACTTGTAGTGCATTGCCTGGCACATGGTAAGCATTCTGCTCATCTTTGTTATGGTTATTCGCTTAGCTGAATGCAGACACTTCTATTTTGGTAGTGGGATCTATGTAAGATCTACTTCTGCCTCTTGGCTGGAGCTGTCTCTCTCTCTCTCTCTCTCTGTCTCTGTGTGTGTGCATTTATGTGTGTTCAAAAAGGGATGAGGAGGGACTAGCTACAAAGCTCTTATAACCATGAGCTTATATGGAAGACCATCTCACTCCTGCTTCAAAGGCAAGATGGACTTTTTGATGTGTTGAGGATTCGATATTAATTCAAGGGAATTGTTCAATATCTTAACATCTTCTAAGAGCATTATTAATAATCGGATGTAAAGATCGCCTTGAAGTATAGTCTATAATAATAACTTGAATTATTTCACTACATTAAACACAATTTTAAATGGTCTTTTCATATGTATGTTTCAACTTATCTGCAACCTCCACGAACCTATTCAACTCCCATTTAAACCCACACCAAATGACAGTTTTTTAAATTGTATTTTATTTTCTTTTTTATTATACTTTAAGTTTTAGGGTACATGGGCACAATGTGCAGGTTAGTTACATATGTATACATGTGCCATGTTGGTGTGCTGCACCCATTAACTCGTCATTTAACATTAGGTATATCTCCTAATGCTATCCCTCCCCCCTGCCCCCACTGCACAACAGGCCCCGGTGTGTGATGTTCCCCTTCCTGTGTCCATGTGTTCTCATTGTTCAATTCCCACCTCTGAGTAAGAACATGCGGTGTTTGGTTTTTTGTCCTTGCGATAGTTTGCTGAGAATGATGGTTTCCAGCTTCATCCATGTCCCTACAAAGGACACGAACTCACCTTTTTTTATGGCTGCGTAGTATTCCATGGTGTATATGTGCCACATTTTCTTAATCCAGTCTACTATTGATGGACATTTGGGTTGGTTCCAAGTCTTTGCTATTGTGAATAGTGCCACAATAAACATACCTGTGCATGTGTCTCTCTAGCAGCATGATTTATAATCCTTTGGGTATATACCCAGTAATGGGATTGCTAGGTCAAATGGCATTGCTTGCTATAGATCCCTGAGGAATCGCCACACTAACTTCCACAATGGTTGAACTAGTTTACAGTCCCACCAACAGTGTAAAAGTGTTCCCATTTCTCCACATCCTCTCCAGCACCTGTTGTTTCCTGACTTTTTAATGATTGCCATTCTAACTGGTGTGAGATGGTATCTCATTGTGGTTTTGATTTGCATTTCTCTGTTGGCCAGTGAAGATGAGCATTTTTTCATGTGTCTTTTGGCTGCATAAATGTCTTCTTTTGAAAAGTGTCTGTTCATATCCTTCGCCCACTTTTTGATGGGTTTGTTTGTTTTTTTCTTGTAAATTTGTTTGAGTTCATTGTAGATTCTGGATATTAGCCCTTTGTCAGATGAGTGGGTTGCAAAAATTTTCTCCCATTCTGTAGGTTGCCTGTTCACTCTGATGGTAGTTTCTTTTGCTGTGCAGAAGCTCTTGAGTTTAATTAGATCCCATTTGTCAATGTTGGCTTTTGTTGCCATTGCTTTTGGTGTTTTAGTCATGAAGTCCTTGCCCATGCCTATGTACTGAATGGTATTGCCTAGGTTTTCTTCTAGGGTTTTTATGGTTTTAGGTCTGACATTTAAGTCTTTAATCCAACTTGAATTAATTTTTGTATAAGGGGTAAGGAAGGGATCTAGTTTCAGCTTTCTACATATGGCTAGCCAGTTTTTCCAGCACCATTTATTAAATAGGGAATCCTTTCCCCATTGCTTGTTTTTGTCAGGTTTGTCAAAGATCAGATAGTTGTAGATTTGCGGCATTATTTCTGAGGGCTCTGTTCTGTTCCATTGGTCTATATCTGTTTTGGTACCAATACCATGCTGTTTTGGTTACTGTAGCCTTGTAGTATAGTTCAAAGTCAGGTAGCGTGATGCCTCCAGCTTTGTTCTTTTAGCTTAGGATTGACTTGGCAATGTGGGCTCTTTTTTGGTTCCATATGAACTTTAAAGTAGTTTTTTCCAATTCTGTGAAGAAAGTCTTTGGTAGCTTGATGGGGATGGCATTGAATCTATAAATGACCTTGGGCAGTATGGCCATTTTCACGATATTGATTCTTCCTACCCATGAGCATAGAATGTTCTTCCATTTGTTTGTATCCTCTTTTATTTCCTTGAGCAGTGGTTTGTAGTTCTCCTTGAAGAGGTCCTTCACGTCCCTTGTAAGTTGGATTCCTAGGTATTTTATTCTCTTTGAAGCAATTGTGAATGGGAGTTCACTCATGATTTGGCTCTCTGTTTGTCTGTTATTGGTGTATAAGAATGCTTGTGATTTTTGCATATTGATTTTGTATCCTGAGACTTTGCTGAAGTTGCTTATCAGCTTAAGGAGATTTTGGGCTAAGACGATGGGGTTTTCTAGAAATACAATCATGTCATCTGCAAACAGGGACAATTTGACTTCCTCTTTTCCTAATTGAATACCCTTTATTTCTTTCTCCTGCCTGATTGCCCTGGCCAGAACTTCCAACACTATGTTGAATAGGAGTGGTGAGAGAGGTCATCCGTGTCTTGTGCCAGTTTTCAAAGGGAATGTTTCCAGTTTTTGCCCATTCAGTGTGATATTGGCTGTGGGTTTATCATAGATAGCTCTTATTATTTTGAGATATGTCCCATCAATACCTAATTTATTGAGAGTTTTTAGCATGAAGGGTTGTTGAATTTTGTCAAAGGCATTTTCTGCATCTATTGAGATAATCGTATGGTTTTTGTCTTTGGTTCTGTTTATATGCTGGATTATGTTTATTGATTTGCATATGTTGAACCAGCCTTGCATCCCAGGGATAAAGCCCACTTGATCGTGGTAGATAAGCTTCTTGATGGGCTGCTGGATTCGGTTTGCCAGTATTTTATTGAGGATTTTTGCATCGATGTTCATCAGGGATATTGGTCTAAAATTCTCTTTTTTTGTTGTGTCTCTGCCAGGCTTTGGTATCAGGATGGTGCTGGCCTCACAAAATGAGTTAGGGAGGATTCCCTCTTTTTCTATTGATTGGAATAGTTTCAGAAGGAATGGTACCAGCTCCTTCTTGTACCTCTGGTAGAATTCGGCTGCGAATCCATCTGGTCCTGGACTTTTTTTGGTTGGTAAGCTATTAATTAGTGCCTCAATATCAGAGCCTGTTATTGTTCTTTTCAGAGATTCAACTTCTTCCTGGTTTAGTCTTGGGAGGGTGTATGTATCGAGGAATGTATCCATTTCTTCTAGATTTTCTAGTTTATTTGCATAGAGGTGTTTACAGTATTCTCTGATGGTAGTTTGTATTTCTGTGGGATCAGTGGTGATATCCCCTTTATCATTTTTTTTTGCATCTATTTGAGTCTTCTCTCTTTTTTCTTTATTAGTCTTGCTAGCAGTCTATCAATTTTGTTGATCTTTTCAAAAAACCAGCTCCTGGATTCATTGATTTTTTGAAGGGTTTTTTGTGTCTCTATCTCCTTCAGTTCTGCTCTGATCTTAGTTATTTCTTGCCTTCTGCTAGCTTTGGAATGTGTTTACTCTTGCTTCTCTAGTTCTTTTATTTGTGATGTTAGGGTGTCAATTTTAGATCTTTCCTGCTTTCTCTAGTGGGCATTTAGTGCTATAAATTTCCCCCTACACACTGCTTTGAATGTGTCCCAGAGATTCTGGTATGTTGTGTCTTTGTTCTCATTGGTTTCAAAGAACATCTTTATTTCTGCCTTCATTTTGTTATGTACCCAGTAGTCATTCAGGAGCAGGTTGTTCAGTTTCCATGTAGTTGAGCGGTTTTGAGCAAGTTTCTTAATCCTGAGTTCTAGTTCGATTGCACTGTGGTCTGAGAGACTGTTTGTTATAATTTCTACTCTTTTACATTTGCTGAGGAGTGCTTTACTTCCAACTATGTGGTCAGTTTTGGAATAGGTGTGGTGTGGTGCTGAGAAGAATGTATATTCTGTTGATTTGGGGTGGAGAGTTCTGTAGATGTCTATTAGGTCTGCTTGGTGCAGAGCTGAGTTCAATTCCTGGATATCCTTGTTAACTTTCTGTCTCATTCATCTGTCTAATGTTGACAGTGGGGTGTTAAAATCTCCCATTATTATTGTGTGGGAGTCTAAGTCTCTTTGTAGGTCTCTAAGGACTTGCTTTATGAATCTGGGTTCTCCTGTATTGGGTGCATATATATTTAGGATAGTTAGCTTTTCTTGTTGAATTGATCCCTTTACCATTATGTAATGACCTTCTTTGTCTCTTTTGATCTTTGATGGCTTAAAGTCTGTTTTATCAGAGACTCGGATTGCAATACCTGCCTTTTTTTTTTTCCATTTGCTTGGTAGATCTTCCTCCATCCCTTTATTTTGAGCCTATGTGTGTCTCTGCACCTGAGGTGGGTTTCCTGAATATAGCACACTGATGGGTCTTGACTCTTTATCCAATTTGCCAGTCTGTGTCTTTTAATTGGAGCATTTAGCCCATTTACATTTAAGGTTAATATTGTTATGTGTGAATTGGATCCTGTCATCATGATGTTAGCTGGTTATTTTGCTCGTTAGTTGATGCAGTTTCTTCCTAGCCTTAATGGTCTTTACAATTTGGCATGTTTTTGCAGTGGCTGGTACCAGTTGTTCCTTTCCATGTTTAGTGCTTCCTTCAGGAGCTCTTTTTGGGCAGACTTGGTGGTGACAAAATCTCTCAGTATTTGCTTGTCTGTAAAGGATTTTATTTCTCCTTCACTTATGAAGCTTAGTTTGGCTGGATATGAAATTCTGGGGTGAAAATTCTTTTCTTTAAGAATGTTGAATATTGGCCCCCACTCTCTTCTGGCTTGTGAAGTTTCTGCCGAGAGATCAGCTGTTAGTCTGATGGGCTTTCCTTTGTGGGTAACCCGACCTTTCTCTCTGGCTGCCCTTAACATTTTTTCCTTCATTTCAACTTTGGTGAATCTGACAATTATGTGGCTTGGAGTTGCTCTTCTTGAGGAGTATCTTTGTGGCATTCTTTGTATTTCCTGAATTTGAATGTTGACCTGCCTTGCTAGATTGGGGAAGTTCTCATAGACAATATCCTGCAGAATGTTTTCCAACTTGGTTCCATTCTGTCTGTCACTTTCGGTACACCAGTCAGAGGTAGATTTGGTCTTTTCACATAGTCCCATATTTCTTGGAGGCTTTCTTCATTTCCTTTTATTCTTTTTTCTCTAAACTTCTCACTTCATTTCATTCATTTGATCTTGCATCACTGATACCCTTTCTTCCAGGTGATCGATCGGCTACTGAGGGTTGTGCATTCGTCACATAGTTTTGTGCCATGGTTTTCAGCTCCATCAGGTCCTTTAAAGACTTCTCTGCATTGGTTATTCTAGTTGGCCATTTGTCTAATTTTTTTTCAAGGTTTTTAACTTCTTTGCCATGGGTTCGAACTTCCTCCTTTAGCTTGGTGTAGTTTGATTGTCTGAAGCCTTCTTCTCTCAACTCGTCAAAGTCATTCTCTGTCCAGCTTTGTTCCATTGCTGGTGAGGAGCTGTGTTCCTTTGGAGGAGGAGAGGCGCTCTGATTTTTAGAGTTTCCAGTTTTTCTGCTCTGTTTTTTCCCCATCTTTGTGGTTTTATCTACCTTTGGTCTTTGATGATGGTGACGTACAGATGGTGTTTTGGCGTGGATGTCCTTTCTGTTTGTTAGTTTTCCTTCTAACAGTCAGGACCCTCAGGTGCAGGTCTTTTGGAGTTTGCTGGAGGTCCAATACAGACCCTGTTTGCCTAGGTATCTGCAGCGGAGGCTGCAGAACAGTGGATATTGGTGAAGAGCAAATGTTGCTGCCTGATCGTTCGTCTGGAAATTTTGTCTCAGAGGAGTACCCGGCCATGTGAGGTGTCAGTCTGCCCCTACTGGGGGGTGCTCCCAATTAGGCTACTCAGGGGTCAGGAACCCACTTGAGGAGGCAGTTTGTCTGTTCTCAGATCTCCAGCTGTGTGCTGGGAGAACCACTACTCTCTTCAAAGCTGTCAGAAAAGGGCATTTAAGTCTGCAGAGAATTCTGTTGCCTTTTGTTTGGCTATGCCCTGCCCCCAGAGGTGGAGTCTACAGAGGCAGGCAGGCCTCCTGGAGCTGTGGTGGGCTCCACCCAGTTCGAGCTTCCTCGCCAGTTTGTTTACCTACTCAAGCCTTAGCAATGGCGGGCGCCACTCCCCCAGCCTCGCTGCCACCTTGCAGTTTGATCTCAGACTGCTGTGCTAGCAATGAGCGAGGCTCCGTGGGTGTAGGACCCTCTGGGCCAGGTGTGGGATATAATCTCCTGGTGTGCCATTTGCTAAGACCATTGGAAAAGTGCAGTATTAGGGTGGGAGTGACCCAATTTTCCAGGTGTCATCTGTCACCCCTTTCTTTGACTAGGAAAGGGAATTCCCTGACCCCTTGTGCTTCCCAGGTGAGGCAATGCCTCACCCTGCTTCGGCTCATGCTCGGTGCACTGCACCCACTGTCCTGCACCCACTTTCTGACACTCCCCAGTGAGATGAACCTGGTACCTCGGTTGGAAATGCAGAAATCACCCGTCTTCTGCATCGTTCATGCTGGGTAACAGTTTTTATTAAGAAATAAAAATGTATGTGTTAAGATAAAGGGAGTGAGAGGCTATCAGTTTGGGAAGGGGAGACTTTGTGGCCTGCAAGATTTTAGTGACTCCATCTTCATTCTTAGAAAAACTGTTTTGTATTACTGCTCTTTGTAGGCATGCAGCCAAAATACACGGATGCAATTGAAAGAAACAAGGGTTGTTCTTTGCTGGGAAAAATGCTAAAGGTAGAATGGGAACCTCTTCAGAGTGACTTTTTCTTCCGAAATTATTGTGAAACAATTAGTCAGAGTTGTTCAGAGAAAGGCTGTTTCAAATGGCTCTACTAAGACAAAACAGTAACTGTGATGATTGTAGCCAGGGATGCAGAAGGAAGTTGGGCCAAATAAGGGTACTGAATACAAGGAGAATTCACACAGAAGGTCGTTCATGTTGAGGACATTTTTGTTTGTTTGTTTTTCTTTTCTTTTTTTTGAAACAGTCTTCCCCTGTGGCCCAGTCTGGAGTGCAGTGGTACAATCTCAGCTGCCTGTAACCTCTGCCTCCTGAGTTCAAGTGATTCTCCTGCCTCAGCCTCCTGAGTAGCTGAGATTACAGTTGCGCACCACCATACTCAGCTTATTTTTGTATTTTTAGTAGAGATGAGGTTTCACCATGTTGGCCAGGCTGGTCTTGAACTCCTGGCCTCAGGTGATCCACCCACCTTGGCCTTTCAAAGCATTGGGTTTACAGGCGTGAGCCACTGTGCCTGGCCTTGAAATTTTTTTTTTTTTTTTTGAGCCGGAGTCTTGCTTTGTTGCCCGGGCTGGAGTGCAGTGGCATGATCTTGGCTCACTGCAAGCTCCGCATTCCGGGTTCACGCCATTCTCCTGCCTCAACCTCCCGAGTAGCTGGGACTACAGGCACCCGCCACCACGCTTGGCTAATTTTTTTGTATTTTTAGTAGAGACGAGGTTTCACTGTGTTAGCCATGGTGGTCTCGATCTCCTGACCTCATGATCTGCTTGTCTCGGCCTCCCAAAGTGCTGGGATTACAGGCGTGAGCCACTGCACCCGGCCTGGCCAGGAAATATTTTTAGATTAATCCTGTGGATGAACTGAGGAGGTGGTATTGGTTAAGTCCAAAATTCTCGGGTAGCCAGCAATGGGTCATAGTCTACTCACAATCAGCGTTTCTATGGACATTCTGAAAATTTAACTTCTTTCACAGGGACAGAAAATAAAGAGATCCCATCTTTGGGAAATACTACATGTCCCTATTAGGATCTGGCTCCTAAGACTAGTTTTGTACTCATTTTGCAAAACTGCATGTATTCTGCAAAGCCGTCTCTCTCCCAAATATAACAGTATCTGTAATAACAACAAAACATTTTTAAAAACTGCGTTTGTTCTTTTTTACTGCATTTTTTCCTGCATATTAAATCTTTGAGAACTGTGTTGGAACTATATTGCCTTACGGAGTAGTAACATTCTATGTAAGCCAAGAGTGGCATGCAGTAATAAAATGTAGTGGCCATCTTCAAGGGAGTTTTATCCTTTGTGGTATCAAGTACCAGACTCTGTGTTACCAGACTAGTAACACATAGAGTTACTACTCATAGTTACTACTCAGTAAGTATGTAACTCAGTAAGGCAATATAAAGATGACTTTTATTAAGGGATGCAAGATAATGTAAACATGTAAACAGGAACTGGCAAACTGTTCAGTAAGGATCACTGGACTGCAATTTCTATTCTAAAGCTCATTTTAAGTAGAAGCTTCTCTTAACTTAGAGAAGTAAAATTCATATGGTTGATGGATTTCAATAGATTTCTCTCTTTTTATATTTCACTAGGATTCTATTTTTCCTACATTTTCTTATACAAACTTTTTCATGTTGACAGATATTTTAAAAATGAATATTGATATTTACATATTCCAAACCCTAGTAAGAATTAGTAGATAAATTTATAGAAGTTCATAAGGAGATATTTGTCGAGACAGTTTCCTATACATTTTCTAGGAAGAAATATTTGATTTTAAGTATTTTGGGGGTTACTGGGAATTTGCACGTCATGTTACATCAGAAAAAACACTGCAAAAACCTAAAAACAGAATGCTGAGAATAGAACCTGAAAGGAGGGCAAGAAGAAGAGATTCTTACATGGGTTTAGGTAATTTGAGGTATCATACTATCACTAAGAGTTTTTGTATTATTTGAGATACATCAAGTAATTGTTATTTTTCTTTTTACAGATACCCATAATTGTGTTGTAACTTCTTCTGGCTATAAACCTGAGCACTGATGCTTGACCTATTGTAAGTAAGAAAGTCATATATGGGCCGGGTACAGTGGCTCACGCCTGTAATCCCAGCACTTTGGGAGGCCGAGGCTGGCAGATCACAAGGTCAAGAGATCACGACCACCCTGGCCAACATGGTGAAACCCCATCTCTACTAAAAATACAAAAATTAGCTGGGCGTGGTGGCGTGCGCCTGTAGTCCCAGCTACTCGGGAGGCTGAGGCAGGAGAATCACTTGAACTCAGGAGGCGGAGGTTGCAGTGAACCGAGATCACGCCACTGCACTCCAGCCTGGGTAACAGAGTGAGACTTTGTCTCAAAAATAAAAATAAAATAAAGTCATATATGGCAAAAACCAGTCTTGTATTTTGACCTCTTTTGTTTTTTCTTTTCTTTTTTTCCTTTTTCTTGAGACAGAGTCTTGCTCTATCACCAGGCTGGAGTGCACTGGCGTCATCTTGGCTCACTGCAATCTCTACCTCCCAGGTTCAAGCAATTCTCCTGCCTCAGCCTCCCGAGTAGCTGGGACTACAGGCATGCACCACCATTCCCAGCTAATTTTTGTATTTTCAGTAGAGACAGGGTTTCACCATGTTGGCCAGGCTGGTCTTGAACTCCTGACCTCAAGTGATCTGCCTGTCTCGGCTTCTCAAAGTGCGGGGATTACAGGCGTGAGCCACTGCATTGGCCTATTTTTACCTCCTTTCTGTCTTTACTTTAAGAAAAAAAGATTTAAATCATAAATAGTTAGGGATAGAAAAACCTTTTTGTTCTGTAAGTGAATATCCTGACTTGTTTTGAATTGATAAACTGCCTAAGTTTAGCTTCAGCAATTTAAACTCCCAGAGTTCTTCTTGTGATACTGGTGGGTACTCAATAAATGATTGCTATTGTTGTTGTTGGTAAAATAGGTGAAAAATGAGCGTGGAGATGCATTTTCCCCCTTTGTGTCTTGATATTAAAGTTTTTCTTTTCAAACCATTATAGGGACCTACCTATTTGTTGGTCTTACAATGGTGGGTCATTTTGCATCCTATTATAATTTGCTCCAAATAAAATAGTTTTTATCTTCAAATAGAAACAAACTGGAGAGAAGTAATGAGACACCATTTGGGATTGTTGGCAACTTTAAATGTTCGAAAAATGAAGTCACAAAAGCAGGAGAACAAAAAGCCTCACCCTGGCTGATGAGATTATTTAACCAGCAGTTGGTGTTGGCACCAGATTATCAGCCAGACTGTTAAAAAAAAAAGTGCTAGGGGCTGGTAACCCTGTCCTCTGTGGGAAAAAAATCTAAAATATGTCCCTTATTAAACATTTTGGTACACAGATTTCCCTTATGAATTTCTGATTAGAAGAAAATATGAGGATATGGCATGGTAAGCCACGAGTGGCATACAGTCATAAAATGTAGTGGTCATCTTCAAGGGAGTTTTATCTTTTGACAATATCAAGTTTTGTTTCATCAGGGTGTCTTGTCCTGCCTGGTTCAAATCACCTATGGCTCACATATTGATGATCAGAGAGAGAGAGATTCCAGGGAAAATGTATTGGAAAAGTACTTCTAAGAGCTTCTCCAGAGTAGAGTGGCATGTACAGATCCTTTTCCAAATACTAAGCACTGTGTGTCTATTTTTGGCATTACATTATAAATAGGCCTCCTGCTTATTGTGATACAGGAAAAATACTTTCAAGGAGATTTACATTCAGCTCTACCATGTTGTAATATTTAAGGCTGCAGTACTTTTATAGGTAATGCTAATTTGCTGGTGAGGTTTATTAGCTTTGTGAGTCTCAGCTGGTAGATGTAAGGATATGTAGTTAGGGGAAGCTCTAGGATTTTCTTTGACAAATCCCAATATGTTAACAGGAAATATTAGCCACATGCAGTATGGCTAATAAAGTTCTCTATTCCTTGTTTTTTAAAAAATATACCATTTCACACTTTTGGGGGATTACCAGAAGCTGGATGTTTTGTGTTAAAGTATGTGTGTGGTTCACGAGTCCTCATTTTTCCAGGACAAGAAAGGTCTCTCTGTCTTCTCCTGCAGTCTTCAGTGAAGCTTCAGAGCCAAGCTCTATATTTTCCAGGGGGAGTCTGTTGATTTTTGTTATATATATACACATCAGTTTTCAATGAACAGGCTAAAAGTTAGGCATTAATTAATTAGGTGTACTTTTTTAACTTATGGAATTAGACTTCTTTCAAATTGTTGATCAGTAAAACTGATGATCAGTAAAACCATATGTGTTAGTTTTAAACACTATACAACAGGAGCATACTGTTTAATCAGCATAATCTTTTCAGAGAGCACTATGTTGAAAAAGGATTCTAAACTTTTCATGGTAAGCATTTGGGATTTGGAAAACTTGAATCTCTTTCCCTACTTCTACGTGAAGCCATTCTCTACCACTCTTTGGTGAAATGCAGTACCTAGAAAACTGTAAGTAAAACCCTATATCCTGGAAAAGATCAATGGGGAGAGCATTTGATCACATAAGAGCAGAGATGAGTTTCAGGAGGGAGGCTAAAGGACAGATGGCCCTGCAGGGTCTGCCAAGATGTTCAGAGGCCCCAGGACAGCCAAGACAACAAATGGACTGTGCTCTCCCTTTTATATGGACAGCACCAGGGTGGGGAGTTCTGATTATTTAGCAAAAGAGTTTGCTCCAGGATTAAGAAAATGTAGGACTTTCTAATTAGCTGCTTCCTGACAATGGGTGGGCTTTGTGATCTTTGCATCTGCTGCGTTTTGCTCATTTGCTCAACTGCGCATTGCCTGCATAGGTTCTGTTTAGATGGTGTTTGATTTTTGCTGACTTCCCTCCCTCCCTCCTATAATTATTAATACTTCTTCAGTGACTGATAAGGTCTAGGTACTATGTTAGGGCTGGATATATATAATAGTGAACAAGAAGGGTATGGCTCCTACTGTCATAGAGCTTATGGCCTAGTATGGAAAATGAAAATGAAACTAGTTATAATAATGTATAATGAGGGCTATAAAAGAGAAATTGCAGAGTTCTGTAGGTATACATAGGAGGGGAACCTAAGATAATCTGAAGGTCAGAGAAAGTCTCTCTGGAAGGGATATGTAGTCTGAGACCTGAAGGATGAGTAGAAGTTTGCTTATAAAATAAAGATTCCAGATAGAGAAGACAGCATGTATGAAAGTGAGAGAGATTTTTACACATTTGAGCAATTGGAGGGTAAAGTGGAGAGAAGGGTAAAATGGAAGGCCTGGAGGATTTTTGTCTCCTTTTCTCCCTTCCTGCACTCTAGGATATAGGCAGGCATGAGGAAGGCCGGGAGAGGGTTTTGGTGGGACAGTTTAAATTTTGGCAGGAGGAAGTACTTCACTGGGAGGTGGGAAGTATGCCTCTGGAAATGCATCATAGGAACAAGGATTGACTGACTCACAAAGGTAGAAAATAAGGTTAGTTTAGGGTTAAATTCTCTGCATAGGGTGGCTGGAGGCTAAAGGGGGGAGGAAGCAATTTGGGAATCAATAGAATACAGTAGTAGCTAGGGTAACCCAGACGGTATGTATAGAGAAAGGAGAGAAGACCCAAAACAGAACACTGAAAAACACTGACATTTAGTTGACAGGCAGAGAAGCACTGCAAAGAAGATGAGAAGGACAGTTCAGAAAAAGACGGTGAATCGCAGAAGTGAAAGGAGAGAATTTTTCAGGACTGGGGCTTGCCTCGGGCACAAAATTTAAAAAGGTGCCAAAAAACTCAGTAATTGAGATAAATGTTATTTTAATGCAATATTTAAAAAAATCGTTAGTGCAAAAAATCCATGATGAACAAAACATCACATTTTAAATAAAAATGGGATCCGAATTACTGAATTTTCTTTTTGCTGCGAGTTCCAATATGGCTGACAGGACACTGTGGAATTTATATTTAGAAGTCTTATTTTTCTAAGTTTGATATTTTGTTCATCTAGAAAGAAGGAACAATGAATAATGTTAAGTGTGGCTGAGAAGTCAGTCAAGATAAGGACTGAAATGAGTCCACTGGATTTAGGGACAAGGCATTGTCGTTGGATCTTTTGTCTACCTTGTTTTAATAAATTGCAATGGAAATCATCTTACTGTCTCTGCGAACATAATCATCACCTCCAAAAAAGCTGAGTTCTTTTATGAATTAGTGGATTGTATAACTATAAACTTACATTTTTGTTCACATTTTTATTGTGACAAAATACATATAACATAAAATTTGCCATCTTAACCTTTTTGTTTGTTTGTTTTAGGTTTAGGGGTACATTTACAGGTTTGCTATATAGGCCAACTCATGTCATGGGGGTTTTTTGTACAGATTATTTCATCACCCAGGTACGAGGCCTAGAACCCAATAGTTACTTTTTGTGTTCCTCTCCCTCCTCCCATCATCCACCCTTAAGTAGGTCCCAGTGTCTGTTGTTTCCCTCTTTGTGTTCATGAGTGCTCCTCATTTAGCTCCCAGTTACAAGTGAGGACACGTGGTATTTGGTGTTTTTGTTCCTGGGTTAGTTTGCCAATGATAATGGCCTCCAGATCCACCCATGTTCCCACAAAAGACATGATCTCGTTCTTTTCTGTTGCTGCATAGTATTCCATGGTGTATATATACCACATTTTCTTTACCCATCTGTCACTGATGTGCATTTAGGTTGATTCTATGTCTTTGCTATTGTGAATAGTGCTGCAATAAACATTTGCATGTGTGTGTCTTTATGGTAGAATAATTTATATTTCTCTGGGTATATACCCATTGATGAGATTGCTGGGTTGAATGGTAGTTCTGTTTTTAGCTTTTTAAGGAATCACCACACTGCTTTCCACAATGGTTGAACTAATTTACACTCCCACTAACAGTGTATAAGTGTTCCCTTTTCTCCGCAATTTCATCAGCGTCTGTTATTTTTTTGACTTTTTAATAATAACCATTCTGATTGGTGTAAGGTGGTATTTCATTGTGGTTTTGGTTTGCATTTTTCTAACAATTAGTGACATAGAGCTTTTTTTCATAGGATTGTTGGCGACATGCATGTCTTCTTTTGAGGTCTCTGTTCATGTCCTTTGCCCACTTTTTCATGGGATTGAAGTTTTTCTCGTATATTTGTTTCTTTCTTGTAGATGCTGGATATTAGACCTTTGTCAGATGCATAGTTTGCAAATATTTTCTCCCACTCTGTAGGTTGTTTGTTTACTCTGTTGATAGTTTATAGTTTCTTTTGCTGTGCAGAAGCTCGTGTTTAATTGGATCACATTTGTCAATTTGTGCTTTTGTTGTGATGGCTTCTGGCATCTTTGTCATGAAGTATTTGCCTGTTCCTATGTCCAGAATGGTATTACCTAGGTTGTCTTCCAGAGTTTTTATAGTTTTGTGTTTTACATTTAAGTTTTTAATTCATCCTGAGTTGATTTTTGTGTATGGTGTAAGGAAAGGGTCCAGTTTCAATCTTCTACATATGGCTAGCCAGTTATCCCAGCACCATTTTATTAAATAGGTAGCCCTTTCCCCGTTGCTTGCTTTTGTCAGATTTGTTGAAGATCAAATGATCATAGGTGTGTGGTCTTATTTCTAGGCTGTCTATTCTGTTCCATCAGTCTACATGTCTGTTTTTGTGTCAGTACCATGCTGTTTTGGTTACTGTAGACTTGTAGTGTAGTTTGAAGTCAGGTAGCATGATGCCTCCAGCTTTGTTCTTTTTGCTTAGGATTGCCTTGGCTATTCAGATTCTTTTTTGGTTTCATGTGAATTTTAAAATAGTTTTTTCCACAAAAAGAAACTGGCATAATAACCAGCTAACAATACAATGATGGAATAAAATCACATACACCAATACTAACCTTGAATATGAACGCATTAAATGTCCCACTTAAATTGTGCATAGTGGCAAGCTAGATAAAAAGCAAGACCCAATGGTGGGTTGTCTTCAAGAGGCCCATTCCACATGTAATGACAACTATAGGTTCAAAATAAAGGGATGGAGGAAAATCTACCAAGCAAATCAAAATCAGAAAAAAGCAGGGGTTGCAGTACTAATTTCAGACAAAACAGACTTTAAACAAAGATCAAAAAAGAGAAACAAGGGTATTACATAATGGTAAAGGGTAATTCAACAAGAAAACCTTACTACCCTAAACACATATGCACCCAACACAGGAGCACTCAGATTTATAAAGCAAGTTCTTGGAGACCTACAAAGAAACTTAGACTCCCACACAATAATAGTGGGAGACTTCAATACTCTACTGACAGTATTAGATAGATCATTGACGCAGAACATTAACAAAAATATTCAGGATCTGAACTCAACATTGGACCAAATGGATCTGATAGATCTCTACAGAACTCTCCACCCCTAAACAACAGAATATACATTCTTCTCATTGTCACATACTCTAAAATCAAACACATGATTGGACATAAAACAATCCTCAGCAAATGCAAAAGAACTGAAATCACACCAAACATACTTTTGGACCATAGTGTGATAAAAATAGAAGTCAAGACTAAAAACATGCTGAAAACCATGCAATTTCATGGAAATTAAGCAACATGCTGAATGACTTTTGGGTAAATAACAAAATTGAGGCAGAAATAAAGACGTTCTTTGAAACTAATGAGAACAAATATACCAGAATCTCTGGAACACAGCTAAGGCAGTGTTAAGCGGGAAATTCATAGCACTAAATATCCATATCTCAAAGTTAGAAACATCTCAAATTAGCAACCTAACATCACAACTGAAAGAATTAGAGAAGTAAGAGCAAACCAACCCCAATGCTAGCAGAAGACAAGAAATAACCCAAATCAGAGCTGAACTGAAGGAAATTGAGACACAAAAAACCATTCAAAAGATCAATGAATCCAGGAGTTGGTTTTGTAAAAAAATTAATGAGATTGATAGGCTATTAGCTAGACAAATAAAGAAGAAAAGAGAGACGATCCAAATAAACACAATTAGAAATGACAAAGGGTGTGACAAAGGGCATTTTACCACTGACCCACAGAAATAAAAGTAACCATCAGAAGCTACTATAAACACCTCTATGCACACAAACTAGAAAACCTAGAAGAGATGGATAAATTCCTGGCTACATATATCCTCCCAAGACTGAACCAGGAAGAAACTGATTCCCTGAAGAGACCAATAATGAGCTCCAAAATTGAATCAGTAATAAGTAGGCTACCAACCAAAAGTAGCCCAGGACCAGAGAGATTCACAGCTGAATTCTACCAGGTATACAAAGAAGGGCTGGTATCATTCCTACTGAAACTATTCCAAAAAATTGAGGAGGATGGACTCCTCCCCAACTCATTCTATGAGGCCAGCATTATCCTGATACCAAAATCTGTCATAGATGCAACAAAAAAAGAAAACTTCAGACCAATATCCTTGATGAATATAGATGCAAAATCCTCAATGAAATACTTGCAAATCGAATCCAGCAGCACATCAAAAAGCTAATCCATCACGATCAAATAGACTTCATACCCAGGATGCAAGATTGGGTCAACATACACAAATCAATAAATGTGATTCATCACATAAACAGAATTAAAGACAAAAAAAAAACACATGATTATCTCAATAGATGCAGAAAAGGCTTTCAATAAAATTCAACATTCCTTCATTCTCAATAAACTAGGTATTAAAGGAAACTACCTAAAAATAATAAGAGCCATATATGACAAACCACAGTCAACATCATACTGGATGGGCAAAAGCTGGAAGCACCCCCCTTGAAAACTGACACAAGACAAGGATGCCCTTTCCCACAACATCTATTCAACATAGTATTGTAAGGTCTGCCCAGAGCAGTCAGACAAGAGAAAGAAAGAAAAGATATCCAAATAGAAAGAGAGGAAGTCAAACTGTCCCTGTTTGCAGATGGCATAATACTGTATCTAGAAAACCCCACAGTCTCACCCCAAAAGCTCCTTCAGGTGATAAACAACTTCAGCAAAGTTTTAGGATACAAAATCAATGTACAAAAATCACCAGCATTCCTATACTCCAGCAGCTAAGCTGAGAGCCAAATGAGGAAGACAGTCCCATTCACAATTGCCACAAAAAGAATAAAATACCTAGGAATATAACTAACCAGGGAGGTGAAAGATTTCTGCAATGAGAATTACAAAACACTGCTCAAAGAAATCAGAGAAGACACAGTCAAACGGAAAAACATGCCATGCTCGGCTGGGCGTGGTGGCTCACGCCTGTAATCCCAGCACTTTGGGAGGCTGAGGCAGGTGGATCACGAGGTCAGGAGATTGAGAGCATCCTGGCTAACACGGTGAAACCCCATCTCTACTAAAAGTACAAAAAATTAGCCAGGCATGGTGGCGGGCGCCTGTAGTCCCAGCTACTCGGGAGGCTGAGGCAGGAGAATGGCTTGAACGCAAGAAGTGGAGCTTGCAGTGAGCTGAGATTGCGCCACTGCACTCCAGCCTGGGCAACAGTGCAAGACTCCGTCTCAAAAAAACAAAAAAACAAAAAAAATTCCATGCTCATTAATAAGAATCTTAAAATCATAAAAATGATCATACTACCCAAAGCAATTTACAGATTCAATGCTGTACCTATCAAACTACATTGACATTCAAACAAATGACATTCTTCACATCTTAATAGTTTTTAAGAGTTCAATTATATTAATTATATTCTTACTGTTGTGTAATAATTACCACCATTTACCTCCAGAACTCTTTTCATCTTGCAAAACTGAAATCCTTTGATTTAAAGTCTATTTGTCAGAGAGCAGTGGTTTTCCCAGCACACAGCTGGAGATCTGAGAACGGGCAGACTGCCTCCTCAGGTGGGTCCCTGACCCCTGACCCCCGAGCAGCCTAACTGGGAGGCAACCCCCAGCAGGGGCACACTGACATCTCACATGGCAGGGTATTCCAACAGACCTGCAGCTGAAGGTCCTGTCTGTTAGAAGGAAAACTAACAAACAGAAAGGACATCCACACCAAAAACCCATCTGTACATCACCATCATCAAAGACCAAAAGTAGATAAAACCACAAAGATGGGGAAAAAACAGAACAGAAAAACGGGAAACTCTAAAACGCAGAACGCCTCTCCTCCTCCAAAGGAACGCAGTTCCTCACCAGCAATGGAACAAAGCTGGATGGAGAATGACTTTGGCGAGCTGAGAGAAGAAGGCTTCAGACGATCAAATTACTCTGAGCTACGGGAGGACATTCAAACCAAAGGCAAAGAAGTTGAAAACTTTGAAAAAAAATTAGAAGAATGTATAACTAGAATAACCAATACAGAGAAGTGCTTAAAGGAGCTGATGGAGCTGAAAACCAAGGCTCAAGAACTATGTGAAGAATGCAGAAGCCTCAGGAGCAGATGCGATCAACTGGAAGAAAGGGTATCAGCAATGGAAGATGAAATGAATGAAATGAAGCGAGAAGGGAAGTTTAGAGAAAAAAGAATAAAAAGAAATGAGCAAAGCCTCCAAGAAATATGGGACTATGTGAAAAGACCAAATCTACGTCTGATTGGTGTACCTGAAAGTGATGGGGAGAATGGAACCAAGTTGGAAAACACTCTGCAGGATATTATCCAGGAGAACTTCCCCAATCTAGCAAGGCAGGCCAACGTTCAGATTCAGGAAATACAGAGAACGCCACAAACATACTCCTCGAGAAGAGCAACTCCAAGACACATAATTGTCAGATTCACCAAAGTTGAAATGAAGGAAAAATGTTAAGGGCAGGCAGAGAGAAAGGTCAGGTTACTCACAAAGGAAAGCCCATCAGACTAACAGCTGATCTCTTGGCAGAAACTCTACAAGCCAGAAGAGAGTGGGGGCCAATATTCAACATTCTTAAAGAAAAGAATTTTCAACCCAGAATTTCATATCCAGCCAAACTAAGCTTCATAAGTGAAGGAGAAATAAAATCCTTTACAGACAAGCAAATGCTGAGAGATTTTGTCACCACCAGGCCTGCCCTAAAAGAGCTCCTGAAGGAAGCACTAAACATGGAAAGGAACAACCGGTACCAGCTGCTGCAAAATCATGCCAAAATGTAAAGACCATCGAGACTAGGAAGAAACTGCATCAACTAACGAGCAAAATAACCAGCTAACATCATAATGACAGGATCCAATTCACACATAACAATATTAACTTTAAATGTAAATGGACTAAATGCTCCAATTAAAAGACACAGACTGGCAAATTGGATAAAGAGTCAAGACCCATCAGTGTGCTGTATTCAGGAAACCCATCTCACGTGCAGAGACACACATAGGCTCAAAATAAAAGGTTGGAGGAAGATCTACCAAGCAAATGGAAAACAAAAAAAGGCAGGGGTTGCAATCCTAGTTTCTGATAAAACAGACTTTAAACCAACAAAGATCAAAAGAGACAAAGAAGGCCATTACATAATGGTAAAGGGATCAATTCAACAAGAAGAGCTAACTATCCTAAATATATATGCACCCAATACAGGAGCACCCAGATTCATAAAGCAAGTCCTGAGTGACCTACAAAGAGACTTAGACTCCCGCACATTAATAATGGGAGACTTTAACATCCCACTGTCAACATTAGACAGATCAACGAGACAGAAAGTCAACAAGGATACCCAGCAATTGAACTCAGCTCTGCACCAAGCAGACCTAATAGACATCTACAGAACTCTCCACCCCAAATCAGCAGAATATACATTTTTTTCAGCACCACACCACACCTATTCCAAAATTGACCACATACTTGGAAGTAAAGCTCTCCTCAGCAAATGTAAAAGAACAGAGATTGTAACAAACTATCTCTCAGACCACAGTGCAATCAAACTAGAACTCAGAATTAAGAATCTCACTCAAAACCGCTCAACTACATGGAAACTGAACAACCTGCTCCTGAATGACTACCGGATACATAACGAAATGAAGGCAGAAATAAAGATGTTCTTTGAAACCAACGAGAACAAAGACACAACATACCAGAATCTCTGGGATGCATTTAAAGCAGTGTGGAGAGGGAAATTTATAGCACTAAATGCCCACAAGAGAAAGCAGGAAAGATCCAAAATTGACACCCTAACATCACAATTAAAAGAACTAGAAAAGCAAGAGCAAACACATTCAAAAGCTAGCAGAAGGCAAGAAATAACTAAAATCAGAGCAGAACTGAAGGAAATAGAGACACAAAAAACCCTTCAAAAAATTAATGAATCCAGGAGCTGGTTTTTTGAAAGGATCAACAAAATTGATAGACCGCTAGCAAGACTAATAAAGAAAAAAAGAGAGAAGAATCAAATAGACACAATAAAAAATGATAAAGGGGATATCACCACCGATCCCACAGAAATACAAACTACCATCAGAGAATACTACAAACACCTCTACGCAAATAAACTAGAAAATCTAGAAGAAATGGATAAATTCCTTGACACATACACTCTCCCAAGACTAAACCAGGAAGAAGTTGAATCTCTGAATAGACCAATAACAGGATCTGAAATTGTGGCAATAATCAATAGCTTACCAACCAAAAAGAGTCCAGGACCAGATGGATTCACAGCCGAATTCTACCAGAGGTACAAGGAGGAACTGGTACCATTCCTTCTGAAACTATTCCAATCAATAGAAAAAGAGGGAATCCTCCCTAACTCATTTTATGAGGCCAGCATCATTCTGATACCAAAGCCGGGCAGAGACACAACCAAAAAAGAGAATTTTAGACCAATATCCTTGATGAACATTGATGCAAAAATCCTCAATAAAATACTGGCAAAACGAATCCAGCAGCACATCAAAAAGCTTGTCCACCATGATCAAGTGGGCTTCATCCCTGGGATGCAAGGCTGGTTCAATATATGCAAATCAATAAATGTAATCCAGCATATAAACAGAGCCAAAGACAAAAACCACATGATTATCTCAATAGATGCAGAAAAGGCCTTTGACAAAATTCAACAACCCTTCATGCTAAAAACTCTCAATAAATTAGGTATTGATGGGACGTATTTCAAAATAATAAGAGCTATCTATGACAAACCCACAGCCAATATCATACTAAATGGGCAAAAACTGGAAGCATTCCCTTTGAAAACTGGCACAAGACAGGGATGCCCTCTCTCACCACTCCTATTCAACATAGTGTTGGAAGTTCTGGCCAGGGCAATCAGGCAGGAGAAGGAAATAAAGGGTATTCAATTAGGAAAAGAGGAAGTCAAACTGTCCCTGTTTGCAGATGACATGATTGTATATCTAGAAAACCCCATTGTCTCAGCCCAAAATCTCCTTAAGCTGAAGCAACTTCAGCAAAGTCTCAGGATACAAAATCAATGTGCAAAAATCACAAGCATTCTTATACACCAACAACAGACAGACAGAGAGCCAAATCATGAGTGAACTCCCATTCACAATTGCTTCAAAGAGAATAAAATACCTAGGAATCCAACTCACAAGGGATGTGAAGGACCTCTTCAAGGAGAACTACAAACCACTGCTCAATGAAATAAAAGAGGATACAAACAAATGGAAGAACATTCTATGCTCATGGGTAGGAAGAATCAATATCGTGAAAATGGCCATACTGCCCAAGGTAATTTATAGATTCAATGCCATCCCCATCAAGCTACCAATGACTTTCTTCACAGAATTGGAAAAAACTACTTTAAAGTTCATATGGAACCAAAAAAGAGCCCGCATCGCCAAGGCACTCCTAAGCCAAAAGAACGAAGCTGGAGGCATCACACTACCTGACTTGAAACTATACTACAAGGCTACAGTAACCAAAACAGCATGGTACTGGTACCAAAACAGAGATATAGATCAATGGAACAGAACAGAGCCCTCAGAAATAACGCCGCATATCTACAACTATCTGATCTTTGACAAACCTGAGAAAAACAAGCAATGGGGAAAGGATTCCCTATTTAATAAATGGTGCTGGGAAAACTGGCTAGCCATATGTAGAAAGCTGAAACTGGATCCCTTCCTTACACCTTATACAAAAATCAATTCAAGATGGATTAAAGACTTAAACATTAGACCTAAAACCATAAAAACCCTAGAAGAAAACCTAGGCATTACCATTCAGGACATAGGCATGGGCAAGGACTTCATGTCTAAAACACCAAAAGCAATGGCAACAAAAGACAAAATAGACAAATGGGATCTAATTAAACTAAAGAGCTTCTGCACAGCAAAAGAAACTACCATCAGAGTGAACAGGCAACCTACAAAATGGGAGAAAATTTTCGCAACCTACTCATCTGACAAAGGGCTAATATCCAGAATCTACAATGAACTCAAACAAATTTACAAGAAAAAAACAAACAACCCCATCAAAAAGTGGGCGAAGGACATGAACAGACACTTCTCAAAAGAAGACATTTATGCAGTCAAAAAACACATGAAAAAATGCTAACCATCACTGGCCATCAGAGAAATGCAAATCTAAACCACAATGAGCTACCATCTCACACCAGTTAGAAAGGCAATCATTAAAAAGTCAGGAAACAACAGGTGCTGGAGAGGATGTGGAGAAATAGGAACACTTTTATACTGTTGGTGGGATTGTAAACTAGTTCAACCGTTGTGGAAGTCAGTGTGGCGACTCCTCAGGGATCTAGAACTAGAAATACCATTTGAGCCAGCCATCCCATTACTGGGTATATACCCAAAGGACTATAAATCATGCTGCTATAAAGACACATGCACACATATGTTTATTGTGGCATTATTCACAATAGCAAAGACTTGGAACCAACCCAAATGTCCAACAATGATAGACTGGATTAAGAAAATGTGGCACATATACACCATGGAATACTATGCAGCCATAAAAAATGATGAGTTCATGTCCTTTGTAGGGACATGGATGAAACTGGAAATCATCATTCTCAGTAAACTATTGCAAGAACAAAAAACCAAACACCGCATATTCTCACTCATAGGTGGGAATTGAACAATGAGATCACATGGACACAGGAAGGGGAACATCACACTCTGGGGACTGTTGTGGGGTGGGGGGAGGGGGGAGGGATAGCATTGGGAGATATACCTAATGCTAGATGACGAGTTAGTGGGTGCAGCACACCAGCATGGCACATGTATACATATGTAACTAACCTGCACAGTGTGCACATGTACCCTAAAACTTAAAGTATAATAAAAATAAATAAATAAATAAATAATAAGAAAAAAAAGTCTGTAAAGAGACTAAAAATACAGAGAAATTAAAAAAAAAATAAAGTCTATCTGTCTGTATTATTATTGCCACCATGCCCTATTGGTTATTGCTTGCATGGAATATTTTTTTTATCCTTTAACTTTCAATCTGTTAGTGTCCTTGGATCTAAAGTGAGATATGTTATCTATCTTGTAGATAGCATATAGATAGCATATAGTTAGATCATGTGTTTTTATTCATTCTGCCAATCTCTGTCTTTGGGGAATTTAATCCATTTATATTTTAAGGAATTATTAATAGGAAGGGACTTATGCCATTTTGCTACTTGTTTTCTATATGTCTTATATCTTTTTTGTCCTTCATTTCCGGCATTACTGTCTTCTTCTGTGTTTAGTTGACTTTTTGTTTTTGGTGTTTTTTTGAGATGGAGTCTAGCTCTGTCAACCAGGCTGGAGTGCAGTGGTGCCCTCTCGGCTCATTGCAACCTCTGCCTCCCAGGTTCAAGGGATTCTCCTGCCTCAGCCTCCCAAGTAGTTGGGACTAGAGGCACATGCCACCATGCCCGGCTAATTTTTTTGCATTTTTTAGTAGAGACGGGGTTTCACCATGTTGGCCAGGCTGGTCTCAAACTCCCGACCTCAAATGATACGCTGCCTCGGCCTCTCAAAGTGCCGGGATTATAGACAAAAGACACTGCACCCGGCTGTTTAGTTGATTTTTACAGATAAACATTTTAATCCTTTCTCATTTCTTTAATTTCTTTCTTGTTTTTTTTTTTCTTATAAACAGAGTCTCACCTTAATGCTCAGACTGGAGTACAGTGGTATGATCATAGCTCATTGCAGCCTCAAACTCCTGTGCTTAAGCAATCCTCCTGCCTCAGCCGCCTGAGTAGCTGGGACTACAGGCAAACACCACCATGTCTAATTTTTAATTTTTGTGAAGACAGGGTCTCACTCGGTTGTCTAAGCTCCTTCTCATTTCCTTTTGCATATACTATATAGCTATTTCCTTTGTGGTTACCATGGGTGTTACATTTAACATCCTGAAGTTATAACACTCTAATTTAAATTTATACCATATTAACTTCAATAACACCCAAAACTCCTCCTTTGTAGCTCACTCTCCACTCTTTTTAGTTGATGTCACAAAATTACAACTTTTTACAGTGTGTGTCCCAAAACACAAATTAATAATTTCTTTTAAAAATGAATCTCCTAAATTATGTAGAAAACAAAATGTAACCAAAATTATCGTAGTAATAGCTTTTATCATTTCCCATGTGTTTATTTTTATTACAATCTTATTTGTGCATGTGGCTTCCAACTACTGTCTAATGTTCTTTCATTTCAACCTAGAGGACTCCCTTGACCATTCTTGCAGGGCAATTCTAGTGCCTCAATTTTTGTTTATCTGAGAATGCCTTAGTTTCTCCCTCACTTTTGAAAGATAATTTTGCTGCATATAGGATTCTTGTTGACCATTTGTTTCTTTTAGCACTTTAAACAAAATATATTAGCCCACTGCTTCTGGCCTCCAAAGTTTCTGATGAGAAATATGCTGATAATTGTATTGAAGATTTCTTGTATGTGATGAGTTGCTGCTCTCTCGTTGCTTTCAAGATTCTCTTTGCCTTTGTCTTTTAACAGTTTAATTATAATGTGTCTCAGGATGGGTCTCTGAGTTTAACCTAGTTGGAGTTTGTTGAGCTTCTTGGATGTTTATATTCATATATTTCCATCAAATTTGGGGAATTTTTAGCCATTGTTTCTTCAACTGTTCTTCCAACCCCTTTCTCTCTCTCTCTTCTCATTCTGGAATCCTGGAAAGTCTGAAATTTTTAATTTCAGTTATTTTGCCTTTCAACTTCAGAATTTCTTTTTGGTTTCCTTTCAGGTTTTCTATCTCTTTATTGGTATTTCAATCTGTTCAGATATTGTTTTCTTGAATTTCTCCATGTCTTCCTTTAGTTCTTTAAGCATCTTTAAGACAGATATTTTAAGCCTTTATCTAGTTGATCTGCCATTAGGTCTTTCTCAGGGACATTTTCTGTTGGTTTATATATATTTTTTCTTTAAATGGGCTATATTTTCCTATTCCTTTACATATCTTGTGATTTTTTGTTGAAATCTGGATATTTGACTCTAATAATGTGATGTCTCTGAAAATCAGATTCTCCTCTTCCTCAGGGTTTGCTGTTTTTGTTTTTGTTTTTTGATTGCTGTAGGCTGTCTCTGTGCTGAGAATCTGCCTTAGGTATGAACTGAAGATCTTTTCAGAGCCTACATCTTTTCCTGGGCATTCATGGTGATTTTCTAATTTCCCCCATATATGTAGTTGCTTTTGAGTGTCCTAGTCTTTAAAGTCTGGCTCCCAAAAGAGGAAAAAGAGAAAAACGAAGGGGGGAAAATGCACCAATCCTTTAAATCCCCTGGAAGTCACTTCAACCAAAGGGAGAGAGGCTTGCAACAATGGAGGGAGGTAAACAATAATGGCCACTGCCTCCCTGTTGCATCTCTGTGATCAGAGGCAGCAATCAACGATTGGAGCTCAGGTCCCTGATATTTGGAGGACAGGGTCCTTTATTTTTATTTTTATTTTTCTACCTTTTTTTTTTTGAGAGGAGTCTTGCTCTGTCACCCAGGCCAGAGTACGGTGGCACCATCTCAGCTCACTGCAACCTATGCCTCTTGGATTCAAGAGATTGTTATGCCTCAGCCTCCCAAGAAGCTGGGACTACAGGTGTGCACTGCCACACCAGGCTACGTTTTGTATTTTTAATAGAGATGGGTTTTCACTATGTTGGCCAGGCTGGTCTCGAAACCCTGACCCCAAGTGATCTGTCGTCCTCGGCCTCCCGAAGTGCTGGGATTATAGACATGAGCCACCACACCCGGCAATTTTTCTACCTTTTTTACCAAAGGGGAAATAGGGTGCTTTTAAAAATCTAGCCTTGCTCCCAAAGTTGTGTGCAAGGTTGCTCTAGGAACACATGCACAACTGCCTGCCAGTGGGATGGGGGTGGAAGGAGGATGGGTAGCTATTGCTGAGCTAAGAGCTGAAATTGATGAAAATTATTTGCAACTTACCATCCAAGTTTTCCCCTGGAAGTTGCAAATCTTCAATAGACTACAGAGTTCCAAAATCGTTGCATCAGGCAGATTGCTGGATTGTAATTACTGTCTGGGTGGGGAAACAGATTCCTGGTGCTTTCTATTCAATCATCTTCCCAGCATCCTCTGTGGCCTAGTGTACATTTTAATTTTTATTATTTATTTATTTATTTTCTTAGACAGGGTCTCACTCTGCTGCCCATGCTGGAGTGCAGTGGTATGATCATGGCTCACTGCAGCCTCGACATTCCAGGCTCAAGAGATCTTCCCACCTCAGCCTCCTGAGTAGCTGGGACTACAGGCACATGTTACCATGCCCAGCTAATTTTCGTAGAGATGGGGTTTCACCATGTTGCTCAGGCTGGTCTCAAACTCCTGACCTCAGGTATTCCACCCACCATGGTCTCCCAAAGTGCTGGGATTACAGATGTGAGCCACTGTACCTGGGCAAATCTCATGGTAACTTTTATGTTAACTTTAAAGTGAAACGAAATAATTCCTTAATTGTATGAATTAACCTTTAGAAGTTCCATGGATGGATCCTTGTTCTTGCCTAAGTTCGTAGGGCAGGCATATCTAATGGTCAGAAATATGAGCTGGGGAGTTTAGGTAATTAGATATGCTTACTAAGGCTATCCATGTTTACTCTGAGAGAAGTCAACTGATGTTTTGTTTGTAGGTCATTGTATAATATCTGTTTGGGAGGCTCTAGATTCTTTTTAAATGATTTGCTTTGTAATGGGCTCTTCAGTTTGAAGTACTGTGTATAATTTAGTTCTGTGTACAATACAATCCCCAGGCCCCTCTTTAATAAAGATGTTTACCTACATTTCCTTCTCAAGTGCTCTGTTGCCCTTTAATCAGATCAAACTTGATCTAAAAAAATCAGGTCCTTTTACTCTCAGATGCTATTTTATACTCTAATCATGGTTGGGATACTTCAGAATATTAGAAGTAGCTTGTCAGGTTCCAGCCACTTGTTCAAAATCTGGGCAACTCCAGCTTCACCTCTCAGTATGCCTAAAGGTTAATTATATTTACAGGATAAAAAAATTATTTAATCTCATGAACTCAGTGTCTGGCTTTATGATAATCAACCATGGTGGTTTGCCTGGGACTGTCTAGGTTTTCATGCTGAAAATATCCTGTGTCCTGGGGAAATCTCTCAGTACTGAATAAACGTAGACAACTTGTCACCCTATTTGGCCTACAAATATTTCCTGCTTTTCTTTTTAAAAGCCACATAAAAGCCAGATGTAAGGGTATCAGATGACTGCTAAGTTGCATGTTCTTGTTCTTCTTAATCTCTATTTATTTATTTAGAGACAGAGTCTTGCTCTTGTCACCCAGGCTGGAGTGCAATGACGTGATCTTGGCTCACTGCAACCTCTGCCTCCGGGGTTCAAGTGATTCTCCTGCCTCAGCCTCCTGAGTAGCTGGATTACAGGTGCCTGCCACCACGCTCAGGTTTTTTTTTTTTTTTTTTTTTTTTTTTTGTATTTTTAGTAGAGATGGGGGTTTCACCATGTTGGCCAGGCTGGTCTTGAACTCCTGACCTCAGGTGATCCACCCCACCCGCCTTGGCCTCCCAAAGTGCTGGGATTACAGGCTTGAGCCACTGTGCCTGGCCGCTAAATTTCTTTTTATTTATTTGTTTGAGACAGAATCTCACTCTATCACCCAGGCTGGAGTGCAGTGGTGCTTTTTTTGGCTCACTGCAACCTCTGCCTCCCAGGCTCAAGTGATTCTCCTGCCTCAGCCTCCCGAGTAGCTGGGATCACAGGCACGTGCCACCACACTCAGCTAATTTTTGTATTTTTAGTAGAAACAGGGTTTCACCATGTTGGCCAGGCTGGTCTTGAACTCCTGCCCTCAAGTGATCCACCCGCCTCGGCCTTCCAAAGTGCTGAGATTACAGACGTGAACCACTGTGCTTGGCCTTAAATTTCTTAATATTCACAGACTGCTGGCAGTTTTGACCAAGTAAGGAGTTGAGAGACATCCTGTGCTACAACCATCTGAGTTTACAGATGAATAAAATTTCAATTGCATAGGCAAGTTTTGGCTATCTTCCTTCCACTCTGGCTGCTATGGCACCAGATTTCTGCAATGTCTTCAAACATCTCCTTTCCACTAATTAAAAACAAACAATTATGTTGGAACATCAATCACAGTAACAGGAAAGAGTAGCATTCGGTTAGTTTTAAATTGTCCAATAGTCTTTTTCTAATGTCTCTATTTGCGTCATAGGAGTTTTAACTTCCCTTGTGTCTAAAGTTCAATGTCTCTCATGGATTACTCATATTATCTGAGTGTGAAAATAAATATAGTCGGGTTAATTAGCATCAATTTTCATAAAATCCCAGAGTAATTTTACACAATGCTTCCTGGGAAGAAATAAATTAAACTTGATAACTGAGATGATGGGATCTAAAATAGAAGCTATGCATAAAGGAAACAAAATAAACACAGAAAAGGGAAAAAGATATTGTGTGCATTATGTGTGATATATAGATAAAGTTTTCTTTTCAGAATCACACCTTGGGCCTTTGTTATTTTGCCTCCAAAGGAAGTCAGTCTTGGGTCCCAAACAAGCAGACTGACCTTGTGGGCTTGTAGAGAATTCAAATACCCCGCTCCAATACTTGGTCATTCTGTTTCAGTAGATCTGGAGTGGGACCTGGGAATCTCTCTTTTTAATAAACTTTAAAAGTGATTCTAGTGTTCCTGGTTAATGGAATAATGTCTGGGAACCACTGCGTTAGGTAATTTGAAGGGGCTTTCCTACTTTTCACTTTGGAAAAAAATATTTAGTGATCATTCTTGAGATTTTGTTGAGATGACAGGTATCATTGTCCTTCCTTAAAAGGGGGAAATTGAAGAAGGTGGAGTCATATTTTAATCTAAAAATATGGGAAAATGAGGACCTTTACCCTGCAGTTTGATCTTGAAGAGTAGATTGAGATCCTGAAGTAAGATCTGCTGTAAAGTGCGAGGGTGAATTCCTCCAGAGGGCATGAGGGACTATGCAAAGCAATGTGTACATTTTGAGCTTGACCATAATGAAGAAACTGAGTGGAGGAGGCTCCTGGAGACTGCCCAGAGTTCCTCGTTTTTCAATTGTATTCTAATTTATGCTGTAGAGATTGTCCAACACTAATCAGGTGGAGAAGAGATGGTTAAAGTCTCTCTTGCTCATTATCCATAATGGAAGTACTTCTTATTAGGTTCATCTTTACTTGGCCTTGTACACATATCCACATACCCTGAAAAATCCTCTGGGAAACTGACACAAGGCCCCAGATACTTCATTAGCAGAGTGGATTCCCCAGCCCTGTCACTTATGGTATAGCAGAAGATGTGCTTGGCAATTTAATTGGATGGCTGTAAAGCTGGAATCCTGACCACTAGTGGGCACTGAAGATCCCAGGAGACTTTCCTTATGGCAGGTAGAGTGCTGGACAAATTCCAACTCTGATAATTAAATTACATTCTGCCCAGCTCCCCTGTGCACTTTCAACTGGACTCTGTTCCCTTTCCATCCTTAATTGCGGTGGTCATGCACTTTAATAGAGAACCACTGGTTTCTAAAGATGCCTACAATATAATAACCATGTCCCATAACTTATGGAGTGAGATTCACCGGGTTAGGGGTCTAGTGGCACATTTTAATGTGGCATATTGTGTACAAAGGGGAAATTACTGGATTGGTATCCAAAGAGACATGGATCACTCCTGAAAAATTAAATCTGTTAAACATTTCAATACATATTAAAAATGCATGCTCTATTAGCTTTAGAAGCCATTTTTCCTGTTCCTTTATGGGAGATATCTTTCTATAAACAAAGTAATTAGTAGTTATACCTTATTAGCAGACTAAATCCAATGTACTTTTTAAAAAAGCAAACAGGCCGGGCGCGGTGGCTCACACCTGTAATCCCAGCACTTTGGGAGGCCGAGGCCGGCGGATCACGAGGTCAGGAGATTGAGACCATTCTGGCTAACACGGTGAAACCCCGTCTCTAGTAAACATACAAAAAATTAGCCGGGCGTGGTGGCAGGCGCCTGTAGTCCCAGCTACTCAGGAGGCTGAGGAGGAGAATGGCATGAACCGGGGAGGCAGAGCTTGCAGTGAGTCGAGATGGCGCCACTGCACTCCAGCCTGGGTGACAGAGCGAGACTCGCTCTCAAAAAACAAACAAACAAACATAGGCATGGGCAAGGACTTCATGTCTAAAACACCAAAAGCAATGGCAACAAAAGACAAAATTGACAAATGGGATCTAATTAAACTAAAGAGCTTCTGCACAGCAAAAGAAACTACCATCAGAGTGAACAGGCAACCTACAAAATGGGAGAAAATTTTCGCAACCTACTCATCTGACAAAGGGCTAATATCCAGAATCTACAATGAACTCAAACAAATTTACAAGAAAAAAACAAACAACCCCATCAAAAAGTGGGCGAAGGACATGAACAGACACTTCTCAAAAGAAGACATTTATGCAGTCAAAAAACACATGAAAAAATGCTCACCATCACTGGCCATCAGAGAAATGCAAATCAAAACCACAATGAGCTACCATCTCACACCAGTTAGAAAGGCAATCATTAAAAAGTCAGGAAACAACAGGTGCTGGAGAGGATGTGGAGAAATAGGAACACCTTTACACTGTTGGTGGGACTGTAAACTAGTTCAACCATTGTGGAAGTCAGTGTGGCGATTCCTCAGGGATCTAGGACTAGAAATACCATTTGACCCAGCCATCCCATTACTGGGTATATACCCAAAGGACTATAAATCATGCTGCTATAAAGACACATGCACACGTATGTTTATTGCGGCATTATTCACAATAGCAAAGACTTGGAACCAACCCAAATGTCCAACAATGATAGACTGGATTAAGAAAATGTGGCACATATACACCATGGAATACTATGCAGCCATAAAAAATGATGAGTTCATGTCCTTTGTAGGGACATGGATGAAACTGGAAATCATCATTCTCAGTAAACTATCGCAAGAACAAAAAACCAAACACCGCATATTCTCCCTCATAGGTGGGAATTGAACAGTGAGATCACATGGACACAGGAAGGGGAACATCACACTCTGGGGACTGTTGTGGGGTGGGGGGAGGGGAGAGGGATAGCATTGGGAGATATACCTAATGCTAGATGACGAGTTAGTGGGTGCAGCACACCAGCATGGCACATGTATACATATGTAACTAACCTGCACAGTGTGCACATGTACCCTAAAACTTAAAGTGTAATAATAAAAAATAAAAAAATAAATAAAAAAGAAGGAAACACACAAACAAACAAACAAACAAACAAAAAAGAGCAAACAAAACAAAACAAAACAAAAAACCCAGCTGAGCAAAGTCAATAGAATAGAGAGGTAGAGGTGAGAACAGTTAGACATACTGGGAATCAATTTGATGACTTGAAATTTGTTGATGTAGAATTTGACCTAATGTGTGTCTTCATAATAAACAGTTTGTCTGGTTTTACTCTTCTACTGTGTTTTTCCAAAATGGTTAGGTTTAGAGGGCAATGTGCTTTCTCTTAACAGTTAAATTTTGTTATTTTTACAAATTGCTTTACTAATACAGATTTTTTAAAACAAATGAGAATTCAGTAAACTGCATATTTACTGAGAATAGAGTGCTGTCATGTAAGATGAACAAACTTTATTATTCAGCAGGTTGTCTGTTTCTTGGAAATAGAACTCTCTCTAAAATATTTGAAATAATGAATAAAATGTTATTTTCTAATCATAGATAACTTTCCATTTAAAAAGTATTTAACATATATTCTTTTTATTTTTATTTTATTTTTTGTTTTTGGAGACGGAGTTTCACTCTTGTTGCCCAGGCTGGAGTGCAGTGGCACGATCTCGGCTCACTGCAACATCCACCTCCCAGGTTGAAGCGATTCTCCTGCCTCAGCCTCCTGAGTAGCTGGGTCTACAGGCACACACCACGACGCCTGGCTAATTTTTGTATTTTTAGTAGAGATGGGGTTTGACCACGTTGGTCAGGCTGGTCTTGAATTCCTGACCTCACGTGGTCCACTGCCTTGGCCTCCCAAAGTGCTGGGATTATAGGTGTGGGCCACTGCGCCCGGCCTATTCAACATACATTCTATTAATAAACCAAACAATCCCAGTATTTGGTATCTTGATTAACTCATGTATATTTAGGAAAGCAAAATGTACTTCGTAGCTTATGTAGTTTGTCAACACGTTTAAGTCCAGTTGGAGATTGTTTTTGTTTGCTTTTATTATTATTGTTAAACTAATTTTCTGTTTCAAGTAATATACCTAGCTTAGAATTTTCTACCTTTAATACAAAACGAGTCAACACATAGCTCCTGCACACCTACAGCCACACAATGCTTAAATTTTGGAATTCTGTAATCATTTTCTGTGCATCTTCTTTCTAAGCCACACTAAATATTGCTTTACTTCAATTAGATTAAGGAGAAAAAATAGAGATCAGAAGGTAGACAATAGCTGGTTTTCATTGTAAGGAAGCTGGTTAATTACCTGGGTTAATGTGAGGAAGGTGTTTGAGTGTGTATTAAGAATGCCTGTTGGCCGGACGTGGTGGCTCACGCCTGTAATCCCAGCACTTTGGGAGGCTGAGGTGGGTGGATCACCTGAGGTTGCGAGTTCGAGACCAGCCTGACCAACATGGAGAAATCCTGTCTCTACAAAAAATACAAAATTAGTTGGGCATGATGGCACATGCCTGTAATCCCAGCTACTGAGGAGGCTGAGGCAGAAGAATGGCTTGAACCCGGGAGGCGGAGGTTGCGGTGAGCCAAGACTGAGCCATTGCACTCCAGCCTGGGCAACAAGAGCGAAACTCCATCTCAAAAAAAAAAAAAAATGCTTGTAAAAATTGTTTATTTATTTATTTATTTTTGAGACAGGGTCTCACTCTATTGTCCAGGCTTGAGTACAGTGGCGTGACCATGGCTCACTAAAGCCCCAACCTCTTGGGCCCAAGTGATCCTTTCACCTCAGCCTCCCAAGCAGCTGGGCCTACAGGTGTGCACCACCGTGAGTGGCTAATTTATTTTTTATCTTTAATTTAGGGAAAGAATTTTGCTATGTTGTGCAGGCGGATCTCGAAATCCAGGCTGAAGCAATCCTCTTGCCTTGGCCTCCTAAAGTGCTGGGATGATAGGTGTGAGCCACCACATCCCACCAAAAATGTTTTAAATATAAACATAGTCCTGTAATGAAAGGAGTTGGAAGTTTATCTTAGAAGGTCTCTGAAAACAGGAAAAATTCTCAGAAATATAGATGGCTTGTGAATGATTCTGTCCTGTGCTTGAAATAAAAAATATAGGTAGAGATTGTTTGTTTGTTTTAACGGTAAATTTTAAAATTCTGAAAGAAAAAAAGAAACAATGCATCAGATTGTGCTATTTTTTATAGAGGTTTAAAATGACCTAGTGAAACATGTGGCTGATTGAAACATGTTCATCTCTCTTTCCTCTAGAGACTTCTCTAAAATGAAAGTAAAGAATAAAAACTCTTTATAGTCACAATGTCAAAGAGAAGAAAATAAAAGCCATTATCTTTTGGGAGATTTTCCACATTATCAATCTGGCATAATGATTTATCTTTCTAAGGGTGAACTGCTGACCCTTCCAAGATGGAAAGGGTTCTCTCCCTCTCTCTCTACATATATATAGTCAATTATATTGTAGTTCAAGGTATTTTATAATTTCCATTGTGATTCCTTCTTTGTCCTATGCAAAATCCATAAGTTTATTTCTTAGTTTTAAAATACATTTTCTTTTTTTTTTTTTTTTTGAGACGGAGTTTCACTCTTGTTGCCCAGGCTGGAGTGTGGTGGTGCTATCTTGCCTCACTGTAACCTCCACCTCTCAGGTTCGAGTGATTCTCCTGCCTCAGCCTCCCAAGTAGCTGGGATTACAGGCATGCGCCACCACGCCTGGCTAATTTTGTATTTTTAGCAGAGATGGGGTTTCTCTATGTTGGTCAGGCTGGTCTCGAACTCCCGACCTCAGGTGATCTGCCCACCTAGGGCCTCCCACAGTGCTGGGATTACAGACATGAGCCACCATGCCTGGCCTTTTAAATACATTTTCTAGTTATCTTTTTCTTATTGCTTTTTTACCTTAACTGCATTTGGATATCATATACTCTATTTCTATTTTTTAGTGGTTTCCCTGAAAATTCCAACATAAGTATTTAATTTATCAAAGCTTAAAATAAATCAACACCTTTATCCTTTTCTTCGATAATACAAGGTCCTGGGGATACCTTAACCTCATATACCTCACTTTCATCTTACATGATATTTTTGGCATGAATTGATTGACCACAGGGTATTACTATTGTTATATTATGCAGATAATGTTTATTTAGATTTATGTACTTATCACTTTATTTTGCTTTTTATTTTTTTCTGTCTTCTTTCATTCTATCTGGGAGTACTTTCCCTTTGCCTCAAATATACCCTTTAAAATTTCCTTTACTTGAAGGTCTATTTGTAGTAAAATGCTCCTATTTTTGCTTTTCTGGAAATATCTTTATTTGCCTTTATCTTTGACAGATTATTTGATGTAGAATTCTAGTTGTTAAATATTTTAGTATATTAAGGATATTATTTAATAAATTCTGATTTCTTCTTCATTTAAAGAAGTCCTTGTTACTTTATATTCACACTCTGTAACTGCACAGGACTTCAGAGGAGGGAGATATGGGAAAGCTTTATATTGTAATTTGGTTTTTATTTGTTACAGGGAAATAGACCAGATATGGTTGGGAGAGCAGACAGTGACTTTCAGGGAGGTGGAATGATTCATGCAAAATGAGAGTGGGGCACAGAGGACTCTTAGGACTGTAAAACCATTATATCTGCTACTCTAATAGTGGATACATGTCATTATGCATTTGTCTAAACCCATAGCAAGCATAACACCAAAAGTGAACTCTAATGTAAACTATGGAATCTGGGCGATAATGATGTGTCAATGTAGGTTCATCAAGTGTAAAAAATGTACCACTCTGGTATGGGTTGCTGATAGTGGAAAGGCTACTATCATGTGTTGGTGCAGGGAGTATATCGGAGCCCCCTGTACTTTCAACTTTGCGGTGAAAATAAAGTTGCCCTAAAACATAGTCTATTAAGAAATATATCCCACTATTTTCTGGCTTCCAGTGTTTTCTGTTGAGAAGTTAACTGTCAGCCTATTACTCATTTGTATTTAATCTCCTTTTTATCTATGAGTGCACTTATGCTTTTTTATTGTTGTAGTTGGGGGTTTTACAGTTTCTTTTTCCTTTTTTTTAGTGTTGGGGTTTTTCTCTGTTGTTCAGGCTGGAGTGCAGTGGCACAATCATGGCTCACGGCAGCCTCAAACTCCTAGGTTCAAATGATCCTCCCACCTCAGCCTCCCAAGTTGCTGGGACTACAGGTGTGTGCCACCATGGTCACCTGGCTAAGTTTAATTCTTTTTTTTTAAGACATAGGATCTTGCTATGTTATCCAGGCTGCACAGTATCATCATGATGTGTATCAGTTTGAATTTTTAAAAATTTATTCTATTTGGGATTCATTTGGCTTGAATCTGGCTTGAAATCTTTCATTAGTACTGGGAAGCTGTTACTTCGATATTGCTTCTACATCTTTCTCTTTTTTCTCCTTATGGAACTTCAATTAAATCAATAAAGTGAGACAAGCTCACTTGATTCTCCATGTCTCTCAAACGCTGTAGTATGTTTAGTCTGTCTTTATATTGTGCATTTCTTGATCATTACTTCTGATGAACTCTGTCTTCAGTCATGTCTAATCTGCTATTAAACTGGTTTGTTGAGCTTTCCATTTTATTTTGTTTTTAGAAGTTGTTTCTTTCAAATTTTTGTTATGTCACTTTGTGTATTTTCCTCTTTCCTGAAGATATTTGCAAGCTTGTCTTTTATGTTTTTAAACATAGTGAATTTTTTTATCTCTGTGTCTGATAATATTGGAAGGTTTTGAACTCGGTTCTTATGCTTGTGGTTTCTACTGTTTCCCTCTCATGGAGCTTTTCTTTTTCTTGTGTCCTTTGATTGTGGATTGTTTATATTAAAAGTTTATTTATACAAATATAAATTGAGGTGCAAAATTAAGGTGCCGCCTCTAGAGAAGTTTTGTATTGCTTCTGTCAGGCAGCAGCAAGTACCAGTCTGGGATTACGGCTTAACCATGATCATGGTTCCAGGTTTCTTGTTCCACCAGGGTGATAATGCTTCACTGTTTTCTGAAGTTACAGTCCTTTGGAACTCCAGCTTACTGAGGAGAGCTTTTCCTAGTAGAATCTCCACAGTGTGTGGGCCTTGCGCTTTGATTTTATTCTCCTGGGCTGCCAGATGCCATCAGGGAAATCCTGCTTCTGTGCTGGCTTTTCCCTCTAGTCTCTACTTTTCCTTCAGTTTTGGCCTGGTAATCGCTTTATATCTTGGGATCTTTTTGATGCTTTAAAAAATATTGAAAAATAGCCAGATGCGGTGGCTTATGCCTGTAATCCCAGCACTTTGGGAGGCCGAGGTGGGAGGATCTCCTGAGGTCAGAAGTTCGAGACCAGCCTGGTCAACATGGTGAAACCCCATCTCTAATAAAAATACAAAAATTAGCCAGGCGTGGTGGCGGGTGCCTGTAATCCCAGTGAGAGGTGACAGCATGCTGGCAGCCCTCACTCACTCTTGGCACCTCCTCGGCCTCTGTGCCCACTCTGGCTGCACTTGAGGAGCCCTTCAGCCCACCACTGCACTGTGGGAGCCCCTCTCTGGGCTGGTCGAGGCCGGAGCCGGCTCCCTCTGCTTGCGGGGAGGTGTGGAGGGAGAGGCGCCGGCAGGAACCAGGGCAGCACGCCGCCCTCGCGGGCCAGCACGAGTTCCGGGTGGGCACGCGCTCGGTAGGTCCCGCACTTGGAGTGGCAGGCTGGCGCCGCCGGCCCAGGGCAGTAAGGGGCTTAGCACCCAGGCTAGCAGCTGCGGAGGGTGTGCAGGGTCCCCCAGTAGGGCTGGCTGGCCCGCCGCACTCGAATTCTTGCAGGGCCTCAGCTGCCTCCCCACAGGGAGGTCTCAGGACCTGCAGCCTGCCATGCCCAAGCCTCCCCCGCTTCCCTCCCCCCTCCCCTTGGCTGTGGGCTCCCATGCTGCCCGAGACTCCCCAATGGGCACTGCCCCCTGCTCCGTGGCGCCCGGTCTCATCGACTGCCCAAGGGCTGAGGCGTGCAGGTGCACGGCGCTGGACTGAGGAGTGCAGGCACCAGGCGTGGGACTGGCGGGCAGCTCCGCCCGCGGCCCTGGCACTGCATCCACTAGGCAAAGCCAGCTGGGCTCCTCAGTGGGGTGGGGTGTTGGAGAACTTTTATTTCTAGCTGGAGGATTGTATATGCACCAAGCAGCACTCTGTGTCTAGCTCAGGGTTTGTGAAGGCACCAATCAGCACTCTGTATCTAGCTAATCTGGTGGGGACTTGGAGAACTTTTATGTCTAGCTAGAGGATTGTAAATGCACCAATCAGCACTCTGTGTCTAGCTCAGGGATTGTAAATGCACCAATCAGCACCCTGTCAAAACGGACCAATCAGCTCTCTGTAAAATGGACCAATCAGCAAGATGTGGGTGGGGTCAGATAAGGGAATAAAAGCAGGCTGCCCCAGCAGCACTACTTGGGTCACCTTCCACGTTGTGGAAGCTTTGTTTTTTCGCTCTTTGCAATAAATCTCGCTGCTGCTCACTCTTTGGGTCCACACTGCCTTTATGAGCTGTAACACTCACAACGAATGTCTGCAGGTTCACTCCTGAGGCCAGCAAGACCAGGAACCCACTGGGAGGAATGAACAACTCCGGACGGGAGGAATGAACAACTCCAGACGCGCTTCCTTAAGAGCTGTAACACTCACTGTGAAGGTCTGCAGCTTCACTCCTGAAGCCAGCGAGACCACGAACCCACCAGAAGGAATAAACTCCCAACACATCCAAACATCAGAAGGAACAAACTCCGGACACACCATCTTTAAGAACTGTAACACTCACCACGAGCGTCCGTGGCTGCATTCTTGAAGTCAGTGAGACCAAGAACCCACCAATTCCGGACACACCAGCTACTCAGGAGGCTGAGGCAGGAGAATTGCTTGAGCCCGGGAGACAGAGGTTGCAGTGAGCCGAGATCACGCCACTGCACTCCAGCCTGGAAGACAAAAGCAAGACTCTGTCTCAAAAAAAAAAAAAAAAAAAAAAATTGATCTGACAATTTTAGTCACCTTCAGTGAGAGGGCGATCTTAAAAACCTTTTTAGCTGTTGTTGGCTGCCAGAAAGATCTCAACAAAATCTTGGAATCAGAAAGAAGTTGAAATAGAGGTGACTGATACAGCTATGTGGTAGAATTCCACCACTGAGCATTTTCAGAAGAAGACAATAGCATTATAAAAATTTGATTTGACCCCACAGAACTTTATGAGACTTCAGGTTCAGAGATGCCAGGTTTAAAAAAAAAAGAGTAGAGGTGAGATGTAGGACCTAAAACAGACTGATTGTGTAACACTGACAGTAGGTGCCTACCCTCCGGTGGCAGATAGGAGGTTTTTACTCTGAAGAAATTGAACTGTCTCAGGCTTCCACATGCTGGCCGTAGAGTTTCTCCCAGACCATCCCCCCTCGGCATCTCCTTGCCTACCCATCACAAAGTGAAATCCATTGATTAAAACACTGTTCGTATACACAGGACTTTCAATCATTTTATGTGTGTGTCTGCCTCATGTCAATATGAACAGGTGACTAAGAAACAGTAAAGAAGGGTAGAAAATTTGCTTAAGGGAGAAATAAATCCAGAGGAATCAGGGATAGCACAGAGAATCTTAAAACTCTCATCTCTTAGATAAGAAGAATATTAATGCCTGTAAAACAAGAACAAGATAAAATGAAAAGATAAAAGAGAACAAGAACGATCTCTTGAAAAGCAAAAATACAATACCTGCGAAAAGCAACAGAAGATCTTTAGATGGTATAATGAAAAGTTTTAAGATATGGAAAATAGGAGAGAAGATACGAGACTTAAAGAAGCAGACAACTAAAAGGTGTTCCAGGAAGAGAGAAAGCAAATGGAGAGGAGGACTTTATAAAACAATATAAGAGCTAACTATGGCAGATTTCTAGATCAAAAGGGCACCTTGAATGCTTTTAAAATGAATGAAAAAGGCATATAACCATTACATTGTAATATGCTAGGGAAAAAGAAAGTTTCCAAAGAGAAAATGTAGATTGCTTTCAATGAAGAAAAACTCAGCATTGTCATTGGATTTCTCAAAGCAACATTGATTGTTGGGAGACGATCAAGGAATCACCCCAAAATTTGAAAAAAATGAATTCAAACCCATGTAATTGCTAAATTAGCTAAATATGATCATAGAGACAAGAATGGGAAACTGAGTATTTGTAGGGAAGAAGAGCTTTTATTAAAAGACTTTTATTTAATATTTTACCTGAAGTATATACTAATTTGAAAAAAATTAGCAACAGTAAAATAAGTAAATGTAAAAAACAAAAAGCTTCATAATACAGACATTTTTGGAATAGTGTGAAATGGTATTCTTCCTCATTCTGTCGTGTCTTATTTACTGCTCTGGTCTGTGAACAAGAAGAATGATCTAGTGCACCGTTTGAGGACTTTTATTTTTTTGCGCCAAATCATTCTATACATCTAAAATTTGTTATAACGTTTGGATATTTCTGTCTGAGATGGTTTTAACTGATGTTTAAAAATTTGCTAATTTTGTATTAAAAGCATCAATTGGGACAGATTTAAGATATTCCACTTTGAGTATCTAATTTGATGCTTACTTCTGGCAGTCACTGAACTCTTAACAGTTGAAGTTGCTGTTGGCTCACTAGGATTTTAATTAGGCAGCTGAATCCCATATGTTTATGTGCACTACTTTGATTTCTCTAGCATGTTTATTTGGGTGGTTGTGGCACTTTAGCACCCTACCTTCCCAAGGGACACACAGACAGTCTGAGAATTTGGTATATGAAATAACCACAGAACACATATCAGTTAATCAAACACCCTAGGCCCACACTTTTTTTTTTTTTTTTTGTGACAGAGTCTTGCCCTGTCGCCAGGCTAGAGTGCAGTGGTGCGATCTCAGCTCACTGCAACCTTTGCCTCCTGGTTCAAGCGATTCTCCTGCCTCAGCCTTCTGAACAGCTGGGACTACAGGTGCCCGCCACCATGTCTGGCTAATTTTTGTATTTTTAGTAGAGACGGGGTTTCACCACATTGGCCAGGATGGTCTTGATCTCTTGACTATGTGATCCACCCCCCTCGACCTCCCAAAGTGCTGGGATTACGGGCATGAGCCACCGTGCCCAGCCACGCCCACACTTCTAAAACCTAAATGGTAAGTGTTGTAAATTTTGTACATTCGTCTTTATCAGGTTTGTTGCTCTTGTTCCTTGTTTCTCATTCTCATTTCAATACTAATATTCATTCACATCACCTCTTTAAAAATTATTGCGCTCACTTCCTTTCTTATTTTTACTTTCAATCTCTAGTGTTCAATGCCTCTTGAATAGCATTGCTAAAATTATTTACCAAAAATATTGCTTTAATATCTCTCTCCTGCTCTAAGATCTTCAGTGTTTTCTTTTTTTCTTATTTCCTTTAACTAGGGAAATAATCTCCAAAGCGAGGGGTGTGGACCCAGGAGATGTGAAGGACAATCCATTGGCCTAGGCAAGAATGTAGCCAAACTTTTAGTTCCTATTTCCACACTACGTAAATAATTATATATGTGTTTAACTAAAAGGGAAGAAAAGTTAAATTTTGCTAATGTTTCCTACACAGATATTGATACAGGAACTATCTTTCAGACTGTATGTCAGATGATCATGTATTGCTTATGGTATCTGAGATATCTGGAATTAATGATTAGAGTTCAAGTGCTGAGAGGATAGCATTGGTACTGCATTTTTTTTGGATTAGCTTCTAGCATATTGTGATATTTTTCTATTTATATGTATCTGGTTATGGACTTATTATTTGATTTATGTATAGGCAAGTGGCTTAAAAAAATTTCAGGAAAGAAAACACAGATTGTAGAGAATAGTAATTGCAAGTATAAGAGAACAACAAAAAGGCCAAGGTGTTACTTTTATTCATGGTGTGAAAACTTTGTAAACCACATTATGTAGTAAAAAGAATGCAACTATGACCGGGCCCAGTGGCTCATACCTGTAATCCTGATAGGGGCAAGTCACTTGAGGCCAGGACTTGGAGGCCAGCCTGGCCAACATGGCAAAACCCTGTCTCCACTAAAAATACAAAAAAATTAGCTCGGCAGGGTGGCACAGGCCTCAGGAGGCTGAGGCACGAGAATTGTTTGAACCTGGGAAGTGGAGATTGCAGTGAGCTGAGATCACGCCACAGCCCTCCAGCCTGGGCGACAGAGCCAGACTCTCTCTAAAAAAGAGAATGCACCTAATCAGGTCTGACAAAGCTTTGGCCAAAAGATTCAAAATTATTGAAATAACAATTTGAAATAGGAATTCATCTTATATTTAATAATAAATTTCAGTTTAGGCATGTATTGTGCTGGAGATTTTAGTTAATGGTATCAAGGCATTAAATTAGCAAGATATTAATAAACTAAACACATGAAAAGGACAGATTCAGGTTCTGTGGAGCTTGAATCTGTGCTGATTTTGGAGGACTCTAGGAGAAAAAAATATAAACTTGCAAATGCAAAATCAGATGAACATCTATTTAGAATAAGAAATCACAACAGATCACTCATTTTAAGAAGCAGGAAATACTACAAACACAGGATCCAAAAAAGTAGCAATATTCTTATAAATCAACTGCTGACATGCCTCTATCATACGTTTTTTCTGTATTTTGTTAGCTGCATCTTTGCCTTTTCATGTGATGATTATTTTGTAATGTTTTCTAAAGATAGATAGATCATTTCTTTAGCACGGCTCATCAAAATTTGTTTTTTATAGCTGAAAATAATTTGCTATTAGTACTGTTATATAGATTTCTTAAATTGTGAAATTTTGGGGAACCTCTTTCATGTTTCTTTATATATGAGCTGTAATATTTCAATGATGTGCATATTTTATCATGCAAGACTAACTTTAAATCCTCTTTGAACTAATAAATACTAGTCTGAGAAAATTCAAATGTATTTAAAAATTGCTGTTATTTTGTAGTGAGCCACATAATTATATAATCAAATTATTCTCATGTTATGTTTTGACTTATGAATAAATATGTGCAGGAATTATGTCATAAGAATGCTTGTTTCTTTTATTTGTTCTGCTATTTGGTGGCAATTTTGTATGCCATGTTATTTAGAATTACCAGATTTCACCAGGACAAGATAAATGAGACATCCTAAGATGTGTTCTTTTAAGTTGGGAAACATAGAACATGTGACTTTGCATATAGACATACTTATTGATTGTAGTATTGCTACAGGTTTGTGATAAATTATGAACAAAGGAATAATAAGTTCTATTTTATGTGATTACAGTAAAAGTAAAACTAAAAATTTATGGTTTACTTTGAATATGATGACTTAAAATATGTAATTCATATTTACTTAAAATATGAATATGAGGAGAGAATTTCTAGTGAGAAACAAATCTTTTGCTTATAATTTCACATATCTTATGACTCAAAACATTTTCAACAGACTAGCTTCTGGTTCCATAATTTCAAACCTTGTTTCTTATCCACTTCCACATACTTTTGGTTCTGCATGCCATAGAACACATTCATATATGAGATGACCTTTGGTTCTGCACCTTTACGTCACCACCACAGGTGACTCAGACAGTGGGCAGGAGTATTCCTGGAAGCCATCCTCTACTGGGATGGCTAATGATAACTTAACTACACATGGACAGCCTAGAAACCACATAAATATATCCCACTAAACCCAAACTAAATATATTCAGAGCTCTACTTCCTCTTATTCAGACCCCAAAAATGCTTTCAGCCACTTATATCCATCATGCTAACATCGTATTAACATGAAGGGAAGTGTAAGGAAGAAAATCAGAGTGGAAAGGAATTGTAGTCAAACGATCTTACCTTAATCTCACCTTTGCAGCCTTTGTAGAAACATATGGCCATATGGATACATTCCAGGGGAGATGCCCATGCTAGCGAGGGGTCCTGAACTTAAGCTTCATGGCAAATGTGTCTCTATCTTCAAAAAACGAAGTCAAACAGCTACACATACTATAATAATGTTTAGAGGCATTTGGTGCTGAATAAAGTATAGAACATTGCTGAACTTAAATTCTTTTGAGATGACTTCCTTATTTAAAAGTGAACAAAAATCCCACCCATATATCTTTTGGTACCTATGTCAGCCACTAAAATCAACTATTGAATTAAAATAAATATGCCAGACTTTTGAATCACATTGTCACCAAGTGTTATATAAAGATTAACAAAAAGTATATTAAATCATATTGCTCTCATTAAAAATATTTATTTTTTTCAGAGATGACCAAAAGGACTTTGTACCATAAATAAAGATATTTAAAATAATTTTTATTTCACTTTTTAAGATATGTTATATAAAGTATATAGTATATCAGTTTGTTATACATATATGTACACAATATATGTACCTATGAACATACATATGTACATACATACATAACACCGATTAGGGTGTATGCTCAAAAGTCTTTACTGATAAGATGTACAATTCAAAGTATTTGAGTATCGGCTGGGCACGGTGGCTCACACCTGTAATTCCAGCACTTTGAGAGCCAAGGCGGGAGGATCATTTGAGTCCAGAAGTTTGAGACCAGCCTGGGCAACGTGATGAAACCCAGTGGTGCAGGACTGTAGTCTCAGCTACTTGAGGCTGATGTGGGAAGATCGCTTGAGCGTGGGAGGCAGAGGTTGCAGTAAGCTGTCATCGTGCCACTACACTCCAGCCTGGGTGACAGAGCAAGACTGTATTAATCTGTTTTCACGCCACTGATAAAGACATACCTGAAACTGGGCAATTAACAAAAGAAAGAGGTTTAATCCACTCACAGTTCCACCTGGCTGGGGAGGCCTCACAATCATGGTGGAAGGCAAGGAAGAGCACATCACATCTTACGTGCACGGCAGCAGGCATAGAGAGTGTTTGTGTGGAGAAACTCCTGCTTTTAAAACCATCATATCTCGTCAGATCTCGTGAGACCCATTCACAATCATGAGAACAGCACAGGAAAGACCCGCCCCCATGATTCAGTCATCTCCCACTGGGTCCCCACATGTGGGAATTATGGGAGCTACAAGATGAGATTTGAGTGGGGACACAGAGCCAAACCATATCAAAGACCCTGTCTCAAAAAAAGAAAAAAAATTGGGGTATCAAAGACAGTCAATTTTTTCCTAAGATGGGTCTCACTCTGTTGCCCAGGCTGGAGTGGAGTGGCATGATCTCGGCTCACTGCAACCTCTGCCTCCCAGGTTCAAATGATCCTCCCACCTCAGCCTCCCAAGTAGCTGAGATTATGGGTGTGAACCACCGTGCCAAGCTAATTTTTGTATTTTTAGTAGAGATGGGGTTTTGCTATGTTGGCCAGGCTGGTCTCAAGCTCCTAGACTCAAGCAATTTGACTGACTTGACCTCCCAAAGTTCTGGGATTACAGGCATGAGCCACCACACTCAGCCAAAGACATTCAAAATTTGACCCAAAGTTCTCCATTCTTAAGCTGGCCTGAATTACTCTCAATCCCTAAAACAAGTCTTTATATTTCTACCCTAGTGTCTTAGTATCTAAGTAAATCCTACCCTAACTTTCAACTTCGAGTGTCTCCTTTTTTTCTGGGTTACTCAAATATTCTCCGCCTTTGAATTAAAGACTTAAATGTAAGGCCTAAAACTATAAAAACCGTGGAAGATAACCTAGGAAATACCATTCTGGACATAGGATCTGGCAAAGATTTCATGAAGAAGATGCCAAAAGCAAGTGCAACAAAAACAAAAATTGACAAATGGGATCTAATTAAACTAAAGAGCTTTTGCACAGCAACAGGAACAATAAACAAAATAAACAGACAACCTGCAGAATGGGAGAAAATATTTGCAAACCATGCATCCTACAAAGGTCTAACATCCAGAATCTGTTAGGAACTTAAACAAGCTGACAAGCAAAAAACAAGAGACCTCATTAAAAAGTGGGCAAAAGTCACAAACAGACACTTATCAAAAGGAGATATGCATGTGACCAACAAGTATATGAAAAAAAATGCTCAACATCATTAATTATTAGAGAAATGCAAATTAAAACCACAGTGAGATACCATCATACACCAGTCAGAATGGCTGTCATTAAAAAGTCAAAAAATAACATGCTGGCAAGGTTGCAGAGAAAAGGGAATACTTATACACTGCTGGTGGGAATGTAAATGAGTTCAGCCATTGTGGAAAGCAGTTTGGCAATTTCTTAAAGAACTCAAAATGGCATTACCATTCGACCCAGTAATCCCATTATTGAGTGTATGCCCAAAGGAATATAAATTGTTCTACCATAAAGACACACATCACATGTATGTTCATTGCAGCACTACTCACAATAGCAAAGATATGGAATCAACCCAAATGCCCATCAGTGATAGACTGAATAAAGAAAATGTGGTACATATACATCATGGAATACCATGCACCAAAAAAAAAAAAAAAAAAAAAAAAGAATGAGATCATGTCCTCTGTAGCAACACAGATGGAGCTGGAGGTCATTATCCTAAGTAAACTAACACAGGAACAGAAAACCAAATATTGCCTGTTCTCACTTATAAGTAGGAGCTAAACATTGCGTACACGTGGACACAAAGAAGAGAAAAACAGACACTAGAGCCTACTTGAGGATAGAGGGAGGAAGGAGGGTGAGGATTAAAAAACTACCTATGGGGTACCATGCTTATTACCTGGGTGATGAAGTAATCTGTACACCAAACCCTTGTGACATGCCATTTACCTATATGACAAACCTGCACATGTACCCTTAAACCTAAAATAAAAGTTAAAAATGAATCCTCTTATCCGTCTTCAGGGACCTGTGCTTCAAAGACTCCTCTGACCTCTTCAATTGCCAGAGTTCTCTTGTAATGTTAATTATTTTTTTTTTTAAGAGATGAGATCTTGCGCTATTGCTTGGGTGGGGGTGCAGTAGCACAATCATAGTTCACTGCACTCTCAAACTCCTGAAGTTAAGCAATTCTACCACCTCAGCCTCCTGAATAGCTGGAACTACAGGCATGTGCCTCCATGCTGGCTAATTAATTTTGTTTTTTAAATTTTGTAGAGAAGGGGGTCTCACTTTTTTGCCCAGGCTGGTCTTCAACTCCTGGCTTCAAGCAATTCTCCCACCTCGGCCTCCCAAAGTGCTTAGATTACAAGCATGAGCCACAGTGCCTGGCCTCATTTTGTTAAATGAATGTCACTTACTATTTTCAATATGCTCTTAGCACTTAGTGATATCATACTTATTTTGTTAAATGAGTGTCACTTACTATTTTCAATATGCTCTTAGCATTAAGTGATATCATACTTTGAAGCATCTCTTTTATTGTATTATTTGTTGTAATGCGTATGTATCTTATTTTTGCAGCTTCTCAAAGGCAAACCTCGCTCATATACTTTTGTATCCCTCACTGCACCTAACATAAGTCTATGCAAATAGTAGATCCTCTGTGAAGATTTGTGGAATCAATACCTTTTTAGGAAAACTCAAGCTGAGGGGAGATATCTTTGTAGTTGAGAGAGCTCTCTGTGAGAGGAGGTTGTGTGAAGGCAGTCATGGTGACAGCCTTTTCTTTCCAGTGACACAGTGGGAGGAAAGTTCTCCCCTGTACACATCTATCCCGTGCTGAGAATGTAATCCCCATGATGAATATCAAGTGAGTGATACATGCTAGAATCTCAAACTATGACACTAAAGGGAAAGAATGACGAGATAATTTTGTCTTCTCAACCACTGACTTTTCTGCCTTATTCATCATGAGATCATGTTCACTAACAACGGCGGATGGGAGAGTGGGGATCTGTCTGTCCATCTCATACTAGTTTGGCATCTCTGTAGAAAGAAAAATTGACAGAAAAAGCAACTGTTTCCTTTTTAAGCATCCTTCTGTTTGCTCCTTTCTGTTTTGTCTGTTTCTGAAGTGCACTTTCGCCGTCCCTCTAAAGATGTTGGTTCTTTTATAACAGCAGAGGTCCTCCTTGCTCAGCAGTCCTCCAGGATCAAGAAACTACTCATCCTAAAAGCTCGAGATCACTGGGAACTGCGTGACTTAAACAGATGATTAAAGACCCATTGTCTGTGCTGTAGCTGGGTTTATGATGCCTTTTCATCACGACACCTGCCAACATTTCAAGGTTCTAATTAGCTGCCAATCAGGGTAAAAAGCTCAGAATAAGCAGCATTGTGCCTGGAATTACTATGTGGAAGTATATGCAAATTACTTGGGTTAAAGATAAAGAATCTGCACTTTAGAGAATGAAAAGCTGTATTAATCTAGGATTATTAAACATTGGTAAATGCATTATTGACCTTGTCATGATGCCAGATTGTGATCAAGAGCCATCCCAGATTTTCTGGACAGTGGTAAAACATGCTGGCTCTGGCCTGGCTAGTTCCATTTGAATAGCAGGGAGCAGAAAACCAAAGCCTATACTAATCTGAGTGTGTCTGGAGTCCCGAGCCCATGAGATCGGGACAAGCTCTACCCTGTGCCACCCACATTTTCCCATCTGTATCCATCTCCCACTGTGTTATCAGACACTCCAGATGGAGCTTCCTGTACCATTGTTAATTATTATTATTATTTTTTTCTGTTCACCCATAATGTCTCTGAATCTACTGGCACTGCAACTGTTGTCTTTGTTGGAAAGAAATGATAGCCTTCCAAAATGGTGATGACGGCATATCTTTGTGAGCTTTTAGGAGCAATGTGCATACTATTTAAGTTTTAAAAAATAATAATTTTGTCCTGACACTTTAAAAAAGTGAATTTCTTTATAATTAGTTCCAGTGTTTAGGATTGCTTTAAAAATCACTAGTGTTTTTTCCTTTAAACAAGAAGAAAAGATTCAGCTTGTTTTTCTTGTTTGGTATTTTTTTTTGGATGAAAAGCACTATAGAAATGTAAGCTATTATTAATCCACCCCTTCTCCAGACACATGTTGACGGGGGCTCTAAAATGTATATCAGCTAACGGCATGTCTCAGCTCAAAGAAAGCTGCAAAATTATCTTGAAGCATGTTCTTCGAATTTGCCCAAAGCCTGTCTATTTCCATGGAAATAGAAGTGGCATCCTGCAGCTGAGGCTGCTGTTGGTTTTAGCAGTTACAGCAGGTTTAGCTGGATGGATACTACCTCCTGGACAATACTTAATGCTTTTTCCTAAGTGTTTTTTATAGCAAGGGTAGGGAATGAGTTAAATTGTGCCTGGATACAGAGGGACAGACAGAGAGATCTTGTAGATTTCCTCCAAAGCCTTGCATATTATAATAAGATCTTGATGACTATTACTTCTGTTGCAACTGCCTGCTTACTGGTATTGCATAGTAAGATGAAGAAAAAAATCATCATGTTTTGCCCAACAGCTTTACCAGCTGTGTGCCTAGTTGGAATTTTCTAAGTAATACTTCCTTTTCCACTATTGGCCACAGCTAGTGTTAACTGACCCTAAGCAATCCAGTAATCAAAGTCTCTGTTATCATTGTCCTCTTTGGGATATTAAGTACATGCATGTGTGTATCACTGTGTTGGGCACTGCATAGGCCAGACAGAGACAGCTAAAGGCCACTCCAATGCAGTGAACATGTGGAGGACATGGTGGGAACTAGCAAGCCCCTAACACGATAGGAGTTGACAAGCCTACAGACTTGCACTGAATGCCAATTAATGTAAGTGCATTTGATGAATTACCATTTTTTTTTTAACCAGGGTGAGATTTGTAGAAATTTGTGCAAATTTGGAAAATTTTTATTGTAATTTGGAAATGAGTGATAGCACTGAGTCCTTCTTAGTTTCGTATCCCTGAACCCCTCTAGAAGAATTGTAGGAGCCTTAGGTTGTTAACATGGGAACCATTAAGACATCTTCTTAAGGTCTCACTTGGATCCTATTTCCTGAATAGCTCTGTGAGGCTAAGCTTTACCGTATGTTTTAGTTATCTGTTCACCATGAAACTCTGGTTTAAACAACAATCATTTGTTTGCTTATGATTATCTAATTTGGCTATGACTCAGCAAGGACAGTGTGATTCTGTCCTATGTGGTATTAACTTCCAAGATGGCTGGCTCACATAGTTGGCAAATTGGAACTCAGCTGCGGGAGTCAGCCAAGGGTGCCTTGGTTGGCAGGATTCCCAGGTTCTTCTCTGTGTGGCCAGCGTGGGCTTCCTTACAGCAAAGTGGTCCAGGGTAGTCGTATTCCTTACATTATGGCTGCCTTCCTCCAGAGTGCAAACGCAGAAGTCCCAGGCCTTTTTTAGGCTAGTCTTGGAACTAGCACAGCATCACTTCTGCCAGGTCACAAGGGTGGCTCACTTTCAAGGAGAGGGACTCCATAGATGTGAGTCCTAGGAAGTGTGACTCATTGGGGGCTATTGATGTAATCATCTCCCAGTTTGGTTTCCTGATTCTTATGGCTGTCGCTGCCCTGATACCGAACTTGGCACCCCCGTTGCTCAAAGTCTTAGGGACCTGCCCTACTCTTTCTAGAACTTTCAAGGACTGAAACTCTTCTTTTCAGGCTTTGTCCTCTTGGTAGCTATCAAATACCTTGCTCTGTCTTGCTGGCACAACCATTGATTTCCCCATGAAGTTTTCTGGAGGCTGTCCTAGGCCTTTACTATGCTCCTGGCTTGCAAACAGAGTCCTGAATGCATTGAGGTATACGGGATGGTGTGCCAAGGAGGTGGGGAACTGTGAGACATATACATGAATCATCTTACCCCAAAGTTGATTTTACCTGAAAATAAAGATTTTCAAAATTCTCATTTCAATCATTATATTTTTATATGAATTAACGTGGTTATATTATGAAATAAAATATGAGGTTCTATTGAATTTTCAAGATAAAACACAAGGCTTCAAGAATATTTAAAGCTTAGTCAGGCTGCTTGAAGCTATACTCCCAGATTCCTGGGCCAGGGGTATATTCTCCCATGTCACTGCTGGCCTGTTCAGTTTTTGTATCAGAAACTCTCCTACTGGTCTTGCTTATCATGCCATCCATCCATGTCCAGATTAGCCTATACTGTGGCCTTGGCCTTGGTGATAGTGCTTATAAGGCTTGTTGTCTACACCAGTTTTCCTGTAAAGGGAGAAAGCTCTTTGGTGAAGGAGGAGGAAATGTACATTGTTTCTGTATCCTCATTCTGGGACTCAAATCTTGTTCTAAACTTTGCTCCATTAAAACCAGACCCTCCTACTTGCTCTGTGTACTTCTCTTGCCACTTGCTTTTCTAGCCTTTCAATATCACTGAATACTAGAGTGTATTGCTCCGAATAGAAGCCCCAGAGGCCAGGGATTCCCTCCTCTGTTGCTGTCTTTAGCATGGCTGAGGGCCTCAGTAGCGCTGAGCTTTGGCAATTGCTCATTTCTAATTATCTGGTCTTTTGCAAAGTCCACAAGGCTGTACTAGTCCACAGGCTGAGTCTGTTACTGTGGACCCCAGTCCTACTTCTTCAATAGGGAAAGGGTAGTGTCTGGAGAGCTCAGTGCTGAATTTTAGGTAGGATGTTGGGAGTGCCAGCAAGCTTTGCCTCCTCTGTGCAGTTAAGAGCTGACCTTCAGCTCTAAACCAGCAAGGATGATGAAGCTTCCTCCTGAGGGGGATGGCATTTGGCATAAACCATAGTTAGTGCTTGCTAGGGGTTACAGTTGCCATGAGTCCATCGCTGGGCTCCGATAAGCCTTTAAGTAACTGCAGAGGAATAAAGCTGTTCTTTAGCATAAGTTCCATGGTGTGTATGTATGTATGTAAATATTTTAAATTCAATCTTCTTTTATCTATTAATTTATTTTGAGTTGACAAATAAAAATTGTGTATATACATCATGTACAATATGATGTTTTGAACTGTATATAGTGGAATGGCTAAATTGAGCTAATTAACATATGTATTACCTCACATACTAATTTTTGTGGTAAGAACACAATCTACTCTTTTTTTTTTTTTTTTTGAGACAGAGTCTCACTCTGTTGCCCAGGCTGGAATTCAGTGGCACCACCTTGGCTCACTGCAACCTCAGCCTCCCGGGTTCAAGAGGTTCTCCTGCCTCAGCCTCCTGAGTAGCCAGGACTACAGGCCTGCACCACCATGCCTGGCTAATTTTTGGATTTTTAGTAGAGATGGGATTTTACCATGTTGGCCAGGCTTCTCTCGAACTCCTGACCTCAGGTGATCCATCTGCCTTGGCCTCCCAAAGTGCTGGGATTACAGGTGTGAGCCACCGTGCCCGGCTCACAATCTACTCTTTTAGCAATTTTCAAGAATACAATACATTGTTATTAACTATAGTTGCCACATTTTACAATAGATTTCTTGAACTTATTTCTCCTAACTGAAATTTTGTACCCTTTGACTGACATAATCCAATCCCCACCACCCCACCCCTGACAACCACCATTCTACTTTTTGCTTTTATGAGTTCACCTTTTTTAGATTCTATGTTAAGTGAGATCATGTGGTATCTCATGGTATTTAACTTCTGTCCCATCTTCATTGAAACCCAGGGAAGAATACTTGTACTCTTTGAGTTGTCGATGCCTTGCCTAGCCAGTCTCCTGAAAGAACGCAGTATTTTGGACTTTACTGAAGCCCTCAGCACTTTTGATGTTGTTCTGATTAAGTTTTCAAACCCTCTGAACTTCTCTCCTAGAGGTTCATAGTGCTGCAGAGACAGAAGAACCATAAGAGCTTAAACATTCTTTTCCCACCCATAGTGCTGTCCCTTTGGATGGGCAGCTTTAGAGCCAAGCCCTTTGTGAGCACAGGCTCAGGTGTTTACCACAAACCCTGTTTTAATACTTCTGTGTCTAGCATTCATCTTATCTCAGGGCCTTTAGCTGGGTGCTCTAGGGCTAGGGAACTCAATACTAAACAACATGTCATTGACAAACCAGAGACCAGCAGAACTGGATTCAAGCCTGATGTAGTTACAGAAGAGCCCTCATGCATAGCTGAATGCTTTTCTCACTAATCTTCTATAGGAATGTATGTTTTGAGTTCTCTTGAGAGAGAGCCAGAAGTTCACCTGCCACTTGGAACAGATTTAGAGCAGAGCTAATTTTTGCCCTTTAGTGACCACTGAAGAGTCAGTGTTAGTGCGGGGTTGCCTGTTAACCCCATGTGGTGATGTACAGCATTGTCTGAGGACCCATCTTGGAGGGACCATGTGAGATTCCAAAAAGGACTCAAGACTCAGTTATGGTTTTATAATTTCAAGGATCAGTATACTGTAAGAGTAAGGGTTCTGCTGTCAGACGAACTGATTTGAGATAGCATTTCCCCCATGCATTAACTATGTAACTTTGAGCAAGTTACATAATCTCTTGGATTCTCAGTTTCTCATTAATATACATGTGGTAATAGCAGTACTACCTCAAGGAGTGTTAGGTGGGCTAAATGAGATGATGAGTCTGGCATCCCTCTATAATCCCTGAAATAATAATAACAGCAATAGCATTTTTTTTGGTGCAACTTAGTATAAGGTTGGCACAGTATTAAGCACATTACATGCTTTACATACAAAGAGGCTGTATTACTATCTCCAGGGTAATGTTAGATGAAGAAGCTGAAACTTTTGCCTAAATCCAAGGTCTATGCTCTTACTCTTGACCAAAGAAGAGGTACCTCTGTGTCCTGGTAGTTCTATGCCATAAAACTGGCTACAGGAACTTTTGAGAATATAATATCATGACCAGTCTGGCTCCCTTACCAGTTTGTTCACCAACTTTCCAAGGTGGAGCAGATCTCTATTACTGATAAGATTAGCTCTGCCCCAGACTCCACTGTAATCAAGGAGAAAATAATTAGCTCCAAGCCGAGAGACATCTGCCCGCTGACTCCACTCTGACTCTATATTGAAGTTATGATAGAAGCCCTCATCTTTCACCCCAGTTCTGATAACTGGATCCCTGTCATATTTCCTTTTGTCCCCACACCAAAGTTCCTCAAGAGTCATCCTCCATTGATTGCTAATCCAAGAAACTTCTTGATCACTTATCTATCTAGACATCAGTCTGCCCAGCATTCCTCCTATGGCATGGAAAGTGGTGCTTAGATTCTTAGCCTGAAGTGACTTTTCCATCCATTCATTAATTAATTCATTAAATAATATTTAGTGAACATGACCACTGCATTCCTGATCTCAAGATACAAGGTCCTTTAACCACCCTCTCTTTTAGAACTGTCTCGTTACTTGAACAAACTCTCATTCTAATAGTTCCTAGTTCTGCCACAACTTCATTCTTCCCTTTGCTTTCTGCAAATTTCATGGACAGCCAACAATCTTAGGATAGAAAATTCTCAAGTGGTTGCTGCCTGTCCACCTTGGAAACTTGAGCTCCAAGGGCAGCTCTAATCACTGGTTTCATCACAGAAAAAGAAGTGGAGCTGAATAAAGCAGCTGAGGTTGAAGTCCATTGTGTTAACTCAAGGAAAACGTTTTTTTCGTTTCTCGCTTGTTTTGCTCACAAGTATAAAGACAAAGAACTACTTTAATAGGAAGTTTCAGTCACAAAGAAATTTCACAAAGAAACAAACCCAATACTGTACTTTGGTTGATAAGAGAGGTTTCTAACACACAGAGAAAATGCACTGGGGGCTTCTCTTTTGTTGATATTGTGCCCTAATCAAAATATCTTGTTAGATTTTCAATAAGAATGCTCCATGGCTATATTTGCCAAATTCATTTCTATATTTAACAGTGTCATAGCAGGTCTCTAAAAGATAGATTTCATGCAATATGTTAGTGTGCCCTTGGAATGACAAACCAGGTAGTTAAGTTGATTAATGGAGGATATGTTTATTCACTACTTTGAATAAAACACAGTCAGAGGGGTCAATAAGTGAACTCTTCGTGGAGGCCAGTGTTATCACCTCTATTAATATATTAATACTATCCATTCCTTGCTTGCCTCACTAATCAATTTTTTTTAATATTAGTTTTCAGGCCAGGCTCTTTCTCAAGGCTTGTCCAGGCAAACATGATAAAGCACAGGTTCCAATCAAATGACGATCATGGTTGGTGTAAACTCTCTTGCAACACATTAAGCAGAGCCTATGGGAAAGAACTTGCCTAGCAGGAAAATAAAGGTGCAGCCAAGGACACACCAAGCCTTTCTGTCCTTCTTTTAGGGAAATTCGTGCACTGTTACATCTCACTCGGTTCATATTATCTTCAAGGATCTGTACAGTCAGTGAACAAAGTTCTCTTGAACAAGCTAATTTCAAGGTTCACAGATTATCCAAACACCATTTCTTTTCTGGACTGACTGTATGCTTCCACCTTTATCACAGTGATTCACACTTCCCTGCCAGTGGACGTGAATTCTTTATTTTGCAGGAGGGAAGAAGGCTGGTTGGGTATGTTGGGGGCCAGGTAAAGAATCAGTAAGTTGGCCGGGCGCGGTGGCTCACGCCTGTAATCCCAGCACTTTGGGAGGCCAAGGAGGGCGGATCACGAGGTCAGGAGATTGAGACCATTCTGCCTAACACGGTGAAACCCTGTCTCTACTGAAAATATAAAAAATTAGCCAGGCGTGGTGGTGGGCGCCTGCAGTCCCAGCTACTCAGGAGGCTGAGGCGGGAGAACGGTGTGAACCCGGGAGGCGGAGCTTGCAGTGAGCAGAGATCGTGCCACTGCACTCCAGCCTGGGCGACAGAGTGAGACTCCGTCTCAAAAAAAAAAAAAAAAAAAAAAAAGAATCAGTGAGTCAATAATGCAATAATGGATCCTTCTTTCTCTATTTAACCACAAGGGATCATTCGGTTGGAAGGGTAATGGTGATTAATCAAAGTCATCAAACTAAATTCCCTTTTCTTTGTGTGTGTGTGTGTGTGTGTGTGTGTGTGTGTGTGTGTATTTCTGGCAGCACTGGACCTCACTCCCACTTAGCAACCATTGACTTTTGGTGTGAATTGGCCGCCTCCTGTGGATGAGGCTGAAATCCTCCACTTTTCTACAATCTTCCTGCTTATTGCTGTCCCACTCCTGGTCCTCTTCATCCATTTACAACACCTGCCTTGCCCCACTTCTGGAGACTGTGAGGTTGTTCACCCCTGTTTTCACACTAGAACCCTGGTGAGGTTCTATCAGGCCAAACTCCAACTTTTAGAAGCCTAGAAAGTAAGATGCTCATGTTGGAAATACTTCCGACCCTGTGGGCATCCCTAGCAGTTGATGATAAGCCCTGCCCATGTTCCTGGCGATTTTCAGCATGCCCCAGCCCACATCCATCTGCGAATGTCTCCATCTCTGTACCTGTGGGCATTTTCTTCCAGATTCGTATAGTTTGCTCTGGCCATTCACTTGCTAATCTGCTTCTTTTTTCCTTATTTCAATTTTATTTATTTATTTCACTGATACATAGTATTTGTACATATTTATGGGGTACATGTAATATTTTGTTTCATGCATAGAATGTGTAATGATCAAATCAGGGTTTTTAGGATATCAACCATCTTGAGCATTTATCATTTTTATATGTTGGGAATATTTCAAATTCTCTCTTCTAGCTATTTTGAAATATGCAATACATTGTTGTTAATCATAGTCACCCTATTCTGCTATTTAATATTAGAACTTAATCCTTCTATCTAACTGTATATTTGTACCCATTATACTATCTCTCTTAATCCTCTCTGCTTCTGTTTGGGATGGTCAAGGTGCTTAATTTTCTCTTTCCAGCTTCTCCCTTTTCTTGGATTTTCTAGTGAAGCTATTTTTAAATGGGTTGTTTTGAACACATAGCATCCAATGGGAATAAACAAAATCTCTGCTGGCCAGGCATAGTGGCTCACGCTTGTAATCCCGGACCTTTGGGAGACGAAGGTAGGCAGATGGCTTGAGCTCAGGAGTTCAAGACCAGCCTGGGCAACATGGTGAAACCCTGACGCTACAGAAAATACAACAAATTAGCTGGGCATGGTGATGCGCACCTGAAGTCCCAGCTACTCAGGAGGCTGAGGGGGGAGGATTGATTGAGTCCAGGAAGTTGAGGTTGCAGTGAGCCATGATTGTGCCACTGCACTCTAGCCTGAGCGACAAAATGAGACCCTGTTGCAAAAACAAAACAAACAAACAAAACCTCTGCTAATGACTTCCAAATGTATATCTTCAACGGTGACTCTTTTTAATCTCCATACTCATATATTTAATTGCCTTGAATTTCCAGTTGTATTCATCACAGGCATCACAAACACATTATTTTGATTTTTCCTTCCAAAGCTGCTCTGCCCCAACCCCACTCACTGCCCCAGCCTGCCTCATCTCATTAAATTGCACCATTTACACTGCATTAAGTTGCTCAGATCTCAAACCTAGGACTCATTCTTGATTCCTCTCTTATTTCCTTCCTCATCATATGACGATCTGTTGGCTTACTTTCAAAACGTGTGTCAAATATGACCACTTCTCATCACCTCCACTGCTACACCTGTCATTCAAGATACCACCTATCATCTCTCACTAGGATGATTGCAAAGACTCCTAAGCTTCCACTGTTTTTAAAAATTGTAAATTGAAAACTTAGAATTATATACAAAATTTGTGGGATACAAAGTTATGTTATAATTTATGAATATAATGTGGGATAATTAAATTAAGCTAGTTAACATATCCATTACCTCAAATACTTAGCATTTTTTGTGGAGAGAATATTTGAAATTTACTTCCTTAGCAATTGTGAAATGTATGATATTCTATTATTAACTACGTTCATCATACTGAGCAATAGAACTCAAAAAAGAAAAACAAAACATATTCTTTCTGTCTGAGATTTTGTACCCTTTGATTCTCATCTCCCCATCCTCCCCATTCCCCAGCCTCTGTAACCATACTTTTCTTCTATGAGTTCGATTATTTCAGCTTCCACATATAAGTGAAAAATGTAAGCTTTCATTCTTGCCCCACTTTCAGTATGATCTTATAGCCACAGTGATCATGTGACCTGCTTGCTTAAAACCCTTACATCACTTTCTGTTACATACAGAGCCATGTTTACAAGGCCCCTGTGATCTTTTAAGGCTCATTTTCCACTATTCTTTCCCTCATTCATGCTGCTCCAGCTACACTGTCTCAAACATTTCAAGATTTTCCCATCTCAGAAGCTGTGTATTTCTCCTTTTGGGCATGTTCTTCTCTTGGGCATGCTTCTTTTCTTGGTTGTCCTTCCCTCATACCTTTGCCTGGCTTGCTCCCTCTCACTTCACTTGGGTCTCAGCTCAAATGTCTTCACTCTTTCAGAAATGTCTACATAACCACATGGCCATAAATAAATATATTGTAAAAACTTGTTTGTATTTTGTTTTCCCCATGGAAATAAGTCCCAAATTGTCAAGAACCTTGTTTGCCTTGCTTATTAGTATTCCCCAACACTTAGAACAGTGCCTGGAACATATTATGCTTAAAAAATATTGGATGGATGAATCAATTCATTGATATATACTAAAGTGAGAACTAAAGTGAATTGAATTAAATCAGCAAAGCTCTCAAGCTTGGCTTGAATCAATGTTTGGAGAATAGAAGAATGAATAAGGAAGAAGACAATTTCATTAGCTTAGGTAGCTACTTTCTAACCTTTCCCATCTTTTAATTGAAAGGCTGGCCCTACAATATAATAGCACTTACTGATAACTTATTATATCCAAAGCATTAGAGTGGGGAATACAAAATTGCATCAGACCTGATCTCAAACTTTTTGTGTATGTGTGTGTGTATATAATAGAGACAGGTTTAATCAAAGAGGAGTAAGAAAACTTCTGATACAAACTATAGGTACTCACTGCTCTATAATTAGACCTAATTCATAAAAACTTGTAAGATATTTTGCGGTGAGCAGTATAGCTTTAGGACAGAGCTTCTCAATGAGTTTGCTAGTTGCAAGTTTGCCTCATGAGTAGCCGCTTTCTTTTACTAAAACTAACACAAACATATTAAAACTAAAACTAAACACTGCATATAAAAAGAGTGGGAAGCAATGCAGCTTCAGAGGAGAAAGAGTTCTGTTTGGGCGTTGGCTAAAGTAATCTTTCTGGGACCTTATAGGGCTACTTCAGGCATCTATGGCATTCAAACTCAACTATGGCTTTTGCTGCTCCCTGTTTTAGGAGAAAATAGTGCCTCAGTGATGCTACCTTAAATTTCTTACTTTCTTTCTTTTTGTTTGTTTGTTTGAGAAAGGTCTCACTCTGTTACCCAGGCAGGAGAGTGATGTTATCAATGTCAGGTATCCAGTAATGACATAGCCGAGGCTACCTCCTGTCAGAGGAAATTCACCAACCTGAGTCTTCGGCTTTTTGCAGCATCTTTCTGTTGTTCTTGGAGATGCTATCTAGCAGTTGAAAATATAGTAGAGTGAATGCAACTCTCTCCAGCCATTCCAAAGGCACAAACTTTTCTCACTCTTTTTTTTTTTTTTTTTTTTTTTTAGCTTTCTACAGCTTTAATTTGGTTTGGATCCCATGCCCATGACCCTGCCAACTGACAATTCTAGGCATGCGCAAACTGGCCCCAAAAATTCCTCCCACCTTTCCAAAGAACTATTTGGCACTTTATGTGAAGTACCTGGTTTTTCCATTTTCTTTCCTTTTTATTATTATTATTATTATACTTTAAGTTTTAGGGTACATGTGCACAACCTGCAGGTTTGTTACATATGTATACATGTGCCATGTTGGTGTGCTGCACCCAGTAACTCGTCATTTAGCATTAGGTATATCTCCTAACGCCATCTCTCCCCCATCCCCCCACCATGCAACCATCCCCGGTGTGTGATGTTCCCCTTCCTGTGTCCATGTGTTTTCATTGTTCATTTCCCACCTATGAGTGAGAACATGCAGTGTTTGGTTTTTTGTCCTTGTGATAGTTTGCTGAGAGTGATGGTTTCCAGCTTCATCCATGTCCCTACAAAGGACATGAACTCATCATTTTTTATGGCTGCATAGTATTCCATGGTGTATATGTGCCACATTTTCTTAATCCAGTCTATCATTGTTGGACATTTGGGTTGGTTCCAAGTCTTTGCTATTGTGAATAGTGCCGCAGTAGACATACGTGTGCATGTGTCTTTATAGCAGCATGATTTATAATCCTTTGGGTATATACCCAGTAATGGGATTGCTGGGTCAAATGGTATTTCTAATTCTAGATCCCTGAGGAATCACCACACCGACTTCCACAATGGTTGAACTAGTTTACAGTCCCATCAACAGTGTAAAAGTGTTCCCATTTCTCCACATCCTCTCCAGCACCTGTTGTTTCCTGACTTTTTAATGATCGCCATTCTAACTGGTGTGAGATGGTATCTCATTGTGGTTTTGATTTGCATTTCTCTGATGGCCAGTGATGATAGCATTTTACTGTGTCTTTTGGCTGCATAAATGTCTTCTTTTGAGAAGTGTCTGTTCATATCCTTTGTCCACTTTTTGATGGTGTTGTTTGTTTTTTTCTTGTAAATTTGTTTGAGTTCATTGTAGATTCTGGATATTAGCCCTTTGTCAGATGAGTGGGTTGCAAAAATTTTCTCCCATTCTGTAGGTTGCCTGTTCACTCTGATGGTAGTTTCTTTTGCTGTGCAGAAGCTCTTGAGTTTAATTAGATCCCATTTGTCAATGTTGGCTTTTGTTGCCATTGCTTTTGGTGTTTTAGTCATGAAGTCCTTGCCCATGCCTATGTCCTGAATGGTATTGCCTAGGTTTTCTTCCAGGGTTTTTATGGTTTTAGGTCTAACATGTAAGTATTTAATCTATTTTGAATTAATTTTTGTATAAGGTGTAAGAAAGGGATCCAGTTTCAGCTTTCTACATATGGTTAGCCAGTTTTCCCAGCACCATCTACTAAATAGGGAATCCTTTCCCCATTTCTTGTTTTTGTCATGTTTGTCAAAGATCAGATAGTTGTAGATATGCGGCATTATTTCTGAGGGCTCTGTTCTGTTCCATTGATCTATATCTCTGTTTTGGTACCAGTACCATTTTGTTTTGGTTACTGTAGCCTTGTAGTATAGTTTGAAGTCAGTTAGCGTGATGCCTCCAGCTTTGTTCTTTTGGCTTAGGATTTACCTGGCAATGCGGGCTCTTTTTTGGTTCCTTATGAACTTTAAAGTAGTTTTTTCCAATTCTGTGAAGAAAGTCATTGGTAGCTTGATGGGGATGGCATTGAATCTATAAATTACCTTGGGCAGTATGGCCATTTTCACGATATTGATTCTTCCTACCCATGAGCATGGAATGTTCTTCCATTTGTTTGTATCCTCTTTTATTTCATTGAGCAGGGGTTTGTAGTTCTCCTTGAAGAGGTCCTTCACATCCCTTGTAAGTTGGAGTCCTAGGTATTTTATTCTCTTTGAAGCAATTATGAATGGGAGTTCACTCATGATTTGGTTCTCTGTTAGTCTGTTGTCGGTGTATAAGAATGCTTGTGATTTTTGCACATTGATTTTGTATCCTGAGACTTTGCTGAAGTTGCTTATCAGCTTAAGGGGATTTTGGACTGAGACGATGGGGTTTTCTAGATATACAATCATGTCATCTGCAAACAGGGACAATTTGACTTCCTCTTTTCCTAATTGAATGCCCTTTATTTCCTTCTCCTGCCTGATTGCCCTGGCCAGAACTTCCAACACTATGTGGAATAGGAGTGGTGAGAGAGGGCATCCGTGTCTTGTGCCAGTTTTCAAAGGGAATGCTTCGAGTTTTTGTCCATTCAGTATGATATTGGCTGTGCGTTTGTCATAGATAACTCTTATTATTTTGAGATACGTCCCATCAATACCGAATTTATTGAGAGTTTTTAGCATGAAGGGGTGTTGAATTTTGTCAAAGGCCTTTTCTGCATCTATTGAGATAATCATGTGGTTTTTGTCTTTGGTTCGTTTATATGCTGGATTACGTTTATTGATTTGTGTATGTTGAACCAGACTTGCATCCCAGGGATGAAGCCCACTTGATCATGGTGGATAAGCTTTTTGATGTGTTGCTGGATTCAGTCTGCCAGTATTTTATTGAGGATTTTTGCATCAATGTTTATCAAGGATATTGGTCTAAAATTCTCTTTTTTTGTTGTGTCTCTGCCAGGCTTTGGTATCAGGATGATGCTGACCTCATAAAATGAGTTAGGGAGGATTCCCTCTTTTTCTATTGATTGGAATAGTTTCAGAAGGAACGGTACCAGCTCCTCCTTGTACCTCTGGTAGAATTCGGCTGTGAATCCATCTGGTCCTGGATTTTTTTTAGTTGGTGAGCTATTAATTATTGCCTCAATTTCAGAGCCTGTTATTGGTGTATTCAGAGATTCAACTTCTTCCTGGTTTATTCTTGGGAGGGTGTATGTTTTGAGGAATTTATCCATTTCTTCTAGATTTTCTAGTTTATTTGCGTAGAGGTGTTTATAGTATTCTCTGATGGTAGTTTGTATTTCTGTGGGATCGGTGGTGATATCCCCTTTGTCATTTTTTCTTGCGTCTATTTGATTCTTCTCTCTTTTCTTCTTTATTAGCCTTGCTAGCGGTCTATCAATTTTGTTGATCTTTTCAAAAAACCAGCTCCTGGATTCGTTGATTTTTTGAAGGGTTTTTTGTGTCTCTATTTCCTTCAGTTCTGCTCTGATCTTAGTTATTTCTTTCCTTCTGCTAGCTTTGGAATGTGTTTGCTCTTGCTTCTCTAGTTCTTTTAATTGTGATGTTAGGGTGTCAATTTTAGATCTTTCCTGCTTTCTCTTGTGGGCATTTAGTGCTATAAATTTTCCTCTACACACCGCTTTGAATGTGTCCCAGAGATTCTGGTATGTTGTGTCTTTGTTCTCATTGGTTTCAAAGAACATCTTTATTTCTGCCTTCATTTTATTATGTACCCAGTAGTCATTCAGGAGCAGGTTGTTCAGTTTCCATGTAGTTGAGCGGTTTTGAGTGAGTTTCTTAATTCTGAGTTCTAGTTTGATTGCACTGTGGTCTGAGAGACAGTTTGTTATAATTTCTGTTCTTTTACATTTGCTGAGGAGTGCTTTACTTCCAACTATGTGGTCAATTTTGGAATAGGTGTGGTGTGGTGCTGAAAAGAATGTATATTCTGTTGATTTGGGGTGGAGAGATCTGTAGATGTCCATTAGGTCCGCTTGGTGCAGAGCTGAGTTCAATTCCTGGATATCCTTGTTAACTTTCTGTCTCGTTCACCTGTCTAATGTGGACAGTGGGGTGTTAAAGTCTCCCATTATTATTGTGTGGGAGTCTAAGTCTCTTTGAAGGTCACTAAGGACTTGCTTTATGAATCTGGGTGCTCCTGTATTGGGTGCATATATATTTAGGATAGTTAGTTCTTCTTGTTGAATTGATCCCTTTACCATTATGTAACCACCAGGCCTGCCCTAAAAGAGCTCCTGAAGGAAGCACTAAACATGGAAAGGAACAACTGGTACCAGCCACTGCAAAAACATGCCAAACTGTAACGACCATCAAGGCTAGGAAGAAACTGCATCAACTAATGAGCAAAATAACCAGCTAACATCATAATGACAGGATCAAATTCACACATAACAATACTAACCTTAAATGTAAATGGGCTAAATGCTCCAATTAAAAGGCACAGACTGGCAAATTGGATAAAGAGTCAAGACCCATCAGTGTGCTGTATTCAGGAAACCCATCTCACATGCAGAGACACACATAGGCTCAAAATAAAGGGATGGAGGAAGATCTACCAAGCAAATGGAAAACAAAAAAAGGCAGGGGTTGCAATCCTAGTCTCAGATAAAACAGACTTTAAACCAAGAAAGATCAAAAGAGACAAAGAAGGCCATTACATAATGGTAAACAAACTTTTCTCTCTTTTTTGAGAGAATTACACAGGGGATTAGGAATTATATGAATTTTGTTGTTTAACAAGAAGCCCTCCCCTTTCTCTCCTTTCAAATTTCTCCTCTTAAATTTCTTTATTTTTCTTCCTTCTCCTTTATGTTTGCCTTTTCTCTCTTCCCCTGCTCTTCCTGTCTTCTTTTCATCCTCCTCACCTCTGTCTGCCTTTTTCCCAACTCTCCTTGGAGGTGGTGGTTCATGATGGTCAGTGAGTAATAGGCAGTCAGAGAGATGAATTCCAAAATCAACTGTGGGGAAGCAACCCACACACCACAGTGATGCTTTTCCTTCCTTTCTCCTTGCACTTCTCCCCTGGATGAACCAAGGACTTGGGTTTTTCTGCCAGTGCTCTATGATGGAGTACAGTTGGAGAAGGAGGAAATAGGAAAGAAATGGGGCTTGATTTAATCACAGCAGGGGTTCACTTGTCAGAATATCAAGCTAATTTATAGCATTGTGACATGGAACATCACATTTCAGAACACAGAATTAAAATCAGTAGGATCTCACGGTTGTCCAGGTAGGGTCTTTCTGAGGAGGGGTCCTGAGGGGGCATTGCCACCACCCATCTGCATTGTTGCCAGAAAAATAGCTGTTTACCAGATTTATAAGGCTGAATTTGTTTTGGTTGAATTCCACATGCCTGGTAAATGTACTAGTCTGGCCTGGTTGTCCCGAGGGAGGACAGAGCACACTCCATAAGCTGTGACTCTAGAGGGAACTGGGCTGGTTTCAAGAAAGTCCTGGGCCTGACCAGTGAGCAAGATTTAGTGTTTTCTTCCATGTCCTTCCTTGCCCTCCAAAGTTCAGGTAAGTGACTAGATTCACAAACTTATTTCAGAATGCCAGGAGGAGACTCATGGAATCATAGAAACTTACAACTGCAAGGGACTTTAAAGATCACCGACCCCACTACTGACTTATGTTCCATCTTTCTTCTCTGCTTCTGGCCTCTGCCTGAGCAGTGACAGGGAACTTCCAAGTTCCTGAGATAGCACATCTGATATTTATAATTTTAGAGACAGCTCTGACAATTGGAAAGCTCTTCTTCATATTGAGTCAACATCTCTCTGGGCTAAAGTTTTTCCCACTGGTCTCTCTCGAGCTCTTCTGGGACCTTGTGAAACAAGTCCTGGGTCTGTCTAAAAAGAAACTGGATCTCCAAACCTTCCAAAGAAATTAATTTTCTTTCTTTTTTTAATTTAACTTTTAAGTTGGGGTACATGTGCAAGTTTGTTATATAGGTAAACTTGTGTCATGGGAGTTTGTCATACAGATTATTTTGTCACCCGGGTATTAAGCCTAGTACTCAACAGTTATTTTTTCTGATCCTCTCCTTCCTCTCATCCTCCACTCTCTGATAAGCTCCAGTGTGTGTTGCTTCCTTCTTTGCATTCATGTGTTCTCATCCTTTAGCTTCCACTTATAAAAGAGAGCATGTGGTATTTGGTTTTCTGTTACTGTGTTGGTTTGCCAAGGATAATGGCCTCCAGCTCCATCCATGTTCCCGCAAAGGACATGATCTTGTTCTTTTTTATGGCTGCATAGTATTCCACAGTGTATGTGTACCACATTTCCTTTATTCTAAATACCCCTTGATGGGCATTTGTGTTGATTCAATATCCTTACTATTGTGAATAGTGTACATATGCATGCCTGTGTCTTTATAATAGAGTGATTTATCTTTCTCTGCATATATACCTAGTAAGGGGATTGCTGGGTTGAATGGTATTTCTGTCTTTTGGTCTTTGAGGAATTGCCACAGTGTCTTCCACAATGGTTGAATTAATTTACACTCCCAACAACAGTGTATAAGCATTCCTTTTTCTCTGCAACCTTGCTAACATCTATTATTTTTTGACTTTTTAATAATAGCTATTCAAAGAAATTAATTTTCTAAGGTCCTCTCTAGAAATAGCCTTAGGTCTTGAAACTGACATTAAACAAAGTAGTTGAAGCCAGGTGTACTCAGTGAGTTTAATTAGAATGGCATGATTCTCTTTCTTGAATGTTCTCATTATTTTTTAGAAGATGGCATGAAGGCACTCATTATTATTATTATTATTGGTTTAAAAGTAAAGGCCCCAAAATAGATTCAACAGAGAAAAAAAATTATAAGAAGATTCTTTCCTCCAAATGATAGTCTTTTTCTGGGCTCCTTTCTGATATGATTTTGGGGCATTGATTAAAAAAGGTTATAGAAACAAGACACAGCTCTACTTGATCAAGGAGCAGGAAGTCATAAATTTTGTATATTAAAAGCATTGGGTGTGAGAGGATTAAATTCCTTCAGCTACTGGATCAAACTGGAGAGGAGAGCTCTAAACAACTTTCAGGTGTGAGCAAGAAATTCTGCAAGTCCTCTTAGGTAAGGAGGCACTTTCTACTTTATTTCTCATCATTTATGTGTTCAACAAATGTTTGTTAGGCATCAGTCACATGTTGGGCTCTGTGCTCCAAATATGAATGGGGGCTTAAGGAGGGCCATGTTTTCCTTTTACCTTCTGAGGCTTTACTTGAAACCAGTTTTGTCAACTGTGCTGATAGGTTTGGATGAGATTCACTGTTTACTAATGGCTTTTCTGTTCTTATCACCATGAAAATGCAGCCAGAGCCAGAGTTTTATTGGCTTACTTTCAACAATGGTAATATTTTTTGATTCATCAAATGGAGCCCCTAAATCCAATTAGCCATCTGGCTTAACTTAATTTTTGATCAACTTAAGTGTGAATTCCTTTTTTTAAAACTAATGTTCTTTATTTTTTTAAAAAACTTAAGCTTTCATTTTAGGCTCAAGGGTACACGATTAGGTTTTTTATATACATGTGAATATACCTGCTTATAATTACTTATCTGTAGTATATGTTCATAAAACCATCTTTAATGCTTCAATACCCCTTGAATTTTATGACTGAAAAAGAAAATATGTTATTAATCTTTGGTATTGTTACAAAAATAAATGTTGAGCCTTGACAATCCTTGGAGTGTCCAAGCAGTGAGTTTCTGTACACATTGATGTTGCCTAGGGAAACAGAGTATCTGGAAACAGAAATTTGGGTTTGGCTGAAGGTGGAATGGGTGAAATAGCAACTGGGTTCTGGGGAGAACCAAGAGCCATATGTTAAGATGTGGTTAGGGAAACAGATGCCCTTCTCATAAATGGAGATGGTCTGCAAGTTGCCTTCCTCTGGGAACCAAGGTTTGGTTTCAGCCAGAAATAGTGGTATGTAAATATCCTGATTCCCTCATGTGCAGAGAGAGAACTAAGCCAGTAAATACAGAGCCTTTTTTAGTCAGCAGAAGGCAAATGAAGACTCAACTAAATGCGTTACCTAAATGGAAATGTGAATTTAGTTTGCAAAATGCTATAAAGGTGCTGCCATTCAGCATGACAAGCAGAAAAGATGATTTAAAAAATGAAATCCTTTGCTTTATTCCATCAAGGCATTCAACTAGCAAACTCTTCATATAAGTGTGCAGAGATGGAAATGGGAGAAGTGCAGGTGAGAGCGCTTGGGATTTGTGACCCGAATTCACCTTTGGCAGCTTGCGGTCCTTAAGTTGCCAAGTGTTCTGGGACCACTATCTCTCTATGGCCTCCCTTCCCCTTTCCATTAGCTCTCTGCATTTTTCTTATATTTTACTTCTATGCGCTCAAAGGTCTGGAATCTGGGGATGTTTGTAGAAGAGTTATGGTTCAATCAGGTATGTTGGGGAAGAAATAGTTTGCTATTTGAAAGACCATGCCTCAAATTGTTCTTGCATGATTTTCATTTCTAATTGTGAGGACATGAAAATATCCTGTGCTGTTCAATACAGTAGCCACTAGCCCCATGTGGCTGTTTATATTTAATTTTAAAGTAATTTAAATCAAATTAAAATTTCAGTGCTTTGGTCACATTAGCTACAATTCAAATATTAAATTGCCACATGGATGGTGAATATTTAGAACATTTCCAACATCACAGAATGTTCTGTGCCACAGCACTGGTAGACTGCGTCTACTGGTTTGCTGCCAACCTCTTCCAATGACTAACATTTGTTGTGTGTTTAACTTAAACATGTATTCCTAATAACAAACATCTTACTCATTTTAATGACATATAGACTATATCAACGGTAGGTTTTGCCCTACTTCTTTAGAGTACTGGCCTGAAGGAACTAATTCAGTGCATTTCTCTGGTTCTGCTGACCTGCTGACCTCTTCTGATGGTCCAAGGTGATCTCTGATGAAGTCTTCATTTTCTCTCTCTGACATAGCCTTTGTCATTTTTACCTTTAATGACATTTAATGTCATTTTTACCTCTACTTATTTACTGTTTTTTAACACCATCTGTTCTTTCCTCTGTTTATTCTTTTTCATCAACTTTTTAGGCCTTTTCTCTCTTCTGCATATTCTTGTGTATATTTTTATACGTAAAAAATATTTCCTGTCTGCGCATGGTGGCTCACACCTGTAATCCCAGCATTTTGGAGGGCTGAGGCGGGAGGATCACTTGACCCCGGGAGTTCAAGGCTAGCTTGGGCAACATAGGGAGATCCCATTTCTACTAAAAAAAAAAAAAAAAAATTAAGGCCGGGCACGGTGACTCATGCCTGTAATCCCAGCACTTTGGGAAGCCAAGGAGGGCAAATCACTTGAGGTCAGGAGATTGAGACCAGCCTGGCCAACATGGTAAAACCCCATCTCTACTAAAAATACAAAAATTTTTATTAGAGGTGTGGTGGTGTACACCTGTAGTCCCAGGTATTGGGACTACAGTGAGCCATGATCATGCCACTGTACTCCAACCTGGGTGACAGAGCAAAACCCTCTCAAAAAAAAATTTTCTTTCAGAAAAGTTTAAGAACTTTAAATATATAGAAAGGGTATATATAATGTGTATCTATAAATAATTTAAGAAAATAATATAAAGTATACTTACATTCTTATCAGCTAGCTAAAGACCTAGAAGACTACTCCTACATTACATGTTTTCTGTACGTCTCTCCTTCTGTATTCCCTTCTCACCAAGTGGTAACCATTATTCTAAATTTTGTGTTAATATTTCCTCTGATCTTTAATACCTTTATTACATATATGCTTATCTCTAAATAATACAACATATATTTTTGCCCATTTTTGAACTTTACATATGTGGAATCATGCTGTGTACATTTTTCTATGACTTGCTTTTTTGGCTCAACATTACATTTGGGGGATTCTTTCACTTGAAATGTTATTCTATGAGACTTAGTTCTTTCACTCGAGATTATGTTTTTGAGAATAATTCATGTTAATATGTGCACATGTAGCTCATCGTTTTCATATCTGTATAATAATCCATTGTTTGAGTATATGCAGCAATTTATTTACTGGTTTTACTCTTAATGGGCATTTGGGTTCTCTGCATTATTTCTTTCACTATTATGACCTGAGGTACTATGGACACACTATTTTTTTCCAATCAGCTTCCTCAGGTTAAAGGACATTCTTACACATCTCTTGACGCACATGTGCATCAGATTCCTAAAATATTTACCCAATGGTGCCCACCCAGGTTAAGGATGGGTCTGCCTTTCCCAGCCCACTTTCTTTGATCTTTTTTCTATGCTTATTTCACCTTCATTTCTCCCCTCATCTCTATACTGCATAATACTCTCCATTTGCTCATTCACTAAATAAAAGGAAGAATTATTTTATCCTCAGGAAAGTGTCATTTTGGATGAAAAGGACTGGTATATATCACATATATATATCCTATATATATGTGTGTGTGTGTATATATATGTAAATATATATGTGTATATATAAATATATATGTGTATATATATAAATATATGTGTGTGTATATATATATATATATATAAAAATAAAAGGAAGTTTATTAAGTATTAACTCACATGATCACATGGTCCTGCAATAGGCCATCTGCAGGCTGAGGAGCAAGGAGAGCCAGTCCGAGTCCCAAAACTGAAGAACCTGGAGTCTGATGTTTGAGGGCAGGAAGCATCCAGTACAGGAGAAAGATGTAGGCTGGGAGGCTAGGCTTTATATTTTAAACAAGCTGGCAGCTGATTAAATGGTGCCCACCCACGTTAAGGGTGGGTCTGCCTTTCCCAGCCCACTGACTTGAATGTTAATCTCCTTTGGCAACACCCTTACCGACACACCCAGGATCAATACTTTGCATCCTTCAATCCAATCAAGTTGACGCTCAGTATTAATCATCACAACTGGCTTCCTGGAAGTACTAGGGAGTGACGAAAAGACAGACCTGGTTTTGAAACCCAGCTCTCCTCCTGTTAGATGTCTCTGGCCATTGGCTAGTCGTTAGTTAACCTCATTGAGCTTCACTTCCTTCATCAGTAAAATGAAGGGTTCTAAAACTTTTTTTCAGAGAGTAGTGTGAAGATTAAATGAAATAACACATGTAAAGCCTTCAGCACTTGGCATGGTACATAGTAGGCACTCAATATGTCTTGGTTTTTTTTCTTCGTCTTTGTTAGAAATAAAATATTTCATTATCTACACTACACCTTACAAGCAAAAGGCCAGACTCGCTGTCTACTTCACCGATTAGTAGCCAGTAAAGAGACAGATGGAAATGTTTTAGGACTTCTACTCATTCTCTCTCAATGCCTCTTATTGACCCTCTACTCCACGCCCTTGTTCTTGTCACCAGTGGGCTGGAAGCACATAATCAGGGTCATCAGTATGTGATGCAGGAGCATCAGTAGCCACCAGTCTAGTCTAGCACACAGGAGAGAGTGATGAGGCAGTGAGGTGAACAAAACAATGTCATACAGTCTTGGATGTTTGTTCAGACCTACCATAATTCAAGACATATGCGGATTTGGAGTAGATTATGATTGGGGAGTTCCTTTCAGGAGAGGTGACCTCTAAAAGGTCTATGCTGGTCATCAGGGCTTGAAAACAGCCAATGTGAGGGTCACTGACAAGGGTTTGCATTTGTTCAAGGAGCTTTGCCTCTACAGACTTGATAACCTTTCTATCTTCCTGGAAATGAGCTTATGGCTATGGCTCTTCAAAGGCTTGGTATTATGAAGGTATGGTAGCTAGCTCTGGATAGAGGGGTGCTGGCTCTACACTGGGAAGCACTGCCTCATAGGCAAGCTGTGATGAAGGAACTTGGTCACAGGATTAGAGTGTGGACGCTTTCATTGGAAGAAAGTAGAGAGTTGGGGCAAACAAAATGAGCTGTGTGGGATACACAGCATAAGAATATTCTAGTCAAATCCATGATAATTTTAGAGGAAGGAAGAAAGAAGATGCTTGAATAGGATAGATACAAGAGAGGATGCAGTAAAGAATTACCTGCCCTTCCAGTGTACAATCAACAAAGAATTCTGGGTAAGTTAGTTAACAACCGGGATTGATAGAATTGGGTAATTATTATGAAAATGTATGTTGGTGTTGGTTTAAAGTAAAATAAAAAGAAATAAATATTGTAAGTATTAACACCTGGAGGCAAAATAGAAATGCTAAAATAAGTTAGTGACAAAGTCAGGAGAATAAACGTCATAATTCTACATTTAATAGATTAAGAAGAAACTAGAAAAAAAGCAAATCTATGCCAATTAAGGAAAGATGATTGTAAATAATTTACCATCATTATTTCTTATATTTGTGAAGGAAAATTTGATGATCAGTGTTATGGAAAAAAATCACATGTACTATGAGTTCATTTTGTCTATCATTTAAAAATGAAAAAAAGAAAAAATTTCATTCATAATTCCTTTTATTCTTATACATTACCAAAGCTACAATACGGTCTAAATTTTCAAACTGTGAGTTGCAACCCACCTAGTGGGTCACAAAATCAATTTAGTGGGTCACAATGAGCATTTTGTGATATTTGTTTTTATTTGTATTATGGGGTGTGTGTGTGTGTGTGTGTATGTATGTGTGAATTTGTGTACAGTGGGTCTAACGTTGAAAAAGTTTGAAAGCCACCAACCCAGATAATTTCCCATGGACCCTTCTACTTCTGGTGTATAATAATTCTGTATGTTAAACAAATTGAGATGAAAATAATTTTATAGGATTTCTTGTGGTTCTTTCATCTGTGAATAGTACTAGTTTCTGCTGAGTGGAATTTGAATTAAGGTATCTCCATTTCAGACTGCAAAAAAAGTGCTTAATTATTAAAAAACCAAATAAAGAAGAAACATCAGTGGTCTCATCTTTAAGATAGTCCAAAGTTGTGGAGCTGGTAGCCACAATTAAGGGGAAGCTCCATGTTATGAAAATTTTATTCTTTCTTCCTTTTTAAGATATAGGGTCTTGTTCTGTTACCCAGGCTGGAGTGCAGTGGCACCATTATAGCTCACTGCAGCCTTGAACTCCTGGGTTCAAGCGCTTCTCCCCCCACAGCTTCCTGAGTAGCTGGGACTACAGGTGCTGCATCACGCCCAGCTAATTATTATTTTTGTTTTTTTAGAGATGGGGTTTCACTCTGTTGCCCAGGCTGGTCTTGAACTCCCATGTTCAAGTGATCCTTCCGCCTCAGCCTCCTAAAGAGCTGGGATTACAAGCATGAGCCACTGCACCTGGTGAAAGTTTTCCTCTGTATTTCTGTTTTATTGTTGTTTTTTGTATGAATTTATCAGAATAACCCAATTAATTGGGGGCACTCTTAAGTGCATAAATTAGAATAAATGTCTGTATTTTTTAAAAGTCCATTTGATATGACAGCTATTGCAAATTTTGCCTTTCTTGGTAATATATGTACGCATAAACTTTGCAAGTCATGATTCTTTATACAGCAGACCGTACAAAATTAACAAGAATACACATGATTGCTGCTGGCTTTTCATACACGAATTTAATAAAGAGGAGCTCAGTCTGTTCTTCCTTATTATGTTGTTTTCCTATTATACATAAAAGCCAAGTTTTGGACTTGTGGGAATGATGATGCAGGGCATCACCAGGCCAACTCTGTGGCATAGAATTCCACAGGGTGCCGCCAAGGAGGCTGTTGTGGTGGGAAGTGAGTTGGGTTTCCATATACCCTGTATTGCTCATGCATTGGCTAGAAGTTTTGGTGAACCTCAGAAAGGTTTTTTGATACCTGATCACAGTCTGGTGAGGTAAATGAGTTTTTTTTTGATTTGCAGCCTTAACAAAAATTTTATTATGCTGATGCTTCACTCTGTGCACAGTTATGTGCACACCTTAGGTACACATGTCATGCTTTTGATAAGTTCTTATAGTTTTGGCTATTCTGCACTCACAAATTTTGCAAATAAAAATCATAGAACTCTAACTACAATTGACTCTGATACAATTAAACTTATTGGTATAAAGACGGTAAAATTATACCTTGAGAGAAGTTGGCTTATGTCCAAATAAGTGTGTGCGCGCATGCGCGCGCGCGCGCGCACACACACACACACACACACACACATACACATTGTGATTCTGTAGGCAGCTTATATAGAAATACCATATCAAAAGAGATGTAACAGGGGATGAGGAAGAAAAAAAAAGATACATAACATAACAGCCCTTGAAACAATTTGAGGCTTACAGTGAAGCCATCTTTGCTACCACTACTATTTTCCTCCTGATTTCTTGCATTTCATCAGCAGTAGTTTTTGGCCTCGTTTCAACAATGCTGAGGTGACGATTCTTTTCTGCTCCAAACTCTTAACAGCTTTAATTAATAGCACTTATTCAGCTCATGCTTAGGAGTTTTATTTTTACAAAGTGATTTACGATCATTTTTATTAGTTATTCTAAATTGAGATTCAGAATGGCATGTCATAAAGAAAATGTTTCATGTTCGAGAAAGGAGACTATTCCTACCCAGCATTTGTCTAAATAGCTTAATTATGGCTGGATTACTCATAGATTGTTTAATTATTTATTCCTTAATCTGTGAATGTAAATACACCACTCCAACCTGCAATTATGGAAGGTCTGCAAACCTGAGTTGTGAAGTTCAACTGATATCTGTAAGAATTCTTGAGGCAAAGTTGAGTGTGCGTCACTATCAAAGAAAAAGGAAATTGGAATAATTATATAAATTGTTAGGCACTAATGCAATCCAAAGTTAGTAGTGTGTGTAATAAAGCCATGCCACTTAGAAATCAACTATCAGAATAATGTTATTATTTTTCTTCATATAAAAGTAATACATATTAATACAATATATATTAATGTGCTTGTAATAAGATCAAACTGGTAATTGGAAAATATCTTTTCACCTGATATGAATAAAAATTGTCATTAAAATATATATTTCTGAATCAAATTTTAAGATTTTTTATGTCTAGATCTTTTGCATACCAAAATGATAAAAATTAGCATAAGCAATATTTTATCATTGGCTTTGCACTTACTATTTTTGCATACATTATAGAATGTAATGTACAAATTCATAGCTCTGAAATTAGGAAATTTGAAAGGACATTTAATATTCTAATTACATTAACTTAGTACATAATTTTCAGCCAGTTTTTGATTATTCAAAGACCTTCTGATCTTTGGATTTTGTGTACCTTAGTTTGCCTTTGGTGTCTGCCTTTTGGATATTACACTACACATGTAAGAATCTTTGTAAGAGGAGGCCTTGAGAAGGGAGAAATGATGAAACAGCGACCAGCTTCTTTGCTTGCTGGCATCTCTAACAAGGAAAGCAACAGTGGGAAGAGGAAAATAAAACCAACTAAGAAACTCTATAGATCAGGGAAGTTAACACCCACCTGCCTTAAAGCCATATTTTCAGTTAAAATTTCCAGACTATCAAATGATGAAAAATGAATTTCATGAGATATTCCCTGTTTGCTATGGTGTTTATAAGAGGAAGAAACTATAAACAACAACTGAAGTTTATGGGAAAAGACCAATTAAAAAATGAGAATGTCAGGCAAACACATCCTTGACTCTGTGTGTGTGTGTGTGTGTGTGTGTGTGTGTGTGTGTGTGTGTGTCTCTCTCTCTCTCTCTCTTTCTCTCTCCCTTTTATTTTTATTTTTTAGGAACAAGTAATATAAACATGTAGCCACACAGCATCTCCATAGATATTAAATATGATAAAAAGATTTACAAATGTACAACTGTGACCTGAATGAAAGGGCATGTCTGAACACAACAAATCCAATTTTCTGCTTACACTGGCAAGGAAACCAACTACTGTGCCTAAAAAAGCAGTTCATTTTATCAGCTAAATAAACAGACTAATCAACACCACTGATCCTCTGCTCCCACTTACCCAAAGCTTTTTGAAAAGCTGGAATGTTTCTCAAAGGCAAGCTATGGATTTCAGATGCTGAATTGAGGTTTTAAATACCCCCCAAATTCAAGTGATGGTTTCTATGGTGACTTTCCCTCAGCCACTTACTTAGAATGGCAAAGGGCCTCCTTTTGAAACATCAAATTCCCAAGTCCCTTTAGCCTTGTAGCAATGAGCCGAAAAAGGAATGACTGACTTTGAGCAGGGTATTTGGTGTTGGCAGGCGCTTCTTCTATCAATATAGATTTTGATTTCCCATCAGACTGGTTTCTGGATATTCTACTAGGACTTCATCTCTCTTTGCCACTCATTGTGTTCGTGTTCTGGGTGAGGGCGGAGGAGAGTATGGGTAAAGTATGTGTGGGCCACCAGCAAGAGATGATTTAGCTTGTGTGTGCTTTTCAGAGTGCACTTCACGGAGAATGGGATGTGATTTGGAGAAGAGAGTGCTGAAGTGGCGTATCCCTTTATTTTCACCTGGGACACTTAAGGGTCCAGTCTTTTTGTCCATGAAATACCTGGGTGGATTTCGCAGTACTTCATATCTGTTTTATTAAAAATATATGTTGTTTATTAAAAAATAAAATAACAAAGTGAAAAGGAGAAATTGTAATTATAAAAGAAAAATAGAGACACAAATTTGTGTGTGTTCATATATGTGTATATGTGTATAGCTACATATCTATATCTAGATAATGAAAATGGTATCATGCCTTGCATATAGCACTCTTCTGCAACTTACTGACTTTTTCCTAACATTGCATTGTGGATAGCTGAATGGATAGACCATAGAGTTTTAACCAATTTTCAGGGTTTTTTCAATTTTTTAATCTTACAACTTCAAACAATGATGCAGATAATATGTTTGTATAAATTTTTCTATCTCTCTCTTTCTCTTTTTATTGACTTGGGTAAATATTTTATTTTTTTTAAATTTTTGTCTTATTGAGACAGAATCTTGCTCTGTCACCCAGGCTGGAGTATAGTGGCGTGATCTTGGCTCACTGCAACCTCTGCCTCCTGGTTCTTGCACCTTAGCTTCCTGAGTAGCTGGGATTACAGGCATGTGCCACCACACCTGGCTAATTTTTGTATTTTTAGTAGAGACAGAGTTTCACCATGTTGGCCAGGCTGGTCTGGAACTCCTGACTTCAAGTGATCTGCCCTCCTTGGCTTCCCAAAGTGCTGGGATTACAGGTATGAGCCACAGCACCCAGCTAACTTGGGTAAATATTTTCTAGGAGAAATTCTTAAAAATGGAGTTGCTGGGCCAAAAGTATTACTTTTATTATTACTGTTTTCATTAAATGTGAAGATACAATACTTTTTGTAGAGCCCTGTATTACTCAGTGATGATCAACTAGCCTATATAAAAATCTGAGCATAGTTTCCAATGCATTTGGTTTGATTTTTCTACAGCATTCTAAAGTTCTATTCTATAGTTCTATAGTTCTATTCTATAGTATTCTATAGTTTGATTTTTCTATAGTATTTTTCTATAGTATAGTTCAGAAAAGAAAGATGTGTATTTCTGCAATTTGGAATCTGTCATAATAATACCTAACATTTATTGAATGCTTACTATGCCAGACTTTCTAAGCACTTCACATCTATTTAATTCATGTACTTTTTACATCACCCTGATGAAGTAGAGGCTATTTGCTAATGTGAAAACTCAGCGTTAGAGAAACTAGGTAACATCAACCAAAGATATGCAGCTGGTAAATGAATGTGCCAGGATTAAAACCCATGTAGTCTGATTCTATAGTTACTAATCTTACTCATGACCCAATACTCTCTCTTCCTGGTTGACAATCTCTGTTTAGGAGGAACTAAATACATTCCCTATTGTTTTATCTTATTCATGTGTCTGGGTGAGTGTTAACTCCAGGCTTTTTTTTTTTCTTTTCAAGAACACAAGGACAGCCATTATAAATGCCAAATTTTGTTCAGCGCCATTTGGGTACTTGATAAAATTGTAATTCTTCTATTATACATTGAGCTATTCTCATGTGGAACGCTTTCATTTCTATAGCAGTTTAGTAGTAATCAAAGGAACACTCACAGATTCAGGAACCAGCTTAAATAATGAGGAGAAGAAACCAGAAATAAGGGGAAATGTGGACAGAGGGAAAGGGGCGGTAATATGGAGTTGAGGAGGGTATTATGAGATGGGAGATGGACTAGATGAGGGATGAGGAAAGGTAGGAGCTTAGAAAAAAAGAAAGGAATGATTAAAAAAAAAGCAAGCAAGTAAGCAAACATTGGTCTAAGAAAGCAAATCAATGAAGAGGATTTGACTAAAAATATCCCCACCGAATAGAGTCAAAATACCCCCACTACCACAACCAACCACCACCTTATAATTAAAAACAAAAGGATTTGCACTAATTTTTCTTTACTGGCACACATTCCTTTCACATATGGACTAGATTATAAAAATGAGGCTTCGATAAGTTCTGAAGGAAGATCTACGTGTTGGAGAAGTAGGTTACCTTCAATAATAAATATCCTCCAGATAAATATAAAAAACTTCAAGATGAAAAACATTGCAAATAAACCGTATTTTCACAGTACTGATTAGGGCTCTATGCCTGGGGGCTGGGGTATGTCTGCTGAGGGCCAGAGGGCGGAGAGACTTCCAGTGTTTCCAACTTGACTTTCCCTTAAGAAGATGAGTTATGAGTGAGCCCATATCAGATGAGATATGGATTCTGATAGAGACATTAACCTGAGCCCTTCCCCACAAAGCAAATAGGCTTCTCACTGTGCATTAAGTAAATAATTTGTGCTATTTCCCTAAAGGGAAGTACAGTGTTATGGAGTCAGAAAAGTTGTCAGGTAGCAATATGATTATTTCATTAACTCTACACGAACACTTATTGCCCTAGCCAAGCATCATCAGCTATATCCTATTGTTGTGTTTTACTGAGGGGATGATGTCAGTGACAGGGAATGTGGAGACAAGAAAGTCGTCTCCAGTTGCCGTCCATTAGGTATAGAGTTGATGGTTCACTAGACTTCCATAGGGCAGGTCTCCAGCTATTCTCTTTTAATGATGACTGTTGGCTAACCTTATTTGTAATTAATGAATTGCCTACATGTGTATTCATTTAATATTTATCTTTCATAGGAACTCTTCAGTAAGCTTCATGAGGACAAAGATTATATTATGTTTTGTGAACTGCTGTTTATTCCCACTACTGAGCAGTGTTTGACACATAATATGCTATTAACTGTTGAATGAATGAATGAATGCTGCAAAACAGTGTAGGAGCCTGGCAGGTGATAAAAGATAATTAAATGCTGTAGGTCTAATATTGTGTGCCAGGATAACTTTGTCAAGACCTTTTAAGAGATGAAAGAAAGACAACATGATGCTGACAGGGAACAATGTATACCTACATGGATTATTTAATCTGTTCTCAGAGTTTATGAAAGGAATAAAATGGTGTAGAAATGGATGTATTCCTCTCCTCTCTAATTCTGACCATACTCCTATCCCAATCTACTAATTGGGTATAGAATTACAGTGAGTTTTGCAATTCCATAGGAAATAATGAGTTTAATAATGAAGACTATTCTAGTGCTTATTTTCATGCCAAGCAGTGGCCTTAATTCAATCAACATCACTTTGAAGAGGTTATTCTTGCTCACCCCAGTTGAAGATAGAATATAGACTGAGGCATTCAATATGTTTGGTGGACTGAGAGGGTTATTTACAATTATTTTGGTGCTGTAAATTGTGTCTTTGCATGGTCACTGAACTACTAGTAATACCGTCACTCCCACCACCGGCATCAACATTGTCACTACCACCATAATAAGATCAGTTACTGAGATAATAAGTAGGAGAGCCATGCTTTGAATCCAGGGTGGCCTGACTCCAAAGCGCATGCCCTTTCTGTTGTGCTCTTGCCACAAAGTGTAATATTCATAGGCAAATCCTCCTACAGGGAGTAGGACAGTTACATCCTGTTTGATGGCACCACTGTCAGGTACTCTTAATCAGACAATTCCAAGGTTTTTGTGGTCTCAGTTCAAGCCTAAGCAGCAGAACTCCTAAGTTCAGTCTCTGCTAACCTTTAACTAATCTCTTATTGCTCCTTGTCCTTATCTTTTAAATGGATTCATAGTTCATGAGAGAGGGGTGTGAACCACTAATGAATGTAGACCACAGGGGAGAGTGGATTAAAGAGATTAGCTCAGGAAAGAACAATATATTATCACTGTGAAAGAACATTTTATCTTTGTGTTTGATTTTGGGTCTAGGTGTATTAAAACCCAGAAAAAGAAAAAATAATTATGATAATTCTTTACGGCTACCATGTGTGGTCAAACTTTTATTACGTAAGGTTAGAGAGACAAGACGCTTAAGGACCCATCAAACATTTATTTGCTATTTCAATTGTATTTCTTTTTCGCCTGCTCTATTGCTCTTGATTTTGTTGTATATGCCATGTTTGGGAACATTCTTTTTCACTAGAACCATGTTCCTAAAATTGTACTATGGTTCGTCATGAGGAATAATTCAATCTTTGACACAGACTGGGGGTCAGGGAGCTAGAAATCAGAATCATACAGATAGAAAGGAAAGAACTTTTTAGAAAGTGATTGGTTGCACAAACTGGCAAGAAAACAATTTTAGGCCAGGTTGGTAACATCAGATGCATTATTTGGTCACAGGGGTAGACAGACCGTTAATACTTTTTATGAAGTTAATCTTCACTTTTACTTCATAGTGAGAGTAGTTAGGGTGTGGGCTTTATTTTTGTCATTCCAGTTTTATTAGGTTGTCTACTTTAAGTGAAATGGGAGTGTGCACTTCATGGTGTGTGGCATTAGTGCTTCCAAGGAGTGTGCCCCAAATCAGCCACATTTTAATTTAGATGTATCTGTACAAAGTAATAGACTGCTTTGCTAGATATTCTAGTCTTAGTATTTCTATACTTCCCTTTAACTCCAAAATACCAGATATAGTCTTTGGTCTGTTTTCTTCTGCTGTGATGTCACAGAGCAGTTTTGTTGCATTCCAATCATTGATGTAATATGATAAGTGACTTATCTCAGTCGGCTTCAACACAGAAGTTTGGGCTGAGTGAGGAGGCATGGTATAGTCTAAAATAAAACAAAACAGTAGATATATAGACTTACTAAGAAGACCTAAAAGATATTTTCATCGATAAATGTGATTCTGTTTCAATATATTTTTATTAATGTAGTCTGCCTTTAGTCTAAACCAGGGGTTGGCAAAGTGTGGCCCTCTGTGGCCAAATCTGGTCACATCCATTATTTGCATATCACCTATAGCTGCTTTCTCACAACAGTGGCAGAACTGAGTAGTTGAGACAAAGAATGTATGGCTGGCAAAGCCCAAAACATTTACTATCTGACTCTTTACAGAAAAAGTCTGGCAACCTCTGGTTTAAACTAATTTCTTGTCCTATTTCTTATTAAGTATACACTCATGAAATATAACAAGCCCCTACATTCAAACTCTTCAGAAAAAAGGAAAAGCAGCCCGAGTGTGGTGGCTCACGCCTATAATCCCAGCATTTTGGGAGGCCAAGGTGGGCGGATCACCTGAGGTCAGGAGTTTGAGACCAGCCTGGCCAACATGGCAAAACCCCGACTCTACTAAAAATACAAAAATAAGCTGGGCATGGTGGCTCACACCTATAATCCCAGCATTTTGGGAGGCCAAGGTGGGCAGATTACCTGAGGTCAGGAGTTTGAGACCAGCCTGGCCAACATGGTGAAACCCTGTCTCTACTAAAAATAAAAAAATAAGCTGGGCATGGTGACGCATGACTGTAATCCCAGCTACTCAAGAGAGTGAGACAGGAGAATCGCTTGAACCTGGGAGGTGGAGGTTGTAGGGAGCCGAGATCGTGCACTGCACTCCAGCCTGGGGAACAGAGGGAGACTCTGTCTCCAAAAAAAAAAAAAAAAAGCATTATTTTGAAGTTCCTCTTATTATAGTACACCATTAAAACATGACATAGTAAGTCCCAAAATAAAAATTTCTATATAGCAGCTGGAACATTCTAAGGCTTTAAACCCTAAGTGTGTTAGTTTACTTTGTGGAAAGAAATGAAAAAACAAAACAAACAAACAAACAAAAAAACCCGTAAGACCTAAAACCATAAAAACACCCAGAAGAAAACCTAGGCAATACCATTCAGGACATAGGCATGGGCAAAGACTTCATGACTAAAACACCAAAAGCAATGGCAACAAAAGCCAAAATTGACAAATGGGATCTAATTAAACTAAAGAGCTTCTGCACAGCAAAAGAAACTATCATCAGAGCGAACAGGCAACCCACAGAATGGGAGAAAGTTTTTGCAATCTACTCAACTGACAAAGGGCTAATATCCAGAATCTACAAAGAACTTAAACAAATTTACAAGAAAAAAACAAAAAAACCATCAAAAAGTGGGCAAAAGATAGGAACAGACACTTCTCAAAAGAAGACATTTATGTGGCCAACAAATATATGAAAAAAAGCTCATCATCACTGGTCATTAGAGAAATGCAAATCAAAACCACAATGAGATAGCATCTCAAGCCAGTCAGAATGGTGATCATTAAAAAGTCAGGAAACAACAAATGCTGGAGAGGATGTGGAGAAATAGGAACACTTTTTCACTGTTGGTGGGAGTGTAAATTAGTTCAACCATTGTGGAAGACAGTGTGGAGATTCCTCAAGGATCTAAAACCAGAAATACCATTTGACCCAGCAATCCCATTACTGGGTATATACCCAAAGGATTATAAATCATTCTGCTACAAAGAAACTTGCACACGTATGTTTATTGCAGCACTGTTTACAATAGCAAAGACTTGGAACCAACCCAAATGCCCATCAATGATGGTCTGGATAAAGAAAATGTGGCACATATACACCATGTAATACTATGCAGCTATAAAAAAGAATGAATTCATGTCCTTTGCAGGGACATGTATGAAGCTGGAAACCATCATTCTCAGCAAACTAACAGAGGAACAGAAAACCAAACACCACATGTTCTCACTCATAAGTGGGAGTTGAACAAAGAGAACACATGGACACAGGGAGGCGAACTTCACACATTGGGGCCTGTCAGGGGGTGGGGGACTAGGGGACAGGATAGCATTAGGAGAAATACCTAATGTAGATGATGGGTTGACAGGTGCAGCAAACCACCATGGCACATGTATAGCTATGTAACAAACCTGCACATTCTGCACATGTATCCCAGAAGTTAAAGTATAATGATAATTAAAAAATGAATTTAACTAATAAAAAAAACATTATTTTGAAATTCTTCTTGTTACAGTACATCATTAAAATGTGACCCAATGAGTCCCAAAATAAAAATTTCTATATGGCAGCTGGAACATTCTAAGGCTTTAAATGCTAGGTGCGTTAGTTTACTTTTTGGAAAGAAATGAAAAAAAAAATAATGTGAGCACATGTAGTTACTGTTTTTTAGGAGCTTCCAGAATCTTAACATTTTGAGCAAGTACCAATATTGGTATTATCCACAGAGCATAATAGTGAAAGCAGAAGTAAAGCCAAGAGCCTTGAGTCCAGTTGTTTTGTCCATAAAAAGAAAAATTTCCTATTGATAATGGATCTGCAAGGGTAATAAGATCTTATTGGTTTACTAAGGAGTGAAATGTTATTAAATAGCAGCACTGTTAGAGTCAGGAGGCAGTGGCTAAAAAAACTGCTATCTTGGGAAATATTGTTTATTGTTAACACTTGCTGTACTCACCCATATGAAGGAGTGATCAGCCACTAAATATTTTTGATTGTTGTAGAGGCAAAACAAATTGACTTTATTCACTCAAAGGATAGCAGGTCCTAATCCCTAGGAAAATAATATACTTTTAAAGTTTAGTTTGTTGCATTAAAACAGTTTTCAAATCAAGGTATTCTTTTGAAAGAACTATCTTAATAACAAAGACCAAATTCTGTTAGTTCACAGGTCTCATAAGAAAGGTGAAGAGAAAATATGGGGTGTTAATAAAAGAAAAAATACAGTGTAAACAAAACAGCTTTGTGTTCCAATGCCCTGTTTGGCATACATAATAATTTTATCCATAAGCAGTCTATTTTATTTGTAGCTCTACTTCTGTGAACTTAGAGGTATCTGCAGGAAAACTGCTTATGGAATGTAAATGAAATCATGAGATTTGAAATATGCATCAGGGTTTTAAAATGTGTCTTCCTTTGACTCTAGCTTTTATGAAATTTGAATACACAGTACTATCAAACTTAATTTTTCCAAGAAGAATTAAGTGCCCAATTTATGTCTGAGCTTCAGATTCCTTGTCTGTCTCATAGTTACCACTAACACAGTTATTTAAACTTCATTTGGGTAAGTGAAATGACATTTAGTTTAAAAATTTTGTTTGGAGATTGCATGCTCCTCTAGAATGTAGGGTTGAACTGTACAGGCAGATAGGATTATAGTTCAGATGTATTTTTTCCTTGAATGTTTGAGTAACTGGCTGATCTGAATACCACTGCTGCTTGATGAATTATTACAAAACTTAGTAACTTACAACAATAAGCATTTTATTATGTTCACAGATTCTGTGGGATAGGACAGGGCACAGAAAAATGGCTTGCTTATTCTTCATAGTGGTTAGGATTCCAGCTGAAGAGATTTGAGGGCTGGAGTGATTTGATGGCAGGGAGTCGGAATCATTTGGAGGTTCCTTGACTCACATGTGCCTGTGTTGGGAAGACTTGAAGACTAGAGCTGCTAACCAGACTACCTACAGAGAGGTGGCTTCTCCATGTGGCCACTCCAACTAGCTTGGCTTGGAGCCAAGCAAGGCAGCATTAGGACAATTGGGTTTCTTATACAGCAGCTCAAGTCTCCAAGCATGGCTATTCTGGCAAACAAAGTAGTAGCTGCATCATCTATGCCACATAGCCTTATTCCACTGTGCTGTATTGGTCAAAGCGGTCCCAAGTACATCCAGTTTTAAGGAGATGAGAATTAGACTCTGCCTTTTGAAAGGGGAGTGGCGAGGTCACATCAGAGAAGAGGATGTGGAAGTGGAGATGTTAGGGAGACCCTCTTTGGGAAATATAATCTGTGACATTGGCCAAAGAAAAAGTGAGTATACAATCAGGAGAATGTAAGTGTTATGTTAAAAGTGAAATGTTAACATTTTTGTGATGTTGATTATTTATTAGAATTGGATGTCTAATAGACATCTCAAACTTCTTATGTTCAAAATAGTTTTTTCTCTTTCCTCAAAAATCGAAACAGTGATTTTTGTCTTCCCCACTGTTGGTCTTCAAGTTTCTCCATCTTAGAAAATGGCACCATTTCCAAAACAAAATGTAGGAGTCACCTTTGATTTTTCTTGTTCTTTCAACTCTTACATCTAATGTGTCAACAAGTTCACTTAGTTCTACCTCCAAAATGTCTTTCAAATTTATTCACTTCTCTCTATCTTCAGTCCTCACCCCTGCCTTAGTCTGTTTTGTGCTGCTAAAATAGAATACCTAAGGCTGGGTAATGTCTTTTTTTATTTTTTGAAATTATTTATTTGTTTTTTTAAAATTTTTATAATTTTTGTGAATACATAGTAGGTGTATATATTTATAGGTTACATAAAATATTTTGATATAGGCATGCAATGTGTAATAATCACACCAGGGTAAATGGGGCATCTATTACCTCAAGCATTTATCCTTTGTGTTACAAACAATTCAATTATACTCTTTTTTTTTTTTTTTTTTTTTTGAGATGGGGTCTCATTCTGTTGCTCAGGCTGGAGTACAGTGGTGCAATCTCGGTTCACCGTAACCTCCGCGTCCTGGGTTCAAGTGATTCTCCTGCCTCAGCCTCCCAAGTAGCTGGAATTCCAGGCCCACGCCACTGTGCCTGGCTAATTTTTTGTATTTCTAGTAGAGATGGGGTTTCACCATGTTGGCCAGGCTGGTCTCGAACTCCTGACCTCAGATGATCTGCCTGCCTCAGCCTCCCAAAGTGCTGGGATTACAGGCGTGAGCCACTGCTTCTGGCCTCTTTTAAATGTACAATTAAATTATTTTTGACTATAGTCAAACTGTTGTGCTAGCAAATATCAGGTCTTTTAAATTCTTTCTATTTTTTTGTACCCATTAGCCCTCCCCACTTTCCCCCACCACCCCCACTACCCTTTTCATCCTCTGGTAACCATCCTTCTACTATTTCCATGAGTTCAATTGTTTTGATTTTTAGCTCCCACAAATAAGTGAGAACATGTGAAATTTGCCTTTCTGTGCCTGGCTCATTTCACTTCACATAATGACCTCCAGTTTCATCCATATTGCTGCAAATGACAGGATCTCATTCATTTTTAAGGCTGAATAGTACTCCACTGTGTATATGTACCACACTTTATGCATTCCCCTGTTGATGGGCACTTAGGTTGCTTCCAAATCTTGGCTATTATGACCACTGCTGCAATAAACATGGGCATGCAGATATCTCTTTGATATATTGATTTCCTTTTTTTGGGGGGTATATACCTAGGAGTGGGATTGCTGAATCATAAGGCAGCTCTATTTTTATTTATTTATTTATATTTATTTTTTGAGATGGGGTTTCGCTCTTGTTGCCCCGGCTGGAGTGCAATGGCACAATCTTGACTCACTGCAACCTCCGCCTCCCAGATTCTCCTGCCTCAGCCTCCCAAGTAGCTGGGATTACAGGCATGTGCCACCATACCTGGCTATTTTTTTTTTTTTTTAATTTAGTAGGGATGGGGTTTCACCATGTTGGTCAGGCTGTTCTTGAACTCCTGACCTCAGGTGATCCACCTGCCTTGGCCTCTCAAAGTGTTGGGATTACAGGTGTGAGCCATCATGCCAGCCTCTATTTTTATTTTTTTGAGGAACCTCTAAACTGTTCTCCATAGTGGTTATACTAATTTATATTACATAAAAGCCATTTTAATTGGGGTGAGCCGATATCTCACTGTGGTTCTGATTTGCATTTCTCTGATGATCGATGATGTCGAGCACCTTTTCATATACCTGTTTGCCATCTGTGTGTCTTCTTTTGAGAAAAGTGTATTTAGATCTTTTGCCCATTTTTAAATTGGATTACTTGAGTTTTTTCCTTATAGAGTTGTTTGAGCTCCTTATATATTCTGGTTATTAATCCCTTGTCAAATGGGTAGTTTGCAAATATTTTCTTCCATTCTGTGGGTTGTCTCTTCACTTTGTCAATAAGACTGGGTAATTTATAATGAACCGAAATATATTGTATCACAGGTCTGGAGGCAGGGAAGTCCAAGATCAAGGTGTCAGCATGTGGCAAGGGCCTTCTTGCCAGTTCAGTTCTAAGAATGAACTTCCCGGATTCTAAATTTGATCATGTGCCACCCTTGTTTATAAATCTTCAGTAGTTTCTGATTGCACTTGGAATAAGATCTTAATTCCTTCCTAGACTTACAAAACCCTGCAAGATTTGTCTCTTGCCTCCTTCTCCAAACCTCATTTCATCACTACTCTCTCTGCTCATTCACTGTGCTCTACCGTCACCGATCTCCCTTTGTTCCTCAACCCTCAAGTGCCTTTGAATCTGCTGTTTTCTCTGCCTAGAGCACATTCCCCAACATGCTCTGCATGGCTGGATCCTTTAACGTGAGCTGTTGCCTCCTTAGGCCTTCCCTGTCCAGCCAATCTAAATATTCTACCTCATTACTCTCTCCTTTATCATCCTATTTATTTCTATAGTAGAAATTATCTTATTATTTTATATGTTTGTTTACTTGTTTACTGCCTCTCTTATCAACTAGAAGTTAAGCTTCCTGAAGACAGTGGCCTTGTCTATCTTGCTCATCCCTGTTTCTTCAGTACTTTGCTGAATCTTGTGTATAATAGGCATTCCATAAATATTTTTTGAATGAATAAATGAAAGACAGTTTAAAACAAGAGGAAAATTACATGTTTAAGTCTAATTTCTCATGAAAACTTACCCATATTTTACTCAAGCCAATAGCTGAATATAAAAGATGACTTTTACATGACTAGTCACAGAAGAATTAAAACTTACAAGTGTTTTTGGTCTCAATATTACCTATCAAGGGGGCTTTTACTATAATTGAACTTGTAAACATTATTAACTTCATTTATTAATTGTTTTATTTATTCATTCAGCTTTTAGTGAGAGCCTACTATATGCATAGGACTGTTCTAGAGCAGACAAATAATGTAAAAATGCATAAGACACATTTCCTACTTTCACAGAGCCTAAAATTTAGTGGAGGATATAAGAAACATATACCAAAAGCCTCAATACTGGTGATGGTGTTGGTGACATTTAAGTGGCATAGTCTAAATGCTATCAGTATGGAGGAGAGGTCTTTAGGGCTGAACTAATCAGAGAATATTGATTAGGCCAACATTTAAATTGGATATTTTAAAATAAGGCTTTTAATAGGTAGAGATGAAAATTGAGGAAATAAAGACATTCCTGGTAAAATACATGGCATGAGCAAGGGACTGGGACCAAGAAAATAAAATACATGTTTAGAAAATGGTGAGAAATCTAGGCTGAGTGGAGAATCAAACTGTGTATGGGGTCAGTAGCAAATACAGCTGGTTGAAGCCATGTCATGAAATGCTACTAACTCCAAGCTAAATAACATGGATTTCATTCAACAGTTGATGAAGAATTACTGAAGAACTACTGAAAAATTTTTGTTTGTTTTGTTTTTTTTTTTTTTTTTAAGAATGGTGGGAGGTTCATCAAAACAGTGCTTTAGGAAAATTAACGTGGCTTTGCGTGCAGGCTGGACTGCAAATGGAGAGTGTGGAGAGGAGAGTGTGGATGTTGGGAGGTCATACTTTATCCATCAAGGACCAAGTGGTGCCAACTTTCTTTATGTACCTCCTACAGGTAGATTGAGAAGGCACAGTATAGTAGAAAGAGCATAGGCCTAAGCCTAGTTACAGAACCCTGGCTTCGTAACTTTGGTACTTGAGTGACTTGAGGTCAGTCACTTGATGTTTCTGAGCCTCTGTTCCCTCAATTGTAGAACAGGGGTAATTTTTATCCTGTTGTCTAGTTTCCATGGGAATTAGGACATACTTGACAACAGTAGCTATATAGTATTATTAATGATTGAATGCAGCATTGAATTCATTTGCTTAAACTTTTTTAGTATTACGTGCGGTGACTTCCATTTGCTTTGACTGGTGGTCCATGCTAAAGCAAGATTATGAAAGCAGTTTATTAGTACAGCACCACTATACCTAGTATGTAAATTTTCTTTTGCATTCTCTGAAAAATCACCTCCATCTACTTGATTACTCTGGTCTTTATTCCAAATAGTAACTGCAATGTCAGCAGAAGCTTTTGAATAGTTGTTTCTCTAAATGGAATGTCTTTTACTCTTGCCAGGATAGGCAAAGTGTTAAATAAATAGTCAATACTTTCTGTATTTTAATTTAATCAAAGAAGCAGTAATGAAATTTGAGGGCTACTGGTGGAGGCAGAGAGAGTTGTCTATAACTCTTCTACTTTGTTCTGTTTGTCTCTTATTCTTTTTCCCTTATTAGAATTTATTTTAAATAACTTCCCTGGACTAGGACACCAGGCTATTGGTTCCAAGACATCACTACACCTATGAAAAAAATTGAGTATTGAGAAGTAATGTGGGGTTACTTTCCTTGGATCAAAGTTACTTAAACACTTAGATGAAAGCTTGAGAGGAAAGGAGTTTACCTATCAATAATTCAAAAACAATCTCCCTCTTCCAATTCCTTCTTCACCATTACATATTCTAGCATAGATATTTTCTTTTTCTTTCTTTTTTTTTTTTTTTGAGACGGAGTCTCGCTTTGTCGCCAGGCTGGAGTGCAGTGGCGTGATCTTGGCTCACTGCAACCTCTGCCTCATGGGTTCAAGTGATTCTCCTGCCTCAGCCTCCTGAGTAGCTGGGATTACAGGCACATGCCACCATGCCCAGCAGATTTTTGTATTTTTAGTAGAGATGGGGTTTCACCATGTTGGCCAGGATGGTCTCAATCTCTTGACCTTGTGATCTGCCCGCCTCAGCCTCTCAAAGTGCTGGGATTACAGGCGTGAGCCACCGTGCCTGGCCTAGCACAGATATTTTCTGACAAATGTTTGCAGAATATGAATCTTCTTTAAGTTTAAGCAAGTAAAAATTGCTGAATGAAAAGAGATATGTTGGCCTTTGCCACTAATTTCTGTGTAATTCTGAGTAAAATGTTAGTTTTTTTGTAAACAGAGATAAAAGTCTCGAAATTTAATTTAGGGATGAAGATTACTAGCATCAGGCTCAGTGCCTAGATATGAAACACCAGCACCACCATCAGAACACCAAGAAAAAGATTTCCCTCCTCCGCTTATTTTATCATGAAAAACCAAAAAGCTAAAGTCACAGTATCAGTAGTCCTCCCCTTAACCACTATGGATACTTTACAAGATCCCTAGTGAATGCCTGAAACTGTGTATAGTACTGAGCCTTATACATACTTTGTAGTACTGTCTGTACTATGTTTTTCTATATAGTACATTATAAACAAATACCATGGTGTTACCAGTGCATGGGAAATTATTAATGACTTTCAAAACTATATGTTGTATTTCTACTGTGCACCCCATAGGAAGGACTGCAGATAGAAAGCACATACCTGTGACAGAAGGTAGAAGAAAACACCATTGAAACTCTCATGTGAGATAGCTGTGGCAAAATGTAGTCAAGATAAAAAAGAAATAAAATCAAAGTCTAGTATTTCCAAATTCCAAAATTCTGTTTTTGGATAGCTGATATCTCAGAAGTATATGTAGGTATTGATATCAGTATATATGTGCTCTGTCAGGTTCAGTTGAAATGAGAGAAGTAGATGTAATTTAGGTGTTCTATTGTGTGGATGTCCCCAACAATTATCTTTTATTATTAATTAATTAATTTATTTATTTTGAAATGGAGTCTCCTCTGTCACCCAGGCTGGAGTGCAGTGGCACGATCTCAGCTCACTGCAACCTCCACCTCCTGGGTTTAAGTGATTCTCCTGCCTCAGCCTCCCAAGTAGCTGGGATTACAGGCACATGCCACCACGCCAGGCTAATTTTTGTATTTTTAGTAAAGACAGGGTTTCACCATGTTAGCCAGGTCTCAGTCTCCTGACCTCGTGATCTGCCTGCCTCAGCCTCCCAAAGTGGTGGGATTACAGGCATAAGCCACTGTGCCTGGCTATCCCCAACAATTATCTAACCCTTCTGGACCAGATGTTTAAGTTGACCGAGAAAGACCAATCCAACTCAACTCCAAACTCCCTCAAATTTTGAGTAAATCTGAAACAGTTGACCATGTATGAAAATGTAGGGAGTTCTGATAGACATATAGCTTCTTGTGAAGGTGAAAGTAATACCACCAAAAAATAAATAAAACAACAAGAAAGAAAGTGATACCACTACTAACAAGGGGATTTTTATTAAGATTAAATGAGTTAATTTACTAGAACAGACCCTAAAACATGGGAATGGCTATGTAGGTGTTGGCCATATTATTATTTTTACTGTTGTTAATGAGGCTATCAATATTTTAGTTGCCAGATAGCAGAAACTGTCAATAGACAGCTTATTCCATTGGAATTTTTATAAACAGAAGGGAAATTCTGGAATTGTGCTTAGATAAAAGTACAACAGCTATGAACTGGGTTTGAAAAGATGGAACCAATTTCCTTTTTTTTTCCTAGCCACATCTCTTAAAATTTGTGTTTTATGACAAAAGAGATTGTCCTCACTCAAAATTAGGCTCAATGACCACACCACACTTTTTTTTTTTTTTTTGAGACAGAGTCTTACTCTGTTGCCTCTGAGCACAGAGGTATGATCTCAGCTCACTGCAGTCTCTGCTTCCTGGGTTCAAGCAATTCTCGTGCCTCAGCCTCCCAAGTAGCTGGTATTAACAGGTGTGCACCACTACGCCCAGCTAATTGTATTTTTAGTAGAGACAAGGTTTCAGGATGTTGGCCAGGCTGGTCTCGAACTCCTGGACTCAAGTAATCCACCCACTTCAGCCTCCCAAAGTGCTGGTATTACAGGGGTGAGCCACCGCACCTGGCCCACACACCATTTTTTAATACAGTATGGTCAATCAACTGGAAACCACAAATCTAAATTATGCAAAGGAAATATGTAAAAATATGAAAGTCTTCTCAGAAAGAGATATTTTTTACTGCCACTCCACCTATTTTTCTCTATTTTATGATGATTTAAAAGTAAAACAACATTGCTTTTATAATGAAAAAAGCAACACATTTTCTTTTATTTGTTTTTGAGACAGGGTCTTGTTGTTTTGCCCAGGCTGGAGTGCAGTGGCATGATTATGGCTTACGATGTAGCCCAGGCTCAAGCAATCCTCATGCTTCAACCTCCCAGATTTTGGGATTACAGCAATTTCCTTCCGAAAATCTTTTTGTCCTTTTCTGACACTGATTTGAATGGAGCCCAGGTGGGAAGTGAGCAAATACTTTTGGCACCGAACAACATCCAATAACTATGAAAGGGGTTAGACATTCTAGTCTTGTCACTGGTGTCTCAGTAGCCACTGTGTCATAGTTTGTAAAAGTATTAATCTATCAGGTAGGCTTCTGTTTAAATTATATACTTATTCATATGGAAAATTATCCATAGGCAGATAAATGGAATAATTTATATATTTTAAATCCAAATTTCATTTAAAAATAAGCAATCTATGTGCACAGTTAAAATTTTTAAAAAGTGGGGGTGGAGCCAAGATGGCTGAATAGGAACAGCTCCAGTCTACAGCTTCCAGCATGAGTGACGCAGAAGACGGGTGATTTCTGCATTTCCAACTGAGGTACGGGGTTCATCTCACTGGGGATTGTTGGACAGTGGGTGCAGCGCACCAAGCGTGAGCCGAAGCAGGGCGAGGCATCGCCTCACCCAGGAAGCGCAATGGGTCAGGGAATTCCCTTTCCTAGTCAAAGAAAGGGGTGACAGATGACACCTGGAAAATTGGGTGACTCCCACCCTAATACTGCACTTTTCCAATGGTCTTAGCAAACGGCACACCAGGAGATTATATCCCGCGCGTGGCTTGGAGGGTCCTACGCCCATGGAGCCTCGCTCATTGCTAGCACAGCAGTCTGAGATCAAACTGCAAGGTGGCAGCGAGGCTGGGGGAGGGGCGTCTGCCATTGCTGAGGCTTGAGTAGGTAAACAAAGCAGTCAGGAAGCTCCAACTGGGTGGAGCCCACTGCAGCTCAAGGAGGCCTGCCTGCCTCTGTAGACTCCACCTCTGGGGGCAGGGCATAGCCAAACAAAAGGCAGCAGAATCCTCTGCAGACTTAAATGTCCCTTTCTGACAGCTTTGAAGAGAGTAGCGGTTCTCCAAGCACACAGCTGGAGATCTGAGAACAGACAGACTGCCTCCTCAAGTGGGTCCCTGCCCCCGAGTAACCTAACTGGGAGGCACCCCCCAGTAGGGGCAGACTGACACCTCACATGGCCGGGTACTCCTCTGAGACAAAACTTTCAGAGGAACGATCAGGCAGCAACATTTGCTGTTCACCAATATCCGCTGTTCTGTAGCTTCCGCTGCTGATACCCAGGCAAACATGGTCTGGAGTGGACCTCCAGTAAACTCCAACAGACCTGCAGCAGCTGAGGGTCCTGACTGTTAGAAGGAAAACGAACAAACAGAAAGGACATCCACACCAAACCCCATCTGTACGTCACCATCATCAAAGACCAAAGGTAGATAAAACCACAAAGATGGGGAAAAAACAGAACAGAAACACTGGAAACTCTAAAAATCAGAGTGCCTCTCCTCCTCCAGAGGAATGCAGCTCCTCACTAGCAATGGAACAAAGCTGGACGGAGAATGACTTTGACGAGTTGAGAGAAGAAGGCTTCAGGTGATCAAACTACTCCGAGCTAAAGGAGGAAGTTCGAACACATGGCAAAGAAGTTAAAAACCTTGAAAAAAAATTAGATGAATGGCTAACTAGAATAACCAATGCAGAGAAGTCCTTAAAAGACCTGATGGAGCTGAAAACCAAGGCACGAGAACTACGTGACAAATGCACAAGCCTCAGTAGCCGATTTGATCAACTGGAAGAAAGGGTATCAGTGATGGAAGCTCAAATGAATGAAATGAAGCGAGAAGAGAAGTTTAGAGAAAAAAGAATAAAAAGAAATGAACAAAGCCTCCAAGAAATATGGGACTATGTGAAAAGACCAAATCTACGTCTGATTGGTGTACCTGAAAGTGACAGGGAGAATGGAACCAAGTTGGAAAACACTCTGCAGGGTATTATCCAGGAGAACTTCCCCAATCTAGCAAGGCAGGCCAACATTCAAATTCAGGAAATACAGAGAACACCACAAAGATACTCCTCAAGAAGAGCAACTCCAAGACACATAATTGTCAGATTCACCAAAGTTGAAATGAAGGAAAAATGTTAAGGGCAGGCAGAGAGAAAGGTCGGGTTACTCACAAAGGGAAGCCCATCAGACTAACAGCTGATCTCTTGGCAGAAACTCTACAAGCCAGAAGAGAGTGGGGGCCAATATTCAACATTCTTAAAGAAAAGAATTTTCAACACAGAATTACATATCCAGCCAAACTAAGCTTCATAATTGAAGGAGAAATAAAATCCTTTACAGACAAGCAGATACTGAGAGATTTTGTCACCACCAGGCCTGCCCTAAAAGAGCTCCTGAAGGAAGCACTAAACATGGAAAGGAATAACCAGTACCAGCCACTGCAAAAACATGCCAAATTGTAAAGACCATTGAGGCTAGGAAGAAACTGCATCAAATAACGAGCAAAATAACCAGCTAACATCATAATGACAGGATCAAATTCATGCATAACAATATTAACCTTAAATGTAAATGGGCTAAATGCTCCAATTAAAAGACACAGACTGGCAAATTGGATAAAGAGTCAAGACCCATCAGTGTGCTATATTCAGGAAACCCATCTCAGGTGCAGAGACACACATAGGCTCAAAATAAAGGGATGGAGGAAGATCTACCAAGCAAATGGAAAACAAAAAAAGGCAGGGGTTGCAATCCTAGTCTCTGATAAAGCAGACTTTAAACCAACAGAGATCAAAAGAGACAAAGAAGGCCATTACATAATGGTAAAGGGATCAATTCAACAAGAAGAACTAACTATCCTAAATATATATGCACCCAATACAGGAGCACCCAGATTCATAAAGCACATCCTTAGTGACCTACAAAGAGACTTAGACTCCCACACAATAATAATGTGAGACTTTAACACCCCACTGTCAACATTAGACAGATGAATGGGACAGAAAGTTAACAAGGATATCCAGGAATTGAACTCAGCTCTGCACCAAGCGGACCTAATAGATATCTACGGAACTCTCCACCCCAAATCAACAGAATATACATTCTTCTCAGCACCACACCACACTTATTTCAAAACTGACCACATAGTTGGAAGTAAAGCACTCCTCAGCAAATGTAAAAGAACAGAAATTATAACAAACTGTCTCTTAGACCACAGTGCAATCAAACTGGAACTCAGGATTAAGAAACTCACTCAAAACCGCTCAACTACATGGAAACTGAACAACCTGCTCCTGAATGACTACTGGGTACATAACGAAATGAAGGCAGAAATAAAGATGTTCTTTGAAACCAACGAGAAAAAAGACACAACATACCAGAATCTCTGGGACACATTCAAAGCAGTGTGTAGAGGGAAATTTATAGCACTAAATGCCCACTAGAGAAAGCAGGAAAGATCTAAAATTGACACCCTAATGTGCACATGTACCCTAAAACTTAAAGTATAAAAAAAAAAGAACTAGAGAAGCAAGAGCAAACACATTCCAAAGCTAGCAAAAGGCAAGAAATAACTAAGATCAGAGCAGAAATGAAGGAAACAGAGACACAAAAATCCCTTCAAAAAATCAATGAATCCAGGAGCTGGTTTTTTGAAAAGATCAACAAAATTGATAGACCGCTAGCAAGACTAATAAAGAAGAAAAGAGAGAAGAATCAAATAGATGCAATAAAAAATGATAAAGGGGATATCACCACCATCCCACAGAAATACAAACTACCATCAGAGAATACTATAAACACCTTTACGCAAATAAACTAGAAAATCTAGAAGAAATGGATACATTCCTCAACCCATACACCCTCCCAAGACTAAACCAGGAAGAAGTTGAATCTCTGAATAGACCAATAACAGGCTCTGAAATTGAGGCACTAATTAATAGCTTACCAACCAAAAAAGTCCAGGACCAGATGGATTCACAGCCAAATTCTACCAGAGGTACAAGGAGGAGCTGGTACCATTCCTTCTGAAACTATTCCAATCAGTAGAAAAAGAGGGAATCCTCCCTAACTCATTTTATGAGGCCAGCAGCATCCTGATACCAAAGCCTGGCAGAGACACAACAAAAAAAGAGAATTTTAGACCAATATCCCTGATGAACATCGATGCAAAAATCCTCAATAAAATACTGGCAAACCGAATCCAGCAGCACATCAAAAAGCTTGTCCACCATGATCAAGTGGGCTTCATCCCTGGGATGCAAGGCTGGTTCAACATATGCAAATCAATAAACATAATCCAGCATATAAACAGAACCAATGACAAAAACCATATGATTATCTCAACAGATGCAGAAAAGGCCTTTGACAAAATTCAACAATGCTTCATGCTAAAAACTCTCAATAAATTAGGTATTGATGGGATGTATCTCAAAATAATAAGAGCTATCTATGACAAACCCACAGCCAATATCATACTGAATGGGCAAAAACTGGAAGCATTCCCTTTGAAAACTGGCACAAGACACGGATGCCCTCTCTCACCACTCCTATTCAACATAGTGTTGGAAGTTCTGGCCAGGGCAATCAGGCAGAAGAAGGAAATAAAGGGCATTCAATTAGGAACAGAGGAAGTCAAATTGTCCCTGTTTGCAGATGACATGATTGTATATCTAGAAAACCCCATCGTCTCAGCCCAAAATCTCCTTAAGCCGATAAGCAACTTCAGCAAAGTCTCAGGATACAAAATCAATGTGCAAAAATCACAAGCATTCTTATATACCAATAACAGACAGAGAGCCAAATCATGAGTGAACTCCCATTCACAATTGCTTCAAAGAGAATAAAATACCTAGGACTCCAACTTACAAGGGATGTGAAGGACCCCTTCAAGGAGAACTACAAACCGCTGCTCAATGAAATAAAAGAGGATACAAACAAATGGAAGAACATTCCATGCTCGTGGGTAGGAAGAATCAATACCATGAAAATGGCCATGCTGCCCAAGGTAATTTATAGATTCAATGCCATCCCCATCAAGCTACCAATGACTTTCTTCACAGAATTGGAAAAACTACTTTAAAGTTCATATGGAACCAAAAAAAGAGCCCACATTGCCAAGTCAATCCGAAGCCAAAAGAACCAAGCTGGAGGCATCACACTACCTGACTTCAAACTATACTACAAGGCTACAGTAACCAAAACAAAATGGTACTGGTACCAAAACAGAGATATAGATCAATGGAACAGAACAGAGCCCTCAGAAATAATGCTGCATATCTACCATCATCTGATCTTTGACAAACCTGACAAAAACAAGAATGGGGAAAGGATTCCCTATTTAATAAATGGTGCTGGGAAAACTGGCTAGCCATATGTAGAAAGCTGAAACAGGATCCCTTCCTTACACCTTATACAAAAATTAATTCAAGATGGATTAAGGACTTACAGGTTAGACCTAAAACCATAAAAACCCTGGAAGAAAACCTAGGCAATACCATTCAGGACATAGGCATGGGTAAGGACTTCATGTCTAAAACACCAAAAGCAATGGCAACAAAAGCCAAAATTGACAAATGGGATCTAATTAAACTAAAGAGCTTCCACACAGCAAAAGAAACTACCATCAGAGTGAACAAGCAACCTACAGAATGGGAGAAAATTTTTGCAACCCACTCATCTGACAAAGGGCTAATATCCAGAATCTACATTGAACTCCAACAAATTTACAAGAAAAAAACAAACAACCCCATCAAAAAGTGGGCAAAGGATATGAACAGACATTTCTCAAAAGAAGACATTTATGCAGCCAACACACATGAAAAAATGCTCATCATCACTGGCCATCAGAGAAATGCAAATCAAAACCACAATGAGATACCATCTCACACCTGTTAGAATGGCAATCATTAAAAAGTCAGGAAACAACAGGTGCTGGAGAGGATGTGGAGAAATGGGAACACTTTTACACTGTTGGTGGGACTAAACTAATTCAACCATTGTGGAAGTCAGTGTGGCGATTCCTCAGGGATCTAGAACTAGCAATACCATTTGACCCAGCAATACCATTTGACCCAGCAATCCCATTACTGGCTATATACCCAAGGATTATAAATCATGCTACTAGAAAGACACATGCACACGTATGTTTACTGCGGCACTATTCACAATAGCAAAGACTTGGAACCAACTCAAATGTCCAACAATGATAGACTGGATTAAGAAAATGTGGCATATATATACCATGGAATACTATGCAGCCATAAAAAATGATGAGTTCATGTCCTTTGTAGGGACATGGATGAAGCCGGAAACCATCACTCTCAGCAAACTATCACAAGGACAAAAAACCAAACACCGCATGTTCTCACTCATAGGTGGGAATTGAACAATGAGAACACATGGACACAGGAAGGGGAACATCACACACCAGGGCCTGTTGTGGGGTGGGGGGAGGGGGGAGGGATAGCATTAGGAGATATATCTAATGTTAAATGATGAGTTACCGAGTGCAGCACACCAACATGGCACATGTATACAGATGTAACTAACCTGCACATTGTGCACATGTACCCTAAAACTTAAAGTATAATAAAAAATAATTTGTAAAGTATGAATGATTCAGTGATAAGTCTTCCTCCCTATGCCTGCTCTAGTTCCCCTTCCTGGAAGCAAATAGTGCTTTTAATTGCTCATGTATCCTTCACGAGATGCTTTATGCACATGCAAATAAATACACAGATAGAGTCCCAATGTTATTGTGTAAGAAGAATGATGTCATAAGGAATTTGTGAAGCCTGAAATCTGTCTTAATAGAAATATATCCTGGGTAAGTAAGCTTCTCTATTTTTAATGTTCCAAAAAAGAAGGAATGCCATCAATCATTCTATAATTACTGAGTTCCTACTGTGTGTAAGGCACCATGCCAGATGCTATTTGTACTGTCAAGTTGCCTTTACAATTTTTCATATTTATGTCTTGTTGATTCAGATTTGTCCTCGAACATTCCTATCTCAGAAAGACCTTCCTTGACCCCCCCACTTGAAAGCAGCTGTCCCTTGCCCTGTCAACTCTATCACATCTCTGTGCTTTATTTCTTCTAGGGCTAAGGGGATTCTACAATTTCTCACTATGTCTTCCTTTTGAGGTGAAAGGGAGTGCTGTTATCATTACAGAAGGATAACAGGTGTAAATTGGCAATGTGACCTGGGATAGTTGGACACCCTCTTCATAGCATTTATCACTTCATTGCATTTAGCATTCCAAGATAATGGACATTATTTTGTCCACTTATTTGTTTACTTGTAAGTTCCATGAAGCAGGAACTTTTCTTGTTCTAGGAATCCATCACCCAGAAGAGTTCTTGACACAAAATAAGTAGGTTCTTAATAAATATTGGTTGACTGAATGGATGACCCAACCATGCCCCATATTCTGTGGTAGAACTGAGCATCCTTTGGTTGGCACTGGTAAATTGAAATGCCATGAAGGCACATTTGCTCAGAGTGCTCTTTCCCTAAGCAGAGGGGAAAAAGGAGCCAACGTTTAATATTCAGATTTTGATTTGCAGTGTTTTCCGTGAAGACATGAGTCTGGTAGATGGGTACTAGCAACATCAACTGTTTTGTTACTTGCAAGGAGACTGAGGTGCTGTGGTCTCCAAGATAGGCCTGGTCTAAAGAGCAGACCAGTGGGATGTGAACGGTAATAGGCCAGTTGGATCTGGTGGTCGGTTAGTCCATAGGGAAACCTGTCTCCAAGCAATGGAACAGCTGAATCCGCATGACTTGGTCCATAGGCCAAAAAGGAGGAACAGCTTTTAAGTGGCCTGCTATGTAGGCCCATTCAATTCCCAAGGAGGCAGGAAGCCAGTGGGATACAAAGGAAAAAACACCTTTCTGTGTCTGGGAAGTTGCTAGTCTGATCACGTGTATGTACATTTCACACACACACACACACACACACACACACTCTCTCTCACATTATGAGAGTCCAAGGGCCCCAAGAGTCTGTTCTGATAGAGAAGTCTAACATAATTCTCTACCACCGTACCTAAAACCAGACCAATCTTTTAAATCAGGGGCCTGGGTTTTAGTGGCTTAGTAGCTCATTTTAAGTTTTCCTTCTCCTTCCAAACAGAGAGGTCTGTGTCCTGTGTTATGCTGATCTATGGGAGAATTCCTGCAGGAGGAAGGGGCTGAAACATTGGCCTAAGGTTATTAAACAGAGCTTTCGTAATAAATATGTTGATACCATTTCTGAAAGATTTGCATATTTCTCTATCACATATTGTTCAATTTTATTAGAGGAAATCATTCTGGTATCCTGTTGGAATTGCTGAATTTTGGGGTATTATCTTAAGCTCCTTGATTTTAATGCTGTGGGAACTGAGACTCAGATTGAATAACCTGCCTTCCTTGACATTAACTGAGATAAGCTCCTGTTTTCAGAAGTTAGAACCCTCTACTGATAGTTGACTTTAGGCATGTGTTTTAAAAACGACAGTTGGATATGGTTGAGAGCTCAGTTGCTAAAGCTGTGAAGCAACTTGGGACACACGTTTAACCAAATAAAATTATTTTCCCCAGCTCATGCTGTGCTGACAGCTTCCAAAAACTGTGTTCACCTTCATTCTCTCCTCATAAAAAGGGGCTACAGGTATTTTTAAACCTGGGGTTTGAGGAAGAGAATGTTAATTATAAATCTAGATTAGTTGAATGTATTCAAGAATTTGCCAGACTGAATATGAATACTCTTGGAGTGTAAGTGAAACAAAAATGAGGCCTTTGGTGACCTATTATCTATCGATCTATATCTATCTATCTTTCATCCCAGATTGGTTTTAGAATGAGAAGAACAAAAGTTGCTTTTTCTCATTTCTTACTCTTACACAATGAAGTGGTTAACAAAATTGATACAGAGTGACAACTTTAATGATCATTCTGTTGCAAACAACTACAAGTCCAAACAAATATCAGCACAAAGAAAATCTCTATTCTGTGTAGCAACATGTTGGTCAGACTTTCGCCAATGAACCACCTATTTAAAAAGGACTTGATATTGACAAACATCTCTGATCAGTCTTTGACGTTTATAGTAACAAGCTATAATGTTATCTCCTACCACCTTTCTGTTTAGGCCCCAATATGAAATGCCTATGAATGTTATAATTTTGTATAACTCCAGGAGAAACATCCAACAATATTTTTCACCTTTTTTCCCAATAGTGAAAAAATCCAAATATAATAGTTATATTTATGGATTCTGCTCTTTGTTGAACACAGTGCTTTACAGACAACATATGGTGACAAGCCATCACTCTTCCTATTTTATGTAATGAGGAAACTTAAATACAGAGTCTTTAAGGACCTAGTCAGTCACACAAATACTGAGAAAATTCTATGCTAATAATCCTATCTGCAGGTCACATCGGCACCTTACTTTCAATAATCAACGCAGGGCCGATCAATTGCATTATTCTACTACATACAACTTCTTGTTTTAGAATCAAAGAATGTCATGCCTATAAGCGACCAGAAATGCCTGGACTACCTATTCGAAAACTTTCATCTTCATTCTTCTTAGAGACATTATGTCGTCATCACCTGCTGCCACTAGATGGTGCTTGTCATCGAAACAAAGGTCCTTCCTCCTTTCTGTTTTCTTTAGATGCCTATTAGGACCTTGGATGATACGAAAGAAATTTGATTAATAAGCTAAGTACTGGGCTGGTATTCTAAGAAGTCCTTTAGTACAGAGAGTTGTTGATTAAAAAGTAAACAAATCATTATCAGTAAAGCTTACTTACACCATTTTTCTAATTCCATCAGTTTTTCTGCTCATTCTTCTTGTCACCAAGCTGTGTGAACCCCAAGACAAAAAGAACTAATAAATCTTTCTTTGTGCTTATGAGAATCAAGAGACATGGCACAAGTTTTAGGAGAGGTGAACAAAAATCTCAGGATTCATTGTTATCACCCGGAAAAGCAATCGAAAGTGATCACATGCAGAGTTTATAAGAAAAATTAATCAATGACCTTTCAAAGGAAAACACGTATATCTCAACTACTGGACACTAATCAATAGGAAAGGAAATAGAACACTCTTTTAATTGTGGGATAGCAAACATCAAGTAATGAAAATGATAACAGAGGTTGTCAACGCTTTGCCAAAGACTCTTTTTCTCATTAATTTAAGACACATACCAAATCTCACCTCTATAGTACTCTCATTGTCTCCCTGCCTCCCACCCCACAAACCAACTTTATGCTCCTTTTAGGGTAAATTCTTGCCAATCTTTGTACTGAAATGCCTTCAGGAGTTACCTATTTAACTTACGTGAAGGAAAGTTTGATATATTTTGCAGCAGAATGCTTGAAAAATGTGTTTCTTGGACTTTTTCTTTCTTATTCACCAGCACTGAGTGTTCATGGCTGCTTCACGATTATAATGAGAAATTGCCAGCTATGTTGAAATACATAATCCACAGTGTGAAAAACTGCTGAACAGCAATGGCAAATTTTTAATACAAAAGTGACTTCCCTTTGCCTGTTAGCTTACTTTGCGGTTGCTGATTCTTGCTAACTGCCTGCTCAGGGAGTGAAAGTTAATTTTAACATTAGCCTAGAAACAGAACATAATCATTTAGGTGAAAACTTTAAAGCTAAATTTTTGTTTTATCTTTGGTTTTGAGTTTCCCATGAAAAATTCCCAGTGATATATCACTGCACTGGGTTATGTAGAATGTGTGAACATATATGTGAGCCAGATGTGACAACAGACACATGACAGTACATTTTAATTTCAGACATCAGATTGGCGTGTTTCCTTGTGCCTTCTGAGCATTAACTAAGGATTTTAAAGATAGAAACTTTTTAAAAGACACAGGCTCCATACCTGCTTTCCAAGCACTGGTGAGGCACCATGGATCTCTGGATCTCTTCCAGTTTTGAATACTAGAAAGAAAAGCCTCTGTCCTCAAATTATTTCCTCCCTACCCTCATTTTTTTTTTCTCTTGGAGGTCCTATAAGCTATAGCTTTGTATTGAAGAAATACTGGGGACCAGGAGCAGTTGGTATGTTAAATTATTTCTCTTGAGCTTTATGCATTTTGGTGGCTACTGTTGAAAACACAGTTTGGTCAGTGATGTCCACATACACATTACATATAATATGTATTACTAGAAAATGATATACACTTGCATGATATACCATGTGGTTGCAATCCATTAAGTGACTACTCTCTAGCAGTACCCAGAACAATAGATGGTGTGTCTGTGCTGACAGTCTGTTCATATCTTAATGGTTTACTTATGATTCAATAGTTTACCAATGGCAATGGTGCTGGATCACTGATATATTATTTGCTTGGCAAAGAGTACTTGAACCTCATTATTAGACTTAGGAACAGAATAAATACAAATAATCACTTTGCTAAGGCTGTTTTCCTAACTCCCAAGGAAGACAGAAAGGCATCAGTGACATAAGTGAAGGACACAGTTGACAACCACGTTATCTTCAGACATCTTTTGTTAAAGGTGAACAATTACTTAATACTGTGTTATGGCAGCACTCTATACGCCCCAAGTTTTATAAAGTAGAGTCAAGAGTGATCTGAGCTGGGAAACTCACGCAATTTTAGTTCTGCATGAAAGCACAGGCTCTCCCCACTGGGGAACTCTTTTGAGTAGGACAAAAAGCTGGACCTAGGACCCAGCCCAGGGCGTGAGAGAAAAGGAACCTGGGAGGCAAGAGCGGCCGGTCCGGAGCCGGGTCCTCCGCCAGCTCCGGGCGGGCGCTGCGCACAGAGCCCAAGCCCCCGGCGGAGGCGGCGCGGCTCGAGGCCCCTCCCCGCCGCCGATGCCCGGGCGGCTGACGCCGAGCAGCGGCCCGGAGCGGTGGGGGCCGGGCTGGCGGGCACGAGCGAGGGCAGGGCAGGGGGCCGGCCGAGGCCACTTACGGCTTTAAATATGGATCGCAGGCTCGCGCTCGCGGCACAGCCTCCGCCGCGGCCGCCTTCCGTGAGCCCCCGCACCCCGGCTTGCTCCCGAGGGGCGCCTGGGCTGGGCTCCACTGCTGCAGTGTTAGTTACTAGCAGGAACATCAGAGATCCCCATAAATATGCAGGAGCTGCAGGAGGCAAAGTAGAGTAGACGCCCGCGCTCTTACACACTCGCTCGCCGCGCACCACACAGGCTGTGTAGACATCCCCCCGCGCCACCTTTCCCCTTTCCTCGCGGGCCGTTCAGGTTGCAGTCCTGCCTGCTCCGAAGACCCTCCCGCCCCAGCGCCTTTGCCCCGCTCTCCCGCGCTCGCCTCTCTCCGGAGCGCGCACCCACCCAGGCGGCAAAGTTGTGACTACTTGGGCGCGGGTGACTGGCGCCCCGCTCGCTCCGCGCCCGGCGCAGACAACTTCCCGCGGCTCGGCCCCGCCGCGTCCCGGGCTCGCGCCTCCAGGGATTCCGCGGCCCCCCAGCCTCCAACCCCGGCGGCGCGCCGGGCAGCGCTTCGGTGGCGGCGGCGGCCGCGGTGGCAGCGAAGGCGGCGGCGGCGGCGGCAGTGGCAGTGGCCGCTGCAGCCCCACACTCCGCCGCCAAACTGGAGGAGCGACGGAAGCCAGACCCCAGGAGGTGAGCGCCCGGCCCCGGCAGCTGCCGGGAGGGTCGATGGGGTCCCTCGCTCCAAGGCGGAGGCGGGCGCGGGCCCGGGGGCCGATTCCGTAGGGCGCGCAGGCGGCCTCAGCGCGCTCCTGGGAGGGAGAGAGAGGTCAATTGCGGGCCGGGCATCCCCTGAGCTGGGCGCGGGCGGTGTGTGGAGGCTGCTTCCGCGGAAAAGTATTTTTTTTCCTTCTTAGGGTTTAGAGGAAGAGTTTGGGTGGTCTGCTTCTCCCTCACTGCTAAGTCCCCTGCGCGCAACTGGGCGTCTTTACGAGGACTGCGGGGCCAGTTCTGCGGCGGGCTGGGCTCGGGCTCAGTGACACGTGTGTTGCTGTGAGCCTGGGTGGTCGCCCTGTGACCAGGCACCTGCTTGAGAGGAACACATCCCTAAACCCATCACAGGGGGAGATTTGGGGACTCTTGGTGCTACCGAGGCCGCGGCCCCCACTTCACTGCCAGCTCCAGGACGGAGCATTTACATCTCTCCCTGGCACGCCAAAGGCGGGGGGTGAGTCAGGCAGATTCTCTGCAAGTGGCACACACACATTTATTTGCAATGGATTTGGCTAGGGGAGGCATAGGTTAAACTGGAATTTCTCTTGGCCAGCGACAACGGAGCTCTCCCTCAGGTACTGGGCAGCATGTGAGTCTTGGCAAAGAGAGGTGATTTCTTTTTTCTTAAGTGCATTTTACTCAGCCGTTGCCAGTCCGTTAATAAGTCACCAGAGGAAGGCAGGACCTGGGAACTACATCAGCAAACCGCAGCAAGCACCATAAAGACAAAAGTTCTTATAGAACAAAAAGAAAAACTTGAACTTGACGTGAAAGATGGAGGAAGCAGTTCTACCTCTCTTCTATCACTTTTTTCAGCGCCCTGTAAAACTGTTTTTTTCTATCCTTCCTTCCCTCTCAAGGCCCTACCTTCTCAGCATAATTGATCGCAGCAAGCTCTTTCCAACTTGACACTGAAGAGCAGCGACCCCTTTGGCTTACCCTCCCCATTTCTTTTCCTGGTTCGCTTCAGTGCCCTGGAAAGTTGCTCCTAATGAGAAATCAAGAACACTGGGCTGTACTAAACGCTCATTGTCTCAAATCCTGCAGCAGTTCCTTTCCTAAGAGACACTGTGTTGTACTGTATTTCTCTTTTTTCTTGTATCTTGGGACTTGGAGTTGTAATACTACCTGAATTAAATTAATTAAAGTGTACATTGCTCATTTGGGCTTTTTTTTTTCATTGTGATTTCAGTAGATTCGTCAATGCCATTAGAACAATATTCAGTAGCTTTTTATAGCCAATGTGATGTCTTTTGAAAACGTTTCTGACTACAGCTCTCTTTCTTGTGTCTTTCATATTAGCATGTAAATAATTTACATGGTCATTTTAGTACTTAGACTGAAGATATTAGTATAACTTCATTCAAAGGAAGTGTGCCTGTTTATTTTTCTATAACTTTTATAGCTGAGAAAAAACTTTTACTTTCATTTTAAAGTTAAAAGTACTGATAGGATTCTGGTCTTTGTGGTAGATCTTGAAATTGAATGATTTGTTTTAACTGTATCCCACACTGTCAAGTAAGATGACAGAGAAACTCTCATATATGTAGATGGAGACAGGAAAGCAGTACCACTACATTATGAGCTGTTGAGGCAGAGAACATTTGTAGGAGTGGGGGTGACAAGGACAAGATGGGATATTTTGATAGTCCCAGCCATGTTAAAAAAACTGAAAACTAAGAAACCCCCAACATTTTGGATTTAAGTGTACTTCAGAATGAGGGTTTTGGTGCCATTTGCTCTTTTGGGGTCATTTCTGGAGACTTAAAAACATACATTAGACACCTTACCCAATGAGATTGACAGAATGTACTCTCAGTTTAGATTAATGTATTTCTTTTAGTTCACGTAGTCAATATTAAATAATTTTAGATGTTTGAATGTTAGTACTATGATTTCAGTCTTCTAAATGATTAAGAGACATTTTGGATTTACAAAAATGTTGTGTGAAAGAAATAAAGGCAATCAGATTTAGAGGAATAATGCGATAGAAATCGGGTAACCTTTGGGACAACTTCCAGTAGGCCCTGATGGTAATCTCATTTTTCGCTGAGTGCTGGCAGGTACAGTTTTGAGGTTCTGATCCCTTGTTCCGATAACAAGAGTGATATCTGGCCATAGCTTACATCTTAAAGGAAAAGACAACACTTAAAGAAATGCACACTAGCTGGTGAATCATGTAAATAAACAGGATTCCTTGCCTGCCTCTGTGAGCGCTGTAGACCTCATATGAGGACTGCTATTGTTAGAGGAGAAGCGTCCTGAGAGACTCTGCTGGACTTAAGTGTGGCGAGATACATATCTGTTTCTTGGAGTTTCTTTGTGTTTATTTAAAATAATATGAATGAAATCTAAGACCAGAGTTGATAGATAAGATTGGGAGTGGAAAGAACAAACTGAGAAGAGGAAAATCTAATGATGATTAACATTTCTAAGTGTTTTTTTCTTGATTGCTAAATGAAGGAATCAGAATGCATGATTTGATGGGACAAAGGAAGCTATAAGCAGAACATGGATCTCAGTTGATGCTGTTTCCAAGGACAACCTGTGACTTATGAAATTTATGTATTTTTAGGGAGTCATTTAGCAAAATGGATAAAGAACATCCAGGAAGCTAGTAAGACTTTACAAAACTGGATCTTACTACTTTTACATAATGTAGGAATCTTAGAGGAAAGGAGGAATAAAGTTTTATTTGAGGTCAGCTAAGTTGTATTCCAAATACATTTTGCCTTTCTCCCAATATATAAACTCTTGATACGTTTGGGTCACAAAAATGGAAAATATGCTGCTGTTCTTCTGACATGAAGATGATCTTTTTATCCTCAGTAGTGCACAGCTTTGGTTATTTTTCCAGCAATAGGGATGGAGTCTCCTTTACTCAGTTCTGTCTATGTATGTTTACACACACACACACACACACACACACACACACACACACACACACAGACACAACTCATTTGTAGAGGTGGCTGATTTAATTTTGTCGGAAGCCATATTAACTACTTTCGTAATACTTCTGTGGCAATGGCTTTTATTGCATTTGGTAGTCTCAGCAGTGCAATGACATTTCTAACAAGACATTGAAAATACAATGAGAGCCAGGTGCAGTGGTCCCAGATACTCTGGAGGCTGAGTTGGGAGGATCACTTAAGCATAGGAGTTCGAGGCTGTCATGTGCTCTAAAATTGTGCCCATAAAATTGCTATTAAATTGTGCCTGTGAATAGCTACTGCACCTCAGCCTGGGCAACATAGGGAGATCCTGTCTGTAAAAAATGAACAAGTGTATAAATGCTAATGGCTTTACTTGCTGTGGCAAAGGAGAGATAAAACTTTTTCTTCCAATCTTCCTAATGATGCCAATAATTTTATTCCTTAATGATAATGTCTTACTTGATGCTGAATATAGACGGTTCCAGACTTATGATGTTCCAGTTAAAATTTTTCAGAATTACAATGGTGTGAAAGCATTCACATTCAGTAGGATCTATACTTCGAGTACTGGTAACAACATTCTGTTTTTCACTTTCAGTACAGTATTCAATTAATTACATGAGCTATCCAATAGTTTATTTGTAAAATAGGTTAGGCTTTGTGTTAGATGATTTTGCCTAGTAGGCGAATGTAAATATTCTGAACACATTTAAGGTAGGTTAGGCTAAGCTATGATGTTTGGTAGGTTAGGTGTATTAGACACATTTTTGACTTGCAATATTTTCAATTTATGATGGGCTTATCAGGACATAACCCACCGTACATTTAGGAGCCTCTGTACTGGAAAAAGATAGTGGTAGAAACAGTAATGTTGAAACTATGTGCCTCTGTAGTTGTTTGTGTAAACCAAAACATCATCTTGTTCTTCTTTCCTGAAAACTAAGTAAATATAAGGGATTGTTATGCTTATTGAGATGAAGAGGAAACTATGACAGAGAACTCTGTATGCTTTTCTTAAACTTAACTACAAATTATTGGTGGAGGTAGGAATAAGTATTTTAATCTTTTGACTGGTGATACATGTTTGTCGAATGACTGTCAATGAATGGGTGAATGTCCTTTTAGTCACAGCAGAAGATACTAAAGCAGATAAAAGTTTATCCTGTTTTAAAGTGATGGTTTCCATTTTCTGTTGGTAATTCTGCTCAGTAGCAGTGCCCACTTGCCGCAACTTTATTTCAGTTTCTGCAATCCAGGGAGTATTTCATGAGAGAAGAATTTTCAGTTTGGGTGTACCAGTTTTAGCTACCATCTTGAGAGCTAACTTTTGTTTTTCATGTAGAATGAACATAGAAAGAAATTAAGTGAAATTAGGATGTTAAAGGAAATAAATAACCACCAACTGATATTTTGGAGTTTTGTATTTTTACTTTGTGGATAGTTGTGTGGAAAAGGTATACTCCTTGACTTGAATTTAACTCGAATTTCTGTATTAGAAACCTTAAGAAAGTTGTAAATAAAACTCCTAGTATGCTTTTTTGGGGATTAAAAAAATCAATATGAATAAAAATACAAAATGAGAAAGGAGTATGTTATGTTTAACACCGCTGTAATATTCTATGGGTGACACAACTAGAAAAATCTCTTAATATATTGAAGACGTCTTCTTATTTAAGAGGAAATTGGTGATTTCTTTTTTTAAAGTATATTCACTGATTAATATTCTTCTTAATACTATTTGCAAGTAAGTAAACTTGTGGGATATGGACTTCTATGTTAGTTAATTCTAGCTTTGGCCTGGAGATCTGATATTCACTGATAAGATCTAGTAACAACTTCATCTATTTGGAACTCCTACATTTGTCATGTTCCCCAGCAAAAAAGTCTCTGAGCAGGCAAAATAGAGGGTAAAAAAGTAAATACATTAAAAAGAATTCACTTTACTCCTAGGACATCCCTCAGAGTCAGTTTACTTTTAATACCCATACTGTTCTATGATTGATTATAAAGTTTTTAATCCCATAGCAAACAGTAAACTACAAAGTAGAAGACGAAAATGGGCTTTATTGGCAAATACATAGAAAACATTGAAAAGTGCCTGAAAACAGCGTGGTAGTAAAGGAAGAGGTAGACAGAAGTAAGAACTAAAGCAAACACAGTGGTTGAGGACTATTTAGATTTGGACTCTTATAGCATCACTTCATTACACCCCCTTCTCCCTCCCCCACTTTCTCAGCTCTTCCTTATTTTCCCCTCCCCTCTTCCTTCTGTTAAGTTTTTATTGAAATACATATGGTCAGAAAATTGTATGTCATCATACCATCAGTGGACATCTCAGCGATTTACCTAAGTGAACATGTCCATATAACCAGTGCCAAGACCAAAATATAGACCATTGCTGGCATCCGGAAGTCTCCTCTAACTCCCTCTTCAAGTCATTACTTCCCACCAAGGTAACCACTCTCCTAATTTCTGAGATAATGGTTACTTTCACCTCTCATTGAACTTTCTGTCAGTTAATTACACGGTGTGTATTCTTGTGTGTGACTTCTTTTGCTCAACATTATGTTGTGAGATTCTTTCTTGTTTTGTGTGAAGCATCAGTTTATTCTCATTGCTACATAGTGTTCCACTTTAGAAGAACGCCACAGTACATTTATCCATTTTGTTCTTGATTTACTAATTTTGTTTGGGTTGTTTCCAGTTTTTGGCCATTATGAATAGTGATGCTATGAGCATTCTTACGTATGTCTTTTGGTGAACATGTCGCCCTGTCTGTCGCCCAGGCTGGAGTGCGGTGGCCGGATCTCGGCTCACTGCAAGCTCCGCCTCCCAGGTTCACGCCATTCTCCTGCCTCAGCCTCCCGAGTAGCTGGGACTACAGGTGCCCGCCACCACGTCCGGCTAATTTTTTGTATTTTTAGTAGAGACAGGGTTTCACCGTGTTAGCCAGGATGGTCTCGATCTCCTGACCTCGTGATCCGCCCGCCTTGGCCTCCCAAAGTGCTGAGATTACAGGCGTGAGCCACCGCGCCCGGCCCATGTGGGAATTTCAGTTGTGTGTTTTCCCAGTTTAATTGATGGGACGGTTTTAGTAGATAGTGCCTTCCTTCAGAATTGGTGCTAATTCACATTCCTACCAGCATTGTGTGAGAGTATCATCTACCCCACATCCTTACAAAAGGGGTTTTGTATGTCTTTTTTTTAAAACCATTCTATCGGATGTATAGTTGTATCACAGTGTAGTTTTAATTTGCATTTCTCAGAGTACCTTGTCTATCTTTTCATATGATTATTGTCTACACTTTTTCGTAAAGTACTTGTTCATGTTTTTTGCTCCTGAAGTTTTTATCCAGTATCTTTTCCCAAGTAACGAAGATTTTAATACTTGGGGAGTTCAGTTCTTTTATTTGTTTAGAAGACTCAGCTAACCAGGCAAACTCATTCACCAATGCTTCCACCTGATAAGTAAACTCATGGGATAAAGAGATTACAAACATTTTGAACTTGTAAAGATGATAGTCTGGATCTTCGAAACTTTATCCCTAAAAAATAAAAAACCCAAACCAAAACAATATTAAATAACTTTAATACAGTACTCAGAAACATGCAGAACTTGTCCTCAATGCTTTACATAAAAGTAGAGCATCTTGTAATGTTGTATTGCCCAATGACCAATGGAGATTTGTATTTGGAAGGTATGAATTGAACATCTAGCTCTCTTACTTATTAGTTGTTTTGAGAATTTAAAAAACATCCGTGTCTTTTTTCATTATTAAAATAATTATAAAACCTCATTCACAGAGGAGTTATGAGGAACAGATAAAGTGATCTTTATGAAATCTTGTTCAGCACTGTAAATGGCCATACATGTTAGTTATTATTATTGTTATTGTATTCTTCAACATTCCTTATTCTTGAGTTGAATTATGCCAGCACTGAGAACAGTTCCTGGCATATTAATAAATGTTTGTTGGCTGAATGAATGAACACATTTAAGTATCTTTCTTAAACCGTTACTCTGAGTGACTCAAGCTGTGCTTTATATATTTTTTTTCTCTAGGACTTTTACTTTTTATTGCTGAAGCTGAGTTGGAACCAAGGTTCATCAAGCATCATATTGAAAAATTGAGTCTAAGAGCCAGCAGTTTGAGATCACCCATTTCTATATAGTTCATATTGAATTTATGCCTCCAAGTAACACACACGACTTGGAGAACCCTTGAAAATGATTACACTGCTCTTCACTCCATGAGTGATCCCCAAAGCTTACACATTGAATATTTTTAGCTTCTATAATTAGAATGGCCACAAATTTCCAGATTTAAAATATTACAGTGGGTTCTCCAGTGCTAATACTTTGGAAACCATGTTTTGTGTAAAATTGAACATTCAAGGATGAAGAATAGCTGAAAACTGGAGCTTTTATAGTACCTTTTCAGCTTAATATAAATAAGGTGTTTCACAGATATGTTGATTATAATATGAAAGCAAACAACATACACCTTATATACATTTGTGTAAAGCAACAATTCTTAACCCTTTGATAGGTCTGATTTTCAGCTTTGGCTTGATGTTGTGACTATTCAAAAAGTGGTTTGGAGGCATATCATTTTTATTTTTAAATTAAATAGAATTAAAATGTGTATGATTTTTGTTTTGGGGAATTACATGATCTTCCTTTAAATAACAGTAGGTATCCCTTTGAAAAATCAGGCTTGCAGCAGAAGAAACTTGGATTTCTATATAGAAATCTAGTTAGATTTTCTTACCCAAAGACTGATGTTCTTTTCCTTTTTTCCTGTATTTGAGTTTTTTTTTTTTTTTTTTTTTTTTTAAAGAGCTTATGGGGGTCTTGGGTGTTTGCTGCCATCATTTAAGTATAGCTGTTCTGTGGTACTCAGAATACTGAGCATGTAACATTTTACTTCAGAATAACATAAGTCAGTCTACATTTTATAAGGACGTTTACATATTAGGTAGTATACCTTGTGTGCTTGACGCAAATGTGGCCAATTTAGGGTGATTTAGTGGAAAATGGAATCATCTGGTATAGTAAACAGCTTTTGTTTTCTGTTACAGACATAATGTTAGGAAAATTGAAATAAATACAAGGGGTAGTTATGGTGAACCCTGTTAAACTACTGTTTTAAAAACAGTGAATTTCAGAAAAATCTCATCTGTTCTGAGTGATTTCATTCCTTTGAGAAGTTAAACTGGCTCTTTTTAAAACAAATGCATCCAGGCGTGCCTGGTTATTGCTTTATTTAAAGCTGGAAGCAAGGCTCCTTTCGGTTCTTACTTGACACATGGGATTTAAAAAACAAGGGTATACTATGGATTTAGGGAAGGATACCTGTTTAACAAATAGGATTATGACAATTAAACTATCTAAACTGAACTCCAAAGGGAATGGGATTAGCTCTTCCATTTCTTGTGCCCTTCAGCATGGAAATCTGTTGGCCTTATTGAAATATTCCTAATGTCTCTAATACAAACCAGGTTTTTGCACCTTCTACCCCAGAAGGATCAGGAATGAAGTCCTGAAAGTGATATTTGGTGAAATATGTTTTGTTCTGAGTGAGTAATCAGTGGGACCATCAGTTAGGCTGAAAGTTTCATGGAATCTTGAGTGTTGATGGCTGCACTCCTGAAACTCTCTCCTTGAGTACTGTGTGACCACAGCTGCAGTGAGACATCACAGTTGAACTGCTTCACAAATTCCTTCAATTCCTTTGACCTCTGGAGACTCTGTCCTTAGGAATGTGAGATGAGCACTCACGATGTTAGCAGCGAGTAGGGCCTCATGGTAGGGACTTTGCTAAAGTACTAATTACAGTTGCTTTGGAAAATGGCAGAGCATTAACGATTAAGCAGAGACACGCAGCTCACACATTTGCACTTTCACAGGTTGAGCTCCTTTGCCAGGGAAAAGGGAGAAGGCGGATAGGAAATGTCTCAAAAGATTTAGATAAACTAGATTAGATAATTTCTCTTGAAAAATATATTAAGAAATGAAATAAAAACACCACTCCAAAAGCATCAAAAGAAAATATAGTTCAAACACTTACCTATTTTTATTGCCAAAACCTTAGGCAGTGAATTCTGCAGTTGAATTGATCACTTTATTGTTTTCTGCTTTGCACTGCCCTTTAATTGTTTCATATGTGTTCATGTTGTCTACACAGTATACTTTCCCATGGTCCTCACGGTGGCCAGAAAATGCTTATTTAATGGAGGGATACTTAGTATTTTTAAAATGTGTACTGGCTGGGTGCGGTGGCTAACTCCTATAGTCCCAGCTACTTGGGAGGCTGAGGCAGGAGAATCGCTGGAACCTGGGAGGCAGAGGCTGCAGTGAGCCGAGATTGCACCACTCTACTCCAGCCTGGGTGACAGAGCAAGACTCTGTCTCCAAAAAAAAAAAAAAAAAAAAAAAAAAAAAAAAAAAAAAAATGCAGACAGACCAGAGATGCCAAATTATCTTATCCAACTTTATTTAAACTGTATTTCTGGCTGGGCACGGTGGCTCACGCATATAATCCCAGCACTTTGGGAGGCCGAGGTGGGCGGATTGTTTGAGGTCAGGAGTTCAAGACCAATCTGAACAACATGGCGAAACCCCATCTCTACTAAAAATACAAAAATTACCCAGGCATGGTGGTGGGCACCTGTAATCCCAGCTACTTGGGAGGCTAAGACAGGAGAATTGCTTGAACCTGGTAGGTGGGGGTTGCAGTGAGGTGAGGTCGCACCACTGCACTCCAGCCTGGGCGACAGAGCGAGATTCCGTCTCAAAAAAACAAAAACAAAACTGTATTTCTTCTGGAGATATTCCTCCAATGCAGTAGCTGTGATCATTGCTATTAGGCTTTTTACATACTTTTTGTGAAATTCATTGTAATGAAGTTTGGAACCCATATCTTTGGGGATGAGTCTTTGTTATTATGGTTTGTGATATGTTATAGTTTCTTGGAAAAATTAATTAACTTATTTTGATATGACTGTATTTGATCTGTTCTTTGAGTTGGATAAATTTTACTTATTGATTATTTGAGATTAAAAATGAATTGTTAGCAGTTTTATAAATAACTTTTTGTTTTTAAACACAGGCTCACTAGAAGTTGCAAAAATACAGTGCAGAGAGTTTTTCTGTATGCTTTACTTAGCTTCCCCCAATGAACACCACTTTAAAGATGCCTAAAAAGGCCTTTACCTAATGGGTGCAGCACACCAACATGGCACATGTATACATATGTAACAAACCTGCATGTTGTGCACATGTACCCTAGAACTTAAAGTATAATAATAAAAAAAAGATTTATAAGGAATAGCAATTTTTATACTTGCTCTGAAGAAATATGTATTTATTAATCACTGATTATATGTATAACCACAGATTATAAAAAATAGAATTAGAGACACCTACTAACTCTCTATTTTGGGGGGTTGTGGGTTTCCGTTGGAAAAGGTGCTCATGTGGCAGGCAAGAAGGAAGAGTCATTCATTCACTTATTTATTCATATCTCTGTGAATTTGGTGTTTGCCTCATTCAAATCATTTAAAAAATATTTATCATATTGATTACATTGAACTAAGAGTTTGAAGTCCAAATGTTGTTCCTATAAAATCTTTGGAAAATAGAATGCAAATAAAAGTGAATGAGAGTAGAACTTCTTTATGGTACAGGTATTAGGGCAGCATGATAACACTGGATTTTATGTAAAGGTGAGAGAATATCATTGTTCTATACATCTCTGTTAGGTGCATGTCATTACCTTACAATATATGTGAAAGCACAATATATTGAGACGTTTTAGAACAGATGTTTCATTTATTACATATGCATAATATTTCCAGTGAAATCTCAGTGTTTCACTACTCCTTAATATATTGATAAATATTACACTTGAACATGCATTTGAGTTCAATTATCTCTTAATAGGAATATTTAAGTGCTATATTTCTATGTTTGTCCATGTATCTGAACTTTATGCAGTCTTGTCTAGAATATTCCTTTGAGGGTTTGGTCTTGCACCTCAGGGCAGATGTAACTGGGAAGGGTCTAGAGAAACACGCTGCATATCATGAGAATGGAGGAGTTTCTTTAAGAGAACACACAGAAAGTTATTTGAATGCTTAGGGTCTTGAACAATGAAGTGTAAAGTCTGAAAGGAGACCTCACCAAAGCCTGTAATGGTCATGAACACTTACCCCAAATCCAAGAATATCAGAACTAGGAGCACCACATATAAGAGAGAAATAGGCTGGGTGCCTCATGCCTGTAATCCTTGTGCTTTAGGAGGCTGAGGCAGGAGGATTGCTTGAGGCCAGGAGTTTGAGACCAGCCTGGGCAGCATAGTGAGACCCTGTCTCTACAAAATAAAAAATAATAAAAAAATACATAACTGAGAGAAGTAGGTTTAGCTTAAATTTTTAAAAAGTTTAAGTTTATACAGTGGGTATTTATGTGAGCAGATGTTTTTACCACAAGAGGAGAAACTGGATACTCTAACAGGAGAAGGTCCAGAGCAAATCACTGGGTGGATTAAGTATTTATACAATTTAAAAGAGAAGATGGACATTTGGTAAATAGACCTAATCTTTTGGGTGGTTATTCTCTCTTTACTCAAGACTTTACCCAGGATTATCCTCTTTTCACAGAACTTTCTTCAAGTCACTTATCATTTTGTAGAATAATTTCCTGTTCTTTGATGTCGTCAGGTGTCACTGAAAGTTGGTCTAGAGGATTGTGGGTCTGACCGCACATGACAGTTCCTATAAAGTTTACTGGCCTCAGCATGTCTTATCTCAGCTCTTGACCTTGACTGGAAGGCACTAGTGTAAATGCATTGTTACATTTGAGGTTATAAAATAAGCACTTAGACTTCCTTATACAATTTCTATGAAACAAGTCCACACCTTGCTACTGATAACATGAAATTGGATGTTATTTCTGAATTGAAACCAACATTTTTGGTTTGGGGTTTATCTGGTATAATCTCACTACTCTGAAAAAGTTTACTTTTCCAAATAAATGCAATATATTTTATTTTGGGTGAGTTTAAAAATCATCATCTTGGATAGCTTTTTTAAATGTAATACTGTGTATGCAAATTAAAGAGCCTGGAAAGTCTGGTGCCATGTATTCCTGTTTGGCCTACAGCTTTTAGCTTGTGTGATAGATGGATTCTGCCACATGGGCTTGAACAACACAGTGTCCTTTTTTTATTTTTATTTTTATTTTTTGAGACGGAGTCTTGCTTTGTTGCCCAGGCTGGAGTGCAGTGGCGCAATCTCGGCTCACTGCAACCTCCAACCTCCTAGGTTCAGGTAGTTCTCCTGCTTCAGCCTCCTGAGTAGCTGGGACTACAGGAGCGCACCACCATGCCTGGCTATGTTTTGAATTTTTAGTAGAGATGGAGTTTCACCATGTTGGCCAGGCTGGTCTCGAACCCCTGACCTCAGGTGATCCACCTGCCTCAGCTTCCCAAAGTGCTGGGATTACAGGCGTGAACCACTGTGTCCAGCCCACGAGTCTTTTATATAAAAACCAGAACAGCAGGAAAAAGCAGGTTAGAGCATGTGGCCCAGGCTGCTACTTGAGTTGACAGCTGATGGAATAAATTCTTAGTTCTGTAGAGAAAGTGAGGATTTAGTCCTTAGGTGATTGTCTGGGGATGTGGGATCTGACAGAACCCCTATGGCTTGGGGAGCAGGGGTGGGATGATGTGAAAGCCTTAGTAGGTACTATGCAGGGTCTGTGGAATCAAGGAAGAGGAAATCATATTTTGAGGAGGCTGATTGTGAGAAACTGTGAACCTGTCTGCTTAAATTACAAGAGTGGCCTGTTTATCTGCTGTCAATAGAGTATGAAGTAGTCATTTTAATTGAATTTTCTGATAATTGAAGCTTATTAATTGTCTAAAATTATCTTAAGATATTTTCTGATGTACATCATTTTAAAATGAGTTGCACACATTTCTATTCTGTTTCAACATATTCAATATAATTTTCGCTCTTGTTCATCTGTTGGTATTCATTATATAATTCAGACGTGGTCTCAGGTCTGGAGACATGTGAAGTTATTGCTCCTACACTGAGTGTTTCCATGTCATTATGCCTTAATCCTTATTTAGACACAGCTATGACACCCTCTTTACAACATAAAGGATAAGCAAAAGGATGTATAAATGTATCCTGGGCTGGAAAGTGGCATTATTGACTGGCCATTGGCCATCAGCAAAGGGGCCTGAGTGGAAGGATATGAAAGGATGGGTGTAATGTAGATGACGGGTTGATGGGTGCAGCAAACCACCATGGCAGGTGTATACCTATCTAACAAACCTGCAGGTTCTACACATGTGTCCCAGAACTTAAAGTATAGTTAAAAAAAAAAAAGGATGAGTGGTGAGCACAGCTGACACACCCCACGAATATCTGGGGGGCTTTGAGAAGGTTGCTGAGATCCAGTAATCATGTGGCAAGTTTCAGTTATTTTTATTGAGACCTCTTGGCTCAATAGGCTGTTGAGGTCGTTGGAAACTCCCATCAAAGTTGTTTTCCAAATCCTCCATGACTGTCAGGGTTTCCCTGTGCGAGTTAAGAGCATGAGCTCTGGAGCCAGAGAGCCCAGGCTTGAATCCTGTCTCTACCATTGTCTTAGGCTGAGTTCCCTGTGAAACAGTTTGTGAGATTGTGCAAGAAGTTTACTGGGACTTGTACTGAGGGACACTACCTGTTGGGGAGTTAAGGAAGTTGGACTGGGAAGAGGGAGGAGCTGAAGAGCAAGACAGTAACAGAGGCCTCAGCTGAACCCATCAGGAGCTCTGGAGCTGGGGAGAGAGATCCTTTAGAGTTGCCCCCAGATAAGGAAGCTAGGCCTCTTTATCCCACAACAACTGGTCATGATATATGGGCTGCCTCTGGAGAGGGGTGTGACCTTGGGTCAGACGGCTCTCTTTGGCTAAGGTAATTTCTAGAACAAGGTTGAGCTGAGCGTCATCAATGAACACTCCACCAGCTGGGGAAGCACCTCTGTTCTGCAGGGGAGATCTGGGCTGCACAGCACAGCACCAAAGACTTCGTGCCTTATGACGGGGGACTCTGTGCTTCCAAGTTCTTTATCCCAACCTTCTTTAATTCCTAGAGTTTAAGTAAGTTAATGAATGTGAAATGCCTAGAAAAATGCATAGCACATAGTCAGTATGGTTTAGGTGTTCGTTATTATGATCATACCTGACTTTATCAGCCCTACCTCTATTATAGTGTGGTTCTTCTAATATGCTGTGAGTCTGAAAGCTGTTAATACTCTCCTTATTTTTTTAAATTTTCTTTGCAAGAGGAAAACATCTGACAATATTTTAGTAAGAAATGATTTAACATATAATGTGTTTTTGTACCATTTGTGTTTTTAATTTTTACCAGAAGAAAGATGCAAAAGAAGTGATTACTGATGATGACATTTGAAGGATTTGGACATATGGTGGATAAAAGTTTTAGGAGTATGTGTGTATTAGTTGTTGGCCTCCCTCAAAGTAACTTAGATAAGCAATCTCTGAGTTAACAGAGAGTTCACTGCTGTTGAGTTGGAGACTGGTGTGATAAGAGCAGTTCATAACCAGGGGATAGTGTCCAGCTGAGAAGCTCCTCGAAGTGTTGGTCTTCAACTATCCCATCACTGTAGGCCTAGATATAAACATTAGAACATATAACCAATACATATAGCATTGACAGTTAAATTGCTTTATTTCTTAAACATTTCAGAATCATTCATTTCCGTATTTAAATTCCATAAATATAGAGCAAATCACCTGGAATGTTTTAGAAATTTGGTTTTGATTCAAAGTAATGTTCTCATGGAGATGCAGTCTCTGCCAATTCATTTCTCATTCACTTTAGGACATGGCTAATTCCCTTGGACAGTTTTTATCTCCTTCATATTCAAATGGGTGGAAAACATTTTATCTGAAATGACTCACCCTTCCCCCACCTCCTCAAATATGGCAACTATGTTGTATTGTTTATTTTTAAGGGACTATCTAATTGCACCGTTAACATTAAAGCAGAGAGTTAAAAATGTATGCCACAAAACACTCTTTTAAAATATCAAGTGTGAACATGTCTTCTGTTTGTACCAGTAATCCATTATTTGTATACCCTAATAAAGCCAGCGGAGTGGAGGAGGAAATAATACAACACCTTCTTTGAAAATTTTTTTTAAAAAAGAGGGCTTCCTTGAATCCATTTTCCTCCCCAGTTTTAATTTAAATTGCTCGTACTTATTCTCCATTTCTTTTAAAGAAATGAGATTGTTAGAAATGAACCATGGAAAGTAATTTATCTACATATTTATTATATGATGATCTGTAGAAAATGAGGATTACATGGAATACACAGTAATCATCAAGCTGTCAACAAGAAATTTTGTTTTAGCTTAACTTTCTTAGACATTAACCTTGTTTCTGAGTTGAGCAATCTGTTGTGGGTTCTATGCAGAATTCCATGGTTACTTTTGTTATGTGAGCCAAGAACCTAATGGAAATCTTCTCACTTCAGCAACCAGCTAACGTTTTTTTTCCTATTGAGACTAAGAATATATAACACATTTAAGATTTTAGTTCCACATTTTGGCGGAGGGTGGTGTTTGGGAAGAGTGAATATGGATAAAAGATTTGAGGTAGACTACTAGATGTGTAAAAATGTATTAATGTTTATATATGATGAGTGGTAACAATGTATTGCATAACAAGTCCTTTCTCCTTTTAGAAAGATGACTTTTAAAACTGTGTATTTAGGGGATTAAAATACATAAACCCTCTTTTTAGAGAAACATTGTTGAGCTTGATTTAATGGGAAACAACTCTATATCCAAGAAGATAATGCTAGTGTAGCTTTTAATTCTCAAAAACCTGAAATTATGACATTGGTATAGATGATCTTTCACTGCGTAAGAGATAGTGAAGTAAAAATAATATTTTGGACAAAATTATGTATTGTGTCCAAAATGGGTGTAGGTGAAATTTCTACTCTTGTATATTTAATCCGAAGCCAGCCACAGTTACTGTGTGATGACTTTGCAGAGGGTCCTGCTCATGACTCCCAATTTAAAAACCACTTAATGCCCTCTTTTTTGTTAGCATGCATGTAGGTAGGTTTTTATGTGGATTTTAGTTATACCTTGGCGAAAAACATGCATTTCTCAATCTTGGGCCATTGACCTAAGTTTTTTAAATGAATAAATGCAAACCAGAACATATTGTAAGAAGGAAAATCTGTTGATCCAAAACACTTGTTTATTTAAATAGAATGGCTTATTACTTTCATTTAGAGTATAAAGGTTAATCAAGTCTTGGGATTGTTCATCTAAATATGTAAATGTAATGCGGTCAGGGACACCTGAATAAATGTTTGCTTAAATGATAACTAGTTAGTAGAAGTATATTAAACTAGATTTTAATCACTCACAAAGTTTTACATGTGACATGTTTAGTAAACTCACTGTTTATTATGTAATTTAAGTAAAAGGCAGAAGAGGAAAGATACCTAATAAGCGAAACACTGTAAATTCCAGAAAAGCCATGTTATTAGAATTTATATTTTCTCTGAAAACCAAGTAGTTTTTCACCCACAGGTCACTCAAAGGTTTATCAAAAGGAGAGGAAGATTCCATGCGGTGTTGGCTATTTGATCTAATGGTCTAAATGAAATGGAAAAAGAAAACATGTCCTTATGCTAATGGTTCAGTTTCCAACAATAAACCTGGTGGGTTCACTTTAAGTGTGGTTTCCTGAAAATTGATGATGATTTTTAGCACTTAGCTTCTTATCTTCAAAGCACTTTCCAAATGTTAAATAATTAATTGCCACAACCCCCATGTGGGCGTAGAATAGCAAGCATGTCTTTCTGTTTACCAGGAAGCCATTATGACAGAGTCTGGAAATGTTGATTTTTATTTTTAGAGGTGTCTTTGCTTTCCAAGGTGACCAGCATTTTAAATGATGTCCTGGTTTCCAATCACAGGGTCATGGGAAAAGTTACCAAGGATGTTGAGTACTTGAAAACTTTTTATTCTTCTTGTTTCCATACAGGTTTCACTTTTCATCTTACTTTTGCCTGTTCATCATTTTGCAATACTATTTTTTAAAATGGAATATTAAATATTAGCAAGTTTAGTCTTTGCTATTAGTATAGTCTCTTTGTAACTAGTAAATACAGCATGCAGAAAACCTGGTGGAACTAGGAGGGATAAAGATAACTTTAAGTGGAAAAAAAATCACATTTCAAAAACAACTTTAATATATTAAAGAAATGAATCATTTTAAACAATAGTTTTTCTAGTCTAACTTAACCTTGGAGCCTGAGGAATAATGAATATAGACCATGTATATGTCTAACAGTGTATAGTTGCACTGTATGACATATATTGAGGATGAACTTATATAAAACAACTAGAGAACAAGAAAGACAATGAGAGAGGCTAATGTAGACAAAATAAATATGGAATAAGATGGCTAACACTGGGGTTAACACGTACATCTTAACACTGGATTTAACGCATACATCCTGAGGAGACTGAGGTCATGGGTGATGGTGTGACAGGACCTTTAGGAAGGAGGTGGGTTAGAATTTACAAGGTAGGTGGTGACTGTCCTAGCAGACAATACCTACATTAGCCAGACTAATTCCCAGCTTGTTTGTGTTGCCAGCGTCAGAATATCTACTGATTAGCTCTCTGGAGAGATGCAGGATGGAGTCACTGTGGCAGATGCAGAAGGCTCCCCATCCCTCAGCTTCTCAACCTTTGAAATAGAAAAGAGCCAGGACCTTACTTTGAGAGCAGTCAATCCCTTTATGCTTTGAGAAACCCACCAGATAACAAAGAGAATGCTATGGTGATTATTTCTGATGAATGTTGTTTCTTTGCATACGATTAACATCTTTAAAGGCAGAGCAGAGTTAGATTTCTTCCATGTCATTTTAAGGAGGTAAGGCCCCCCCATCCCCCAAATCAGAAGTGTCAGCTAAACACTTGTCTATTGAATGCAGGTATATCTTCTTCATCATGAAGTTTGAGACCCACAGCTGGGCTTCAGAGAAACCCCTCGATATTGTTGTATACAGAATTTGTATATATATTTATTTTTTTCTGGAGAAGTATGTCCAGCATATTTATGACATTACTGAAACTGGGGCATACACACAAATATTTAATATTTAATACTGACTAGGTTCCCTTATGGACCACAAAACAAAAGGTCAGTTTCTAGCTATTGACTCCTCCAAAATTTGAATGAAAATAAAATGAGAGCCTGTCAGCTGCAAGACATCACCTCCAAAAAATCTAATGTTTTTCTCTTATCAGAAAGATCAGAAAGTGCAATGATGCAGTCAAAACCAGTGAACATGGCTATTTAACTACAGTACATTAAATTTGGAAAGGTAATGATCAAGATTATTTTATCTACCATCAGTCATGGGACTTTCTTACTATCAGATCTAGAGAGGGTATGCCCATAAGGATAAGGCAACTTTAATTGTGCATTTGTAATTTAGCTCACATTCAAACATGAGTGCTTTGATAGCCTTTTTGTGGGAAATTGCTCATTGACTATGTCGTAGAACGCATTTGGGAAGTAGGATAATTCTTTGCCTCTCTATAGTTCTTTCCATAAGCAAAGTAGTTATTTTCCTGTAAGTTTGTATACTAATTTAATCTTTGTTAATAAGACCACATTTTCTGTGAAATTTTGCAAATAAGATCATGATTATAACTCATTAGGGGAAGGCTGATATTTAAAGGAGTATTGGAATATAAGAGAATCATTAAATATGGAAAACAAGACCAAAAGACTAGGGTATTTTAATTGAAGTTCATTGTTGGTCTTTGAGGTGTGAGTGTTCAATAATCTCATGAAACTATAGCCACATTTAAATTATATATTCATATATCCATTTTATTTTTAGGTTACAATTCACAGTTTTCAACAGATTTCCAAAAGGCTCATGGCCCCCCAAAATGTTAAGAATTATTGGCTTATAATGTCAGAATTTTATAAGTGCTTATCTAGGAAGAAGCCTTCCATAATTTTGAGAATTTTGCTCAACTTCAGTAATTTGAAAACAGGTCATTGATAAAGAATAAAATAGTACAATACAGTGGAGTTCAAAACTGTTTAGTTCTGAGTATAATGCTTTATGAATATATATTAGACTTGACAAATGTGTAAGAAGATAAGCAAGAAAGATCAAACTGTTAACTCCGAATTATAACTGAGGGCCTGGGGCTGAATATATGGGTTGAAATCTGTCAATAATCTGTGAATCTCATTAAAACCAGTAGTTGGAACCATTTCACTGATGAAATTCACATTCATTTTGATTATTATTATTATTATTATTATTATTTTAGAAGGAGAGGTTTCCGACCCTAGTGATTGGTTTGGGGTTTCATTTCCTCTACTATAATCATCTACTGCAAGCGAATCATGCAGTGGTTAAGTATTCAGCCTCTGGAATCAGCTTGGACGATCATATTACTTTGCTACTATGACTGTGGTCTTGGGGAATTCACTTGACATCCATGTGCTCCTCTTCTGTAAAATAAGCATAATGGTACTAGTAATCTTATAAGGTTGTAATGGAAAATCAAATACTGTAGTGTATATTGAGAACAGTACCACCTGTCTCAACTGAATAATTTTAATTTTGTCATCATTTCTGAAGTGATGCCTGCTCATAAGATAGATAAGATACTGGCAGCTGAAAGGACAATAAGAAGAAATGAGGTGTTGGCTCTATTCCAAACACTATGGTCCCTTGAATAAATGAGAATTGACGATTTGTTTTATTGACACTAGTCTGAAGTCTCCTGGAAATGTTTCATCTGCTTTAGTATGTCTAGACAGATGGTCTTCCTGCATAGAATATTTCTATGTTTATTAATTCAGAATTAGAACAATTTAAAAATCTGTAAGCATGTGTGAGGATAAATTTATAGCATGTGCTTCCATATCCTTAAAGCAAAGTATATCTATAGGTGCAAATTACTGTTGATCTTAACAACTATGATTTCCCAACATTTGGTGGGTATTTAACTTTCACTTGTTTACAAAAAAACTAAATGAAGTCACTTGACTATGAAATACACTTTAAAATATTGAAATCAGATAGCCTTAGATGATAATTTTTCTGCAGTGGTAAAGGAAGTATTGGAAGTGATGCAAAATTTGCTACTTCACATTCTCCATCAATTACTTCATGGTTTTTCAAGTTAATTTGTATTTCTAAGAACTGCATGAAGGCTTATTTTCTTTGTGTAGAAAAATATTAATGCTTGAATTCTGTTTTTTCCTCTTTATTTTCATTTGAGTTTAGGAAATTTTTGGAAGGCTTTCCTCCTTTTTCTTCGGGGAGACAGGGGCTCATTCCATTGCCCAGGTTGGAGTGCAGTAGTGCAATCATAGCTCACTGCAGTCTGCACGTCTTAGGCTCACGTGATCCTCCCACCTCAGCCTCCTGAGTAGCTGGGACTATAGGCACGTGCTACCTTGCCCAGCTAATTTTAGTTTTTATAGAGACAGGGTCTTGCTTGTTGCCCAGGCTGGTCTCAAACTTCTGGGCTCAAGCCATCCCTCTGCCTTGGCCTCCCAAAGTGCTGGGATTACAGATCTGAGCCACTGTGCCTGGCTGCTCTCCTCCTTTGACAAATTATAATAATATAACAATGTTGGCTGGGCGTGGTGGCTCATGCCTATAATCCCAGCACTTTGGGAGGCCGAGGCAGGCGGATCACGAGGTCAGGAGATGGAGACCATCCTGGCTAACATGGTGAAACCCCATCTCTACTAAAAATACAAAAAAATTTGCCGGGTGTGGTGGCGGGCACCTGTAGTCCCAGCTACTCAGGAGGCTGAGGCAGGAGAATGGTGTGAACCCGGGAGGCGGAGCTTGCAGTGAGCTGAGATCGCACCACTGCACTCCAGCCTGGGCGACAGGGTGAGACTCCGTCTCAAAAAAAAAAAAAATATATATATATATAATAAAACAATGTTACTATTACAGGTATCCAGATATATTATTGGCTAATCATTATCTGTAAAATGAAAAAATAATTGGAAATAAAATGTGGTATTACACAATTTATCACATTATATTAAAAGGGGCCTACATTAGAATGTGTAGAAGCAAGCCTTTTTTTTTGGTATTAAAATCTCATAATCTCATTTAATGATTTATTAATTATGGTTTTCTTTCCCATTACGGCCTTTTCTTTTATTGTTGTCATCTGGACTCTTCTATTTTAAATCACCTTTCTTTTTATGATTGTATGAAAAACAAGTTAACCTAGTTAAGTTGGGTTCTAAGATGCCTGAATCAGTGTCCCACACCATTTATACCATCTCTTGAGGACATTAGATGATATTCACGTGACCCTCACTTGAGTGTAATTCTTGAGCCAGGACCAAAGGTTTGACATGAGATGAATATTTCTCAGTTTTTTTTTCCTTGAGTTTCCAGACTTGAAATTGGCTAGCAATCAGCTGGAATATTTGGTTATAGAGACAAATTTGGTTACGCTAGAAACCTGATCTTTAGAATGGCTTTATGCTCTTTATGCAATGCTGAAAGTCTTCAGAAAGTTTGTGTCAAATTTTCTTGCCTTTGTAGTTTATTCTGCATGATCAGAATAAGTGTGGCATAAGTTACTTTATATGACAAGGGCACATATTTTTTCCCCCCATGCTCAATATAATATGCAAATCAAAAGGACCCTCATACTATCTGTGCTATTGGCTACAGTGTATTATGTCTAACTTTTGAAATGAACAGTGGCATTTTTATTTCATAGTCATCTATTGAGCACTCTGTTAGGATCTTGGAAAAAAGAAGCAGCAGGGCACATTCCTCCCTAATGTGTAACAGTCTACTGGGGGAGACAGGGCAGACACATTTAGAAACAGAATTCTACAAGGATGTTGCAAGAACAGGGTCAAGTGAAGGGTGTCTGAGGTTCACAGGTGCTGAGGCTTGAAACCTTTCTTTTCTTCTTCTTTTGAATACAACACTTAGATCACATTGTTGCAGCTAATAAAGATGTATCATAAAATATGAGTACCAGTAGCTACCTGTAATGCATTTTGGAGATTTTCATTTTATTGTATCTTTCTTCAGAAAATTATGAGCATTTCAATCTGTTAGTACTCTGCAGTTGCATATCAATTGGACTCAAATTGCTCAATCTCTGATTTTCAGACCTATTTATTTTTTTCCTTCCTGATTATTGTGAGAAATACTTCCTGAGTATTGTGAGAAATACCTTTAAAACCTAGGTTTTAAAGGTAGCTGACTTTGCTATTGTGGTGAGTTATGCTTAAAAATTGGAAAAATAAATTATGATGTATTTTTGGATTAACTATTATTTACAGTTTTCAGGAGATTTTAGCACTGTATTTTATTTCATCATTATTATTTTTATTTGGTTGTATGTTATTTGGAGGGACTGTTCCAGTGCTTTTTGTGGTCTAACCATGAAAGTCTCTGAGAATTGAACATTTATACACTTTTCCGGAGAACGCTGTGACCATGTTTATCTCTTTTTTCCTTTTGCTTTTCACCTTAGTTGCCTGTCTTTTGAAGCCTGCCATGCTGGCAATGATATCACATATTTCTGGTGCTTTTTGTAACTACCAGTGTGGACACCAATGGGGTGCCCATCTGAGTAGCCCTGGGTGTCGCCCTGAGCTCACCTGCATGTTGGCCTGAGCACTGCTGGTATTGTAGGGATAGTCAATGATTGCTTCCTTTGGGCAAGCAGGAGCTGCAACCCCCTGTGTAATTTTCTAGGCAGTAAGCAAGGGTGTGTTTACCATTATCCTTCTTGGCTGTTTAATAGCCATTATCTAATTTAAGGAGAAATCACAGCATCTATGCAATCTGTCAAAAAACATGATGACTTAAACATACTTAATGTATTTCTAGAACCAAAGTAACAGTTGCCAGAAATGTTGAAGAAAGTAAATGTCTTCTCTGAGAAACTTTAGTTTGTGGGCAATGCATTGTATGTGTTAAAATGCATAATCTTTGGTAATTTTTCAGGAAACATTTTCTTATCGGTTATTTCTCACAAAATAACATGTTATTTGTGATTTCTCTTTCTCCATCTGTCCTTCCATTCCCCACACTTACCCCAAGGAAAATCTTAGGGAAATTAACACAACTAAGGAGAAGGCTTTCTTCTTGTTACTGGGAACACTGTGTAAACAAAATGATCAGAAGAATCTCTTTTAAATCTTGAAAAAGTATATTTGTTGGAGGTTGAAGCTATGTTGTTATGTTTATATATTTTTCTACCTCAGTAGTCTGTAATCTCCTGAATGAAGTGTCTGTATCTTATTCATTTTTTATGTCATCAGTCTCTAGCATGGACTGATGCAGAGTAGGTACTCAATAAGAAGTTGTCCAGGAGAGCTGAACTGGAGGCATGCAGCTGCAGTTATAAAGATGAAAAGTGATAGAGAAAAAATATTTGCTACTCAGAATTTCCAAAGAATTGTCTGAAAAATGTGAAAAGACTTCGAGCCAAAATATGACAAAGAAAACTCGCATTCAGAATGTTTTTCTTTGTAATTTGTCTTGGCAACATTTATTCCTTTGCACAGATCCATGTGGTTGTTAGATTGCTTTCAAATAATATCGTTGTATGACAGGGTGACTGCATATACTTTTACCACAAAATACCTTCACAAAACAGTTTATCTTTTTATAATTACCTTTTGTCTTTTCCTTTACTTACTCCTACAGATTTTAGGCTTTTGGCAGATTCAGAAAAGATTTATCTTTTATTTGCTTTTAACAATATAAAGACATAGTGATTCTCCTATGATTCTGTATTCTGTAAATTTAGGTCTGTCATCACCATACTTTATTTAACATAGAGAATTTTTTATATATTACCTGTGAAACTCCAAATAATTTGCAAAATTAAGATATCAAAATGGTATATGATAGCTCACACCATGAGGTTGTTTTTACCAGGAGGTAGAAGGATACTTTGGGTCTGTAACACAAACTACTAACAATAAATTTCTGTCCATCCTAATTGCGAATATACCAGTTTTTAGGAGTGACCTCAATGTTGCTGCACTCTGAAGTTTTAAAAATGTGGGTATGTTTAACAGCTCCCCAATGAATCTGAGCAAAAACCTGAAGTGTTGGAGCTCTGCCCTAATTTGGTGGACAGATTTTTCACAAATCTTTATTGCTAAGAAGATGGAACATTTGACAATTTAAAGTCATGTCCCCCATAAGTTGAGAGTAAACACATTAGTAATAGTGTCACTTGAATTTATCTGTTTTTTTTTTTTTTTTTTTTGTGTGTGAACAGCTTATAATGCTTTATGGAGCTTATCAAAGCCACATGGTGATGACTGTCAGGCCTGGAGTTGTGCAAAAATGAACTTTGGCTCTTGCAGCGAAGGAAAATTAGACGCTAAAAACCAGGGATTTTTTTTAGAATTACCTAAGACAGGGTTTGTAAGATTTACAACCAAATTCACGGATGTGATGATTGCAGTGCTCCCTCACCAAGGAAGCCAGCCAACTGTGAGGATGTCTCACTGGTTGTGTGTGAAGACAACTAAGATGCCATCTAAGAAAATCTAACCTTCCAGCCTTGGCTTGTACAAGTGTGTCTGCCCTCAAAGAGTCATTCCAGCTTTCTGTCTTCTGTCTGAAAGAATAATTTAGGTCTAATTTTAAAATTGTCTAATTTTCCCCTAAAATTTTGAGTTCTTTATCTCTATTGTTACTATTCTGGGGTTTGGAACCCTCTGGCTTTTTCTCTAATGGGCTGTTCACTGAGCTTAGGTTTCTCACTTGGTTAGATTCGGGGTTAGTTTTAATGTAGTCACCATCCTGTGTTGAATCCTCAGGATCAGGAATGGATCTAGGCAGAATTATGTCTGACTGGGAGAGTAGCCAGGAAGAGGCCCAGGCCTCTGGAGCTGGGCAGAAGGTGGGGGTTGCCCTTGCTGGGAGCAGAGGGTGAATACCAGTGCTGACCTGCTGTCAGAGGGGCTCACCAGAAATGAGAAAAACCAGATGGTCACTAAGACCAGAGTTGGAATCCACAGGACAGAGGCACAATGGGGTTGGAGAACCATGGGATATGAAAGTGTGAGGGGAAGGTTGAGACTAGATGAATGAGATGAGGTGGGCCATATTCCACAATGGCAATGACATTTCCTGTGTGCACGCGTTTGTGTGTGTGCACGTGTGTGTGTGAATAGGGTAGCAGGTTTAGTTTTGGGTAGGCCAGGTCACATTAAATAAACTGGCATGGGATAGGTACTAGGGAGCTGAGCAGAGTGATTACCATGAGGCTAAAGCTCCTCTGTTGCTGGGGGAAAGTGTCCAAAGGTGAGAGAAGTAAATACAGTCATTCCTTGCATAACGATGTTTTGGTCAATGATGGGCCACATATATGACAGCAGTCCCATAAATTTATATTATTGTATTTTTACTGTACATTTTCTATGTTTAGATACACAAGTACTTACTATTGTATTATAATTGCCTACAGTATTCAGTACAGTCATGTGCTGTATGGGTTTGTAGATTAGGAGCAATAGGTTATACCACATAGCCTAGGTGTGTAAGAGGCTGTACCATCTAGGTTTGTGTGAGAACCTCTCTGATGTTCACACAATGACAAAATTGACAAACGATGCATTTCTTGGAATGTTTCCTGTCATTTACCAATGCATGACTGCATAAGACCTGATGATAACTCAGAATTCTGTATTTTCCTGCATACAGGGTGTTGCTGATTTGCATCTGTTTGTCCCTTCCTTTATTGTCATTACTAGAAATAATGCTGGATTTTACCTCATAAAGTATTGGCTCATGAGTGCCACTCTTGACATGTTACAAGGAGCTGGTAAAGCAGACATAGAGAAGCCTCTGTTCTTATTTTTGAGACTAAAACACAAGAAAGCTCTGCTTTCAGGCTGGTGGGCTTGAAAGCAGGGGACTCTTTTGTCACCACACAATTTGATCTTACTGGAGTACTGAGTTTTCATGGCATACTAATTGCTCTTTATTAAGAGTCATTTCTGTGGCTGTCATTATGATTGTGCACCTTGATGTATATTGATAGAGTAAAAGATGAAAAGGTGAGAAGAAAATCTCCCTGATATGGACTGAATGTCTGTATCCACCCTGACCCCCACCCAGAGTCATAAGTTGAAGCCCTAATTTCCAGTACGATGATATTTGGAAGTAAGACCTTTGGGAGGTAATTAGGTTATGAGGGTGGAGCCCTCATCAATGGGATTAGTGCCCCTGTAAGAAGAGACATGCGAGAGATGATCTCTTTTTGGCCATGGGAGGACATGGTAAGAAGGTGGCCTTCTGCAAGCCAGAAAGGAAGGTCTCACCAGGAACGGAATCAGCTAGCACCTGGATCTTGGACGTCCAAGTCTTCAGAATTGTGAGAAATAAATGTCTGTTCTTTAAGCCACCCAGTCTATGATGTTGTGTTATAGCAGCCTGAGCTGACAAGACACTCCCTGTTCTCTACACCCTACGTAGGCTGCTCCCTTGCAATATTTTTATGCTTGTTCAGTTGGCCACTTAGCATCCCAATCATTTTTCTTGACATGGCCCCCAGGTACCCAGATGTACTGGGGTTTTGTGTGGAGAACTGAACTGTGCACAGGCTACACCTTTGGCATGAACTGATCCTGTACCGAGGGGTATAGAAGTGCTCCCAGCTGTGGCCTCCTAACTTGGTTTACACAGCCCCGTATACAACACTTCAGAAGTGTGTCATCCTCAGCCTAGGATGACGCTGGCTAATGGCCCTGTAGGGAGGGAAGAGGTTTGAAAGGGAATGATAATTAAAGCAACTTCAGTTACATTGTGGATTTTCTAGGATTTCCAGGTACATGTTAGCATTTCCTGATCAAGAAAGTTGGTGATCTCAATTCTGTTTTCCATAAACGCATCATCATGGCAAAGGCTGATGGGGCAGAGAGACAGGATATATGACCCTTGTATATAACCCAGAAGTCAGGGATGTGGTCCCGCCACCACTCGTACCCTATCCTACGTACATAAAACTGTCCCATATCTTTACTCTTGCGGGCTTTTGATTTTGTTTTGTTGAGTTCTGTGTTTATTTTTTGCTGTGTACTTAAATTGATTCAATAAGGCACATGATCTGAGCAAAAAAAGAAAGTTGGTGAAATAATAGATTTATTTACTAATGTTTCTGAATCTTTTTCATGTCACAGAGTGCTCAGTAAATAATAATATTTGCATGGTACACTGGGTAAACAGTCTGGACATCTTTTGGCCTGGGGCTTGGGCTCTGCCTGGCCCTGCCTGGCAGCTCCCAGGAGTGAGGGGCATCTCCACCCACTTGAAACTTACTCCAACCCTGGTTTAGAACCATGAGGATTCACAGTTGATGCAGTAGTAGCTTTATGCATTATGCAGCTTTATGCATTCTATACTGGCAACTTGGGTTATGATTTTGCTTTTGCTGTGATTTCCTAGTGTGCTTAGGACTTTTTGTCTGAATTATCTGATCTCTAACCCAGAGTCAATATGTTACTTATCTTATTAGCAACTAGGCATGCTGAGAGAATAAATAAATTGTGTGTAACTCTTTGAGTATCTTCAAAGTAATACCCTATGCTATTACAACGGTATCACAAATGTTGGATCACAAATGTCATTTAGTCCATCCTTCTGTCCTCTCCTCAATCTTGTTGATAGTACAGGGTAGACTAAAACATCACAGCTGGGTTTCTTTATTTCCCCTGAATTTATTAATTCGCTCCTGACTGCTTTTTTCTTGTTTTGTTTTACTAAGAACTTTGTGTTCTGGTCCTGTCCAAGGTGCAGATGGTTATGCTTTCAAAACACCTTATTGTCATAATAGCACTCATTTCAAATAATACTCTACTCTCAGTTTCACCATTTCAAGCACTATTCATTTGATTCTTGAGGAGAAGGTGATGCTCTTCCACTGATCCTCCAGGAAGGGTCTGATCCTCCAGGAAGGCTCCATCCACCTCGTTCCTTTCCCAGGTTCATAAGGAGGGTGGCAGTGTCAAATGAACCCTGTGCCAGGCACTTTCACATTCAGTAAGGAGAGCATGGGTTTTAGAGTCAGACAGATCTAAGTGTGAATTTCCATCTCTTCCCTTTTAGACTCTGTAACCTCAGGACATTAACTTTATGATTATGGGACTGTGTTTCATCCTATGTAAAGTGGAGCTAGTGGTAACTACTGGGTGTGTGCTGCCGTGATGATCACAAGTGAACCGTCCCAAAGGGGCTAGCAAACAGTGGGTGCTCAACAAACGATACATATAATTATCATTATTGATAATTCTGTAATGCATTGTACAGAGTCAGTTGTTTTACCGAACAAAATAAATTATTATTGCTTGTCTACCAACTTTGTCATTTCTATTTTTTTTTTTTTTTTTTTGAGATGGAGTCTTGCTCTGTCGCCCAGGCTGGAGTGCAGTGGCGTGATCTTGGCTAATTGCATCTTCCGCCCCCACCCCGGATTCAAGCAATTCTCCTGTCTCAGCCTCCCAAGAAGCTGGGATTACAGGCGTGCACCACCAGGCCTGGCTAACTTTTGTATTTTTAGTAGAGACGGGGTTTCACCATGTTGGCCATGCTGGTCTCGAACTCCTGGCCTCAAGTGATCCACCCACCTTGGCCCCCCAATGTGCTGGGATTACAGGCGTGAGCCACAACTCCCAGCTATCATTTCTATTTAAGAAACCATTCATTTCAGAAAATTAGTTCTTACCAAAGATGTGTTAACTGAAATAACATTTTTTTCTTGCTTTCATTCCTCTGTCACTTCTATTTTTAATGTTTCTTTTATTCTGATTTTTAAAAATTGGCATTTGGGGTCATTTTTAAGTTTTATTCTTGTCAAAAACATTACACAAACAGGTCTGTATTTCCCAGGGTGACCACCTTTCAAAAATGCCCAGCTGGCCCATTTCCATGCCTCAGCCATGTGCCCAGTTAGTCCTCTGACTATTATCAACAAGTTGAGAAATTTGACCTCTGATATATCAAGAGGCACATGCTTGATGATTTCTTTCCTTGATTCCCTGCAAGGTTCAAAAGAGGGAAGCTCCTCTTATCCTTTATTTTTGGCTTCCACCTTGGAACTAATAAGCTTAGAAAAGACTTTGGAAGGCTATCTGGTTATCCCTCCTGCTCCATGCTGAGGAGGGAGCATGGCATGGAGCATTGGAGTCAGAGCTGGGTTTGAATTCTCTCTCCGCCAGTTGCTAGTAATGTGACCGTCATAAACTTGTGCCAGGTGGCAGCAATTTGACCTTTATGAACTTGTGCCTGTCTGGGAGAAATTAAGGACTTGCGGCATGACAATACTAGCTACGTGCCTTGTCTACCTGCTCTATGCTAAGTATCTACCACGCAGGGTGCTTTTGTGTCTGTTATCCCATAGCTTCTCCACAACTGAACAATGTGGGTATTACTAAGTCCATTTTTCAGATGAGAAAATGGAGGCTTAGAGAGTTGGTAACTTGAATTACATTCACTTTATAAAAATTCTTTACTAATTTTGTTTTAAAGAAACTGTGTGAGTGGGACAAGATGTGGAGAATAAGAATTGAGCAAGAAATACCACTTTAGATTTGCTTTGACATTAAAGTTTTTTTTTAAAGCAATTTAATCCTTACTGAGACTGAATAATATGTTTCTACTAATGAATGGGCTGTCAGCTCTAATGATAAAACAGTGCAAATCAGCAGTATAATGGAGCAATAAATGATTTGGGTACTAACAAAATGGCAGTTATGGGCTGGGTGTGGTGGCTCACGCCTGTAATCCCAGCACTTTGGGAGGCTGAGGTGGGCGATCCTGAGGTCAGGAGTTTGTGACCAGCGTGGCCAACATGGTGAAACCCCGTTTCTACAAATACAAAATATTAGCTGGGTGTGGTGGTGTGTGCCTGTAATCCCAGCTATTTGGGAGGCTGAGACAGGAGAATTGCTTGAACCTGGGAGGTGGAGATTGTCATGAGCTGAGATCGTGTCACTGCACTCCAGCCTGGGTGACAGAGTGAGACTCCATCTCAAAAAACAAAAACAAAAACAAACCACCAACAACGAAATGGCATTTATGTAGCTTAGAGAGTAGTTTTTATCTGTAGATGCTTATTATATGGTTGCTTTTCAAAGACCATTGTAAACAAAAATGATTCTATGACTGTAACAGAAATAGGAAACTCTCAGCTGGTCATCACTTCTATTTGGTATAAGAGTGGCATCATATGTACTTAGCTGGCATTTCCTGATTGACTGTTGGTTTTTATAGAACTGGAAGCAGAGGCAGGAAGACTTACAAAACAGACTCTGAGGTCTTCATCAAGGCTGGAATGTGGTAGTGACAGTCTGACATGCACTGCTTTTGGCTTTTCTTCCTTTTTGGCTTTGGCTGAAGCTAGTGAGCTGGGGGGACTGTGAAAGTTAAAACAAATGGAGAGTGTAGGGAAAGTGATCTTTGCTTTTTCTAAGACTCTTCTTGGCAATGGGACTTTTCTTCTGATATTTACAAGAAGAAATAATTCTTTCTTTTTTAATAGTGGCATGTAAAGTGATCCAAGTAGGTAATAGTTCATAAGCAAGTCCCAAATCTCCAGAAGGGAGATGTCATGATACTGAACAGCTCTTTAAGAAGTGAGTGATGTTTTACTTTGGTCTTCAGAGGTCTGTGTTTATCCAAATAATGGAGTTTTGAGATAATGAGAAAAGCAAATGCAAAAAGTTACCTTAGACAACATGCGTATGTAATTTCTTCTTAGAGTTGGTTTGTCTCAACTGGTTATGGTTAATTTTATTTGTGATTATCTATTAGAGGTAACACTGGTATTTATGCTCTAATTTCAGTCACTTGTTTGATGACCTTTCTAAACAAATACGTGTGCTGCTTCCAACTTAATTTTGGAATGCCATCACTTTATATTTATTATTTAGTTGTTTGAAACTCAAAATGTATTTCACTGTAGAAAGCAATATTAGAATGGTGCTTAGTGTTCCAGACCCATTCAAATCCGTACAAATCTATTTCACCCATAATATACCTAAAACAGTACTATTAGCACTATAATATTATTAGTAATTTTGATACTGTGAGCTAATAATCTATATGGGTTGTATCACTTAGTAGCTGTGTGAACTTGACAACTTGCTTGCATCTTTAAATCTCAGTTTTATCATCTGTAAAAGGGGGATGATAATAGTAGCAGCTATTTCATTGACGAGTAGTCAAGCTTAAATAATTCATATAAAGCACTTATTATATTAAATTTTATTATTATTTCTATAATTTGGCCACATTTTCAGAAAATTGAACTTTGTGAGTTGGCCTTGGAACCTAAGCAACAAATGTAATATTACTTCCTTGGGAAAAATAGGTATCCTGTGTTTGGCAAGAAGGGACTATGCTGTCACTGGGAACATCCTTCTTCTTCTTTTCCCTTGTATCCCATCAATGTCTAGTAATACAAGGGACTGTATTAGTTTTTGGAGAGTTTTTATTCTTCTAGGATCACAGGGAAGCTCACTTTTCTGCAGAAACATCACAAGAGCCTCTAAGTGTTCAAGTGAAAGGAAGAGTAGCACGTCTCTCACTTTAAGTTAAAAGCTAGAAATGATTAAGCTTAGTGAGGAAGGCATCTCAAAAGCCAAGATAGGTCAAGAGTTAGGCCTCTTGCCGCAATCGTTAGTTAAGTTGTGAATGCAAAGGAAAAGTGCTTGAAGAAAATTAGAAGTGCTACTCCAGTGAATACACCAATGACAAGAAAGTGAAAACAACCCTTAAGATTTATGCTAAATCTCCTCTGCCTATGCTCTGAAGATGGAACAGCACAGCCTAGATAACAGTACATCTGTTTATAGCATGATTTACTGAATATTTTAAGCTCACCGTTGAGACCTACTTTCAAAATTTTGCTGCTTATTGACAAAGTGCCTGGTTACCCAAAAGCTCTGATAAAGAGGTACAAGGAGATGAATGGTGGTTTTTATGTGTGCTAAAATAACTTTCATTCTGCAGCTCATGGATCAAGGAGTAATTTCGACTTTCAAGTCTTATATTTAAAAACACATTTTGTAAGGCAATAGCTGTCATAAATAGTGATTTCTCTGATGGGTCTGGGCAAAGTAAATTGAAAACCTTCTGAAAAGGATTTACCATTCTAGATGCCATTAAAAACATTTATGATTCATGGGAGGATGCCAAAATATCTACAGAAACAGAAGTTTAAGAGGAAGTTGATTCTAATCCTTATGGGTGATTTTGATTCATTACTTCGATGGAGAAAGTAACTGCAGAAGTGATGGACATAGCAAGAGAACTAGAATTAGAAGTGGAGCCTGAAGAAGTGACTGAATTGTTACAACCTCATGACAAACTTGAATGGATGGGGAGTCACTTCTCATGGATGAGCAAAGAAAGTGATTTCTTGAGATCGAATCTGCTCCTGGTGAAGATGCTGTGAACATTGTTGACATGACAACAAAGGATTGGGATTCAGAATATTACATAAACCTAGTCGATAAAGTAGCAGCACGGTTTGAGAGGATTGACTCCAATTTTGGAAAAAGTTCTACTGTGGGTAAAATGCTGTTCAACAGCAATGCATGCAACAAAGAAATACTTTGTGAAAGGAAGAATCAATTGATGAGGCAAACTTTATTGTCCATCAGAGTTGAGGCAAGACCTTCCACTAGCAAAAAATTACAACTTGGTGAAAGCTCTGGTGATTGTTAGCATTTTTTAGCAATACAGAATTTTAAAATTAAGGTATGTGCATTTTTTAGACATAATGCTATTGCACACAATAGACAACAGTGTAGTATAAACGTAACTTTTATATGCATTGGGAAACAAAAATTTCATGTGACTCGCTTTATTGTGATATTTGTTTTATTGTGGTGGAGTGGAACCGAACCTGCAACATCTCTGACATATGCCTCTAAAGACATTAAAAATATATATAACCTCACCACCATTATCATACCTAATACAATTAATAATAATTCCTTAGTACCGTCTAATACCCAATTAATATCCAAGCTTTCTTGATTGTCTCAAAATAGTTTTTTAAACAGTTGATTTGTTTGAATTAGCATCTCAACCCATGTGTCACATTAGATAGTTATGTCTTATGGGTGTCTTTTTTCTCTCAGAGTTAAGGAGAGTGTTTTTATTTTATTTTATTTATTTTTTTTAACTTTTATTTTAGGTTTTGGGGGTACATGTGAAGGTTTGTTACATAGGTAAACGCATGTCATGGGAGTTTGTTGCACGTATTATTTCATCACCCATGTATTAAGCCCAGTACCCAATAGTTGTCTTTTCTGCTCCTCTCCCTCCTTCCACACTCCCCGCTAAAGTAGACCCCAGTGTCTGTTATTTCCTTCTTTGTGTTCATAAGTTCTTGTCATTTAGCTCCCACTTACAAGTGAGAACATGCAGTATTTGGTTTTCTGTTCCTGGGTTAGTTTGCTGAGGATAATAGCCTCCAGCTGCATCCATGTTCCTGCAAAATACATGATCTTGTTCTTTTTCATGGCTGCATAGCATTCCATGGTATATTGGTACCACCCTTTCTTTATCCAGTGTCATTAACGGGCATTTAGGTTGATTCCATGTCTTTGCTATTGTGAATAGTGCTGCAGTGAACATTCATGTGCATACGTCTTTATGGTAGAATGATTTATATTCCTCTGGGTATATACCGAGTAATGGAATTGCTGGGTTGAATGGTAGATAGTTCTGCTTTTAACTCTTTGAGGATCACCTTACTGCTTTCCACTGTGAAGGACAGTGTTTTTAAATTGGGATGTAACGTCCTTCCACAATGTGGACCACTCCTGTTTGTACAAACAAGTGGCTAGAACCAAACACGGGATGTCATTCTTATGGCAAAGGATGACAAGCTCAGGGCATTTTCCCCCAAAGTGCAGTCAGTGTAACCATGGAATCAGAAAACTCATAGTTTAAAACAACTTTAAATGTATTCCTTTTTTATTTAAGGTATCAATTTGAATCGTGGGTGTTAAAAAAAAACACCAACAATAAGCTCTATGCTATTCTCATGATATCCACATATTAATCATCTGCTTTGGCATCTTCTAGCACTACGTGTTGCCATCCCTGGGGCAGATTTAGGTAGGCGAGGTTTCAAGTGGCAACAACTTGAGTCATGAACTTTGGAGCTAGTTTGGCAGAAGTTGATAAAGATTATATTAACAAGTTAATGCAGATTGGCCTTTGTCATGAGCACTGAAACATTGCTCAGCACCTTCACAAGGCAGAAGTCAAGGTCAAGGCTCTGAACCCTCGGGATGAAGTCTCCTAAGGTGTGTTGATTCATTTTTGGATCTGCAGAGGATTGGGTCAAGTTCTGACATGGTGCTGTAGGATTCTGATCCAGCAGACCCCACCTGTAACCTCTGTGCTACACTAGTTGTGGCCCCAGAAAGACCTTCTAAGCAGGTTTCAGGAAGCACCTTAATGGAAATGTTTATATAATGACAGAGACTTAGGTAAAGACTATAAGCTCGAGGAAGTATCACTCTATTGCTTAGACCATCCAGTGGCTTTCTAGTTGTTCAGAGTAAGCACTAAAGCCCTTCATACAGTAGCCTTCCAGACCCAAAGCAGCCTGCCTCTCCTTTACCTTCACCTCTCTGATTTTATCTCCAGCCCTCCTGACTCACTCTGCACCACCTACTGGCCTCCTTGATGTTCCAGTAATCTTCCTGGCTATTTCCTGCCTCAGGGCCTTTGCATTTGCTGTTCTCTCACATAACTGCAAGTCTCACTTCCTTACCCTTTTCAATCTTTGATCAACTATCACTCGTTGAGGCCTTTCTTAACTACCTATTTAAAACTGCACCACTACCCAGTTTAACCAGCATTCCCTAAATCTCTTCCTTGCTTACATTTTTCCATTGTAGTATCAACTTTTAACACATTATGCAACGATTTTTAAATTTTGGGTATTGTCTATTTCCCACCATGGATTCATCCTTCGTGCCTAGAATAATGCCTAGTCATAGCAGACACTCAATAAATTGAATAAATGAATGAGTAAATGAATTAAACTTTGGAAAATTAGATCACAAGTGTACACTGAGAGATTTCTTGGGAAAAATGAAGGATAAACTTTGAACAGCATTGTGGAAAGAGACATTTTAATAAGGGAACACAGACTAGAGAAATGTCTTCAATGTTCTTGTAATAGTGAACTGTGCTCATAAAGTTTATGAGATAAAAGTTGTTTTTCTGCTTAGTAGTGCAGCCCACGTGGTGAGTGATGCACTCTTCTGGCTTTTGATACAGTAGTTCCTTGGCATGTGTGAATTTAACAATTGTGATTTCAACTATTTGCTAGCAGCCCTAGAGGGTCATACCATGTAGTGGGTTTGTGCTTTGGTGGACAACCATGTGGCCAAGTGGTGAGCCGAGGCTGAGCTGGCAGATGGAAATTAGATGCTGTGTGATACTTGTGAATTGGGGAATTTGCAAAATGGGCCTGGGGAGGGGATGTTCATGAATGTCAAGGGTCTGTATACTCTTTAATTATTCAGTGAGTCTACTCTTTCACTAAAGGTCTGTTTAATATTTGTGATCCCAGGTTCCTAGAGTTTTTATTTTTGTTTTTGTTTTGCACTGATACTCTTTTTTTTTTTTTCTGAGACCAAGCCTCCCTCTGTCGCCCAGGCTGGAGTGCAGTGGCGCGATCTCAGCTCACTGCAAGCTCCACCTCCTGGGTTCAGGCCATTCTCCTGCCTCAGCCTCCCGGGTAGCTGGGACTACAGGCACCCACCCCCGCGCCTGTCTAATTTTTTGTATTTTTAGCAGAGACGGGTTTTCACCGTGGTCTCAATTTCCTGACCTCGTGATCTGCCTGCCTCGGCCTCCCAAAGTGCTGGTTTTACAGGCGTGAGCCACCGTGCCCGGCCTGCACTGACATTCTTTTATTTGAGATGCAGAGATCTGTGCTCAATCAGGGTTGAGTGGAATGGGATTTAAAGAACTTATCAAGTATATAACTGAGTTCAAACAGTTCAAACTATTTTCAACTTTACATCTGATTCCCAAGAATGAAGCAGAAAATGAAGATGCTTGCATGTGGGCCTCCTAGATTGAGTATCTGGCACAAGAAAAGCCTGCCCAAAGCCAAGTAGGCCGCCATTTCCCTTTCCTTTGTAGGGTGATCTCACATCCATGGTCCCTTAGATCCAATGCTTTTAGGAGCTCGGGTCCTCACAGCCCTGTTCCGAGACTCATGAACTCGGAGTCTCAAAGCCCAGATCCCATTCCCACAGAAGCCCGTCTTCACTGCCCGCTTCTGTTCCCTTCCGAACTCAGATTTTCTCAGTCTGCTTCTGCCCCTCAGGAACCTGAGTCTTCGTGGCCCCGTTTCTGATCCTTAGGAGCCCGGATCTTCACTGTTCCTCTTCTGCCACTTAGGAGCCCAGGTCCTCACTGCCCCATTTTTACCTCTCCGGAGCCCGTGTCTTCACACCTCATTCCTTTCCGGTCCTCTCCTCTTAGGAATGCGGGCTCTCACAATCCTGTTCCTCCCAGACAGATTTCCCTCAGATACTGGAGAACTCACATCCATAGCCGTTCCCTAAGTCCCGTCTGGAGCCCGGGTCCCTACAGCCACTTCTTCTCTGAGCCTGATCCTCTCAGTCCCTTCCCAAGAGCCTGAATCCTCACAGCCCATCTCATCCACAACCTGGTCCTGCGAACACTGACCCACTGTAGGTGTTGGTCCTGACTTCCTCCTCCCGCTCTTGTTCCTCAACTGCCAGAGCTCAAGACTCCCCAAGATATTTGGAGAGTTTTAACAGATCAGTCGAATTGGCTAAAAAGAGGCAGCTTGACATTGAGTGGGTAAGAGAACAGATTTTGGAGCTAGTCCTCCTGGGTTTGAATCCTGACATCAACAGTTATAGCCATGTGGTTTTTTTTGGGAATGTGACTTAATTTCTCTGTATTTCAGATATGATGGTGATAAAAACAGTACAAATCTCATGGGATTGTTGTATTAAATGAGCTAATAATATTTGTAAAGCAATTACAATAGTAACTAAGACATAGTAAGCACTACCTAAGTGTTTGCTAAATAAAAATAAAGACATTGATTTGGGGGGGATTGCTACAGGATGCTCCGGTCTTTGGCCAGTAGGCACACCAAAGTGGGGAAAGAGGTAAGTGATGTAATTTGAAATTATAAGAAGGCATATATGTATGAAGAAATATTCTTGAAGATAATCCTTGGTGGGCATTGATTAGTTAATTATGAAAGAGTATAGTAGAGTGGTTAAAATTGTGGACTGCTAAATTAGTCTGCATGCCTGGTCTTCTCATCACATGTACTGTGTGATTTTGGGCAAATTATTTAACTTCAAAATTAGAACTTTAAAGTGGGTGTGTGAAAAGTCCCTACCTCATGGCATTGTCATGAAGATTGAATTAAATAATCATCACGAAGTATTTAGCTTAGTACTTGGCAAGTAGTAAGTATTTAAAATGTGACTGAAAAAATTAATAGATAATGGGCCAGGTGCGGTGGCTCACGCCTGTAATCCCAGCACTTTGGGAGGCCTGGGTGGGTGGATCACCTGAGGTCAGTAGTTGGAGACCAGCCTGGCCAACATGGTGAAACCCCATCTCTACTAAAAATACACAAGTTAGCTGGGCATGGTGGCGCATGCCTGTAATCCCAGCTACTTGGGAGGCTGAGGCAGGAGAATCGTTTGAACCCAGGAGGTGGAGGTTGCGGTGAGCTGAGATCGTACCACTGCACTCCAGCCTGGGTGACAGAACAAGACTCCGTTTAAAAAAAAAAAAAAGATAATGAAAGTCCCTAATCTCAGTTCCTACATTGTTATAGGTATTGACATCCTTTAGCTAGAACCTTCAGTTCTTTCCCTGTTACTGAGTCAGATAAAATAAGATGGCATCCAGAAGGAAATAATGCATGTATGTTGCTTAGCACACTGACTGACATGTAGCAAGAACTTAATAAAATTTCAGGAGCCTCATCCCTGCCAGCTGGGTGGTGGTTCAGGATGGGAGATGTGAACACTGTGGTTGCCATGTTGGGTAGAGGTAGGAAGGTTTGCCTAAACCCGTTTCAGAAGGCATCTTCTCCAATGTCAGCTGTGTGTGTCAGAGGTGGGTGGGTCAGGGGGCTGTACATGATCAGGTGCCATGGAGCTGACTCCCAGCCCTGTGTCCTGGAACAAACTCCTGCTCTTGAGTCCCCATCTGCCTGCCAATCTGCATCTGATCTGAGATCACTGTGAAATCCACAGTAAATGTGCAAAAGTCACAGACTACAATGAATATGAATTAACTGACGATTTTAGTTATTCATGCTATTGCCGTGCTAATTACTACAAATAATTTATCACTGACTGTGTATAAACATAAAACTAAGCTACAATTTCTAGAGCTTAAGGCTTATATTGACATTTTGAATCCTAATTTTATTTGCAGGTAGCTGCCATCCAGCTTCTTTATAGGTTTACCTAAACACATTACAGAGTTTTATTTGTCCAGTTGCAGGCCTGATGAGCAAAATTGAACTTTCTTATAACTTTCCTGCTGCTTCTGGGTATTTATTATTTTTTTTTAGAGATAGATCTCACTATGTTGCATAGGCCGGAGTGCAGTGGCTATTCACAGGCACGATTGTAACGCACTACAGCCTCAAAGCTCCTGGGCTCAAGCAGTCTTCCCACCTCAGCCTTCCTAGTAGCTGGGACTTTAGGCATATGCCACTGTGCCAGGCTTTGCTTCTGGCTATTTAAAGTAGTTTATGGTGTGATTTATTTTTAAGTTCATTCATTATTCTGTTCGTGGAACAAACTTTTATTTAGAATCAAATATGTGGCAGGTCCAGGTACCTCTTAATTTCTTTTTTAGCAGACAAGGGGAAATTCTCATTTGAATTTAATTTGACCCCTACATTTGAGAGTATAGTTATAGTCTGTGTGGAGAGCTAAGATCTAATGTTAGTCTATAAAGAGAAAATTATATAGTTAAAAATATGCTTGAAAAATCCCTTAATTCAACCATAAACATAATACTCTTCAGGGAGTATAGCACAGCCATTTTCCCCCCTTTCTTTGGAACAAATCACTATTTCTTCAGTTGAATAACAGGCTAAGTAATTGGAAATTTGCTTGTTTATGGGGTTTATGTTGTTTGAAATACACATTCAGGGCCTTTAGACTTACAGATCCACTTAATACCAAACATGCATGTGCCCTCACTGTGCCTATTTCTAACTGGTTGATTGACTGATGGATTGATTCATAGTCACTGAATCAATTGATTAATTGATTCATTCATAGTCACTACACATAGTCACTACACATAGTTAGTAGACTATGTGTAGTGACTATGCTTGATACTAGAGGTAGAAAAACTTCAGAAAGACAGTATTTGCTCTCAAAGAGCTCATAATGTGGTGGGGACAAGAGCCATGACATGCCCAAGTACAGTTGAGTGATGATAAGTTATAATGACAATGCATTGTAACGTGCTATATGAGAAGCAGGCACATTCAGGAAGCCAATGGAGAACAGAGGAAGGAGCATAGCTCTGCTCAGGGAAGGGTATGTCTGATAATGTAGAGAGGCTTCTGGAGAGGTTGGATCTTAAGTTGGGTTTTGAAGAATGGGTTAACTAAGATGATATATTAATTAGAGGAAATAGCATGTACACGAAGGTGTGGTGGACGGTTCAGGGTGTATGGCATGGGGATGGTAGGACCTGAGCTTACGTTTCATGTTAAGCAAGTTGGATTTCATCTTCCATGTAATGAAGAAACACTGAAGGCACTTTAAAAGGAGAGATACCAAAGTGTGTTTTATAAATGGATGGCTTAGAGGGGAATGAGTTCAGATCCAGGGAGCCCAGAGAGAAACCACTGGTGAGAAGGCAGATGGGAATCCAGCCATCCTACACTCACATCAAACCTGAGCATTTTGGGGCATCCACTGACTAACAGCTGCCTTGCAGGGTGGGCTTTCAGCTGTAGATATTCCCTTTCCCGTGATTGTCCTGTGGGGTATCATCCCTTCTTCCCTTTGCTCTTCTTTCCTTATTCTGCTGCTGGTTTGGGTCTGGCTCTTGGTTGAAGAGCTGATGGTGGTGGGGAGGAGGGGACAGAGGATAAACATGCCCGTCGCCATCCTCTGTGCTGGTGTGTCATATGGAGGAGCCCAGCCATTTCATCTTGCCTGATTCCTGTCTTAGGACCTTTCTGATTTTCACACAAGAAGCCTTGAAGAAGGGTGATTGAAAGCTAAAAGAGTTTAGAAGGGAGCTTCTTTTTCCTGTCTGTAACGGTAAAACCTCTGAGAAAATGTTGGAAGGACAAAGTATTTGGTTTCTGACAGAGGAAGGAGACTACTGTATTCTACAATGGAACTCTGGTCAGAAGCAGCACACGGTCTTTGTGGAAGCACGTGAAATGGTCCATTAAAAATATTAAGGAGCATGTGAGTGTGAGTGTAGGCTAAGTCAGGGAATGTCCTGAGGAGTCATGAATGAAGTCCTCCTTTCAGCACTTCATACCCTCCCCCACAGCACTTTCTCCCTTCATCTTTCACCTTCCCTGGTCTCTGAGCCTTTTCTCACCCCAGAGTCTCCATTCTCCTATCAATTATTTTCTTGCCCTTTGTTGCTGAGCCTGCTCCAGCCTTTCAGAAGTCAATCAACAATCTGAAGACAGAGTTTAGGAGACTTAGCCCTAGCATGGAGAAGATGGAAAGGGAGAGTTTGATCCTAATAGTTTGAGGGACAGTTTATCTGTGGTCTCCCCAGTCAAAAATCCCGTGCATTTGCTCATGAGACAGAATCATGACCTCTGGGTCTGTAGGAGTATTAATACTCTATTCTCTGGGCCCTAGGAACTTTATATTTGACTTAACTGAAACTGGTTGGATTTATTTAGGAAATTATTTAATTCCCTAAACTAACTTCTGAAGTGGTATAAGCTCATTTTAAAAGACACTGAAGTGAGAGGTTAGTTAACTTTCTAAGCTTACACACAAAGTGTGCATCTGGGATTTTGTATTCAGTTTTGCCTGATTCTGCATGTGTGTTGGTGGACCAGCTGATTGTACCTGACCACCATGTAGAATAATGTTTCTAGGGGAAATTAAAAAACAGAGTTACAAATGAGCTTTTTTAAATTGAAAATTTTATTGAGGTAATTGTAGATTCAAATGCGTATTTGAGAAATTATACAGAGAGGTTACTGGTGCAGAAAAGCTCCACTTTGCCAGATTTTCCCAAGGTTAACATTTTACAAAGAGGTAGTATAATGTCATAACCAGCATATTGGCACTGATACAATTCACCAAACTTTATTCACATTTCCTGTTTTACTTGTACTAATTTCTCTCTCTCTCTTCTCTGTCTGTATTAAGTTCTATACGATTTTATCACCTATGTTGATCCATGTATCCACAGATAAGATACTGAATAGAGCCAACCACAGGGGTCCCTCGTGTTACCCTTGTTAACAACAAATACCTCCATCTTTAACCCCTGGCAAACATGAATCTGTCCTAAATCTGTCCTTCATTTCTAAAATTTTGTCACTCCATATAAATTGTATAATGTAGTTTGTAACCTTTTGGGATGAGCTTTTCTCACTCAGCATAACCCCCTGGAAATTCATTCAATTTGGTGTGTGTATCAATAGTTTGTTCATTTTTCTTGCTAAGCAGTATTTCATGGTATGGATGTACCATAGTTTAACCACTCTCCTGTTGAAAGACATGTGGATTAATTCTGGACTTTTCTACTATACTTAAAGCTGCTGTAAACATTCATGTACAGGTTTTTGGGTGAACGTAAGTTTTTATTTCTCTGGGATAAGTGCCCAAGAGTACAAATGAACTTTTAATACAGTTCATAAATCCAGAATTAGATTTGGCGTGATCTTGCTCTGGGTTGCATTTTCACCTTTTATCCAGTTCTCTCAGTCTGATTTTGTGTGGGGCTCTCACCTATTTCCCTCTGGCCCTGGGCCTGTGTAAATTTCCAGGCTGATTAGGGTGCTCCTGAGCTCTGGGAAGGAGATTTGCTTCGCTTTGTTGCTGGCTGATCTCCGGGAGTCATCACTGCTATCAGTCATGCTTGTCAGTTTTGCCGCACCGATGTCCCTTTCCCCCAGTATGGATGTCCAGAGCTCCAGCGGTCTGCATAGTTAAGTCAGCAACTGTGTTCTGTCTTACTTCCTGTGGGAATGAAAGGCCTTCTTAGAGCCCCTGCGAAGTTTTTTTTTTTTTTTTTTTTTCCCAGCCCCTGTGAAATTTTAAAAGGAATGGTTGCAGCTTTTTCTTGCCCTTTGGTTCCCTGTAGTGAACACATGTTGCCAAAAGATGGCAGTGCACTTTGCAGCCACTGAGATCGCTCTTCCCTGTCGCCTGGGGCTTAGAGAATTGTGTCTTGTTCTTTATGTGTATGTTGAAAATGTGCAGAGCAGATTTTACAAAACAACAAAAGCACCAATAAAATGCTGTGAAGTTTAGAATCATGAAAAAAAAATCACGTTTGCAAATGGTTTATAATGGAAATAGTCCCCCACTTCTTAAACATGATTTGAATAGGGAATAGAACTCAGAAATGTGTGTATGAGTGTATAATTTTAGGTGTCAGTACTGATTGTTATATTCTGTATAGCTCCTGAAAAAGACCTGTGAAATGCTGATTTTTGTCTTTCATCTGATCCAAGATTAGCCAAGTAACAGGCCTGCTTTTGAACTCTGAGACTGCAGTCCTCAAGTAAAGGCCCTTGTATACACTTAGTTTTCATGGCAAAAATGGCTAATAATAAAACTCTTCACTTGCTAGCATTGGTCACTCCCCTGTGTGCGTCACTTTGGTGTGCGTCTGTGGGCATGTGTGTAAAGAACTGTTTAAACATTGGCTATGCACCAGAAAGCTGTGTGAAGTGAGAGATTATGGGGTTCACCGGATGTCATAAACAGACCAAGCTGGTGAGGATAAAGTGGGATGAGTTGAAATACAAGATTAGCTAATAAACTTTAAGCTGCATGCACGGAGAGAACCAGTGATATTAAACTCTGGTATGGGCATGTTAAACACTGGTGCCCTGCTGCTCTCTAGGGTGCCATCCCCGATGCCTTTTGGGATGGAATCAAAAAGCCCTGCTATGAACTTGATCCATGTGCAGCATCGTTAAGTGCAGAGCAGGCTGTGGAAGAGAGTGGGCTAGCTCTGGGATTGGGTATACAAGCTCCGGAGTGGATCCTCTACACACCAGCCAGTGTGTCAAGGTTGGAGGCTCTGTTTCACTTCCCCTGAGCTCAGTACCGCAGTCGCTTTCATCCTACAGTTTACAAAGTAGCTGCAATCCTGGGTGGCAGGGAAACAGGTGGCTTCACGGTAAAGCAGCAGGCTTTTTGCTACTGCATCCTTTGGCAAAAGCTTGGGCTAGGAGGAGAAATGTGCTGTGTAAAGTTTTAACCCTGAAAGCAGATGCTGTTACTATAGAGACAAGTGAAATGCTACAGTGGGAGGCGTAACAGGGGAGGGATGGGAGAAGGGAGGTGGGAGGGCAAGTAAGGCGAATCTAAAGGCTAGCACACTCCAAGACCTTCAACCTTTAGCAGCACTGTGACGGGGCAGGCTTGCATTCTGAAACTTGTGTGCTGGCGGCCTGCCACGTGCTGACTGGCTGAGTGGCAGCTGCTTGCGCTGTGCGGACTAGCTGGTGAGCACGTTGGCAGTTGGCATGGGCTCTGGGGGTGGGAACTTAGAGGGGTGGAATGTAGATGGGTGCTCAAGACCCAATGGCTGACAGTTTTGCACAAATGTTTCTCATGCTGGGCTTAAGTCACCCTTACGAGCCTGCTCAGTGATTAGGACCGGCTGGTGAAAGCCGGTCCTTTTGGCAGTAGATATGACATGTGTTACAGTTAAATCATTGTGGTGTCCCAGAATAACAGAGAATAAGAAAAACCTTGCTTTGGGTGTGGACTTCTGTAGAAAGGGTATAACTTGTACGGTCAGAGGCCTGGCTGAAGGAAGGCATTATTGGCCCTGAGTGGATTTTATACTGACTGGTGTGACCCTTATCCCCGTGATGCTGGTGAGAAGCTTCCAAATCTATTCTGAACTTTGCCTCATGCTGGTGATGTGAGCAACCCAGGGAGCTTTTTAGAAACATGTTCTTCCCTTTCTTTGTTTTCAGCGAATGCAGGTTGTGTGAAAGGAACTTTTAAGAATGGGTTTGAGGGCCTGATTAAGGACTGGATGAGTTAATTTCTTCCTATTGATAGAAGGAGGAACTAGTTGGGTCAGATGGTTATTTTAAAAGATATCTCTGTCTTACTAATAATAGCAAGCAACTGCTGAGAGGATTTGCGGTGGGGAGGGACACGAACCCAAATAATTGACATTTGTGGTGTAAAGATGAAGAAAAGGTGCTGAATTCCTGTATTTTGTGCAGAAGCCTAGGTGCACCAGGCTGGACTTACTTCTAAGGAGGAGTGAGGGCTGCTCTGGAGAAAGGCTGCTGTGGGTGTACAGGTTTTATATTTTCCATTTGCCTCACTCACCTCTTTTTGCTTCCTACAGGGAAGAGGCTGCTTTGAGATGCTCTGCATTGTCTGTCAGAAAGAACGAAGTTTCTAATTACTTGCTATGTATAGTCTTGGAGGGAATGTGAAATATGCATCAAAGAGCCAAGGAATGCACCAATCATTATTCTCTCTCTCTAATTCAGATGGAACATAGTGACAGTGCCTCAGTTAGGCTGGATGGTTTTCTCAGCCTAGGAAGAGGGTTTTTCTGAACTTTTCTACTATCCCCTCCAGTTTTTGCTGGTTTTTATTTTCTCTTTGTTTCTGTTTTTCTTTTTTCTTTTAGAGATGAGAATTCACTGTGTTACCCAGACTGGAATGCAGTGGCCTAATCATAGCTCACTGAAGTCTTGAACTTCTGGGATCAAGCAGTCCTCCTATCTCAGCCTCCCACGTAGCTGGGACAACAGGTGCACACCACTGCACATAGCTAATTTGGAAAAAAAAATTTCAGAGATGGGTCTTGCTATGTTGCCCAGGCTGGTCTGGAACTCCTGGCCTCAAGCAATCCTCCCACTCGGCCTCCCAAAGCATTGAGATTACAGGCTGAGCCACTGTGTCAGCTTTTCTTCTTTTACTTCTTTGGTTGTTACATGCAATTTTGGGAATGGCTTAGGCACAAGGCTAAACATTTTAGTTAGGAAATTTGAAAAAAAGGCAACAAAAGACTTTAGGACCAGTTCGATTAATAGTGGGGTGCAGAAATGATGTTCCACATGAAATTGTGTTGGACTCTATAGGTTGGAAAGGGTTAGTTCTGATAGGACTGGAAAGGGTTAATGTGAGCTAAACCACTCTTTTTTCTAAAGGGGAGCTGGCACTATTAATGTACGTGCAGTAGCACAGGGCTTCAGGATTTTGTTGTGCTTCTGAGGTCTTTTAAGAAAATTTCCTCATTAAACTGTCATCCTTATCTATGTCTACAAATGTGTAATGGATGGGTTCTTGTCTTTTGAACTTATTTGCCTGGATTGCTAAGGGTAATCTTTGAGAAGGTGGATGTGATTGCATTAGGCACCTTGTCTGTCTTGCTCACTGTAACTCTAGTGCCTTGGCTTGTGCCTGCAACATAGTAGTAGCATCCAGTAAATATTTACTGAATGAATGAATGCAGGAAAGAGAAAAGAGAACTACTGAATGCCTCCTCTGTGTCTGCTACTGTGTGTGGTATGTAAAAATTATATTTGGCAATTAGAAGACATTGGTGATCATGACCAAAGTGCTTTTTACATCTCTTTCCATCTTTCTCAGCCACTCGGTAGCAGTACTCTCCTTTTGTCACTTCCTTGACATCACTCTTGCCTGGATTCTTACCTCATTGACTGTTTTTGTTCCTCTGCTCTGCTTGTAAATGTTGGCATGCCTCAGCACTTGGTCTTAGGTCCACTCCTTGATTTTTACATTTTCTTCCTGGATGATCTCATCCAGTAATAGCTTCAGGTACCAGCTTTATTCATTGGTTTCCTAATTTTTATCTCTAATCCTGAGCCTCTGAGCTCCAGACTCAGACATCTACTTGTATGTCCGATGGCTCATTTTTCATGTGTAATAAGCATCTTATTCTTAAAGTGGCTAAATAGAACTCTTGATTTGTTCCCCAACAACTTGTTTCTCCCATAGCCTTCCCCTGGCTCCTTCAATATTTTCTTAATTTCTCTTGTCCCCTTACTGTCCATTTTTCACATAGCAGCCAGGGTAATCTTTTAAAAATGAAAAACAGTTCAAGTCACTCTCCATTTTAGAACTCTTCATTGGCTCCCGTAACACCTAAAATTCTGACTCCTTACCCTGGTTTTGTGGCCCAATCAATATCATCTCCTAAAGTTGACCTTCTAGCCCTGTCCAGCTGTACTAACTTTGTTTCTGTTCCTGCAACATCCTAAACTTGTCTTCACCTTAGAGCCTTTGTACTTGCTGTTCCCTTTGCTTGGAACACATTACCTGCAAATATTCACAGTACTGATTCCTTCCTGTCATTTTTGTCTCTGCTCAGTTGTCATCCAGAAGCCTCATGTGAACCACCCTGTGCCAAGCAGTCCCTGCCTCATTTTATTTTCCACAAAGTGCTTAATGCTATCTGAGATTACCTTGTTCATCTATTCAGTATTAATTCTTGCGAACTTTGTTTCTCTGATTCACAGATATATTTCCCTCTCTCTGAAGAGTATGAGGAACATAGCAGGCACTAAATAAATATTTGCTGAACCAGTGAATATACTTTATCATTTAATCCTCATGGGAACCAGGGGCTTAGAGAAGTTGGTAAATGACTTGACTTCTTAAGTCTTTTCTTTTTTTTGAGACGGAGTCTCACTCTTTCGCCCAGGCTGGAGTGCAGTGGCGCTATCTCGGCTCACTGCAACCTCTGCTTCCTGGGTTCAAGTTATCCTCCTGCCTCAGCCTCCCGAGGAGCTGGGATTACAGGCGTGTGCCACCGTGCCTGCTAATTTTTGTATTTTTAGTGGAGACGGGGTTTCACTGTGTTAGTCAGGCTTGTCTCCAACTCCTGACCTCAAGTGATCTGCCTGCCTTGGCCTGCCGAGGGATTACAGGTGCCGGGATTACAGGTGTGAGCCACCACGGCCGGCCTCAAATCTTCAAGGAATTTTCTTTTCCACCAGAATCTTGATGGCCAACCCATATCCTGCTTGCATTCAGTTTTCTATTTTTAGTTTGAGTATAGAGAAGGAAAATGATGTATATCAGGATGGGCTATTATATACAAGGCCGATATTATTGAAAGAAGAAATCTTGCAAGTGTCCAGAGGTAATGAGTTTCTTAATGCTATTGTCCACCATTGACTGGTCAGGGTGAAAAGGAAGGAAGCAGAAAGGAAGGAAATTTACAGTAATTAAACATGTAGTATGTGCTGAGTCCTGCACTGTGTGCTTTTAGGTATGTTACCTAATTTGAATCTCAAAGCCATCAATGCATGGTTGATATTATTGTGTTGAGTCAATGCAAGGTTGATATTATTACCCCAGTTTTATAGATGGAAAAACTGAGACTTAAAAAAGCTAAAAACTTTGCTCCAGGTAGCACACTTGTTCAGTGGTAGAGCTAGATTTCTTAAACCGGGGGCTACCTGACACCAAATTTCTCACTTTTTATGTTATGATGGTTGCTTTGTGAGATGGATATGCTTCTAAAATAGTAAGGACAAAAATATGAATTCAATGCACATCCGCATAGATTATAACAAATATCTGAAGCACAAGAATAAGTTATACAGACAATATGGAAAACAGACCTACAATATTCAATGCCTGAGCATATAATTGGATGAATAGAATACAGAATGAACATTTGGTTCTCTGGCAGGGCTCATGTACGGTATGACATAGAGCAGCTGTCCCCAGAGAAAGTTCTTTGTTTCTAGACTGGTACTACACAAGCAGCATTTGAGCAATTCAGGATTTCTTTCTGCTTTCACTATAAATAGACCTCATGGAATTCTGTATATCAAAGTTAATGCAATGAAAAGGAGCTGCAGAATATGGAAATAAACCTTAACTCATTCTATAAACTAGAAGCGTGTTTGGCATCGGGAGGCCCTAAAAACGCTGTCATTCCTTGGATGGATTCTGAGGTCTTATTTAGCATATGAAATTGCAGAGTAGATCCTATTATGTAAGGAGACAGGAGGACAGCATAATGTGGTTACAAAATGAAGAACTTTGTGCCCTTCAGGGAAGAGTTAACAGGGCAGATATACATAGAGAAAGATGTGTGATAAGAATGTGGAAAATGAATGAATGGGTGGCATGTATCTGTGTGTATTGTCGAAGCCGGGTTGCTGGATAATCCTCAGATGTCAGATTTCCGTAAGGCCAGCATGTGACTCAAAGCTTGCCACTCAACAGAGAATACTGGGCTGTGCTGATATTAAGAGGCTGGCTGGAAGCTAGGCTCCCACTGTGCACTAGCCTACCTCCCTGTCGCTCTCTGCGTGTGGGTGGGTGTGCATGTGTGTGTGTGTGAGGGTATACATTTTATGCAGTGGGTGTTTAAAGAGCTAAGCACTGAAGCTGGATTTCCACAAACGATCATCACGAGCACTCCAGACACACCAAACTTCCTCTCTTGGTATTTTTTTTTTTTTTTTGCTTTCATCCTTTTTAAAAAGAATTTTAAAACCCTAAAGGGGAGAGCCCCCAACATCCTGCCTACAGGATTGGGATTATTTTCTCTTACCTGTCTATGTGGGTGCCCTCTCAAGGTTAGAACTGAAGCTATGTGGGACCGGCATATTCTCGAGCACCAGATGAGAGGAGCTGCGTGAAGCAGTAGCAGACACCAGAAGAAGAGTGACTCTGCCCTGCTAACATGAACAACAGCTTGCAGGTTAACCTGCCCAGAAGCTGGGCTGCTCCAAGTGGCTCGCTCCAGGAGAAGTCTGAGCATTCTTTTTTTCTTTTTTATTACTATAGGATGGAGGATGAAGCTGTCCTGGACAGAGGGGCTTCCTTCCTCAAGCATGTGTGTGATGAAGAAGAAGTAGAAGGTGAGCTTTATGGGTCTGGGAAAGTGTCTGTTGACATACATATGTCTCTATAGATAATAACATTCATGCATTTCATATATCTTACATTTTTAAAATGAAACACCAAACCTTTTCTATAGAGTTTCATCAATCTCTACATTTGCTTCAACACAGAAAGTAATTTTAAGAACTTCACTGGACCATCAAAATCTGATTCAATATGGGTCTTGCCTGGTTTAAAAAAAGTCTTATTTTAAAGTAAGTGCCTATGTTAGCTGTGCCTCTTCATCAAAAATAAACATTTTACCAGATAATACTAACCACCTTCCAATGACTAATTCAAGAAAGCTGCTCGATTTATATAAATATATTCAGCAGCATCTTTAATATTCTTTCTTGTAGCTTGTAGTGTAAAGATATAGATACTACAGAAGGATAATGATACCATTGTTGCAGGAGAAATGGGTTTAAGCTGAAGATGTTAAGAGTGATAATCATGGATGACTGTCAGTTAGGAAAAGATGGACAAGCATTTTTTATTTAAAAAACTTCAGTCTCTTTTGCTGATGTTTCCTAGTGCCTGTTAAAAACTAAAGAAGAGTTATGTTTTACCTGGTGCTATAATACTTTCAGCGGGCATTCCCTTTTCCTGTCTCCTGACTTATCAATAATGTGGGAATAATGCTATTTATTTGATAGAAGGCAAAGCTGAATTAATATTTATTAAAATAATTATATGAAGGCATCACAGATATATGTTATTATTCATATTTATAATGAGATTTTTAAAAATCAGGGTTATAGGCAATACTCAAAGTTAAATGAAACTTGCAGGTGAATCATGTGATCAATTCCACCATTTAAAGTCACCTGAGAGACAATTCATTTGTGTTTTGGAGATTCTGACCTGACCGGTGCCATGTGGTAAGCATTTAGTGCCAGCCCCAAACTTGAACCAGAAGGTGGTGGGCTTGGGAAAAAGAGAGTCAGTATTGTATGTTCTGGAGTGATTCTTCAAGCAGACTGAGCACCAGGTACTGGGCAAGTGATGCTCCTGTGCCACTTGGAACAGTTTGAATAGTGTGGCTATCATGTTGTTTCTCATGTTTCTTTAGTAAGTTTCTTCATCCCATGTGGTGTTAGAGGATTGGCGCCTCCACCCGCCCCCCTCAACTTCCCGCATTTATGCTCTTGAGACTGACTAATAAGAATTTGATGCCTAAGTTTCTTAGGAAAACGGAAACTACAGTATTTTCTTTCATATTGTTTTATGGGTTCCTTGCATTTTTGCAACATGCTGTGGGAAAATGTCAAGCTGGTGAAAGCAAAATAGTAAAACTTTTGTCTTAAGATTCTTGGAACCCATGATGTTAAATCATCATTTTAGTGACTCTGTCACTGTCCCAGTGTCAAAGAGGAGATACCAGCAAAGAGGAGATACAAGCAAAGAGGAGTTATAGCATATGAATATAAGAAATAATGTAGCTTTGAGCAAATAGCCTATAGTTTTAAGACAATTGAAGTAGAAAAAGCTTGGGAGTGACATATACTGTGTGCGTGTGTTTTCCTTTGAGAATAATGTTCTAGCTAGGTTCACAAGAGATGTAAATCACTTCTTGAGTTTGTAAGGTCTGTAGGATTGACAGTACTCTACTGAAATAGGATATTGTATACTGTTTCTTAAGGCTTTGACTAAAAAGTGCGTTTCCTGAACTATTTCCCTTGATTTTCAAGCACAAAATTAAGACGACAATATAAATGAATAGCACACAAATCTGTAGCCAGGATTCTTTAAGAAGAAACAGAAACACAACCAAAGGTGGTAGAAACATCTGTAAAATTCAAGAAATGTGTTGGTTTTGTGATGATTAAACCGTCCAAATGGATTTGTGTGTTTTCCTGTTTTTATGAGACCTCTATTTTAGTGACTGTCTTTCATGTTGATTGGCACCTGAGCTGACTACATTTCTTCCAAGACATGCTCAGATAGTTGCCGGTTGCTGAGTCCTGAGCCCCATAAGAAGATTGCTTATGGATTATTTTGTGGGTAACTTTCAACAGTGCTGACTGTCTTACAGTACTAGCCTTGAAATTATAGTAATTGCTCATTTGAAATGAACAAAATTGTTCATTTTTAATTTGGTGTTCTCCCAATTGACCCTCCCCCTTTTTCACCTTGCTTTATTGGTGGGGGTGGGAGGTCTTAGATTTTTATAGTAGCTCTAGGTGATAGTATAAAACGGTTGAAATGGACAGGGGTTTTTTGGCACATCCATGGTTCCAGTGATTGAGAATGAAGAAACAGACGGCCTATGTTAAGACCTCTAAGAAGTATTCACATTTTGAGGGGAATGTTTTTTCCCAAGGATATGAGTCCATCTCATATTTTTAATTGCATAGAGAAGAGTGTATCTGAAGAAAAGCAAACTGTTATCTCTATTCTAAAGTAGCTTCCTGGCACATTTATGGCAGAAGTGAATGCCTCAGTTTTAAGGGTCAGAATTCAAAAGGCAAGGAGCTGGAACACTTTATATTATTATTTACATTTTCTTTTATGAAAGTAGTTATTTCTGTTGCTTCTAGGATAAACATAGAAGTTTACAATGTTTGTAAACATTCTTGGCAAAGTCAACTTAAAATAAAACTTTGTTTTTTACAGTTATCTGCATAAATAAGATGTACTCCCAATAAGTGATTATTAAAGTAACTAAGGTCTGATAGTTCTTGTTACTTTGAAATATTTGTGCTTTAAAAGTGCTTAGGGTCCCCTAATTTGGGGTGATTGGAGTCAGCTCAACCTGAAGGCAAGAAGAGCCAGATACTCTCTCTTAGTTGCTTCGAATGCTGTGGTTCTGAGGAGAGAGACTTCAAACCACGCCCTCAGTTCACCTTGTTCAACTTTACTCTCAGTGGGTGGCATGACACTTAATCCACATTCTAAAAACTTAATAGAAAACCATCAACTGCAAAACTCACTAAGCACAGAGTGAGTCACAAGAGGAGTCATCTGTTTAAGTAATGAATTTATCTATGTGGCATATATTTAAAGGCCTAAACCTCATTGTCACATAATTTTCTTCATGTGTTAATGGCTTAAAGAGATACTCTTTCAAAATGAAACCAAGTGCCAATTTTAATCTTTAAAATAAATAGAAGCCTTTAAATCTGCTCTTCCACTGGTTACCTTGTACTATGCGTGGTTTTAAAGTTAACATTTTTAGGAGGAGAGGGGTTACTGTGGATAAACTCATTTTAAAATGTCAGTATTTCAGATATTCATATTTATTTCTTTATCAAAATGCCCCAGCTCCCACCCAGGCCCTTCCACGCTTCCACAGAATTGGTCTGTAGATGACAAATTAACATTACCAGAATGATCCATAAGTGTTGACCACGAGGAACAACCACTCACTTTTCGTTTCAAACATAGATGGGGGAAATTGCTAATTACGTAGCAATTACGTAGTGATTGCTAATTACGTAGTGAATGAAGATTGAGATAGGAAGAGTCAGTCCCAGGTAACTTTTTCCAAAAACAGAAGAAAATCCTATGGATGTTTTATTCCTAAAAAAGCCAGCCAGAATTTTGGATCTGTATGATATAAACAGATTACTTAATAGTCTCATATTTTGCAATAGGGGAAAAGAGCAAACTCCACCTTATCCTTTGAGATAAGGCTTTGGCTCTGCAAGGCTAGGTAACTCCCAGCAGGCCTTGGCAACTCTGACTTCATGAGGAGGGGCCTCTTCTTAACATCAAGTTCAACCAACAACTCAGAAAATATAAGATGCAGTAACACAGTATTGGTTGAAATGTGTCTCCATTTTTGAGGCTTGGTCAGTACTCTCCTAGAGCTATTATGCTATATTGTGCTGGTTTTCCTCTTCCATTCAAAACTTAATGCAGTGGGAAGTATGCACCCATCTGTCCCAATGGAAGAATAATTCTACAAATTCACATGTCTACTGATGGACATTAGGAGGGAGTGTTGTTGAAAATGCATGGAATTTACAGGAGGATTGTTTTCAGGAAAAGTAAAAAAAGTATGTCAGGGTCTGGGACAGGGTAGATATTCACTAATTATTTGTTAAGAGAAAGAATGAATAAATGAATGTATAACATAAACTAAATAAAGCATATGTAGAATCACTTTGTATAATACTCTGACATATTTTTTAAATTTTTTTGTTAGAAATTTGGTTCTCAAAGCCTGACGTGGTGGTCATGCCTATAATCCTAGCACTTTGGGAGGCCAAGGTGGGAGGATCACTTGAGGGCAGGAATTCAAGAACATCCCAGAAAACATGGCAAAACCCCATGTCTACAGAGAAATAAAAAAAAAAATAGCTGGGTGTTGTGCATGCCTGTAGTCCCAGCTACTCAGGAGGTTGAGGTGGGAGAATCGTTTGAGCCCAGGAGATCAAGGCTACAGTGAACTGTGATTGTGTCACTGCACTCCAGCCTGGGTGACAGAGTGATACCCTGCCTCAAAAAAAGAAAAGAGAAAAGGAAAAGAAAAAAGAAGTTTTGTTATCTTAGTACTCTTATTCTAATGAAATGATATAGCCTCTCATCTTATCCTTGGTATTACTCCTGCTTGATTTTGCAGAGATCATTATCATACTTATATCATTTATATATTTATACTGATAAGAAAAAGAAGGTCCTAAACACCTCTGCTTTATCAAACTTTTTCATTCTCCTACTCTGTTTTTTGAAGAGAGAGACTAAAATAATGAAATGGTGGCTTTTGTCTTTTTGGAAGTCAAGACCTCAACATTTTACAGACATGAAATCATGACTTAAACCTATTTCTTGCTAGAGGATATGATGATCATCTACTCGTGTACTGGAGAAGGTAGTATTTTTTTCTAAAAAAACTGGGGCCTGGTAGACATTTTTTAATTATTACAATGGTATAAAACGTAATTTCTGAGAAGGAGTGAATGAAAACCTATCGGATGGGCAGGGAGGGGCCAAGTTGGGACTGGGGCTATTCTGAGCGCTGGATATAAGTGTCCGGTTGCATTTTGCTGACCTCTTCTCTGCTGTTCACTCTAATTGCTCAGAAAAACAGTGTGTACAGAGGAAACTCTTGGGCAAATACTGCTAAAGGAAAAGCCTTCTTAAAAGGAAACAATGTATCCACACATTGGCCCACTTTAAAGAAATACAGTGAGGTTTTTAAAAGTTGGTACTTGAATAGTAACATAGGTTTCCCAGAACAGGTTGAGCCCATACAGACCTTTCCCAGCTTCCTGCTCCTTTCTCCTCATGGCCTCAGCTGAACGCTGGCCAGAGGTCCTCAAGTATGCAGCACTTAGCTCTGTAGCTGCCTGACATCTCTTGCTGTGTCAGGGAAGTTAAATATTTATATATAGATTTCTTTCACTTCAAGGAAGGCTGATGATAGTTCCGTGTGTTTTTGAAACTAGAATCAGACATTTCTTCTGAGAATTTGAGAATTTTCCAACTGCAGAGAATTCCCTGGTAGTATAGTATCGGCCAAAGCCCTCTTGAAGCCATTTCCTATCCTAGGTGTTGGTGTTCTTTGATGGCAATAAGCCATACCAAATTGCACGTGGTACTTGCATTGTGTTTGGCAAGGATCCAGAAATTCTGAAATAGTACACTTATAGCAGTTTTGCCTATAGATTGAGCTTCTTTTTAGAAGCTTTTTATCTGGTCATATTAGTGAGACATGTTGTTTGATATTTATTTTGGGGAGTCTCTATTGTTTATTTTATTCAAGTGTTGTCAAAGCAGAGGCACTAAGTATCAGTTTGAGAATAAAAATTTAAAACTTGCTCTATTGCCAAATCATTGCATAGGTGAAGGAAGCAACTTATAGTTTAGATTATGGGTTTTTCTCTTTGTAAAATGGGAGCAATGGAGCATGTCATTCACCTTAGAACTCTTAAGAACTTCCAACAGCAATTGCTGCTGTACCTGGCATTAGGAACAGGAGTGCTTTATACTCCACCACTGTCTGTTGTTTTTCTTTCTGATGGATACAGCCTCACCAATAATTTTCTTTGGTTATTATAATCTTCTTTGGTTATTATAATTTTCTTTTAATTACTTAATTAATTATTTTCTTATAATTTAGTTATTATAATTTTCTTATAATTTTATATAATTTTCTTTGGTTATTATAATCTTTTCTACAAATCGTAACTGGTGTAAATATTGTTTACTTGCTTAATTCATTTCTCCCTACATCTAGCCTTTGCCTTCCTAACCATACTTACCTACTGCTTCTTATATTGGAAAACTAAAGCCAGAATGATCCATTGAAACTTCCCAAGGCTTACTCTCTGTTTGCCTTTGGACTCATTCTCATCCTTTAAGCTCTGGGTATGAAATCTAATTTTCACAGTTAGACTGCTCTGATACACATTATCCTTAATTTGTTAAATTGTCTTTTTTTCCAAGAAGAGGGATATTAACCATAATTGTATACTGGGTAAAACGCAAATCTTGTCCATTGTATAATAAAGCCTGCAATGTTGCTTCATTTGGAAAATGGATTCAAGAATGTAGTGTTTTTCTGCGAGTGAGAAGGATTCAAGAGTCTAGTATGTGTATATGTATTTAAACATGCATATAGAAATGCATTTCCCCTTGTCTGCCACATAGACTAGAATACTTCTGCTTCCTACTGGCCATTATGTAATTTAGGTGCCAATTAAATGAGATTATGCAACAGTATGGAAATACTACTATATATTCTAACCTGAACTAAATATTTCCCCTTTTTTATCACCATGAGATTAGAAATCATTGGGAGAACTGAGAATTGGGCCTGATGAGAATGAGTAAAATAAGAATATAATAAAGATCAGTTGAGGCTTTCTTGTTGCTGTCATGAGCTTGCTGGTGAGATTTTATTTTATTTTGTTTTATTTTATTTTACTCTTTTGGCTGATTGCATTTAGGTGACTGAGGTGAGAGCCTGCAATGGCATAGGTTCACGGGAGGTTCCAACATTCATCCCTGGATCTGCTGATTGCCAGGTGGGATGAAAGGTGAAGGTAGTGAGGGTGGTGAGTGACATCCACTGAATCAGCAGTATAGATGACTTAAATAATTCATTTCTCTGAATAGCTGAAAAGTTTTCAAATCTGGTAAATTGTTTCTGCCTTTCCATAGAGTTAGAATTAGAAGGCAGCTATCCAAAGGGCTATATCCAATGTGTGTACCTTTCTTCATATTCTGTTGATTTTTGGAAGAACAGACTCTACTTAGACCTCATGAAATATTATTTTAGTGACTATTTTCATGGTGGAATGCTCAGTAACTTTTACCAGGCCAAAAACTTCCGGGAATAAAAAGAGGTTTTAAATTTTAGTAACATTGGCCAGTATATCAGCTTTAGAGGAATGGAATTACATTGTTATAGATGGGTTAAATCACTACCCAACCCCCAATTGATTATTAAATTTTCAACAGGAAATTTGATTCCTACTGAAAAATAAAGAAAATGTCTTCAAGGTAGAATGAAAGCCCATGATTGAATCTAATGGATACGTGTGTTTGACAAATTAAATTAGTATCTGATTATTCAAGTTTTTACTCGCTTTTATTCCTTCTGTTCTATGGTTTAGAGAACATGGTGGTGGACCAGTAGTCTCAGGACCTTTTTCTGTTCCTGGTCTGCCACTGCCTTTCTGCATAATACAAGGCAAATCATTGTCATGTGGTTATGGTTCCTTCATGCAAAGTGCAGTGAGTAACCCATCTTCTTAGCCACCTACTAGAAATGCTCTAAGAATTTTTGGATAATACCTGAAAAATACCTTGATACTTCCAGTAAGCCATTAAGAAGTTACTTAATTTCTGAATCTCAGTTTTTTGTACAAGATAGAATTTGCACCTCTCATCTCCTACTTTTTTCTAGGAATATAAGTAAAGCAATTTGAAATCCCCCAGGATTAACCGCATAAATTTAAGGTATTATCTCCCTTGCAGGTAATTGTTGTATGTAATTTATCTTTATGTGCAACACTTTCTCACCAGTGGTTGCTGTGACTGCAGAACACTTTCACACTAAAGCTAATACTAATATCTGGTAATCAACAGATTAGTTGATTAGTACTTACGTTAACTCTTCTTACTAAATTTAAGTAACTGATGGACCATGCTTTTTTTTTTTTTCTTTAAGCCGATCAAAATGGTAAGAACAGTTGCAGGTGTGACCTCTAATATGTTGCTTTTCCAGGCTTATGTGTATCATTGAATGTGATAACATTGTAACTAGGACCATGATTATTGTTTAGTCAAATAAACCAGCCATTATTTAAGGACACAAGGTTAGTTGACATGGTAATTTTAGAGATGTATCACATACGTAGGTGAGTTTACATGGAAGGCCAGGGAATATATCTCCTACAGAATAACATTAAATTGAGACCTAAAAGAGGAAAAGGAATTTGCTAGGTGAAGAATCAGGGAAGCATTCCAGGCAGGCATGTGTGAAGGTCCAGAGGTGAGAAAGAGGTAGGCCCATTTGAGAAACAGAAATAAGGCTACAGTAGCTGGACCATGTGAACAGGGGGAGAGTTCTGAGGTGGATAGGACCCAGATAACTCAAGGTCTTTTATGTTATGCTAAATATTAGCATTTTATTGAGTGTGCACTAAGGAAACATTGCAGAAGGGTTTTAAGCAAGGAAGTGATAAGACCAAATTTGTATTTTAGAAAAGATTCCTTTGGCTGCTGGATGGAGACAGTGTCCCAAGAGGGCAAAGACAGAAGTGTGGGGGCTGTTGCCAAGATTCAACTGAGAGATGATTTTGGGTTGGACAAGAGTGGGGACAAAAAAGATGGAGACAAATGTGTTGAATTGATGGGTGGATGTATGGATGGGGATGGCTGCTTCTGGATTTCTGTTATGAGCAATTTAGGGGATCATGTACCATTTTGTAAGATGGGGAACAGTGGAGGAAGAGTGGTGGGGGATGATAGGAGTTTAGCCTTTTGTATATATTGAATTTGAAGCACCTGTGAGATACCGCAGTAGAACTCTGAAGCCGGTAGTTGACTATACAAGCAGGAACTAAGAAGAAAGGACAGGGATGGAGATATAAATCTGGGAGTCCTAGGCATATAGCTAGCATTTAAAGCCATAGGAATGGATGATATTGCCCAGGGTCAAAGAATGGAGTGAGAAGAGGACTCGATTGGACTCTGCAAGTGCCAACATTTGGAGATTAACAAAGTGCAGTCATAGAAGTAGGAGGAAAACTGGGAAGAGGGTGAAGCCTCTGAGGCCGAGAAGAGGGCTTTTAATAAGGAGCTAGCAATTGACAGTGCTGAATGCTGCCTTGAAGTCTGGTAAGATGAGGATTAAATAGTAGCTACTGGATTTGGCAAAAAGAAGGTGATTGGTAACTTTTGTTAACAATGTGGGTGTCATGGTTAGTTGGGAATAAGAGTGCCCAAGAGAAAACTATCATTATGAGAAGTTAGGAAGAGACTTTGAGGTGATGCTGGAAAACGTTTAGCCTTTCCCTCTATGTGCTCCACTTCACTTAACTAATTAAAACATTTGGAATTATTATAGATGTTTTAGAACTAGAAAGGATCTTAGAGAAAATTTAGTTCAATAGGCTAGAGGAACCATGAAGAAGTTAAATGATTTCCTCGAGGTAACCTTGGTAGGAGTTGGAATAACTAGGACAAGGATCCACGTGTTCTGACTTTCCCAAGGCTGTGCTCATCCCAAAAGAGTGTGCTTGAGGTTGACTCCCTCTGCAGAGGAAAAGGAATTTAGGTAGGGAGATGGATGAGAACTAGGAGAAGCACCTGGAAGAACAGGAAGTGGAAAGACCTGAAAGGAATAAAAGGTGTTGAAAGAGCTTACAGAGAGGTGAGAGGGAAAGAAGACATAAGACTGGCTGCAGCATTTGAATGACCCCTGGTAGTAAGTGGGAAGACAGATGTCCCAGCTAGAACATTGTCATATTTTGGAGCAGTTTATGGAACTAAGGGTGGTGGATTTCAATTTGTCATTCTGTATCTCTAAGACAAACATTTCCAGAGAATCCTGAGCCCATTTTTCCCTTCTCAATAATTACTAACTTGAAAGGATTAATCGTTATTATTCTTTTGGCTGTTTTTTCCAGACAGTGGAGGATGGGAGGGATGGGTGGAGGACTGGTACCATGATAGTGGAAAAATGGGAAAGGAAGGCTTATATATCCAGGGGCACTAGGAGTCCTAGTCTCTATACGTCATTAATTGCCTATTTGACTTTAGTTAGATCACTGGTAAATGAAGAGGCTGAACCGGTTAAAGTGATTTTTAGGCCACTTTAAAAGTGTGATTATGTGCTGCTGTGTCAATGAATGTCGTCCCTCTTTTTCCTGGGTGCATGTGGAAAACCACAGTATTGAAGATTCTGGGATTCTAGGTTAACAGAAGTCTCTCATAGCATTTTTCCTAGTTCTGGGTAATTGTTATAGCCCTATGGTATTATCTACATCTCATTTACCTACATATGTGTATATGAAGGAAGGGAATAATGTGAACTTTAATATTTATATTTTATAACAAATATAAATTAATATTTAATATATTAAATATTTACATCAATATTTTATATAAGATATAATATTTAAAAATATGTTCATCTACTAATACAATATAAGATATATAACCATATGTAATATTTTGCATATATGATATATAATTATGATAATAGATTAACATATATTAAAATATATAATATTTATATATTATATTAAATAGTTGATACCTGATTAGCCATGAGTGTATTGACTATATTGCAGATTACCTGTCTATAGCAACCAAGGACCCTTCATCCTATTGCCCAGCCAGGGCTTAGGCCACTGCAAAAAGAGAAGCCATAATAGAGTCAGAGATGGACAATGTGGTTGGAATGAGAGTGTGAACGTGTGCATTTATGTGTCTCTCTAAGCTGCCTCTCTGGCTGCAATTGCAAATCCAGTTATCAATGACCACTGAATTAGCTATTGTTTTTTTATCTTCCAACCCTACTTCCCATTCAGTTGTGCAAATGGTGACCAAAGAGAAATGTTGGAAACTGTCAGTTCTCTGTGTTTGGCTCACAGGTGGATTTTGTCTGACAGCATGTGTACTGCATATTACAATGCAGTAGCCCGTGTGGGGTGGTTCTGGGTGTCGGGATAAGTGGAGGGTTCATGTCTTCCCGTTGGGTGGCTTCTGCTCACTCTGAGCACTGTTCTGCCTAGTGCTGGACTTCCTAGGCCTTTTGGCTCTATTCTGTCTCGTTGGAGCAAGTACAAGGACTTACAGACCTGTTTCCTGCAGATTGGCAGTGAGCCATTGAAAGCTCTGGGGGAAACTTTGCCCAAATCAGGGTGGAGATTGCCAAGCCCTTGCTTCTGGACAGAGTTAGGGAAGATTGAGGTTATGGAAGGTGCTGCCTTTGTTGAAGAGCTCAACTCTGTAGGATGGCTAAAACTGCCGATTAAGGGACAAGTTAAGAATAGGTCTGAGGTTGACTCTTTTGCCCTCCTCTAGGTGAATGTTCTGGAGAACAAAGAGTGTTCACAAGTTAGTTATTATCAGGGCTGGAGGTGGGTGGGAATGAGAAAAAACTGTGCTCTGTTTTTTTCTCCTTTGAAAAGGGAAGGGAGAAATAGGATCAACATTTATGCAGCACCTTTGTGTACCAGACACAGTGGGAGACTATGTTTAATTCAGAATGTGCATTAAATAAATATATATTTATATATAATCTCTCTATAAAGATTATATAGAGATAGATATATAGATATTTGTATAGGTAAATTTATATCTATATAGATATAATTATATAGATATAGATACATTTTGTATCTATAGATATGAAAGATTTTGCTAGAGCAAAGTTAACATTATTTTGGAGAATCAACTTTGAAGATTGAAAAGCTCTTCAGGAACTGCAGTTTACATAGGGTAACCTGATTTCTAATTTTGTTAATTCCTTAAGGTAGATTCCTGAAGTAACTTTAAGGGGAAATTCTTGTTTTTCTAGCTAAGATCTTTTCAAATAATTGATGATCACTGAACATAATAAAGTTGTATTTCTATAAACATATTCACTAATTCAGACTTTATAGAGTGCCAGTCAGTTTTTGCCTTTACTATCAGCCATTAATAATGGAAACTTCAAAGGAAGCTTAACTTCAGTATGTGGTCTTAGGCGCCTCACCTTCATCTAAGACTATAATTAATAGAACTGTTTTATTAAAAATGAGCTCTTGGAAGACAGATGCATACGTTTGCTGAGCTAAAGGACAGGAGTCTAGCTAACAATCATAAGCTTGTGTCTCCTTTGAGACCTTTTATTCTGTAGCTCTTAGTTCTTGCCTAGAGATTGTTATCACTATTATTATCATCATCAAATATTAAATATTAATAGTGCTGTGCTCAGTGAACATCAAGTAACAAGCTAAGATTTCTTATCAGTCTTGCTTGGGGAACCTCAGGTTGCCTTGAGGATTTCTGGGAGGCTTTCAGTATATAAAATTCCCATGCAGTTCAGTGGGAAGAAAAGTATTTCCCTGTTTTTCATCACATTTGTCATTTGCTTGCATGCCTGGTCCTGTGTAATAGGTAGCGTTAAAATTAAAATAAATTACTTATCAGTATTCAAAATTATCTATACATAAATGACATATGTAATACGTAATTATCTATTAATAAACACATTATTTTTTATGTAAAAAAATTGCCCTTATCCATATATAAAAATAGAAATCATCCCTTGTTCTGAGTCTGGACCCTCATGCAAAATTTCATAAAGGGCTGGTTTACCCCCTGGTAACTGCAAAATTATGCTGTGCTTTTTGAAGGGGGTTTTCTTCTCATGAGCTGGTATTTATACCAGTAAATTAGCAATGTTACTTTGCTTGTATCTTATTAGAGCTGCTTATGGACACTCTTATGGGTTTGAGAATAATAAGCTAACAAATTACTTGTATTTTGGCTGAGCGTGGTGGCTTGTGCCTGTAATCCTAGCACTTTGGGAGGCCGAAGTGAGTGGATCACTTGAGGTCAGGAGTTCAAAACCAGCCTGGCCAACATGGTGAAACCCCACCTCTACCAAAAATACAAAAAAACTAGTTGGGCATGATGGCACATGCCTGTGATACTCAGGAGGCTGAGGCAGGAGAATCACTTGAACTGGGGAGGCAGAGGCTGCAGTGAGCCGAGATCGTGCTACTGCACTCCAGCCTGGGCAACAGAGCGAGACTCTGTCTCAAAAAAAAAAAAAATCACTTGTATATTATTAAAGTGTTTAGGATTATACATACTTGTCCATTTCTTGTTAAATAAAAGTGTCAACCACACAGTGTCCACTGTGCCTGGACTTGATACTGTAGTTTGGTTTAAGTTTTCTTATGCATATACTTTTAACTGAGATTTTTTTTTGGTCCAACAAGTAAAGTCTTTGCAGCATCTTTTTATAATCTGTCACTCATCCAGGGTCTCCGCCTCTTCTACATTTTTCTTTTCTTAATAAAAAAAAATAAATCTCTTAATTTTGTTCTACCTACATTCCTCTTGGCAATAGCTACAACATGTCTTGGGCATCTTGGCAGAAGACCAGGTTATATTAGATAAGCCAGGGAAGGCAGTATTTAACTCATATTTTGGGAATATTGCTGATTAGTTCTGAAAGAAGTATATAAAATGCTGCATGTTGTAGAATCTTTGCTTTGAACTGGAGAGAACAGAAATTCAGCTGAAAGAGTAAGAGTGTGGCTATAAATCAAATCTGGAACATCCCTCAGTGTTTAATTAGAGATGTATGTAAGAGGCTGGAGGTAGGGGATGGATGGTGGGAGGTGGGGAAAGGTAGACTTCTGGGTAAAGATTTTACCTGTCCTTTGGTGATCCTTTAGATAGAATACAGTACTGACATATCAGGTTAAAAAATTATATACTACCTTATTCCAAAAAGCTTTAGGGTGAAGGGAAAGTAACTGTTGAAAAGTTGGAAGAATGAGGTTGTGTATAAAATGCACGTCATGAAACTCTATATGCTCACTACGGGTTTGCCTAAAATTTGTCTATTCTCTTGTTAGCAGCCAATGAGGAAGGTGACATAATAAGTTATTAAATTTATGATATAAATATAGTATGTTTTACAGAACACACCATCAAAGTAGTGATGAAGCACTGTACTAGTCTTGATACTGAGAACAGAGACATATTTCTCCTGTGGGGTTTTATGAAGAGAACACTTCATACAAAGTTAAATGGTTATAATGTCCTTGGCTTCCTCAAACTGTGGTTTTTGCACCTGTACAATGGGGATAGGAGCAGGATTGCATGAGGAGGTAGATATAAAACACCTCGCAGTGCTTGGCATGCTTGTAAGTATTCACTAAATAGTTGCTATCATCTGTATGTACAGTAAACACAGCAACATGTTTCCCAGGAAGGAGCTAATAGATGTATCTTACATATAGAGGCATATGTTGTTAACCATCCACTCAGCTATAGAATTTGTAGTTTGGCTGATCTAAAACCCTTTTCTGGCTTGAAGGTTTTCATACTTCAAAGTGTTAAATCATCCTTGGTAGCAAAATGTGTATTTGTGAAAGCCACCTTAATTTGAATGGCTCCAGAGTTACTAAGTGTAAGTTTTTTGTTTGCCAGAAAACATTGTAGCAACTATGAGAAGTATGAAGTTAGGTTAGAAATATTTCAGGAATTGGGATAATTGGATGAGTTAACATCATAGTACTTCCTACTTGCAACTGGGGTGGAGCATGTAAGGATGGGAAGAAACAAGAATCACGTAGTGATCATTTCTGACATTCAGAGATACCCAGGAAAGCCATGTTTTCTTTCCAGTAGTACTGGCTGTGGTACGGATTGGGAGATATTCCCAAGATATTTAGAGTTTGTTGGGAACTTGCACCATCTGTCAGAGAAAGGCATGCAGGGTATTTATTTGAACACATGATACTGAAGCCACTGCCAAATCAAGGACTGAATGCTCTTTGACAGCACACCTAAATGAACACTGTCAAATGTAGATTCCAGTAGTTTTACTTCATGAAGTTTCAGTAGCAAGAATGTAACATTTATTTTGATAACATTTAAAACGATCACTTCTTCCTCATACATTATAGCTCTTAAAATTTTTTCCACTCCTCCTTTTTACATTATCTTTGGAAGCAGTATTTCCTGAGTTTTCTAGTGGAGAATTTTTTTTTAGCCTAAAAAGTTCTGTATAAGAAGCAGGTTAACTATCCCTGATTCTTTAATGGTCTTACTGTTTTGTAGTCCCTTGCTGGGTTGGAAAGCTTGTCTGTCAAGTTTCTCCTTTTCATATTACAGGGAAAACAATACTATATCCTCAGCTTTGTGACTCCCCTAAGAACTTGCAGTCATTTTATGAGTTATAATTTTAAAAATAGTCATCAGTCTTCATGACATATCCCTTAAACAGGTAAAGAGATTTTAATGAAAATAAATATTGAGATCCACATGTGATGTTCTCATCAATCATAGCATATTTTCAACAGTAATGATGCTTCTATTGATCATGATGACAGATATTCTGTGGGGGCAGTGAGAAAGCTTCCATTACAGCTCATTTTACTTTCGGTGTTTTGGTTACTTGGCACATATAGCTTATTAAGTATTTGATTGTCCCTTTGAGACAGCATGTCTGTATTACCCCATCCACCAAAGCAAGGCTATCTTGCTCTCTTCTTATAGGCAAGGAAGCTGAAGTGAGAGAGGCTGAGAAGTAACTGATGGAGCAGAAAGCACTGTCCCTGAGCCCCTCAAGGTTTGCTTAACCATGGAACTATGTTCCTTGTCCTCTACCTGAACACAAGACAGAAAAGGAAAATTTAGTTACCAATCACATGTGAGAGGAGGAGGATGCTTTAAGTTTTGAATTGCTCAGCTCAGTGGCTTGATTTCCTCTGGCAGTTGTTGGAAGGCAATATCTTCCTCATCCAGGGAATATTGTATTTTATTGTGCTGTAAGGATGTCTACAAAAAGTTCATTGCCATATGAGTACTAGAGAATGGTAGCTTCGCAGAGGCCATCACTAAGAGTTTTAAAACGTGGTCAAGAGTGGTTGCATTAGACAGGAGTGGGAACAGAGAGTGACTGCAAATGGATATGAGGGATCTTTTTGGATTGGTGGAAATGTTCTAAAATTGGATTATGATGATCGTTGCACAACTCTGTAAATATACTAAAATCATTGACTGTATCATTAAAATGAGTGGATTTTATTGTTTATAAATTACACCCCAGTAAAGGTGATTTTAAAATGCCTAAAATTTGGCATGTCTTGAGAGGAACAACATTTCTGCTTGACCTCTGGGCACCATAGCACTTCACAGTGCAGTGTCAATTCTGAACGCTCCCACACCTGTGTGGAAGTGCACAGGGAAAACCAAGAAGGAGGAGTTGGAGGAAATGGGGATAGACAGAATCTGTTGCTGAGAGGATGCCTATCATCACGATGTGAACAAAATGGCACCACTTATGTGATAATGACAACTCAAAGTAGGTTCCAAAAAGTCAAGTGCATTTCTCTCCAGGGTTTGATGGCTCACTCTCTGAACTGGCCTAACTCTTTCATTAGATTGACCATGATGACACTTCCTAGCCAGTAATCTTACCTTAGCATCTTATCCACCCATATAGACTGTCTATTAAATGATTTGATCAAATGTACTATGCAGATTTGGGTAAATATAATTTAAAAAACCTTTCTATATAACATCATATGGCAATATAGCTTAATTACCATTTTTTGCTTAGCCGCCATATTTAATAAGGTGAATAGAAAATATTTAATGTGATAGGTTTAAAAAAATTTTTCAACCTCTTAATTTGTGTGTGTTTTCTTGAAAACAACCAAGCATTTCGTGTTTGATTTATTGAAGCAATTGGTTGGCTTTGCTCACTTACATTGTTAAGACTTGAGATAAAACTTCAGGACTCCCTCAGTAACTGGAGCACAGGAAACAATTGACACTGTTTCTTAATTCACATTGTTTCTGAGACATTTCCTACTTCCTAGTATAATATAGCTTTCCCATGAGAACCATTTGCTTGCAAATGGTTACACATGATAGATACACTTCTCACTGGCACACATTCTGTGGGGAGAATTTCACTGTGTTTTGTAGTAGCTGAGTTGCTGCGTGTGTGTTGGGAAGGAGGTCCTGCTTTATGTAAAGATGCCTCCAACTTCATTCAAGCATCTGATGTCTTCTTTTGAATACTAACCCATTCACTTAGGTTCTGCATTGCTTAGCTGGAATATCTTTCCTGAAGGAGCATATAATTCTTTGAAGCCTGCCAATTTAAGGAAACACCCCTGCCAATTATGGTGTTTTTAGATATACCCCGTAGGTTACTGTGGAAAGTAGTTCATGACAGTTTGTATCATACATACTGTATGTACATGTATTTGCATGTAGGTACGTGATATTGGCTGTGGCATTGCAAAGTTGTCATCAAGGAATAATTCCGGAAATGGGAAATAAAACCCATAGATGAGAAAATCTAATCTAATTTGCAGTTCAGACAAAAATGTTCACATTATTTCTCAAATGGTAGTTCCTAAAATACAGAAGTTATGCTGTATTTAAAGTGAAAGTAGAAGTTTTTCAATTTAAAAAATGATGTGGAACTTTGAGTTTCTTTCTTTTTTGTCTTATTAGATTTTGTAAAAATAATACCACTTGTCAGTTTTGCAGCTCCTTCCATCTAGAGAGCTGAAAGCATTTCACAATCTTTTTTCCTCATGCCCTTCTCTTCAAGGCAATTTTTGCTGGGCTCGGTTTATTTTTATCATTGCAACAACCAGTTTTTAGAAACTTTTGGAAATGAAAAAAGAAAAATGAGAATGGCACTGTAGCTGACATTCATTTTAGCTGTTTCCTAGTGTGAACGTTTGAGTATTTCTAAAATCTTTTCTCCAAGTATGTCTTATTTTTCTCAGTTTGTCCCAGTTCTAAGTCTCTATTTTGCTGATTAGGTAAAAAAAAAAAAAAGTTTTAATGTAAAGCCTTACCCCCAGCAAAATGACTTTTTGAACTTTGATAAATCTTTATTTTTGCAGCGCCAGCAGCTCCTTTTCCAGCAGGCACTAACCCTACCCAGTATAATCATAGACTCATGTAAGGCTGAAACTGGAGGGCCCTCTAGGGATTACCCAGTTTAAGTCTCTCCTTCTAGAAATGATGAGAGGCCCAGAGTGGTTAAGAGATACATGCTTAAGGTCAGACAACTAATTGATGGCAGAGTATGACAAACATGAAGGATTCCTGATTTCCAGTTTGATATTCCTTGGTTTTCCTAAACAAAAGTAGTCTATCTGGACAGAATTAGAGTACACTCTCACAGAGTCCTAGTGTCAGCCACTAGCTTGAATTATACTGAAGCTAATTGAAAATTGGGAGGAAATTTTATTTTTCTAGAGTTTGCCAAATATAGAATGGTAACGTTGAATTTATAGACATTTTCTTCTGATCTGTGTATCTTGTGCAATTTGTCTGCAGTAGAGAATGTGGTTTGAACTGACTGGTGATTTGTGTACCTTCCTTAGGCCACCATACCATTTACATCGGAGTCCATGTGCCGAAGAGTTACAGGAGAAGGAGACGTCACAAGAGAAAGACAGGGCACAAAGAAAAGAAGGAAAAGGAGAGAATCTCTGAGAACTACTCTGACAAATCAGATATTGAAAATGCTGATGAATCCAGCAGCAGCATCCTAAAACCTCTCAGTGAGTACTCTCTGAGCGTTGGTGCCTCTCTCTGCCTCACTCCCACATCTTTGAGAAGGACACCTTTTTGAATCTTGTGGCTAAAGGGGAGGGACACTGTAATACTGAGATGTTTAGAATCTGTTCTAAAGGATAATGTCTGTGGAGATGCTTTGCTTGTACCAGCAGGTTAATCTAGGAGGTCATCTGGTAAGATTCTGAGTTGATCAGAAAAGGCCTGACTAAGTTTAGGCATAGCTGTGTATTCTACATTTTTATGTGTAATAGGGTAGTATTGCAGATGGTATTTAACTACAGCAATAAACAGTAACTGGAAGACTCTTAAAGAATTTTTTGCATGGTTTATGCTTAGAAATAGGTTCTGTTGAGACAGCAGGTGAAGATGAGAGTGTATGTCTATATATTTACATATCTTACCAAATGTCAGCATTACAGGTGACATAAAACCAGGTTATGAGTCAGGTCAGTGATTTAAATAGGAATTGTGGAAAATCATCCTGTAAGAGAGATCTGTAGAGTGACACAGTTGTTAAGATGTTGAATGTATTAGATGTCATACACTGGATAAAAGTGTTACTAAGAGCAGAATAGCAGGAGGTCAAAGAACACCCTTGAATTCAAGTGATAGGATAGGCTGTGTGTTTAGATGTATGTTTATGTTGCTTTTTGTTTCTTTAATGTGGAGAATATTTGGCTACATGGGCCAAATATTGTGGCTGAACTGAGAATGAATATGTGCAGTAGAAACACATGCCAATTTTGGAAGATTCCCCAACAGGAGTTACACAGTGACAGCTTTTCATGTTGGCAGAGCTCTGTACATTCTTCATGTCTTTGCTACAGTTGCAGAAATATGGACCCTGCAATAAAATGCATTATGGATGGCACAGATAAAGATCGGGTTCAGTCATTGCAGTTGATGACAGGCCAAATTAGAATGAACAGCTCAAGGGTGTTGAAAAGTGAATTTACAGAGTTAAATTAAAGAGGGTGTGAGGCATAGTGATGTGAATTTTTTATAGTCTCACCGTTGGAACTGAGCAGGTGGCTTAGGAAGCTAGAGAAGTGCGGTGCTAAGAGGAGAAATACAGGTGGACCATCGAATTAAAGACAGAAGCTTGGAGGGGAGCTTGAGATGGATCATGAAATCTAAATTAAAAGCATTGAAATAAATTTAAGACTTAGAAGGACCAGAAGGCAGGAGACTCAAGTTATGTACTTTTCACTGAAGTACTGGGGGAAGGTCTGTCTGAAAGGGATCCTTTACATATCGATTAAGGTAGTGGAGTCTGTTTTGAGAAAAGGCCTTAAAATGCACATAAACATGGCACAGTTAATAGTCTGGAGGAACAAAAGATAACATTCTTTTCCAAATAAATGACTACCATTTATCTTGATTTACTCTGTATCCATCTGTCAAGGCCTGAGCCAGTGTCAAGTGTTCTGTCCATTGTGCATGTGATTGTCTACTCTCTCTCTTTCTCTCCTCTCTGTGTCTTTTATAACTTGTCTTTCATTCTTCAGATTAGAACAAGAGTGCATCATCACTATTAATGTTAAAAAGTAAAGAGGTGCTCACCTAGACAAATAGGCCCAGGAATTTTGAGATTAAAATTATATATCAGCTTTTGAGAAGGGCAGTGGAAACAGTGCCAGCAGCACTCAGATAGGTCATAAGGAATGAACAGATCAGGAAGATGCTGAGACCGCATGTGTATCAACCATAGAATACTGTTGCATTCTGTGGCATTTGGGGACCAGTTTGAATACAGCATTTAAAATAAACAAGGCAATCCATTCTCTTTCCCCTCAGAGGTTTCTTCCTGGGGGAATACTGCATTATGTTGTATACTGGTTTTCTGAAGGGATCCTATGGAGAGACAGTTGTTAAGGACTAAATTGTTCAGTGATCATAAAAAAATTATTTATAAGTATGCATTTTACCGTTTTGTTCCTGCTGATCAATGTTATACACTAATATGCCTTTGGCATATTTGATATGAGTTATCCAATTTGACATGAAGATTCTCTTAGAAATTGCTGTATATCCTCAGCTGCTTTGATGGATTGGTAGTTAATTATTTGGTACAGTTCTGTTTAAAAGTCAGAGTTTTTGCACCTAGATATAGAAAGACATTTAACCCCATGATTTTGGGGGAAGCCATAGGGCTCTGGCACCAACATGATGACAAAATTGTTGTGGGAAAACTGAATGAAATACTTGCCTACTATACTATTATTGTCTCTCAAGAACAGCCACATAACAGTTTCTGTTGTTCTGTGACCTATGGTGTTTGAGTTGCTTATGTCCATAGACATACCACGTCCCATAGACAAGGTTCCCACATGTGTCTGGCAGTGCGCGATGTGATGCTTATACTTCTGAGAAAAACAAAAACCAAAAAGCCCACATATAAATAGTAACTTGATGGGAGTCATCTTTGATTCTTTCCTTGCTCTCACCCTCATATGCAATCCTTCAATGATTTCTGTTGGTTCAACATTTAAAATAGATCTGAATTTTTCTGTTCTTTTCAGTTTTGCGGTCACATTTTTGTCCAGGGAATCATCACCTCTTGCATAGACACTGCAGCAGTCTCTGCTTTTTAAGTATTTCTTCATAGAGAGGCACCATTGATCATCATAAAGTGTAAATTGGATCATGTCCTTCCTCTGCTGAAAACTTCCCATTGTCCTAAGAATAAAACCTCAATTGGGCATCATGGCCCAGTGTCTTTCTAGTCCTGTGATGTGCCATTCTCTCCTTGCTCACTTTACTCCAGATACATTGATATTGGAGTTCCTTGGTGCTAAAACCTTTTCTGCCTCAGGGCCTTTGTTCATGCAAACTTGTCTTCCTGAAATGGTCAGCCCATTCTTGTCCTGGTTAGTTTTTCTGTTCCTGTATGTTCTGGCTTTTAAATTTTACCTCTTCAGAGAGTCCTTTCCTTACTACTCTCTCTAGTGCAGATTCCCCTTCATTATTCTTTCCCAACGCCTTATGTTTCCTTCAGAATATATGTTTTAACATGTGATTTTTGAGAGCTTACAGGTTTGTCTTGAGCTGTTGCTGGATTGTAAACTCCGTGAGAGCAAAGATCAGGTTGTCTTGTTCACTTTGTTATCTTTGGCGCCGCACAATGCCTGGCACATAGTGTGTTTTTCATACGTGTTTATTGAGGAGTAACTGAATGAATGAATTACTACAGAGAAAGACGTAAGCATTGCTTTAATTGGTCTAAATATTTCTTATATCCTAGATAGAGATCCAGCTGATTTTCTTGTTTTTAAGCCTGGAACATCGTATTTATATTTCCCTGCCCTGCCTTTCTCCCTTGGCACATAAAATCTGGTCTTCGCTTTTAATTATCCCACTTTGGAAAGTGCCTCATTATTTTGTCTATCGCCAAAGTGGGATTTTGGTCTGGGTAGGTAACTCCCAAGTGTGTGCAGCTGCTTGTTAACCACAGGTGAGGGATGAAACTGAACCGCAAGGCACATTAATTTTTTATATACACTTAAAAATGCTCACTGTTCCACAGAGCAGGCAGCCCCCCTTCAGAAGCCATATTAAGGTGACATGAGCTGGCACCGTGGCACATGCCTATAGTCCCAGGTGCTCCAGAGGCTGAGGTGGGAGGATCATCAGAGCCCAGGAGTTTGAAGCTGTAGTGCTCTATGATTGCCCCTGTGAATAGCTGCTGTGCTTCATCCGTGGCAATATAGTGAGACCCTGTCTCTACAAAAACATGAAAGGGCATTTATAAGAAGTAAACGAAATATCTTCCAGTATTTAGGCACATTAAGGAGATGGCATAATTAACAGGTTCATTTAGTTTATAACCTAACGCTTTCTATTTTCTTCATGGCTTTGGTGTCAAGACCGGGTTTCTAAAAAATAAATGAGTGTTTGATTTTTACACATTTGGAGCTCTGAGGAGGAAGCGAGCTAGCTTCGTATCCCCCTCTGAGCTCAGCAGCAGCTCCAAGTCCTTTCACAGCTGCTATTCCCAGTGTGGCGTCAGAGCTGGTGTCCCAGCTGGGGACACAGAGAAGGAAACGTGTGTGAGAGCGTGGTGCACTGAGCCATGGGGAGAGAGAAGCTGGGGAAGGAAAGTGAAATGGAAGAACAAGCAGGAGAGACAAGGGAATGAGGAGGTGGTGTGGAGTGGGTGGTTGAGAGAAAAGTTAGATTGTGCTCTTTCTTAAAAATAATCCTTTTGCCTCCTCCACTGTGCATTTTTTTTTTCTAAGTTAGCAGCTGCCATCCTCTGAGGGTTGCCCAAAAAGTGGGTGGGAAGGTGGTCCTGGCTGAGATAGGCTTTGGAAACACAGCATACCTTCCCAGCCTACATGGTTTTGGCCTCTGTGCCTCCCATTTTGTTAGTGTCCAGGGATACTTATGGGGGCATCACAGGCTACTTTGTGACTGTAGAGATCCTGAAGATGTGTAAGATGGTAGGAAACAAAGCTACAAACAGAACATCGTGTTCAGCATTTTGATCTGATGTGTAAGATATTTCTTGACAAGCATGAACATGCATTCATGCTTGGAGGTGCTAACTGCCTCTCACACACAGGTCTTGCCCGTTGTGGAATCATAGCGCTAGGTATGTCCATACAGACACTCATTCAGTCTTGTGGTATTCTTTTTTAGCTTTTTGGATGTGTACCAGAACTGATGGATTTATGCTAGTGAACATTGTTCTGTGAGCCTGGGACAATGGATGCTGGTTGGTGATCCAGTTATATTCAGGAAACTGAAACAGAGAAATGGGCAGCTGCTTTTGTTTGGTGCTTCCGGGTAAATGAACAGAGTAGCTTTTCATAAGAGCCAAGAATATTTGGTGTTGTGTCATTTGACTTCCCCTTTTCCCAGTGCACACCCCTCCCAACCTGACCTCATACTTCTTGGTACATTTGTACTTTTTCTTGATTTTTAAAATGTTTTCAGGCAAGATCCTTAATTTTGATACCATAAAATAAGGTTTCTTTAATTTTCTACATGCCATTGGTATTCTCAAAAATCGATCTATATATAGGAGAAAAGGCTTTGGAAATGTATGAAAATGAGGTAGACCTGTCCCAGTTTAAAAAACAAAACACAAACACAATAAAACTATACCATCTCTTTCATCCCCTTCTCTATTTTTCACCTTATATAAGTAGGAGGAAGTACTTTGTCTTTAGGTCTGAGTACAAAAGCTTTTTATATTAAAAAATGTTTTAAAACTTACAGTTTGCCTTTTCAGAAGGGACACTTGTGTTGTAATTTTGCTGGAAAGGGAGCATATCAGAGTGGTTAAGAGTGCATATTTGAGCCAGATTACTTGAGTTTGAATCCCAGTTCATACCAGCAGTGTAACCTTGGTTATTTACTTAACTTCTTTGTGCTCTAGTTTCCTCATATGTAAAAAGGGGATGATCGATTTTAATCATAGTATTCTGAACATGAAGTGAGCACTGCATGTAGTCAGCAATAATGGTTAGCAGTTATTATTTTGAGTTACTATGATTGCCTTCTTCAAGCTTATCTTTTCCTATCCATCATACACAGGTAATGCCAAAAACTTGAGGCTAAAACTCTGTAGAGCTTAATTCCTTGTAAACAATAACCACTATTCTTTAAGCTCTTCTGGTCTTTTCTGCCACAAATTCTCACTAGGCGTTCTTTTGCTTTAGCTGTCGGCTTGGCTCTTGGCTCCTAACGGCATATTTGAGAGAAGCAACCTAAATTCAGTCTCTTATCTTGCCAGTGAGTGTCAGTCTGCACGTTGGCTGGCAGGTGAGAGGACCAAGGGAACAAGGACTTCAAGGGGCAGAGGTGCTGTCTCTTGTGCTGCTCTTTTTTGTGGAATACTGCCACCAGCAAGTGGCTTGGTGTACCAAGGGTGTCCTTGAATTTAGTCGGCAGTTGTAATTCCCCGTTCTGGATGCCTGAAATCAAATAGACTGTTCTGTCTTTTACAGGAAGGATCTCTTTCTGGCTCTTTCTTTGTGTTTCTTTGTGAAATTAATCTGGTTAAGAAGGGCTGTTGGGTGGGACAAGTCAGCAATTTGGAGGCAGTGTTGTGCAGAAAGGAAAAATATTTGGCATACTTGTGTTTTTGATGGCAATGGGTTGGCTCAACAATGTTGTGTTTTGTGTGGTACAAATAATTGTTGTTTATTCCTCTGTGATGCTGATGAATACAAGAGGACTGTGTCATAGTGCTTCTGCTTCTTTAGCCAGTTAACTGCATAAGTCTCTTAGAGAGCCTTGAGTTTCTGAAATGCAGCTCTCTTGAAGTCACCTTGAAGTGCCCTTCAAATGGCAGATTTTACACTATTCATTTCTTGTTGCCACTGGCTATTCTATTCTAATAGTTATTCCATGTTATCATGCCATGAGATGTTATGAGTAGTGTGTTTACACGTGTCATGGGAGAGTTGATGTTGTTGCTATTTATAGTGACTTATGAGTTCAGGAGACCTCAAAGGGTTCTAGTGTACTCCACGTGCTGGGGTGCTCAGGGCTAAAAAGAGATTGTGACTTAGGGTGGAAAATGGGGGGAAACCAGAATACTGTGCAGAATTTCAGTGTGAAATTTACTTTAGTGAAGTAAATGGGGTATAAATGACTGTCTGCCACAGGCATTACCACCTAAGCGGAAGGCAGGTCACATCCTGTGGTTTGGGATTCAAATTTACAAGGCAGGAAGCTTGAATGTGTATTTGTGAGTTTGTGTGAGTGTGTGTGATTTGAATGCACTGAAAAAAAGAAAGGTATTGGCAAGGGTCTTCTTGAAATAGTATTCTGTTTAGGAATTTTTTCATATAGAAGGAAATAATTCTTAAAGAACAAGGGTTCTTAATACCAGGGATTTAAATTCAGGGCTTTATGAGTGTGAACTCATAAATGCAGAAGTAGTTGGGGTGAGGGACCACGGGCCTACTCTATAAATAAATTCTGCGGAATTCTTCCATGACCACAATCTGGAGGCAGGAATGTTAGGCTCTTTTAATAACTTTCCCATGGATAGGAGTCTTACTTGACTTTTCATCACTTTTATAGAGGTGTTGCGAGCAAGGAGTCTCCATTTTCCTGGTTAATATAGAATCAAGATCCAAGTTATCCTTTATCCTTCTCTGTTGTTTTTCTTCCATAGCCAGCCATGCACTGAGCGCTGTTGGTTTTTCCTTCAAAGTTTCTCTTATGTCTGCCACTTCCTTTGAATTCCTAAGGCAATACTTCTTATTTGGAATTTCAGCGTTAAGTTCATCCTTGAAATAGAAGGGAGTTATTTCAGACAAGGCTGCCAGACATCTAAAATATTAGTTCTATAGTCTCTCCTTAATTAAATAACAAACAAACAAACAATCCTTTTTTTTTTTCTAGCAAACAGTATTTATTCCCCTTTCCCCCCGGGTGTCATTTCTTTGGGAATAGAAAAATGACCTTGTTTTGTGTATCTAGCCAACAATTCTTTTTTTTTTGTTATACTTTAAGTTCTAGTGTACATGTGAACAACGTGTAGGTTAGTTACATATGTATACATTTGCCATGTTGGTGTGCTGCACCCATTAACTCATCATTTAACATTAGCTATATCTCCTAATGCTATCCCTCCCCCCTCCCCCCACTCCACAACAGGCCCCGGTGTGTGATGTTCCCCTTCATGTGTCCATGTGTTCTCGTTGTTCAATTCCCACCTATGAGTGAGAACATGCGGTGCAAACAAACAATCCTTCTATTGCTCATCATTACTTAAAGTAATGAGTAAAGCAACAATGTAACAAAGTTTCCTCTGCTACTTTCAATATTTTATGTAGTTTAATGAAAATTATAGATGTACTGTGTCTCAGCAAGGCCACCTTAAGTTCATTTTTATGAACTCATAATAACTTCCCCAGTTTTTGAACTCTTGCAGCAAGTATTATCTACATCACACAATCTGATACTTAGATATGTAATGCTTCAAATGGTGACTTACCTCTGTCATTCAGATGTATGTCATCTCTTCAGTATTATCATTAGAGACTCAAAGGCAGAGGCAATATTGCATGCTTCTTTTGAATCATGTTCTGCAATAGCATATTTGTTGAGTGGATAGGTAAATAAAATGCCCAGAAATTACCCATTAGGTTAAAATAATCTGGTCTATCCAAGAAAATTTACAACTATCTTGGTTAAGAAAATGCTGTCCCTTTAACCTAAATCCTTACTGAAAAGTGATTAAAATATAAATAACCAAAGAACTGTCCACTAGAGTGAGTTGAATCATGGTGCAATGAAAAGAGAGAATACCAGGAAAAGTCTTTTTTTTATGCTGTAGTTCTACAATTTGCAATAACTAATTTGTACATAATTAAAATAGAAATTGTGCATGTTTTTAAAACAGAGATGAAAGTGCTACCTGTGTATTTTTTTTTCTTATGGGAAATATATTACAATATTAAAATGCCTGAAAACATGAAGGTAAGTGTTGGAATGCAAAATATTATAAGACAGCATTTCTTTAAAGAACTGTATAGCTTTCTGAGTTGGAATAAGCCTGCCTTTGCTTATGATTATTTATTTAGGGTTCATATTCCACTGTGTTGAGTGAGGATAGAGCATAAAAGAGGTTACTTATGGCAGTGATATTTGTTAATTACTGAATGTGTCACTGAGGCTGTTTGCGGAGTTTTTTTTACATGGAGAACTTTAAGAGTTGGTACTATATGTGTATCTGGGATAGATATACAGATTAAGGTCCATGTTGCTTTCAGAGATGAAATAAGATGACTTTAGCACCCTTGTCAGGATTATGATTTACTGATTCTGAAACAAGAGCATAACTGGAATGTTCTATTCTTTTGCTATTTGCCAATTAGCAGAATTCTATTATTTAAAAAAACACATTGCACATGATATCCTTACTTTAGAAACTACTCCTGATGGTGATGGTATTGTTATTAAACACTTTGTATCAACATTATCTTTTGTCATTTATCAAAATTTTACCACAAAGACCACAAGATAAACCAATTATATTTAACTGATTCTACTTCATTTATGAGGCTTTGTGTAGGAATAATTTAAGTGTAATGGAAAATATGACTTCTGGATGCAAATGTTTAATAAACATGTGGGCTGTCTAGCTAGCTGTGTTCGTTCAAAGCTGAAGCTGTTTTCCTCAGAAAATAGGGCAATTTCTGTTACCAAGGTATGGAAATAGCAGTTTCTATAACTAGAAATTTACTGCAGATTCACCCAGTATCCAGAACACATGCATGAGCAACTATAAAATCCTAAGTCAATTATTTGTCTAATTGTACTTTGTTACTTCTTGTGACACTGCTGAATGCCACAAACAACAACAACCAAGCAGATGGGCAAAAACGCTTCAAAAGGATTTTAGATTATTTTTTATTGATGTCCACACACAGACACAGCTAATACTCTTCCTTGGTCCTCTGATTCCTAAATATAGGTTTTGAGCAAAAGATACGCTGGTTAAGAAAGACTGAAGATAGGTAGCTGGCATTCCAGTGGCCATTTCAGTTAGATCAAATGCTAACCAAAGTTTTCAAAAAGTGTGGCGGAAAGTTTTGTGAGCTATTGTTTGCATGCTCCAACCACACTTGGAAGGTTTATAGATTTTTTGCTCTTCGTGAAACTGACTTTGGAAATCTGTCTATGCTATATTTTCCTTAAACCTCTTTTATCCTATTATTTTATGATTCTTTCTGACATTAGTAAAAACATCTAAGCAGTTAATACAATAGGATAAATTTGAGGATGTTCTTTGTACATTTTTGTGTATAGGAAGAAGTGGCCAAGATGCTTTCCTCTTCTGGCAGATGGAGAGAAGGTGCTGTCTTTAGTGACTGAGTGCGAGTGGGGAACCTTTGATTTTGTAAAAGGCTCATACAAGTTCAGATGAAAAAGAAATCAATCAGGGCAATGTATAAGAAGAAAAAACAACCTGGAGACTATATTTATTTTTAAATAACAATTGAGTTTTAAAAATGTCATTGATTTCTGTATTTTGGCCAGTCACAGGGAATAGAGGGGGAAGTGCAGGGATAACACTGAAAGTAAAAGGAGAGAGAGGAGATGATTTATTCTGAGAAAGAAGCAGAGGAAGTAGAAGAATGCCATCAAGAAAGACAATGAGATTAAAGAAAAATCACTGGGTGAATGGCAAGGGCTAACATCTTACCTCCTCAAAATAGAGCTCTCTATAACTTAATAGGACCAGCTCTCTACATCCAATCCTCAAACCGGTTTCAAGTGGCCTCTACCTGCCTTATCTTTAGTTTCCTAGGGATAGTTTTTTCACCATGATTTTCAAATGATCATAGTGATTCTCTAACGATTTTCCCTTTATTCTTATGTTATCATTACCTCTTTGTGTTGGTTTTAGACTCATCTCTACCAGATGTTCCTCCTATAAGAAACTTGGGCCTTGTCTTATAGTTATGCTAGTCCTTTTCCTAATACCTGATTTTTAAAATTACCAGCATACCATATGATAAATATCTTTAGCTTTCTAAAATTTCTTTTTAAACATACCCTAGTCTTCTAGCAGATTATTTAATATAACTTTCAATTCTATAATTTAAAAAGTATAAAATTCAGTTTATACTTTTTATAGGAGGTGACCTCAAGTCTTTGTTCAGCCACAAGATAAAGCTGGACTAAGGTCCAGCTTTAACAAAGATGCTACCCTGAGCGTCCACACCAAATCCAAGGCTGTCCTCTTGGTAGTCTGCCTGATGACAGAGGAAATTCAGAGTCAGGCAGTGGGACTTTTTTGGAAGACAGCTGGGTCTAGGGGAATTTTTGTAAGCAATGAACCATTCTTTAATTGTGAAACCACTGGATGTGGTTAGTAGTTTATTTTAAAAATACCATATGTTAGTTCATTCCTATATACTGTGACAATCATAGTTTAATCAAAAGTTGCTTGTGACATTTCTGTTAGTGTTCATAAAAGAGTGGCTTGCTTCCTTGAAATCCTGAACTCTGTGCCAAATGCCAGCACATTGACAATTACAGTTTGGCTTTTAGGCAATTGTGCAGCTTTTTGAGTATGTGGTAAGTTTTTATTTATTTTTGTCACTTTCACTAATTTGTCATCTTCTTAAATGGAAAAATATTTTCTCAGCACTTTGTTTGGTAAGTAGGGACTTTTACTCTTTTCTCCATGGTTCCCCGAGAGGAAATAAGCTAATGTAACTGCTTTTCGACTCTTTTTTTTCTGGCCAGAAAGCCAAATGAATGCATGATCTCATTGAGATACGATCTATTTGTATGAACTGTAAGCTTGTAAGCTTGTCATCATCCTTCATGGTCCTGGGGCAGGCGCCTGGCTAGCCACTGTAACAGGATGAGGAAAGAGATACAGCAAGATCCCTGAGACTTCAATTCAGTGCAGTGCAAGTCAATTCATTTCAATTCAGCTCACTTTAATCCAATCTAAGAAATATTTATGGAGTACTTTTTAGGCATAGTCCTGGGCACTGGGGCTATAGAAATGAAAATTTCATGAAAACTGACATTTTGGTGGGGGAAATAACACAAATCAGATAAATTTAAGAGAATGTGGTAATTACTAACTACATCAGTATCAGTATCAGGAAGGATGAGATGCCTCATTCATCCATCCATTTCTTCATCAAAAATATTTATTGAAGGTCTACACCATGTACCAAGTACTGTGCTAGATGTTGGGGTGATGATAGTGAACAAAATTAAAGACTTTCTACCCTTGGGGAGCTTGTAGTCAGTTTGGAGAGACACTAACTAATCAAATACCCATACAAAAAAATGTTAAGTTCTACCTTTGGTATGTACTGTTGGAGTGTGGCCCATGGTGCTGTGAGATTTGATAAAAGGTAGGTTCTGATCAAGGTAGGGAGGTTAGGAAAGGCTTCTCTGAGAAAGTTATGCTTGAGTTGAGATCTGAAGGATGAGAAAAAAAAATTTTGGTGAAGGCTGTAAGTGAAAAAAATACTGCAGGTCACAAGAAGAGCACAAAACAAGGCTCTGGGCCAGGAGAAAGCATGATGAGTACAAGAGTGGTTATCTAAGGCAGGCCATCAACACTGACCAAGTATGTGAGGCCTCATTGAGGAGAGTTCCATCTAAAAAATAATTTCATTATCTTTGACTAATATTTGAGGAAATGGCCAAGGTGGGTGGATCACCCGAGGTCAAAGTTTGAGACCAGCCTGGCCAACTTGGTGAAACCCCATCTCTACTAAAAATATGAAAATTAGCTGGGTGTGGCAGTGTGTGCCTGTAGTCCTAGCTACTCAGGAGGCTGAGGTACGAGAATTGTTTGAACCTGTGAGGCAGAGGTTGCAGTGAGCCGAGATCATGGCACTGCACTCCAGCCTGGATGACAGAGTGAGAGTCTGCCAAAAAAAAAAAAAAAAAAAAAAAAAAAGAAAACGAAACGTACCAATTTCAGATGAATAATTATGTGTATTAAATGCCATGATAAAAGCACATCTATATATAAGGCATACAGTAAGTTGAAGTACTGATTTTTAACCTGAGTTTAAATGGAGCTTTATGGTTATGATTCTGTGTTTTTTCTCAACATTGTTTATCTGCAGAACCACTCCCAACTTCTGCTTACATCTTATAACCTTTTCTGCAAATATTTATTCCTATGATATCAGTGTGCCAAATAAAGTAGTGTTTTTTTTTTTTTTTTTTTTTTGCCACTAGTGAATCTCAGCAAAAGCTTTTGGCATTGACACGTGAGGTGCATTCTTATCTTCTCAAGTGGCTCTATGATTTTGTCTATTTTCATGTACTACTCCACTGGCAGCCAAGATAATCCCTTAAGGATACCAATTCTACAATTTTAGAAGTATAGAAGGTTGGAGGGGCAATTCATTCTGGGTGAATATTTCAGTAACATTGGCTGTAAATCATACCCAGGCCTTTTCTTTCTGTGACTCACGTGATGTAAGGAAGAGATCAGATGACGAGGTCAAGAGGACACAAAACCTCAGCCCTGCTTCTGCTCCCTCAATGTCGTCCATCCAAAATGACTTTACATATGTCACCAGAGCATGGAAGTGTTTATGGCGATTTATACTTTGGTTTTGGTTTGTTAGCTTATTTTGTCATAGTTAGGACAAGAGGAGACATTTCTGATGCAAAGGGAGATTTTCTTTAGCCAGAGGAATTTTGAAACCTTTATTACTAAGTACAACAGAGTATTTTTGTTCATTGTACTTTTGAAGTCTGTGATCAGGAAATGTATTTTCTTTAAAAATAAATCAGAAAAGGTCTCAGGAGGGCCTCAATGACTGTAATAAAATGTTTCTCAGAGCACTTTTTATGTTTTCACACTTTGCTTTTTTCTCCTTTGCTGCAAGTTGCAGTTTTCCATCAAAGTTATTTTGGATGGTGTTGAAAGTTTTCTCTGGGTCTTTGTGCATAGTTCAGAGGGCATTCAGGGAACTGACTAAGCCGCGTTAACTATATGTTGCAAAATGTTTTATTTTTGTGTAGTGCTGTATAACATATAGAAGCTTTCATACACAGAACCCTAACTGTTCCATAGCCCTTGATGCAATCAGAACAAACATTATTCCTGTTTTAGAAATGCAAATCAGAGGTTCCCACAGGCTAAACAATTTGCCTGGGGTCACACATGCTGTGTTGGGAGTCAGAATTAGAACAAGGTCTTTGGACTTCTGGTCTGACCCTCTATACTAACTATATGGTGAAGCTGACATAGTGGAGTTGTTGGGCTAAAAATGAGGAGCCTTTGATAGGGTGCAGTCAAATCTTGGAGGATTCCATTATTCATTTCTCCAAAGCTGGGTATATTCAAAATTAGAAAATTACAGCTATGAATAGTTGTTTTCCACTTGATTGGTCTAAAGTCAACTGAATTCTAGAGAAAACTCCTTTGAAAGTGTGTTGCCTTGGAAATGGATGATCGTAGCAGTATAATAGCTTTTACCGTATTTGAAATTCCAGCAGTTTAGGTGACAGTTGTGTCTTTCTGAAGGGTGTGGGCAGATTCTGAACGGGCTTTTCCCGTTGCTCATCAGCTTGGCCATGGCTGCTCTTATTACAGCAGTCACTCATTTTCACAGATGTCTTTAAAAATTTTTTTTTGTTTTTCTTTTCTGAGTTCAGAACATGTAGAAGTAACTTCTTTTTGGCATATTGCATTGCGTGTCTTTGCCTAGCAAGTAGTTGGTGTTAGGAAATGTGCATGGACTTAAGTGGGAACACATAACATTTGTCATGTACTATAGACTTAATAAAGGCTGTCATGTCCATGATTATGTTTAATCCTCGTAAGAACCTTGTGAGAAATATAATGCCAGTGTTATTTTTCCCATATTTTACAAATGAAGAAAGCAAAATTTGTTAAAAAACTATTATACAGTGGTTAAGACCATAGGTTTGGAATCGTAGTTTGTGTTTAGATCCCAGTATACTTTACTTACGAGCTTTTTGATGGTGGGCAAGTAATTTGACTGCTCTAAGTCTCCATTCTCGTGATCTGTGAGGTAAGATGATAAAGAAATATACCTCACCAGGTGGCTGTGAAGGTTACCTGAGTATAAAGCTTTCAAAGGGCACTGGCAAATAATACAGCTTAGTGTATATTAGTTATTATCATTAAGTAACTTAATCACATTCACACATTAGCAAGGAGAAGAGCTGGGACTTGAACCTATGACCTTTGGTTGTTTTTGAGATGAAGTCTCGCTCTTGTCCCCCAGGCAAGAGTGCAATGGCGCAATCTCGGCTCACTGCAACCTCTGCCTCCTGGGTTCAAGCGATTCTCTTGCCTCAGCCTCCCGAGTAACTGGGATTACAGGCACCTGCCACCATGCCTGGCTAATTTTTTTGTATTTTTAGTAGGGGCGGGGTTTCACCATGTTGGCCAGGCTGGTCTCGAACTCCTGACCTCAGGTGATCCGCCCGCCTCGGCCTCCCAAAGTGCTGGGATTACAGGCATGAGCCACCGTGCCCGGCAGAACCTGTGACTTTTAACTCCAGCTTCTACCTTGTTATTTTTCCAAAATACTAGGAATTTCCTTCTTTCTCTTCTCTATGGCAAGTGGCTGCTACATTAAGTTGTTAGTGAAGGGGATGGGTTTTGGAATAAAAGACTTGGGGATTCTGTGAGAACATTTGACCTCCTGGAATAAATCAGCAAATTACTTAAAAATGTAGAAACACACTCCTTATTATTAAGAGCTACTTGGTTCTAACCCAAACTGAACTTAAAAACATCCCCTACTCTGACTCACATTATTAGTATATGAATACTTTTGGATGTACCAGTTATGTGATGTATCCACTGTCCTTAGTAGGGGATTAAGGATAGATGTTGGGTTCCCACATTATAAGCCCCCTTGCTCCCCTCAACCTTTCCTTGCATGGACCTGGTGAGAGTGAGGGGTGGAGCTCATAGGCTCATTGGGGAACAAACCATGGTCTCATCTGCACTGTCTTCTAAGCAAATCAGTTAGATTAAAAGCAAAAGAACAAATTAGCTTGAGATACTTACTGAATTTGGATTGCCCCTTGAAGTGTTTACATTTATTTCCATCCTGCCTCTTCTCTTCCAGGGATCCCTGCTATAGCTTTTTGGACAGCCTAGGTAAGCATGGTGGCTGCTGTGGGTGCCCACCACTACACATCTTTCACGTTTGCCTGCAGGGGTCCTCAGTGCTGCACCATAGATTATGTCTATGTGGACACCTTCACTTGTTTAAATGTTCACTTCTCTGATTATAAAAATAATAATACCTGACCTTTACATAGTGCTTGACAGGTTACAAAGCATACTTGTATACATAAATGATTCTGAGGGATATTTAGAGGTTATTATTTCTGCTTTACATGAGAAAATATAGATCTGAAAGGTGAAATGAATTACCTCCAGAGAGGGGACAAGTATGAGAAGTAGTTAGGACTTGAACATTCCAAATCTGGTGCTCTTTTTACAGTACCTACAGTGATATCTTCTCCCAGAAATGAATTAATGTGTTGGCTAGTTAATAGCTTCTCACATTCTACAAAAGATTTGAGGGGTCTTGAAATAATAAAATATGGGTGGAAATAGAAACCAAACCAGGGAGAACACACAATATCCAGAACCACTAGGATTAATATTGTTCCTACAGTTGAATTTAATTTGTCTTTGAGCTTCCTGGCAGCCAAGATAAAAAGAGGCACAATCAGTTACATATTTCTTATTAGAAAAGGAAAAACATGCTACAGAGAAGTGGAGATTTTACTAGGATTGTATTCAAAATAATTGTTTTGCTTGAGGCCATAGATAAGGAGCAATAAGAATAAATGAAGATAATGCTCTCAACAAAAATTTGTAGCTACTCAATAACATAAAAATGCATTGCAAGGGGGCTAACATTTGCTGGGTGCCTATTATGTGTCTGGCACTCTACTAGTGCATATTTTATTTTATTCTGCATATTTTATTTTATTTAACCCTCATGAACATTTAATGATCACAACTATCTTTTAAAGGTATCATTGTGACCATTTAATGATAAGGAAACTCATCCTCAAATAATTTAAACTATTTCTTCAAGGTCACGTAGCTAGTAAGGAGTAAGCCAGCAATTGAGATCCAGACCTTGTCTGATTCTACAGCCTGTGTCCTCACCATTCTATTCATGCTGCCTATAATGTGTTAGAGACATAAATTAACTAAATGCAAGTATATATAATCTTCTAGTGTTTCTACTTTATCCAAGGATATGTTTTACAGGACCCAGATTATAGGTTGGTCTTCTGTAAACATCATTTCTCTCATCTAGGCTTCAGTAGGAGGTGAGTTGTAGAAAAGCTCATGTAGTGGTGCTGCTTGAGAGTGTTTCCCCAGAGTGTTAACTGTGGCTATGTGTTGTTGTTATTGAATATTAAGCACTTTATACACTACCTTCTTTAGTCTTCCCAGAAGCCCAATAAGGAAGGTACTTATTTCCATTTTGTAGATAAGGAAAGTGAGGCTCATGGAGGTTAAATGACTGAAAGACATACAGGTTCTCAGTGGCGGGATTCAGACACAGATCTTCCTGGCTCTAATTAGCATGTGCTTTACCATTGTACTAGAGGGCGTCATGTTAAGCAAGTGGTAAAGTTGTTAATCTCTTGAAAAAATGGATCTGGACTCTTGTTTGGAAGAAAGACCATCTTGCCTCAGCACTGAGATGACTGCAGGAGGACCTAGAGACAAGTTTGAATTTTCCTAAAAAGGCAGTTGGGTCAGCCTCGGCATGTGGTCGAGCTTTATGTGCACAGTTCCACATCATAACGCATGAAGGATATGACTTTGACATGAAAAGTGTTCAAAGATGCTGTTCCTGATGATTTTTCACAACTACAAGAAAACCTTAAAAATATTTCAGTGGATTTTATTTTATGGGGTCTCTGAGGAACCTACTAAGGTGAATTAAGTACTAGATATAGCAATGTCACAAATTGATTTGAACAAATTTAATTTTGGGAAATGCAGCCAAAATAATAATTTTAGTTTAGAATGGTTAATTTAGAATGGTTCTTTTTGACAGTCATTAAATACCAGAATAAATTATGTGAAAGATGTCACTCCAATTTTGTGATTGTTCTCATAATAATAACTGCCACGTCTACCATCACTACAATAAGAATAGGTAATGCTCACTGAGTTTTGTTCTGAATGCTTGATAAGAAATAGCTTAGTTAAGCCTCATAACAACCCTATGAGGTAGATATAATTATTAACTCCATTTTATAGATGAAATGTAGAGAAGTGAGTAATGCACCCAAGGGCATTCAGCAGGTAAATGGCTGGCTCACTGCACTAGTCTGTCTCTACATATATAGTGGATCAGATAAAGATATACATGCCCCTCTTCTTCACTGTGGGGGAGCATGAAACCAGTTCATATGCAAGTACTTTTAAATCATTAAAAGCAGAACTTAAAAATAATTGGGGCAGGAATTCAGAAGAAGCATAATATTGCTTGCTTAGTTATGAGGAGACCATTCCCGACCACCCTAATTCTTGCAGTGGGAGAAATGTAAAAAGACTGGATGTCTCTATTGAGCTCCTGTAGTTTGGTTCATAGTTGGTTTCAGTCCCCAGGGCCAAAAGCTAGTTAAAGTTTGGAAAAGGTCAGTCTCATGACATTGTTCTTGATACGTTTCCTCACAAGGTAATGCATAGTGTTTGTATTACTGATAGTAGGGTGGTTTTGGGTAAAGCCGACTTGCTCCTTAAACTGAATATTAGACTGAGGATTCTAGAATTCTTTTTTTTTTTTTTTTACAAAACAAAAAATTGGCATAAAGTTTTGAAAGCATAGATAAGTAGTTGAGAAGTAGCTCTGAGAAGCATATGTGTCAAGCGTTGCATGCTGGAATCAGATTGACCTGGTTCAGATGCATGCCCTTGAACCAGTTAACTAACTTCTTTAAGTCTCAGTTTCTTTATCTGAAAAATGGTGGTAATACTGTCTGACTCATGGAACTGTTGTGATGATTAAATGAGATAATCAATATAAAGTGCTTAGCCTAATGACTGACATATAAACTTAAAGTAAATACAGTTGAAACTTGAACAACATGGGAGTTAGGGGCACTGACCTAACACCGTCAAATCTGTGTGTAACTGTTGACTCCTCAGAACTTAACTACTAATAGCCTACTGTTGACCAATAGCATAAACAGTTAATGAACACATTTTATATGTGTATTATATACTGTATTCATATAATAAAGTTAGAGAAAATAAAATGTTATTAAAATGTCATTAAGAGAATCGTAATGAAGAAAGAATATATTTACTACTGATTAAGTGGAAGTGGATCATCACAAAGGTTTTCACTGTCGTCATCTTGACATTGAGTAGGCTGAGGAGGAGGAAGAAGAAGAGCGGATGGTCTTGCTGTCTCAGGGGTGACAGAGGAAGAAGAAAATTTGCATGTAAGTGGACCCATGCAGTTCAAACCTGTGTTGTTCAGTGGCCAACTGTATGTGCCATATGAGATTTCCCATTAAAAATGGTATAAACTAGGTACTGAGTTCATTCAGATAGAATTAAACATGAAGAAATAAAACAAATAGTTTGACAAGCAGTGGGGGTCACTAAACACAACATTCCTAAGTAATTCAGTTGTCAGAAGTGCAGTTCCCAAATGCAGTTAGTATCTTTAGAGGAGTTAGAAGTTCTGATTATCAGGCTCTGTAGAATTTTTTTTCATCCTGAGAGAGATGAGGGTGATCCCATGATAGAGCAGAGAAAACACTCAAGAGGTGGAGTTCTAGCCTAGCTGTGCCTTTTACTAGCTCTTTGACTTTTGGACACTTCGTTTAATGTTTGGGGCTTCAAGTTACTGAGCAGTGGAATGAAGAGTCAGTGTGGATAATCTCTACATTTCCTACCAGCTCTCATATTCTTTTATTCTAAATTAGTTTAGGTCATAAAAAACTAGATAAATTAGTCAGTGAAAAAAGTTGCCAGACCTTCTCCAAATAGTCTCAAACAAAACAGAGAGGAAATAAATGCAAAATAAAACAAAAACTCAAAAGTAGTTTGCTGAAGATTCTGTTTTTTTTTCTAAAATGTCCATTTGAGGCCAAATGACCCCTTCTTGTCTTTCATTGATTCCTTTGGAGAAATGTCCTCAGCTCATTCATAGGCCTAGGATGTTTTGCTTCCTTCCTTGATTGAAAAAGTTTCTTTAAAAAATTCTTTCACTGCCACAGCAGGAGTGAACCCAAAGGACTCAGGCACAGGAAATGTCTTTGCTTTAATTGTTGCCAGTGCCAGTACAGCCCTTTTCCAAGTTGCCCTGAGCTGTCAGCAGAGTGAAACTATGAATGAATCAAATGAATAGGGAAGATAAGTCTAAATAGCAGAACACATTTTTTTTTCCCTCCAAAAGAACAACTTTGTCTTGAGCAAAGGATCATTTAAACTGAAGATGCAGTTGGCATGGTGCCTTGGAAAGGCTTGTCACTTTCTTTCTACAATACTTCCTGAAAAGTTTTCCTTTCATTTGAGACTTGTTCAAACTGGTTATCATAATTTACCTTAAAATATTGGTGACAGGGGGTGATGGTTAAACGTAGGATAGATTCTATAACTGGTTCTTTGCCTTTCAAGGTTTCAAGGTAGTAAGGTTTTCCTCAGAAAAGGAGCTCTTTTTTCTTTGATAGTACTTTGAGAATAGTAGTATCTTTTAGCAGGCAGACACATCACAAATTACCTATTTAAACCTCCACATTTAACAGGTGAGGCAACTGAGGACAAGTGATTTGGCCAAGGTGGCACAAACAGTTAACTTAGGCCTTCGGCCCTCAAGCAAATGTTTTCAGTACCACACCACATTTCCTTCCTATATTGGGCTGCGGCTTCCTAGTTCTTACATAATAACTCAAACTTACTGCATCAGTAACCATTTCCCACCAACATTAGAACTTTAGAAGAGTAGAAAGATTTTTCCATCTTTCTGAAGGCATGCTTCTAAATGAAGTTGAAGCTGGTGATTTACCTCTGTTAAATCCACGAGATGTGGCTGCCAGGCTCTCCTGAAACGAATGAACATGAGAATAACAAAGTGTAAACATTCATGACTGAACTGCAGTTTCCAAGACAATTAGCAAGCCAGATCCAAGTGCAGATTGAGGACCCAAAGAAGGGGAGACAGTATGGCAGTCATTCTGGAGTAATCCTGCAGCACTACAAACTGGCATAATACAGCCTTTTTAATTTTGAGAAACTTTTTATTTTAAAAAGATTATAGATTTGTAGGAAGTTGTGAGAGATAGTACAGAAAGGTCTCATGTATCCTTCAGTCCATTTCCCCAATGGTTATATCTTATATAATTAGAGTGTAATATCAAAACCAGGAAACTGACATTGGTACGATGTGTGACATCGTATGATGTGTGACATTGGTGCGATGTAGTTACATATAATTTTGTCATGTATACATTCATGTAACTACTACCACAATCAAGACACAGAAGAGCTCCATCACTACAGAGATCTTCGTTGGGCTATCTCTTTATAGTTACACCCCCTCCTTTCACACCATCCCTATCCCTGGCAACTACCAATCTGTTTTCCATCTTTGTAATTTTGTCATTTCATGAATGCTATATAAATGAAATCATATGGTATGTGAATCTGCTTTTTTTTTTTTTAGATCTTCTTCTTTTTTTTTCCCACTAGCATAGTGCCCTTAGTTCCATCTAAGTTGTTGCAAATCGTTCATTATTTTTGTTGCTGAGCAGTATTCTGTGGTATGGATGCACCACAGTTTGTTTAACCGTTTACATATTAAGAGGCATCTTGGTTGTTTCTGGTTCCAGGCTTTTGAAATAAAGCTGCTGGCCAGGTGTGGTGGCTCACGCTTGTAGTCCCAGCACTTTGAGAGGTGGAGGTAGGTGGATCCCTTGAGCCCAGGAGTTCGAGACCAGCCTGGGCAATATGGCAAAACCTTGTCTCTACAAAAAAGACAAGAATAAGCCAGGTGTGGTGGTGCACACCTGTGGTCCCAGCTACTTGGGAGGCTGAGGTGGGACACTTGAGCCCAGGAGGTCGAGTCTGTAGTGAGCCAAGATTGTGCCACTGCACTCCAGCCTGGGTAACAGAATGAGACCCTGTCTCAAACAAAAAACAAAAAACAAAACAAAACAACCCCAAAACAAATAAAGCTGCTATGAACAATTGTGCACACGCTTTTGAATGGACATTAGTTTTCATTTCTCTGGGATAAGTGCCCAGTAGTACAATTGCTTGGTCGTGTGGTGAATGGGTGTTTTATTTTTAAAGAAACTACCAAACTGTTTTTCAGAGTGCTTGTATCATTTTGCTTTCTACTGACAGTGTATGAGTGATCTGATTTCTCTCTACTCTCACCAGCATTTAGAATTATCATTATTTTTTTATTTTAGCTGTTCTGATAGTTGTATAGTGATAATCTTGTAGTCCTAACTTGCATCTATTTCCCTAATGGCTAGTGGTGTTGAGTATCTTTTTTGCCATCTGTGTATCCTCTTTGGTGAAATGTCTCTTTATATCTTGTGCCCATTTCCTACTGGCTTGGCTTCCCTTCCCTTCCCTTCCTTTTCCTTCCCTTTTCCTTCCTTCCTTCCTTCTCTTTTTCTTTCTTTCTCTTTCTCTTTTTCTTTCCTTCCTTCCTTCCTTCCTTCTTTCTTTCTCTCTCTCTCCTTCCTTCCTTCCTTCCTTCCTCTCTCTCTCATTCACTTCTCTCTCCTTCTTTCTCTGTTTTTCTTTCTCTTTTTCTCTCGCTCTGTCTTTTTCTGTTGAGTTTTCAGAGTTCTGTATATATTGTAAATATGAATTCTTTGTTAGATATGTGATTTGCAAATATTTTCTGCCAGCCTGTAGCTTGTCTTTTTTCTGCTTCATTGAGGTATAGTTAACAAATAAAACTATATAAATTTAAGGTGTACAATGTAATGATTTTATATACATATATGTTGATAAAGGATTACTGCAATCAAGTTACTTAACACAGCTACCACCTCACCTAGTTACTGTTGTTTTCTTCAGTGAGAACATTTAAGACCTACTTGTAGCAAATTTCAAGCATACCGTATGATATTGTTAACTATAGTCACCATACTTTATGTTACATCCCAGAATTTATTCATCTTATAACTGAAAGTTTGTATCCTTGGACCAACATCTCCCCATTCTCCCAACCTCCCAGCCCCTGGTAACTGCCCTTTTACTCTCCGTTTCTATGGGTTTGACTTTTTTTTTTTAATTACACATAAAAGTGAGTTATACAGTCTTTGTCTTTCTCTTTCTTACTTATTTCACTTAGCACAACGTCCTCAAAGTTTATTCATGTTGTCACTAGTAGCAGGATTTTCTTCTTTTTTATGTCTGAATAATATTCCATTGTATATATATCACAGTCTATCCATTCATCTCTGGATGGACACTTTGGTCATTTCGTGTCTTAGATATTGTGAATAATGCTGTGGTGAATATGTGAGTGCCAATATCCCTTTGAGAAACTGATTTAGTTTCTTTTGGATGTATCCCAGTAGCCCAGAAGTGGGATTGCTGGATCCTATGGTACTTCTGTTTTAAATTCTTTGAGGACATTCCATACTGTTTTCCATAATGGCTGTACCAGTTTACATTTCTGCCACCAATGTCTAAGGGTTCCCTTTGCTTCATATCAACACCCACCTCTTGTCTTTTTCATAATAGTTATCCTAACAGGTATGATGTGACAGATGTCTTATTGTGGTTTTAATTTGCATTTCCCTGATGATTAGTGATGCTGAAGTCTTTTCTTGTACCTATTGGTCATTTATTTATATGTCTTCTTTGGGAAAATGTCTAATTAGGTCCTTTGTCCATTTAAAAAATGAGATTGTCATTATTATTATTGTTATTACTATTTTTGCTGTTGAGTTGTATGAGTTCCTAATATGTTTTGGACATTAATCCCTTATCAGATATATGGCTTGAAAATATTTTCTCCCATTCCATAGGTTGCTTTTCATTTTTTTCCAGCTTTATTGAGGTATAATTGACAAATAAAAGCTGTACAAATTTATGGTATACAGTGTGATATTTTGATTAATGTATATACCGTGAAATAATTACCATAATCAAGCTAATTTACATATTCATCACTCATGTAGTTATCATTTTTTGTGTGATGAGAACACTTAAGATCTATTCTTTTAGGAATTTTCAAGTATACAATAAATTATTATTAACTATAGTCACCTTGCTGTACGATAGATCTCCAGAACTTACTCATCCTGTCTAATTGAAATTTTGTACCCTTTGAGCAACACCTCCCATTCTTCCCACCCATCCCACCAGCCCTTGGCAGCTGCCATTCTGCTCTCTGCCTCTGTTGAGTATGACATTTTTTTTTCTTTAAGATTCCACATATAAGTGAGATCAAGGAATATTTGTCTTTGTGCCTGGCTTATTCCACTAAACATAATATCCTCCATGTTCATCTGTGTTGTCGCAAATGACAGGATTTCCTGTTTTTCAAAGGCTGAATAATATTCCATTGGATATTATATATCTATGTATGTATATATACATATATCCGTATATGTATGTATTATATATTTTATCCATTTATACTTGTGTTGATTCCATATGTTGGCTATTGGTGAATAATGTTGCATTGAATATGTGAGTGCAGATATTAATATTTCCTTAAGATAGTAATTTTGTTTCCTTTGGATGTATACCCAGAAATGGGATTTCTTGATCACATGGTAGTTCTACAGCTGATTTTTTGAGGAACTTCCATTCTGTGTTCTATAATGGCTGTCTAATTTATATTCCTATTAACAGTGTATGAGGATTCTCTTTTCTCCACATCCTTGCCAGTGCTTGTTATTTTTTTTTATTTATTTATTTTTTTGAGATGGAATCTTGCTCTGTTGCCCAGGCTGGAGCGCAGTGGCATGATCTTGGCTCACTGCAACCTCTGCTTCCCGGGTTCAAGAGATTCTCCTGCCTCAGCCTCCCCAGTAGCTGGGATTACAGGCACCTGCCATCATGCCCGGCTAATTTTTGTATTTTTGTAGGGATGGGATTTCACCATGTTGGGCAGGCTGTCTTGAACCCCTCACCTCAGGTGATCTGCCCACCTTGGCCTCCCAAAGTGCTGGGATCACAGGTGTGAGCCACCCTGCCCGGCCAATCTTTTGTCTTTTGGTAATAACCATTCTAACAGGTGTGAGGTAATGTCTTATATTGCATTTCCCTGATGTTTAGTGATGTTGAACATTTTCAGATATCTGTTGGTTATTTGTATGTCTTCTTTTGAGAAATATCTATTCAAGTTCTTTGACCATTTTTTCTTTGGCTATTGAGTTGCATGAATTCCTTATATATTTTAGTTCTTAACCCCGTATTAGATATATGGTTTATGAATATTTTCTTTCATTTCATAGGTTGCTTATTTTGCTAATTGTTTCCTTTGCTGTGCAAAAACTTTTCAGTTTGTTGTAGTCCCATGTATTTATTTTTGCTTTTGTTGCTTGTGCTTTTGGTATTATAGCCAAAAAGTTATTGCCAAGATTAATATCATGGAGTTTTTGTTTTCATCTAGGAGTTTTATGGTTTCAGGGCTTAGATTTGTCTTTAAACTATTTCAAGTTAATCTTGTGAGTGGTATAAAATAGGGGTCCAATTTCATTCTTTTTCCCAGCCTGTAGCTTATCTGTACATTCTCTTAAAGTGTCTTTCACAGAGCAGAAGTTTTAAGTTTTGGTGAAGTCTAGTTTATTGATTTTTTTCTTTTATGGATCATACTTTTTGTGTCATGTCTCAAAACCCTTTACTAAGACCTAGTCCTGAAGATTTTTTTCTCTGTTATCTTTTAAAAGATTTTTTAGTTTTACATTTAACTCTATAATCTCTTTCAAGTTAATTTTTGTATTAGGTGTGAGGTTTAGGTCAAGGTTTATTTTTAACATTTATTTTTCACCTAAATATGAAAATATCTATATGAAAGTGCACAAGTAATAAGTTCTCATAAAGTTATTATGTTGCCCACTTTTTTTTAGATAATGTCTGCTACAGGAAGTGGTCACTGCAAAGAAATAAAAAGGAGAGAATTAATATATATTTGATACTTTTTTTGAGCAGCTGAATCTTTACATAAGTGAGAGTTAGGAGATTTCAGGCAGAGCAGGTATCCAAGAGGTAGCTCTCTCACCCCAAATTTTGTTTCCTGACTTGCGTTTGCATGCTGTGTACTTAACTTTGAGTTAGACAATGGATGCTCATCACAAAGCAGATGCTAGACGTTGTGTTTAGCACTGAATATCCTGCAGTGGGCCTGGAGTCACATTCAACGCTCTGCTTAAGGGCTGCAAATTGGGGTCTGAGTCCAACTTTGTATTTAATACAATGCTGAACAATGATTAGGCAACAAGAGTACGTTTGGTTTTGACGGAAAGCATAATAATATAAAAGAACACTAGGATATATGTCAGGAGGCCTGGGATCTAATGCCACATGTGCATTAAGTGAGTTTATGTCTTTCTGCAACTTGGGAAACTAGTATGAGCCCCGGTTTTCTCCTGTGTAAAAACAAGGGGCCTTGACCCTAGGCAGTCTCTGAAATCTCTTCTAGGTTTAAATTACATGGTTCTAAGAAATTTTTAAAATAAAATGGACTCTGGTTTGATCTTCATTTTCTCTTGCTAATTAGAATATAAAACCTTGATATGAGAAGTGATAATTGAAGTTTAATATTGCATTTAAGTGTAACGTGTTAGGGAAATTCTCCCTTTGGAATACATAACACAACATGTATTATATTAAGTGTTTAAATATTTCTAATGCTACAGTGGGTTATTGGCAGATTCTTCCTCCTTCAAAATAATTTGAGAGATTATAATGCCACACTAAATATAGTGATACGTTAGTATTGCCAATGAAATGTGAACTGTGGATTTGTCTTGAACAATACGTAGCACTGGTGACTGAGGCAAGGGTCATTTGATCTCTTTTTTCTCTTTCTTTTTTTTTTTTTTGGTTTCCCTTTAATTTTCTGAATGAGATGACTATATGATACAAGTTATTTCTTTCTTACATTTATTTGGGTGACCTCAGTTTTTGTTCATGCATACAAGTTCTGAAAAAGAACATTTACTTCTTTTTAGTGAACCCTGTTAAAAAAAACCTTGAGAAGTTTGGCTTGAGATTTGAGCAGAAAATAAATTAAAAAATGATCTGAGTTCTTAGGAAAGAAAAAGTAGCCATGGCTTTGGTAAAATTAAAAGTAGGCCCTGTGAAAAGCCAGAAAATAATTCATTTGGCCATTGCAGTATAGTTTATGGCAAGTGGACAGGCAACTAACTGAGTTAGGAAAAAGGGCATCCCTAAAGATGATTTTTTTTTTTTTTGAGATGGAGTTTTGCTCTTGTTGCCCAGGCTGGAGTGCAATCTCAGCTCACTGCAACCTCTGCCTCCTGGGTTCAAGTGATACTTCTGCTTCAGCCTCCTGAGTAGCTGGGATTACAGGCATGCTCCACCATGCCCGGCTAATTTTGTATTTTTAGTAGAGATGGGGTTTCTCCGTGTTGGTCAGGCTGGTCACGAACACCTGATATCAGGTGATCCGCCCACCTCGGCCTCCCAAAGTGCTGGGATTACAGGCATGAGCCACGGCACCCAGCTGATTTTTTTTTTTTTAAAGACAAGGTCTCACTCTATTGTCTAGGCTGGAGTACAGTGGCATGATCAGGGCTCACTGTAGCTTCAACCTCCTGTGCTGAAGAGATCCTTCCATCTCAGCCTCCTGAGTAGCTGGGACCACAGGTGTGTGCCACCACATCTGGCTGATTTTTTTTTTTGAGACAGTGTCTCACTATGTTGCCCAGGCTGGTCTCAAACTTCTGGGCTCAAGCGATCCTCCTACCCGGGCCTCCCAAAGTGCTGAGATTACAGGAATAAACTCCCATGCTTGCTCAGATTTTTTAATTAGACCAAAAACCCTGGGAATCTGTACTAATGAGTGGGACATCTGTGACTGGTGACTGGATTTTTCCGCAACGATAAAGGGACTATTACATTGAGAGCTGAGGTCTGAAAATGCTGAATAGACTTGGTTAGTAAATTTGATGAGTGAAATTTTATTATGAAAATACCTGCCAAGTGTTCTGTCATGCATTTCCAAAAAGGTATGCTACTCTTCATCTTTTATGATCACCCAAAACTGTGATCAGTGTAGCAACAATGACCAGAATTCTGCTGATTTGTTTTATATTTTGGAACATCATTGAAACCTTCATTCCGCTATCTCCCTCCTCCCATGATCCTCATTTCTCTTTCATTGCCTTTTGAAGCATTTGAATGAAAAGCTGAATTCCATCTTTGTGTGCTCTTTCATGGCAATGTTTTTAGGAGTAGGAGGAGAATCTAGGTACAGAGTGTCTGCAATAGCTGAGATGTGGGCATTCCTGACATTTGACCCACGGGGAGCTTCTCTTTCTTGTTGTCAGAGTCACACAGGGTTGCACTAGGTTTGCCTCAGTTGCTTTGAATATCTTGATTTTTGTGGGTGGGAAGCCAACAGAATCTTGGCAGGATAGGGTGTGAAGGCCACTCTTCTCTAATATGTGCCAGGTCCATAGCCTCGTTACCCCAGTTTCCAGAGAAGAAAATGTTAGGCTGTCAGGGGAGTGGTTTTTGAGTCAACATTATTTCTATATCTCCACTTTCTTTCCTTAAGAGTAATTGCACTAGATCATCAGATTGTATCCATTAAGCATGTATTGCTATTTACAGAAATGGGAGACCAAATCAGATTGTGTATGAAACTTTGATTACTTTTCCTCTACAACATTTCCGCTGGTTTTGCATGTGTTCCAGAGCCTAGGGAACTTCCCTGCAGAGTTCAATGTAAGCTGATCCCAGGCTGGTCCATGGTGTCATCCTTTCAGACCCAAGTGCTTGATGAGCTTTTTATAGTCCTCCTGCTGCAGATGCCTCCTCCTTTTGCTTCCTTATGCTAAATGAGGAGAGTGAACAATCATCTTACAATTTTCTCAGCAGTCAGCTTTCAGGAATAAAGTCATTTTTCCCCCTTTGTCTTGACTTCTAAAGTCTAAACTTCTATGGGAAACAACCCACGGTGATAAGGGTAGTAAGAGTAATGCTAGGAGTAGTATGATGTCATAGGTAAAAATTAGCCTCTATCAGTTATATTTCCCAGAATGGAAATAAATGGCTTCTACTTGTAATTTAGACTGGGATCATTTTAGATTTTATACTCTTTGCCAGATTCATTACTACTCCTTTAATGGTAGAAAGACTTGGTTTCTACTTAAAATGTTTTTCATTGAATTTGAGTATAAAAGGAGTTTAAAGTCCAGCTAATCTCTCTGTCACCAAAACAGAATCCTTGCTGTGATTTTTCTGACTGATCATAATTCACACTCCCAGGGCCAGAGAGCCAGTTGCTTTGCATGGTGGTCCGTTCCATGTGTGGATGGTTTTATTTGCTAAAATGCCTTTCATTACATTGACTCAGAGTTAGCCTTCCTGAGATTTTGACCCTTTGGTCTTAGTTTTGCTCTTCATAATGCAGTTAATCCTTCTTCCACATAACATCCCTTGAAAATTAGAATAAATTGTAACATCTCTTAGCTTTGGGTGATGTGATGTTTTTATAAGCTATATTCTATTTATTTATCTTCCTTCAAGTCATTGCTAATAATGTTAGATAAAACAGTATATTACTTCTTCAAGGTGATCTTGGCTTACCAGTCAACTCTGTTTTTACATCTTTTTGGCTGTTTGCATTTAAACAAGGATGATGAACTCACCTGTGCACCTTGGTCTTGTAATCATTTTGCTCCGCATTCTTTTCTTTTATATATCTGTATTCTTACATTTTGGGTTCTGCTGATTATTTTGAGCTTTATGTTGTCCCCTGGTTACCTCTGGTTTCCTGATGTTCCCTGACTTAGACACTTTGGGTAACTACGTGCCCACCTACTTCTCTAACAGACTGGTGCCCTCAATGGGGAATCTGATTAGGCCGTTATTTAGTCATGGAGTAATATTCCTTAGAGTGAGCTTTCCAACTGGTGTCCTGTAGCAGTAGATTACAGATGTGCTGAGAAATTGATCTCTGCAGCTCTTGAAGAGCTGGGCAGAGTCTCAGTAGTCTCAGGTGTCAGGTGCCTCAGTGTGACATTCAGATGCCATTATGTGCTCCATGGTGACCAAAGCCTTAAGCACTGCATCAAGGAATCAACATAGAGCACTGGTAAGTTAGTAGGGCATAGGGTTAGATATTTGCTTAACTCAAGATAAATGATGCCGTCATTTAGTCAAAAAAGGAAATAAGGCTTTCTTGGCATAACAAGTTCTTTGTGAACCTATCCTGACTCTCGGTAACCTCTTAGGTTGAAAGAGGTGATGGTGTGAGTGAGATGGGTGCTGTCAGTGGTGCTCTGTGTGGCGATTACCCCCACTGGCTCACCTGGGGAGACTGAGGGCAAATTGCCTGTATTGATCACAGTCCTCTCATTCAGTGTCTGTAGCCTCAAAAAGATGGGTGGTAGTATTTCAGTCAAGTTTACTGGGGGCTGGGGCTTGATGAAGCATCAGAACCTGGAAGTATGCTGATGTTTAACCCCTGCTTATCTTGCAGGCACAGGCAAGTGGGCAAGTGTTAGGAAAAGTGAAGTCAACATCTGGAGCACTGAGAAACCTGACTGTACAATAATAACCAGCTATAAAACAATTCTCAGAAAACAATTCTCATATTACTCTATGAGATGTCATTGAAAAGATGCATTTAAAGGAGAAATTAAATATTTTTTTTGAACTTTGGCTACTCTATTTCAAAGTTTGTATTTAGATTAAAATGTCATCTAATCTGTTTGGTACTCTTTTGTTTTCTAGTGAACAATTTTTGTGTAGTGACAAGTGTTAGCTATGTTTATTATGACTTTTCATAACAAAACTTTGAAGCAGGAATTCTCAAATTTAAATGAGCATTGGAATCACTAGGAGGTCTTGTTAAAAGTTCAGATTTCTGGCCAGGCGCAGTGGTTCACACCTGTAATCCCAGCACTTTGGGAGGCCGAGGTGGGTGGATCACGAGGTCAGAAGATCGAGACCGTTCTGGCTAACACAGTGAAACCCCGTCTCTACTAAAAAAATACAAAAAATTAGACAGGCATGGTGGCGGGCGCCTATAGTCCCAGCTACCAGGGAGGCTGAGGCAGGAGAACGGCGTGAACCTGGGAGGTGGAGCTTTCAGTGAGCTGAGATCGCGCCACTGCACTCCATCCTGGGTGACAGAGCGAGACTCCATCTCAAAAAAAAAGTTCAGATTTCTGGGCTTCACTCTCAAAGATTTTGCATAAGTAAATTGGGGTGGAGCCTGGAAGTGTTTTCTAAAAGCACTCCATGTGGATTCAGTTGGAAGTCAACAGAAGACCAAACGCTTAAAAGCACTGGATGTAAAGGACCATATGCTTTTGTACTGATCAGCTGGTGGATACTTAGTTTTGTATTGTCAAAGGGCCATTTGCTTTGGAGACTTAGGATTCTTCCCTAGCATGTGTCTCTTCTTGGGCTGTGTTGAAATACAGAAACAACCAACCAAATGGAATTATCACAAGCAGTTTTCTATAACTTTGTGCAAAGTTAGGCCAAACATTACATGTTGTTATGGATTATGAAATTCAGAAAACACTGCCTCCTATTTGTGTATAGCTATACCATTAAACAGTATTTTCACTTAGTTTGTCTCTGTTGATCTTTATAACAATCTTGTGTGGTTAGTATTTTTATTTCCAGTTTATGAATGAGAAACTTTAAGGTTACAAGTAAATGGTAGAAGTGTTACTCTAACCTTTATTGTTACTACTTCGAAATTAGGCAGGTTTTATTATGTGCCAGGCACTATGTTGTACATTCTGAAATTCATTCTCTCTCTGAATCTTTATAAAACACTGTGAGGTAAATGTTATTATTATTTTTAGAATTATTATGAGTTTTTTTTTTTTAACTTGGCTCTTGATGAGGCTAAGTAACAGTAACTTCTTGAGGTCATGCCTTTAGTCAATGGCAGAGCCAAGACTTTAGCCAGGTTTGTCTGACACTGGAGTTCATGCTTTCACTCTGGGTATTGTTAAGGCAGATTGCCTGGCCTGATTATAGTCTTCTAATTAGATGTCTGTGTCCTAAGAAGGATGAGTGGTAGTGTTTCTAGGCAAGTTACCAGTACACATTATACATTATAGCAGGCTGCCAGTATACATTATATAAAGCCATGCTATACAACTCATTCTAGAAAGAACAGAAAGCAACAGGGAGATCTAATAGGAAGGAAAGCAGACATTCAAAGTATAAAAATTAAAATGAAATGAAATACAATTGTGCATTTTTAGAAAACTTGATAAAAATAGGATTTCACACGCTTCAGAAGTACAAAGAGTGGGAAAGGCATAAGTTGTGATCTGCATACATTCTGATAATGTTAGCCATTCTTCTTGAAGAAGCAGTAGGATTGGCCTGTGTTTTATAGGCTTTTGAGTGTTGTTTGGTGTTTCGTTTATGGGCTTATTTTTCCATTACTAATACCAGCTGGCATTTGACCTTTCATGCTCATGCCTTTGGCAGTATAGTCTTTCTAACTTCAATGTACAGTATGGCCTTTGTGTTTTAAATCAGAAATTTATTTTAATCAAATACATCTTGTAGTGTTGTGCTAGTGCTTTTCCCTCATTGACAGTAAAGTCTCATTGATGCTGTATTTACTCTGGATTTCTTTATGCAATTTCAAAATGAAAAATTTTGATTCTGGTGGTTCTGGTTGTAGTCCAGTGATTAGTCTCAACACAAAAGAAATAACAAAATGTTAATTCATTTTCCCCTGAAGCTGACTCTGGACTAGAAGTCAAAACAAAATATTTTCTATTAACTAATTTCATGAGAATTCAATATGAATAAATGACTTGGCAGTATCTTTTTTTTTAATCCCAAGTTAAGCTTTTCTCATGACTTTATATCATCTACTACTGATGGTGATGAAAATTCCCAGGAGTTAATATGTTACCTTATCCTGATATCTTTCAATTGACATCTTGAATGATCAGAATGATCTTTCAATCATTTTTAAATCTCTATCCACTGAGATGCATTTATCAGCTGTCCATATTCATTTAGCTTCTAATACTTACCAATTGCATTTTAATATCACTTGTTTCTGGTAGTCTAGGGGAGGCTGTGTCAGAAAGGGGTAGCATGCAGAATGGCCTTTCACCTAAATGGATTCTATCTTGCATGGTGACTTACTTGAAAGCCATGAGTGACGGATCTGGGATATATAAGTTTAGGCCTATATTTTGTAAGTGATTTTCTTTCAGAGAGATTCCCTGAAAATGTCAGAGCACCTGCTTTTTGATAGAGACAGTCTATGCAGCACTTGATGGTCTAGCCTGAAATCAAGGAGTCAGAGAACAAATATAGGGTAGGGGATTTTTTTTTTTTACAGAGTTTCACACTGCCGCCCAGCCTGGAGTGCAGTGGCGTGATCTCGGCTCACTGCAACCTCCACCTCCTGGGTTCAAACGATTCTCCTGCCTCAGCCTCCCTAGTAGCTGGGATTACAGGTGTGTGCCACCATGCCTGCCTAATTTTTGTGTTTTTAGTAGAGACGAGGTTTCACCATGTTGGCCAGGCTGGTCTTGTACTCCTGACCTCAGGTGATCCACCCCCCTTGGCCTCCCATAGTGCTGAGATTACAGGCATGAACCACTGTGCCTGGCCTAGGGTAGGGTCTTTAGAAGGGCTTTGAAGGGTGTTGTGAGCCATCAGGCCAGTATCCTCATTTGAGACATTTTGTGTAGTTCAGCTATTTATTCAGTTAAAAAAATCTCCATGGAAATGATATGTAGAAGTCTGTGGTATTTCTCTCATTCCATCTTATGAGTTAAAAAAATCAATCCTAATTCTAATTTTTTCTTTTTTTTGTATGATTGGAATCAAAATATGCATAACCTTTGTATCTTTCAGCAGAATACAGGCTGGTTCTTGACTTTTTGGTGGGCTGCTGGAATTACATTCTAGGTTCTCAGACTTTAGGGACTTAAGCTGAGGCCTGGGCTGACCTTGGGAATGTGCTTTGTTATACCTCTGGGAGTAGCACTGAGCAAAGCAGGTTGGGAGCCAGGATTCCAGTACAGGCAGGAAGGAGTAAATAATTAGGTTAGATAAGAAATTATTTGCCTTCCTTTCAGCAGGTGGACAAGCTAACAAGGAAAACATAATAAAGGAAATAAAGCTCACTTAAAGAGGGAAAAGGCCAATAATGGAATCACTTAAAACTTTTTATTGAAGAAAATGGGATTCCCTTGCACTCTTGTTTGAAATGTGTTTTGGATATGCATTGTTTTATATCAGATTTGGATATAGAATTATGACATTGTCCAGCCATAACAACTACTTTGTTAATTACAACTAGTTAGTGGATACCTGCTGGTACTGCACTGTAAGTAGTACCAACATATTCTAAATGTTCTTATATAAGAACTAAAATGTTATTATGCAAGAGAAATTCCCTGCTTCCAAGGAGTTTTATAATCTAGCAGAGAGAGAACGTGTACATCCAACACAAGTTGAGAACACTTGCAAAGTAACATATCAATAAGTGGAAAAAAAACAGTGCAAATGGAAGTATTGAGTGATTAAGAGAGTGATGCCAAAGATATGGGGCTGGCTGAGGAAGGATCTGAATTTTGAATTGGGTAACGAAGGAGGAGAGAAACAAATTGGCAGACAGAGATGAGGAAGAAAGATATATGTGAGGCCATAGGTTTGGAAGTGAAGCAAGTCACATTTGACATGTTAGTGACAATAAGCAAGACAACAAGCACACAGGCTAGGACAAGGCGGAACTTCCATGGCCGTGGATAATTTGGGATGAATTTGATTATTGATTTGATTCAAGGGAACAGTAGGAAAATGCCATCGATTCTTGAGTATATGCAATGTGCTGAAAATGACAGATACTGGTAATTATTTAGGCAGCAACATCTATGATAGGTTGGAGTAGTGGAGCTAAGGGTGGAGAAAGTATTAGGGAGCTGTTTTGTAACCTAGATTTAAAGTAACGAAGGTTTAGAGGAGGGCTTTGGGAAAGTCTGCTGGGTTAGGAAAAAAAATGAGCTCAGTTTTTGAGATACTACTTTTCAGATGTAGCAATCATATCCTGAGATGACCGGTCAGTTACTAGACAGGATTACAGTTTGAGAGCTCAAGTCTTGGCCATCGACTTTGGAGGCATTTGTGCAAGGTGATAGTTCAGTAATGCATGTGGAGTATGTATCATGGTGGTGACTATTGAGGGAGAAATGCAGAAAGCTGAGTTTGGAACCTTAGAAGCAGCTGCCAGCCAAGGGGGTGGAGGCAGGCAAAAAGTATAGTCAGCAAATGAGACAAAGAGGTAGTAGAAGAACACAGAGAACACCCAGGGAAACCATGCGAGGAGAGAATTTCAACAGTGCTAACTGAAGCATAGAGGTCAAGGGGATTGAAGACTTGAGAAAGACCTATTCGACTTCTCAAGGGAAAGGTCTTTGGAGACTTAGAAAAATTTGTTTCCAGTGAAGTTTCAGTGCAAAAGTGCATCAGGGATTTTCTAGATACTCTGCATGACAAGGGGATTAATGTTTAATAAATAAATCCCTTCTGTAATTGCTTTAGCACATATGACTGGGTATCTGGGTTTTCAATATTTCAAGGGAAATGGTGAGGTCACTGCAGAAAGGAATTGAGGTTAGATTTCTCATATTATACAAACCCATCAGGTGATTTTTATATTATGTGGGAGAGAAACTCTCAGAGCTAAACTATTGGGCCTATTTAGATTCACAAGATCCTAGTGGCTCTGGGAAAAATCTTTGGGAAAATGTAAAACCTGAGCAGTGTTAGAAAGCCTCTTCTTTGGTCCTGTTATTTGGTTTATGTTAATGAATTAGCTTGGAGTATTTGTCAGAGATGTTGAGTTGTGGAAAATAATAAAAATCAGATTCAAATTTACCAAAATAATTAATATCAATTTACATGGAAGTGGAGGCACCAAAGAATTTTGGTCAAGACAGAATCAAAGCTCCAAATTTAATGACCTACAGTTAACATCATGCCAAAAGAACAGAGCCATTTTGTAAGAAACAACAGTCTAGTTGAATAAATGGAGGTGATAAGTTAGATATGGTGAAGAACTCAAATTTTAAAAGGCAAGAGACACTTTCTCATGACTGAAGAAGAGAAATTTGTATTAGGAGATATACCTAATGCTAAATGATGAGTTAATGGGTGCAGCACACCAGCATGGCACATGTATACATATGTAACAAACCTGCACGTTGTGCACATGTACCCTAAAACTTAAAGTATAATAATAATAAAATTTAAAAAAAGTTAGTTATAATGTGGGATCTGAAATAATAGTGATAAGATATTCATAACTGTGGCCATTAAAATCCATTGACCTATAGTTTTTTTGTTCATGCATGATTTTTTTTTTTGAGACAGGGTCTCACTCTGCCACCCAGGCTGGAGTGCAGTGGCAAAATCATAGCTCACTGTAGCCTGGAACTCCTGGGCTCCAGCAATCCTCTCGTCTCAGCCTCCCGATTAGCAAGGACTACAGGCATACACCACCACAGCTGGCTAAATTTTTGTCTGTAGTGAAAAGGGAAAATAATGTCTTAGTTTTACTGTAAAATAGTATTGCCCTCATAGGCACCCCAAAAGGGTCCTCAGCCCACACTCCTAGAATTGATGCCTTAATACTATGCAATTCTCAAGTTGTTATTACTAATAAATTAAAAAATTAAAATTCTCTTTGCTGTATTTTTTAAAAGAGTGAAAATGTACTTTACAATTCTATATTACTTTATTATCAAATTGTGAATGAGTTATTACCAATGTTGTAGTTAGAATTTCTTTTCCTCTCCTAGTTTTTATTTCTGTGGGTATAGTCGGTGTATCTATTTATGGATTATGTGAGATATTTTGATACAGGCATACAATGCATAATAATCACATCAGCATTTATCCTTTCTTTGTGTTACAAACAATCCAGTCATACTCTTTTAGTTATTTTAAAATGTCCAATAAATTATTGTTGACTATAAAAAAAAAGAAGAGAAATTTGTAGAAAGAAACCAAACTTCTAAATTTATCTTCGATTCAACTAATTAGCAGTAGTCTCAATTATAAAACCTGAATCTATAATACGGTCTAACTTAGGTGTAATTAGATGAAAATGTAGTACTTTTCTGGTGAGTTAAATATGTGATTTTTGATTTATAATCACATCACAACAAATTGGTTGAGAAAGAATGAAGGTAAAGAAAAGATTAAATTTTATTTTGGCCTTTAGCTCAGTTTTATGTTCAGATGGTAGTTTCCCAGTTATAGCAAAACTGTACTTAGCCCCTCCTTAGTTCTAGGAACTAAGTTCTAGGAAGTAAGGAGGGACTAAGTACAGCTTTGGCATAATTGAGGGTGTGACTTTGATGTTTCTATAGATTTTCATATCTCTGCAATAAAACTTAAATTGCTTATGCTGTTTCTCTGATATAAAATACAGAGTTTTCCAATGCTCTATAAAATGTAATTTAGACAGACGAACATGAAACTGTTCTTAAACTTGGATTGCCTGGGATTCTGAAATTTTTCTGGTTATTTGTTCAAATTGATACCTGACTATGATATTCACAACATTTCTTGATTTTCCCAACAGCTGCTATACAATATAGGATGTATATTGAATTGAAATAATAAATAGGCGGGAAAAAATGAGAGGAAAAAAGATAGGTACAAACGAAAGAGGAAAGAACAAATGTAAATCATCGAATAGTTATGATCACATAGTGTGAGTATGTCTTACTTTTGGTTTTTTTTGTTTTTTTTTTTTTTTTTTTGAGACAGTCTCACTCTGTCACCCAGGCTGGAGTGCAGTGGTGCGATTTCGGCTCACTGCAACCTCTGCCCTCTGAGTTCAAGTGATTCTCCTGCCTCAGCCTCCCAAGTAGCTGGGATTACAGGCACCTGCCACTGCGCCCGGCTAATTTTTTGTATTTTTAGTAGAGATGGGGTTTCACCATCTTGGCCAGGCTGGTCTTGAACTCCTGACCTTGTGATCCACCCGCTTCGGCCTCCCAAAGTGCTGGGATTACAGGCGTGAGCCACCGCACCCGGCCTCAATTTTGTTTTTAAGATTTCTACCTGCCAAGGCAAAATATGAAACTTGACTACTTACTTGATTAATACAGACCACAACTTAAAAACAAATCACTTGCTTAGGAGAAACACAAGTATTATCAACATAAAATCCAGAAGGAGGCTGGGTGCGGTGGCTCACGCCTGTAATCCCAGCACTTTGGGAAGCCGAGCCAGGTGGATCACCTGAGGTCAGGAGTTCGAGACCAGCCTGGGCAACATGTGAAACCCAGTCTCTACTAAAAATACCAAAATTAGCTGGGTGTGGTGATGCACACCTGTAGTCCTAGCTACTTGGGAGGCTGAGGCACAAGAATTGCTTAAACCCGGGAGGCGGAGGTTGCAATGAGCCAAGATCACACCACTGCACTCCAGCCTGGGCGACTCCGTCTAAAAAAAAAAAAAAATCCAGAAAGAAATAAAGAAGACTTTGTATAATGCAATTAATGACACCTTAACAACATCTTGATTAGAGAATAGTCAAGTTTCCCAAATTCCACTGAGCTGGTTTCATGAGTTGGTAGACTGATGGTATCACATAAAAAGTCCTGCAAGGTCAATTCAGTAGTGGGGCTTCAGGTCCAGTTAGATAATTCTTTTAGAACTTAAGTTTGGGATAACTATTTTTCTTTCCACCTCATGTGTTTTGAACTTTCAGGGCATATATTACAACTTATAACGTATCGCTGTCACTCTTAGTCTGAGCGCTCATGTTGAAAGCACGCACTGTGTGAGCTGTCATCTCACTGTGAATCAGCAGGAAGGGTGAGTTTTCATAACATCAGTGAAGGATGAGGTAATTATTACAGAATTGGTTTTTGGAATACATGATAAAGAAATTCTGAGAAAAAAGTGAAGGTCTTCAGTTCCCTAATGGATAACAAAGGAGAACTTAACCTGACAAAAACGTCCAGGAAGAGTTTGTATGTTCCCCTAAAAATGGAAGCATGTTAGTAACGACCTTCAATTCTTTCTGGAATGAGGGGGAAATTCCAAAAATAAACTAAATAAAATAAGCAGTAAGATTTCTTTGAATTTAAGGGAGAAGCACATTCTCCCAGTTAAGAAAGGTGTCTTCTGTGAAGCTGCCTAGGGCTACAGTCAAACAGATTCCCCCTGACAGGTGTGGAACTTGTCTTCACTCTGCAGAATGGCCTGTTCATTGTATTTCCCTTGGCATGTGATTCAGGTTGTTGGAGACCTTGGTAAACTCATCATATTAGATCATGGGTTGATGTAAGTTCATGTTTGGATGTTTTAAAATTGGTTGGAACCTGGCTAGGGGAAGAACGTATGTCTACAACTGGCCCTGAAAGAGATTAAACATGTTTGAAATGTTTTCTTAATGGCAGTGGAGTGGGTAGTAATGTTTCTTTTGCTGTGAGCCAGCAAGTGTGCCTGTTAGGAGAGCATTCCCGAACTCATGATGAATCAAAGACTGATTAACTGTACTTTAAGTACGGCATCTGGAAATTGCTTGTGAGAGAGATTTTGCCATCAATTACAGAAGACACATATGTCACTGGATTTAGGACCAAAGACAGGGACAACCCTTTATCAAACTGATTTCTACTTTACTGTGGGTCCTCTTTTAATGTAAACTTTCGGACTTGCTGCTTCAAAAGTAGTTGGCTTTCTTCTGCTAGTGATATGTAAAGAATGAATGGTGCCCATAATTGTTATAAATATAATATGCAGAGTTATATTTAATTTATAACATAAGTCACCAGTCAAAAAGACAGTTTAGTTTTTTCCTATGACAAAAATCCAATCTTACTCAGTAAAACAAATGATTTACAACTCATTGCTTTTCTGAGACTAGTATTTACTGTGCTATAATTTCAGGCATTTAGGTTTACTGAAGGCATAAGGTATACTTTTTTAGATGTTAAATTTTTAGATATGGTTGATTGGGGGAAATTAACAATTTCAATGTTTGAAGTGGTAAACAGCTCATTTCTGCAGGGAGTGATAATTGGGAATGTAGATCATTGGAGATGGACTGAATTTAGGAACATCATGGTTGTAGATGTGGATTTAGGAGCTATCTGCTTAGATTTTGAGTCTTTTCCCATGATACTCTAACTCACAGGAACGGAACTGTTGCTGTATCTCTCTATACTTACAAATGGTGAGGGATTATCTCTTGAGCTGAGGGGACAGATTAGACCCTGGAGCTGCAAACCCTAGGTGTATATCCAGCAACCCCTGGACTGGTACTTTCATTGTGGGATGTATACATCCTTTTAAATATCAACAGAAGAAATTTTCAGAGGTTTTACCTTGATTTTCCTAAAAGAGGAAGCAATCATAGAACTGAATTCCTTTTCATAATTCTTCAAAATTGATTGGAGAAGAAAATTGCCTTTTCTCTCCTGCCTTTTCATTTTGAGGAACCCTTAATGATGTCACTTATTTTAAATCAAAGATGCTTATTTATTGCAGCATCTGCTCAGTCCTCCATTTCTTCCTTTCCTCTCCTCTCCTCTCCTCTTCTTTTCTTTCTTTCTTTTTTTTTACATGGAGTCTCGCTCTGTCACCCAGGCTGGAGTGCAATGGTGTGATCTCGGTTCACTGTAACCTCTGCCTTCTGGGCTCAAGTGATTCTCCTGCCTCAGCCTCCAGAGTAGCTGGGATTATAGACGCACACCACCATGCCTGGCTAATTTTTGTGTTTTTAGTAGAGACAGGGGTTTCACCATGTTGGCCAGGCTGGTCTCGAACTCATGTCCTTACGTGATCCACCAGCCTTGGCCTCCCAAAGTGCTGGGATTACAGTCATGAACCACCGTGCCTGGCCTCAGTCCTCCATTTCTAAGGCATTGTATCATTCAGTGGTTGTTTAATAACCTTAGACAAAATCTAAGGTTTAACAACCACTGAATGTTACAGTGGTTCAAGAATACAGTGATACAATGGTCCAAGAATTGAACCAACTCTTTTTAACCTGTTTTTTTTTTCATTTTCTTTCTTTTTATACCTTATACAAATAAAATATGACTGTGTTTTTATTTTCATAGTATAAACAATATGGAAAATAAAAAGCTATATGATACAGAGCATAAATAATGGAGCAGAAAGTGAAAGTCTCTCTTCAAACATTTGCCCTGAGCCTACTGAAGAGTTATTCATCTACTCTCTTCTCTTTGGATTTACACGCATTTAAATGTACATGTAGAAAGATACTAACTTGTGTTTTGCAATAGATAAATTGACTTGTCTCATGTATAATGATCAATAAACTGTTAACCTGAAAATTCACTTTGTACCTCTTAATGGCTGGCAGCATTTCTATATTAAAAGAAACGTGGAAAAATAGCAAAACTCTACATTCCTGAAGTTTATTTTTATTCAGAGTTGGGTGTATTTTTTTGGGGGGGAACCATTGGTACTTTTTTTATACATGGTAGACTAAATTATAATGTTTTAAAAATCAAAAGGTATTTGGAGAGATGGAAATATGATTTGATGATTTCTACTAACTATATGTATTGTCTCCATAATATTTTCTTAATTTAAAAAAGTGGTTAACTTATGTGTGTTTGGCATATTTTTGAGTTGATAATCTCAAATAATTCTTCACTTATTACACATACTTGAAAATCTGCTCTCTCAGTTTTTCAAGTTAAAAGTATTCTGTCCTTGTGGATCTGTCATTTCACAGACATACCTGTTTGCTTTGTTGGCTAGGTGATAGAAAATAAAGGGCAGAACATAAGAAATTATCCTTCATTGGATATTAGTTCGTTCTCTCATCTGGATTTTAAAGTATTACTGGAAAAAAATCCTCTAATCTTCTATTAAAGATAAGATAAGTTCTTACAATGTATAGGTTGTTTGTAGGACTGAGAAGTATTGGAAATATGTCTTGGCTCAACTAGTTGGCCACCCTTGAGAGCCAGTAATACCAAGTGGCTAAGCTTAGTTGCACCCAGTGGCAAGAGACATTCTGAGGTTTCCCATGTATTGGGAGGAGGCCCAAGACAAAGAGGTCCTTGTAAAACTCAGCTAGAGACTTGGCTGTGGGACAGAGTCCTAGAAGAATCTACATTAACTGTGCCCTGCCCAGAGGCATGCTGCTACAGCCTTTGTGCTGGGAACCACCAGGATCATGGTATGAGTTTGCGTCTCCAGGTAGACACTCTGAGCTTCTTTTGCTTACTGACCCTGTTACTACCCCTGAGCACTGCAGCTGCCGTGTAGCATCATACATCTTCTCTGCAAAGTCATATTACACTGAGATTGTTAGAAACTGTCTGTCCTTTGTTTTCATGTGTGTGGTTGTTGCTGTAGAAGATAATTACTTATCCTTACATCTAGCTTTCTGGCTTGATACACACACACAGACAAACACACACACACACACACACACACACACACACACACACACACTCTTTGGCAAAAGAAATGAATGTATTGGTGAATCTTTTTTTTTTTTTTTTTTTTGAGTTAGAATCTAGCTCTGTCGCCCAGGCTGGAGTGCAGTGGCGTAATATAGGCTCATTGCAACCTCCGCCTCCGAGGTTCAAGTGATTCTCCTGCCTCGGCCTCCTGAGTAGCTGGGAATACAGGGATGTGCCACCACCCCTGGCTAATTTTTGTATTTTTAGTAGAGACAGGGTTTCACCATGTTGATTGGGCTGATCTAGAACTCCTGACCACAAGTGATCCGCCTGCCTCAGCCTCCCAAAGTGCTGGGATTATAGGCTTGAGCCACCGTGCCCAGCCAGCATTGGTAAATCTTATGTATAATTTTAAAATTAACCAATACATTCATTTCCTTTGGCAAAGTATAAAAAGCATAGGATTTGAATTTGGAAGACCTTGGTTCAAGTTCTGCTTCTGCCACTTAATAGTACTGTGACCTTTCTGAGGCTCTGTTTCCATTTTCATTCCCCATCTTGGTTGAGGCTTGTGAGCTTCAAATGAGATAATATATTTAAAAGCATTTTGTGAACCATAAACTGCCACACAAATGTTGATTATTGTTAATATTTTATATTTAGTCTTGCTGGTACAATAAAAAGTTAGTAATAAATGCCCCATGAGCTGTCTTAATTCCAGAGAAGACATATGAACTAATATACCCAGCTTGGGTCATCAAAAGGTATATTTATATAAGGGTTACTGCTAAGCAGTGACAATCACGGGTGTGCTAATTTCATCCTGGGATCTGCAAGCAGCCTTAGGTGGAGAAAAGAGGAGGCACAGAACAGAGATAAATAAAGGCTTAGTTTCTACACAGCCTTGTGAAAGACTGTGTTTTAAGGGTTGAGTTCAACCATTAAGGTTGATGGTGTTTTATAGTACTTATTGATGCTTAAAAGTAAAATTTATCAATTTTTAAAAGAATAGTTTTATGAGTCACCAAATTTATAAATATGGTCAAATGTGTATTCCACACTTTTCAGAGAAATTATGTAGCTCTTCTGGTAACAGTGAGAGTCCTTTGCTTACACAGTCAACAACATAGGAAAAGAGATTCAGTTTTCCTATGGCAAGTTTCACATCCTGGAAAATGTTTTATCAGTTGGATGCTGGGGCCATCTCTAGGTTAGAAAGTGTCAATGGGAAGTAGTTCAGGTTCAGATATGGGTAGGATCTGTGCTTCCTAGTTTGGAGAAGGGTTTCTGATGATGAGTTGGGATTTGGTTTTCATTCTTCTGGCCTCGTAGATGAGTGGCCAGTTTCATTTCATTGATTGGCTCTATCTTCAGTTTATGTGCTCATTCTTTCCATTGGAAACTCCTTTAACTCTTCTGCTGAAAATGTTCTCTAGGGTTCAACTTTAGGGAAATCTTAGCAAATTTTATTTATTACTCTAGCTATTATGTTTATTTTCATAACAGCTTTTCTGAAGGAGGACATCTAACACATCTAGGTGTTCATAATGTGAGCCTCATTTGTATTTTCAGAGAAAAGTTTTATCTTGAGTTTGAATGAACTGTGGAATTAGCTGAGTTAAGAGACTCTCATTTTTGCTATCCATGAGGCAGAAAAGTGGTGTGAAGGATATATGACTTCAGCCAATTGACTACTGACCAGTCTTTCTATTGTTTAGGCCATAGGAAATAGGGCATTTGGAGACAGGTGCTAAGGAAATGAGTAGCACTTTTGTGTGTGTGTGGTTGTAGGAACCACTGTACACCCTAGAACACTTTATTAAGACCTTACTGCTTATGTAATTGAAAAGACATTGATTGAGCTACAGGTACCTGGTCAGACATTGAGAGACCTGTACTTGGTCTCAGGATGCTCTGTGTAGAGCTTCCCCAGGCTGTTGGGAGCTGGGAGACTGCTTGGCCTGGACAGGACCCAGAATAAGAAGCATGGTACCTCCTATAAGCCTCCGAGTAGGCTGTGGGCTTCAAGATGGCTCTCAGGATGATCAGAGAGGTCAGGAGTGTAGGCTTAAGCCAGGGCCCAGGGCCAATATTCTCTGAGATGAGTCAAGCCCCAACCCTCTCTGGGGTTTCCAGAACAAAGGCTTGATTTGGGGAGCCAGCGTTGTGGAGAGGGCAGGGGGCATGTCTCTAGGCATTGCTGGAACTGAGGGAGATTGTCAGAGTGGCTGGGGTAATGTTTGTATAATCCGTGGCAGTTGGTCCTTCCTGCATGAGAGTGGGAGGTTGAATGTCCCTTATGGGAGAGTCATACACCAGGGCTGGGCTGGAGCAGCCAGCCAGAGGGCGTTGGGGCAGTGGCTCTGCTGGGGTGACCAAAGTAGGGAAGGAAAGCCACTTGTTGCGCACACCCCATTTTGATTAACTGCTTTCATGCAGGATGAGGCAGGGATAGGATCATTTCTCAGGCCCAGGTATTGATGTTTTCTTAATTCTTTAGTCTGGAAGAACTTGATGAGAGGGCAGGAGGATGTTAAGAATTTCCTTAATCAAACCCATTTTTCATGTCTCCTAGGGCTACCCCTTCATCTGCACATCTGCAGAGAATAACCTGACTCCTCTCACTTCTCCAGCTTTTCTCACAAGGCAGTTGTTACTGGACTGCTGAGGGAAGTGGAAGGGAAGCCTGGGAGGGGGCTCTGATGGTGGCACCCAATATACAGGGTCTGGAGTCAGGGTGAAGGAGGTCAGGGACTAGCGTCTGCCATAGCACGGGCACACGGCCAGGCTAATGATGAGCAGCATGGCCAGGAAGAAGGTGGCTGTGAGCTGCAGCCACAGCAGGACTGCTGAGAGCACGGCATTGACCACCAGTGAGCAGGACACAACGAAGAGGCATGGGATGCTGCTGCTGTGCTTCATGACAGCGGACATGACAGGAGCAGTCCATTTAGCCCTGCCTCAGCACCACAAGTTCTGCCCATGCTGACAAGCCTTCCAGGAGGCCTGGGCCGGGGCCACTAGCGGCATGCAGATCTAGATTCAGGAGCACACCAAAGGTGTAGAGGAAGACATTCTGAAGTGCCAGGGGCAGCTGCCGTCTCTTCATGAGCAGCTCTGTATGCAGTGACGACAGGCTTGAGATGAGGCAGTCCAGGATGAGGAGCAGCAGGCCCAGCGGAGTGATATGTAGGGGCATGGGGCTGGCAGCAGCTTCTGGAGGGGGCCTGGGAAGGGTGTTTCGAAGGTCTTACAGGCCATCTGGTGGATAGCAGACCCCCGCAGCCATCTGCAGCAGCAGTGCAAACCCCTGAGGTGCAGAGAAGCAGTGCTGGAGGCAGAGACAGTGGAACAGGGCCCGCTTCCAATCTTGAGATTGCTCAGCACGTGGTAGGTGCTGGGGTCCATGTCACACTGAAGATAGATCACCAGGTTGTTGTTAGTGCCATAGATCAGGGCTGATCATGTGAAGGGAGCAGCTTAGTGCCAGAGTGGGGGCCCCCTACAGCCATGCTTGCCAGCCCACTAGAAGGGAGAAGGTGCTTAACAGTAGCTTGGTCAACTCAGCTCCACAGCTGAGGAGGGCTGGAAGGACACCTGGCTGTCCACATGGCACAGTGCCAGCATGGGGGATGGGCACCACACGTGGCAGTAGATAGGAGCAGCATCAAGGTCCATTACACTCATACCCACACCAGACCTTGGGTGGCTGGTGTAGTTAGCAAGGGGAGTGGGATTGCAACATATTTACGGGAAATCAAGTTATGGAGCCACCTCCCAGTAGGGAGGAGCCGTGGAACATTGCCAGAGAGGATACTGAGGATCAGAGTCATCTGCCAACTCCATAGTCAGGGCTTGAAGAGTAAGGGACTGGTGGCCCTTGAAGCCACAGTCTTGGGGCCAGTCTGACGGAGTTAGGAGAGGGAAGAAGGAATCTAGGGTGCAGGCTGACAAGGTGCTGTGCACACTCTGCAGGAAGGGAGGCAAGGATAAAGGCGGCATGAAAGTTGGAGAAAAAATGGATGACAGCCAGGGAATCCAGATAGTAGTGTCTCTACCTGCAGGCCCCAGCTCCTTATTCTGCCTCCCTCATAGCATCTAGAGCTATTCGGGCTCTTGCATAGTGACTGCAAATAGTCAGTCTTTCAATGTCATCTCCATGTTGGGCACAGCATAGCCTGAGCTGCACAGATTGCCAGCGCAGGTGCCCCTTGCAAAGCCCAATACAGCTGATGTCTTCAGTTTGGCCACCACAGCCAGCCAGGAATCCCTTGAGGAATGGGGAGGACAATAGCGAGCCATCCCAGCCACCTCTGCTGTTGACTTTGTCTTCCATGTGCCGCTGCAGGCAATCCAGCTGGTTCTCGAGAAATGCCAGGTCCTTAAGCTTAGGCAGAGAATCCTTGTCATCTGTCATCTTCCCCACCAAACTTCTGAAGAGCACTTTCTATAAGTCAAAAGTAAGGCAGTCTTAGTTTTATTCTCTATATTTGATGTTTGGTGCACTGCAAAAGATGGCATAGCTTAGTAGGATGTTATTTTATTTCAGTTGCAAGATAGGAAGGGCATTGATAATTGTAGAAATGGGGAGGGGTTACATATATGAGTCTGAGGCTGTATATTTAGTCTTCTGAGCTTTGGAAATAGAGATGATTTTTTTTCAGTCTTAGCAAAGGAAGTATTTTAAAATTTCAGAAACAATCAGGCTATTAATAAAGTATGTTTAAGTGGTAGAGAGAGCAATGCACTAAGAATAATGATTTTTTAAAAATCTTGATTCTGCTAGTAACTTGCTGAGCCTGGACAAGTCCCTTAATGTTTCTGAACCTCTGTCTTCTTACTTATAAAATGATATTTCTATATAACTTAAAAGGTCCCTTCCAGACCTAAAATTCTGTGACTCTGATTTTTCTCTATGCTCATAATGATTCTTTGCTTACTTCCACAGAGTATGAAGGTAACAGGTATCCCTTATCAATGAAAATTACCTTTAAAAGTATAAAGCAGCAAACTGTGTTGCAAAGGGAAGGTATGGAAATGAGCTGTGAATCTTGAACCTAATGGGGTTGCCTGTAGCTCATTCTCTTTGATGTGCGCTACCTGCAGTGTTCACTCCTGGTGTGCTGTGATTCTGGAAGAGAGGCACTAGGTCTTGAATGTGTAGTTTTTGACAGCCTGTTTCTAGATGGGACACACATCTAGACACACATCATTTCAATGGTGACCTTCAAGGGCAATGATGCCCCAGCCTTCAATGTGTAACTCTTAGGTAACACTAAAATTGGAACTTGGCAATCATATAGGAAAAGAGGATAATGTCATGTTAGGCCTAAATAGGGTATTTTGGGGATGGAAAACATCAAAGTCTATACTCTACCCAAGTATAGATTTTGGTAAATGGATTTTAGACAGATTGTTTTTCAAGCTCCGTTATGTCTCCTTAGACTTTTTCACTTTTTGTAGTAATCACTTTTTTCTGATGTTTACAATATTCTGTTATAAATGGGGCTTACCATCTGCCATTAAGGAAAGTATAAAAATCAGGCTGTGCCAGTCTTTTTCTCTCCATAAAGTAATTTCCATCAGACCTCATTTTCCTCTGCTTTAGTCTCTTCTGCGAATGTGGTAGTGATCTTAAGTTATATAGCTTGTAAGGTGAGGCACATTACAGATACAAATCTGAGGATTTAGCTGGGCAAGGGAGGGAGAGAAATGGTAAGAAGGGAGGTAGAGGAGTTTATTGATTACTCATGTAATGCTTCATTGTGAGTAAAGAAAAGCAGATTGGTCATCTATAATAAAATGTAGCCCAAATGGCATTTGCACAGTTGTAAGGTTTATTTCACAGCAAATCAGTATGCCTATTAGCATTTCACACATATCCCTGTCTCTCTGTCAAGAATGTTTGCAGATTCTTTGTTGTTCATGCTTAAAGGCACTTTTTATCTTCTGTTGTCTTGCTAATGGACCTCCTCTTGAAAAACAACTCTTCCTGTCTACACAGATGAATCTCTTCATGACTACTGTGTTTCAGTTTTTGATTAGCTCCTTGGGAATCACAGTTTCTGTTAGGATGAGCAGAAAGAATAAGATGGGAGGCCGTAATTTAACATTGTAATTCAGGATCAAAATCATAGGCTTTTGTGTGACTTTGAAGTCTTCCTGCTCCTTCTAAACAGAATTGCAGCTATAGCATCCCAGCTAGGTGTTTTTCACATCTCTTTTTCTTCCCTTCGTCTTCTTCTTTTACTTCCCTTTCTTCTTCCCCTCCCTCCCTTTTTTCCTTTTTTCCCTCCCTTCCTCCCTCCCTCCGTCCTTCCTTTCTTCTCTGTATTTAAGTACTTGCAATAAAAACACTGACACTTGCCTGCATCTTGAAAACCCCAGATTCAGTTTCATCAACATCTGTTGAATGCCTATTATATTCTTGATTCTGTCCTAGGCCTATTCCTATGCATTGTCTTATTTAATCCCCATAACAATTACTTGAAAAAGCTATTTCATTCCCATTCCATCGATGAAGAAACTTTGGCCTGATTCATAGAGCTAGTATGTGGCAGAGGCTGAATGTGAAATTACATCTTCTGAATTCTTCCTTTACTGGGTAGAAACTCTGTTTCATATGGGAAGTTGTATTAGGGTTCTCCAGAGAAACAGAACCAAGAGGGTATATGGAGATATACATGTGCGTATATATATTTATTATAGGAATTGGCTGTTGTAATTATGGAGGCTGAAAAGTCCCACAGTCTGCTGTCTGCAAGCTTGAGACCAGGGAAAGCCAGTGGTGTAATTCATTCTGAATCCAAAAGCCTGAGAATTGGGGGGCCAATGTCCTGGTGTGAGTCTGAAAGCCCAAGAACCAGGAGTGCTGATGTCTGAGAGCAGGAGAAGATGAATGCCCCAGCTTAAACACAAAGGTGAATTCACCTTTCCGCCATCTTTTTGTTTGATTTTGTCCCTCACCAAATTGGATGATGTCCAAGCACATTGGTTGGGCAACCTTCTTTACTCAGTCTACTGATTCAAATGCTGATCTCGTTCAGAAGAGGCAAACCTAGAAATAATGTTTTACCAGCTGTCTGGGCATTCCTTAGCCCAGTCAAGTTGACACATAAAATTAATTGTCACATAATTGCTGTTATAAAAGGAACTATACCTTAGTGTGGAAGTAAGCCAGCTATGATTAAGTGAGAACATGTGACCAAATTCTGGGTCCAGATTCTCAATGACTGATTCAGCCTTGGGCAAGGTTTTGACCTTTGTATTTTAGAATCTCTACTGATTAAAAAGAGATAGTAAAAGTTGTCTTAGAGGAGTCTTAATCTATAGCTGTCTGTATTTACTGAAAAACCTTACTTTTACAAAATTTTAATTTTGTGGACAACTTGGAACTCTTTAGTTGGGAAATAAATTCCAGCATAGTTGTTTTAATAGCACTGCAATTAATAGAAGTTATATTATCTAAATCAATTGTTAACAAATATGCTCAGTTACTGGGCAGAATCTTATTTGATGGGAATATCAATACATATTTGTTGAATACCTACTATGTGACTGACACCTTACATTCATGAGCTTATTTAACCCTTATCATTTCTGTGAGTTCTCAATTACTTGCCTCAAAGAATGAGGCTCAGAGGAATTAAATAATTTTTCCAAGGTCACATAACTAGTAGGTGGTGAAGTTGGGATTTGGATCTTTGAATGCACAAAAATAGCACAATTATTACTAGTGTGGGATTTTCAGTTAGATTTAAGTTCCAGTTCTGTCTCTTACTAGCAGTGTAACCTTTGGTGATTGACTTAATCTATCTAAACCTTCATTTTTAGATTGAGCTACTTAAGAGGTCTGTTCCATTCTAAAGATTCAATTGCAACTGTCCCTTTAGCATGGCCTGACACAGTGAGTGAGGTATGCAATGGCACCTGTTTATAAGGGTTTAGCATGTTAAATGAAAGATGAAGCATAAAGATGAAATGTGAGCATTTTTTTCATAATGTATGCTAAAATGTTAAATCATGCAGTTTTAGCAAAAGATACTAGTGTGATGCATGTGTTATATTAGACAGAACTTTGGAGTAGAGCTGGGATATGCAAAACCTTTCCCCATCTTTACCACTAGCACACTGTGAATCTCAGAGCATATTATTTCACTTCCGTGTCCTCTGTGTTTCATCTGTTCATGCATTCATAAAACATCTACAGAGAGACAGCAGTGTGTCCAGGCACACTGTACGAGGAATCTAGGAACTGGAAAAGGAGCTAACACGTGGCGTCTATTCCCGCATGGGCCAAGGAACTTATAGCCTAATGGGAGGAGAGACAGACATATGAAGATTTTATAATGCAGTGTGAAAAGTGGTATTACAGTGTTCAGAGCCAGGGGAGGTTTTATGGAAGAGCTGACAATTGAAGAAGCAATGAAGATGAGAAGGCACTCTGCCTTATTTATCTTTATAGTAATATTTCCTAAAGCATTGAGTGCAGTGTCCAACACATAGTAGGCACTCAGTAGTGAATTGGATACTGATTTGCAAGCTGGACTTGTTTTCAACAACCATTCCTTCCTATGTTTCTTGTTATAGCTCCTCTACCTCTTTAGGGAGCTCCACAGGGACTCAGTTCAAGTCCCTAATTCTCTTAGTGACAGTACACCAGGGTGGTTAAGAGCATAGGTTCTGAAGTCAGACTTCCTGGTTTCAGTTTCTGTCTTTGCTATTTGTTAGCTGTCTGACCTTGAGCAGTTAGTTAGCTTTCTGTGCCTCTGTTTTCTTGTCTATAAAATGGGATAATAGGCTGGGCGCGGTGGCTCACACCTGTAATCCCAGCACTTTGGGAGGCTGAGGCGGGTGGATCATGAGGTCAAGAGATTGAGACCATCCTGGCCAACATGGTGAAACCCTGTCTCTACTAAAAATACAAAAATTAGCCAGACGTGGTGGTGCTTGCACCTGTAGTCCCAGCTACTCAGGAGGCTGAGGCAGGATAATTGCTTGAACCCAGGAGGCGGGGGTTGCAGTGAGCTGAGATTGCGCCACTGCACTCCAGTTTGGCAACAGAGTGAGACTCCGTCTCAAAAAAAAAAATCATAATAATACCTAGCATTATTAAATGGAAAAAATTAAATGCAAAGAACTTTGAATTTGAATGGAGACTAAGCACTAAGGATAGTAATTGCATAATGAAAGTTAGCAATTTTTATTTTTCATTTTGATACATTTTATGCTGAGTTCATTTATTAGAGTGCCACTTCACAAATAACTCAGTTACCTGCAAAAATAGAATTTTTCTGATTGACAGTGATCAAAAAGAAAAGGTGACTTATTTTAGGAAAGATGTTGCTTTTTCTTCGCCTGCTCTTGCTTTAAAGAATGGATCATAAGGTTCTGGTTAATGTCATAAGGAGCTCACATGTATTTTGCTAATTATAAGTCATGCTTCTCAGTGACCCTTTTAACTGTTAAAATGACCTCCAGATTCTGATTTTTCTTCACTCTTTATTAATGGTTAACAAACTGTTTAATGCGCGGTAGGAAAGCCAAGTAAGCCTGAAGCATTTAGAAAATGGCATGTGAATTAGTTGTAAACTGTTTCAGTAAACATTAAATGGGTGGCAATTACTTAAAGTGATTGCCTAAGTTTCATTAAAGTATTTAAAAGAAAAAATATGTGCTTAATGCTGCCTTAATTATAAGGAACTTACTACAGTAGCTTCCATCTAGGGTTTACCAAATTAGCCTAATTCATAACCTCACCCAGGGCATTGTATGCACATGCATTTTATACACATTTCTGATTTCCCCCTTCACCCCATGCCTCACTGAGACTCAGACCTGGTAATCTGTGTTTTTAATTATTTAAGGTGAATCGCTGATGAGACCTGGTTGGAAAACACAGGTGTTGTCTGGTTAAAAGCTTGGTTTTGATTTTGCATTCAACAATTCAAAAAGCTCTTAAAGATACTTCAGTATAACTGGTTACCAAGGGTTAATTGTGGTGAATATAGAATGAGAGTAGCTGAGGAAATGGAAGTCTGTGATTTTTGATTGCCTTGTTAAATCGTCAACAGCAGCAGCACCACCATCATTGATTGGGTTATGGCAGGAAATGCTATAGTTAGATTTGCTACAAATTAGTTTAGATAGAGAGTATGGGTGAAAATAAGGTAATCTTTTCAGATGTTGTCTGATAAATGGAAGCAGTGCATTCATGAGCAGAGCTGCAAAATAAATGTTGAGTACACCTTTGAAACAAGGTTGCCTACCGTGAATTATAGCAAACAAACGGAAGTATTCTCAAGGTGTGTGGAATCAATAAAAACCAAAGTGTCAAGATGCAAAGAGCAGTCAGCTTGTATAGGTGCCCACAACTACTAATCATAACTTGATAGGTGTGGAAAGAACTGCTGAATACCCTCCCTCTTACACTGCCCCAACTATGGCACTGCCCTAGATAGCCTTCTAAAACACACACCTGATTCTGCCACTCCCTGCTTGCAGCCCTCAATACTTTTCTATTCATATGATAGGATAAAGTCTAAATGCCTTATCAAAGTATATAGGGCCATTCAGGATTTATCTACTATATACTCTTATAGTCTTCTTTCTCTTCTCTTGCCACATTTTCATGTTATATGCTCAAGCCAACTGAAGTCTATACTTGTAGGCTTCCGAAGTGCTTTGAGAAAAAAAATCATATACCACATTGTTCTGTTATAGACCCTAACACAGTGCCTAGTAGGGGCTCAATATACATAGTAGTTGTTTAATAAATGTTTATTGACAAATGAATAAATCAAAACACAATTACTGTAATGATCTCATTACATGTGGATTTTTCCCTTTTGGGATATAAGCCCATCCAGAGCACTATAGTGTGCACAGTTACTGGCACATAATAGTCATTAAGAGTTTATGGAGATCTGGCAAAATGGCCAAATAGGAAGAGCTCCAGTCTGTAGCTCCCAGCGAGACCAATGCAGAAGGCGGGTGATTGCTGCATTTCCAACTGAGGTAGCCAGTTCATCTCACTGGGACTGGTTAGACAGGGGGTGCAGCCCATGGAGGGTGAGCAGAAGCAGAGGGGGTTGTCGCCTCACCCAGGAAGTGCAAGGGGCCGGGGGACTCCCTCCCCTAGCCAAGGAAAGCCGTGAGGGACTGTGCTATCTGGCCCAGATACTACGCTTCTCCCATGGTTTTTGCAATCCGCAGACCAGGAGATTCCCTTGTGTGCCTACACCACCAGGGCTCTGGGTTTCAAGCACAAAACTGGGCTGCTGTTTGGATAGATGCCAGGCTAGCTGCACGTGTGTTTTTTTCGTACCCCAGTAGTTCCTGGAACCCCAGTGGTGCCTAGGAACCCCAGTGAGACAAAACCGTTTTCTCCCCTAGAAAGGGGGCTGAAGCCAGGGAGCCAAGTGATCTCCTGCAGTGGATCCTACTCCCACAGAGCCCAGCAAGCTAAGAACCACTGGCTTGAAATTCTTGCTGCCAGCACAGCAGTCTGAAGTCGACCTGGGACGCTCAAGCTTGGTGGAGGCAGGGGCATCCACCATTACTGAGGCTTGAGTAGGTGGCTTTCCCCTGACCATGCTAAGGACTGGACGTAACTCAACACAGCACAGCAAAGTGGCTGTGGCTAGACTGCCTTTCTAGATTCCTCTTCACTGGGCAGGGCATCTCTGAAAGAAAGGCAAGAGCCCCAGTCAGGGGCTTATAAATAAAACTCCCATCTCCCTAGGGCAGAGCACCTGGGAGAAGGGGTGGCTGTGGGTGCAGCTTCAGTGGACTTAAACATTCCTGCCTGCCGGCTCTGAAGAGACCAGTGGATCCTGACAAGGAGGGTTCTCCCAGCGTGGTACTTGAGCTCTGCTAAGGGACAGACTGCCTCCTCACGTGGGTCCCTGACCTGCATGCCTCCTGACTGAGAGAGACCTCCCAACAGGGGTTGACAGACACCTCATACAGGAGGAAGGAGCAGGCAGGAATCTTTGCTGTTCTGCAGACTCCGCTGGTGATACCAGGCAAATAGGGTCTGGAATGGACCTCCAGCAAACTCCAGCAGACCTAGAGGAGAGGGGCCTGGCTGTTGGAATGAAAACTAACAAAACAAGAAGCAATAACGTCAACATCAACAAAAAGGACCCCCACACACAGAAACCCCATCCAAATGTCATCAGTCTCAAGGATCAAAGGCAGATAAATCCATGAAGATGAGGAAAAACCAGCGCAAAAATGCTGAAAATTCCCAAAACCAGAATGCCTCTTCTCCTTCAAATGATCGCAACTCCTTTCCAGCAAGGGCACAAAATGGGACACCGAATGAGTTTGATGAATTGACAGAAGTAGGCTTCAGAAAGTGGGTAATAATAAACCCCTCTGAGCTAAAGAAGCATGTTCTAACCCAATGCAAGGACTCTAAGAACCTTGACAAAAGGTTACAGGAACTACTAACTAGAATAACCAGTTTAGAGAAGAACATAAATGACCTGATGGATCTGAGAAACACAGCACGAGAACTTCGTGAAGCATATACAAGTATCCATAGCCAAATCAATCAAGCAGAAGAAAGGATATCAGAGATTGAAGATGAACTTAATGAAATAAAGCATGAAGACAAGATTAGAGAAAAAAGAATGAAAAGGAATGAACAAAACCTCCAAGAAATATGGGACTCTGTGAAAAGACCAAACCTATGATTGATTGGGGTCCCTGAAAGTGATGGGGAGAATGGAACCAAATTGGAAAACATACTTAAGGATATTATCCAGGAGAACCTCCCCAACCTAGCAAGACAGACCAACATTCAAATTCAGGAAATACAAAGAACACTACTAAGATACTCTTCAAGAAGAGCAACCCCAAGACACATAATTGTCAGATTCTCTAAGCTTGAAATGAAGGAAAAAAGAATGTTAAAGGGCAGCCAGAGAGAAAGGTCTGGTTACCTACAAAAGGAAACCTATCAGACTAACAGCAGATCTCTCTGCAGAAACCCTACAAGCCAGAAGAGAGTGGGGCCCAATATTCAATAGTTTTAAAGAAAAGAATTTTCAACCCAGAATTTCATATCCAGCCAAACTAAGTTTCATAAGCAAAGGAGAAATAAAATCCTTTGCATAAATGCTGAGGGATTTTGTCACCACCAGGCCTGCCTTACAGGAGCTCCTGAAGAAAGCACTAAATATGGAAAAGAAAAATCGGTACTAGCCACTGCAAAAACACACCAAAATATAGAGACCAGGGACACTATGAAGAAACTGCATTAACTAATGTGCAAAATAACCAGCTAGCATCATGATGACAAGATCAAATTCACACATAACAATATTAACCTTAAATGTAAATGGGCTAAGTGCCCCAAAAGGCACAGACTGCCAAATTGGATAAAGAGTCAAGACCCATTGGTGTGCTATATTCAGGAGACCCATCTCATGTGCAAAGACACACATACGCTCAAAATAAAGGGATGGAGGAATATTTACCAAGCAAATGGAAAGCAAAAAACAAACAAACAACAAAACTTAGGGGTTGCAATCGTAGTCTCTGATAAAACAGGCTTTAAGCCAAAAAAGATCAAAAAAGACAAAGAAGGGCATTACATAATGGTAAAGGGATCAATGCAACAAGAAGAGCTAACTATCCTAAATATATATGCACCCAATACAGGAGCACCCAGATTTATAAAACAAGTTCTTAGAGACTTACAAAGAGACTTAGACTCCCACACAGTAATAGTGGGAGACTTTAACACCCCACTGTCAATATTAGACAGATCAACGAGACAGAAAATTAACAAGGATATTCACAACTTGAACTCAGCTATGGACCAAGCAGACCTAATAGACATCTACAAAACTCTCCACCCCAAATTAACAGAATATACATTCTTCTGAGCACCACGTAGCACTTACTCTAAAATCGATCACATAATTGGAAGTAAAACACTCCTTAGCAAATGCAAAAGAATGGAAATCATAACAGTCTCTCAGACCACAGTGCAATCAAATTAGAACTCAGGATGAAGAAACTCACTCAAAACCATGTATGTGGAAACTGAACAACCTGCTCCTGAATGACTACTTGGGTAAATAACGAAATTAAGGCAGAAGTAAAGTTCTTTGAAACCTATGAGAACAAAGACAAAACATACTGGAATCTCTGGGACACAGCTAAAGCAGTGTTTAGAGGGAAATTTATAGCACTCAATGCCCAAAGGAGAAAGCGGGAAAGATCTAAAATTGATACCCTAACATCACAATTAAAAGAACTAGAGAAGCGAGAGCAAACAAATTTAAAAGCTAGCAGAAGAAAAGAAATAACTAAGATCAGAGCAGAACTGCCCTCACTCAGCAATGAGGAGCCTGAGCAAATGTGCAAGGCTGTGAGAGAGAGAGAGAGAGAGAGAGAGAGAGAGAGAGAGAGAGAGAAGGAGATAGAGACACGAAAAACCCTTCAAAAAATCAATGATTGCGGGAGCTGGTTTTTTGAAAAGATTAACAAAATACATTGACTGCTAGCCAGACCAATAAAGAAGAAAAGAGAGAAGAATCAAATAGACACAATAAAAATTGATAAAGGGGATATCACCACTGATCTCACAGAAATACCAACTACCATCAGAGAATACTATAAACACCTCTAGCAAATAAACTAGAAAATCTAGAAGAAATGGATAAATTCCTGGACATGTACAGCCTCCTAAGATTAAATCAGGGAGAAGTTGAGTCCCTGAATAGACCAATAACAAGTTCTGAAATTGGAGGCAGTAATTAATAGCCTGCAAACCAAAAAAAGCCCAGGACCTGACGGATTCACAGCTGAATTCTACCAGAGGTACAAAGAGGAGCTGGTACCATTCCTTCTGAAATTATTACAAACAATAGAAGAAGAGGGACTCCTCCCTAACTCATTTTATAAGGCCAGCATCATCCTGATTCGAAAACCTGGCAGAGACACAACAAGAAAAGAAAATTTCAGGCCAATATCCCTGATGAACATTGAGGTGAAAATCCTCAGTAAAATACTGGCAAACCAAATCAAGCAGCACATCAAAAAGCTCATCCACCATGATCAAGTTGGCTTCATCCCTGGGATGCAAGGCTGGTTCAACATATGCAAATCAATGAATGTAATCCATCACATAAACAGAACCAATGACAAAAACCACATGATTATCTCAATAGATGCAGAAAAGGCCTTTGAAAAAATTCAACACCCCTTCATACTAAAAACTCTCAATAAAGTAGGTATCGATGGGACATATTTCAAAATAATGAGAGCTATTTATGATAAACCCATAGCCAGTATCATACTGAATGGGCAAAAGCTGGAAGCATTCCCTTTGAAAACTGGCACAAGACAAGGATGCCCTCTCTCACCACTCCTATTCAACATAGTATTGGAATTTCTGGCCAGGGCAATCAGGCAAGAGAAGGAAATAAAGGGTATTCAATTCAAATAGGAAAAGAGGAAGTCAAATTGTCTCTGTTTGCAGATGACATGATTGTGTATTTAGAAAACCCCATGGTCTCAGCCCAAAAACTCCTTAAGCTGATAAGGAACTTCAGCAAAGTCTCAGGATACAAAATCAATGTGCAAAAATCACAAGCATTCCCATACACCAAAAATAGACAAACAGAGAGTCAAATCATGAGTGAACTTTCATTCACAATTGCTACAAAGAGAATAAAATACCGAGGAATACAACTTACAAGGGACATGAAGGACCTCTTCGAGGAGAACTACAAACCACTGCTCAAGGAAATAAGAGAGGACAGAAACAAATGGAACAACATTCCATGCTCATGGATACAAGAATCAATATCGTGAAAATGGCCATATGGCCCAGAGTAATTTATAGATTCAGTGCTATCCACATCAAGCCACCACTGACTTTCTTCACAGAATTAGAAAAAAACTACTTTAAATTCCATATGGAACCAAAAAAGCCCACATAGCCAAGACAATCCCAAGCAAAAAGAACAAAGCTGGAGGCATCATGCTACCTGACTTCAAACTACAAGGCTACAGTAACCAAAACAGCATGTTACTGATACCAAAACAGATATATAGACCAATGGAACAGAACAGAGGCCTCAGAAATAACACCACGTATCTACAGCCATCTGATCTTTGAGACTGTACAAAAACAAGCAATGGGGAAAGGATTCCCTATTTAATAAACGGTGCTGGGAAAACTGGCTAGCCATATGAAGAAAACAGAAACTGCACCCCTTCCTTACACCTTATACAAAAATTAACTCAGATGGATTAAAGACTTAAATGTAAAACCTAAAACTGTAAAAACCCCAGAAGAAAACCTAGGGAATACCATTCAGGACATAGGCATGGGCAAAGATTTCATGAGTAAAACACTAAAAGCAATTGCAACAAAAGCCAAAATTGATAAATGGGATCTAATTAAACTAAAGAGCTTCTGCACAGCAAAAGAAATTATCACCAGAGTGAACAGGCATCCTACAGAATGGGAGAAAATTTTTGCAATCTATCCATCTGACAAAGGTCTAATTTCCAGAATCTACAAGGAACTTAAACAAATTTACAAGAAAAAAAAACCAACAACCCCATCAAAAAGTGGGCAAAGGATATGAACAGACACTTCTCAAAAGAAGGCATTTATGTGGCCAAGAAACATATAAAAAAAGCTCATCATCACTGGTCATTAGAGAAATGCAAATCAAAATCACAATGAGATACCATCTCATGCCAGTTAGAATGGTGATCACTAAAAAGTCTGGAAACAACAGATGCTAATGAGGATGTGGAGAATTAGGAATGCTTTTACACTGTTGGTGGAGTGTAAATTAGTTCCACTGTGGAAGATGGTGTGGCGATTCCTCAAGGATCTAGAACCAGAAATAACATTTGACCCAGCAATCCCATTACTGGGTATATACCCAAAGGATTATAAAACATTGTACTATAAAGACACATGCACACGTATGTTTATTGCAGTACTGTTTACAATAGCAACAACTTGGAACCAACCCAAATGACCATCAGTGATTGACTGGATATAGAAAATGTGGCACATATACAGCATGGAATACTGTGCAGCCATAAAAAAGAATGAGTTCATGTCCTTTGCAGAGACATGGATGAAGCTGGAAACCATCATCCTCAGCAAACTAACAGGGGAACAGAAGACCCAACACTGCATATTTTCACTCGTAAGTGGGAGTTGAATAATGATAACACATGGATGCAGGGAGTGGAACAACACACACTGGGGCCTTTCGGGGAGTGGGGTGCAAGGGGAGGGAGAGCATTAGGACAAATTCCTAATGCATGTGGGGCTTAAAACCAAATGACGGGTTGACAGGTGCAGCAAACCACCATGGCACATGTATACCTATGTAACAAACCTGATGTTCAGCACATGTATCCCAGAACTTAAAGTAAAATAAAATAAAATAAACAGTTTGTGAATTTATCAATAACCTGATAGAATTACAGACTGCAGTGCGTACTCATAAGGAACTCTTATTTATTCATGCTGTTGAAGGGAGATTGGATAAGCTAGACATATTAAATAATAGTATGTTTGATTTTCTTGGAGTTTATAAAGTTATCAAGCTGAACAGTAACTATCTGAATCTTGAGAGACTGGAAATTTGGCTGACTTCTTTTAGGTTTCTTCCTTTCCCACAGAATTCTTTGTTTCTCCCTCTATTCTGTGCCAATTGGTATCAGACCTAAAACTGATGCAGACCCTGTGGATTTAGGCAGAGCTGACCTGTCCAGAGTTACTCTCCTAATAGTTTACAGCCCACCTAGGTTTAGAAGACAGTTGTTTTGAACTATATAATTACTTTGGCTTGAGTTGGATTCTCTAGGAAAACAAAAAATAGACAAAAGACATTGAATAGTGATTACAGTTTTTAATCATAGTTTTATTATGATAAGAAACTGAAAGGATGCAAAAGAGTTGGTCATACTTACCTGGATTCAGGTCAAGCCATTGCCAAGCCATGGTACAGGCACTGATGTGGACCTTTTTCAATAGAGGCAGAGAAGACTTAATTTTCAGACTGGGCTCTAAGTACTTCTGGGGTTGAGTACAGTATAAATATATTTACCTGAAACATCCCTTTTATTTGGGTATTTGGAAAGAGTATTTTTATAATAAGGTAAACCTAGAACTATTAATTTTAAATATGAAATGTGAAAGTCTTTAAAGACAAAGTATGGAGGTTTACAGAGATATTTTGAGGCTGGGTGGATGCCTTAGTTATTCTGTCTGATTAAAGTGTTGAAGAACACACACATTATACTAAAGTATTGGTTTGTAACATGGAAGATTTAATGACCATAGCATAGACATTAAGTCTTTGTTTTTTGAGTTAATCACTGAGGGAAACTGAAGTTCCATTTCACCACTTCCTGGGTAGTGACAGTGGTACAATCTTTAGCTTCACTTTGTTGCATAAGAAACCAGTTAGGATCCAAAGCTGCAAAGAAAGATGCATTTCTGCCTTTAAGAACAAGTTTAAATCATGAACTGCTTTATTTAGAGCCAGTTGGAGGTAGCATACTGCTGGCAATTCCAAACCATTTAAAAAACAAAAGTTATGGTTATTAATTTTTGAAGCCACAAAAGCATGAATCAACATTATAGCAGTGTCAGTATCTCAGTAGGAACTAGTTTCAACTGAACTGTGGCAGCAAAATAAATGTTTGCAGATTGTTTTGACAAAATGTCATCCTCTGGGCTTCAATTTATTTGCCAACAGCCTTACTTTTGAAAAAGTCTTGCTGCGCTTGAAGTTTAGAAGAAAACCCTCCCTCTGAACATTCTGGACCTTAACAAATAACTCTATCTGCAAGCATTTGTAATGTGGATCTGCAAATGTTTTAATAGGAATGGAATATGTTGCTAAGAGATGTGTCTGTAAACATCTGTTTGACATATTTCACCATGGTGGAGATTAGGGATCCCTGGTACCCCTGGTGGTACAGGCCGTTTTTTTAAAAACAGAATTCACATGTGGTTTTTGAAAATTACTTATTTATTTATTATGATTTTTAAAAATTTAATTTAAAGTTCCAGATACATGTGCCAAATGCGCAAGTTTGTTACACAAGTAAATGTGTGCCATAGTAGTTTGCTGCACCTATCAACCCATCACGTAGGTATTAAGCCCTGCATGTATTAGCTATTTATCTTGATGCTCTCCCTCCCCTCACCTCCACAGTCCCCAGTGTGTGTTGTTTCCTTCCCTGTGTTCCACATGTTCTCATTGTTCAGCTCCTTCTTATAAGTGAGAACATGCGGTGTTTGGTTTTCTGTTCCTGCGTTAGTTTGCTGAGGATAATGGCTTTGAGCTCCATCCATGTCCCTGCAAAGGACATGATCTCATTCTATGAATTTTTTTAAAGAGATAGAATCTTGCTGTATTTCTCAGGCTGGACTTGAACTCCTGAGCTCAAGCAGTCCTCCAGCCTCAGCCACTCAAGTAACAGGCTACAGGCGTGCACCAGTATGTCAGGCTCACATGTGTTTATAAAGTTCTCTAGACAGGGCTGTAACAGGGTTGTGTGTGTGTGCGTGTGTGTGTGTGTGTGTGTGTGTGTGTGTGTACTGTCAGATGATTTTATTCGTATTTTTCTAGTGTTCACCCATCATTTGAAGCTTAGGCACATGCAACTCTAGGAGGTGAGTTTAGTCCCTGAAATGAGTATCTTTTTTGAAAGTTGCTTGACAAGTGTGAAGAAAATCATTTTCCAAAGCATTAACGTCAATTTTATACAAAATTCTGCCTGCGTGTGTTTATATGCATTTCATCTGACTCTTAAACAGATCTATAACTCCCAAAGTTAGAACTGACAAATTTATAGGCTAAGTTGTTTGAGCTCTGGAATGAATTTAGATAGTTCTTAAAGCCATTTAAAATCAGAAGAAAATAAATTAAAAGGAATAGAAGGGATGGCTTGTTGAAAAGTAAAGGAATAATGGCTCAATCCCAAGCTTAGTGTAGGAAAAGTTTAATACTCATTGCAAAGTATTTGGTAATATATAGTCCTTGGATATTTTAAAAAGAAAAACAAGCATTGTTATTATCAAGATTTTAACATGCCTCATTTTCAAAGAGTTCAAACCAATGGCTAGATATGTTTTTGAAATCTCCTGTTTGGACAGTGGGATTTAGAAGGGTGCCCTATGTTCACAAATACAGTAGAAATAGAAATGATGGGGGAAGCACACTATAGCAGGAAGAGTACGGACTTTATGGTCAGACAAAGCTACATAACTGCTAAGTCTAGATCTCCCCACTACTAGATATGTGATCTGGGTAATGTATGCAATAACCTCATTGAATACATATCATATATGAATATAGAAATAATACTTAGGTTATGGGAATGTTCTGAGGATTAAAGGAGATATGTTCATAATAAGCGCTATTTATTAATAGATGTTCTTATTAAGTAATATTTCTAATCTAGTGTCCTTACCAAATTGCTTGGCCAGGAAAAAATAGAAAGCAAGCTGTGAAGAATCTCTTCAATAAACCTCATAACTGTCTTTTGAAGAGGTCTTGCAAGTGGTGATGAATTGAAAGAATAAAAATAAAACTTGTGATAATGGAAAATAGAAGTATAAGTTTTGGAAGAAAAGACTGCAGTGGATGTGTAGCTCAGTTTGTACACACCCCAAATAACATTGGAAAGCCAAGTTATTGTTCTCAAAGTCTTTGCTCATTTTAAATAGTAATAGATTCAAGATAGAGGAGAAACTGATTTCTGAAGTGAGCTTGATTTCAGCATGTAAAAGGATACATTCTTTTGACTTAGTTCAGAACATGCTAATTTCATAGGCAAATTAACCAATTGTCATTCACGGCAGGACATACCATGCAGACATTTCAGAACAATTTTAATTGCAGTTGACATTTTTGAAATGAATTCTTGGACATAAACATCTATATGACATGGATGTGTCACTGTAGGAGAAAATTTAGTGTTAGCTGATTTAATAGCTAAAGAATACATTTTAATATTTAGGCATATTTTATATTAGTGACCAAAGAAAAAAACCAATTAGAAATTGACTTTCAGAATTCTGTTTAGGGAATTCATTTAGCTGACATCACAAGTAACTCTTAAATAGCCCCTTTGGTGTGTTTTAAAGTAGGATTAGGTGAATATAACATTACAAGAACTAGGCATTGGCCAGCTTTTCTTTGAGTATACAAGACAGAAGTTTAGAGTTTACTTAACTATAATTTATTTTTATGTAAACCAGTAATGGAGTCTGTAAAAATATTTAGGTTCTTGTTCTGAAAAATTAAGTTTTTTTTTTTTTTTTTAAGGAACATGGTTAATGGCTGATTTACATGTGTTATTTTGACATGAGTTTTGTTCTATTGTAGTAGAGAATTAGACTTCCTAACATCTCCACTATGCAAGAGTAGAGAGTGGCTGGACATATCTTAGGCTATAACAATCTTAATATGTGTGTGTTTTGGGTGCAGCTCAGAGATAACCAATGTTGTTTAATATTCATTGGTGTCTCTTGGATTGCTGATTCTGTTTTGTTTTTAAGTCAGATTACTACTTAAAGAGGAAAACTTAAATGGATATCAATAGGATCTGTGAATCAAAACTTGTTCTGTACATAAAACATCTAGATTCATTTCAGTAAGTTACCCTTGTGCATAGCTTAGTTCCTTTCACCACATATTCTTTTTATCTGTGAACCATCGTGCATATTTTTCCTTTTCATTCTGTCTTTGGAAATCCTCATTCTATTCATGTGCTTTATTTTTCCATTGGATTTTCAGGTTTACTTAGGTCTCTGGAGTTGGTTATATGCCTTTACCTCTTTAGGTCACTTTCACTGAGGTTTATCTATCTTGGCCACGATTGATTGGAAATTCATTGAAAAATTCATTCATTATGCAACTTCTTTAGGTAGTTGTTATTTAAATACTGCTAGTTAGTGCTCACTACACATCTTTGACTAAATAACAGGGTAAATAAAGGGTGAGAATATTTCTTGGCATTATTTTTTCCCTCTAAGAATGTCAGATTCAGTTTTTTCAATCTTTGTATTGAAAATTTGTTGGTATTACTTCTCAAAGAAAAGATGAGATCAAAAGTGCCAGAATCAATAATACATCAGTAGATTGCTTAATATAATAGCATTATCTGGTCTTTCTGAATATAATTTTATAAGCCAGAATCGCAAAATTTGATTCCTCCAGCCATGGATGTACCTTTAGTATTCTCTTCACTCTTCCTGTTGTTATTATATGTCAAAAAGTTGGGGAAGCTGAGTCAGAGGGAGAAGGAGGGATTTGCTCTGTCAGAATTGAAGCTGAGCACCAGATTCTGGTCTTATAATTCGGATCCCATCACTCCACCTGTGATTACTGTTGACTCAGGGCTGTATTATCTCATGAAGTGAGTTCCCTGTGCTGCCACTAGATAGGAGTGCATTTGCAGAATCCCATCTTTTGAAATGAATGTGACGAAGATCCATTTTCTCTGAGGATATAGGAATCAGCTGCTGCAAACACTTCATTGATTACTTGGGGGAAGGATTGGAGGGTCTTTAGTATCTTATGTGAATTCTCCTAAAACTTATTGGGAACAATCCCTTCCCCTTCCACACCACTTGCAAGCAACAGCACTTCTTTAATTCATTTTCATATTACTAGACAACTTAGGTATTCATATTTAATATCTGCCTTGAGCTTTAGGTTCTTTGACTCCTACATATCAACACTGGGTTGCTTTTATCTCAGCTTACCCTAGCTTTTCAGTCTTAAATTGACAGCGTGACCTCAAGTCTTCCTTCTGGTCCCTTCAGATTTGCTGTTGAAATTTGCTGCTCTGGCATTTGCACTGTGGCCTCCTCTTGTGGATTTTGGCTTATCTCGTTCATCAGGCCCAGAGCACCTTCCACTGCATTTGTAGGAGTTCCCTGACTCATTCTTTATACATTTCTATAACTGAATCTCAGACACCCCACTTTGCTGAAGATTTTTCCTGCCCTTCTCACGAAAGAGAGGTGGCAGAGGGATTTGGACAATTTTCAGGTGAATGCGTAATCTCTACTTTACAAGGTTGCTAAAGCGTTTTACCAGTGTAATTCTAAGAAAGCCAGATTTGAGCTTATGCAGGTCTTAAAGAGTGTCATAAATAGTCAAAAGTGTTTCCAAACTAGCTTAAGCTGGTACTTGATGGATCTAAACAAGGGGTTGTCTGAGAAGGCAAAGGAATCTAAGTTTTATGATCGATAGTTAATTAATTGGAAATTCTTCACCCAGTTAAGGAATAGCCAAGCCTTACACGTTACCCCAAGCCTTAGAAGTGACTAAATACTTTCTCTAACAGTTCTTTCTGAACAGGATGCTGTTAATAATCAATCTCTTTTGAAATGGCACTTACTTATCTCGCCACTGATGAACTGAGGTTATCTCTAGATGCCTTGAAGTGTTATATATAGGCTTCTAATATAAGGGATTAAGAAATGTTGTAGAGATAGAATATAGTGAAAGCGGATTGTGTCAAAGGGGGTGAATTCTTTACTTTTGTCAGTATTACTCTGTAGAATGCATAAGTTTATTTGTAGCACACTTCAATAGAAAATTAATATCCTTAGCCAGCCCACATACCCACTCTAATCTAGGTTTTCTATCAGCTTTGTGTAGTTAAGTGATATGAATAATTTAGAAGGAAGTTTATTTCTATAACAAATTATGAACCTCTGCGTTAAAAGTTGGTCCTAAAAACTTAGCTGATTCAATTTTATTATTTACTGAGAATGGATTTAGCATATCTCTGTTGGTCATTTGGGAAGGTGCTTAATGAGGAAAAGCATCAACATTTACTTGTGTTTATATTTAGACTCTTGTCATTCATATGCCATTTCTCAAGCAGTCGAACTCAGTTTCTACAAGTGGTCTTTCAGCTTCTGGCCTGGTTTTTAGGTCTTTGCTGATTAGTAGACATATGTTGCTGGTGTGCTGCTGTGTGCTGCTACCACAGAATACCACAGACTTGGTAATTTGTAAAGATCAGACATTTATTGGCTCACCCCCAGTTCTGGAGGGTGAGAAATCCACCATCAAGGTTCTGGCATCTGGGGAGGGCCTGCTTGGAGTGTCATAATATGGCAGAAGGCATCACAAAGCAGAGGGGCAAAGAAGGCAAAAGAGAGCAAGAGGGGGTGAATCCATTCCCCAGATAATGTATTAGTATATTCCTGGGGGCAGAACCCTCATGACATAAACACCTCTTCAAGGTTTGACCTCCCAATCCTACCACGATGGCAATTAAATTTCCACTGAGTTTTGGATGGAAAAAACTTCTAAACCATAGCACAAGGCAAATGAAGCATTATGTTGTCTGAGAACAGTGAAACTATAGATGTCAAGTAGGAAGTGTTGGAGGATCTGTTATATTTATTTTTTCTTTACTGAGAATATAATTAAACTTCACAAAAGTTGAGGATCACTGCCACTAATTTTGGACCCTCAACTCAGAACAGATCTAAATAAGACAGAAAAGAAGAAAACCTTATTGTAGAATCTTGTTGACATTTCTGTATTACATTCAGAGTTCCAGCAAAATCTTTAGAGCGTTAATACATCTGTGGGGAATGTCACCTTTTTTCAAATAAGAAAGAACAGGCATCCATGTAACATTTCCTTGAGGCCTCCATTCCTCTCCCGATTTTAAAAGAAATTGTATTTTTAAACCACACTTCTCAGTATTGCTATCCAGGTAATATGGGTAGAATTTTTTTGGCAATGTGGGGATGAAGTCAGAAGTCCTAAAGATTCTTTAAGGTTCGGTGCCTCTATATTCTTATGCATTTTGACAGAGAGTCTATAGGAAGGAGAATGTCTTCTTTTGTATGTGAAAGCATCCAATGGCAGCATTAGTGTGGCGCTTGTGACAGTAATATTGGAGCTATATATTTAGCTACTCTCTATAGCAAATAGTTGCACTCGAACAAATCTGTAGAGTTTATTTTGGGAATCTTGAAGATTTCCTAATGTTGATGAGAATTGAGTCTGACTTTAGAAACCTCGGGGTATAAATTGTTCTGATAATTGGTCCAAGTTGAACCTGGAGAAAATGCTGATGTGTTCACTCTTAAGCAGAGTGATTCATCATGTAAACCTTATCATAGCAGCTCTGGCAGAAGGGAGAGAAGTGATGTAGGGAGTGAGAAATTAAAAGTAACTGGAAATGGTGGTTATAACATGCACAAGAAACTTTCAGGTCCTTCAGGAAAAGGTTGCTGGGTAGCCATATTCTTTACCATTTCAATTAATAAGTGTTTTCTGTTCTGTTTATAGAAAGTGTCCTTTCTTTCCATGCAACTTGCTTGAAATTCCCTTGACCCTCATCCCCATTGTTCTATGCCCATGGGATTATTTTTTGGCTTTCGTGGCTTCCCAGTTAAGTAGCGTTCAGAACCATGGCCAGTCCTGGTTCAGAACTGGCTATTCTAGTCCCTAAACAGCAGTAAAGGCAAGTGCTGTAAGATTATGTTTGTGTTGAACATATTTTTGAGAAAGATAATTGAGATTCTGCAGTTTCAAATATTGTAAGGAAGTGTGTGGCACTAATTTGACATGACTATTCTCAATTTAGCAACTAAAAAACCTTAATTGGCTTGTTTTCCTTATAAATATGATTTTAATGCTAATTTTAGAAAATTTAGAACTTGCACATAAAGAAAACAAGGAAAATGAGAATCATCAGTAATTCTTCCACTTAAGGATAATAATTGTTAACATTTAGTGTATGTCCTTCTGGTGGTTTTTTTTCTATACATATTATATAAGTTAATAAGCCTGTTGTTGCAAGTGCAAGAAACTCATTTAGAACTGGAATAAACAAACAACAAGAAAGAATTTTTTTATTCACTAAAGGAAGGATCTGGGTATAGCTGGGTTTTTGGGGAAAGTAATTTGATCTGAACAAAAGGCTACAAGAAGCTAAACACAACAACTAGAAGTAATGATTATTTAGATACTTAAGGCACTGGGTACCTTGTAATTTTAACAAGGCAGATATGCCCTGGTGGTTAAATGTGGGTGAATGGATGGGGTTGCATGAATTCCTCTTTTTTGAGTCCTCACTTAGCTTTTCTTCTGGAAATTCTCTGGCATGTGATATGTGTCAAAAGACGTAATTTGGGTCTCAATCAGGACAGCACAATGTTCTGAACTCTGTACTTACCCCCAAAATTCCTGTTATCCATTATGTCCATCTAGACTTCTTTGTCTCCTGGTTTTGTTTTCACTACTGTGTTGTTTTGGCATCCCCAAACTACTGTGTTGTTTTGGCATCCCCAAACTACTGTGTTGTTTTGGCATCCCCAAACTACTGTGTTGTTTTGGCATCCTTGGGAACGTTGGGAGTTGACATCCTTGGCAGAGTATTGAGAGTTTCATGCTTGACTCTGATGATGGTGTCTGTGATGCGGTACCCCTTCCAGGTGTTTTTTTGCAGATAGAGGGCATCAACAGAGGGCTGTAGCCAAAAGAATCAATATGTGTGAAACATCCCTTGGGGACCCAGCAAATTCTTGGGATGTTAATTTATTAGGGGGAATGCAGTCTTACGATATGCAGATGGCGCAATTGGGTGATTACCGTTTCTGTGAACCTATTTCTTCTCAAAGCCTCATGAATACCATGCAAACTTGGATTAAGTGAGGAAAATGGTATCATGGAAGGTGAAATTCGGAAAAAGTCAAAATGTTTAGTTTCATCATTAGTTTAGTTACTTAGTTTAGGTCACCATTGAGGCTGCTAAAAACTAAATGATTGATTTGAATTTTACTTTTCTCTCTGATAGTCTTGGAATATTGAAATAATATTAATAATATGCTTAATATAATTACAATTAATATAATTGGGATAATTAATAAAAGAAGCAGCAGACCAAAAAGGCTGTGGGCCAATAATTTTTTAAACATGGAATTTCATGGACCAAACTTACTTTACTGCTGTACCATCATTGAGACTACCCCTTTGAGAATGGCTTAGCAGCGTTTTAAAAAGAAAGATACATATTTACATCACTGACAGAAATCCTCGTTTTAATTTTTTAACCCACTGCTTTGGCAGAAGTTAGGAAAGAACTACACAGAATAAGTTATAGAATACAAGGAGTACTACCTTTATGTTCTAAAGAATTCTAAGTATCTTATAGATATGACCTGAATCCATGTAACGTTTTTGTAATGTAAACCCCAGGTAGATTATTTTTCTACATTTTTAAGATAAAAAGCTACGGTACAGATATTTCTTAAAAATGTCTGAGTAAACTCTAGTTTTTATCACCACTTGCTGGCTGAAATTGAACTTACTCTGCTCCTAACTAAGGTAGTTTGATAATATTATGAAACTCAGGCTCTTAATGCTGTTGACTCTCTATAGCTGAATAATAATATCATGGCATATTAAGGATAATTTGTGATAATTGACAGCTTTTCTTGAGTGGGAGCTTATTAATACTTGGATACCTAAATATGTTTAAAATTATCTATTTTAATGAATACTACTTGGCTGTTTCAGTTTCTTAGCTAATTTGAAAGAGAAAAAGTAACTGTCTAATTTACTTGTCTATAGCTTGCTAACATGTAAATTGATGGTAATTTTCTGGATTGGTTGGGGTAAAGGTATGTTAAGGCATGAAGAAAATCTAGGTAACTTGTACACATCTCTCCAAAACTTGGATTCCATTAAAAAAAAAGGTTGTTCAATGCAATTAGTTTGGTGATACACTTAACACATGGAAATTAGCTCTACTTTAACCTGTTAAAATGGAATAATAGGAGGGTATATCAGGACTGTTGGTTGCAAATGGCAGAAAATTTAGCTCAGATTGCTTTAAAACAATTTTGCTTTTAATTTAAATTGTAATTGTCAAGTATGATTGAAACATAGCTGACTTCAGGCATGGGTGGATCTAGGCATTAGAAACCTACATCTGCCTTGCTTCTGAGTTATTACATGTTTAATTTATTCTTAGGTAGACTCTTCCCTTAGAGTTGCAAGATGGCCATCTGTACTTCATAGCTTTTATTGCCATTTTAGCCTCTCAGCATAATGATTAATTTCTTAGTAGTTCTAGCAAAAGGCTGACATTTATTTACTCTGTTTCACCTATATCAGGTCAACTGCCCACTCAAAAATGAATTGCTGTGTGTGGCAAGAAGTTGTGATATTCTCATTGCTCAGACCTGGGTCATAGGGCCTTGTGGATTAAACCAAATGGTTATACAAGTATAAAGATGGTTCTCCAGAAGAAAATGGGATGCTGTCATTAGAAAAAGAGCTTAAAGGTGGTTACTAACAGATGACCACTACAATGTGTGTGTGTGTTTGTGTGTATGTGTGTGTGTTTTAAACATTTATATGTTTATAAAACTTTATTCATTTAGTTATTCTCATTTCTTTTATTTATAAAGGTGAAAATGAAGTTTGAGGATTTTATATATATATTTAAGTGTGTTTTTAGAGTGTTACAGTGGTCTGGTAATTATTATTAATAAGAATGCACTACCTTATGTCTACTTAGCCTCCCTCCATGCCTCATGCCCCTTCTTCCCTTATTCTTGATATCCTGGAATTGCACATCCCAATAAACATTAGCACATAAGCTTTGCCTGAGTTTCTACTTTCTGGGGAATATGAATGGAAAATGATATCTATCAGACTTACTTAGGGGGCTGTTTCAAATGATAAATACACCACCGTGACAGTCCTTTGATACATTGTATGCTTCAAGTTTATAAGGATGAGAAAAGGTGTAACACCACGACATTAGACTTAGAAATAGTTGACCTAAGTTTGATCCTAACTCTGCTACTTACTGTATGACATTGAGTAATTTGCTGAACCTCTCTGAGCCTCATTCCTTCATGTGGTCAACAAAGGGTCAGCATGATAACATGGGTTCTCAGGGAGGACTGCTTGGGGTGCCTGTGAATCATTAGGCAATTTACATGCATCTCCAAGCCTCAGTTTTCTCATGTGTAAAATGGAGATAGTAATACAATCTACCTAACAGGTTTGTTTTGAGGATTCAATGAGATTGTCATTCATGCGAAGCATTTGTAAAGTGCCTTATCTATTATCATCTCTGAAAAAGAGTAAAAAGCTGCCTCTTTGAAAGATTGTGAAGATTAGCTGCATTCTCTAGGCAGCTGTTGGAGCCATTTGGTTTAGGTCTGAGCACCTGAGCTATTGTAAAGCATGACATAGGTATAAAATGATGTCTTTTTCTAGGGGAAACAAAACTACTGTGATATATTTAATACATAAATTGTGGAAGTTTTAACAACCATGATATCTACCTACAAACTTTTGTCTCACAATGAAAAACAGAAATGAATACTTAAAATGATAACTATGTAAACCAGTTGAGAATAGCACATTAATAACTTAAAAATAGTTGTTTCTTTTTATACTTTGGTTTGAAAGCTGAGATTGTACCAGATTGTGGACTCTGCAAAGAAGAAAATGTGAAATCCAGAAGTCCTCATTTAACTTGTTTAAGGGAATTTATATGTAGACTTGTCATGCTCAGCAGGAATTCTTCATTGTGATCACTATTTCTATTAAAGCAATTTTTTTGGAAGCCTGCAGGGTGGCCACAGTGGGATGCTTCCTATACCAAAACCAAAAGGGTACATTCGCAAAATGCCTTTTGGTGAATAATGAACCAAATTTCAACTAATTTACTTTCTGACTATTTCATATGCCACTGTGATTTCCGTGTCTTCTGAAATCTAATACATTTACTGCCTATATTGTTCATATAGCAATCTGATCGTGTTTTCCTTTAATTCTTTTAAAAAATGAGATTAACCATTAGAGTGTGGCAGCTAACAAATGGGCTTAGAAACAACACAAATGGGTTTGAAGTCATATCACTTAGTAGTTGTGTTATCTTGAGGAAGTCCCTTACCTTCTTAGGATGCATTTTCCCTGTCTATAAGAGTAATGTAAGGGAATAATAAAAGTAACTATTTCATAGACTTGTGTAAAATTAATGATATAACAAATGCAAAACATTTAACACATTTCCTGGGATAGCGTAACCATTCAAAAATATTAGTTATTGCTTATTATAGTTTTATCCATAGCATTTCCCCTACTATGTATTATCTTTTCTTCTTTTTATTTTTTATTTTTATGGGTATATAATAGGTATATATATTTACGGGGTACATGAGATATTTTGATACAGGCAGACAGTGCATAATAATCACATCAGGGCAAATGGGGTATCCATCACTTCAAGCATTTATTATTTTTTTGTGTTATAAATTCCAATTATACTCTTTTAGTTATATTAAAATGTACAATAAATAATTATTCATTGTAGTCACCCTATTGTGCTATCAAATACTAGGCCTTATTTATTCTAACTATATTTTTGTACCCATTAACCATCCCCCACCCCACCTGCTCCCACCAACTACCCTTTTTAGTCTCTGGTAACCATCCTTCTACTCTGTATCTCCATGAGTTCAATTGTTTTAATGTTTAGTTTCCACAAATAAGTGAGGACGTGCAAAATTTGTCTGGCTTATTTCACTTAACAAAATGTCCTCCAGTTCCATCCATCTTATTGCAAATGACTGGATCTCATTCTTTTTTCATGGCTGAATAGTACTCCATTGTGTGTATATATCACATTTCAAAAATCCATTCATCTGTTGATGCTCACTTAAGTTGTTTCCAAATCTTGGCTAGTATGAATAATGCTGCAGTAAACATGCATGGGAGTACAGATATCTCTTTGATATACTGATTTCCTTTCTTTTGAGCATATACCTAGCGGTGGGATTGCTGGATCTTATGGTAGTTTTGTTTTTGGTTTTTTGAGAAACTTCCACGCTATTCTCCATAGTGGCTATACATTCCCACCAACAGTGTATGAGCGTTCCCTTTTCTCCACATCCTTGCCAGCATTCATTATTGCCTGTCTTTTGGATAAAAGCCATTTTAACTGGGTGATATGATCTCATTGTAGTTTTGATTTGCATTTCTCTGATGATCAGTGATGGTGAGCACCTTTTCATGTACCTGTTTCTTAGTTGTATGTCTTATTTTAAGAAAGATCTGTTCAGATCTTTTGCCCATTTTAAACTAGATTATTAGATTTTTCCTATTGAGTTGTTTTTAACTCCCTATATATTCTGGTTATTAATTCCTTGTCAGATGGGTAGTTTACAAATACTTTCTTCCATCTTTTGGTTGTCTCTTCACTTTGTTGATTGTTTTCTTTGCTGTGCAGAAGCTTTTTAACTTGATGTGATCCTATTTCTCCATTTTTGCTTTGGTTGTTTGTGCTTATGGGGTATTACCCAAGAAACCTTTGCCCAGTCCAATATCCTGGAGTTTCCCCAATGTTTTCTTGTAGTAGCTTCATAGTTTGAGGTTTTAAATTTAAGTCTTTAATCCATTTTGATTTGATTTTTGTATATAGTGAGAGATAAGGGTCTAGTTTTATTTTTCTGCATATTAATATCCAGTTTTCCTAGCAGCATTTATCGAAGAAACTGTTTTTCCCCAATGTATGTTCTTGGCACCTCTATAAAAAATGAGCTCACTGTAGATGTATGAGTTTGTTTCTGGGTTCTCTATTTATTCTGTTCCATTGGTTTGTGTGTCATTTTTATGGCAGTACTCTGTTGTTTTGGTTACTGTAGGTCTATAGTAAAATTTGAAGTCAGATAATGTGATGCCTCTAGTTTTGTTCTTTATGCTAAGGATGGCTTTAGCTATTCTGGGTCTTTTGTGGTTCCATATAGATTGTAGGATTTTTTTTTCTATTTCTGTGAAGAATGTCATTGGTATTTTGATAGGGATTGCATTGAATCTGTAGATTGCTTTAGGTAGTATGGACATTTTAACAATATTGATTCTTCTAATTCATGAACATGGAATATCTTTCCATTTTGTTATGTCTTCAATTTCGTGCATCAATGTTTTATAGTTTTCATTGTAGAGATCTTTCACTTTCTTGGCTAAGTCTGTTCTTAAGTATCTTATTTTATTTGTAATGATTATAAATGGAATTACTTTCTTGATTTCTTTTTCAGATTGTTCACTGCTGGCATGTAGAAATGCTACTGATTTTTGTGTACTTGATATTGTGTCATGCAACTTAACTGAATTTATTAGTTCTAATAGCTTTTTGGTGGAATCTTTAGGTTTTTCCAAATATAAGGTTATATTATTTGCAAACAAGGTTAATTTGAGTTCCTTCTTTCCAAATTGAATGCCCTTTATTTCTTCTCTTGTTTGATTGCTCTTGCTAGGACTTCTAGTACTGTGTTGAATAACTGGTGAAAGTGGGCATCCTTGTCTTGTTTTAGATCTTAGAGGAAAGACTTTCAGTTTTTTGCCATTCAGCATGATACTAGGTGTAGGTCTGTTCTTCTATTAATATTATATTGAGGTATGTTCCTTCTGTAACCAGATTTTAGAGGGTTTTTATCATGAAAGAATATTGATTTTTATCAAATGCTTTTTCAGCATCAATTGAAATGATCGTATGGTTTTTGTCCTTCATTCTGTTGATATGATGTATCACGTTAATTGATTTGCATATATTGAACTATTCTTGCATCCCTGGGATAAATTTCACTTGGTCATGATGAATGAACTTTTTAATGTGTGTTGAATTTGGTTTGCTAGTATTTTGTTGAGAATTTTTGCATCAGTGTTCATTAAGGATATTGGCCTGTAGTTTTCCTTTTCTGATTTGCCTTTGGTTTTGGTATCAGGGTAATATAAGTCTCATAGAATGAGTTTGGAAGTAGTCTTTCCTCCTCTATTTTTAGAAATGTTTTGGGTAGGTAAAACAGAGATATAGACCAATGGAACAGAACAGAGCCCTCAGAAATAATACCACACATCTACAACTATCTGATCTTTGATAAACCTGACAAAAACAAGCAATGGGGAAAGGATTCCCTATTTAACAAATGGTGCTGGGAAAATTGGCTAGCCATATGTAGAAAGCTGAAACTGGATCCCTTCCTTACACCTTATACAAAAATTAATTCAAGATGGATTAAAAACTTAAATATTAGACCTAAAACCATAAAAACCCTAGAAGAAAACCTAGGCAATACCATTCAGGACATAAGCATGGGCAAGGACTTCATGTCTAAAACACCAAAAGCAATGGCAACAAAAGCCAAAATTGACAAATGGGATGTAATTAAACTAAAGAGCTTCTGCACAGCAAAAGAAACTACCATCAGAGTGAACAGGCAACCTACAGAATGGGAGAAAATTTTTGCAATCTACTCATCTGACAAAGGGCTAATATCCAGAATCTACAAAGAACTCAAACAAATTTACAAGAAAAAAACAACCCCATCAAAAAGTGGGCGAAGGATCTGAACAGACCCTTCTCAAAAGAAGACATTTATGCAGCCAACAGGCACATGAAAAAATGCTCATCATCACTGGCCCTCAGAGAAATGCAAATCAAAACCACAATGAGATACCATCTCACACCAGTTAGAATGGCGATCATTAAAAAGTCAGGAAACAACAGGTGCTGGAGAGGATGTGGAGAAATAGGAACACTTTTACACTGTTGGTGGGACTGTAAACTGGTTCAACCATTGTGGAAGACAGTGTGGGGATTCCTCAGGGATCTAGAACTAGAAATACCATTTGACCCAGCCATCCCATTACTGGGTATATACCCAAAGGATTATAAATCATGCTGCTATAAAGACACATGCACACGTATGTTTATTGCGGCACTATTCGTAATAGCAAAGACTTGGAACCAACCCAAATGTCCATGAATGATAGACTGGATTAAGAAAATGTGGCACATATACACCATGGAATACTATGCAGCCATAAAAAATGATGAGTTCATGTCCTTTGTAGGGACATGGATGAAGCTGGAAACCATCATTCTCAGCAAACTGTTGCAGGGACAGAAAACCAAACACCACATGTTCTCACTCACAGGTGGGAATTGAACAATGAGAACCCTTGGACACAGGAAGGGGAACATCACACACTGGGGCCTGTTGTGGGGTTGGGGGAGGGGGGAGGGATAGCATTAGGAGATATACCTAATGTAAATGACGAGTTAATGGGTATAGCACACCAACATGGCACATGTATACATATGTAACAAACCTGCCCGTTGTGCACATGTACCCTAGGACTTAAAGTATTGAAAAAAAAAAAAAAAGAAATGGTTTGGATAGGATTGGCATTAGTTCTTCTTTAAATTCAGCTGTGAAACCATTGGTCCCAGGCTTTTCTATGCTAGGAGACCGTTTATTATGGCTTTAATCTAATTACTTGTTGTTAGTCTATTCAGGTTTTGAGTCTTTTCTTGGTTCAATCTTGGTAAGTTGAATGTGTCTAAGATTTGTCCATTTCTTCTAAGTTTCTCAGTTTATTGGCATATAGTTGCTCGTAGTAGTTTGTAATGATCCTTTGAATTTCTGTGGTATCAGTTGTAATGTCTGCCTATTCATCTCTGATTTCATTTATTTGGGTTCTCTCTTTTTTTCTCTTAGGCTAAAGGTTTGTCATTTTTGTTTATCTTTTCAAACAACCAGGTTTTTGTTTCATGGATCTTTTGTATTGCTTTTTTAAAATTTCATTTATTCATGCTTTGATCTTTATTATTTTTCTTCCTTTACTAATTTTGGGTTTGGTTTTATTTTGCTTTTCTATAATAGTTCTTTAAGATGCATTGTTCGGTTTTTTGTTTGAAGTTTTTCTACTTTTTAAATTATCGCTTTGAATAAACTTTCTACCCCAATCTTTCTCTCCCTTCTCTTTATGCCAATAACCCTTAGCTTTGCCCTTTTAGGCTGTTTTCTAGATCTCACAGGTGTGTTTCATTCTTTTTTCTTTTGTCTCCTCTGACTGTGTATTTTCTTTTTTTTTTTTTTTTTGAGACGGAGTCTCGTTCTGTCGCCCAGGCGGGAGTGCTGTGGCGCGATCTCCGCTCACTGCAAGCTCCGCCTTCCGGGTTCACGCCATTCTCCTGCCTCAGCCTCCCGAGTAGCTGGGACTACAGGCGCCCGCCACTGCGCCCGGCTAATTTTTTGTATTTTTAGTAGAGATGGGGTTTCACTGTGGTCTCGATCTCCTGACCTCGTGATCCGCCCGCCTCGGCCTCCCAAAGTGCTGGGATTACAGGCGTGAGCCACCGCGCCCGGCCGACTGTGTATTTTCAAATAGCCTGTCTGCGAGCTCACTAATTCTTCTGCTTAAGTCTGCTGTTGAGAGACTCTGATGCATCCTTCGGTATGTCAGTTGAATTTTTCAGCTCCAGAATTTCCACTTGATTTTTAAAAATTATTTCAATCTCTTTGTTAAAGTTATCTGATAGGATTCTGAATTCCTTCTCTGTGTTATCTTGAATTTCATTGAGCTTCCGCAAAACAGCTATTGGGAATTCTCTGTCTGAAAGGTCATATGTCTCTGTTACTTGGGATTGGTCATTGGTACCTTATTTGGTTTGTTTGGTGAGGTCATGTTTTCCTAGATAGTCTTGATGCTTGTATATATTTGTCAATGTCTGAGCATTGAAGAGTTAGGTATTTATTGTAGTCTTTACAGTCTGGGCTTGTTTGTACCTGTCTTGGGAAAGCTTTTCAAGCATTCAAAGGGAATTGATTGTTGTGATCTATGACTTTGGATATGATATCGCTGCAGCCATGTCTGCGTTAGGCAGCACCATAAGCCCAGTAATGCTGTGACTCTTACAGACTTGCAGGTTTACCACCTTTGTGGTTGTGTTAAGATCTGAGAGAATTCCCTGGATTACCAGGCAGAGACTCTTGTTCTCTTCTCTTACTTTCCTCTGAACAGAAGAAGTCTCTCTTTCCATTTGAGCTACCTGGAGTTGGGGGAGGTGTGACTCAAGTACCCCTGTGGTCATTACTACTGGGATTATACTGGGTCAGACTCGAAGTCAGCACAGCATTGGATCTCACCCAAGGCCCACAGTGACCATTGTTTGGCTACCACCAATGTTCAGACAAGGTCCAAGGGCTCTTCAGTCACCATGTGGTGAATCCAGCCAGGCTTGCGTCCTTCCCTTCAGGGCAGTGAGCTGAGGGCAGGTACAGAAATGCCATGCAGGAACCAGGGCCTGGAGCCGGGAACTTTAGGAATCTATTTGGTACTCTATTCTGCTGCTGCTGAGCTGGCACCCAAGCTGCAAAGCAAAGTCCTTTACACTCTTTCTTCCCCTTTCCTGATGCAGAAGGAGCCTCTCTGCATGGCAGCCACTGCCCCGTGCCTGGCTACTGCTGATGTTCAGTCAAGGCTCAAGCTGGCTATTCAGTCAGCTTATGGTGAATGCTGCCAGGCCTGGGTTTCTAACTTCAGGGAAGTGGGCTCTTCTCTGGCCCAGGGCAGGTCCAGAAATGCTGTCTAAGAGCGAAGGCCTGGAATTGGGGATCATAGGAGCCTGCTTGGTACTCTGCTCCACTGTGGCTGAGCTGGTGCCCAAGCTGCAAGACAAAGTCACCTTCATTCTTCCCTCTCCTTTCATCCAGCAGGCACTTCTCCCCATGGCCACCACAGCTGGGAATGCACTGGGTCACACCTGAAGCCAGCATAGCTCTGGATCTCACTCAAGGTCCATGGCAAGTACTTCCTGGGTACCCTTGATGTTTATTCAAAGCCCAAGGTCTCTTAGTCAGCAGGTGATGAATCTTGCCAAGACTGGGTCCTTACTTTCAAAGCAGGAGGTTCCCTTTAGCCCAGGGTATGTCTAAAAATGTCACCTGGGAGCTAGGGCCTGGAATTGGGGCCTTAAGACTCTGCCTAGTATCTTAACCTACTGTGGCTAAGCTGGTATCCAAGTTGGAAGACAAAGTCCTCTTTACTCTTCCCTCTACTCTCCTCAAGCAGAAGGAAGGAGTTTCTCCCAGAGCTGCACTGCTTGGAGTTGGGGGAGAGGTGGTGCAAGCACTTTCTTGGCTTCCCAAGCTGGTGTCTCGCTAAGTCATATGCACCCCAAGTCTCTTGGCTCTGAGCCCAGTACAGCACCAGTAGAAACTTCCAGGAGTTGCAAACTAGTTTATGACACACGATTTTGGAATTTTAATCCCCCAAAATTGATATACTGGTTGCTCAGGTGCCTATATGTAATAAATAAGACAACCTATGAAAGGGGTTAGGCATGGTACCTAGAGAGGAAGACCTGGAGGTAGTGTTACATCCTTCTTCCATTCCATTTTGCAGAAGTCACCACTGAGTTGCTGTCTAATGAGTAGTGATTCATGTTTTGCTAAATTGAGAATGCCAGACTACAGAGTAATGCTCTGTGGAGGAGAGCCGAGCAGGGATATGTAGTATCTATGCTGTTTTTTAGGCAGGAGACCAATTTATTTTTTTCTGTTAGAGGTGGGGACAAACCTACATCACATCTTTAGAAATGGACAAAAGGTTGATTATCTGACTCTAGACTTCTCCCTTCTAGAAGCTAATTCTATGGAGTACGTATGGACACAAAGAAGGGAACAGACACAGGGGCCTACGTGAAGTGGAGGGAGGGAGGAAGGTGAGGATCAAAAAACTACCTATTGGGTACTATTCTTATTACCTAGGTGGCAGATAATCTGTACACCAAACCCCTGTGACACACAATTTACCTATATAGCAAACCTGCACATGTACGCCTATATCTAAAATAAAAGTTAAAAAAAATTAAAGCTAGTTCTGATTTAGGGATCTTTGATGTTGAATGTTGATGAAAAGTGATTTATATTTGTGATTGCTAGTTTCAGAACCACTACGATGAAAAAAGTGACTAAACTTTTGGTAATGTGAACACACTACTCCTTAGAAGTATTGTCCAGACTCCAAATTCTGCCTGTCATTTCTTCATTTTCATGCCCTCCTGATTGCCTAAAATAGTTAGACTTCCCATTTCATGATTGGAAAGGCATTGCAAATATTTTTACATTAAAGTCCTGGAACTGTAGATTATTTTCTACCAGGGATATTAAGAAATTTCAGGCCAGGTGCAGTGGCTCATGCCTGTAATCCCAGCACTTTGGAGGGCCGAGGAGCGGGGATCACAAGGTTGGGAGATCGAGACCATCCTGACTAACACGGTGAAACCCCGTCTCTACTAAAAATACAAAAAATTAGCCGGGCATTGTGGTGGGTGCCTGTAGTCCCAGCTACTCAGGAGGCTGAGGCAGGAGAATGGTGTGAACCCGGGAGGCGGAGCTTGCAGTGAGCTGAGTTAGCGCCACTGCACTCCAGCCTGGGCAATAGTGTGAGACTCTGTCTCAAAAAAAAAAAAAATTTCTAATCACAAAGTAAAACATATTCATTGTACCTTGTATCAGTATGTACTCAATTACCTTATTTTAATGTTCTGCATACATTTATATTTAGCAGATTTTTTTCTGGTATTGGTTTATGTGCTAATTTACTTATTTATTTAAAGAATAAATTACTTAGTTAATATTTATTTTCCCTACATACATGTAAACTCTGTAAGATCAGAGATCTTTTTGTCAGAGGCTGAAGATAAAGCCTGTTAAGCCAATTAAGAGCATAGACAGTGCTCAGTAAACATTTGCTGAATGGAATACATGAGTGAATTGTAAACACTTTGGAATTTATAGAAAAGTGAACATAAGAAAACAGAAGCCCTAGAAATAAACCATATAACACTGAAAGTGTACCTGTGTATTTAAATATGCCTGTATATGTAGAAGTCCTTGCTTTGTACCGTAGTGCATGACTGTAAAAAAAAGACTTTGCAAACTGAAATTATGCAAAACAATCCTAATAATCAATGAAAACAGTTACTATTGCTCTTTGACCTTTAAAAATTTTTAAATCACTACAGTCTCTCTTGTTGTTAGCTATAAAGGTATAGGGAAATGGAAAAAGGTAAAACTAATATTTATTCAGTACACAGTAATTTAAAACATTAGAAATATTGATATTAAAATTGTTTCATTGTACAGTCTTATCAGGAGTAGTTTGAATAGTGCTTGCCTTCTTCCTGTTGTACAACTTATGATACAGAGCATGCATTTTTTTTCAATGCCTAGACAAACTGTCATGCTCTCTAAATGTGGATCAGCTTACATTTTATCCTGTGTGCTTTCCATGTCAAGAAATGTCTCCTAAAACTCCTTGAATGTGAAGTTTTTAGCCAGTATCACTTTCTCTAGGACATCATCATCCTTTTCATTACAATCACTTTCCTTGTTTATGTTGATTAATTCACCTTCACTAAGTTCCTCTAACTGCATATACAGAGTCTTTCAATGGTGAATGGCAGCATCGTTTACATTCCATGATTAGCTACGTCGTCTCCATTTACGTTTGATACAAATTTTACTTCCAATAGTATTAATTTTTGTTTGTGTACATTGCCTTCATTCTTGTTGTCCAGTTCTGTCTTTGATTATCCATGTCACTTGCATTTATCTTTGGGAGACAAGAAGGCAACACAGCTACACACTTTGCTGTCTGTGTGTGAACTGAACAACAAACACGCAGTGATCAATCACTGACATATTTTAAAGAAACACCCCATGATTGGTCAATGATCATTATGCACACATGTTAGTTACGTAGTGATTTATGGACTGAAGAGCTAGCTGCAAAGTTTGTACTTTATGAAATTACTATTAATATACCATGTTAACTGAAATTTGAACTGTATTGTTAGGGACTATGTTATTTAATCTAAATTGTGGTGACTGAAATGTACACATATCAGACTGAGCACCGTGAGGGCTGCCTCAATTCCTAGCTTTATTTTATAGAAATATATATTTCTTGTTTCTTTACTAAAATGGGATCATTTAATGTGTATTATTTTTATTTTTAATTTTATATGGTATACATGTCAAAAAAGTCCAGCTATTTTGACTTCATATTTTATGATTGAGTGGTATTTCATTGTGTAGTTGTACCATACTTTATTTAACCAATCTTCCTTTATGGATGTTTAGGATTTTTCTGTTTTCTCAGTTATAAACAATGCTAGAATGATCACCTCTGTCACTAAACCTTTGAGATAACTCTTATTTATTTAGAATGAATGTATTTCTAGTACAAGAATTGTTGGCTCACAGGATATATACACTATTTAAAAATTTTCATGTCCCACCAGAAATTTTCATGTCCTTCAAGCATTTCCCTTTAGAGAGATGTTTCCATTTAGGCTCCTACCAGTAACATAAATCAAGAAGTGCTGGGTGCATGATTCCCAAACCCTTGCCCACGTTGGGATTATCATTTTTTTTTTTATTTTTGACATTTAATTAATTAATTAATTAATTAATTTATAGACAGGGTCTTGCTTTGTCACCCAGGCTGGAGTGCAATGGCATGATCTCGGCTCACTGCAACCTCTGTCTCCCAGGTTCAAGCCATTTTCCTGCCTCACCCTCTTGAGTAGCTGGGAATACAGGCACACGCCACCACGCCTGGCTAATTTTTTGTATTTTTTTAGTAGAAACAGGGTTTCACCATGTTGGCCAGGCTGGTCTCGAACTCCTGACCTCAGGTGATCCACCCGCCTCGGCCTCCCAAAGTGTTGGGATCGCAGGTGTAAGCCACCGCGCCCTGCCATTTTTTGACATTTTAATAGGTGAAACACATTTTATTTTAATGATTAGTTTCGATTTTTAATTAGGTTGAATATTTTTCATGGGTTTATTTGTACTAAATAAATTTTGATCTATGGAATTTTATTCTGTCCTGTATTATAATAGTTTTCAGATGGTAGGGATTTTTGGTTTTATTGGGTCATTTGTGTACATATATTTCTACAAATTTATATATGCATGTGTGTATGTGTGTCTATCCATAATAAATATATTTGTGTGTACTTGAACTGCATTCACATGTATATAACATTGTTGGTTTTACCCAGGGATTTTGAGGAGTATTTGTGGGCCTTAAATTTGTAACATGACCATCAATTTCCAACTGCTTTTCTTTCTCTCTCTCTCTTTCTTTTCTTCTTCTTCTTCTTTCTTCTTTCGTCGTCTTCTTCTTCTTCTTTTTTTTTTTTTTGAAAGGGAGTAACCCATGACCTGGGGGAAATTCTAGTTAATTTTTCATTGCATGATTTTCAGGAGATAGGGTCAAAAGGAGCTAGTAGGGCATTCAATTATGTGCTTGAGTGTGTTGGAAAATGTTTTTTTTTTTTTTCTCTCTCCCTCAAGTGTACAATATTTTACTTGGGCTTGTTTTTCAAGTGCATTGAAGTGTGACTAAACATTTTTGGGTACTACCATTCTGTAAAGAAGAGGGCCCATCTTGTTAAATATTCCTTCATCAACTTTGCAGTTAGCCAGTTATTGGCAGGGAGAAGCCTGCGAGGGCATGAGCTTTAGGCATTGGACAGAGGGAGGGTGGGTGGGAGGCGGGGACTTGGGGGATCTCAGGATTGGGGTACTTTGTTGTCCCTCCCACTGCTGTATGAAAAAGTGACTGGTTCAAGCTGGCTTTTGTCTTATAATTTTGGATGAGTCATAAGTGGAGAAGGAGGGGAAGTGAGTGGTTAGACCTCAGCTCATCTGAGGGCTAAAGGTTCTTTGTGACACATCACACAGAATTGGAGTGCTGTCCTTCTGGAGAGTGGTGGAGAACCAAGATACAGTTCAGAACCAAAGGAATAGAGAAGGGCTTTGATTTCTTTTTGGCTTTAGATTGGGGATTTGGGAGGCTTAGCAGGAAAGATGTCCACTGAAAATGTGGAAGGGAAGCCCAGTAACCTTGGGGAGAGAGGAAGAGCCCGGAGCTCCACTTTCCTCAGGGTTGTCCAGCCAATGTTTAACCACAGTATTTTCACTTCTGCAGTCTCTCCTGCTGCAGAACGCATCCGATTCATCTTGGGAGAGGAGGATGACAGCCCAGCTCCCCCTCAGCTCTTCACGGAACTGGATGAGCTGCTGGCCGTGGATGGGCAGGAGATGGAGTGGAAGGAAACAGCCAGGTGAGGCATAGCTGACTGTATGTAGTACTGACCCAGGGAAACAAGGGCAGGGCAAGATGCTTGATCCTGGAGTGCCGTTCTTTAGCCTTAGCACTTTGAATGGCCAATGGGCATGATGTTGGCTGGGATAAGGAGTAAATAATTCTATTTCTTCTTTTCTTTTTTGTTGACATGAATGCAGGGCACCTCTTATTTCACTATTGGGGCATTGTTTCATTGATCCATGTTGCTATAATTTTGGCTTTTATAAGGAATTAGAAATAAAGCTCAATTTATATACTATTTAATAGTAAAATATTTTAGAGAGATAATAAACTCAGGTACCCAAAAATGACAGCCAAGAGATATGTTTCCACAGTGTCCACATGCCAAGATCTCTTGTGAGATTTTGTGTGACTTATTACTCATTCCCTGTCAAGAGGTGGGTTTTGGCCAGGTGCAGTGGCTTGTGCCTGTAATCACAGAATTTTAGTAGGCCGAGGCAGGTGGATTGCCTGAGCCTAGGGTTCAAGACCAGCCTGGGCAACATAATGGGACCCCATCTCTACAAAAAAAAAAAGAAAAAAAAATCAGCCGGGCATGGTGGTGCATGCCTGTGGTCCCAGCTACTCAGGAGGCTGAAGTAGGAGGCTCACTTGAGCCTGTGAGGTCGAGGCTGCAGTGATCTCTGATCATGTTACTGCACTTCAATCTGGGTGACAGATTGAAACCCTGCCTCAAAAAATTAAATGAAATAAAAAAGAGATTATTAAAACAATGAGGAAAGTTGCTCTTATGGTAGTCCCCCCAAGGTTATCCACAGTTTAGCTTTTCATGGTTTCGGTTACTCACTGTACAGTACAGTAAGATATTTTGAGAGAGTTGCCACACTTATATAACTGTTATTACAGTATATTGTTGTATTTATTCTATTTTATTATTAATTATTGTTGTTAGTCCCTTACTGTGCCTAATTTACAAATTAAACTTTATTACGTTTTATATACAGGAAAAAAACATAGTATACATAGGGTTTAGTACTATCCATGCCTTCAGGAATTCACTGGGGGTCTTGGAATGTATCCCCTGTGAATAAGGGGACTACTGTATTTCAAGTATAAACCTGTAATCTTTTAAATATCCAGCTGAAAGTAGAAGGTTCATCTGAGTTTGGAGTTTAGAGGCCCGAGTTTACTTTGACTCTGTTGCCTCTTAGTGACAAGACACTCGATTTCCTAGAGCTTTGGTCTCATTATCAATAAAGAGTGGATAATAATGCCTATTACATATTATATATGTATGGTATATAAAACATATATGTAAATATAGTATACAATGTATTTATAATGTCACATATATACATACATGTGTATATGTATATGTATGAAAATGCTTTGTAAATTGTTAAGCATTACACAAATACCTGGGGTTTCATTAATCTCATAACAGAGCTTTTCTTTTACATACAGATTCAGAGATATTCTCCAGGTGAATCTTCTGTGACATAAGGCAATTATGTAATACAAAGACTTTGATTATAATGCAGTTGTTGGTCTCTCATTGTCATCATTATGTGCTGATTCCAATGTATTTCACTTTCATAAACAAGATAATGTTAAGATAAACCTCTTATAGTCTGTAATTTAATTCCAATCAATTCAACTCAACCAGTGTTATTTGAATGAATAGTTTATGTCAGGCACTGTTTTAGGTACCATGAATATAGCAGTGAGCAAATGAGGATCTTACATAGATCTCTATCTTATTAAAAGGTTTGAAGTAAGTTTAATATAATACCTTACAATATGAGAATAAGGGAAACCAAATCATTATCCCAGCTTTGAGTTTAAGAAAAACAAAGCAAAGATAGATGAAAGTCTTCTTCTGTGGTTATAGATGGAAAAAGTATTTATGGCTGCTATTTTTTCTACATAGACTTAGAAAGAAATTCTAGAGTCAGAAAGAAAATATTTTTAAAAATCGCTTTAATCAATTAGAGCAGATGAGCTATAAAGGAGCAATAAGCCAATAGCCTTTCCCTTTATGGATGAAGAGTCTTTTAAGAGTTAGAGGAATAATTTTTATTTTCTGAGGCATACTTTAAAATTTCTTACATCATACCACTTGTAATCAAGTGTTTATGAAGTTAATTGGATTTTTTGTAGTTTAGTTACTTAGGCTTATGCTTTGTAGGCTTATGGATTTATTTTTATTTCCACAATTTTAAGTAATATTGAATGTCTTTAGCCCTTTGGGATTTTTAATACTGGAGAAGCTTCATAAATTAATTTATTTGATAATGGGGGAGAAGTTTTTATTCCTCACCAAGAGTTTCTAGGTAGCTTAGTCTTGCAGAAAAAACTGCTTTAAAAATGTTTAGAACTGATGGAGAATTTCTTATCTTTCATAACTTAAACAATGCCCAGAAAAAAAGTAATTCGGCTTTACTCCTAGCCCCAACAGTAGTATTAGGGAAAGAGACCTAATTTTTAAATACTTTATTTTCAATTTACTGGGTAATTCTCTTTCTAATAGACATCTACAGTGGGTGTGATTGTTTAACTCTTCTGTTTGATAGCTACTTAATATTTTCTTCTTCTAATTAAAAAAGCTTTCATAACACATTTCCACTCCTCATCTGTAATACTTTCTTTTGAAGCTTTTCATTCTTTGCTCTTTTGGGGCTTCCTCCCAGGATACATCAACTGTTTCTTGTTCCCCTCTCTCAGAACCAATAACCTGTATAGAAAAAAATCCTCTGTAAAGTAAAATTTTAGTTCCTAAAACATCCTCCAAAAGAAGGCTTCCAAAGCAAAAGCTTTTTACTAGTGAATCTGTTTCATTCTTTCTTTTCCTTCTTTCTGATAGAAAAATACAGTGTGAGAATTGTCCTGGTGCAGCCTGAAGTGTTGGGAGATTTTGGTCTAGTCTTGGCTTTGCTGCTCACTAGCTGTTTCACTTTGAGCAAGTCATGTAGTCTTTCTGAGCTTGAATTTCTTTTTTATCAGATGAAGGTCGTATTGAGTTGCCTCCTCCCTAACATTATATATATTTCATAGCTCTAAAATTTAATTCCTGTGTGTATACTGCTACACTCAGCTAAGACTACTTTGACTTTCTTATTTTCATCTTGAAGTTCTTTGTGAGTTGTTATCATAGAGTATAATTCAGGTGTAGTTTTCTGTTTTTCATTTCAGTCAAATGCAGACCATACGTTATTTTACATAATTCCTGGTCCCAGAAAGGTAGAGAGATTATAGTTCATTGTATAGGTAATTCAACATTGAATGATAGGAGCATAGGATTTTCACTCAAGATTTTTAAAGATTAAGATGGTTTTGAATACTTTACCATCCTTAGAGACGTTATTTCCTTGGGAGCACGTGTGCCATTTTGCTGATGTAGTCTGTCCCCAAGACACCCTACTGCTGGAGAGGAAGAGTGTTGGGAGTGTATCGTGTGTCACGTCCACGCTGTATAACTTCTCTTTATAGGGCTTACCGTAATTGCTGTCGATTAATTCATTATGTATGTGATATTATTGTTTTCATATGGTCTCCCTCATTACATTAATTTATCTGCAGAGAGACTACCATGTCTGTTCACTATCATATTTCTAGTTCCTGGCAGTGTCTGATTCATAATAGGCTCTTAATAAACATTTGTTTAATGTGTGATTGGTTGAGAACTGATTGCCTTCGACACAACTGTTCTGAATATAATACTTTCTTAGAAATATTAATTGACCAAATCAGGGTTCTGTATAATTATTCTCTTTCTGACTGATAAAAAGCTATGGAATGAAAGACCCAAGGTACCCAGAATGCCATTGATAAAGCTTAGAAGGGGACCTATGTTTAAAGTTTCAAACTATTTCATTAATATATTGATGATATCTGCATTTATAAAAGCACGGATATAATTCCTTATTTAATTGGAATCAACTAATCGGAGGGCTAATAGGATTCTCAAAATTGACATGTCTAAAACTGAACTTCAGATCTACTCTTCCTAAAGATTTCCTCTTCTCAATAGACAATTCCATTCTTTTAGTTCTTGAGCCAGAAACATTGGAGTCTTCCTTGATTCCTGTCTTTCTCTACACCCAATATCTGACCAATTGGTAAATTCTGTTTTACCTTTAAAGATATTCACATATTCAGAGATTTCACTACATCTCACATTCAGTACTACTACAACTCTAGTTCATCCCATCATTTCTCACTGAGATTGCTGCAGATGGCTCCTAATTAGTTGATCTCTTTTCATCTGCTCTTACTTCCTTTATGAATTATCTGCCATCATCTCTTTGACCTTGTCTTCCTTTTCATTTCCTCTGCTTCACTCTGCTTGAGCCTCACTGGCCAGTCATGCTAATCTGTCAGGAACTTTGGACTTGTTGTTCCCTCTGTCTGAAATGTTCTGTCTTCCCTGAACCCCCACAGTTATCTGCGTGGCCCATGTCCTCATCTCCTTCAGGTCTTTATTCAAATATTACCTGCTTAGTGGTTGTCCTATCTATAATTGAAACCTTCCCCCAATGCTTCCTATCCCTCATCTTTCATTATTTTTGTCCTTAGCACCTGTCATCATTTAGCATACCATATATCTTGTTATTGTCTCTTCCCAATAGAATTAAAGCTCTGTGAGGGCAGAAATTTTCAGTTGTTTTGCCACTGTATTCCTAGTGCCTGAAACTACCTGGCACACAGGTCATGCTCAACAAAGACTGGTTAATAGAATCAATGAATAGAGAAATAGAACCTTGATTCTTGGTTTGCTGCTCCACCTACATTCTTTGGAGAGGCGTGGAGTGAATATGCTTCTGGAAATATTCAGCTTTTCAGTAACCTTTACTATCTGGGACATACCCTGCTGTCAGAATGTTTTTGCAGTAATTTTTGACTCCCATTTGTGATGTCTAGTTTCCAGATATGATAGTTTTTTCCCCCCATTAAAAGCCCTCAGACCTACCAGACTAATAAAAGTTTAATGCTTAGAAGGAATCCATTTTACATATGAAGATGTGACATGAATCTTTTTCTGGCCAACTTATAAATTGATAATATTTTGATTTTCTGTGAAAGTCGCAATTGATAGCCTATTTTATTTCATAGAGAGCTAACTCTCCAGACTTCTCCAGCTCCATGTAGGTTCTGTTATAAATCTACAGCCCACAGAACTCAATATCATCCTTCTTTCTCTTTTAAGACCTATACTTTTCAGTTGGCTAATGATTTCTTACATATTATTGAGATGGCTAATGATTTCCTACACATTATTGAGATGAGGAAATCTGTAGGCAGAGTAGATCTGAAGTTCAGTTTAGGATATTCTTGTAGGATCAGGATAATAATGCATCAGCATTATTATGGCTGTAGTACTACTTCAGGAATTTCAGGTTGGCCCTGTGCCTAAAAAAATGAGAATTGTTTCAATAATAGGGGGAGATGTCCCCTTTTAAGTCATGGAAAGCACAGTAGTTATACTATGAACAAGATTAAGTATTTATTTATATGAAGTTTAAAGTAACTCTCAACTCTATCACCATCCCTTTTACGTCCTTTACCTGTTCTTCCCTTTCCTAAAAGTTAGAACTTTGAATTTTCAGTGGTTCTTCCAAAATAGAGCACAAGTTGAATATGGTAAAAAGGGTAGACTTATCAGACCTGAAAAATCGTTTGGAATTGGTGAAGAAGCCTGTGCTTCCATTAAGAATGTCTAGGTGACTAGGTGTCAGCTAATGGGTTCATAAAGCAAACTGGTAAAAGAATAATTCATGATCCAAGTTTGATGATGGCCCAAAGTCAGGAGAAAGGGACTTTTTTTTTCCCTGCCCAAATTCTTTATTCATTTGAGTAGGGATATCTCTGCAAAAATGATTATTAGCTGTCAGTTTCTCTTCAGTGAATTTTCAGATGGACAGTGCTGGACTTAACCACTGTTGTATGAATGTTTGTTAAAGATAACTCCCCCAGCGTAATTCAAACTGTGCTGCCAAACTTGGGTATAAAGGAAAGCCATCACAAGTTTCAACAAACACAAGCCAACAAAGGAAAGGGGTATTGATGTTTTACTTCCAACTGGACACCACAAATGTACACCCACTTGTGTTTCTGCTTGGCAGATTTACTTCAGGTAAATCTGAAGTACCTGATTTAAGGGCATGGCCATTAAGCACCAACATGTGCACTTATACTGTGGGTTTGGGCAAAGACTGCTCTCTCCCAGTCTACACTGACTTCTCTGTCTTTTCTCTACTGAATTACTTTGGGAAATTCTATTTCAGGCCAAGTTAATTTTTCTGTAAGAAAAAGACTCAAGGAATTTAATCATCTATGTAATCATATATAGTTATGTCCATGTAGTTGTGTACAATAACTTTAATAGTGGATCTAGAATTTTAAGAATTCTCCTTAAAAACCTCATTTTTCCCAGGTACACACTAACGTTGGCTTCTTTTAGGGTGATAAGGCACTTGTTAGTTAGCAAGACATTTATCATCATTTCAATAGTTGTACGTAGTTGGAATTTATTTAGTGTAAAGGTCATGTCTGTTTTCCACTGTACAACTGATATGTTATTAAGTTAGAGGTCTTTTTTTTTCTTAATTATATTTAATCATATGATTGGAAAGTTGCAAAATTCAGTGATTCCCAGTGGGTCTTTTTTTTCTTCAACAAACGAATGAAATGTTGTTTGTTTGGCAGTCACTGAAAATGTCTTAAACTGCAAAGTATTTTATCATTATTCTTCTAAGACCTTGGAATAAACTTCACCTAATAAACCCCTCCTCCAAGGTTAAAACGGTTTTGTAATTGCAAGTATTTAAAAAGCCTGCTTCTGAAACAAATTTTTCTGTAACATGTCAAGTACTGAAGCAAAAAGAAAGTGGGAAACTTATTGCAAATATGTAGTTATTCATAGTTATTATGAAGGGGAGATAGTGGCTTTTAGTATACTATTGCAAATATGTAGTTATTCATAGTTATTATGAAGGGGAGATAGTGGCTTTTAGTATACTCTACAGTAAAAAGTCTGTTTTTTTTTTTTAAACGTAATTGCATGGTTCTAAAGCACCTTTGCAGATTCATTGGCACTTGAATAGGGTGAACTTTGGTACTTTTGCCTTAGCCTTTTCTTTAATGGGCTCTGATTTGAACTGAGTAGTTTTCAGTTTTTGTTTTTATTTTCCAAATCCAAATTTGTCCTTGATATGCGAGGAGGCTAGACAAAGCATGTGCCATTTCTGGAATGAAACTACCTGAAAATGATCTGTTTAAATGGGAAAGCCAGTAGTTTATGTCCAAATGCATTTGTTGGAAGTATAATCAGTTCCTTAAACAATTAGAGCAATACATTTTAAAGCAATTTAATAGGCATTTTTCCAGAGTTCTCCTTATGCTGTAAGCTGTGCTGTAATATGACATCATCAAAATATTCAATATTTACTGAACTTAAAGTAAAATAAATGCTAAACTGAGCTATGAGATAATATTTATCCCTTATAAATATAGATTTTAAGAAACTGGCTAGTTTTGAGAATTTATATTTCCATTCCTTTATGGTTAAATCTTGACCTAAAGAGCTGGTGTAATCCAGAAGGGTGAGTAATACTATTTCATAAATCCACCCTAGTTTGGATTTATGTTTTGCAAATGCACTTTTTAAATGTATTCAAAGTCATATTTAAGTCTAACCAGGTTGCCTACAATATAAACTATGGAGAGGAATAAATAAAAGATGGACCACAAAGAACTGCAGTGGTTTTGCTTCTTTTTCTTTTTAGATAAAATCTTATTAAACTTATATTATTTGGACAGTTGAGGATTGTCTGAGCCTATTCAGGCTGCTATAACAAAATACCATAGACTGGGTAGCTTACAGACAACAGAAATTTAGTTCTTATAGTTCTGGAGGCTGGGAGGTCCAAGATCAAGACATTGTCAGATTCAGTGTCTGGTGAGAGCCTGCTTTCTCACACATGGCACCATATCATTGTGTCTTTACGTGGTGGAAGGGGCTAGATAGCTGTCTGGGGACTCTTTTATAAAGTCATTAATCCATCTAATCACCTCCCAAAGGGCCCATCTCCTTATACCATTCCCTTGGGGGATAGGATTTCAATATATGAATTTTGTGGGGACATAGACATTCAGACCATAGAGAGGATGATGGCAGAAAAGAACTACTGTATATAAGTGAGGCTTAGTTTTTTTTTAAGTAATAGAATTGGCAGTACAGGCTGTTGGCAGCTGATAGAAGTGGGGGCTCATTTAGGAAAGATAAGAAGGAAGTAAAGGCCTTGTAAAACACTCCCCTTTACAGGGCTTCTAGCTGCCCTGTGTCATTCATCTTGGGCTTAAATTCTATGACCAAATATTCTATCCCTCAGAAAATAAGCATACTCTTAGGAATTCAAGAGAAATCAAGGAGTCATTACACTCTTTATAGATAGATGACATAATTCTAGATAACTCTGACTTGCTTTCATATATGATGATATCTTCCTTTTTCTAGAGTCTTATCTTGAGCAATAAATTATAGCATCATATATAAATATGATTCATATGCCTATTACCAACAAACATGCTTAGCGATTCTATGAGCAAGCATGAAAAGATGATATACCTAAAGTTAACCAATGTAACATTCTCCATCAAAAATAAATTAGTTTCAAAATAACTCTAATCACCTTATTACCTTTTACAGTTTTGGTTAAACCCATAGAATTCTTTGAGTGTGATATAAAATTGTCGTTTTTTTTCTCCCAGTTCCTTTTATTTCTGTGGTCTAACTTGAATCAAAGTGAAGAAATACTAATTTAGTCACACACACACACACACACACACACACACACACACACACACTAGAAGTCTTTCATTCTGTTTTGGAATGTGTCACAGCTACTTTTGTAGAAATAAACCAAGTCCAGTTCTGAAGTTTCAGAACTTCTTTGGTGCTATCGTTGACTTTTTAACCATGAGGTAAACAGTAAAAATCTCCCTTCCTGCATTTTTGGGGAGGATACAGGGAGAAGAAGGAGGGTCTTAGAATTGTGGGTAAGGTTGATACAAGGTTACCACTAACATGGGAGTTGCCTGGCTGTGAGAGCCTTCCTGAGAGGCACATGGAGGGGAAAGTCTTTAGATACGGCTAAAATACTTCTGAAACATATGGGTGCTGGGCTTGATTAACATTCTAAATTTTCTTTGACATTGTGGGCTGATCGCTTGATCTATTTTCACTCCTGGTCTACTAATGTGTTTTTTTTTCCCCTCCTCTGGGGGTGGTAAGAGGTCTATAAATAATACCCTATGTAGAGCTTCCTCTGATCTCTGCCCTTTGTTCTCATCTTTAGTGAGTTAGGTGAGCGTTTAGCTTTCTCTAGGAAAACATTTTTCAATCATTAAGCCTTTGGGTGAAGAATGTAGAAAAACAATTTTTATTCCATCTTTATCTCTTTCAATATCTCTCAGAAGGTTTAAAGTGAAAGAAGCCTTTTTGTTAGTATCATGATGAATAGCAAAACGATGTTGCTTTCCCATTTTCCTTTAACAGTGTAGGAAGTGTCTGTGTAATATGTGGGATATAAAGTCTGTCAAATGTGTTTTGCTCTCATTTCCATTAAGGTTTTTTATTGCTATATATTGCTAAGTTATCAAAATGTCTAGGAGTCTTAGAAAGCAGAAGCTAGAAAAGAGGGTTGTTCCATCGCTAAGGTTAATAGGATATCTCATATTATCAGAATAATCTGTTGTTCACCGAGCTTGTGTGTATTTAAACACACATGGAACCAGACTTGAAGGGTAAAGCTTTTAAAATCACAATAAGAGGGGAATATGCATCAGCTGAGATATGTATATTAAAGGAAGACACAACAAAACGTGCCGGTCTTCCTTAAGCATCAATAAAACGAAATTTTACATTCATCTTGCCACTTCACGCATCATGTTTTTTATGTCTGCGATAAATATTGGTTCATCACTGATATTTCACCTTATTTAAACTTGCCTCATGAAATCACAACAGAATCCTCACAGTGGTGGCTATTTTTATGCACTGTAGGCTGTACCCACATGGAGAATTTTGAAATGCATATTTTTCTACCTTATTAAAAAATTTAGTTAAATAATTGGTCTTAAGGATCTCATGGTTACATATAGGCAGATATAAAACCAAGGATGCTTTGGCTTCTCTTGCTTGGCTTTTTTCTTCTCTAACTTCAGGGGAAGGAGCAGTCTAGTGCTTCTCTTTGGGTGTGTTTATGAAGATTATGTAATTAATGATCTAATAAGCTATTAATACTCCACAAAAAGAGACATTTTGGAAGTGCTGGAAGGGGTGAAGATGGAGGGGTTGAGACTGCTATTTCTAGAGGAAGTTAGAACACTTTTAATTGCTCTTCACTAATCTCATCTTCCTAGGTGGATCAAGTTTGAAGAAAAAGTGGAACAGGGTGGGGAAAGATGGAGCAAGCCCCATGTGGCCACATTGTCCCTTCATAGTTTATTTGAGCTGAGGACATGTATGGAGAAAGGATCCATCATGCTTGATCGGGAGGCTTCTTCTCTCCCACAGTTGGTGGGTAAGTATGCTGTTTGAATTTTATCCTATTTTTTTCGGCTTTCCCTAGCCACATGTCTCCATCAAGGCAGATGACTAGTACTGTAAGCAGAGTTAAATGTTTTATAACATTTATTCTCTCTTTTTGCATTATAACATTAGTATGATTTATTGCAAGAAAATCTGAAAAATACACAAATATTAAGAAAATAGAAAACTATCTTCCATAACATCTTCCTCTGGTCATTGTTGGCATTTTGGAATATTTCCTTCTAGCTTTGCTTCTCAATCCTTTCCCTATGTTTTTGATTTTTTTTATTTTATTTTATTATTATTATTATTTTTGAGACAGAGTCTCACTCTGTTGCCCAGGCTGGAGTGCAGTGGCGCGATCTCAGCTCACTGCAACCTCTGCCTCCTGGGTTCAAGCGATTCTCCTGCTTCAGCCTCCCGAGTAGCTGGGATTACAGGTACCTGCCACTTGTACCTTATGTACTTCAGATGCATGAAAAGTGTGGGGCTTCTTTGCAAATCTAACTAACAAGCTCTCCGAAAAAGAACCAAGTATATGTACATCAGCCAGACATATGCCTCACTTGACAGCTAATCTATTTCTTCCAACACAAATGCTGCAGCATTCATATTATCTATAATGTAAAGAAATGGATGTCATAGATAAGCCTTTTGTCTACAGATATACAAAGAAACTTTGCAGTAAGTCTAAAATTAGACAAGAATGTTACACTGGTCACCTTCTGCAGGTCTTTGATCCACATCTTCTTCCCCATAATCCCAGGGTAGGCACACTGCAGACCCCTTGGAAAAGTGCAGCCATCCCTACAGGTCCAGTGCTCACCTGGTTATGGAATTTCCTAGGAATAAGAAGTGGAGCCCCTGCACTTCTTTTTAAGAAAAAACATGATCTTTGGCACACCTAGATCTGAAGGATAATACGGCAGTTTAGGCCAAGCTACTGATAGAAAATGGAAACAATGGCTCCAGTTTGGAATGCAGTGGTGTGTGCCCAAGGTGTTCAGCATGATGAGTTAGCATTCAACGCACAAAGTACTAACTACAAAGGAAGCCAAAGCTGCCCTGCACCATGAGGTTCAGTGACTTTGATGGTGGTGATACAAATGATGCTTGACACCAATGTGACCTGACTCAATCACTTACCCGTAATGTCTTGCTGGATCCCTGTCCCACCCAGCCTTTCTTCACATGCAGCTAAAGGGGCTTGACTTCTGCCTACAATCAACCCTAACCCAGGAACTAGACTACTTCTCTTCTTACAGATGATTTAAGTCCTACTTTACAGATGATGAAACTGAGGTCCAGAGAAACTCAGTGCAAGTCTAAGATCAAAGAATTCTAGAAATCTAGTGTCTGGACTTCCAGTCCAATATAACCAAGGATGGATGAATAAAGAGACTCCATTTATAATGTTAATCTTATGCTAATAAGTGAAAGTGAATGTAAATCTGTGCATACAGAATGAAAAATAACTAAAAAGGAAAAGTATCGCTGGGCGTGGTGGCTCATGCCTGTAATCCCAGCACTTTTGGAGGCCGAGGTGGGTGGATCATTTGAGGTCAGGAGTTCGAGACCAGTCTGGCCAACATGGTGAAACCCCACTCCTGCCTCTACTAAAAATACAAGTGGAGAAGGGAGAGGACTTATGTAAAGATGCTGGATGGACAGAAATAATTATTTTATACATTTATTCAGCAGTAGTACATGGGCTTCTACAATGTGCCAGACACTGTTCTAGGCCCTGAAATCAGGGTTTGTAAATCTACCACTTTGTAAATGAGACAAGGTACATGTCAACATAGGTACAAATCTGCATTTGTAGTTAGAAAATAATGGAGGAAACAATTTTATATAGCATTTTTCATATTGAACAAGGCAGGTGAAGCTGAAAATGGAAATCTGATATATGAGAAGAGATCTTGGATTATGGTACCCAGGGAGATCGGAACCCATCTACAAAAACAGAAGCAAGCAGAAAGAATTATTTTCTGGGCCATCTGTTCCATTGTCTTTTTTCATTCATTAAAAGCTGCAAGAAAGATTGTTATCCAGAAAAGTATAATGATTGGCAACAATCAATCCAGTTTTTGAGTGAAAATTGTAATTTCTGCATTCTCAGACCTTAAGAACTAACCTGGAGCAAAGATGTCAAAAATTACACAAGTTGAAAATAAATCAAATGTGCATAAATGTAGGGCAAACTGGAGAAGAAAATCATGACTTGGCAGAGTATAGGCAGTCTAGGAGGAGAATAAGGGTCACCAGGAAGAGTCCCTTATTAAAAAAAACACAATTTTTTACCATAGATGATCATTACTGCCTAAATTTTCCCCACTTAGGGTTTCATGCCACTGTGCTCAGGGTTTGTCCTCTATTAAAATATACTTACTCTATGGGAAGATGTCATATATTAATTCCCGTGAGATACAGAGTGATGTTGAAGAAGGAATGCTGGATTTAATGTTGGGGAGTTTTAATTAAAGTCTAGCCCTATTAGCATGTATGACCATGGGCAAGGCCAGTTACTGAACTCTTTTGGAGTCTTCATTCCCTCATCTATAAAAAGAAGATGAAGGTGGACCTTTCAGGGTTGTTATGAGCATTAAATAAGATCATCAGATGTATTTGCTGTCTACTTACATGTCTATCCCAGTATGAATAGTTTATCCAGATATTTCTGCATGTCACCTAGCAGAGTGTAGAGAAATGAGTCAGATAGAGAGACACTCAGTGACTTCATGAACGGGAGACAAGATTCCAAATGGTATGGTAGACAGAGCTGGAAACAGTTGAACAGCATCCCTGCTGTGCTTGGAACTGATCAGCAAGGGTGATGAAAGTTAAAAGTTGAATTACACACTTGGATGTTGCTGTAAAACTGTCTTTGGGATCTTCATCACCAGGAAGAGCCATCTTAAGGAGCTTCTGGTCTTCAGCAACTAACTGACCGTTTTCATGTTGTAGAAGAGAGAGTACCAGATTATACTGGAACGTCTTTAGCGAATGGCCAAAGAGAGAAGGTTTTGGTACTTACTACATATAAGAGAGGTTAGCCAAGCATTTTGTGGTTTCTCTTCAATTTTTCGTTACTTTTTATTATCAGCTGTGAACTTTTTCTCTAACCTCCATGCATTTACTTTAAAAATTGTCATTACATGTTAAAATTTGACACTACTATGTCACTTTGAGGTATCATCACTCACTAATATGTTTGCTCTGCAGTTCCTGGGGCAAGCAGTCAGAGAGCCAGTGCTGTCATTCTGGAGCTGATAATACAGAAAAACAGTTCAGGGACAAATAACACATCATAAGTAAAACAAAGAGGAGGAAAAGGGCCAGATTTCCAGAAGTGGGGAGAAGAGCATGTTTGAAAGAGTGTCACTAGCTAAAAAACATCTTAATCCTCTGAACTAATCAAAACCCTACAGAGGATAAAACATGAACGAAACAGAGCCCTTATTTCATCTAAATGACAGACAATGGCACAGTAACTTGAGAAGTTATAGTCGTTATTTGTTTTTTAAAAAATCCTTTTGTAGCAGTGGGTGAGGTGGAGTTGTTTTGTCCCAAATCATGCTGATACTTCTGAGTTGAGAATTATGCACAGCTAAATCTTAAGATGCATCTCCCCCCGCACCCCAATTTTATATCAACAAATGAGAAGAAAAAGAAATAATAGCAAGCATGATTATATCAAACAAACAATAGCTGCTTTTCATCTTCCTTTGCAGTCCACCTGCTACCCCTCACCAGCCTGCCTCTGAGAGGCATCTCACCCTGCAGGCTCAAAGACAGCGCCACACCATGTGAGGGCCCTGCACCATGATGCGCGACTGTTTAAGCAGGTGTTACTTCTCACACTTACATAAAAAATTCAGCCTATTTTTGATTCTTCTCAGGATTTCTACTTGATTTTTTCACGAAGAACCCCTTCTGAATGTTAATAGAAAAATTTATCTTTAAAGTATTATAAAGGATAAAACATCATTTTCACAGATTATTTTAATAGCTTTATTATTAGTATCCTCATTGTAATTCTACGTTTAAAGAGTGTCATTCACGTATGAAGCCGAGTCTATGGGAATTTTCCTCCCCTTTTAAGTTAAAAAAATTATAAGCCATTTCAGGTATTTTACCATGATGGGAAGTGAATTGGGAAAATGTAGCTCTATTTTTGGAGTCTCATTTTTATATTTAAAGGCATTCCTGAGCTGTGCATGTTGGCAGATGTATTGGTCCTATTGTTTCTTACTTTTTATAACTTTTACATTTTCAAAATGGCAATAACTTTTTTTCTAGTCACAAAACTAATGCATGTTCATTTTTAAATAACCCGGAACATATTACAGAGCTTTTGTAATTCCTAGTCAATACTGCAACATTGTCATCAGAAATGGAATTGCCCATTGAATACCTTTCACATCATGGGGGTTGATTCAATAAGAAACATATATTATCTTAGTTAATCTTGAAGTTGAATATTTATTTATATATTTTTGGCCCTTTATATTTCTTTTAGGAATGTTTGTGATCTTTGTCCATTCTTCTGTCACATGGCCATCATTCTCTTGGTTTGCAAAAGCTCTGCGTATATCAATTATTTGTTTCTCTAGAGCTTAGTTTTTAAATAAAGAAAAATATTGTGTGACATGGGGAAAGATCTAAACTTAGAGTCAGAAAACCTGGTTTTATATGGGAGTTTTGCCTCTAATCAGTCCATGTCTGTGGGCAAGTCAGTCTGTGGCCCTGTGTTCTCATCTGCATAGCAAGAGGTTGAACTTGATGCTCCATGAAGTTCCTTTCAGCTCTGCTATCATCTAGTGTTGGCACATTCTCTCCCAATTGGTAGTGTCTGTGGGATTTTGAACACCGAAGGCTTAATTTCAGTGTAGCTGTGAAATGTTACTGCCCCCACTTTCCTTTGAAGGATTTTGTCGTTTATACTTAAAGAGATCCCTATAATGTTGGCCGTTTTAATGGAAACTTAATGAAGGGCATAAAGCCACACAGATGTTTTAACCTGTTCTAACTGGTGATTTCCAGGCATTAGTAACAGAGGACTGGCTGTGCATACATAAAGATTGGTTTGAGATTTCAAGGGAGGGTGAGAATAGAGGGAGGCCCTGCCAGGAAGGGTAGATAAGAAACACTTTAGTCTACAACCCTGAAATTAGAGTAGGAGTTTGATAACACTCATAGCAGACATGGTGGGACTGTTTGTTTGTTTTTCTGGTTCTTCTGTAAAATGGACTTTCCACTTTAAAAGGACTTAAAGGAAAAGTAGAGGGGTTGTGTTTTGTAGGCACCTAATTATTTACTGTGGAAGAGAGGTTTAATTGTAATTACAGGATCAATTCTGATAGTTTTGCTGAGTGGGGTTTGTGTAGTTTAAAATACTCAGAGCTAAAAACCACTCTAAACCAAAACATTTCTATGGGAGAAACTCTTCCTGCCTTGCCCAGACTCCCTACCAAGTGGTCCCATGTTATGTGACAGTTATGGCACCTCTGTGAGGCATGTGATGGAAAATCCTGGATTCAGCCTCTGCTTGGCTTCCAAACAGTTGATAGTACATTGTGTAAATTGCCAGTTTCTAGCTATAGGCTGTGAGGCCAATTCTGTGAGTGTTTAGAAGATGGACTTTTGAGAAATTCAGTCATGCCCAAGCAAAACCCGTTGAACATCTGTAACTTCTCTTTACAAAGAAGTGGGAATCCTTGGGAGATGCTGTTATCCTACCAGTACCCATCAATTTTCTTGCCGGCTTTTGGAAAAGAATAGTTATTGTTCGTTTCTTTACATTTATATACTAAAGTTTGCCCAAGTGGAAAATATCAGTGTGTGCTAGATGCATCCATGTACCAGAAAGGGAGCCATGGGATCCATTACTCACATTCTGTGCAGAGGACAAAAGGTCTACTTGCATACCTTGAGACAGACTCCTACCAATGCATATCTTGCACAGATTCTGTAATGTTTTGTCCTCAGCCCCATTCTGGATGGAGATAAATGTTGGCCTGTCATGTAGATGTAGAGTAGAATGTACCAGGCTTCATTTATGCTATACTGCTGACATGCTGACTTGTGAGAAAGAGGGTTTCTTATTTTCTATTGGCATAAGAACTTACCTTCCAGCAGAGTGACCTATGAGCAATTTCTATGAAACACAGTCATCTTTCTGGTTAAAATCATACTAAAAAAAGAGTAATAGAAACTTTACTTTTTTTTTGGTAGTAAGACTAAGATATTAAAGTTTCATTAAAAATTTCAGTCAGTTTATACTTTAAAATGCCCAATGGAAATATACTGGAAAGTCTTCAGTTGGATCTGAACAATAAGAATAAGCCTCCTTTCTTAGAAAAGACTACAACATAATTTTGTAGTTTAATCTTTCTTTCATTGGATTAACTGGTGTTCAGATGACCTGATATTAAATACTGTTTCCCTTGACTGTATTCTATTATTAAGTACGTATAACATCACAGAAGAATTTGGGAAAATAGATTTTAAAAATCAACAATCTCATTACTTTTAATTTTCTATACTCTTTTTAAGTTTTTAAATATCATTTATATTTCTGATATACATTTGCTATGAGTACATGAACTTTTTGACTCTTCCCCTTTTAATTGAAAAATATAAATTACTGACTTATTGTGTTACAGGATAATCTGACTTATGTGAATACATCATATCTGGGCCTGAAAAAACATAAAATGAATACTCTAATATTTGTATCTCTCTCATCAATGCCCATATCTGTGTACCCTGTGTCTTTATCTTTTACATAAAATGGGAAATTAGAAATTTAGAAAACAATATCTTGCTATTAAATTTGAGGGTGACATCCATAAAGTTAGAGTAAAAAAATAACTTTGTGGTCTTGTGACTGAGTTTTGTTTTTTGCTTTTGTTTTTGTACCAGAGATGATTGTTGACCATCAGATTGAGACAGGCCTATTGAAACCTGAACTTAAGGATAAGGTGACCTATACTTTGCTCCGGAAGCACCGGCATCAAACCAAGAAATCCAACCTTCGGTCCCTGGCTGACATTGGGAAGACAGTCTCCAGTGCAAGTAGGATGTTTACCAACCCTGATAATGGTAATGCAGAGGCCAGCTGGCTGCTGCTTTCTCTTACTTATTTCACTCACCTTTACACCGTCTCCTGTCATCTTTGTTTTAACCCTTCTCCATATTTTTTCTTTTCTTGAGTTCATATGCCATAGTCATTTCATATTGACATTTTTAATCCAGTTGGACAGGTTTGCAGTCTTGCTGGAAAGATTTCCACAATTGTTGTAGGCTGCTAATGCCACGGTGACTTGCTTACTCCATATACATCTATTCTGATTGATGGAGGTGGTTTAGTAGTAACTCTATGATGAAACAATTGAATATTATAGATGAGTCAGCAGATTCGTAGATTATTGAGTACCTCTGTGAATATGTTTTCCAGCATGTTTGCCAGAATTAGGAGGAGAATAGTAAGATATGATAAATGCCTTGAAATCTCCTATCACAAAGTGTTTGCTTAGTATGTGAAATGGTGTCCAGTCTATATAAATGATGACTTCATCAAACTAAGCCTCCATATTATTTTTTACCTCTAATAAAACCAATCTGCTTTCTGATATAGGATAATGATAGATCCAAGAATAATTATTCAAGATGGGATATTAACCCCATTATTTAACAATAAGTAAGGCACTGTATCCTATCTGTAGTTTATTGATTTACCAGAGTTTCCTGTAGAGTGTCTATCTTTTGTATCATGGCGTTTGTTTCAAATAAATTTCATGATTGGGAGCAATCTGAGAAGGGAGAGGTCAGTTTCCATGAGGTATGGAAAATGAAGGTATGAAGGAAAGAACTACTAAGCATTGGCTGATAGGATTAGGTCTATCCTCCCATCCCACCCCCAGGCTTTTTAGTGTTAAGAGAGATGAGGCCGGGCGCGGTGGCTCATGCCTGTAATCCCAGAACTTTGGGAGGCCGAGGCGGGTGGATCACGAGGTCAGGAGATGGAGACCATCCTGGCTAACATGGCGAAACCCCATCTCTACTAAAAAATTACAGAAAATTACCTGGGTGTGGTGGCACGCACCTTTGTCCCAGCTACTTGGGAGGGTGAGGCCAGAGAAAAGCTTAAACCCGGGAGGGGGAGGTTGCAGTGAGCCAAGATCACGCCACTGCACTCCAGCCTGGGCTACAGAGCGAGACTCCGTCTGAAAAAAAAAAAAAAAGAGAGAGAGAGATGAGTAGATAAGGGAGATTCTAATTCATTGCCCTCAGCTGCACTTTCAGAATAACATAAAACCGGTTGTCATGGAAAAAGGTGGAGTAACTGAATTGCAACTCAGCCACTGCATTTCTGGAAATGAGTTTTCTCTTAGTATTAAAGGTAACTGTTGGCTGGAAAAACACTACAAGCAGATTTTCTGTGGTATATTTTTTAGGCAAAACTGGTTATGTGCAAATAATTTAAATAAAATGCTTTTTATTAACAAAAATCACAAAAGAGAATTGAATCTGCAGTATTTCTACTACAGTTTGATGGTTCTACTGTTACCTAGAATATTGCTGCTGATGGGAAATATTTTGGTTTTTATGTCTCCCCTGGCTTTTTTTTTGTTGTTTTAGTTGTGTTTTTGGAAAGAGGGGTTACTTAATGGCTAGAAAGTTATAGAATGAGTAGTTTATTATAACTGATGTCACAAATATTTTATTTAACAATTTATATTTTTGAAATTATGGCAATTAAAGTTGAAGCTACTCTTTTATTTCTTATTTAATAATCCACTTTCTTATGTAAGATGAAATCCCAATATTTGCTGATTTAATTCGTTTATCATGGGGTTGGGGGAAGTATAAAGAAGTGAAAAAGTGCATTGTTTTCAAATACTGCTATATTTTCAAAAAGAAGTGGAATGAATATGGCATGCAGGAGGCTTTCTACCAATATGATGAGCTTCATTTCCATGGAACTGCAGGCAGAGTAGAAATTAGGAACAGATGGATCTTGGCGGCCAGAATCTTGTGCTTTAGGAGAAAGTATTTGGATATGGAATACAACTAATGAGTTAATATCGCTCGCCATTCAATCTTTCATCCTATCTGTAGATCTCTGTACTTGAGAGAAAAGTTGAAATTGCCTTTGCCATCCATCTTTTCACTTGTGAAATGTTATATATGCTGGGCAGAAAGCAAATAGGAAGGGTATGCAGTTCTTTTCCAGCTCTTCAGCTGATCAGCTTACACTCTGAAGTGTGGAATATGATTAGACCTTTTTAAACATGTTGTTATTTGCCTTAATGCTACCTAACTTCTTTTAAATATCCAGAGGCAAGATTTAGCTTTGAGAGATCCTTTAGCAATGAATTTTGTATGCCTTCAAGGTACATTCTTATAAATCATCAAATGGCAAATTTTTGGCTTTCTAGAGGTGCTCGTTATTAACTGGAAAGTTTGCGTAGTTACCTTTATATCTTAGGGTTTAATTACTTAATATCTTTAAAAAACTATGAAATGTTCTCTTAGAATAAATTTCTAAACAAACGTTCTTAGAATAAATTTCTAACTAAAATTTCTAATAAATGGAATGTTCTTAGTTTAAATTTCTATATAAAAATTATAGAATTACTGTAGGTAGAATTATTCCTACAGTTTTAATAGACCACAATCTTTCAGTCTGTTGTAGTTGGAGCTAGATTCTAATATCTCCATGTAAAGCTTAGATAAATTTGTATACCTTTGTCTTTAATCATAGGCTACAAAATAGATTCAGTGACACTGCCAGCTTTAGTTATAGCTAGCAACAATGTAATAAATAACTGAAATTTATAGAGATAACTTCAAAGTTGTGAATTTTTTCATTTCATGGTAGTGTACTGGAGTCAGCTCTAATCTGCTCGGGAGAGCCAGTTGATATCAGGGATTTGCAAGCTGGTTGTTAAATACAGCTACTATTAAAAATTAAGTTATATAAACATACAATTTAATAATTATATTAAAACAAAGATAACGAATACTGAAAATTTATTGCTTTCTGCCTGTTTCACTACATTTTACTGTAGTCTGTGCTCTTAAGGTTATTTGTATCTACTGTGTCTGTATGGTGGTAGAAATACTGTTAAATAGTGTGCCGTTGTGCATCTCTTCCCTCAGTGACTATACTGGTACCTTGAAATGGGCTGTTATGGTAGTATTTACCCCATAGAAACCAGCAAATGCTATAAATCAGGGCTTGATTTTTAAATTTTTTTTTTTGACCATTTGTCTCTAGGCTTAAAGAAGTGATGGAGAAAATGCTAATAATGTAGATTACATTTAAAAGTGTAAAGTGTCTATAACTGTTAAAATGAATAGCAGAAAAAAATTGAAGAACTTTTTTTCAGTAATCAAAAACTGTTATCTGATTTAGGAAAAGAGTCAGCCACATCACTGACAAATGGATGAAGTCTGACATATTCAATCTTCATTGTTTCACTTTTGTCTTATTGGTTAACATACATAATAATATTAATCAACAAATGTCACAAATATTTGTTGGATATTTGATGGATGTTGGAACTATACTCATTTGCCAGCTAGCATAACCATATGCTAGCTACTGATGCAAGAGTTTGGCCAAGATCAACTAAAGTATTGTATGAGAATCAACTAACTATATGCAATTTACAATACAATATTGTATATTTTATTATTATTTATATAATGTGTGCTACATATTGTTGTAGGACTTCTCCTTAGTTCAGTTAAAGACGGGGTTCTTGTCACACGACCACGAAAAATTAGGCTTGCACACAATTTGAAGAGTGAGAAAAATGGAATTTATTGAGCAAAAAGGAAAAAAAGGGAAACAGGGACTCTCAGCAGAGCGAGTCCTGGTAGTACAGGCTTCCTGCCTTGCAGATTGAATCCCAGGTACACCCAGGAGGAGGAGCGGCCCGGCTTCTCCACCCTGAGAACAGAGGGAAATTCCCAAGGCTCCACCCCAGTGCGCACTCCTCCCAGTGCACAGGCCGGTCAGAGTTTCTCCAGGAACCCCTCTATACTTGGTTGTGACAATATCCTTTATAACAGTAAAAATCAATGCATACACATACTCACGCACGCACACGTTCATGTATAAATATGGTTCTTTCCCCTGGTAACCGGTTTTCAAACATTTACTGGCACATCCACTACCAGCACACTACTGTCTTTATTCCTAAAGACTAACTCTCGTCTTTTAGCATCCTGGTATGGCTTGGGGTTCAAGACGATTTTATGTTTTTAAAAAGGAGCAAAAAACATTTTTTATCTGTAATAAATCAGGGAACAGTGAGGCAAGCTTTCAAAATGCTAATTATTGTGAAATTGCTACTTGTTTGAGACATGTGTAAATTCTATGGGCATGCCTGCCAGGTACTAAATTTTAGGCAAATGCTATCATTTCTCAGTAGATTAACTGAGGCATTTCTATAATGTTGCATGAAGAAATTAATGAGGTTTTAGGTAATTCTGGTGTTGGATTTTTCCTTACCTACTTTTTATTTATCACTATTGTTTTAGGTTGAACTATATGAAATTGCCAAAGGTAAAATTAAGTTGTCAGCAATTTCATATGATTCTACCTAATAATTTGGTCTGAGATACTTAGCTAATAATTCTGTATTATTTAGTGTATTATGAAAAAGTAATGTTTAAGCCTGGAAACATTGCTTGGTAGTATTTAAAAAATAAACATGTATTTAGTTTGCTTTTTATTAGAAAGTAAAAGTAAAGTTTTTTCTTAATTGGTATTCATTCAATAAATATTTAGTAAGATGTTTATGACAAGCATAACAACTGCATTTTAAAAAGTTGTGGTTTATAAGATGATCAGACTTTTTTTTAAATGTACCATTTAAATGAGTACTTTTTATATGTATTGTCTTATCCCAAAGCTTGCAAAAAATCATTGAGACCTGACTTTAAGGACCAAAACCAATGAGGAGCCTGAATTTGAGTATTCACCTTTTTCTACCTTTGTAGAAAGTTGGGTAAAGCCATCATCGACCTGTCCCTGATTTTTTCCTAACTTCTTCATTTTTTGTCCCCAGATTACCATAAAGATCAGTTCCTTGCCTTCCAAGGTCTGGGAGTATAGATGCCCTTTGCTGAGAATTGGCTTTAGTAATCTAATTGGATCTAGACTATGGATTTCATTTTCCCTTAATCTAATTTTACGACCTCACTTTGTATTAGTGAAAAGTTTCTCTTTTTTCAATAAAAAATTGGAAAGATAATTTAGTAGTTGCTCTTGATGTCTGTGAAAGAGAGATAATGAAAAGTAAGAAGAAATGTATAAAATGTTTAGAGTGGTAACTGGCACATAGTAATCACTCCACAAATGTTAGTAAATTTTATACAATATGTTTAAGCACAATTAGGGAAGAAAAATCTTATATTGAATAGGAGTGGTTTCTGGAATGATACTTGCTCTGTAGCTTACTATTTGGAAAGAAACTAGCAGATATAGTGCTGATTTATTCCCTCTGCCCTTTGTTAAGTGATACCAATAGTCTTTCATTAGCAATGGGAGGTGAGGAAGACCTTTCTCATCATAGCCCTCTTACGTAATAATTTGTTCCCTTCATTGGTTTTATCTTTTGCTAAATGGGTGTCAGGGGGGGTCCTAAATCACACTGGAAATCCACGACTTGGTAAAGTTGTCCCATCAGGGAGATAAGGAGCTGGAGACAGTGGCAGCTCCAAGGAGAGCGGCTGGCTCCTAGGCTTCTTGCTGCTTTCCCCATGCCTTCTCCTGGTGCCCGTGGTCTCCTCCATATTTGTAGGCACCCCGGGCCTGCTCCTGATAGAACCTCTGCATCTTATCTTCAATTTACCACCATTTTCCTCTTTTTTAATTCAAATATGAGAAATGTAATCCACTTGCTCCCATTATGGGTTGCCACTACTTACTCCTGAATCTGGACTCCTCTGTTTAAGGTTATCTGCCAGGTGGGATGCCACTTCCTAGCTGTCTCCCATATTGCTGGTTTGATATAAACACACACACCTTTAGGTATTTTTAAAAGCATAGTCTATTGCTGTTACCTACAGTAACAGATAGGTGGTTTGCAATGCAGAACAAACAATGGAAAGAAATCAATTTTTATGTTAATAGTAATTTTAGGCTCCAGTGAAATATAAGTGATATTAGTTGGGCTCTTGCTGCATTGGATCTGATTTGAGATTAGGCCCATTCAGACTATTTGGTTTGATATTAGATCCAGATGCCTTGACACTGGCTTATTTTGGATCTGGCTGGGACCACCGCCAGGTCTGGTAGCTTTCTCGTTCCCTTTAGAAATTCTTCACTTTTTGCCTGCACTTTGGATTCCAGCTTGCCCATTTGTCTCAGGCTGGGTTGTTCTGCTTTCCAGGCCATCCCCCCAACTGCCCCATACCCTTGAATTCAGACATGGTCCCTTAATCAATGTGTAAGGCAGATATTTCCCTAACCTGCTTCTGAAGCCGGCCATCATGCTTCTCTAGTTCTCAGATAGGTCAGTTGACATCTTGCAACTCTCAGGCCCACATCACCTGAAGGTTAGAATCCTCTTCCTATGTGCCTTTCTGCATACAATTAACTCTTTCCCAAAAGCAACAGCATACATCCACCTGTTTTGTTCAGGACTCTCATTTTCCGTTCATTTTCATAGCACAGATGAATGTCCTGACCAGAACCCAAATAACGATCAAGCTCTTTCCCACCTGAGAATAAATGAACCGATCTATGGAAAGTTGCTAGCAAAGTGCCTGAATGAAATCCTCTTCCTTAATAACAGTAATTATTATGGCTATTGTTATTATGGTATTTCTAACTCATTCATCAGGCACCATTCTTATTTTCTTATTTTCCTTTTCTTTCTCCAGGCAGATGACTGATTTTCCAAATGCATAATGTTCAGATCTTTAAATAAACAACACATTTTTCTCCAAGGGTCAATCTCTCTCAGTATTTGCTGACCTATTCCACTCTTTATAGCAATGAAGAGTTGGGCTTAGGAGATAAAACTCAAGTGGGTCTTTAGTTGTTTGACATTGAAGGCCTACTTTGTAATCTTCTTTTTAAAGACATGGGACCATCATTTCCAGAGGTTTCATTCAATTCTTTGGCAAATGTTTAGTAGCATTGTGGTTATGAGCAATTTACATAATCTCTTTGAGCCTCAGTTTTTATATCTGTAAAATAAGGGTAGTGATGTCTTATTCTGTGCATATAACCAGGAATAAATGAGATACCTTTGTGAAAATTATTAAATAAGCAGAATGTGAGATACCATTGTGCTTTGGTGCATTCATACTGCCATAACAAAATAGCTTAGATTGGGTAATTTAAAACAATAGAAATTTATTGCTCACAATTCTGGAGGCTGGCAAGTCCAAGATCTAGGTACCAGCAAATTTACTGACTGGTGAGAGCCCTTTCCTCATAGATGGTGCGTTCTATGGATCCTCGCAAGGTGGAAGGGGCAAACATTCCTTCAAGCCTTTCAGGAGAGCAGGAATCCCATTCCTGAGGGTGGAGCTCTCTTGACTTAATCACTTTACAAAGGCTTCACCTTTTAATACTATTGCATTGGAGATTAGGCTTCAACAGAAGAATTTTGGGGGGGATACAAACATTCAGATCCTAGCACACTGTAAGGAACAATTATTATCCAGAAATATTTTAGGGGGAAAATTTAGTGACTTTCAGCTTTAAAATTGAGGACAGAACTTCAATTCACTACCATTATTTTGCATTTTATTATTTTCTGTTTCTCTCCATTTTTTGCCTACTACTTCATTTATACGAAAATATTCTTGGAGTTTTATTTTTAAAATAGTGCTACTTTCATTATCTACTTTGCAGATGCCAAATAATACATAATGAGTTGTCACTCATGGGCTTTCTAGTATTTTTAAATTTAGAGTATAAAGATTGATCATTATGTCTAAGTAATGACAGTTTTAGCTATCAAGAAATAATATGTGTACAGCAAGATGTTACCATGTAATAAACATATTTTTAAATTTTACTAGTTGTCAGTCTGTTTTATACATCTAGGGTCTGTGAGAGAGTAAAAGAACTGAAATGATTCTCTTTGCGTTTATGCTACCACATGTGAGTGCTTTTTTCTTCATTCCCCTTTCCTGGAGAAGTCATGTATTTCAAGGACACTGAACTGGTTTGCTGCTGTCAACCCTGAGTAAATCTTCTTCCAAGGCTTGGTTTCCTTAATAGAGCCACGCTTGCAAAGTTTTTTGTATTCCCAAGCCCCATGTTGCTCTGGGAGCAATCGAAGTGTAGGTGCAGATCTGGGACCACATCCTGCTCCCTGTGAAAGAGATATAGGAGAGGGAAGGACAGGGAAAAGTAAGGAGAGAAGGGTAAGCAAGATAGAGACATAAAATATGAGCACCATGGGTTCATTTAAAGGAGGGGATAAATTAAGGTCTTCCAAGAATGACTAAGCATGCCTCATTCTACTCAACTCCTGTATCCATAGAAATACAAAGGACAAAAAGGAGATCTTTCTAGGTTTGTGAACCCAATTTCTTAAAAACCACACTTTGAATTTAAAGTAGGCCAGGATTTCTGTCTTTAGTGTTTTCCAACACTCTTCAAGATGTTGAACAAAGAAAATGTCATTCCATTAACTATATTAGTAGTAGAAATAAGAATAATGCCTCACATTATTATGGTAGCTCTAATGTATATATCATTTCAGATGAAAAACCTGAAAGTCAGAAATATAAATAACTTGTCTAAGCATAGTAAATGGAGGAACCCAGTGTGCTTAATAATCATATGCTAATTCAACCACAAGGGGATGAGCTTCCTCAATCATAATTTATTTCCCACACATCACCCGGTCCAGGTCTCATATGTAATAATGTGATGGTGAAGGGCTCTGGAGGCCATTCTACATCTAAGCAGGAAAACACACCAAACATGGCAGACAGATGATTGTCTTTATTGGCTTTCCAAATGGAGATTTCTAGGCAACATGTTTCATGTGTTTAGGTGAAATGCTGGTATAATCTTGGGTTAAATTTCTTGTCTAAATAGCAGTGCCGAGTGCATAGGAAGCATTCAATGACTATTTGAACATATGATGTTGCAATCCCAAAAGAGTCCTAAAACTTCACCATGAATAAAATTTATTTTCTTCTTAATAGGATTGTTTTAAAAAAAGCATTTTTTCTGGAGATATTGTGTGTGTGTGTGTGTGTGTGTGTGTGTGTGTGTGTGTGTATCTATTTGCTTGATTCAAAAAGAGACACCTTCACATGAACAGATTTAGGATTGATGGTTTTGGACAAGTTGATTCTCAAGGGGAATGTGGGTCATGTAAAACAATATTCCTCACAACATCTTTTTCTACAGTCTAAATATTGGATACCATCACTCAAAAGCCTTCGGAGCTATATCTTTCCTCATCAGATTGTGGTAATATAAACCAATTTCTACCTTGTTTATACCTGAAGTCAGGCAAAAGTGATGTAAAGAGAATATGTAAGATAATAGCAAGGCTAAGCTGTTTATTTTGTAGCTCAAGTGTAAAAGAGGTATGGTGAAAGCATTGTGTAGACAAGGCATACATAATATATCATTACCATGGTATAATTACAGAAAGTTCTGCTCTAGCTTTGGGAACGACTTCTCAAAATTTGATATTTGGAGTTAAATTTGTGAAGTGAAAAAAAGCAACATGAAAGGGTTACAGAGTTTATATCTCCTCCTGCACAGAAGTACACAGAGGGTCCAACAAATCAAAATGTAGACATTTGCCAATGTAAGTAATGGATGCTGTGCAAGTCTCAGCTTTCATGAGGGTAAGCTGCCAGATGGCTCCAGTCAGGCTTTGCTAAAACACAGGTGCCGAGTCTCTCTGGGCAGTTCCATTTTCATGCCTGTCTTTGGAGCCAGGTTCTTTGCTGGCGAGTGCCAGGCTTCATTCCACTGTCCCCTTGATGGTGAGGCTCTGCCTCAATGGAGGCTGTATACGCAAAAAGAAATTTCCAGCTTTAGTTCCCAACAATACACTGACAGGTTGAGGGGAGTAGAGGAGAGAGAAGCTGCTGGGGAACGTTAGTTATCAGCATGAGTTTTGGAGAAGCTGCTGACTTCCTCTACTCACGTTAGAAGCAAGCCATGGTATCAGTGATAAAATTTGGGTACCTACATACACATTAGAAGCTAAAGGAATATGAATTCTCATTCTAAAGAAATTGGAAGCTAAAGGACATGTCTTCTTTTGAAGAAGTTTCCTTTGTATTATCAGCTTCTGTCAGTTCTCACTGATCTGGCATTTCACTGGGTCCTTGCTTGGGCCTAGATAAATGTTTGCCAGTTGTTTAGCCTAATTCATTTAATTTAGCTAAGCCTGCAGGAATATTGGCTCTTTAAGCAGATCACTTAGTTGTCAAAAGAAATAGGAGGCAAAACTTGGCCAGTATGATAATATACATTTCTAAATGTCTCCCTCTTAACAAAAGCAATTTGGGAACAATCTCAACCCATTCATTTCTCTTTTTCATTTTTCTTAGTGCAATAAAAAGTTGCAAAGAACTTCAATTATGGGAAACAATTAAAAATTCAGATTGCAAAGAGAAGACATCAGATTTGCCTCAAACAGGTGCTGGCACAGATGGCCTGCTCACAAGTCCTGGCTTTATTTACAGCTTTTAAACACAGACAGATAAATTGACAAAAATGTTTCTCGATTTTATAATGTGCCGAATGCCCAAATTTGGCTATAAACTTATATTAATTTGTAAATGATTCACTTTAAACCTTGACCTCCCAAGTCATCAGTAGCCTTAAAAAGACCATTTGTCTCCCCTGTTGTTTGCATACTTATGTGAATAGATTATCTCATATTTGCTGTTGGTTGGATATGCCTTGTTTACTGCCTTGATCATTTAATGATGATCTTTATTAAGTCAAATTGCATGTAGTCTGATGGCTAGATATTTCCAACCTCGTTGTGATTCCTTAAAGGATAATTATGCCGTCTCTATTTTACTAGCCTTGGAGCATGACATTTAATAGGAATAGCAAAATAAATGACATGGAGCCCAAATGAAACTATCTTCAGGAAGAAGTTGATGGTGTTGTTTCCTCCAGGTGATAAAATGTATCTGGAGAAACCATACTGTATATGTAGCCTGCAACATTATTTAATCTTTGCTGTGGTCTAAGATTTGGCATAGGTGCACCAAAGGTTAAAATGTTAAAATTAAAAGTGAGTATTAAAGGGCACCAGAAAATGAGGACTAACATACATCCTTAAATTGGCTTATATTAAGGTATTAATTTATCCCTACCCCAGTCTTATGTTTCTGAAGGGCTGAAAAACAGAGGAAATTGAGATCCAGCTCTATATTCATCAAGGAAAATATTTCAGAAGTGAAAGTATGAAATGTTGCTTTCTCCATTTGTGCATAAGATCCATAGACCTATCTATTGAGTAGGTCATAAGAAAGCTGCTTACTAATACGACACCCTGCCCCCTGTGCTTTACAAAGCTGTGTGTAACTTCGCTCTGTGTGTGCTTATGTGGTTCATAATTATTAACAATCTTGATCTTACATCCTGAGATTAGTGTTTATTATGTAAATCTTTCTTCTTCTGAATATAATTTATGTTTTGTGTATTAGAACTGCAGGGTGGATCATCCATTGGTATTTGGGGAACTATAATGATTGAATGTAATTTTTTTAGACTTTTTCATTCTTTGTGGGGATTCATTTCATCTAAGGGTGCAGGGCATGGGAGGGAGTGTGTGTCTTTGTAATGTGTCATTGTTCTCCTTTAACCCGCTTGTGTGATTTGCTTTAGCATTTTTTTCTTCTTAATTAATGCTTCCATCCTCATCCTTGCTGTGGCTGCTCATGTGTCCTCCTCCTCCTCCTGTCTTCTGCTTCTGACACTAAAGTGCGCAGCCCGCTTGAGAACTCAGTGCCCTGCCTAGCAACCCGCACCTTGGATGATGACCCCCGAGTGCGGCGCACTCCCAGCGTGGGATGGCTAAGTAAGTCAATGGCTGGGGAAAGGGCAAGGAAGGTGGCGGTGGTCGGGAGAGGGAGGGCAGGAAGATCGGGCTCATGGTTACTGAGTGGAGGGAAACCTCAAGAATGCCTGAAAGTGTAAGATGTAAATATTCCTAAAGTCGTAATTGCTGACTTATTTCTTCTACTGTCAAAGAGTACAGTAATGAAGAACTTCCTGGGTGATCTGCTGTCCTGAATCCAAGTTGAGGACATTGTAAGGCAGTGGAAGGATTGTGAGACTAAGGGGTGGGGCTGGCACTGGCAGCCCTCCCTCCATGGGACACTTCTCTGAACCTCAGTTTCCTCATGGTGATGCTGAACCTTCTTACTTCAGAGGACTGGGAGGAAGGTCACTGGAGATGAGGTCTCTGAAGGTGGTTTGAAAGCATTCAAGTGCTAAGTAAGAGGAAGAGCTTACTAAGTTAATAATGTTAAATACCTCAAATACCTACTATATGCCAGAAAGACAGAATGGGCTATGGACAACAAAAAAGGGGAATAAGATAGAATCTTTACTTTTTAAAAATTTAGAGCTTGGTAAAGTGACAAGATTTATGTACCTAAAACCAAAAGAGAACATGCACAGGAAGCTACATGCACTTTCCCACAGGTTTCTAAACTGAGTATATGTGATATAATTTTTTTAAAGTAGAGTATTAAGAGATGAATAAGGTGATTCCCTGTCCTTGGGGGGTTTCCTTTCTAATGAAGGAGACAGGACATAAATAGATAACAATTGTATAAAATGATAAGTGAAATGAATGAAAATACATACACACACACACGATTGTGAGAACATACCCTTGGTCTGGGAGTGGCAGTAATAGAAAGGGCTTTTAGAGCAGGTGTTTTCTGAGCTAAATCTTAAAGGAAAAGTATGAGTTTGATATATCCATAAAATAGAAACTTAATAATTTTCCTTGAATAATAAAAGTTACAAATACTAAATACTTTATGTTATGCTATTTAATTTTCTGAAGAATCTTGTGAAGTGGCTATTGTTATTACCCACATTTGACAGATGAAGAAATTAGAAAGGTTAAGTAACTTGCCTAGATCACACAGGTCATAAGTGTGTAGGGCAGGACTTGAGCTTCATCATATGGTAGTTTCAACTATAATTTTATGGGTGATGCCTTACTGAAGTTAAAGTATAGGAAACTTACATGGTCAGATTGCCCAAAAGATCTGCTAATCCCACAATGAAGCTCTAACACTCACATGATTCTCTCTGCAAGAATCAAGCATTTCTTCTAATAAATTCTTTTACTACTTAATGATGCCTCTTGGGGAAAAAAATTTCAGGTAAAAAGTTTGGGCCTTGGAGTATAAAGTCAGGCAGGAATGGGTCTGAATCCTGGATCTACCACTCCTGGCTTCCTGACTTTGGGCAAATTACTCTTTTACCGTAAACCTGGGTGTTTCAACCAACTATAAAACTGAGTTAATCTTACCAACATAGGATTGTTGTGAGAATTAAATTAGAAATATCTAAAGTATCTAGTGTAGTGCTCAGCACTCAGTTAATCCAGCATTACTGCTGATAGCAAAGTTCTTATAGAAATTGCTCAAGAAATTCTAGCTGTTTTTATTTTTTTAAGTTTCATTTATTCCATGTCAGACATCCAGACATTGAAGTATTTTTGTCGATAAAGTGTCAAGGAAATTGACCAAAGTGTTCAGTTTGCGGATGATATGGAAATATGGCAGCTATTTGGAAATCAACTTGAGACCAAACCCTGGACCAATCCTTCTGAGAAACACATTTTAGTAATGAGGGAGGATTCTTCTCATTGTCTCTTTATGTGATGTAATCTCTCCCTAAATAATCAGCTTTGATGTATAATCACCTTCCCTAGGGCTTCTAATACTTACTGTATCCATTCAGTAAATGAAATAGACACCTAGTGAATAACTAAGGTGTGCAAAGTAGTGTTAAATACTGCTGGTTTTACCTACCTATTCAACCTCACTTTTGTCTCTTCTCAATATAAACTCTAATCAGCTTGTCTCTTTTCTTTTGTCCTATATCATGGAAAATCCTACCTCCATGTTTTTGTTGATAAACTCTACCCTTCCAGGAATGCCTTTTTTTTTTTTTTTTTTGGTACAGTCTTGCTCTGTTTCCCAGGCTAGAGTGCAGTGGCTTGATCTCGGCTTACTGCAACCTCTGCCTCCTGAGTTCAAGCAATTCTCCTGCCTCAGCCTCCCAAGTGGCTGGGATTACAGGCGCCCACCACCACTCCCAGCTAATTTTTGTATTTTTAGTAGAGACGGGTTTTCGCCATGTTGGCCAGGCTGGTTTCGAACTCCTGACCTCAGGTGATCCACCCGCCTCGGCCTCCCAAAGCTCTGGGATTACAGATGTAAGCCACCACACATGGCCCAGGAATGCCTTTTCCAGTATACCTATCCAAAACTATTCAGTAGGACCTGAATGAAGTTCCATCTCCTTTGTAAAATAGTTCTTATAAACACAGATCTTTTCAAGTCTTAAAATTCCATAACTCCTATTTTCTGTGCCTCACAATGGAAGATTTACCATATATTGTCTTACGTTGTTCTCTGATGTTTCATTGTCTTTATTTTTTCATTTCAACTATCTACATAAAAAAAAGCCTTCTCTAGGGTCTGTATCTCATGCTTTTGTGTCTCCTCTGGTGCAGGTACTTGAAACAAGGGTGTTGTACAATACACATTTGTTGACCCTTGATACTCCATCATTTCATTAAAAGCAACCAACAGCCCAGTTTTCACTAGGGCCCATCTTGGTCACCAGAAACCGTTAACCAAAAGTGAATATGGTTTACTTGTAAAAACTATTTCACCATATTTCTGCATATCCTGGTCTGATGAATTTGATTATCAATTTATTCTAATTGTTAACATGGACTTAAAAAACTGCCAGAATATTAGCTAAAAACAAATTTGTAACAAGGTTTTTTAAAGTTTATCTTTAAAGATTTTAGCAAGATATTTTCAGGCCTAATGTAACTAGAAGTTACTAACTACCTTTAAAAGCTTCATTTAAAGTTCCTTTTAAGGAGTAAGCTCTCATCATTTTTACATTGTGTGCTTCTTATCTTCATTGTCACCTGAGGCAGATGTGAGCCTAGAGCTCTTATCCATTTCAAATGCTGCCAAGGTATTGAATTAGAATTTGGAACAAAACCAAAAATGATTTCCTCTTACAGATCTCACCGGCAGGCCTGAAACCAGCCTGGGCTGGGGAAAACAAAGAGAAGCTACTTTTCAGGACAAGTTAATACCCACCTAAATGCCTTGCCATTATTAGAGCATAAGAACATACCCTATCTTGCTAGATCCAGAATGGCTTTTCACTCTTAGCGCTTATCTGTGAATTCAGTTTGACATCTAGCAGCCAGCATCATCTGAGCCCTTAGAAAACACTTGTGTCCTTTTGCATTTACTGGCAGTCGAAATCAGCTGCTTCAGACTCTCAGGTCTGAACTTCAAAGAAGAAAAGGAGGTTCAGAGTTTTTTTCTGTCATCTTATGCACATTCCTGGCATCTGCCTTCACCTTGCTTTGTATTTTACCTGTCTAGTTTGTCCATCTACTGGGCAGGGACCTGGTCCAGTTCAGTGTTTTGCTTTGCAAGTACTTACCCAGTGTTTAATGTTATTATTATCATCCCAAGTATTAGTAGTTGTAATACTGTTTTCTTTGTTTTTTTTTTTTATTTAATGAAACCACAGTGGTATAACTGTAGATTCTTGTTTCATCCTACAATCAGGCTACACAGTTAACATTAGAATTTAAATAACTGAATTGTAAGTGGACATTTTTTTGCTTTTAAAAATTTTTCTTTGAGCATTTCTGGAATTAAACAATTCAAAATCTTTTAACTTTTGGAGAGTTTACTGACTAAATTAAAATTACATAATTTTTCTCTGGCTCTAGGGTCTTCATAAAGTTTTACTTCTTTAGGAAAATGGTGAACCCAGAGAATTCACTTTAACAAGTTCAATTCAACAGCTGTTCACCAAGCTTCCACTCTTCTAGTTATATGGTCCAATCAGAGGGAAGGAGATAAGGGAAACTCACAAATAACAATCATTTGAGAGAAGCTATGGTAAGTGCCACCAGGAGGGTAGGGGGCAGACTGGTTTGTCTACAGTGTGTACAACAGTAGCATTTATTATACTCTCTGCAAATACTAATTAGAAGAATGAATGGTGGGGTATAAACAGAGAATTGGGAAAAGAATTCTTGGGAGAGACAGACTTTTCAATGGACCTTATATATTTCCGTAAATAGAGATTGTAGTAAGAGCAGGGTGAGACATTGAAAGATCATGCTAGGCTAGAGAAAAGTAAAAAAGCAACCATGTTGTTGAGAAAGTATAAATAAGAGTTTGTATGAGGTAGAGTGAGTTGATACATTAAATTAGCAGAAAGGGCATGGGAAGAAGATGTGTGGAGCTAGAGTGGCAAAATAATTGGGCCATTTTGTGGAAGGTCTATGAAAGTTTTTAGTACGGAGATAGCATGGTTAGAACTTTATGTTAGGGAAATTAACCTGTCAGTCATTCTTTGAGTGGGAATCAGTTAGGAGATGATTTCAGTAGACCAGTGCTGGAAAAAGGATTTAAGCTAGGATTGCGACTGTGGAAGTGGAAAGGAGGGGATAATGCAAGAAATGTTATAGGAATGGTGTTGTCTAGACTCAATAACTGACTGAATGTTAGGGGAGGAAGAGAAAGGAGTCCAGGATGCCTCAGGAGGTAGCAACCAGGAAGATCATAGGAAACCATTCATGGGCACAGGTGCTGGGTTTACAGAAGCATGACAGTTAAGATTTCTGCTCCCATCATACGTGTTGTGACCATCTTTGAAGATATGTTTCACTAGCAGATTTTTAGGTTACCCATCATGGGCCAAGACTCTTCTAGATTCCTGCTTTGTTATCACACTCTTAGCTTGGTGTTTTTTTCTCCTAAACTTTCTTTTGAGGTGGAGAACAACCACCACATCACAACTCTCTTTATTGCCCAGTGAATTTTGAGCATTCTTATCTTGATTCCAAGCATCTCACTTTCCATCCCTCTGTTTTTTTCAGATGCAGACTTGTTTTTGAATGGAAATATTATTTGGGTCACTTATTGTACCATTTCCACGTATATTTTTGGCCTTTAAAATCTAAAGCAATTCCAAGTACAACTTTAAAAATTCCTTCACTGTAGCTTTTCATAGTCACAATTTTCAAAAGATTGTAAGAAATAAAATCTTTCAGCAACCTGATGTCTATGTTCAGACTTTTTAGTTAACGTAAGACATTCAGAAATTGTATGTGGTATGCAAGAATGAGTTACAACATTCTTAAGATACAGGCAGTTCTAACCACTTTTTAATAAAGGAATTAGTTACTGTTTATCCTGAATTTATGAAAAACATATCATAAATTATTTCCTTGATATCTAATATTACATTTACAATGGACTAAAATATATTATGCTGACTTTAGACAACTATAAATAGAGAAAATCAAGATGAGAGAATAAAAACGTAGAAATTCTGTTATATTTCAGAATACTGGGGACTTGGAGGAGATTTCAAGAGGCACATATTTGGAAAAACGTTGGCAGTCTGCTAAAATTGTAAAACAGTTTTTTTTTTTTCCTAATAAGATTTTGGGATTTGTGAGGATTCAGACTTGTGCTTGACAAAATGGTGATATGTGTGATATATTTATAATCAGACTCTCCTGCTCATCACCAAAGCTGTCTGTTTTCCAAACCTTCCTGATCCTTACCATCTTTCTCCCTTCTTTCGGACTTGGAACCTTAGCGTCAACTTTGATTAATGCAACTTTGATTATACCTCCAGTATACCACTAAACCTGTTAAATGTTACCTCCATATTGTTGCTTGCCTCAGTCTCCTTTCCAGTCTGACTTTCCTTGCTTTTGTTCATGTCCTTATTTCCTTTTGCTTAGTCTGATCCAGTAGCTTGTTTTCTGGGGTCAGTGGTTATAGTTGGGCATATGGAAACGCATCTTACACTTTGTTCCAGTTGACCTTATCATACCTGGCTGATAAGTTACCTCCTCATGTGGAAGTGTTCAGTGGTACCTGAGAGGATCTCAGGCAACCTCCAAATGCTTGAGTCTGGCATTCAAGGCCTAACCCATAGTGAACTAAAGTTGATTAAGTAGTATTTCACACATCTTTCTGTATTTGCCTTTATCTATACTACATTTCAGCAGTCACTTCCCATTACTAGAATTTGCTGGACGCTTAGTGCCTTTATCCTGAATGATTTTTCCACTTGGAATATTCTTCTTCCTCCTGAAACTTTCTGTTAAAATCTTGACCATCCTTCAAGGCCCACATTCTCCTTGAAGGCTTCTTAACTTGAGGTGCTCTTTACTGACCTTGAACTCTGATCCTTTTCTGAGACTCCTCACATGACATTTATCTCATTCTACTTTGCACTATAATGTATGAGTACATGTCTTATTCCCTTTACTAGCTATCAATTTCTTAAGGGCAGGAATGTGTCTGATTCATTTAGGTATCCTTTATTGCAGGGATTGACAAACTGTGGCCTATGTACAAAATCCAGCTTGCCACCTGGTTTTGTAAATAAAGTTTTGTTGGAATAAAGCCATGCTCATTAGTTTATATTGTTGTCTATATAGCTGCTTTCATGCTACAATGACGGAGTAGTGGCGGAGATCATGTAGCCTACAAAACCTGAAATATTTACTACCTGTCATTAAAACATTTTCTGACCCTTATACTGTAGTCCTGATTCTCAAAGTAGGAACTGAAGAGCCCTAAGTGTCCCTGAGACCCTTTCAAAGGGATTGAAAGGTCCTAGGATTTTCATCATGTAATTCAACCAAAACTACATATATATACATATATACACGTATATATATATACATATACACGTATATATATACATATATACGTGTGTATATATATATACGTTTGTGTATATATATATACATACACATATATACCTGTATATATACACACACACACACACACACACACACACACACACACATATATATGTGTGTATATATATTTTTTGAGACGGAGTCTCGCTCTGTCACCCAGGCTGGAGTGCAGTGGCGCGATATCGGCTCACTGCAAGCTCTGCCTCTCGGGTTCACGCCATTCTCCTGCCTCAGCCTCCCAAGTAGCTGGGACTACGGGCACCCGCCACCATGCCTGGCTAATTTTTTTGTTATTTTTAGTAGAGACGGGGTTTCACTGTGTTAGCCAGGATGGTCTTGATCTCCTGACCTCGTGATCCACCCGCCTCAGCCTCCCATAGTGCTGGGATTACAGGCATAAGCCACTGCATCTGGCCTCCTAAAATATATTTTAACAGGTTGAACACAGAAGCAGACAAGAAAATCCAATTGTGTGTCATTTAATCATATATATATATATATTTAAAATATATATATGTTTAAAATATATATACATATATTTAAATGTATTTTATTATTTATTTTTGAGTTGGAGTCTCACTTACTCTGTCACCCAGGCTGGAGTGCAGTGGTGCGATCTGTCTCACTGCAACCTCCACTTCTTGGGTTCAAGCGATTCTCCTGCCTCAGTCTCCCAAGTAGCTGGGACTACATATGTGCGCCACCATGCCCAGCTAATTTTTGTGTTTTTAGTAGAGACGGGGTTTTGCCATGTTGCCGAGGCTGGTCTCGAACTCCTGGTGTCAAGTTATCCACCTGCCTCAGCCTCCCAAAGTCCTGGGATTACAGGCGTGAGCACCTCACCTGGCCTCATTTGGTTGTATATTAAAGAGATTTGTAAAAATGTGAAACAGTGCCTTTCTTTTTATGAAATTTTTTGTTTCTGAAAGTATAGTTGTTTTTCATAAGATATACGACTTATGTTAACACGCAATGGTTTATTGTTAAAGTGAATTAATGAATAAATATTTAAAAATTTTTAGTTTTAATTCCTAATGTAACACGTATTGATAGATATGACCCAAATAAACAGACCCTCTTAATATTTAATTGTGTAAAGGTGTTCTGAGACCAAAAAGTTTGATAACTGCTACTTCTTTGTGTCTGGCAGAATGCCTTATACATAGCAGTAAATCAATATATGCTGAATGAATGAATGAACAATAGAACCAGATGGTTCAAATCAGGAAATAAATGAAGTGTGGTGGTAATAATTGAAAGTATTGAAAGGGAAGGTTAAGAGTCATTGAGAAATGATATCTACTATGTGTTTGTGACTGTGATTCCTCTTTGTTCTCCCAGAGAACATTGATGAGGGATAGTGGAGTAGGAATGGTTTTGTTGGGGTGAGAGGAAGAGCAGGTCTTCCTGACTTTCTGTCTTTGCTGGTTTCATGACAAGTCATGAAGAATGGGCTAGATTTTGCTATAGTGTGAGCTAGCCCCAAACATCTGTGTGGCCTAACAACACAGAAGTTTCTTTCTTACTCATGCTACTATATGTGTAATGTGGATCTTCAGGGGTCTCTGCTCATCATTGTTAGTTAGGATCAGGCTAATAGAAGCCTTCTCTCATCTGTGTTTCCACAGTCACCGTAGCAGTAAGCAAGGGTCATGGTGACTCACAAGCTGCCTCGTAAAGTTCTGCACAGAAATAATACATCATGTTTGTGTATATTTCATTTGACATAGTGAGTCATGTATTGTATTAGTCCATTTTCATGGTGCTGATAAAGACATACCCAAAACTGGGAAGAAGAAGAGGTTTAATTAGACTTACAGTTTCATGTGGCTGGGAACGCCTCAGAATCATGGCGGGAGGTGAAAGGCACTTCTTATATGGTAAGAGAAAATGAGGAATAAGCAAAAGCAGAAACCCCTGATAAACCCATCAGATCTCGTAAGACTTATTCAGTATCAGGAGAATAGCACAGGAGAGACCAGTCCCCATGATTCAATTACCTCCCCCTGGGTACCTCCCACAACACATGGGAATTCTGGGAGATACAATTCAAGTTGAGATTTGGGTGGGGACACAGCCAAATCATACCATGTGTCCACATCTCACTTTGAAGAATGATTATGCTACCATGTGCCCTGAAGGTGGAGATTCAGAAATATTTGGTGGGCAGCACTAATGACTACCACCCAGTCACAAAAGGAATTATAACTTGACTTTGGAGTGTGCTCTTCTTGGCAAGGCTGAGAGCAATGTGAAGTTATGGAAGGCCACTGTGCAGAAAATCTCCTGCATACTCTTACAATGGAGGATGAGGGCTTTTCACATAATGAGGGAGGGTTGCCAGTTCAAGGTCTACTGAAGAACTGGTGAGACTGTGGTTTTACAGGAGACTTCTGAAGTATACTACATTAATTTGAAACTGATAGACAGTCTTTCATGCAAATATACAGTAAAGCACTCTTATTAGACCAAACAATGTCTGGATTTAATGATTGGAGACAGCTCAAGCGCTAAATACTTGAATTCGTTTGTCTGTGCACATGTGAGTGAGAGAGACAGAAGGAAAAGCAAATGCAGTATTCCAGCTACAGATATCAATTTCAAAGTTAATAATGAAATTTCTTTTTGGCAGCAAACTGTCGAATTTTACTTTGATGAAAATTGCTGGCAAAATCTTCAGAAACGAGGCTTTTCTTTCCATGGTAAGCTGAATATTTATTGTGTTTAGACTTGTCCTGGTAATTCAGATCTCATTTCTACTCCTCTTAATGCATCCTCCACCTCAATAGATCCTCATTCATCCCCTTGTCAGGCCAAAAAGTCCCTGTCATCTTAGACTTCTTCTTGCCCTTCACCCTCTGTACCCTTCAGTAACCATACTCTTCTGCCATTTTACTTCTGATTTATTCCCACCCTTCCTTGACTATTACAACTGCTCTAATTCAGGTTTTTATCATCATCTCTTGTGGGACCACTTGAATATCCTCTTGTTTTCCACGCCTTCACTCTGACTTCTTAAAATCCATCTTTCACAACTGCCAGAAGGATCTACGTTATGAACGCCACACATCACTCCCTCTGCTCAAAAACCTTTAGTGATGACTCTCTATCATTTTTAAACTCAGGTTCATGTTCCCTAGCCTGGCTAATACTTATAATGTCAAGCCTGAGTTCTCTAGCCTGTGGAATGCTTTTGAACTTGGTCTCTGCCTAACGCCCTAATCATCTCTTGCCATTCCCACTCTTGTACTACAAGCTCTTGTAATTTAGATTTCTATATACTTAGATCCCATGCCTTGCAATCTCTCTATCACTTATTCATGCTGTTCCAATTGCCCCCTCTTGATGTGACTAAATTTAACCTATCCCTAAAGCTCTTATGTCCCGCAGGAGACTTTTTTCATAACTCTCATCATCTCCTCCTCCTCCCATCGCACTGCACAAATAACTCTCCCTTATTTGTGCTCTCATAACCCCAACCCCCTTCCCCCATTGACTTATCATTATACAATAATACAAATATGTTTCCTTCATCATTGGCAAAGTATCTAAAGAGCTTGAGCAGAACCCATTCAGTTTTGTATTCTTGGTGCCAAACATAATGTCACACGCTTAGACAAACATTCTGAACAATAAGGTGGTTCCATTTTTGTTTTTGACTATTGGACAAAACAGAGTTTGGAGGGAACGATGACGAATTTCTCAAATTCATCTAGATTTCTTTATTTGTATGAATTAGTTTTTTTTTTCTGGTGGTGGTGATGGTGATATGTGGAGCTGTTACTGGGCCACAAATTGTGATTCCTCTTGCATAGATTGGGGCTTTTTTGAAGAAACTGATTTGTTCCTCATCCAGGGTCTAACATAGGGCCTGATACACAGACACTTCATAAATATTTGTTGACTAAATGGACACTTAACCTGAAAGGGAGAGAAAAGATGAGGTAACGTAAACCTAGAGCAGGAATGATTTTTCTAAATTGATCAGATTTTAGTCTTCATATCGCCCAAAAAACTGACCAGACACAGTGACATGAGGGAAGCTCTGCTGCTTTTCTGTGGCTGCTGATAGTAGTAGAATTTGAGAATTAGATTCTTTGGTTAGGGCCTTCGTTTCTTACTGTCTAGATCATTCTATCCATGACTGAGATATCACAAACAGGGCAACTATGACTACTCCAGCTATCATTTATTACACCAGTTCCCACAAAACATTTCTCTGAAGTAAGCATCACTCACTCCTTATTACAGATGAAGGAACTGAGGCTCAGTGAAGTTAAGTATTTATGGTAGTCATTAGGGCTATTCACCAATATTCCAGGTCTGTCTCTTTCTGGGCAGGTATGAGGACCCTACGTCTTCAACCCACTTGAAGTTAGGTGTGAGCTCATGACTTTCTTTGGCCAAGGAAATGTGAGCAGGAGTAATAGAGGTCATTTCCCAGGAAAGCTTTAAAGAGAATGGCTGCTCCATGCATCTGGGTCCTGGCCTGAGGACATAAATGCAGAACCAACCCCCAGCCAATCCACAATGGTTATTATCATGAGTAAGAAATAAATCACTGGTGTTTTAAGCCATGAGAATCAAAGATTGTTCTACTGTAATCTAGCCTATCTGACACGGAGTGTTTGAGGTCACTCAGTTAGTTGGGGGGAACAGGGTTTGAACTTGGGGGTTTAGACTCCAGATGGCACATTTCCTTGCTATTCCTCCCTCTGCTTCTTGTTCTCTCTACTCTCAGGTTTCCTTACTTCCAGCCACAGATGCTGCTCTTGTCTGCTCATAAGAAGTGTAGACACTGATGAGTCAGTATTTTACTGTTTCAAGTCAGAAAATGAAATGCCTGGTGTTTCTCAATGAAGGACAACAAGTCGGCATTCTGAAGTGTAATTTTCTGCAATGGTTCTGTTTTCTGAGACCCATTCTTATCAATCCCAGGAAACAGCTGGAGCACACTTACTATTATGGGCTGTGATCAGCTTTTGCCTCAGAAAGAGCCATTCACTGTGATGCAAGCAGTAACCATGGTTACAAATCGAAGTGCAGTCTTACTAGGTGAATGTAGCAGAGATTCAGCATCCTTTTCGAGGATGAAGAACAGGATCAATTCAACTATAATGACAAGCTTTTCCATCTGTAAATGTCTTGCTTTAAAAATCGATTCTTCTAGCACACATTTAAGCTAGGGTCTTGATTTTGGGAATTGCTGTAGGTTTCAAGGTTGAATTATTTCTCCATTTTCCTGAGAGCACCTTTGAATAATTTTTGTCTGAGTTTCTAGGGAAGTGTCTAGAGCCTGTAAGAAAGTGGCACTTCCTCTTACCCAGATAGTGGCTCAGGTTATATTTGTTATTATTATAATAATGACCAAGAGAGCTGTGACTGTTGTCTTCAGTAACAGTGATTATCGTAACCTCAGATTGGGAAGATTCCTTCTCCCTTTAGTGGCGATAATTTTATCATACCCAGTTATAGGGGTAGAGTTTTGGGGAGTATACTAATTCATTCAGATCATCAATTCATTCATTCATTTAAATATTTTTGAGTACTATTCTTTGCTCACTACTCAGCTAGGTGCTGGGAATTTACAATGATTAAGGCAGACACAGTCCCTATCTTAGAGAGCTACCAGTTAGACCTTTTTTTTTGGAGACACGTCTCGCTGTGTCACCCAGGCTGGAGTGAGGTGGTGTGATCTTGGCTCACTAGACTGTTTTTGTTTGTTTGTTTGTTTTTAACCAAGGAACAAGTGATGTTTATGATAACTGGACTAGTTTACTGGATAAAGTGGAGCTTATCCTGAACAAAGTGAGAAGTGCTTGTAGAGAGAGTGGTTCACATCTGAAGGAGGAGAATGAGAACGTAGAGACCGTCGAGGAGGTCGTTAGGTAGTGAGAGATCTAGACATGGCCATAGGAGTGTTGATTAAAGGAACTGGAGAAAAGGCAGCTTAGTTAGTTCATGAGAGCTCCCTCAATACAAATATTTAGAGGAAAGTAGACTTTGGGTGATCATTTTAGTGAAGAAGATATTTTATTGAGACTCCTGATGTTTTTGGTTAAGGAGTGAATGTAATTTTTATAGTTCATTGATTTTCCAAAAAAAAAAAATCAATGATGTGATCGAAGTTTTAGTTTTCCCAGTTTCAGGCTGGCGAAGGCCTGTTGGTGAGGATATAGTCCTCTTATATGAGGAAGCAGGGTTTTTTCTTCAAAGGACCTTTGTACACTAGTTTTATTGGGAGGGATGAGGACTGCAGGGACCAATGAGGGCCTTGTCATGAACATTCTAAGCTAAGCCTGGGAACATATGAAGACATACATTATTTCTAAGGTGACTAATAGAAGCTATACATATTTAAGTGAAAACTAGCTTTTTCTGAGCATCTGTGTACTTGGGTTGGCACTCTGAACACAATCCTCACGCTTTTTCTTGGTCTGTGCAAATGCTACTGCTTACCTGGGATATTGAAACAGTTTACCACATAAAAATGAGCTTTATTAAAATGAAATGGATCACTTCATTAAGTGGCAGGCTTCCTGTCACTCAAAGTATGTAAATGGATATTAGGAGACTGGCTATGTATAATGTTATAGGAGGGAAACTGCTTGGATGAGAAGTTGGTTAGATGAGTTCCAGTTGCCCTTTAACTCTGTGATTCTATGAGCCACATCTACAACATACCCAGTCTCCAGAGAACCCACCTTGTGGGGTATCTAAACTCATTGTTCCACTGTGTTGTGTTCCTGGTCCAGAGATAATGTACAACTGTGGGAAAGTTCTAGTAGTGCTGTACTGGGGGAATTTCTGAAGCCAAAGTTTTGATACTGATTCTGATATGAATTTCTTTCTCATTCTTTGCTTTTCTCTTTACCTTGGTTCAGCAGAAAATGGATTTTTTTAAATGCACCTTTGCCCACTGGCTTAAGCAATCTTTAACTAGTATAACTAGGCCCAGTGAAGCATTCCCACAGCTTTTTTTGCATGGTGATTCATATATTTTACCACTTGCTCTTTTTTTCCTACCGAATTCATTCTCCACACTGCTTTAGTAGTAAATATAGGAAAGTATATATTGCCTTCAAATCAGAATGACAGATACTAGAATGAGCTAAGACCATACTTTCCTCAAGAGAACATTAGAAATTACCATTAAAGAACTTTCTATATCCGTGATGTATATACATAAGTAAGCGAGGTACTTACTGCATTGATTTCTTAAGTAAATAATTACTAATGACCTATGCAGTAAGTGAGACATCTAACATTTTTCCTAGAAGCTCTTGTATTGGTTTGCCTAAAGTCATCACATACCCTCTGTATGATGAATAACAACTACATTTAGGTCTCACTCCTTATTTCTTAAGTCAGCTCAAGATTTCAACCCCCACCTCAGGATATGAATTAGAACTGCAACCTCTCAGTTCTCTGAACTCATTTTCTTAGACTAGAAAATTACAAATGGTGAGTATATGGGATCGCACCATGGCAAATGTAGTTTACTGTTTCGTAAGGATCTTGAGTTCAGAGGGATTTATGCACATGATTACAGGGCAAAGGGAAAGAGAGGAAAACTAACATCTATTGAACAGCTGAGCAAGACACTTCCACATGTGTTTGCTTGCTTAATCCTTATGACATCCTGATAAGATATTTTTATTTCCATTTTACTACCTTTTCTTATTTTGTCTTTTTTCATGATATTAATAACATATTGGCATAATTCTTTTTATATATGTCTTTATGGATCCATTAGGCCCATCCAGAAAGGAGACGTGTGAGCCACCATGCTGTCTTCTCCTCTACTGCCCCCGCTCTGTCGCCTTCCAGTCAGAAAAATAATGCCTGTAGCAGGTAATGTTAGGCAGGTCTGTGTTGCAGAGCCAAATATCTTCACCAATGAGACTTCTTAGAACTAGATAACTTGATGTAATTTAGGAGTAGCACAGTATCAACCAAGAGCTGCAAGCATCTCAGTTCAGCTTGGGCTTTTCAATAAGAAGGAAATCCTGTGGCTGTCATAGCTCTGAACAGAATTTTCCAGAGTAACTCTAGGATCACTTGAGGTCCTGAAGCTATCACATCATTTGGACCCTAGATGGCACTTTAGCTGAATTGCGTAATTAATCTCTCCAAGGGGGAGAAAATGAGTATATGAGCAAGTGCACAATGGGACAGGTTGTACCCTACCTCTCTTCTTTCTCAGACTTACAGCACTTTGGTCTACAGTGTCTTCAGGGTCACTTGGGTGAAAGAGGCATTATGGGTCCAGAGGTGTTTGTGCTCTTCTTTTCTGGAGGCTACTGCTAGAGTTGTGGGTGTCCTATAGTCATTGATTGCTAAGAGTGTATCACTTAAATGAATGTGCAGTCAGCAAGACCTGAGGAGTTTACTGCATGAGGAAGCCAATTGAATGGCCTTTTCCCAAGTCATGTTTTGTGAGCTGTAAATCTAGAGCAGTGAGGAGGGGGCTTGAACCCAGGAGGTTGCAGTGAGGCCAGATCACGCCATTGCACTCAAGCCTGGGCGGCACAGCAAGACTCCGTCCCTCCCACCAAAAAAAAAAAAAAAAAAAATTACCTCATTTGTACACCTTTTTCCTTCAAATACATTTGTATTATTATTTCTAATCCATTATTAATTGCATTTGTAATTTTAAGTAGTAAACCTATGTCTCTATTTTTTATAATTTGCTACAAAAACCTATTTTTGTAGCAAATATTGACAGGGTCTTTTGACTTCTTACCTTGTGAAAAAAGGATGTAGGAGCATCACACACAGGGACCTGTTGGGGAGTAGGGGGTTAGGGGAGGGATAGCATTAGGAGAAATACCTAATGTAGGTGACAGTTTGATGGGTGCAGCAAACCACCATGGCACGTGTATACCTATGTAACAAAACTGCACGTTCTGCACATGTACCCCAGAACTTAAAAGTATAATAATAAAAAATTTAAAAAGTAGAAAAGAAAAACTAAAAAAAGAATGTTAGCATCCCTACTCTTTGCTGCCCCTCTTTTTGCTGCTTCCCTTCTAGACTTCTGTCATTGGTGCTTGTACTTTTTATTGTCAATATAGGTTAGATTTATATATATATATATATATATTTTTTTTTTTTTTTTTTTTTTTTGAGACAGAGTTTCACTCTTGTTGCCCAGGCTGGAGTGCAGTGGCATGATCTCGGCTCACCACAACCTCTGCCTCCCAGGTTCAAGTGATTCTCCTGCCTCAGCCTCCTGAGTACCTGGGATTACAGGCATGCACCATCCGACCCGGCTAATTTTGTATTTTTAATAGAGACGGGGTTTCTCCATGTTGATCAGGCTGCTCTCGAACTACTGACCTCAGGCAATCCGCCCACCTCAGCCTCCGAAAGTGCTGGGATTATAAGCGTGAGCCATCACGCCCAGCCTTTAGATTTATATTCTTGTCTCTTATCTATAAATTTTGTGCTTTCTCTATCAGTTTGTTCTAATGTTAGAAATACATGAATAGAATTTATATCATTATGACTATATGAATATGGTTTACCCTAAAGCTGTGTAATGAACTGTAAGTACATTTTCTTTTGGGTAGTTTTTCTTAAATATGGAGTTTTAGATTGCATTTTAAAAATTGCCTATTGTTACTACATTCCTAAGCTCTTTCAATATCTCAAGGATACTGATACACCTATGGAATCCCTTGATATCTCCTTGCAGATTCGCCCCTCCTGTTAGCTCCTCTCTTCCCTATGTTGCCCTCCTGCTTTACGAGACTGATTGCTTTCCACATCACTGCACAGTGGACATTCTGGCATTGACTTTCATTGTCATCCTGCGTTGGAGACCATATATCTCTTTTTTTCTTAGTTAATTCCCTCATTTTGCTTATCACACTGTCAGTAACTTTGTATAAAAGGACAAATTAAGGTTAAAATTTTTTGGAGTTTTTTTTTTTGGCCCCAGCTTTTCTATATATATTTTTTTCATGCTCAATTGATGATTTGGAAGCATATAGAATTCTTTATTGAAGACAATTTTCTTCCAGTCCTTTGAAATCATGTTCCCATTATCTTCTACCATTCTGTTTTGCTTAAGAGAATTCCAAAATCTGTTTCTTGTAGCTTTTCCTTTCTAGATAGAACACTTTTGGATTTTTATTTTCATCCTTAGTGTTATTAAATTTCACAATGATTCATCTGCATACAGGAATTTTTAAATTTTTTTTGGTTTATTTTATTTTTCCCTGGGTGTCCTTGTGATCTGAAGAAATATGTCCTTTATCTTTGGACTCTTGAATTCTCTTTGATAATGTTCTGGGATATTATATTCTCTTTGATAATGTTCTCTCTACAATTTTCCTTGTTCTGGCTTAGTAGAACTCCTAATAATCAGATATTGGGGTTCCTGGACCTCTTATCTATTCTCTTATGTTTTCTGGCTCTTTGCCCCTTCTTCCCATGCTCTTTGGAAAATTCTTGTTATAATATTTTCTAACAGTTTTATTGAGGTTTTTTCTTTTCTTTTTTTTGGCTGTATGTATAATCTCATACATATAGGTTTTAAGGTAATTATTGGTCTAATCTAAAATCTTTTCCTTGTTCTATTTTTCATAGCAGTCTCTTCATGTTTTGTGGATACAGTATCTTCTTAAATCTCTAAAAACTAATTAGAACTTTTATTTCAAGTTTTCTAAGTGATATTTCTTTTTTGGAATTCTTTTGCCTGCTTTTTTCTTTAAGGTATGGGTTTTAGTCTTTGACTTCCTCTCTTAAACCACTGATGGTGCTCAATTGTACATTTGTACTTAAAAAAGAATATTTGCTTTAATGTAAGCAGGAGGCATAATTCTGAGGGGTGCTCTAAGCTCAAGAATTCAGAAGACTTTGCTGTGAGATACAAACACCTGTGCTAATTGCCCTGGTCTTTTCTGGATACTTCTTGAGCAGAGCCCTGCAGTGTAAATGCTTTGGCTTCTGGGTATTCTGCCCAATGGGGTAGTGTTATACTTTCTTGAATCCATCCCTTTCCTTGAATCCATCCTTTTTAGCCTGTCCCTTACTCCTGCCTCCATTGTACTTGGCAGATTCCAATGTGAGTTTCTTCAGAGTTTTGCAGGGAAGATGTTCTCTTTTTTAACTCCATGTCCCTCTGCATGGAGTTTTACACTGACATTTCTAAATAGCATAAATGGTGTCATGTTCTACTATTCTATCTGCTCTTCTTCTTCCAGAAAGTTTTTGGAGTCTCTTGTCTATGCTGGTCTTCTATCTGTTCTTTTCATTGGTGTGGCTTTATACTTTTGTAAAAAGTGTTTTTTTGTGAATCTGTCATTTTTAAAGTATCTAGGAAGGTTGAAGAGATAAACCCAGTTACTATGTCATATACTAAGTTTACCATTTTGAAGTGGTACCCTACTTCAAGTATTTATTTATTTATTTTTTTGAAATAAAGTTTCACTCTTGTTGCCCAGGCTGGAGTGCAATGGTGTGATCTTGGCTCACCACAACGTCTGTCTCCTGGGTTCAAGTGATTCTCCTGCCTCAGCCTCCCGAGTAGCTGGGATTACAGGCGTGCACCACCACGCCTGGCTAATTTTATATTTTTAGTAGAGACGGAGTTTCTCCATGTTGGTCAGGCTGGGCTCAAACTCCTGACCTCAGGTGATCTGCCCGCCTCGGCCTCCGAAGCGCTGGGATTACAAGTGTGAGCCACCGTGCCTGGCCTAAAGTATTTTTAATTTGGATGCCTCATCAAATCAGAGAATTCTTCCACTCATCTGAATCAGTAAAATTTTCCTATGTCTTGGAGCTGATGTCTACATATATATGGAAGAGAGTAGACCAAACTTATCTAAATTAGACACTGTATGTGTCCTTGGAATGATGTGGCTGCAGGAACCTACTGAAGATCCTCTTTACCTTGGCTTAGGGACATTTACTGAAAATCACTCTGGGTCAGTGCCTGTTTGGAATGAAGGCAGCGAGATATTCATTTACTTCTGTTATGTTACACCGTTGATAGGTTTTCCCTCTTAGCCTTTAACTAGCTAGCATAGGCTTGCTGAAAGTACTATTCTTTTCTCTTTCTGCTTTTGTGAGATAAGAAGGTCACAAATTATTTTATATGGTTTCATCACATTTTGGGGAGGGAATAATATTTTCTTCATAATTGTTGTGTGTGTGCGTGTGTGGGTATGTGTCTATGTATATTAGTGTGCTCATGTATGTGTGTGTGAATATGAGACAGAGAAAGAGAACTACAATCACAAATACTATAATCACAGGGACCACAGGTTCCTTGAAGTACATTATAGGGACTTTTTTATTTAGTAAATTTTCCAGTCTTTATATGTCTTTTGAATGCTTTCTCAGCTGAGTGGAGATTTTGTATGCCTTATTAATGTATGTGTTTGTGAGAAAGAGCATGAAATATTTTTTAAGAAATGAAGCTACCTATTATATTATATTCATTCATTCATTCATTCATTCATTCATGTTGGGGTCTTGCTTTGTTGCCCAGGCTGGAGTACAGTGATGTGACCATAGCCAACTGCAACCTTTAACTCCTGGGCCCAAGCAGTCCTCTCCCCGCCCCACTGCCTCTCTAGTAGCTGGGCCTACAGGTGTGCACCACCTTGCTCAGCTAACTTTTAAAAAATTTTTATAGAGATGAGCCCTCACTGTGTTGCTCAGGGTGGTCTTGAACTCCTAGATTCAAGTGATTCTCCTGCTTTGGTCTCCCAAAATGCTGGGATTACAGGCATGAGCCACCATGCCTGGCCTAACCTACCTATTTTAGATCACAATAAAAATTATATCCAGTGTAATATTATTAGAATAAGACTCTCAATGAATTAGAGCATTTTGCTTTTGCTGGTTGAAATTGGAAAGAATTAGAAGCGGTGAAATTTTTGTATTTGATATTGAGATGTATTAGACCTAACACTGAATCTTGGGAAAGGCCCAGAGAGTAGTCAGAAAATTAAAAAACAGGAATGAACAGGGTCTAGGGAATTGAGGTTAAATAGATTATCAAAGGGACTGTAGATAACAAAGGTCCCAAAGGGCAGGGAATGGCTTTTAAAATAAGAGAATAGTATTTATGAAGCCTAATTGATGCAGGTATCTGTGATTTGACCTCTACACACTTTCAGCTCTCCATATAAGGACATCCTCTCTATTATCTTTATCCCATACATTAGGAATGACATCAGCTTTTGGCTTCAACTTTACTCACATACTTTGATGGTTATCTGGGTCTTTTGATGTCTTATTTTCTCCACATTTGCTCCACTTTCCAAGACAATCATATGCTTCGACTTATTTTAGTTTCTCCCAGCTTTTCTCTACCCCAGCCTCTCCTTTCCTTTAGCTGAGATCCTTACACTCTGCCTTATTTCTCCTCCATCCTCACATCCTCATTCCTTCTTTGCAGGGAATTTCTCTTTTTCCTCTTTATTGCTTCTTCTTTTCCCTCTGCTCAACGACAGGCTTTGGGCCAGTTTGGCAGAGTCTTTCAGTTCTGTTAGTTCTGGGCCAGCTACAAACTTCTTACTTATTTACTCTAAGGCTGTCCAAGTCTGAAGGTTCTTGGAGTGTGCACACAGCATCTCCCTCCATAGGAAATGGACTTTGCACAGTAGTGTTTATAGTAGTAACTCCAAATGGAGGTAAAATGATACCCCATCACTATTATTCATTCACAAAGTATTAAGTGCCACTAATGCCAAGGTCTGAGGCTATAACTACAATCAAGACAAACCAAGGGCCTTGGCTCTAGGCTCTTGGAGTTTACATTATATAAAATAAAAACAAACTTTAAAAATATTTTAAACAAAACAAAACAATTAAAAAGAAAATAAGCAAAAATACCCAAACTGATTTTTTCTTAGTTATGAAATTCCTCCAAAGGGCACCTTCTGACTGATGATATGTTTATAATAACTTTCCTTAGTCTAATATTTAAAATATTTTTGTCTTTTATTTAGGGTGTGGGGGATGGAAGTGGGTTGGAGACCATAATGACATGCTTATTTTATTTTATTTTTTTTCACGGGATGGGGAAGCTCTTAATAACCTGTTGCTGTCTAAAACTAGGAAACTGGTCTGACAGAAATCCAAACTCTCTTTTAGCCTTTCTTCTAGACTTTGTCAATCAAACTCATTGTAAGCATCCTAAGTGATTTGTTCTCTTTGTCCCATTTTATTCCTGTTTTTAGTGAGTGAAATGGGAAGAAATTAGAACTGAAGTAACTTGAAATATGGAAAACTAACATAGAAATAATGGAGAATAGGCTGTATGTATATTGTGGAATTTTGCAAACACTTGACTATGGCTATGAATGAAGACATTCAGAAGCCTGTGGTGTAATTCTTTTACAATTATATTGCTGCTGCCTTTAGCATCCTTCTTTGCCACAGAGCTGTGGTTTGTGACAACTATTTAATTAGAATGGCAAACAGAGTGGCTAAGTTCAATATTTCCCCCCTTCTTTTCTTTATGAAAATGAGAAAGTAGAGTAATACCATCTTCATTTTTGGAACTGCTAAGTTGGAAACCAGGAACATAACTGCCTTAAACCTCTGTAGTGATGTTATTCTGCACATAATTGGCATGAAAATAGAATATATTCTCTGTGGTTGTACATTACATTTTCTCTTTATTAGCCATGATGAAGTTTATGTGTTTATGCAAATAACACAGAGAGATAAGTTTCCCTCTCAGAGGCAGTGAGATTGGCATTATGAGATCCATGTTTACATTATGGTTTTACCACTTGCTATGTGACCATGAACTTAACCTGCTTGAAGTTCATTTGTTTATTATCAAGTGGTAATAATAATACTAACCTCACAGTGTTGATATGAGGATTAAGTAAGATAATGTGAGTTCAGGTACCTAGTACTCAAAAAGATTAGTTGACCATTACTCTCGAATATAGACATTTTCTAGTAGGTTTGTTATGCCAACAAAGGAAGAAGAAAGAACATCAATGAGTCAATGTGGGTGTAGAAAACATTAACATACATTATTCTGAAATGACATTTATTGCTAGTTTTATGGTCCCAAGCAATGAAAATCAGACCCATACCTCCAAATATTCTGACAAGAACATGCAGATCCTCTTGTATGTCTATTACATGTAAGTTATCTTAGTTATTTTTTGTGCTACAAATGTTATTTATTCTTAAGAATAAAAAAAGATTCAATTTATTTCATAGGCCATGAGATCTTTGTTTTAGCTTGTCCATGGGTTCTCTATTGGCTCATTATGGAGGTATGAGGTGAGGAGGACGTTTATGTGTCATTGTATTACATTAATATGTACACATTCAAATATCTTCTTTCTGTGCCATAGATTCTCCTCACCCCTTTTTATTGTAACTAATAGTTATAATTGCAAAGGACTTTAAATTGCTACATGTGTGCTAAAGAATAACAATGATTTTCAAACTTAGTACAGAATGTAATTAATTTTTATAGCAACAGTATGTACCTGCCAAGTGGGTACTTTGAAAATGAAGTTGTTTTTGATTGTGTGAAACTGCTTGAAAATGTGATTCTCCAAAGCTTTCTTTTTCTTATGGCCAGAAAATAGTGATATGGAAATTAATTATGATTATGCACTTGAGACTGGTTCTTCTTCTGCTTTTATTTTCTTTTTTTTTAAATGAATCTTAAAAAACACAAAGTTTCTTTGGACCAAGAACAAGCATAAGACATTTTTACACCCTGGATTTTAGGTGGAAAGGTCCTGCTGGTTGTAGCTTTGAGTGGATGAAACACCACTTGCCCAAGAAGCAACATACTTTAGGGTACACTTGTATTTCACCTTTTTGGTGCAAGGTGACATTTTTCTCTAGCATCCTTACTTGCTCAGGATTGCAGTATAATGTGTTTACATTATAGGCCAAAATCTAAGTAGAAAGCACTGATTTATTCTGACAATATGTCTTCTGAAATGTCAGATGTAAAATATTCACAAGAACGTTGTTAGGAACCTGTTTTCCAACACCTTCCCAGGTTAGCAAAAATGCCACACACCAATTTCTAATTCCCATGTATAATCTGGTTGATAATCTCTTTTGGTCCTCATCTTTTTCTTCTTGGATTTGGGTGATATGTTTCTGGAAAAGGCTGATTAAACAGTGCGTTTCCAAAACAAAATTATTTATTTGGTTGTATAGGTGAGGATTCAGAGGAAAAGCCAGATAACCTCTTTGTGTGTTTATGTGGCAAGGATGATAAGTTAATGATTTGCTTGAGGTATGATAGTTTAGAGCAGTAGCTTGGGGAGGGCAAGATTATTAGAATTATCCTCTGGCGATACCCCTCCAACGTATATACTTCTTTCAACTTAGATTCCAACTAGTATAGATACTGTTAAGATAACTGGTTTATTTAGAGTAGTGGTTCTCAATCTTCAGCATGATTCAGAATCCCCTGGAGGGCTTGTTAAAATGCACATTGGTGTCCACACTCCCCGCTCATATCCAGAGTGTTGATAGAATTGGTCAGGCGTATTCAAAGAAGAATTGGTACTAAATCTTTTGACACTATTCCACAAGATAGAGAAAGAAGGAATTTCATTCTGTGAAGCCAGCGTCACCCTAATACCCAAACCAGGAAAGGACATAATCAAAAAAGACAACTACAGACTGAAATCTTTGATGAACATAGATGCCAAAATCCTTAACAAAATACTAGCTAACCGAGTCCAACAACATATCAAAAAGATAATCCACCATGATCAAGTGGGTTTCATACCAGGGATGCAGGGATGGTTTAACATATGTAAGTCAATAAATGTGATACAGCATATAAACAGAATTAAAAACAAAAAAAATCACATGATCATCTCAATAAATGCAGAAAAAGCATTCAACAAAATCCAGCATCCCTTTCTGATTAAAACTCTCAACAAAATTGGCATACAAGGGACGTACCTCAATGTAATAAAAGCCATCTATGACAAACCCACAGCCAACATAATACTAACTGGGGAAAAGTTGGAAGCATTCCCTCCAAAACCTGGAACAAGACAAGGATGCCCACTTTCACCACCCCTCTTCAACATAACACTGGAAGTCCCTAGCCAGAGCAATCAGACAAGAGAAATAAATGGCATCCAAATCGGTAAAGAGGAAGTCAAACTGACACTGTTTGCTGATGATATGACTGTTTACATTGAAAACCCTGAAGACTCCTCCAGAAAGCTCCTAGAACTAACAAAAGATTTCAGCAAATTTTCTGGATACAAGATTAATGTACACAAATCAGTAGCTCTTCTGTACACCAACAGCGACTCAACGGAGAATCAAATCAAGAATGCATCCCCTTTTACAATAGCTGCAAAAAAATAAAATACTTAGGAATATACCTAACGAAGGAGGCGAAAGACATCAACAAGGCAAACTATAAAACACTGCTGAAAGAAATCATAGATGACACAAACAAATGGAAACATATCCCATGCTCATGGATGGGTAGAATCTATATTGTGAAAATGACAGTACTGTCAAAAGCAATCTACAAATTTAACACAAACTCTATCAAAATACCACCATAATTCTTCACTGAGTTAGAAAAAAAAATTCCAAAATTCATATGGGACCAAAAAAAAGCCTGCATAGCCAAAGCAAGGCTAAGTAAAAAGAACATCTGAAGGCATCACACTACCTGATTTCAAACTATATTAAAAGGTCATAGTCACCAAAACAGCATGATACTGTTATAAAAATAGGCACATAGACCAATGGAACAGAATAGAGAACCCAGAAATAAACCCAAATACTTACAACCAACTGATCTCCAACAAAGCAAACAAAAACATAAAGTGGAGAAAGGACACCCTTTTCAACAAATGGTGCTGAGATAATCGGCTAGCCACAGGTAGGAGAATGAAACTGGATCCTCATCTCTCACTTTATACAAAAATCAACTCAAGATGGATTAAGGACTTAAATCTAAGACCTGCAACTATAAAAATTATAGAAGATAACATTGGAAAAACCCTTATAAACGTTGGCTTAAGCAAGGATTTCATGACGAAGAATCCAAAAGCAAATACAATAGAAACAAAGATAAATAGTTGGAACTTAATTAAAGAGCTTTTGCATAGCAAAAGAAACAGCAAAGTAAACAGACAACCCACAGAGTGGGAGAAACTCTCCACATTCTACACATCTGACAGAGGACTAATATCCAGGATCTACAACAAACTCAAACAAATTAGTAAGGAAAAAAAAATCCCATCAAAAAGTGGGCTAAGGATATGAATAGACGGTTCTCAAAAGAAGATATGCAAATGGCCCAACAAACATGAAAAAAATGCCCAACATCAGGAATGATCAGGGAAATGCAAATAAAAGCCACAATGCAAAACCACCTTACTCCTGCAAGAATGGCCATAATCAAAAAATCAAAAAACAGTAAATGTTGGTGTGGATGGCGGTGATCAGGGAACACTTCTACACTGCTGAGGGGAATGTAAACTAGTACAGCTGCTATGGAAAACTGGAAAACAGTGTAGAAATTCCTTAAAGAACTAAAAGTAGAACTACTATAGCAGCACAATTCACAATTGCAGAATTGAGGAACCAACTCGAATGCCCATCAGTCGACGAGTGGATAAAGAAACTGTGGTATATTTATAGGATGGAATACTACTCAGCCATAAAAAGAATGAATTAATGGCATTTGCAGTGACCTGGATGGGATTGGAGACCGTTATTCTAAGTGAAGTAACTCAGAAATGGAAAACCAAACATCGTATGTTCTCACTGATATGTGAGAGCTAAGCTATGAGGACGCAAAGGCATAAGAATGGTACAATGGACTTTGGGAACTTGAGGGGAAGTGTGGGAGGGGGTGAGGGATTAAAGACAACAAATATGGTGCAGTATATATTGCTTGGGTGATGAGTGCATCAAAATCTCACAAATCATCACTACAGAACTTACGTAGCCAAATACCACCTGTATCCCAGTAATTTATGGGAAAAACAAAATAAAATAAAGAATTGCTCTGGTGTGAGTGTCAATAATCTGCCTTTCTAACAAGCGTACAGGTGATGTGGATATTGCTGGTCTGGAGACCTCACTGTAGAAACCACTGATTTAGAGGATTGGGAAGGATTTGTCTCTGCTTCAAGGTCTTGGGAAGTCAGGATGGGGAGTTTGGTAGGGAGGGGGATGGAAAAAGATTGAAGAATGCTGATCATCTTGCTTAGTTACTAGAAGTGTTGACTAGCAGACTCTTGCAGTGTTAAACATTAGTGAAGCTGTTAATATTAATTACTTTTATTAATGAGAATCAGAGAAAGTTAGGAGAGGAAACAGATTTGATTATTTCTTAATACTAGTCTTCTCTTCCTCATCTGGTTCCTGCATTTTTCTTGGACCTGAACCTTTCTCTTGCTCCTCATATAGTATAAATATAGATAGCCATACTATCACTGTCTTTCAGAAATGCGAAGAATGATGAGACGGTATATAAGGTTTCTTGGAAAAGCTGTCACATCAATCAAGATTACAATTATAATGAAAACCTCATTAATTTGGCTTCTACCTATTCAGATTTTGCAGCAGTTAGGACAGTGCTTGGGCTGAAATGTGCCTTTGCAGTATTTATAAAGAGTGCCTATAGCAAATCAATGACTTTAGGCTATTGGCTAGGAAATTTAAATTACTTAATGGAAAACTGCTTTAAATTTATTTCAGTACTGCCACTTACATATAAATTATTTGATGATTAGAAATTTATCTTACCTATTTATTTACATAAGCTATTTTCAACATGATTAGGATTGCTAAGGCTTCATTGCTTTAGGATTGTATAATTCAGATTTATTCACTTATTCAGGCAGAACTTTTACTCAGTTAGTCCAAATAGCTGGTTTTGTTTTTAAATGTCAAGTGCAAAATTGTCTGTACTCATCATTTTCTATTAGTTTCAATCTCAGCATTATTTGGGGGCATTCAGATTGTACCTAGTGTCTTTTGTATTGAGTGGACACTAGAAATCTAATACCTGGCTCAAAGAAGAAAATGTGCCCTTCAAAGGGGTTCTTTTAATTTTGCACATAAAGCACATTTTCAAATGTTATTTTCCTTTGAATAATGCTCTGTGCTTAAATTTTCCTAGAATAAAACACCCAACCAGGTAAAAGATTTAAGAGATCTAGGCCATGCTTACTTGATGAAATGCAGCAGAGTGGAAAATATCCTGTCTTGCCAGTTCAAGGAAATTATAATTTTTCTGATCTGGTAGTTAAAAGGAATGATATTTAAATAGCTGCTGTTATATAGGCATTAATTTATTAGGGGCAGATTTTAGTCTTTTGTGAAATTATATGTTGAGGTCTGTATCTGAAGGAATTAAAGTCTAATCTAAAGAATTATTTGGAAGCAAATGTGAAGCTATGTTAGAACTTCGGTGCTTCTTTTCAACCCTTGTCCTCTTGCTGTAAAGAGCAGCCTGAGTCAGATCATTGAGGATTAAGGATGAATGCATTACTCAGCACCCTGCAGCAGTTGGGTCAAACATCTTGGCTTTGAAAAGTTAGGTTTTTTTTTGCTTAGCAAGCCTAGAAATTTCAGGTCCAACTGCAGAATGAAAGTTCAGTATTCTGTTGATTAACATGGTCTACTTGAAAACAGCCTGTGGCTCTTCTACATGTCCTTCCTCTCTATTTGTGTATGATAGTGTCTGAAATCATTGGATGGATCACCGGTGAACCATATTGACAGCTGCTATATGGTCAGGGAGATTGGTTCCCATGTAGTATTCCGATGACATCCATCCTTTCACTTGAAGAAGAGGTTTAACATGTTAAGGGGGAAAAGAGGATATACTTATTTTATTCTGGCAAATGGGAATGCAGAGAAATAAGGCAGCCTGTGATAACACTACATTGAGGCAAAGAGTGAGGATTCTACATCAGATGCCCACTAATGAGAAATATTCTTGATCCAAGTGTTAGCCAGAGAAGGGAACACTTTGACCAAGACTTTTCAGGTTGATCTGAGTGAGTGGCATGCTAGGAAGGGCTGCAAAGGCCTGGGGGAGAGGAGGTCTGGGCCTGGCATCCAGGGTCAGCTCTGCTGAAGATGAGGAAACAGCCGCTCTCTGCAGGCAACAGGAAAAGGAAAGGAAACCAGATAGATTAGCATGTATGTAAAGGGCAATGACAAAGAGTGAACAAAACCAGGAACAATTTTATTTTTATGCTTATTGTCTTAGAAGTTTCTTTCAAAGTTTAGCTTACCTTGAAACTGAACCAGGCAGTAAGTCCTAAACAAGGTATTTGAGATTTTACATACTTTACATTTAACTATGTTTGTACTCCAACCTGGACTCTGGAAAACTCTTCAGAAGAATCCTAGTGTGGTTAAAAGTATCATCACCATTTCCATCATCATCTACTAATGTTTATTAAGTATACCACCAAAGTCTTTGTGTTATTGAAAAGAAGTCTTTAATTAGAGTTTACTTGTGTTTTTCCAGGTAGCCCAGCCATGACCCATAGGAATCTGACTTCCTCCAGTCTGAATGACATTTCTGATAAACCGGAGAAGGACCAGGTAAGCAAAAAATTCTTGCTTCTTTGAAATGTAAGAGAACGTATATCTAAAAGATGCTGAGAAAGGATTAGAGGTGATGGTTGCTTCACTTAAAATGGACCTTTACGTGCAGACAACAGTTTGCACTTTCCTGGGCAGAAGGAGAAGCAGTGTGTGAAGGGAGCTGGAATCAGAAGGGAAAAATGTGCGTTTACTTCAGCTGTTGCAGATGCATCACTTGGGCAATTTAAATCTTAAAGCAATAGTTGTCTCAGCTTTAAAATAGTAATAATCCCTGCCTTCTGTTTATTCTAGGGATTAAACGAGATAACTTATGAAAAAAATACTTTGGTAAATTATAAAGAAATACTTGCCTGGCACAGTGGCTCATGCCTGTAATCACAGCACTTTGGGAGGCTGAGGTGGGCGGATCACTTGAGGCCAGGAGTTGAAGACCAGTCTGGCCAACATGACAAAACCCGTCTCTACTAAAACCACAAAAATTAGCCAGGCACGGTGGCACAGGGCTGTAATCCCAGCTACTCCACAGGCTGAAGCATGAGAATCGCTTGAACCCGAGAGGCAGAGGTTGCATTGCACTGAGATCGCACCACTGTGCTCCAACCTCAGTGACAGAGCGAGACTTTGTCTCAAAAAAAAAAAAAAAAAAGAAATGCTAAGAAATGCTGAAATTGTTGTTAACTTTTGGGGGATACTTTAGGGCAAGGTAATGACAGCTAAGTTCTCACTAGCTATATATTTGTTTGTCTATTAAAACATATAGTTGAATGAAGAGCAATCAGGTTTTGAATATCTGTTTGCTTTCTTTGGAAGAGAATATGGTGTAAACTGGGCCATTTTTGCCCAGCTACGTAAATATCTCTGCAAGAAAATTATATTTTAAGAATATAGTATATGGAAAAATGATGCTTCCTAAATGAAAAAATTTCAAAGTTTTGAAGAAATGAAAGCAATATATTTAAAAAAATCATAGAAATCCTAAGACTGTTTCCCCAGGATTGAAGGAGAAGTAGCATATATTGGAAAGAAGAAGGAACATGAAGCAAGAAAATCTGGTCTTGCTACTTGTTCCAAAACTGGCTAGTTGTGTGATGATGGACACTAGTTTTGTTCTTTGCTAAGTGGAAACTATAATACATAACTCACCTCAGAAAATCAAATATCTGATCCTTGCTCTTTTAACTTACCATTTTGTCTTTTGATATAGTAGAAGAGATGGTTCTGGTTGGCTCCATGCTTGATATGCTAATTGTACAGTTAGTCCTCCATATCCGTGGTTTCATATCCATGGATTCAACCAACCATGGACAGAATGAAAATAAAATTGTGTCTGTGCTGAACACATACAGACTTTTTTTTTGTTGTCATTATTCTCTAAATAATACATCATAGCAACTGTTTACATAGCATTTATATTAGGTATTATAAGTAATCTAGAGCAATTTAAAGTGTATATGAGGATGTGTGTAGGTTATATACAAATAGTATGCCATTTATATCAGAGTCTTTAGCATTGTCCAATTTTGTTATCTGATGGAGGTTGTGGAATCAATCCCCAACATATACTGAGGGATGACTTGTTCTTTCTCTTTCTGTCTTTTAAGTGGGTGAGTTTGAAGATTCTTCTTTTCACACTTTGCTGATTTTTTTCAAGAAGCCATATTCATGATGGTGTTCCTCTTTAACTGACAGCACTTGTAGTAGTCATAGAGGTTTATAGGCCTTGGTGAATTCTAGAAAGTACGGGAAGGGTGTACATTCCATTCCATTCTCCCGTCCCTTCCCCTCCCCTTCCGTCCCCTCCCCTCCGTTCCCCTCCCCTCCCCTCCCCCTCTCCCTCCCTCCCTTCCTTCCTTCCTTCCTTCCTCCCTGGTAGTGTCTTCATCATCTCAGATCTGAATTGCTAGAAAAGCTGTTGGAATTGATCCCTTGTCCCCATTTTTTCTCAATTCAATATACTTTTTACATAGTTGCCCTCATTTTTCTACTCTAGATTAAAAATGGTTAGTGGCTTCCCATCATTTTAAGTTCAGGACTTCTTGATGACCTTTATGATGCTCTGAAATCTGATGTTATCCGTCTTGTCTTCATTTATTCATTTGTGTTCCCCAGAAGAGGGACTCTGTTTAGGTCAGGACTAATTTCTTTACTTACCTCCCACTTTACATTGAGATAAATTCTTGACTCCTTCAGTTGCTCCTTCAGATGCTAATGTGGATTGTCACCTTCCTTTCATCTTTCTACCTCTTGAAATGATCAGGAAGAAGAGCATTTAAATATGGGTACATTGGTAGATACATACCTGTAGTGGAAAAGGGAGAACTCAGGCCACTAGAAGTTTTCTTAAATTTATTTCGCACATTTTGTCTCCACTCATTGCTTACCAAGCCATGCTGATTATTTGCAAGGTTTGCCATGAGTCTTAATACTGGTTAAGGCAGTGTACTAATTAGCTTAGGAATATCTTGTTGATGGAGTTCTTGAGGAAGCCTTCTTTTATTAAGGGCAGCTCTCCTTTTGCCAGGAATTTGGCAAGAAGCAGCTGGTAAATGCTGACAGATAAATTTACTAACTTATTGGGTCTTTTCATATCTGGGCATATGCAGAAGAAATCTGATGGCTTAAGATGCATATTACATAAAATTTTGATTCCAGTAGTAGAAGAAATATGTGGAACATTTTTTGTGGGTATTGATTTTGTTATAAAGCCCATGGGAATGGAGTCTTTAAAACCAGAATCTTCAGTGCCTATCACTAGCATCTCATAGTCATCAAGGTTCATGTTTAGATGAAGCGAGGAAAATTTAATTCAGGAATGTTCCTTTTGTTTTCAAAGCCAGCAAAGGAAGGTTGATGAATATATAATTATAAGACCAACTATTAATCTAATTTGTATCTATTACAGTGTATATAGTTAATCCAATGAGTTCTTCAAGAAAGGAAGAAACTCCATTCTCTCTTCCTACCAGAGTTTGAAGAGAGGCTTTTGTAACTAATTCATAATCTCTTCTACAACCAAAGGTACAGGTACAGAAATCAAACTAACATTTTCAGTTTCTATACCTACTATTTTGGTAACTTCAAATACAAAAACTCCTGGATCATTTTAGGGCAAGAAAAAGGAAAGTGGATTTGCAAGTAAGATGAAGCTGTGATAAACTCTGGCTTTTATTTTTTTTTAACCTGTTTCTTCTCTGTTTGGACAGGAAAGAAAAAAAAAGGTTTCCAGGCTTATGTTTGTTTTGAGAAAGCTTTTATAATTAATTAGCCAGTGTCCTGGAAGTGATCTTGGCAGTAAACTCAAACTTGTCTTGTGTACTTGTCCAAGTTGGCCCCAAAAACTTCCATTTGACCAGGACTGAAATTTCTGATTGACTGATTATTCTGCCTGGATACAATTTGAACAGTTGTGATGGTGCCTTGCAACTTCCTGGAGCTACCTAACTTCTTAGTAGCACAAAGAATGGGTTCAGAGTTATGAAGAGGAACAGAATTGCTCTTTCTGACAGCTACATAGTGACAGAATTTGAGGGCATATTTTTTATGAGATTCTGTTTTGGGAAAACAGAAGAAACAAATCTGTGGGCTGCACTTTTTCTTTCTGGCTTTGCCAAGCCTATGTGCTTACGATTTCAGTAGCGGCTGCTTTATTGAAAAATGGCTTAAAATAGTTAACAGCAGAAGAAGAGCATAGCCAGAATTTAGGTGATTCAATGCTTCAACCATATTCCAACTTGGATGTTATATTTATTAAGCAGAAAAACACCTGTGGAGAAGTAGATTTAAAAAATACATCTGGAGTTCATCTAGTTGTAAATCTACATAAATAATCTCTTCTATTTTGTTGCTATGGAGTATTTTTCACATTATCTAATTATGTTTCTTGATTGCCTTTGATTTGCTTTTCCATTTCTTCTTATTCTTTTTCTGTTCTTTTAAAAATTTACATGTGAGGTGGGTGCTTATCAAATGCAGTGGATTTAGTTACAGTTTTCATGTGAATATGGCTTCAGCTATGAGGATAAGAAAGAGCTTTTCTCTTCATTTTACCCCTTAGCTTTAACTCTTGTAGAAATACTGTGCTTAGTGGTGCAATGGCTTTAAAAATGTTGACTTTTTCCAGGTTTATTAATAATGCTATAACATCTCACAATTACATGTCAACCTCAAGTGAAATTGTAGTCTGTAGATTGCAGTGGATGCAGTAGATGTAGAAATAGCCTGCAGATTCTCAGGGGGACACTTGAGGTCTACATAACCTTGTAACTGCTTATCTGGTTATTATTTCTGTGATATTCATTATTTAGCTGGCTAATCTGAGAATCTATTCCATAGGTCTTGTGGTGGAGTTTTGCCTAAGGTTACTTTCTAAAGCATATTAGAATCATTTTTAGCACTGTCTGTTGCCTATTATGTTTAAATATATTTTGCTGCCTTGATTCTTGTGTTTGAAGTCTTGGTCTTTTAAGGAAATAGACCTGAATTTAAATATTTTGTCAGAAAGTATGCGGATGAAACCATTAACCATGTATAAGTTTAAAGTTGCTAAGCCATAACTATCTTAAAATGAAATCTAGAAGGAAACATCCTGTGATTATTGGGGGAATAACCCCCAATCCTTTTCTTACACATACATGATATAGGAGTGAGTCAACCAAGTCCACTGAGATGACTTTTTCTCATGATTTTGAACATAGATTTCCATCCCAGGGCTCACATAAAGCTTCTCTTAGCATTAATAGTTATTTCATGCTCACAGTGAAGGAAAAGTACAAAAGCACCTCCTTTTCCTTTCCATGGCTCAGTCAAAAAAACCTACAGTTCACACTGAATGTGGGTGGTCTTACTTCACCCCTCAGAGGAGGTACAGTGTCTAAGAAAGATTCATATTTTCTGAGGTTATAATAATTGTCTTTAGCATGTTTTCAGGGAGCAGTGAGACATTGCTGTGTTAGAGGAGCTCCAGATGGAATCACATCTGTGAAAACCTAAGAACAAAGGCATGTTGTGAGAAGGTAGTTAGGGTACTTAGAGGTCCTTAGTCACTACAGTTTTGGTGACTTTGGTGAGCATCTCTCTGGCTCAGCACCTACAGCTTTCCTTCAGCCAGGTGTCCCTGAGGGGAACTTGTGTAGCCATGCAATGATATCCTTGGGCCCCTTTCACAGGGAAACAGCTTGTGCTTAGATAATTAACAAAACATGTCTGTCATTATTTTTTCCCTGTCTACAAGAAATTTGGCTTAAGATAGCTTCCTTTTCCCATTCTATGCTTCTCCCATATTCTTAAAGCTTAAACAGTTGACAGGGATTAGTAGGGTTTGAGAAGCATTGATATTAATACTGATTTAAAGAAGGTATGTATTTTAAAATTGGGACAGTTGCATCTCCGCATTTATTAATGTTGTACATTCTTAAAAGCTATTTGTCTGGAATAGAAAACTAGCATTCATTTAAGAACGGGTTTTGTATCAGCTTTAAACTGAAGTAGATGATCCTGTATGAAGTAAACTGAACTCTATCTCGTGTATTATTTTAGGAAAAAAGGAGCCTTTTGTGAAATTTAGAGCTATGGTTTTAAGTAACTGCGCTACAATAAATTTGAACTCCTAAAACACCCCATCACTGCATGCAGCTATGATTTGAATTCATTCATTCAAAATGTATATTCTGTGCTAGAAAATGTTCTTAGTTGTGGGTTCCAGAAGTGAATGAAACAGATAAATCTTTTGACTCATGGAACTTCCATACTTTTGGGAAGAGACAGACTGTAATCAAGAAAAACAATAAATACATAGGATAATTTCACATAATCAAAAGTGCTATCTTGAAAATAAAGCAGGGTAATGTGGAGAGGTACAGGAAAACTATTTTAGGTAAGAGGGTTAGCCAGTAAGGAGAGGATCTGGTGAGAGAGGTTTCTAGGCTGAGCAAAAAGCAAGAGTAGAGGCCTAAGGCAGAAATGAAGATGATGTGTTCAAGAAACAGGAAAAAAAATATCATAAGTGGCTGGAGCAAATGTAGCAGGTGTGCAGTGGTAGACAAGTCAGGAAAATAGGCCGGAGGACCTTTTATTTTATTCTGAGTGCGGTGAGACACTCTCTTAGGATTTTTACCTAGAGTTTGTATGTTCTGATTTACATTTTAAAAAGCTCACTGGAGATGCAATGTGATAGGATGGAGAAATTTGTGAATGTGTTGGATCGTCTGGTGTTATTCCTATATTAAGTATTGTATGAATATCCCAGTGCATTAAAATGAGAGCTCACAGACCCATAAGAGCCCATTTCTTAATGTGTTAGCCATAGCCATTAAGACCTTATTACTATCAGCAAAGGAAGTTCTTCTGTGCCATAGAAATATCGTAAGAAAGAAAAAGAGTTTCCCAGTTAAAAGGTCATCCATGTACTGTTAATTATATTACATTATTAATGAGTAAATATTAATTATTGAAATATTTAATGCACTAGAAGTGGGTGTAAGCCACCAAGAATAGTGAGATTGAATTTTTGAGTAATTATATTTGCACCTGTGGTCCTCTTGTTATTACTGTTGGCTAACATGAGGCATGCCAACTGGCTAATGACACATGATTCATGAAAGCTTCACTGGAGTCCTCTCTGAAGAATGGTAACAGGAAACCTTCTTAGTCTTTGTGGTTCAGAAAGGAGCATCAGGATGTGTAGGAACAGGACAGAACAGCCAAAAAGGGGCTCTGTGCCACATTCTTACCTGTTCCTATGAAAGAATTGAACTCCGATTGCACTGCATCCCTGTATTCAACATTTAACCAAAGAAATTGTAGCTATTGCATATCTTAATAAACTGGCATGTTTTACATTTGATGTCACTTTTTTTCTCTTTTCAATATGTAGCATTCTGCCAGTATGCCAATACCAGGAATATACCTAGAATATATTTCAGAGAACAGTAGCATGCTGTCAACAATAATCTTTGATGGACGTATACTCTCACATCACAAGTTACTTACATCTGACAGAGACTTCATAAAAGAAACGAGCATTTTTCTTCTTGGAAGTGGCAAATTGTTACAAAACCAGAAAACAGCAATACCTTGTGATGAACACTCTTGAGTACAGTTTTTAAAACTTTATAGAAATTGTAAATATATATAGGGAATCATTCTTTTTTTTTCTTTTTGAGACAGAGTCTCACTCTGTTACCCAGGCTGGAGTACAGTGGCACAATCTTGGCTCACTGCAGCCTCCACCTTTTGGGCTTAAGCTATTCTCTTACCTTAGCCTCCTGAATAGTGGGGACTACAGGTGCACACCACCATACCCAGCTAATTTTTTTTTTGTGTATATATATATAATTTTTTTTTGAGACATGCAGTTTTGCCATGTTGCCCAGGCTGGTCTCGAATTCCTGGGCTCAAGCGATCTGCCTGTCTTGACCTTCCAAAGTGCTGGGATTATAAGCGTAAGCCACTATGCCCCACCCATGGAATCATTCTTTACTTACTATAGTAACATGTTATTATCCACAATATTTTTTAAAACTTTAGAATTTTCTGATTCAAAATATACAACAATGCTGTAAAATTTAAACAAAGCAAAAATGAATAAAATAAAAAGTGAAAATTCTTAAATTAAAATCCTTCAAAACAACTGCCATTAGCAGCTTGATGTTGAGTTTAATGAACTTTTCTGATAGATGAATACTTATATATTTCTATATAAATAATAAAAATGTGATTGTATTGTTCTAAAATTTGATTTTTTTAAACTAACAATACCATGGACACCTACCTTATTCTTCTTAAAGGCTATATAGTATATATGAATCGTATTTTATTGATTCTATCTTCTATGACTAGATATTTTCAGTTCTTTGCTGTACAAATAAGCCTTTAAGAAGTATCCTTATTGTAATTTTTCTGCATTCTTTCATGAGTATTTCTGGAGGAGAAATTTTTATAAGTGGAATTGCTGGATTACCGTGTATTGCGAATTTAATTACCTTCCCAAAAGATTATATGAGTTATGTTCTAGATCTTTAAACACTTTATTGAATCCGCCTCCACTGCTAAGATACTATTTGCTGGTCAGATTTGAGTTTATTCTTTATGTTTCACTCCACTAAAAGCTTAGTGATTCAAAATGAAAAGAATCTCAGTATCTAGCATTTGCCTCCCAGCTCACTTTGGGGGCTTTTTGTCAGAAGCTTAAAGTATAGAGATTAAAACTGAGTTTATTTTCCTGATCTAATTGGACGTCCGAGCTGGCTAATCACTTGTATTCTGAAGTAAGGAGGTGAAAAGTGCAGTGGCCATATACTTGCTTTGACTGAAGATGTTGCTGTTCCCAGCTCTGAGAGGGCTTTTCAGGCTCTGTGAGAATTTCCTTGGCAACCAAAAAATGGCTTCATCTCAAGAGCCCTTCTTGGTGGTCAGCATTTGGAACAAAAAGAAAAATTGCAAAAAGAGTTGGACAAGTGTTCCCTTTGAATATTATTCAACACATTTGCAGCTTGGATCTACATCTCCTTCCTTTCCTTCCCCCAACCCCCAAGAGAATTTTAAATGCATATATGCCAGACTGTAAAGTTAGTTAAATAAAAAGTTTTATACCTTATATGGAGTGCTTTATTAGGAGCTTTGAAGGAGTGTTGTCAACTGAAATGGCTAATAAAAAGATGAGCCAACACTTTTTTTTTTAACATGTTGGGGCATATTTGCAGATTCTACTGCTCCCCAATTTCCCTCTTAATAGGGAATCTCTGCAGAGTAAGTTTATGAAGAGGTCACACCATGGGAGGAAGTTTTTCCTGTTCTTCTTTAGAAAGAGAAGAGCTCCCCACTGTTTCTAGCTCACTTGTCTGATTGATCCAGTGGCTGGTTGATTTATGTGTCTCAGCAGAATCTCATGACCTTATCAGTCACCAGCAGAGCTTCCTGGTTTCTCCATGTGTTACCCACCAATGGGCTGGTTTTACTTCCTAGAACTGAACTGAAATGAAAACAATGATTCTTTTTTTTTTTTTTTTGCCACCATGTTAAAAGGACAGCAGTAATGTTTTCTACAATCTGAAAGCCAGTGGTTAATCATGCCAAGATGACATTCCTGACTAATCAGTGTTCCATGCATACACATATAAGAGGGTAGGAAGTAACTGAGTCATTGCATAGGGAGTGATTGTAAGCTTTGAACTTCAAAATTAGCTGTACTCTTCATCATTCAGTAGCTGTATCTGATAGTATTGAGTCTATTGCTACGTAAGCAATAATTAACAACTAGCATAGATTGGACATCTAATTACAACTAATGCTTTGGGGTTGGTACTGTCAACTCTATTTGACATATTGGCAAACTGGAGGCATGAGGAGATTAAGTAATTTCCCTAAAGTTAAATAGCATCTAAATGATAGAGCTGCATCCTGGTCCTAGTGCCTGTGCTCTTAGTGGATATAATGAGTTCTGCCTAGTTGGATTAGGGTCTTTTTAGGTCCCTGAAAGCCACTGTGGAACAGACACGTATTCAATCGAAGTTTCTGGCTTTTGGTTTGTCTTTGAGGCAAACATCATGCTGAATAGGCTAATTACCAGAATTACTATTAAAAATGAATAATAAAAAATTTTTAAGGGTCTTATGGTGACTGGATGGATGTTTCTGCTGCCACAATGATTAAAATACTCAATGTTATGTGCTGATACTCTGGATGTCATTGGTGAAGGTCAGTGAAAAAAGACTGATATAATAAAAAAGTATAATCTATGATCTCAGATTGTGAGTTTATATCTTAGCTGATTATTCACACCGAATAAACTGTGGTGCTGACAGTGAAGTGCAGCTGGGGTTCAGTGAAAGACACAACTGTGTGGGCCAAAGCCATCAATCAAAGAGGAACCAGGGACTTTAGAAGCATCTTTCCATTCTAGAGAACAAAAATAACAGAATAAAAGAGTTTTAACCAAATAAAACATTCTTCCTTGGATAAAAGGTTAGGTAAGAAATGGGAGAAATAAATTGGAATGCAACTATCTAGAGTTTAGCAATACAAGTAAAAGACTTAGTTCATCTAATAAATGGAAATTATTGTGGCTTTTAGAATTATTTGAAATAATAGCCAAACTTTCCAAATTTGAGGAAATACAACATTTCAATGTTTTTTTTTTTTGTAGTTAGTGTGACATGTAGAATTAGTGAAAGTAGATTAGTTAGTTGACTTGTCCACAGACCACAATGAATAGAGAGTTACAACACACTTAATTTACAGATCTTCACTTGTGCTTTGCTAAACCCCATGGTTCTTTGACTTTCAGGCTGTTAAATATTCATTCTCACTATAGATAGGGTCAACTCTAGTTCATTTAGTCTGATAAATGCACATCATTATGACCTTAAAATTTTGTTCTGGTAAGAGGAAAAAGTGATTATTATTGAACTTTTTTATTAATAAGCTAAGATATAAACTTACAATCTGAGATCATAGATTATACTTTTTTATTATATCAGTCTTTTTTCACTGACCTTCACCAATGACATCCAGAGTATCAGCACATAACATTGAGTATTTTAATCACTGTGGCAGGAGAAACATCCATCCAGGATCATAGGAATAGCTTTGAAGACTTAAGTAAGCATAGTAAACCTTAACTCTTCTGAACTTCAGTTTTCTGATTCATAATAGAGATATTATACTTCAGTCTGAACTGCTTTTTCTACTGAGTTGTTTTGTGAAAAGGAAAATACTTAATACACTTCAAAATGTTATATAAATCTTCATCATCATTGCCATTTTCATTATTTAAATGGGCTACTGCTTTTTTATTTTTGGTTTTGCTTTGCAGTAAGATTTGGTGGGATGAAAGTCCATTTCATTTAGGTATCATTCCTTATCTTTTAAATTTGCATTGTTAATTTGGCTCTTTGGAGTTCATGCTCTTAACTTCTGCTCTATACTGCTCTATCCACACTGTAAAGAAATGTATGTCCGATTGTCATTTCATGAATCTTATTGAATGCACATTACTCTTGTACCCAAATTTCTCTTTTTCTCTCTACTTTTCCAAGTCTTACCTTTACTTCAAAACTTGTCAAGTGTTACTTTTTCTTTATATCCATCCTTGAATATTCCAGCTTATGTTAACTACTCCTGTTTTGAATTTCCAATACCATCTAGTACTTATTATTTTCATCACTGATGTGGTTTGGCTGTGTCCCCACCCAAATCTCAACTTGAATTGTATCTCCCAGAATTCCCACATGTTATGGGAGTGACCCAGGGGCAGGTAATTGAATCATGGGGGCCAGTTTTTCCTTTTCTATTCTCATGATAGTGAATAAGTCTCATGAGATCTATGGGCTTATCTGGTGTTTCTGCTTTTGCTTCTTGCTCATTTTCTTTTGCCACCACCATGTAAGAAGTGCCTTTCACCTCCCTCCATGATTCTGGGCCTCCCAGGCATGTGGAACTGTAAGTTCAATTAAATCTCATTTTCTTCCTAGTCTTGGGTATGTCTTTATCAGCAGCATGAAAACTAACTAATATAGTAAACTGGTACCAGAAGTGGGGTGTTGCTGAAAAAATACCCAAAAATGTGGAAGCAACTTTGGAACTGGGTAACAGGCAGAGGCTGGAACAGTTTGGAGGTCTCAGAAGAAGATAGGAAAATGTGGGAAAGTGTGGAACCTCTAGAGACTTGTTGAATGGCATTGACAAAAATGCTGATACTGATATGAACAATAAGGTTCAGGCTGAGGTGGTCTCAGATGGAGATGTGTAACTTGTTGGGAACTGGAACAAAGGTGACTCTTGTTATGTTTTAGCAAAGAGACTGGAGGCATTCTGCCCCTGCCCTAGAGATACGTGAAACTTTGAACTTGAGAGAGGTGATTTAAGGTATCTGGCAGAAGAAATTTCTAAGCAGCAAAGCATTCAAAAGGTGACTTGGGTGCTGTTAAAAGCATTCTGTTTTAGAAGGGAAACAGAGCATAAAAGTTCCGAAAATTTGCAGCCTGACAATGCAGTAGAAAAGAAAAACCCATGTTTTGAGGAGAAATTCAAGCCAGCTGCAGAACTTTGCATGAGTAGCAAGGAGCCTAATGTTATTCCCCAAGACCATGGGAAAATGTCTTCAGGCCATGTCAGAGACCTTCATGAAAGCCCCTCCCATCACAGGCCCAGAGGCCCAGTAGGAAAAAGTGGTTTCGTGGGCCACACCCGGGGTCCCCGTGCTGTATGCAGCCTAGGGATTTGGTGCCCTGTGTCCCAGATGCTCCAGCTGTGGCTGAAAGGGGCCAATGTAGAGCTCAGGCTGTGGCTTCAGAGGGTGGAAGCCTCAAGCCTTGGCAGCTTCCACATGGTGTTGAGCCTGCGAGCGCACAGAAGTCAAGAATTGAGGTTTGGGAACCTCTGCCTAGATTTCAGAAGATGTATGGAAATGCCTGGATGCCCAGGCAAAAGTTTGCTGCAGGGGTGGGGCCCTTATGGAGAACCTCTGTTAGGTCAGTGCAGAAGGGAAATGAGGGGTTGGATCCCCCACACTGAGTCCCTACTGAAGCACTGCCTACCATAGCTGTGAGAAGAGGGCTACTGTCCTCCAGACCCCAGAATGGTAGATCCACTCACAGCTTGCACTGTGTGCCTGGAAAAGCTGAAGACACTCAATGCCAGCCCATGAAGGCAGCCAGGAGGGAGAATGTACTCTGCAAAGCCACAGGGGTGGAGCTGCCCAAGACCATGGGAAGCCACCTTTTGCATCAGTGTGAAAACTGGAGTCAGAGGAGATCATTTTGGAGCTTTAAAATTTGACACCCCCACTGGATTTTGGACTTGCATTGACCCTGTAACCCCTTTGTTTTGGCCAATTTCTCCCATTTGGAACAGCTGTATTTACCCAATACCTGTACTCCCATTGTATCTAGGAAGTAACTAGCTTGCTTTTGATTTTACAGGCTCACAGGCAAAAGGGACTTGCCTTGTCTCAGGTGAGACTTTGGACTGTGGACTTTTGGGTTAATGCTGAAATGAGTTAAGACTTTGAGGGACTGTTGGGAATACATTTTCAATTTTTGGAGAAGTTCAAGAGAGAGGCAGTTGTAAAATAGAATACTAGTGTGGTTTTTTTGGTTTTTGTTTTTGTTTTGGAATAAATCTGAATTTAGAATGATTCCACATTAATTAGTTCCACAGGAGTATATACAGGCAAATTTTATATTGGTGGTATTCTCTTTCCCCTCTCCTTTCTTGAAAATAACAAGCCACTAGCCAGCCTGTGGTAGTGCATTAATCATTATTTTTACATTGATACAAACTATTGTGATTTTTTAAGCTGAGACCATAGAAAGCTGACAAAGCACTGTGGGCATATATAGCAAATGTAAGACAGGTTTTTGTGCTGAAAGAGTGTACAGAAAGTGTCACTCGTGGCTTATAACCATTCGATGACTACCTGTTGCCTTTATGATAAAGCCCAGAATCCTTGGCATGACCTTCCAAGACCTGCGTTATCCTGCCTGGTGTCTCTCTCCAAAGCAGATGTGCCAGGTTTTCTCCCGTCCTGACTTTACTACAACCATATGGTATTCTTCCAGTTTCACTAACATGGCAGTCTCCCTCCTACCTTTGGGTCTTTGGACATGCTGCTTTTGTTCACTGAAATGTGCTTCCTTGTCCAGGCAACTGGTGTTCGCCCATTATTTCTCTGTAAATGTCACCTTTTCAGGGAAGTTTTCTGTGACACGCCCCCCCCCTCTTGCCCCCAGTCTTTGCTAGGGGCTGCTGTTATAAGCTGTTACAGCACATGATGCTTTTCTACCATGACACCTACCACAACTGTCATCAAATAGTTGCCTATTTTAATTTTTGGCTACATGTTTATCTTCACTAATAGGCCATTTGCTTCAAAATTGGAGAAATGATATCCAGCCATCTGTAGTTCATGGACCATAGCCTGCCAGTAACTTGCTTTTGTATGGCTTGCAAGCTCAGCAAGGTTACAGTTTTAAAAAGCAGTTAAAAAAAAAGAATAAGTGACAGATACTGTATGTTTGCTCATAAAGCCTAAAGTATTTAGTGTTTGGTCTTTCACAGAAAAAGTTTGCCTGTCTGTGGTCTAAGTTGTTGCTATACATGTTGGGTAGAAGAATGTAAGTGTATTTATATGCTACGTTTTATTTTCTGAGCAGGGCACTTCATTGTAATGTGGCATCTATAGGGCCTAGTGATGTTGCTGTAAGCACTTAGACAAACTGAGGGCCGCATGAACATCAGAAGGTTCTTAGCTGGATAAACAACTGTACTCGAAGTGTGTCAATTAATAGCCAGTGTAAAAGTGGAAGAGGTTTCTAATGCCATGGTACTTTTTAGCATGTATTGCTCTGCTAAACAACTGTATTAGCAATTTAGATTAAGACATAATACGTTATTATCAGATTTACAAATACACAAAACTGCCATCTAAAATTTAAGTAATATAATTAAGATGGAGAATGATCTTGACAGGCTTCAAACCACAGGAATTTCACAAGAGTAAGATAAACTATGTAAGATCTAAATGTGGAGTGAATAAGAACGTGAAAAATCCTACTTTATTTGAACAGAGAATTTATGACTTTCAGCAGATTTAGACTCTTCAAAGGTGTCCATTATTCAGAAATACTTGAGGAGATGTAGTTATGGTAACAGTGTAGTGAGATGCCTGGGCACTAACCTAAGAAGAAAAATAGAAGTAACTCATCCAAAACTTTTAGAGATGAGAAAGCTTGAAGGGTACAAGGCTCATGAAAGTTGCCTTCCAGTGAGAGAGAATAGATTTATTGTTTTTTGCTCCAGATATAAAATTGCAATAGCAGATGGATGTTTCGTGGAAGCAGATTTCATTTCAATATAAGGATGAATTATATAGGAAATTGAGCTTTGTCACTAATGTATATATGAACTTTTTAAAGTCTTTCTTTGCACTTAAATAATACAGTAGGTATCAGGACTACAGAAAGAAACAGCAAACAATCCCTGCTCTCCAGGAGGTCTCATTATAGACTGTGAGATGAATCGGTAAATAATGTAGGATGTTAGATGTCCTAGCACAGAAATGGAGTATGAATTTTGTCAGGAACTGGGGAGTGGGCAGAGGTGACTCTGAATTAACTCTTGAGTTGATGCTCCTTCTTTCACTATAATGTACCAGAAGAAGCAAATGACTGTATGTTAGGAATGTGTTCACTGGGTGGGGTATTATAAACTAGTCAATCTTTAAGTAATTTAAAGACTTTGTGATTTATAGGAATTCAAAAATAAGAAGCCGACTTTGGGCTTGACCTTAGAACAAAGGAGTGAAGGGATCTCAGGTCAATATGTCAGTTAAGTAACCATAACCTACTGGTGGCTCAGCCAGAAGCCCCCAGATGCAGATGAAGAACCCCTCAACCAAACTTCTGTATAGTTGTTGCCTGCCTTTGTGTCAGTGTCTTATTTTCCTCTTGATTCCTTTTTTCTGCTTCTTCAGTATTCTTTATTGTTCTAATTTGGTACATGTTCTGAGACCTCCGTGAAGGGTACATTAAAAAATCTGCTAAATAAATAATAGCATGACTACTACAGATTTAATTATAGCTATACAGCTGCCTGTTTGAAGTGTTCTGCTGGGGCCATATGTTCCCTTGTATATCTCAGCCCTGGAAAGACCTAGTTTAATTGTTTCCCAGCTTATAGTATTGAATTCTTAAAGAACTGCTAGCAGTCATTTGGAAGTCAATAGATTGTGTGTTTTACCTCAACTGTCTTTCTGCAACTGGATGTTTTATTGACAATTTCTTATTAGATCCCAAATAATCAGATATTAAAGCACTCATCCAGACAGGTCTTAAGAGCTATGTCTACTTGTTAGTTTTACAGTCTGATTTTTGTCATCATATTTGATGTGCTAAGTGAAAAGTACTTCTGCATTTAAGCACTTTCCCTCAATGGCTTTTTTGAAAAAAAGAAAAGTATTTTAGTGGATGATTCTTTTAATGGTTTTCTGTCCCCATGGTATGGTGGGAGCAGAAATGGAGGAGGACTTGGGAAAGGGCGCTTGTTGCTGTTCTAGAAGTATAACCTTGAACATGTATTAACTTCTCTGGTCCTCAGGAGGGCCAAAACTGAGCCCTTCTAGGTTCCTTCCAGTTCTAAAATTCTGTGATTCAGATCAGCTGGGGAACATGCTCTTGCCAGTGAAATGCATCTGGAGAAGGGTGGTTGTTCCTTTTCCCACTGTGGTGGTCTGTGCATCTCTTCCCCCTTGTGCTTAGGAAGCCCAAATTTCCCATTTCTTGAGCCACAAAAATCTTTCAATATGAACTCTGTTTAGAGATCAAAGCCTCACAGAGTAACAGAGCTGTGGCCATTCTTATCTGCTTTTTCAGTGCAAAGATGGTCTAATGCAGTGGTTCTTAAGCTTTTCTCATGTCAAGGATCCATTTGAGCTTATGATGAAACTGTGGATGCTTTCACCAGAAAAATGCACAATAAATATGAAGGACAAAAAGTTGTGTGTAATTTCCAGGTGCCCATGCACTCCCTGGATCCCCATCAGCCAACCTTAAGAACCATTGCTCTGTGCTTTGATAAGAGCCCTGACATCTCTGTTTTGTTCTGAGTGAAGGGACCTGCAGGTGAGGTTGAGAACAGTGAAGTAGAGGGCCTAAGGCCTGAAGCACCAGCCCTGAGCTTTGAATGGTGCCAAGGGCAGAGCTTTGTTGGGTTCATAAACTATACTAGGGTGGAGCAAAGGGTGGGAGAAGCAATGGAAAGTGTTTTTTCCAGTTTCTGCACAAGATAGGCATTCTGCATAAGTGTTTGTCAATCCATTAACTTTTATTTATTTATTATTTTCAAACTATTAACTTTTAACTCTTGGTTGCCTACATTACCTCTGGTTATTCTACCCTTTTACCATGCATGCCTTGAACTTTTTAAGAGAGAAGTCTATGTTTTTTATTAGTTACCCCAACTGGGGTATGTGCAGAAGAGAATGCATGTAAAACAATTCTCCTGAAACTATATTTTTTATTTTTCTTGAAGTCAGTAGCCCCACAATGTTTTTTCATTTGTCTATTTATTTTGATTTCATATGGTTGTTCCTTCCATAACCTTTCTTTCCTAATGGCAGCTGGAGTTTGTGGGGCAGAAAGAATAAAAGAAATCCTATGTTTAGCATCTCTTTTTTGGGGGTAGGAGAGGGAAGACTATTAATAGATACTGCTTTTTAGATAATAATAGGTAAGGCCAAAGTTAGAAATAAAGCATTTCATTTTAAAACAAAGTGTTTCTGCTGAACATAGTCATTCAAGGATAAGGGTGTCATTCTGAGGGAATGCAGATCATTAAGATTGGTGCAGTTATCATGAGGAATTATATTATATTTGTTTTACAGTGTAGTTGCACTGAACCACCCATGCTCACCTCAGTCTGCAGTTCATTTTGCAGCCTTAGCATGAGATGCTGTCTCTTCAACCTTCTCAAGCTAAAATGCATGCAACTATACACTTGGTAGAATGAACTTACCTAGGGAGGTACTTTACTTTATGGATAACATGTTTTTAAGTCTATGATACAAACTGGTGGAAGAAATTTCTTTTTAAAGTTCAGATGATTGTATATCTGAATTAAATGTGGTGGCAATCTAGCTGTATTTTACTTTATTCCCTTGGGAAAGAGAAATTTTATTTTTGTCAGTCACCTCTTCCCCTTTTTTCTAGGATTATATTAGAACTCTAATGTGATTATAATTATTGGTACCATTTATTGACTATCTACTATACTATTTCAGGTACTGTGCTAGGAGCTTTTACCTATATCATGTTGTATATTATCATTAACCTTACTTTACAGATGAGTAGGCTAAATGTAGATGATAACTTTGTAGTCTTCTCAGCTTAACTGTTGCGTAGGTTAAACTTTAAAAAATTTAAGGCACAGATATTTTTAATGCACAGCTGAATTTTAAATGATGTATCTGTGAATCACCAGTATTGGTGAAATATTTGCTTTTAATGTTGGAGAGCACTAAGCATTTGAAGAAATCAAATTCTCGTGTTGTGTGTCATGCTGGATTCTTCCTGCTCTGTCACCCCCTTTATCCAGGCATTTAATGAGTCTTATACATTCTGCCTTTTAATTTTTCTCAAATCTGTCTTCAACATTCAGTCCCACTGATGCTTTCTTGATTCAGGGCCCCATAGTGTTCCTCCATTTAACATATTTATTGAGGGACCTATTATCTGCTCAGCATTGTGCATAAATACTTTCAAAGATCACCTCATTTACTCTTCTTAATTCCACAGAGTAATCATTTATTATTCCCATTATACAGATGAGGAAACTCACTTTAAAGAAATGAAGTCATTTGTCCAGCGTCCCTCAGCTAATAAATGGAAGAACTGAGATTTTCTTCTAGCTCTGTCTAATTCCAAAGCTTATTCCTGTTTTCACTACTTGAATTTCAAACACTGGATAACAATTAGCAAGCTTAGCATGGTGAAGCTTGGACTCTGGAGACAGCCAGCCTTTGGTTTGAATCTTCGTTCTGCCTTTTCTAGTTTTGTGATGTTAGCTATATATAGCAGTTTCCCATCACCTGAGTGAGGTATGTTCCAAAACCCCCAGTGGATGTCTAAAACTGTGGACAGTACCAAACCTTACATATACTGTGATTTTTCATATACTGTGATAAAAGTTTAGTTTACAAATCAGGAACAGTAAGAGATTGACAACAATAATTACTAATAAAACAATTACGACAATATTGTATAATAAAAGTTATGTGAATGTGCTCCTACTCTTGCTCTCTCACAAAACATCTTATTGTACTGAGTTCACTTATTTTCAGACCCTGCTTGACCATAAGTAACTGAAACTGCAGAAGCAAAACCTTAGATAAGGGGGAATTTCTAAATCTCAATTTCTTATTGGGCAAATGGAGACCACAATAATAACTTACTTATAGAAATGTGGTGAGAATTTAATAAGATGATGCATACGAAGTTTTTGGTCCAGTGCCTGGCCAGAGATGATTGATTTAAAACATTTTAAATTATTATTATTATTATTATTACTAGTAATTTTAGAATTATTATTGAAGCTCTTTGTGCCTGTTGGTAACAATGGTGCCTTTAGAATTCAGTCTTACCAATATGAGATTCAAAATCTTAAATCTGGAAGGAATTCAGTGTACAGCTGTTCTCCCAAAGAAAGACTCTTTTTCAAAATCTCACTGAGAAATCCCGGACAAGGGTAGGACTTTTAGCCACTTCAGCAGGGAATTTTTTTAAACAATGAATGGTAGGGACCTGTGGTCATAAGTTTTGGAACTCGTAAAGGCCCTTTGCTTCTTACTAGCGACCTTTCTGAAGTCGACTACCACGAGATGGAGCACCGTTAGTGGAGCTATCAGTGTCCCTGCTTGTTTCTATGCATGGGTGTAAAGATGCCACAACACAGGTGTGAACACATGGACTTCATGTGTTTAACAAACATTTATGGAATGCTTATTGCAAGGCCTTGGCTTTGTAAGGTACTGAGGAAACAAAGTTGAATGATACATGGTTTCTTTTCTTAGGGTACTTTAGACCTGTCTTTAAAGTACTTGTAGTCTGATAAGAGTCACAGCCAAGTCAATCAATGAATGCCTGGTGATAAGCACAATTTCAGAGGTAAGGCTAGGGAAAGTCAGGGAAGGTGGGGGGTAGTCAGGGGAGTTAGTCTTTCCAAAGGCCTGGCTAGAGTTCAGAGGCATAAGTGGAATTTTGGGACTTTCCCTCTGAGATAGATGAATGAGTATTTCAAGTCTACTTCCTTCAGGCATGGAGCAAGTGACCTGTATTTATATACAGTGGAGTTCATGGCACAACAGTGAAAGAGGAAAATAACTTATTATAAAAGAAAAAATACCTAACTTAGCTAGCACCTAGAACCTGCAGTTCTTGTTTTTCTTTAAATCTTTTTTAAAGTGCTGTTGTCTTTATTTGGTCTTCTCCTTTCCTTGTCTCTGTCCCACTTTATTTTATGCAGTTAAATACTATTAAATACTTTAAAATATGCTCATTAAAAATTTTAAAGGTATCTTTACAGAACCAAAACCATTGTAGATACTTAATTAACACTGTTTTGCTGTATAAAAGGCTCTGGTATTTCAGGAAAATAGCTTCTAAACTTTAGGTAGTAAAATCTATTCCTCAGACATGTAATGGTTTCACCGTATAGTGAAGTGAATATTCAACTCATGGCCTGGCCTTAGCTGTATGAGTTTGGTGAAGACCTTTACGCTTTTGAGACTTAATTTCCCTCATCTGTAAAATGATGTAATAATACATTTCTTACAAGCTTGCTGTAAGAATTCCAGTAACATAGTACATATGAAAGTGTTTTAAAAACTGTAAGTAGCTATATGCGTATTGACAATTTTTTTAAAAAAATAATGTGAGACATTAAGAAAATGTGACTTGGAGATTTTAACAAGTTGATTTTTAAACTGGGGCAGTACTTGAAATTTCATCCTGTTTAGGAAATCAGAACTAATGGATTGTACTTAATGTTATATTTAGTTTAATAGCCATTTGTAAATGTGCTGCTTTGCAGAATCATTTGCATTAATCGTGGTGAGATATATTTGGAAGGAAAAATTAGAAAATCAAATTTTTACCCTCAGCATTGTTTTCATTTTGAAGTAGTGTTTTTTGGAAATGGAGTAAACACAAGTAGAAGAGTATTCAAAAAGTAAAAACATGTCACCAGAGCCTTTTGGCAACTTGTCTTATTTAATGATTTTGTCTGTATTCTTTCATATTTCATACACACTGGAAATCTCTGCATCATAACTATTAAGTTCCGAAAACATTAAAAGTGATTGTCTAAATTTTGGATTCTATGGGCTATCAAGCAATAGCTCTTTTTAGGCCTCTTAGATATTAGGCCAACGGTATGTAAATTTAGTCATTGGAAATATTCTTCTAAATCACACCTTTAAGATAGCCTGAAGGGCAATCAGCATTTCCATTAACAACAAAACAAAAATATGTTTCTAGTAATTATCCCAGGGGTTTTCTTTTATGACACCAAAAGAGTCCTATCCCATAAATTAGCCTAACCAACACTTAAATAATATCCTTATTTAACAGAAAAATTTAAAGGTACTTTTTCCTATGTAGTCTTAGAATAAAAGGTAATATCTACTTTTGGTCTTTGATGATGGTGATGTACAGACGGGTTTTTGGTGTGGATGTCCTTTCTCTTTGTTAGTTTTCCTTCTAACAGACAGGACACTCAGCTGCAGGTCTGTTGGAGTTTGCTAGAGGTCCACTCCAGACCCTGTTTGCCTGGGTATCCGCAGCGGTGTTTGCAGAACAGCAGTTTTTCATGAACCGCGAATGCAGCTGTCTGATCATTCCTCTGGAAGTTTTGTCTCAGAGGAGTACCCGGCCGTGTGAAGTGTCAGTCTGCCCCTACTGGGGGGTGCCTCCCAGTTAGGCTGCTCAGGGGTCAGGGGTCAGGGACACACTTGAGGAGGCAGTCTGCCCGTTCTCAGATCTCCAGCTGCGTGCTGGGAGAACCACTGCTCTCTTCAAAGCTGTCAGACAGGGACATTTAAGTCTGCAGAGGTTACTGCTGTCCTTTTGTTTGTCTGTGCCCTGCCCCCAGAGGTGGAGCCTACAGAGGCAGGCAGGCCTCCTTGAGCTGTGGTGGGCTCCACCCAGTTGGAGCTTCCCTGCTGCTTTGTTTACCTAAGCAAGCCTGGACAATGGCAGGCGCCCCTCCCCCAGCCTCACTGCCGCCTTGCAGTTTGATCTCAGACTGCTGTGCTAGCAATCAGCGAGACTCCGTGGGCGTAGGACCCTCCGAGCCAGGTGCGGGATATAATCTCCTGGTGCCCCGTTTTTTAAGCCTGTCGGAAAAGTGCAGTATTTGAGTGGGAGTGACCCGATTTTCCAGGTGCTGTCTGTCACTCCTTTCTTTGACTAGGAAAGGGAACTCGCTGACCCCTTGTGCTTCCCGAGTGAGGCAATGCCTTGCCCTCCTTCGGCTCGTGCACGGTGCGCTGCACCTACTGACCTGCACCCACTATCTGGCACTCCCTAGTGAGATGAACCCGGTACCTCAGATGGAAATGCAGAAATCACCCGTCTTCTGCGTCACTCATGCTGGGAGCTGTAGACCGGAGCTGTTCCTATTCGGCCATCTTGGCTCCTCACCATCATCAAAGACCAAAAGTAGATAAAACCACAAAGATGGGGGAAAAACAGAGCAGAAAAACTAGAACTCTAAAAAGCAGAGCACCTCTCCTCCTCCAAAGGAAAGCAGTTCCTCACCAGCAGTGGAACAAAGCTGGACGGAGAATGACTTTGACGAGTTGAGAGAAGAAGGCTTCAGACGATCAAACAACGAGCTACCGGAGGAAATTCAAACCAAAGGCAAAGAAGTTAAAAACTTTGAAACAAATTTAGACGAATGTATAACTAGAATAACCAATACAGAGAAGTACTTAAAGGAGCTGATGGAGCTGAAAGCCAAGGCTCCAGAACTACGTGAAGAATGCAGAAGCCTCAGGAGCCAATGCAATCAACTGGAAGAAAGGGTATCAGTGATGGAAGATGAAATGAATGAAATGAAGCAAGAAGGGAAATTTAGAGAAAAAAGAATAAAAAGAAACGAACAAAGCCTCCAAGAAATATGGGACTATGTGAAAAGACCAAATCTATCTCTGATTGGTGTACCTGAAAGTGATGGGGAGAATGGAACCAAGTTGGAAAACACTCTGCAGGATATTATCCAGGAGAACTTCCCCAATCTAGCAAGGCAGGCCAACATTCAGATTCAGGAAATACAGAGAACGCCACAAAGATACTCCTCGAGAAGAGCAACTCCAAGACACATAATTGTCAGATTCACCAAAGTTGAAATGAAGGAAAAATGTTAAGGGCAGCCAGAGAGAAAGGTCGGGTTACTCACAAAGGGAAGCCCATCAGACTAACAGCGGATCTCTCATCAGAAACCCTACAAGCCAGAAGAGAGTGGGGGCCAATATTCAACATTCTTAAAGAAAAGAATTTTCAACCCAGAATTTCATATCCAGCCAAACTAAGCTTCATAAGTGAAGGAGAAATAAAATACTTTACAGACAAGCAAATGCTGAGAGATTTTGTCACCACCAGGCCTGCCCTAAAAGAGCTCCTGAAGGAAGCACTAAACATGGAAAGGAACAACCGGTACCAGCCGCTGCAAAATCATGCCAAAATGTAAAGACCATTGAGACTAGGAAGAAACTGCATCAACTAACGAGCAAAATAACCAGCTAACATCATAATGACAGGATCCAATTCACACATAACAATATTAACTTTAAATGTAAATGGACTAAATGCTCCAATTAAAAGACACAGACTGGCAAATTGGATAAAGAGTCAAGACCCATCAGTGTGCTGTATTCAGGAAACCCATCTCACGTGCAGAGACACACATAGGCTCAAAATAAAAGGATGGAGGAAGATCTACCAAGCAAATGGAAAACAAAAAAAGGTAGGGGTTTCAATCCTAGTCTCTGATAAAACAGACTTTAAACCAACAAAGATCAAAAGAGACAAAGAAGGCCATTACATAATGTTAAAGAGATTAATTCAACAAGAAGAGCTAACTATCCTAAATATATATGCACCCAATACAGGAGCACCCAGATTCATAAAGCAAGTCCTGAGTGACCTACAAAGAGACTGAGACTCCCACACATTAA